>NC_000012.12:48710128-49960128 GCF_000001405.40 Homo sapiens | reverse complement strand
GTGGTGCTAAGCTAGGGGGAAGAGTCCAGCGGGAGGGTGCAGAGGAAGTAGAGAACAGGTGCCTCCTCTGTCAGTTTGTCAGGCAGGGCTGAGGGGAGGAGCCTGCAGGAATGCTAAGGACTTGGAGGAGCGGGCTCTGGGCTCTGTGGCAGCTAAGATGCCAAAGAAAACAAGGGCTAAAGAAACCCCGCTATTGTTCCTGCCCAGCTCTGGCATTTCCTGCTGGAGCAGCTCCTCCCCCAGGTCTCTCCTCTTAAGGCCGGAGGTCAGTCTGTCCTTTCTTCCATGGGTCCCAGCGCTTTGTCCCCAGCCAATCATGCCAGCTGTACATGCCAGTTGTACGCAGGATTTTCTTCTGGGCCTGGGACTTGGGCTGGACAATGACCCTGATGACCCCAGAGGCCATTGGGGGCCAGGCTCCTTTGCTGCTGAACTTGCCTCCAGTTCGCACCCTTTCACTTGCTTTCTCATCCTCTCTCCCCAGGCACTGTCTTCATAGTCCACAGGTCTCAAACTCCAGCATCTCAGAATGAAAGGATTCACAAGTGCTCACAAGAGGCTTGGCTGCCAGGGGAAGCTCCGACCTGAAGATTTGAACTAATGAGGGACTATAAAGGCCAAGACCTTGTTCTTGCCATTTTAGAGATTCAGAATATAATCTACAAAGTTAGAGATTATAATTGGCCTCCACTGTGTGATTTGATTCCAAGCTACCCATGAAGAAACCCAGACTCAGAGGTCACTTGCCTAGGGTCACACAGTGACCTGAGATGGGAACCACAGGTCGCCACATAGACTTGGTCATCAGGAGTGGGCCTGGTGAGGCCAAAGAAGGAGATTTCATCTGTCAAGGTTACTCACACAGGGCAGCTGATTCTGTTTCCTAGGGCCTGTGTCTTAGGCTCTTCCATCTCTCTAACCACTAGAGTCCCTCTGTCCTCAAGTCATCACAGTAAACTCCCATTATGTCTCGGAATTCTCTTTGCCCAAGCACTCAGGCCCTGCCCTGGCAGCTCCAGAGGAATGCCCGGGACCTTTGTGAGCTGAGTGATGGGTCTCCCCATTTGTGGCAGGGGGAATTTGAATGTCTTAGGGAGAGCCCTTCCCCTCCTCTCCTGATATGGGGACTTCTGAGTTCCCTGGGAGAAGTTGAGGGCTGGGGTAGAAGTGGTAGGGAGCTCCGCCTGTCTTCTGGTACCTTGGGCTGTATTTCTATTACCACTGCCAAGTTGTGGAAGAAACAGTACTTATTGGCAAATGAGCATTTATTGAGTGCTTATTATATGCAGAGCAGTTGAAGGAAGGTAGATAGGAGAACGCCATCCAAGAACTGGAAGCAGCCCTTGTCCCCAAAGGGCTTACAGTCTAGCTGGGAGGCATTGTATATATACAACATCACAGCTTAAAGATACAAAACGACATTGAAGCACCATTTGCAGGTGCAAAGTCATTTGGCACAAAGTGGGAGTATGGGACAGCTCAGAACCTTCTCTGTCCCCAGCTTAGGGACCTGGAGGTCTGTCTACCTGTCTCCATGCTGCCCTGCCTCTGTCTGGTTTGGTGTGTGTGATCTCTGTTCTCTGACTGACCGGGTGCTCTTAAAGGGCAGAAACCAGCCCCACATTCTTTGTCCTCTCTACCCTGCTGCCCTCGCCAAGGCTCTCCGTCCACTGCAAGACAGTGGGTTGGGCTGGAAAGGCCCAGCCATGTGTTCTGGCTTCTGCCAGGGCCTCCCAGGAGCCTAGGATTTGTCTCAGTGGAAAAATCATGGGATTTTGTGTAAAAAGGTCTGAGTTCAAGTGTTGGCTCCACCATATACTACCTGTGAGACTTTAGACCAGTCCCTTAGCCTTGGTTTCTGAATCTGTAAAATGGGAAGAACAATATTTGCTCTACCTTTGTCACGGGGTTGGGAGATAATCACAGGGGACGATAAGGGGAAGCTTTGGAAATAGCAAAACCCTTCATGGCTGGGGGCCTTTGTCCTTCCCTAACCTATCTGAAGTTTGAGGAAGATCAGATAAGTCCGTGCATGCAAGGCACCCAGCACAGCAGCTGGTACACAAGAGATGCCAGGAACTGCCAATTTCCCTCCACCCCTGGAGTTCCATCACTTGGAATCCTTTTTTGACCTCTGACTCCAATCTGGGCAATAGAGGCTAGAAATGGTAGGGATTTCACATTTAGTTTTTGGGGAGATGCAATCCAAAAAGTGAAACAGACATAGAGAGAAATTCTTGGCTTCTTCTAGAGGAGTTTGTTGGGGTGAGGTGGGGTGGGGATGAGGTGCCTGAGACACATCCATGCTGGGCTCATAGCTCACTGCCTTGCTGCCTTTGAACCTCTAGAGCAAGGACACTCAGGTGCCAGGAGGACAGCTCTGGAGGTCACTTTGGTTTCTGACTCCACCCTTCTTCTGGTAGTGAGGCCAAGTGGCTGTCACTAGCTATTGGGGGTTTGGGAGAGTCCTCTCCATAGCACATATGGCCCAGGGCAGCCTTTTTTGGACCTCAAAGAGAGCTTTGGTCAAGGAAGACAGGAAAGAGCATAGATGAGAGGGGACACAATTACAGAGATGTTCCTTATACACTGTCTTTCTTGGATGGGAGCAGAAGGGAGAAAGAGGCTAGAGACTTAGTGCCTGGTGCACAGTGGGTGCTTGGTGCAGTGTGAGATAGATACAGACAGAAGTCTTGAAGGCATGGAGGCCACAGAGAGCATGGGGGCGGAGGGGGGTTCAAGGTATGACCCACATGTTACTTATACAGCAGGCTGGAGAGGGAAGGAGAGAATGGATAGGGCTGGGTGGTAGGAGGAAGGAGGTGGGAGAAAAGATAGGGCACACATTCAGGGTAAGAAGAGGTTAAGAGGCTGGGCCAGGATGGGGCCAGCCCCAAACCCATCTCCTTCTGCCTGGATCTTGTGGGCTCCCAGGACTCTCCTTTGCTTTGGCCATCAACGAAAGGAGGTAAGGGATGTTGAGCATCAGACTCCTTCTGCATCCTTCCCCCAGGAAGCAGAAATAATGAAATGATTCTAGTAATGCGTGATAATGGTATTAAGAATTACAGTTTACACAGCATCTTTACATGCGTCATCTCACTTAATCCCAGTTAATCTCTTTTGAGAGCAGTAGTACTGGCCTAGAAATTTAGAAGCCTGGGTTCTAGACTCAGATCTGCCTCTGCCTGGAGAAGTCATTTCCCTTCTCTGGTCCTGAGAGCAGCAGGCTGCTCTATCCACAATGACTGTCCAGTGGTAGGAGCCAGAAGCAGGGGATCACGGGCTGTGGAGAGGCAGACAGAGAAGGAACAGAGATTCCTGGGGTGGAAAAGCTGCTGCCTGAGGACTGGGGAGAGTGAGATGGGTGATGGATGGGTATTGCCTGGTGCCCATGGTTGCATGCCTGAGCGCCTTGCCCAGCCAGCCATAGGTGTGTGCTGGGCAAGAGGGCTCACTTGTGAAACTGAGTGTCTCCTTTCAAGAAGTGTCTAGGTGCAAATCTCCCCTCACCCAAGACAAAGGCCCGGGTCCCACAAAGGGCTTTTGTTTTCTGCGCCGAAGTGGGAGGCTAATCTCTGGGTCTGGGGCACCCCTGGAGACGGGGGTCCCGGGCACACACAGCATACACACACGTGAAGGCGTGCGCACTCATATGCCTGCTTCCTCTTTGGAGAGGTTCTCCCTCACCACAGAAAGGAAATCTTTGGCCACCAAAGATTTCCTTTTTCCAGAGGCCATGTCTAGGGGAGCTGTTCTCTGGTTGACACCTCTCTACCTCCAGCAATGAGTCTTGGCAAGCCTTGGGGCCCAGCGCTGCAGGTGGGGGAAATTTTCCAGGAGGAGCCAGATTGCGGCTGGAAATCAAGGCCCTCCCTTCAGCCCTCTCAAAGTGGCCTCCTTCCCTTCCCCTTCTCCTGAGGAGGACTGGCACCCACACTCATCCACTGCAGGAGAAGCGGATTTATTGCAGGTTGGGGAGGAAGGGGTGCAAGGGGAAGTGAGAAGTCCCCAGCCATGCACACTTGCACCAACGTAGGCAAACCTGTTCACACTCAGGGGCATGCACAACTCTGCATGTGAGGACAAAAGAGAACTTGGGGATGAACACACTTGCACACTAGTAAAACCAGTTGCATCATTCCCGGAACCCCCAAGGCAGGGGTCTGTACACTCCCCACTCAGTACCTGGGTGCAGGCTCTCCAGAGTTTCCCTCTTACCACCCACCTGCCTCCCTCCCCAGCTCAGTCCCCTAAGTTCCCAGTTCCCTGAAAAAGGCTGGAGAAGCCACCACTAGCTGCTCACAGCCTCAGGGCAGGGGACCTGCCAGGCTCAGGGCTCCCTCCGGCAGCCTCCTCCCCGCCTGCTCACAGCACTGGCCTGGGCGCGCACGTCCAGGAAGCAGCTACTCTGCGCTGGGGGGCCAACTTCAGACCTGCGGGAGAGGAGGGACGGGGTGGGCCCTTCTGCCTCGGGCCTCACAAGCGTCCGTCGGGGCCGTAGAGGCCGCTGGCGGCCCTCAGGCCTTGGTACCCCGTGGCAGGCTCTGCGGCGAGTGCAGCTCCACCGACTGCCGCCGTCGCACCTCGCGCTCCTCCCAATCGGTGTCCGGCTCCAGGCCCTTCAGCACTGCCAGGCGCTCCGACAGGCTCTTGGCTGGCGGAAACAGCACGTAGTTGTAGAGGAGGGAGCCCAGGATGGCGCCCACCAGGGGTCCGATCCAGAAGACCTGGGGGCGAGCGGAGAGGGCGGCTTGGCACCCGCGCCGGCACCGGCACGCGGAGCCCGCAGGCCCCGGCGGCACACTCTGCGGCCGCACCTCTCCTCCCCGACATTAATCTAGTAAAATGCTTATTTATGTAATTACAACGACAACGCCAGCTGCTGGGGAAGCCTTGTCAGTGCGGGGTTAAGGGTGCGAATTCTGAAGCCACTGCCTGTGTGTGTCCTGATTCCACCACTTAAGTGCTGTGTGCACTTCAACAAGTTACTTACCCTCTCTGTGCCTTTCACTCTAAGAATGTCTACCTCCTGGGGTGGTTGTGAAAACTGAGTTAATGTTTGCAAAGCACTCAGAACAAGGCTCACCACATACTAAGCACCAGATAAGTGCTAAATACTACCACTTATAGAGTTCTAAGTGCCAGACACTGCATTATCTGGGTTACACCGGTAACCTCACTTACTGTTCCCAAGAAGCCAGTGAGGTAAGCTGTTGTCATCCTCATTCACAGACGTGGAAACTGAGTCTTTGGCATCAGATCTGAGGGGTGGAACCCAAGGCTCCCCAGGACCAGGAGGAGTGTGGAGGGTTTGGGGTACCGCTGCTGAGCCCCCATCCCATGCTATTCCAGCTCTTGTTCTCCCTCTAAAATGGGTTTCTAGAGAAGGGGAGGGCAGGGGGTTTCAGCCATTACCCAGTGGTCATCAAATTTGCCAGTGACGACAGCTGGAGCCAGGGAGCGGGCAGGATTCATAGAGCAGCCGGTGTAATGGATCTGCAGTGGGAGGAGGGCATCAAAGAGAGAAGGGAGGTGAGGACAGGGCAGGAAGTCCTTGTCCCGCACTGCAGTGCTTGACCTCAGCCTAAAGGGAACCCACGTGATGGACAATTAACATCACGTTTTATTTACAGATGGGCTGGAGTGATATCTGTCCCTCTGGGGTATCTAGGAGTCAAACCTCTGGGGTGTCTGTTCCTCTTGAGAGTTCTGTGTATGTGTCCCTCTTGGGGTCTCTGTGTCTGTCTCTGGAGTGGTCTGTGTGTCTGTTCCTCCAGGGAGGCTGGAACCCATGGCCATGACCTACCCCAAGGAGGTGGCCCAGGGCCACAGAGAAGCCTATGGAGAGAGCAGGGGTGCCCGGGTTCTCTCCGCGGCGCTCATCGGTGGAGGCGAAGATGCAGAGCACCAGCTGCAGTGTCAGGAAGAGCTCCACAGTCACCGCCTGGCCAGCCGTCGTGCTGTTGCTGAGCTGGGGACAGAGAAGAGGCGGGTAGGGGAACACTGAGCCCACTTTCCTCTCTGGCTCCATCTTCCTGTCCACCTGCAGTCGAGGCACCAGGGGGCCTCTGGGCTGGGAGCCGGAACACCTGGGCTTGCCAGACGCCTTAGCTGCAACGACTGATCCCTTCTTCCTGGGCCCTGGCCCAAAGGCAGCCCCTGATCCCCCAGGATGCCCATGGTCCCCCCGCCAGAGGTAGCAAAACTGACTCTGTAGCCCATTAGATTGGGGCCTGAGGCTGGGAGCCTGCAGTATGAGAGGAAAAGAATGCTGAGATCCGGAATTTCTGTTTCCCAAAGAACAAGAAGGGAAGAGGTTTCAACTGCCTCAGGAAGCTTTGGGCCGGTTAGCAGGAAGACCTTCCTCTGTCTGTAGACCATCAGACCTTGGTGCAATGAGAGGCCTGTGGTCTTTCTTCCTGAGGTTAAATGGCTCCCAGAGACAGGGTCTAGGGACTTGGGTCTGGGGGACAGTCCTAGTGTGCCCCTTTCCGCTATGAGTCCGGAATCTACCTCTTTCCCTAACCCTTGTCTATTCCCCACTGCCTTTCAGGCCTCAGGTTTGCCCTGTTAGTTTGCTCCCTGCACATCCTATGGAGGTTGGGGTAAGGGCCCTGGAGCTGTGTTGGACAATGCCTCCACACCCATGTAGGCTGCCCATGGTCTCAGCAGACCCTGCCTTGGGTAAGGAGAGAACTCGGGGCTGAGTAAAGAGGTGATTTCATAACTGGGCCGCACCCAGCACTGGATTTCTCCTTGGGTTTTGTCACCCTGTACCCTACACCCTGCCTTCTGGGGCTGGGCACTGCACTGGGTGGAACAGTGACAGCTCTCAGCTCCCACGCTCTTTCTCCAGGCCCTGAACCCCCACCCCTGGGTCCGAGACATCAGGTCAGAACCCTTGGGTCTCTCTAGGGTCTAACCTCAATCCCTCCTATTGTTGTCCAATGCAGAGTCTCTAGAGGACAGTGAAAAGAGCTTTGGAAGCAGACACTTTGGAGGCCTCTGACTTGCCATGGGACTACTTAATTTGGCCTCAGTTTCTCCTTCTGTGAAATGGGATAAGAAAATGGATTCTGGAGGACTGTGGGAGGACTAGAAATGACATATTGGTTCTGTGACTTTGATCAATTGCTGTTGAGCCTCAATTTGCCACTCACCATAGGGGGAACCACAGAATTTCCCTTATAGCGTTGTACCAATGATGAGATGATAGCTGGCCTGGCACAGGGCAGGTGCATGTCAATGATTAACTTCCTGGTGGCCAGGCTGGCTCTCAGTGTCCTCAAAGGACACTTGGGATTGTCTTGAGGGTCATCTGGCTCTCCTTAGCCTCAGAGCAAGTTGGTCCCACCACTGCCCCATTCCATCCAGGCAGGGTTCTCCCCAGGTCCTCAAGGTGGTAAATGCTGAGAAGTGGCATGGAGGAGCCCTCCCAGACCTTTCTCTTCTGAGGGCCCCAGTCAGTTGTGAAATGATGGAGGAGGAGGACTGCATGTTTCCCATGGCCTTTCACTCCCAGTGCCCTGCTATTAGAGAAGGACTTCCTGGTCATGCTCTCAGGAAGTTCCTTTTTCAGTCTAACTGGACCTCTTCTTGCTGCAAACTGAACTAATTTTGTTCTCAGAGGAAATGAGCCCACTCCTCTGCTTGCCCACCTAGCCTTTCCTTGGCCCCTGGCCCCCAGCCTTGTCATATTTTCCTCTTTAAAGAACAGAGGCTGGGTGTGGTGGCTCATGCCTGTAATTCCAGCACTTTGGGAGGCTGAGGCGGGTGGATCACTTGAGGTTAGGAGTTTGAAACCAGCCTTACCAACGTGGCGAGTCCTGTCTCTACTAAAAATACAAAAATTAGCTGGGATTACAGGCGTGTAATCCCATGGGAGGCTGAGGCAAGAGAATGGCCTGAGGTGGAGGTTGCAGTGAGTTGAGATTGTACCATTGCACTCCAGCCTGGGCAATAGAGTGAGACTCCATCTCAAAAACAAAACAAAACAAAGCAGAGAAGTTCCCTAATTGGGATACCTCTGTCCCACAGATGAGGAAGGGCCACTTGTGCAGAGAAGGGGGCGCCCACAGAGATTGTGCGGGACTCATCAAAGACATCAGGACTCTTGTCCAGTGGCTCAAGGATGGAAAAGGCCGGGAACTACCGGAAACAAGCACAAAAGAGGCACTCACTGTCCTGGCTTAGGATGGGGGTACAGAGTGAGTGTTGATCTGTTGGGGGCACAGGTCATTCCTCCACATTCATGGGCCTTGGATTCACAGGGCCCACACAGACTTGAGAGGGGAAGTGGGTGGGACATGGGGGAAGGGACTGTGGCACCACCCTCAGCTCCCAAAGGGCCCACGGGGCCCAGTTAGCGCCTGTATCATGTAATCAGCAGCCAGCTTATGGGCTCCGGGGACCTCCTCAAGGTTTGGAGAAGTGAGTATGCCCATTGCTGCTTGCAGGGCTGTGGTGTGTCCGTGCCTGGCCTGTAAGGAGCACCTGCCACGGGACCTGCAAACCCTCAAAGCAGAAGAAATGCTGGGCCCCTCTTCTCTCTTGAGAACCCTGTGATGATCACTCCAAGGCTCCCCGCAGCTTGGAAAGCATGTCTGCTCGGGACACCAACCCCTGCTGAGGTATAGCCCTGTCTTCACTGTAATGTAGGCGTTGAGTCCAACAGAAACCTGGATGAGGCTCTTCCTGCACGACGGTCAGGGTGGAAGAAGCCAGCAGTCTGTCTGCATCCTGCTTTGCTCTGGTATCATTGCTCCTTTCATCCTGACCCTCCTATGGTGGCTGTGTTCCTGGCTCCAGCCTCTCTCTCTGCCTCTGTCTCCATCTCTCTCCCTACATCACCCAGAGCCCATCCCTCCCATCTCATCCTTTACAAGGGATTCCCCAGGACCTGCCCCTTGTGGATGGCAAAGTTGTGGCTACTCACAGCATTGACAGCCAGGTCCCCGCGGATGTCTGCTGGCGTGATCTCATGGAGCAGAGCGGCTCCGGCCACAGCCCCCAGCAGCTGGGCAGCCACGTAGAAGGCGGCTCGGAGAACGGAGACGTGGCAGCCCACCAGGCAGGCCACAGTCACGGCAGGGTTGATGTGGGCCCCGCTTATGTGGCCCAGAGCCTGTACCAGGGTGCCAATACCCAAGCCAAACGCCATGGCAATCTGTAGCACAGAGGGCAGGGCCTGTGGCCAGTTGAGGGCAGAGCCGAGGCCAAAGAAGACGAAGAGGAGTGTGGCCAGGAACTCTGCGAACACAGCCCTGGAGAAGGCTATGGAGCGGAGCTCCCACATGCTGCAGAGCCCTGCGGGGCTGGCCCAGCTGTCTCAGGGCCAGGATGCTCCGGGCACTCGCTCTCGCACTCTATCGCTCTCTTTCTCAAGGCCTCTGGGGAGGCTGGGTTGTGGGCATTTATAGGGTCCTTCCATCCCGGATCTGGGCACGTGGCGGGGAGGTGGAGTCGTTGAGGCCAATACCTCTTCTCCTCCATGGCGGCCTCTGCCCCCATGCCCCATCCCAGCCCACCCACAGGCCTATCACCCTATCTTGGCCTTCACAGCTGACTAATGTTCCCCATTTAATGAGCTCCAGATAAGGACTGACGTCCCTGGTTTTCCGTGTTTGTTCCCTTGGTTACCCCAGGGCTGCTGCCCCAGGGCGTCTCCCAGCCCCCACAGGGTCTTGTGAATGGGAACGTCTGGTGGGGATTGTGCCCGGCCCCCATCTCTCTGACTCAAACTGTTGACCAAGGCAGGGGCAACACCTCACACAAAACTAAGAGAGAACATGAGTGCTGCTCCTTCTGGTAACTGGGAAGTTCTTCTGTCAGACCTCCAATTATTCCTGCTTCACAGGGATGGAAAACAACTGGTTGGCTTGTGACAAATTTCCAAGGCATAAAGGTTTGTGTCTTCTGTGCTTGCATTCTTGCAGCTAATCACCCATAAATCATTAAGCTTCACCTTCTCCTGGGAGCCCCAGCCAAACAGCAGCTCCTAGAGCCTGGGGGCACTGGGACCCTGGCCCTTGGTGATGGAGTCAACCTGGGGCGGCTGAGGAAGCTGAGGGTGTCCATTCTGGCATCAGCCTGTTCCATCTATGTGACTTAACCTTTCTTGTCTTTCTCTGTAAAATGGGGAGAATAAAACTGACCTAGTGGATTGGGGTTTGGATTGAATGAAACAATGTATGTCAAGTGCTCAGAGCAGCGCCTCGTCCACAGTAGGTGGTCAATGAATATCAGCCCTTACTTACAGTATTATTTGCACTTTGAGGAGAACAGGTCTTTGCACACTCATTTGTTGGGGTCCCAGAAGCTGTGACAGGTCCTAGAAACCCTGAGGAGCTCAGGGCCGCTCTGGCCACAGGAGAAAGACATTTCTGTGGGGCAGTGAGCTGTGCAGGCTCGGGGCGGCTGTGATGCCTGATAAGCAGCTCTCTGGCCTTGGTGCCCACTCAGCTCAGCATCTGGGCAGTGCTGCCTCCTGCTATCAGTGCTGCTGTGGCCACTGGGGTCCTGGAGGCGTTCAAGTCTAGAAGTTTCCCCAGCCCCACTCACTGGCCCTTCCCTAATCCCTCCAGCCTCGCTCCCTCTCCTGGGGATTCACAGCAGGGTCAGGCTCAGAGTGGGGACAGAAGGACGGGCTTCTGCACCCTGCCCTAGCTCCTGTCCAGCAGGTCCCTGGGCAAGTCACAGTCGCAGGAACAGAAATCTGGGAGAGATTGGAGACTGGAGTGGAGCGCTTTGTGTTGTATCATGGGGATGTGGGGTGGGCAGGAGGGGTGAGTATAGGCCCAGGGAGGGGAGTGACTTATCTAGGGTGCTCCAGCAGGTTAGTGGCTGAGCTGGGACTGGAGCCTGGTCTGGAGCTTTCTGCCACACCCCACACTACCGAGCCACATTCTGCGCCTCAGTTTCCTTGTCTGGACAATGGGAGTGTGGATGCCTACCCCATAAAGTTGTTTTGAGAATGCAGTAAGATAATGAACGGGAAGGTATTTTGCAACTGAGAATGTATCATATACATATATATATGGGGACTCGTGACTCCTGCTATTATGAAGGAGGAGGAAGAGAAAGCGGAAGAGGAAGGGGAGGAAGAAAGAATAAAAATTACCCATACAGAAGTGATGTTCCAAAAGAGCAGGGATTCCTGTGGGGTTTGTTCTCCTGTGTATTTCCAGTGCCTAACTCCTGGCCTGACACATAGACACCTGGTGCCCTGGCACTCTTCCCTCAGCCATCCCTCCCAACTTCAGGCATTCTGGGTCCTCCGGGAGAAGATCGACGGAGAGGGGGACCCCAACCCCTGTCATATAAAGGGCATCTGGGGCCCACCTCCAGACTCTGCACATAGGAAGAGACAAGGACTCAGAGGGGTCTGGCTGGGGTGTGCCTCTGCCCCCACCCAGGGAACATGCCTTCCCCACTGCTGGAGTGCAGTGGCTCAGCTCACTGCAACTTCCACCTCCCAGGTTCAAGCAATTCTGTCGCCTCAGCTTCCTGAGTAGCTGGGATTACAGGCACATGCCACCATGCCCGACTACTTTTTGTATTTTTTTTTAGTAGACATGGGATTTCACCATATTGGCCAGGCTGGTCTCAAACTCCTGACCTTGTGATCCACCTGCCTCGACCTCCCAAAGTGCTGGGATTACAGGCGTGAGCCACCGTGCCTGGCCTACTCCTTTCTTTTGTGGTTTCATGTATCACTTCTCCTGACCTTCGGATATACTGTCCACCCCAACTGGCCAAGTTCAGGACTGAGTCTCAGGGGTTCCTGGAAAACCTTCTCCTTGGGCCTCATGTGAACTGAAGCTGTGACAGTGGCTTCTAAATCCACACCCAACCATTTAGTTGCTGTGTGCTCTCGGATGGGCCACACACCCTTTCTGGTCTCTCCTTTGGTCAAGGTATTCACGATCTTGACAGAGTGGCCTACTGACCCTTGATTCTGGGAAGAACCACTCCTAACCCAGTCGGGTAAAAATCTCTTGCTTCCCAATACACCAGGATAGGTGTGACAGCTTCTCCTTGGAGCCCACAAAGACCCAACCCGAATTTGCATATGTTTGTGGTGTGTGTCTTGTGTGGTTGTTCAGTTACACAATCATACATTTAGAAGCTAATGGGATCTTAGAGATCATCTTGCCTGTGGATTTCAGTTTCCATGATGAGAACATGAATTCCAGAGAGAGTATGACCTGCCGCACAGCTTACAATAGTAGTCAGGACTCACATTCTGATCTGGCCCCTAGTCTGGGAGGAGGGGAAGGGGCCAACGATGACACGGCTCATGCCTGTGTTTGCATTTGACTTTCCCTTCATGCCAGGGAGGAAGAAGGTGTTCTCATCAAAGCTGGCGGGGCTTGGCTGTGCTTCTGGCTGGCAGCTCTGCTCACCTGCAGGGATGGCTGCATTTTTTCTACAATGGCCACTACACTGTTTCTTAGGAAGTCTATGCATCTATCATGCACTATTAATTAGAACATGACAAAAATTGCTGATGAATTCACAGCAATGTGAATGTGCTTAATGCCACTGAACTGTGCACTTAAAAATGGTTAAGATGAGGGCCAGGCGTGGTGGCTCACGCCTGTAATCCCAGCACTTTGGGAGGCCGAGGTGGGTGGATCACCTGAGGTCGGAAGTTTGAGACCAGCCTGACCAACATGGAGAAACACCATCTCTACTAAAAATACAAAATTAGCTGGGTGTGGTGGCACATGCCTGTAATCCCAGCTACTCGGAGGCTGAGGCAGGAGAATCACTTGAACCCAGGAGGTGGAGGTTGCAGTGAGCTGAGATCATGCCACTGCACTCCAGCCTGGGCAACAAGAGCGAAAATCCGTCTCAAAAAAAAAAAAAAAGTTAAGATGGTAAATTTTATGTTATGCGTATTTTATAGGCTGGGCTTGGTGGCTCATGCCTGTAATCCCAGCACTTTGAGAGGCCAAGGTGGGCGGATCACTTGAGCCCAGGAGTTTGAGACCAGTCTGGCAACATGGTGAAACCCTATCTTTACAAAAAATACTCACAAAAAATTAGCTAGGCATGGTGGTGTGCACCTGTAGTCCGGCTGATGTGGGAGGATTGCTTGAGACTGGGAGGCAGAAGTTGCAGTGAGCTGAGATTGCACTACTGCACTCCAGCCTGGGTGAAAGGGCGAGACACTGTATCACAGACACACACACAAAAAAGATATTTTAGATTTATTTAGATATCAGTCTTTAAAGTCAGAATTGCTCTTTTGCATGCATAAAAGGAAATTATAGGCAAAACAAATTGGCTAAAATAGTCCCCAGATTTCTTCACATTCAGAGTCCAATTTTTCTGAAACCCTCTTTGACTCAGAGCCTTGATTTTCTGCATGGTGTCACCTTCTGTGCCATCAGGAGCATTGGCAATGTGCCATTCTTTAAAAGATTGTCCACTATTGTTTCCACCATTTATTTTCAAGCCTCAGCCACTCATTCTGCAAGCTTTATTGCCGGGGTTTTCTTGCTTCACGTGTGACTAGCAATCATTCTGCCCTTTTCTCGGTAATAAAACAACACAACAGTTCCATTTACTTATGGGGCTCTTCCTTTCTTAGGTCTCACAAAACACTTGGCTGCTGTTTTGCAAGAAAATATGAAACTGTGGTCATTCTTCAATGATAACTGCTTCACTAATATAAAATTCTTGCTACACTCTTCTGTTTGCCCGCCTTTCTGCATACACAGTAACTGGGTTTAAATGCTAAACCACAGTGTAACCTTTTTGAAGACATTT
Source organism: Homo sapiens (assembly GCF_000001405.40). Taxonomy (NCBI): domain Eukaryota; kingdom Metazoa; phylum Chordata; class Mammalia; order Primates; family Hominidae; genus Homo; species Homo sapiens. The sequence goes on along the minus strand of NC_000012.12, from coordinate 49,946,349 downwards.
TAAACAGCAATTAAGCTGAAGGCACGGAACTCACCTGACCAAGTTTAGGTATGCGCAGGCAATGACGGCCACTCCCAGCTGCCACACGAGCGGAAGAGCTCTTATGATGAGAAACGAGATACACCTTAGAATTGGTGAAACATGGCAGTTACAAGATTAAACCCATATGCAATGCCCATTCTGCCACGCGCTGTTCTAGACATTCTTGGATATATCAGCTCACTTAAATCCTCACAACCATCTTAGGAGCTAAATATTATCATCCTGTTTTTTAAAGATGAGGAAAATGAGACAGAGAGAGGTTAAGTAACTTTCCTGAGATTTCACAGCTAGTAAAAGTGGGAAGGCAGAATTAGAACTCCAGTAGCCTGGCTTTGAGAGAACTTTTTTGATTGTAAAGGTGAATCCCTAATTCATTCCCTGAAATAATCAAGATGGGAACGAGGTGGGAAAGAGTGCTTAAGGTCTTTGAATAATAAAGACACGGATTAGGGTGTTGTTTGCTGCTGGCTTGAAAGAGCAGGCGGGGACGGTGGAAAACAGGCGGTGGAAGGAGGGTGTCTGGGAGCTAGGCCGGGTTGAGCCGTGGCTGTGGCCGCGGCCGGTGAGGACGCCCCCTGCTGGAGCACTGTGATGGGATTCGGAGCAGCGCTGTCTGACAGTTGACGTGAGATGTGTTTCCTGCTCTGAGCTGAGTCACAAATGCCCTCTACTCTCCCCGAAAGGTCGGTAAAAGTGGGTCACACAGCAGGCCTGTGAGTCTGGTGCTTTGGGGACTGAGGGAGAAGGGAGCGGGTAGATCCACAGTCGGGGCGAAGCGGGACGAAGTGAAGAGAGCAGCCACGGGCCGCGGCTGGCAGGAGAGGAGGGTGGGAGTTGTGTCCCCGGACTCAGACAGCCTCTGAAGGATGGAGGGCGTTGGATCGTTGCAGCTCTGAGACACAGCGTGAGCCATTTGATTTCTGTGTAGGGTTTCCAGATAAAATACAGGACATCCAGGTAAATTTGAATTTCAGATAAAAAACAAATGATTTTTGTTTGTATAAGCATATTCCAAGCAATATTTGGGACATACATACTAATACCAAAAACATATTCTTTTACTGGAGGTCTGCAGACATCTGGCTTACAAACTAAATCTTCACAAGGACTTTTGGGGATGAGTTCTATGAGACCTATTTTACAAAGGAGGAAACTGAGGGACAGAGATTAGACAAGTTGCCCATGATCACAAGGCTAGTAAGTGACAGAAACAAGCTATGAATATAGAAATTCAAGCCTTCTCCTGATAATAGGCTGACTTCCTTCTCCAAACCCTACCTCAAAGGCCAGGTGGTCGTGACGGTTGAGGCCCAGGTGGAGGCAGGGAAGGCCACAGGTCCAGGCTCCTGGGGAGACACAAAGACAACTTCCTGCCATTTCCCTCCTGCCCATGGGGTGAGGCCCAGGGATGAAGAAGATGGGATCTTGCTAACCTCCCATGGCTCCCCACTGCCCTCGAGAAAGGCCAGACCTTGAACTTGGTGTGTCCTCCTTCTAGCCCTTTCATCTCTGAGCCTGATACCTATTGTTTCTTCTTTTGGAACCTGTGTCACCACCATTTCTCATGGCTAACTCTTCCTCTAACTCTAGGCCAGTGGCTTTCAGAGGTTTTTGATTGAGACCTGCAGTAAGAAATACATTTAATATCTTAACTAATAAACATGATCTCTCAGACAGACAGATAGATAGATAGATAACTGAAACTAACATTTCACAAAACAGTATTTCCTAAGTGTGATGTTGTAAATTCCTCTCTATTTCACTAACAAGTAATTCAGGTCACAACTACTAAATTGATTTTATGACCCACAAATGGGTTGCCACTCACAGTTTGAAAGACACTGGTGGAGGTTCTGGCTGAAAAATTGCTTTTTCATTGGGAGAGGCTTCCTGTAGGCCCATAACACACAGTCCCGGGGGCATCTGCCCAGGGTTTGCCTTGCCTTTTGTGTTGCTCACGGATGTGATTCTCTGTTCAGCATCGGGCTTCTCCTCTGGACTGTGAACTCCTAGAGGGCAGGGTCCATTTCTGGATTTGCTCACCATGGCACCGCAGTGCCTAGCACAGGCCCTGGCCCTTTAGAGGTGCTCAGTACATGTTTGTTGAGTGAATCAATGAGCAAACTGCCAGCCCTTATACCCCCCTTAAGCCCACTTGTGCCCTGCCCCACACCTGCTGTGTTGCAGCCACGTGGTGGTCCTCAGGGACCTGGTTCAGGGTAGAGGTTGATTCCTGGAGCTTGGATGGAGAGAGGGAGCATGTGCATGTGTGCACTGGTGGAATGAGAAGGGGCCAGGAACAAGTCTGCCCACATTTGAGAAAGATTAGATGTGGGGGGCTAGGGTCAGGGAAACCTTTCTAATAACACTGCTTTGTGAAACAGTGAGTTCCTACCTGCTTGGAGGGTCCAAGCAGGCTGAGCAAAATGCCAGAAAAGCTTGGCAAGGGTTTGTGCACCAGGGGAAGGGTTGAATAAGCTGACTAATGGGGTCCTGTCAGCTCTGCTGCGTGGAGGAGTACAGGCTGCAGGCTAATAAAGCTTCCTTATAGGAGGCAGCTGGGAGCCATTGTGGGCACTAGCAGGAGGGGAGAGCAGCTGGGAGGAGGAGTTGCAGGAGGGCAGTATCTCCTGATACTGCTCCTCCTCTGACCTCTGAATTCCTCCCAGTCCCTGGCTCCTTCCCCCATTACATCTGGAGGGGGCTGTCTGGGCTGCAGGCTCCAGAGCCAATGGTGCCTCTGTAGCCCCCGAGCTCCCTGGGCTTCCATGCACACTGTGGGAGTCCTCCTGTCAGGGCTCGGGGGCAGTGGAGAAGCTCTTACCAGCTGGTCCTGGAGAGCTGGTGTCTGTTTCAGCCCTATAGGGAGAGAGAGGAGCTGTGACTGCCAGGGCCAGGCCGCACCAGAGTCATTACCAGAGAAGGGGGTGGAAATTAGTGATGCCCCGGGACCTTGCTCACAAGGGTCACCCAAACCTGTTTGACTCCCTGCTCAGAGGAGCTGCGGCTGAACCACCCTGGCTCTCCAGTGCCTGCCTCCAGCATTCGTGGACTCAAGCGACTGGGTGACCTGCAGGACCTGGCTCAGCACCTGCCCAGGGCCCTGCTCTCTTCCGCCCTGCCTCACACCCCTTCCTGCCCCTCCCTAGCCTCAGCCTCTGACAGCCCTGTCCCTGTCCTTAAAGCCTGCCCTGCCCTTCCTTTGCCACACCTCTGAGTCAGGCTCACCCTTTTCTCTCAACGATGTGAGAAGTGGTTACAAACCCCATCACGTGAATTAGGGATAGGGAGGCTCAAGGAGGTTAAGCTGCCCACTATGTCCTGTGGCCCCGCCCTGCAGCCCCGTATTCCACCTCCATCGTAGCATGGGTCACGCTACCCCAGATGATTTGCTTAAGCTCCGAGGACGAGAGCCAGATTGAATTCGCCTTTGTTATCCCAACATTTCACACATGATTGGCATGGAGTAGACACTCCAAAAAATATAGAATGAATGAAAGTTTTGTCCAAGATCAAACAGCTAGGAAGCAGCCAAACTATAATTCAAACCCAGATCTTCCTGTATCTCAACCCAGCCCCACACCCTTCGCTCTCCTCCAGGAAGCCTTCTCTGACTTACTCAGTCAAGGCAGCTTCCCCTTCCCCCAACCCCCTCAGAATCCTGGGCATTTGGATGTGTTCCTATCCCCGTCTCCCCTGCACTCTCTGAAGGCAGGAACTTGGGATAGGGTCTCAGCTTGGCTCTAATCCTGCTCCTTCCCCAGAACCAGGAGGAGCTCTATGAGTGTGGGATGCCCAGGCTGAGGGTGGAGGGCTCAGGAAGGAGGGCCTCACCCAAATCAGTGGTGTCTTCCTGCCTGGGATCAGCCACCCTGCCTCATCGCCCCTGCTCATCGGGCCAGGGGCCAGGCTTCCACCTGGGACTGGGCCTGCCAGCTTCTCACAAGGGCCGGCCCAAGCCTTGGTATTCTCTGGGGTGGGTCCAGGTGGGGCATCTAATCCTCTGCTCATTTTGCTGCAATTCGATATCAGCTTCCAATTTGCATGCTCTGCTGCCATCCTTCCTTCCTCCTCTGGCCGCACCATGTATTTTCCACGGCTCTTCTGAGGGCCCCTTGGGTACCCTTGGGCTGACCTCACCCCAGGCCTTCTTAGGGCTGAGCGTTGGCCTTGGGATGGAGGGACCACTGTCCCCACAGTGGGAGCAAGGCCTGCATGACCAGCAGCCTGGGGTGGATTCAGGTTCCACCGTCTAGGCTGCCTGGCTGTGGAATCCACAGCCTCTCAGAGCTTCCGTATAAACATATGTAAAATTACCTGCACATGGCTGGTGTTAAAAGAAGAAGTTGAGGCTTCCCCAAGGGCTGAGGGCCCCATAGCTCTGGGAAGTCCTTTACCATATCTAACCATGCACTTCTGGCTACAAAGTCGGCCCATTCTCCTCTGGTTCTACTTGATGGACGTCTGTTTTCTTGAGATTTTAGCACACTTGAGGCAGTTCATTGTATTTATTTATTCATGCAACAAATATTTATTGAGCACCAGCCATGTGCTGAGCACCAACCATATGCCATTCACTGTTCTAAACTTGAAATATGTCAGGAATTGAAACTGACAAAGATCCCTGGCCTGCTGGGGCTTACAGTACAAAGGAGTTTATTCGGCCTATGGGGCAGTTTACTAGATGATGGCCCGTCTCAGCTTATTCTCCTCCACTTTAAACAACTTTCAGAAAAAGAGATGAAAAGAAATTGTAAATATTGAAAAATAACAGTATGTACTCTCAGATGTCATCTTTACCCCTGTCTCACCACCACTGCTTGAATTTAAGTAATGCAATTAGAAGTACAGGCTGTTGCTTAAAAAGTTAAACACAGAGTTAACATGTGATCCCACAATTCCACTCCTAGAATTGGAATCAGGTGTTCAGACAGTAACTTGTACACACATGTTCTTAGCAACATTATTCACAATAGCCAAAAAGTAGAAACAATTTAAATGTCCATCAATCTATAAACAAATTATGCTATAGCCACACAGTGAAATATTATTCATTCATAAAAAGGAAAGAAATACTGATGCTTGCTACAACACTAATGAACCTGAAAAACATTTTATGGGTTTTTTTTTTTTTTTTTTTTTTGAGATGGAGTTTCGCTCTTATTGCCCAGGCTGGAGTGCAATGGCATGATCAGGGCAGGGGTCACCACTCTTCACCCTTATTTTCTAGAGCTGCACCAGCCCACAGCACATGCTCAATAACCGTTTCCTATAACCAAACCCTCTGTCTCACCTGTCACATTGTTCCCGAAATTGCTACTCTTTCAAGAAGCCTATCCTGATGGACTAGTGGGCAAGCATTTCTTCATCCCAAGGTGACACCACTGGCCTCACCCCTCAATCCACTTCACATCTCACTGTGCAAAGACCTGCCACCTGCCTTGAAGACAGTGAAAATGGATCAGATGCTGGACCGATGGGCTGTCCATCCTTGGCCATTCAGTTATCTGCCCCAGGCATGTCTAAATATCCAACCAAGGCTCCTGAGTGTCTTGATACCAAGTTCCAAATTCTCAACAGACTCATCGCATGCCACCCCTGCCCACCTCATTACCCTAGGGAACTTCTGGCTACTTCATTCCTCCAGAGGTGACCTCTTGGGTCCCCTGCACACCCTCATACTGCCCAGAATACTGCATGGAGACTGTCCCAGCTGCAACATCCCTGCCTGGGACACCCTCATTCCCTAGAGCTCTGGCCTCTTCATCTGCATCCATCCATGAGTTCCCTTCTCCAAGAAGCAATCTTTTTTTTTTTTTTTTTGAGACAGAGTCTCACTCTGTCACCCAGGCTGGAGTGCAGTGGTGTGATCTCAGCTCACCGCAACCTCCACCTCCTGGGTTCAAGTGATTCTCCTGCCTCAGCCTCATGAGTAGCTGGGATTACAGGCACGCACCACCATGCCCGGCTAATTTTTGTATTTTTAGTAGAGATGGGGTTTCGCCATGTTGGCCAAGTGGGTCTCGAACTCCTGACCTTAGGTGATCTGCCTGCCTCGGCTTCCCATAATGCTGGGATTACAAGTGTGAGCCACCGCGCCTGGCCGAGACGCTCTCCTTCACCAAGTCCTTCCCCACTAAGCTTTCTCCCTCCCTGTTCTCAGCTCTAGTCAGATTCTGACTTATTCTGGGTGTGGTTCTGGCTCCCCATCAGAGGGTTTAATGTCCCCAAGCAGACTTCACCCTATCCTAGGATCATGGACAGAAATGGAAATAGGGCTAGAAAGCAGAGAACTCTCAGGGGTGCACAGAGGGGAGTGAGGCCCTGGAGCCTGAGCTCTGGGCAGCCAGGACTGCAGGAGGAGGAGCCCCAGGGGGCCAGGTCACATTCCTGTAGAGATTCTCTCCCTGGACTGGTGGGAGCTTCATGGAGCTGTAGGGAGCAGTGGTCAAGTGTTCTACTGACTCAAGTTCCATCAGCAGTTTCCCAGTAGTCCCCCGGAGCAACATGAGGTAGCCCTGGGTCCCCTAGGACTCCAGCAATGGGCTGGGCAGAGGGCCTGCTGGGGTGAAGGGCATAGGATGGGGTTGGGGGTCCAGCTCAGGAGAGGGGTTTCACACCCCACAACTCTGCAGTCAATTGGAGAGGAGAGGTGGATGACCCTAGACCTTTGACTTATCAGAGCTGGAAGGAAAGTTAGTGATTTTCTATCTTTTCAGTGGTTCCTAGGCCCAGGGCCCAGGGCTGCACAATAGTTTAAGTGTTCTCAAACTATTTGCTATATCTCACTGGGTACACTAGGCTCTGAATACTTCCCTGATAGGAGGCTGCAGTCAAGTAACTCAGCCAGAAAGAGCCTCTGCTTTTGACTGGAATTCTGTCCACCCAGGGTGGCACTGCTTGCTATCTGTTGCAGATCTGAGTCTGCTCTATGAGCCTTTCTTCCAGTTAATAAGAAATGGGGAAACAAATTAATCTTCACACTCTGCTCAGAAACATTTTTCTTTCTTTCTTTTTTTTTTTTTTTTTTTGAGAAATCTCGGCTCACTGCAACCTCTGCCTCCCAGGTTAAAATGGTTCTCCTGCCTCAGTCTCCTGAGTAGCTGGGATTACAGGCATGCGCCACCATGCCTAGCTAAGTTTTGTATTTTTAGTAGAGACAGGGTTTCTCCATGTTGGCCAGGCTGGTCTCGAACTTCTGAGCTCACGATCTGCTCATCTTGGCCTCCCAAAGTGCTGGGATTACAGGCGTGAGCCACTGCGCCTGGCCTAGAAACATTTTTCAAAGCATGACATCCACGGCAGCAGTGGAGGTGGGGATAGATAAAAGACAGTGTCTCTTCTGGTGAAAAGGTAGGAAATGATCCACCCCAACCCTGCAGGGGATGTACCTGAGGTCCAGAGAGGGAAAGAAGTTTTTCCCAAGGTTGCACAGCAAACCATGGAGACGTATCAAATGTGAGCACAAGTCCCTGACTCCTGGACCAGAGCACTTTCTACCAGGCCACCTGCCTTCCCCACTCTCCCGGGGACCACAGAGACCCTCATACATGTGATTTACTCCATTTTACATTTATAGGTTCCTATTCCTCATGAGGGCAGTCTTTCAATACCCCCTTGCCTTCTCTCTCCAGAGTCTTTGACCAACCTGTTTGTCAAGAGTAAGTGCCAAAAGAGTCCATACTATATGATTCCATTTGTGTAAAGTACAAAACCAGAAGAAATTGATCTATGCTGTTACAAGCCAGGACAGTGGTCACCCTTAGAGAAAGTGGCACCTGGCGGGGGAAGGAGAGTCTAGATGTTGGCCATGCTCTGTTTCTGAACCAGGTTCTGGTTACACAGGTGTGTTCAGTGGGTGGAAATGCATCAGGTTGCACACTAATGACATGTGCATTTTAAACTGTTTGTATACTTCAATTAAAATTTTAAAAAAGTTAAATTTAAATGATCAATAAATACTCATCTTGAATGATGGAAGACAGCACCTTGGGCCTGTTTCTAAGCAATGTATTGACTACTGGACAAAATTACACCACCATCAGCCATCCACAGTGCTGTGGATGCCCTCCCTCCCCACCGCTGCAGCTTGGCCGGTCAGCCGAAGGCCCCAGCACAGGGAGGTGGAAAATTCTGCCTCTTGCAATACCCAAGCTTCACCAGGACCAGTAATCTCTGGCCCAGTCACACAGAGCCTCCTGGGATTTGAGCCACAGTTGCAGTGAGTGAGGACCCTGAGGGGAATGTCCAACCGGGTGACAGGGAGAGGGCCTGCACTGGTGGTAAGGCAGGCAGGAGACAGCAGATATTAAATGCCCTCCTGGGGAAAGGACAGCTGCAACCCACGGCCTGGTGGGCCTTGGAGCTGTGAGCTGACTCAGGTGGACACAATAACATCTTTCAGACAGTTTTGGACTGGCCCAATTCTTGGGTGAAGAATGCAGCTGAGTGTATGAGTATGTGTATTGGTACAAGTATGTGCTTGTGAACATGCCTTCGTTCTAGCTGTTCCTTCTGCCTGGAACACTTTATCCAACTGCCTGAAACCCTCCAGCCCTTGTCTCTACCTGGTCAAATCCTAGGCGTGCTTCAAGCTCAGTTCAAATGTGTGATGTGGCCTGAGGCCTGACACCTCCTTGCCTCCCAGGCAGAACGAATCCTTTACTCCTTCTCTGGACCCACCATATGACCTAGCACTCACCCCACCAATCAAAATAGTGGGGTGTGCTGCCTCCAATTCTGGACTGTGCCCTCCCTGAGGACAGGGGCTATGACACTCTAGCTCTCTTGTCAGGATTGTTTAAGGGAATATATAAGTGCATATATCTCTGGGAGCATATATTAGAATCAATTAGGACTATCCCTCTAAACAAAGAAAATCATTAGCAGATTAATTAAGAGTCCTGTTCAGAGTGCTAATTCAAAGGCTAAAAATCTTCTAGCTTAAGCAGGATCCAATGTTTGATAAAACCTGTCATTGGGTTACCGTATTGATTGAGGCTGAGCCTTAGCTGTGGAATGCCTGAGTGTGCAATTCACACATAATTCCTCAAGTGATTTGGGCACATTTTTCTCTTATTGACGAGCATTATAATGACTATAATAAACCAAAGAAACCTCCAGTGAAACAACACATGACTATGCTTGTCAATAAAGGTGTAACCATTAATTTAATGAATGCATTTCCCAAGTGCTTCTTTGTTAAGGATGTTTGCCTAGATTCTGACCAGAATAGAAATGGTGTGAATGACGCAATAGCATTCATTAGTTATCCACTCATTCATTCATTTACCAAATCCTCAGCCCCACCATAGTCCTAGGCTCCATGCCAGGGGCCATGGGAAATACTTTCTTTCTTTCTTTTTTCTTTTTCTTTTTTTTTTTTTTTGAGATGGAGTTTCGCTCTTGTCGCTCAGGCTGTCCCCCAGGGTGGAGTGCAATGGTGCGATCTTGGCTCACTGCAACCTTCGCCTCCTGGGTTCAGGTGATTCTCTTGCCTCAGCCTCCTGAGTAGCTGGGAGTACAGGTATGCACCACCATGCCTGGCTAATTTTGTATTTTTAGTAGAGATGGGGTTTCGCCATGTTGGCCAGGCTGGTCTCGAGCCCCTGACCTCAGGTGATCCGCCCACTTCGGCCTCCCAAAGTGCTGAGGTTATAGGCGTGAGCCACCGTGCCTGGCCTGGGGAATACTTTCAAGTGAACAAGACCCCTGCCCTCAACAAGCTTACCTTCCAATAAGATTGGAGATCCCAGCAGCCTCATTTGAATACAAGACACTATAAGAGGCATACTAACGAAATGTCCAGAGGAAGGCATATTCCGAATGGTGAGCCTGGGGAAAGTTCCCTAGAGGACATAGCATTTGGTTTGGAATGACATGAATATGCAGGATTTTGTTAATAGCAACATATTTTTTCCCTTCTATGCAAGTAATTCGTGCTTTAGAATGGCCAAAGCAATCTTGAAAAAGGAGAATGAAGTTGTAGGAATCACACTTTTTGATTTTAAAACTTTTGTTTATAGCAGGGTCCTGGGGTCACACCTGGTTCTGCCACTTTCAAATACGTGAATTTATTTTTATTTTTAATTTAATTTTTTTTTTTTGAGACAGGGTCTTGCTATGTTGCTCAGGCTGGTCTCAAACTCCTGGGCTCAAGAGATCCTCCCACCTCAGCCTTCTAAGTAGCTGAGATTAGAGGTGTGCACCACCACACCGGCTCCTGATTTTAAAACTTACTACAAAGCTACATTCATACTCTGTATCAAGACTGTGTGTAACTGGCATAAGGATAGATATCATAGATCAATGGAATAGAATTGATAGTCTAGAAATAAACCCATATATTTAGGGGCAATTGATTTTCAACAAAGGTGCCAGGGTAATGGGAAAAAAGAGAAATAGTAGTCTTTTCAATAAATGATCCTGGGAAACTGCATATCTACATGCAAAAGAGTGAATCTGGACCCCTAAACAAAAATTAACTAAAAATGACCAAAGACCTAAGTGTAAGAGGTAAAACTTAAAACTCTCCTAAAACACAGCCAACCTTGGTGGCTCATGCCTGTAATCCCTACACTTTGGGAGACTGAGGCAGGAGGATCACTTGAGGCCAGGAGTTCAGGACCAACCTGGGCAACATAGTGAGATGCCATCTCTACAAAAATTAAATAAATAAAAATAATAAAATTCTCAGAAAACATAGAGGTAAGTCTCTTCGACCTTTAATTAGGCAAATTAGGCAATTCAGACATCCAAAGTACAAGTTAAAAAAGATAAATTGGACTTCGTCAAAATTTAAAACTTTTGTGCTTCAGAGGACACCATCGAGAAAATGAAAAAACAACTGATAGAATGGGAGGCGATATTAGCCAATCATATATCTGATAAAGATCTAGTTTCCAAAATATCTAAGGAACTCTTACAACACAACAATAAAAACGCAACTCAATTTAAAAAGGGGCAAAGGATGTGAATAGTTATTTTTCCAAAATATAGATACAAATGGCTAATAATAATAAGCATATAAAAAGATGCTCAACATCATTAGTCACTAGGAAAATGCAAATAAGAACCACGATAGGATACTACTTCACACCCACTATCATGGCTATAATAAAAACAGACACTAACAAATATTGACAGGGATGTGAAGACATCACAACCCTCATACATTGCTGGCGGGGATGTAAAATTGTGCAGCTGCTGTGGAAAACAATGTGGTATTTTCTCAAAAAGCTAAATATAGAATTGCTGTATTGCACTTCCACTACTAGGGTACCCCAAAGAACTGAAAACAGACGCTCAAGCAGATCACTGTATGCCAGTTTTCATAGCAGCATTATTCACAGTGGCCAAAAGGGAGAAACAACTCAAGTGTCCACCAACAGAGGAATGGATAAACACAGTGTGGTATGTCCATACAATGGAATATTATTTAGCTTTAAGAAGGAAGGAAATTCTGACACATGTTATAACATAGATGAGCCTTGAAGACATTATGCTAAGTGAAATAAGCCAATCACAAAAGGTCACATATTTCATGATTCCATTTATATGAAATATCCTGAGTAGGCAAATACACGGAGATAGTAAGTAGAGTTGTGGTTGCAGGGGCCAGGGAGAGGAATAACAGGAAATAATTGCTAATGGGTGTGGGGTTTGTTTTGGAGGTGATGAAAATGTTCTGGAATTAGGTAGTGGTGATGGTTGCACAATTTTGTGAATATACTAAAGACCACTGAATTACACTTTAAAAGGGTACATTTGTGGTTGGGCGCAGTGGCTCACGCCTGTAATCCCAACACTTTGGGAGACCGAGGTGGGCGGATCACCTGAGGTCAGGAGTTCGAGACCAGCCTGGCCAACATGGTGAAACCTCGTCCCTACCAAAAATACAAAAATTAGCCGGGTGTGGTGACACATGCCTGTAAATCCCAGCTACTCGGGAGGCTGAGGCAGGAGAATCACTTGAACCCAGGAGGCGGAGCTTGCAGTGAGCCAAGATCGTGCCACTGCACTCCAGCCTGGGTGACAAGAGTGAGACTCAGTCTCAAAAACAAAAAAACAAAAAAACAAAAAAACAAAAGGAGTAAATTTTACATTATATGAATTTTGTCTCAGTGCAATGCTTTGGATATTTGACCCTTCCAAATCTCATGCTGAAATTTGATCCCCTCTGGTCTGAAGAAAAGATACTAAAAAGAAAAAAAAAAATTCTTTTTAAAGAAATTTGATCTCCAGTGTTGGAGGTGAGGCCTAATGGGAGATGTTTGAGTCACGGTGGCAGATCCCTCATGAATGGCTTGGTGCGGTAACCGGGGAGTTCTTGGTCTGTTAGTTCCTGCGAGAGCTGGTTGTTAAAAAGGGCCTGGCTCTCTCTCCTCTCAGTTGGTCTCTCCCCGTGTGATCTCCAGACACACCAGCTCCTGTTTGCCTTCCCCCATGAATGGAAGTGGGCTGAGGCCCTCACCAGAAGTAGATGCTGGTGCCATGATTCTTGTACAGCCTGTAGAACCATGAGCCAAATTAACCTCTTTTCTTTATAAATTACCCAGCCTCAGGTATTCCTTTATAGCAACACAAAATGGACTAAGACATTCAATAAAAAAGTAATTCATGGTTATCATGGTAAATTTGGAAACAAATATTTTAAAAAAGAAGAGAAATTAGCTGGGTGCTGTGGCTCACACCTGTAATCGCAGCACTTTGGGAGGCTGAGGCGGCTGGATCACTTGAGCTCAGGAGTTCAAGACCATCCTGGGCAACATGGTGAAAGCCCTGTCTCTACCAATAAATAAATAAATAAATAAAAATAAAAAAATTTGCCAGGCATGGTGGTGTGGGTCTGTTATCCCAGCTACTCAAGAGGCTGAGGCTGGAGGATCACTTGAGCTCGGGGGGCAGAGGTTGCAGGGAGTCAAGATTGTGCCACTGCACTCCAGCCTGGGTGATAGAGCAGGACCCCATTTCAAAAAAAAAAAAAAAAAAAAAAAAAAAAAAAGAATCTAGGCAAGACACGGTCCTTGCCCTTGCCCTTGCCCTTGCCAAGGTAGGAGGTGTTTTATAATAAATCTGTCTGTCCAAAAGTGAAGTTGCCTGCCTAGTAAGTAATAGTTACCATGTCTTAAATACTTTCTATGTGTCATGTGTTAGGTGCTTTAGGTAGATTACCTACTGCATCCTCCGAACAGTCCTAGGAGGTAGTTACCAGTGTTATTACTCCCTTTTACAGGTTAGCAACTTACCCAGGTTTCTAGATTTGGAAATGGTGGAGATTCTGACCTCAGGAGAAAAGACCTTCAAGCTCACACTACTAAGCTGCCAGCCTCCAAAGTGCACGTGATGACTGCCTTTGTCAGCACAGCCATGAGGCACTTGCATACCTCCTCGACATCACTGAGTTGGGGGCCAGACACTGGGCTGGGTGATGGGGACACAGTGGTGACTAAGGCAGGGCCCGCCCTCAGGTCATGCACAGAACTGAGGCGGGAAATATACATTGATGTTGTTCTTTTCATTGCACAAAAGAGAAAACTGACACTTTGAGAGGTCGAAAGGCATTTCTGAATTTTACACGCAATGAAGCATGCAAAAGCTTAGCACAGTGACTGACATGTAGTAAAGCTTGATAAATGTCAGCTGTTGTTATTATTTCCAAAGTCACATAGCTAGTCCGTACAAAGCTGTGGCTCAAATCCAGCTCTTCTGGTTCAAACCTCAATGTTCCTTCAAGAGAAGTGCCTGGCAAGGAAGAGCCTGGCTATGCAGAGGTGGGTTCGGGTTGTGTGGTTCCTGAAGCTTATACAACTTGCGGCGAGCTCTTTAAGAAAAATAAAAATTATAAAATATACGAAAATATATGGCCATGTGAATGCATGGCTAGGGCCTATTCCAAAGTCCTAGAAGAGCCCACGCAAGCCGGGCCCTGAAGCTTAAGCTTTCTTACCTCCGTAGCAAGACCACTTCTGCTACCACATGTGGAAGATTTGCTACCTGCGTGGTGGGCTGGCTGGCTGGCCACCGAGGTCCCTTCAGAGACTGAGATTTTGTGATTCTGTGTCCTAAAGTCTATGCAGGAGCACTGCACTCAGAAGCAGGCCAGGGGGCTCCTGCTCTGGCCCAGTGCTTTAGAGGGCTCTGCCATATCACGTATATCCACAGCAGAGACATCTGACGGACCAGTGACTCCCAGGACACAGCACTGCCTGGACCCAAACATTCACTCTCATGACCAACACCAGTCAGGCCCCAAGGAAATGCTTCTTCACACCTCTTACCTTATGTTCTCGAAGCCAAAAGCTCTGGAACCCTAATGCTGGGAAGGTTTGTAGGTTGTACAACTGCCACATGGGAGACAACACTGCTTTCAGGGCAGGGCACAGGAAGGATTCAGAATTAGCTCATCCAAGCTTTCTTCTCAGATCCAATGAATGTAATAGACTCCTACCTAACAAAGTATCCTTTCCCAGAAATGCCAAGTGTCCCTATTCTTGTATTTCTTCCTGTTCCAATTCATGGTCCTGGACATACACGAGTTAGTGCAGTATTCACAAAACCTGCATGTGGCATTTGAGGACTGTTTTGTAAGAATGATTCTCATTAACTCTTATATTTTTGCACGTTTATAGGTCTAGACGTAACATGTAGCAGCATGGTACCAGTTCTTTCCATCACTCTACAGCAGCAGTGCTCAAAGTATGGTCTGAGGATTCCTGGGAGTTGTTGAGCTCTTCTAAGGAGTCTGTGGGGGTCAAAATCATTTTCCTAATACAGGTTGTGTAGCCCTAACCTGAGAATCCAAAAACTGAAATGCTCCAAATTCTCAAGCTGTTTGAGACTCAACATGACCCTACAAGTAGAAAATTCCACACAGGACCTCATGTGACAAGTCATAGTCACAATCCAGACAAAACTGTTTCATGCTCAAAATTATCAAAAATATTTTATAAAATTACCTTTGGGCCATGCGTATTAGGTGTATATGAAGCCTAAGTGAATTCTGTGTTTAGACTTGGGTCCCATCCCAAGATATCTCATGATATATGTGCAAATATTCAAAGAAAACATCTGAAAACCAAAACATTTCTGGTCCCAAGCATTTTGGATAAGGGATACCTAACCTGTAATGCTAAGATATCATTTGCCCTTTTCAGGCTAATTCTCTCACGAGTGTACAGTGGAATTTTCCAGAAGTTACTCAGTGTGTGATGTCACCATCACTCTGATGACTAATGGGATGTGTGCTTGTGTGTTGGGTTTTAAAAGTTATCAGTTTTAATTTCTAATTTGGCAAAAATTGATAGTTATAATTTATATAAACAAAAGGGGTCCTCAAAAGGGGTCTTTGGGGTCCTCAGTAACTTTTAAGAGTATAAAGGAGTTCCAACCTCAAAAAGCTTGAGACTTGTTTGATATTGCTTTAAGAAATTTTCATGATGTACAGGATAGCACTTTGTATGATGAAATAAAAACATTTTTGTAATTTTGTTGTGAGAGTGACAATTTAACATACACCATCCCATTATTTAGTTTGTACGTGGCATATAAAATCCATGGTTTAGTTCTGTATCCAAGTATTGCTTTGAGAATTATATTGATAATTTCCAGCCTTCGCAGAGTGTAATTCACAATTTCTCCACAGTGAAATTGATAAAAAACTAAAAACTATAATGACTCAAAAAAAGTTATCTAATTCAGTATGACTGTCAACAGGACAAAAATTATATAAAATTGTGATTATAACTGCATAATTGGTGGCTTTGCTATTACAAAGGCAAGAAAAGCAAATTTTGTTGAATAAAAAAAAATTATGATGTATATATTTATTACTCAACCAAACATAGCCCGCCCATCATGTGCAATAATAAGTAAATTTAGTCTTCTGTTTTGTCAATTTTCAACTATATAAAAACCATAGCTTTATACATTTTTAAGTTTTGTCATTATGAAAGTATGTTGTCAAAGTAGACAGTCAGGACATATTTTATTTAACACTTTATTAGTCCAGTGGATCATTTTTCTATATTTAGGCACACGGTATGACAACTTGCCTGCGTCCTACGAAAGTTAAGGTGTGCTTAGTACTATGGATTGGGTCATTTCTCCCAGAAGTGGGCAAGAGTTTCCAGAATGTTTAGGTCCTGGATCAACCACTTCTTACTCTAGCTGGTAGTTCTGCCACTGATAGAGAGAGAGGAAGGTGTGAATCCACACTGGTTAGCTTAAATCATGGTGCTTGCTGCCTTTTCTGTAGCTCTGGAATTCCCATCTGTATACATGGAACCTCTTGAGTGTGCAGCGTAAGGCAAACATTTGGCATAGGCAGAGGCCCAGACAGGGAGACCACGCTGGGACCACGCCTCCTATCCAACAGTGTCCCCACATGGATTGCAAGGGTGAATGTGAAGTCCTGGGTGAGAAGGAAGAGCAAAGCATGTCACTTGGGCAGGATCGTCCTTCAGGGTGGCTGACCCAACACCTTCCAGAAGGCTGAAGTCTTGGGTTGTAACTGGCTCCGGGATGCTCCAAGCCTGAGGCACCCTGTGGCTTGGCAGGTGCGGCCAACAAAGCTTGGCTTACTCAGTCATGGTTTCTCAGCACAGGCTGCCTGTCAGGCCAGGAAATCTGGTCCTTCTCCCTCCCACCGTTCATCCCTCCGCCCCAACTCCCCTGCCCAAGAAAGCCTGTCAGAAGGCTTTGCCCAGACCTCAGCTCTCTTTCTAGAGGCAGCTCAGGTGAAGAGCAAGGTAGAGAGCTGTGGGTAGGGGATGCAAGGTGGCAGCCAATGGGAAGGCGGTGCAGGGTTACCTTTTCAGAAAGAGATGTGGCAGAGGAAGACTGGTGGCCTGCACCTCATCTGCGTGGTGGAGCTTGACCTCCCTGTCTATGTCGTATGCTTTTCTCTCCCAGCACTGAAGGAAGGATGGAAAACTGAGGGAAATGTGACCTGTCAACCTCTGCTCTCCCCTCTGCCCAACCAAGAAGTATGGGATACATATCAGTTGAGGGTTACAAGGACAGAAAAAGCCATGGCCATGGGTCCTCCTTTTCCTCCTCTTCCTCTCCAGTTCCCACTAATAAGCAGCTCGCACTGGGTGCTGCACAGGGTTGGAAAGGTGATGCCATTCCCCACTCTGCAGGCATCTCATGGCAGGATACTTCGAGGATATAGGAGCCTGCCAGTCTTCCCCCGCTGGTGAAATCAGAAATATTTGGAAACTCAGCTGGGTACGGTGGCTCACACCTCTAATCCCAGCACTTTCGGAGGCTGAGGCGGGTAGATCACGAGGTCAGGAGATCGAGACCATCCTGGTTAACACAGTGAAACCCCCGTCTCTACTAAAAATACAAAAAAAATTAGCCGGGCATGATGGCGGGCACCTGTAGTCCCAGCTTCTCTGGAGGCTGAGGCAGGAGAATCACTTGAACCCAGGAGGTGGAACTTGCAGTGAGCCGAGATCGCAACACTGCACTCCAGCCTGGGTGACAGAGCAAGACTCCGTCTCAAAAAAAAAGAGAAATATTTGGAAACTCACTGGACAAGGCAAGAGGGCCAAAGTGGAATAGTGGAGACAAAGGCAGAGTGCGGGCAGGTGTAGGGCAGATGGGTTGCATGAAGCCCAGCCCTGAGACTCCTGGGTGGTGGAGATGCTAGGGTGTGGTGGGGTGAGGCCAGAGGCTGAGGCCACGCCCTGTTGTGAATTCAGTTCTCATGAGCACCTACTACGACCTTATCCCCTGCAAAAATGTCCCTTTCCTCACAGCACTTAGAATTTTTTCAACCAATATATATACATTGACAATTTACCATGTACTTGGCTCAAAGCTGGCCACCAGAGTCTCAGAGATAAATATAATTCTAAGACACTTACAATAAAGTGAGAGTCACATGTGCACACAGATATAAGCTGATTAACACTGGAATAAGTCATTTAACTTCTAAAGAACTTGAGTTTTCTCATCTATAAACTAAGGGAGTTTGACTATTTGTAACATATCCTATCTACTTCCAAAAGATTTTGAAATAGCTTCCAAAAACACACATTTATAATAATTTTGTTAAGCTAGAATTAGAAAACTAAACAGCAAGTGGAAGAAGAGAAACTAATGGAAGGGGAGAGGAGACAAAAGAAAAAAGCTAATATGAGGTCAGGTTGGGTTGAGAAGTCAGATGCCAATCGCCCTGGCTATGTTGTCACTAGAGTGGATCATCAGATGTGATTTTTGAGCTTCTTAGCAGCCAAGGAGAAACGAGAAACAGAGGTTTATATGATTACCATCGTATGGCAAAATAACACATCAGGTCTTCAGGAGAAAGTAAATCTTTCCTGGTAGTAAATACTGCAGATAATTTATTGTGTGGGCCCTTCCTTATATACTCAATGTAGATTACAATGCCTTTAGTGGTGGTTTTTCCAGGACAAAAAAATGCAGCTTTTCATGTGGTCATTTCTTCTGCCAACCATCAAGAGATGCCAAGCGTATAACATTAAAATGGAACTTGGCTGAAGGCATTTTTCCTGGGCAGCTAAGCTAAGGTGGTTCTAATGTGTAGTTTTTTGGTGACATGAACTGTTACTAGGATAGAACTCAGAATCTACAGAGGAACAGTTATATAAGTTATATAAGTAGTTTTTCTCACCATCCCTGAGTATTGGCAAATGTTTTCATTTTTGCCAAGCAGAAAGGTGAAAAAGTGATGTTTAATTTTAGTTTTATTTTGCATTTCTTGAATTATGAGTGCTATTAAACATCTTTCTACATGTTTATGGGCCACTGATATTTCTCTTTCTGTAAACTACTTGTATTGGCAAAAACTGCAATTACTTTTGCACCAACCTAATATATATTCTTTGGCTTTTTTTTTTTTTTTGAGATGGAGTCTTGCTCTGTCACTCAGGCTGGAGTGCAGTGGTGCAATCGCAATCTTGGCTCACTGCAACCTATGCCTCCCAGGTTCAAGCGATTCTCCTGCCTCAGCCTCCCAAGTAGCTGGGATTACATGTGCCCACTATCATGCCTGGCTAATTTTTGCATTTTTTTCCCCAAGACGGAGTCTTGCTCTGTTGCCCAGGCTGGAGTGCAGTGGCGTGATCTTGGCTCACTGCAACCTCCGCCTCTGGGTTCAAGCAATTCTCCTGCCTCAGCCTCCTGAGTAGTTGGGATTACAGGTGCCACCACGCCCAGCTAATTTTTGTATTTTTAGTAGGGATGGGGTTTTACCATGTTGGCCATGCTGGTCTTGAATTCCTGGCCTCAAGTGATCCACCTGCCTTGGCCTCCCCAAATGCTGGGACTACAGATGTGAGCCACTGTGCCAGGCAGCTATCTTTAGAAAAAACTGCTTCAGTGTTCTCATCTATAAAATGGAGATAGTAATAATAGCACTTACCTTATAGGGTTACTTACTGTGAGAATTAAATGAAATAATCCATATACTTAAAATAGTGTCTAGCATATAGTAAATGATCATTAAGTATTAGCAATTAAAATAATTGTTTTTTCATATTAATTAGTATGAGTTTCTTTGCAAATTAAGGAAATATCCCCATATCATATTTTCCTCAGTTATTGGAAAAACATTTCTATGGTGGTTTTCCATACAGAAGTTTAAAATTTTTTTATGTGGTTGAATGTATTAGTCTTTTCCTGTATGACTCTGGGTTTTCCATCCTGATTAGAAAAGCCTTCCCACTATGCTATGTGGGTGATGGGTTTGATTGTACCCCAAATCCCAGCATCCTGCAGTATAGCCTTATAACAAACCTGCACATATATCCCCCAAATCTAAAATAAAAGTTGGAAAAAAAGAAAGACTTTCCTATTCCAAAATGTAAATCAATTTACCCATACTTCCTTATAGAATTTACATGGCTTTATGACACTTAAATCTTTGACCCAAATGGAATTGTTTTGGTTCCATTTTTATGATCCCTCTCCAACAATATTCCAGGCATCCCAACACCATTGATTGAATATTGTATTTTCTCCATTGAGTTGAGTGGACATGTTTGAATCTTTCACTAAAGTTCTGGAGCCCCTTCCCTAGCTTAAGGTTCCTTTTGGCTTTAATGTGTCAGGGTGGATGCCGACCCATTGGAAGAGACAGGCATGGATGTGGAGTAAGGGAAAGAGGTAGAGCAGGGAGCAGAGGCTCTAACCTCTGTACCATCAGCTTGATGAGTGATCTTAACACATCATTTCTGCTTTCTGGGCCTCCGTTTCTCTGTAGAATGAGTAGAGAAGACCAGTTATTTTCTAAGGCCTCTTCCAGTTTGAATACTGTTTGATTCTAGGGATTGCAGAGAGCAAGTGTGTGGGAGTGACAGAGCAGGAACTGAAAATGAGACATCCATGGTATTTGTCAGTCTCTTCTTTGCCGGTCCTGCCCTCTCCCACCATCCACCACCCCTCACCCCCCAGCTCCCCTGTCCAAGGCCCAGGGGCCTGGGAACCAACCAGACCTTAGCCCTGGCAGGGGAGGGCAAGTCCCAAGAGAAGCTACTGATTGGGGGACAGCAGGCAGAGGACACAGTCCCCTGAAATATGCTGAGAAAGCCAGCCCTGTGCCAGCACCACTAGAGTCTAATCACCTCCAAGGCCCTAGACCCATCCCAAGAGAGGAAGGGCTGGGTAGGACCGGAAAGCGCCACTCCGAAGGTGGGATGTGACTGTAGGAACACACACATGCACACACACACACACACATGCACGCATATGCACACATGCACGATACACACACACATGCACGCATGCACACACATGCACACACACATACACACACATGCACGCATATACACACACACATGCACACATGCACGCACACACGCATACACACACACATGCATGCACACATCATCCCAGGATGCATACACACAAAAGGGGGCAAAATTACTTGGGCTTTGCAGTGAGACAGACCTCCGTTCAAATCCCTGCTCCACCACTTAATCTGTATGATCTTGGCAAGGTATTTAAATTCCAGAGCGTCCTCGAGAATGAACTTTGCAGGATTTTTGTGACAACTCAGTGAATCCTAACACAGTGCCTGGGACACAGTAGGAGGCCACTTTAGGATATTCTGTGTCCCCTCCTGCTCCCTCTTTCTCTGTCCTAGATGCTTGAGTCTTTGATCAGGCCATAGCATGGTGCAATAGAAAGAGATCTTGGCCCTGGGGTCAGACCACCCTGCATTTGAATCCCACCCATGCAGCTTCATTACCTCACATCCATAGAGCACTCGGCATGGCGCCGGGCCCACAGTGGGCACACAACAAGTGGTGTAAATACTACTGCTAGGTTCATCTTCAATGAGCCCAGGAGCTTACTGAGGCCAGCATCCAGGTAGGACCAGGTAGGACAGGGTGTTCAGGCCTGGAGAGAAGAAGGCGTGAGTCTGAGGGATTCACTAACAAAGGCTTAAGACGATCATGCAGTAATGATCCGATGGCCCCACTGGGAGTCTTGACACTGACTCATCCTCATGTTCGATTCAGTTCTAGGCAGCCTTCACAGAGCCATTTCCTGGCCTACACCCCTGTCATTCCCAGCCAGTCAATAAGCCACCATCAATAAGGCTGCCAGATAAAATCTAGGACACACAGTTACATTTGAATTTCAGATAAATATTGAGTTTTTTTTGATATAAATGTGTCCCAAATATTGCATAGGGCATACTTATGCTAAGAAATTCTTATCTGAAATTCAAATTTAACTGTGCGTCCTATATTTTTATTTGCTAAAGATGGCACCCCTAGCCACTTGATCACCCACCACTTATAATAGTAATGACTTACATTTGTGAACACTTAAGCGACCATTACATCAGCTGCGTGCCGCCCTTTGCAGTCAAGGTCACGTCCACTAGCTGGTACATC
This sequence comes from Homo sapiens, assembly GCF_000001405.40. Taxonomy (NCBI): domain Eukaryota; kingdom Metazoa; phylum Chordata; class Mammalia; order Primates; family Hominidae; genus Homo; species Homo sapiens. The sequence goes on along the minus strand of NC_000012.12, from coordinate 49,924,432 downwards.
CCTCCTTTGAAGAGGTGGCACATGACATTGTGGCGAGGGGACGTGCAGGCACTGCTGAGCCTCCTCAGCTCACTGAGGAGGCCCGGGGGGGCACCGGGCTCACTGGGAGTGGATGGGAGCCCTTAGTCAGCAATATCATTATTATTACCTGCCTTTAACAAGCAAAAAAACTGCAGTGCATTCATTTAACAAACGTGTACTAAGCCTGGTGCTTTTCAAGGCCTGAGAGGAGAGGTTAACTGATGTGCACAGTCCCCCGGCTGGTGGATGATGGCCAGCTGAACTCTGCAATCCTAGGCGGAGGCGGTCAAATGATTCTCCACCCTCTCCATCATGCCAATGCTGGAGAATCCCCAGCAATACATTGCAAGTGTGTCTGAATCTTCTGTGTATGTGTTCGTCTCCCTCCCCAGCCGGCTCCACTCCTCTTACCTCACTCCAGGCTGGGAGCCCCAGTGGCTAGAGACAGTCTTATTAACCTTAGGATTCCACTGAGGAGCTCAGAGTGGGTGCCCAGTAATTACAGGGAGTTATTGACGGGGGTCCCCTCTTTACCAAGCCACTGCTTCCTTGGGACCAGGGGCATGACACTGGTTACATACTTCCCACGGCCCTGCTCTTCTTCCTTCAGGTCACAAATTCCGAGGGCCTCTGGAAGGAGTCAAGAAAGGAAGGGCAGATACTTGGGTGGGACAGAAGAGGAGAGGTTGAAGACAGGATTAAGGCGGTAAAATACAAAACACATACTTACACAAATAACATTGTTTTGGCATCAGCAGTGCTGGCATTTACTGTGATGGGTGGGTCCCTAAAATTAAAGTTGATTGGGGAAGGGGTCAGGGCAGGGACAGGTTCAGAGTCAAGATACTCAGGGCAGTGCTGAATGAGTCTTAGAACACTAGCACGTAGGAGCAGCATTCCACAGCTGGCCCCTGCCCCTCACCCCACCCCAGCCCTTGGCCACTCCGCTCCAGCCACGCTGGCCACCCTGCCTGCGTGCTCCCTGTCAGGGCCTTTGCTCTTGCTGTTGACTGCTTGGAATGCTCTTCCCCCAAATGTCACTCAGTTGGCTCCCTTGCTTTTTCCAGTCTCCTTCTCAACAAGGCCAGCCCTGCCCATCCTGCTGAGTCCTGGAACTGCCACATCCCTGCCCTCCTCACCACCTTGCCTAGCACCGCTTTCCCCTGTCCACAGTATCTCTAACTTCTAGAACTTTTTGTTATTTTGCTCACTGATGTATCCTAACATTGCAGAATGGCACCTGGCATGGTGTGTGCTCAGTAAACATGTGTTGTGTTGAATTTGTTGAACTGAATCTGGAAGGACCTTGATCATCTAGTTATTTCTAACCAGGTGTGCTTTCCGAGTTTCCGGTGGAACTTGTCAAAACACCCCAATCAGAGTCCCTACCCCAGACCTCCCGAGTCAGCTTGAGGAGCTCCCCAAGGTTTCATATATTAAAAATCCCTTCTCTGGTGCAGTCTCCCCTCTTAGCAACTGGCTTGCCAAGGCTCCCAGAGGGCCCGCTCCGTCCAAGGTCACTGCATAGTTGGGGGCTGAGCCAGCAATCCCACAGTTCTCTCCACTTGGAGCCCATTCCAGCTCTTCAGGCGGATTGGACAGCACCTCCTAGGCCAGTCTGGGGGACCCTCAGTCCAGAACACTCATTATCAGAGAGAGTGCCTGGCACTGTTGTTCTCTGTTTAGTTTCCTCCCAGCCCAGTGCCTAGCACATAGCTGGAGCTCCATGATTTGCTTTTATTGTTTTCTGTCTTATTCTTGGTGAGCAGATATGCCTGGGCCTCGGTCCAGTTGATCTTCATTTCACGTTCTCCAGTGAGCTGAGCAGGCACAGGGCTGGAGAAGTGAGGAACGGAAGGATGCCCCTGCCTTTCTCACTATGACCTGAGTTTCGAAGCAACGTCCTGTGACAACGAGAGAACTGGCTTGGGGCCAGTTGTCTATTGCTGTGTGGTCTGAGCCGGTCTCATAACCATTCTGTTTCCCAGCCTGTAAAATGTGGCTGGCACCCGGGGTGGACATGAGGATCCCACCTGCCAAGGTATTGCTGGAGGCTCACCATACAAACCCAAGGTTGCACTCTTGTTCAATGCCTCCTGTGGCACCCCTCTACCCAAGGACAAAGTTCATTTCCTTGGCCTGGAACCTGAAGTTCTTCCACCTTGGCCCCAGTCCCCAGCCCCTTGCCTCATCTGCTGGCACTCCTCTCTACACACCCTTCACTCTGGCCACTGTTAGTCACCACCCTGAACAGGCCACACCGTATCACACCTCCACACCTTTACACAAACCGTTCCTTCTGCTGGGAATGTCCCCTCCCTTTGCTACCCAGAGAATCGCAGCATCGCCAGCCTCTGCAACACCTTCCTGTTCTGTCTGTATCTGATGTGGAGGCCCGCAGCCCGGGTTACACCCCTGGCTCCACCACCTACCTGCTGAGTGACCTCAGGCAAAGTTCTCTACCCTCTCAGCCTCAGTTTCCTCATCTGCAAAATGGAGAAGATAACAAGACCATCCTTCAGGGTGTTGTAAAGATGAACTGAGATCATGTGGGACCTGGCCCCTTCCTGGCACACACGAGGTGTAAATGATGACTGTTAGTACTATCCTTAGTGTTCCTATCAATACCTCACTCTGCCCAACTGCACTCAGGATCTCTGCCCTCTAAGGTGACCCAAGGACCCCCCAGGCCAGCTGATTCTGGAGAAGCATGGGGATGGGGAGATTTCCTGCAGTCAGCCCTTTCTCTCTCTTTCCCTCCCTCCCTCCCTTCCTTTTTTCCTTCTTTCCTCCCGCCTTCCTTCCTTTTCCTTTCTTTTCTTTTCCTTTCTTTCTTTCTTTTTCTTTCTTTCTTTCTTTCTTTCTTTTTCTTCTTTCTTTTTCTCTGTTTCTCTCTCTCCCTCTTTCCTTCCTTCCTTCCTTTTTTTCCTTCCTTCTTTCCTCTCTCCGTCTCTTTCTTTCTTTCCTTTCTTCTTTCTTTCTTTTCCTTTCTTCTTTCTTTTTCTCTGTCTCTCTCTTTCTCCCTTCCTTCCTTCCTTCTCTCTCTCTTTCCCTGCACCCTGCCTACCGCCCCCCCACCCACAACTACAAGAGGATTTTGCTCTGTCACACAAGCTGGAGTGCAGTGGTAAGAACACAGCTCACTGCAGCCCTGACCTCCTGGGTTCAAGCAATCCTCCCTCCTCAGCCTCCTGAGTAGCTGGAACCACAGGCATGTGCCACCACGCCTAGCTAATTGTATTTATTTAATTTTTGGTAGAGGCGGGGGTAGAGGTGAAGGGTCTCACTACGTTGCCCAGGCTGAACTCCTGGCCTTAAGCAATCCTCCCACCTTGGCCTCCCAGCATTGATCAGCCCTTTCTGATTAATGAAACAATTAGGAGGAGAACCATAATGGCAATGGAAACAGAACTCACCAAGAACAGCTGTGTTCTTATGCAAGGGTCTGGGTCACAGCAGGTGAGGGGGGAGTCTGGGGAAGGGGAGAGACTGCAGCTGCAATAGGGGTTGCACCCCCCACACGCCAGGCTTGACTGTGCTCCATCCCTGAGGGGAAGTGCCAGGGACGGCCCTGCTCACCTTCTGGCCTGGTCTTCCCATCTATCAGGGCCTGCAGGAGGGCATCACCATCACCCTCTCTCTTCTCCACAACAACCGCTAGAGGACAGTGGGCTGTGGAGTCAGACTGCCCCGGTTCAGGTCCCTGCCGCGCCCCTTTCTAGGTGTGTAACCTTGGACAAATTGCTCAACCACCTGTGCTTCAGTTTCTTCCTCATCTCTAAAGTGGGGACAATAATAACGACTCCTGCTTCACTGAACTGATAGGAGGATTAAATTGCCATCATGTCTTTAAGACGCTGAGCACGATGCCTGGAAGACAGTAAGCACTCAGGAAATGTTAGTTATTATTAATCATTTCCTTATCGGGGGGTGGGGAAATAGAAGGAAAGAGAAGTGAAGTAACTTGACCAAAGCCATCCAGCTTGTAAGTGGTGGAGCCAGGATTCCACCCACGGGTTGTTTGCCTCCAAAGCCAGAGTTCTCTCAATTTTTCTATGTTGTCCCTTGTAATCACCCTTACTCCCTAAACTTAAGCTGGAAAAACAATTTTTAAAAAATATCCTAACTGGCTGGGCGCAATGGCTCACAGCTGTAATTCCAGCACTTTGGGAGGCCGAGGTGGGCAGATCATGAGGTCAGGAGTTCGAGACCAGCCTGGGCAACATGGTGAAACCCCGTCTCTACTAAAAATACAAAAAGTTAGCCGGGTGTGGTGGCGGGTGCCTGTAATCTCAGCTACTCGGGAGGCTGAGGCAGGAGAATTGCTTGAACCCAGGAGGCAGAGGTTGCAGTGAGCCGAGATTGCGCCATTGTACTCCAGCCTGGATGACAGAGCAAGACTCCATCTAGACAAAAAAGAAAAACAAAATACCCTAACTATAATGGCAATGTGTTGAAACATTTCAAATGTATGTAAATCCATAAGTTTATGATAAAAATTAATGATCACTTTCAGAGATGCTAGGGAACTCGCTCATTATTTTGAAAACTATAGGATTTTCAAGCCTCTAGATTTAGGGATGCAATCAAACTCCAGACTCTGGGAAATTCTACAGCAAAAATGACCTGGTTTCCTCAACAAATACATTGTAAGGGTGGAAAAAGAGAAAAAGGGGACCTATAATTTAAAAGAGACTTAAGGCCGGGCGCGGTGGCTCACGCCTGTGATCCCAGCACTTTGGGAGCCTGAGGCAGGCAGATCACATGATGTCAGGAGTTTGAGACCAACCTGGCAAACATGGTGAAACCCCGTCTCTACTAAAAACACAAAAATTAGCTGGACATGGTGGTGCACATCCGTGATCCCAGCTACTTGGGAGGCTGAGGCACAATAATTGCTTGAACCTGGGAGGCAGAGGTTGCAGTGAGCCAAGATCCCGCCACTGCACTCCAGCCTGGGTGACAGAGTGAGATCCTATCTCAAAAATAAATAAATAAATAAAAGAGCCTTAAGGCACAGTGGCTCATGCCTGTAATCCCAGTGCTTTGGGAGGCTGAGGTGGGAGGATCGCTTGAGGCCAGGAGTTTGAGACCAGCCTGGGCAACATAGCAAGACCACGTCTCTACAAAAAATGAAAAAATTAAGCCAGGCATGAAAAGAAACAAAAAAGAGAGAGAGAGGCTTAAGAAGCATTAATCATTTGCAATACAGTATATGGACTTTATCTGAATCCTAATTTGAACAATTGTGTAAATGAGAAAACTGGAGAATTGGAACAGTGACTAAGTATTTAATATTAAATTATTGTTAGTTTTTTAGGCATAATAATAGTAGTATAGCTATTTGTTAAAGTCCTCTTCTCTTAGAGACGCATCTGAAATAGTTACAGATGAGATGGTACGATGTCTGAGATTTGCTTCAAAAGAACCCAGGGGGTATGGCTGGGCTAGAGATGAAGCTCAATTGGCCGTGAGTTGGTAATCAGTGAAGTGGGGTGATGAGCGCCTGGGGTTATTATATTACTCTCTCCACTTTTATATATGTTGGAAAACTTCCATAATAAAAAGTTAAAGAAAAATCTGAATGATGTAAAACCGTTTTGTCTTTATAACTGCTTCTAGGAATTGATCCTCTTGGAACCTCATTTCCCCAACTGCAAAGGGAACTAAACTGTGTCATGGTGATCACCAATGCCCAACACTCACTAGGTGCCAGGCACTGCTCCAAGAACTTGATTTGTTTTCAGTCAATCTCTGAACCACGCTATGGGCAGGGGACTTGTACTGTGCCCATTTTGGAGGAACCCAAGGTCTAAAGAAGTTAGTGGTGGGCTGGGTGTGCCGGCTCACACCTGTAGTCCTAGCACTTTGGGAGGCCCAGGTGGGAAGATCCCTTGAGCCCATGAGTTTGAGACCAGCCTGACCCATGTAGGGAGACCCGATCTTTACAAAAAAATTAAAATAAAAATAACTAGCCAGGTGTGGCGGTGCATACTGTGGTCCCAGCTACTTGGGACGCTGAGGTAGGAGGATTGTTTGGGGCCGGTAGGTCAAGGCTGCAGTGAGCCAGGATCATGCCACTGCACTCCAGCCTGGGCAGCAAAGCAAGACCCCATCTCAAAAAAAAAAAAAAAAGTTGATTAACTTACCCAGGGTTACACACAGCAGGTGGGCAGGTGGAGGAACTCTAGAGCCCTGCTGCTTATGTTGTACAATAGGCTGCCTCTCAGAGTACAGAGCTAACCGTGCATCCATGTGAGCCACTGTGGTGTCTTTTCTGCCTTCACAGGTCCTCCCCATGCTGCCACATCCCTACCTTGCCCACTGCTGGGCCAGAAGAGGCTTGCTAAGGGTGAGGACTGTGGAAACTTGCCTGTGGTACCTCACCTTGAGTCAATGTGTGTGAGGAAGGTGCTCCTGAGAGTCGCTGACCCATGACTTAGGCAAGGGTAGGGCCCCAGCTTGAAGTGCGGGCAGAACCGGGCCAGGTGGAGGCAGCTGCATGTTTACCTCCTTCCCTGGGCTGCCTGGGCAACCTTTACCATCCTGGCCTGAGTGTGGAGAGACCCACTGAAGTTTCTCCCAGGCGTGTGTGTGTGTGTGTGTGTGTTTGTGTTTGGGGAAGGAGCAGGCTGGAGCTCCAAGGCTGCCTGCAGGAGGGAGAAGAATCTACTCCTTTGAAGGGGCTCAGAGGGGCAGGAGGCTGGATGTGATGACCCCAGGTGTCCTCACTGCCTGTTCCCAGCTGTCTCCAGCTACTGGGAAGTGCATATGTGGGTATAGAGTGTGGCCACCCCGCTCTCTGGGAGATTATAGCCTAAAGGATTTAAGGATTAAAATCTCCAAACACCCTGCACCCTGGAACCATCCAGGCAGGACTGGCACCATCTCAGCACAGTTCTTTGCTGTCTGGATTCTCTCCCCATTCTATCCCTCACTCACTCATTAATTCAGTGCATGTTTGCAAGCACTCGCTCTATGGCAGGCGCTGCGTTTGGCCCCGAGGGCGTGGCGATGAATAAAGCACGGTCTTATTTCTCCCAGGTTGCTCACAGTCTATTAACAGGGAAATATGAGAGTGGAGGAGAAAATATCTGCTCCACGCGCCCCTCTTCCCAGGAGCCTGGTCAGGCTTAGTTGTGCAGCCCCCTCACATTCCTCCTGTCTCCAGCCTGGTCTGGATTGATCCTTCTCCCACATGTCACAGTCCCTCCCATCCGAGTCTCCCCATAACATCGCCCTGTGGGTTTGCCCTCCAGAGAGTGGGGAATGGTTCAGTCTAGATCAGCATAGTTCAACAGAAAGAAAAATAACATGAGACATAAATGTGAGTTACACACATAATTTAACTTGTTTTGGGCTGGGCGTGGTGGCTCAGGCCTGTAATCCCAGAAATTTGGGAGGCTGAGGCGGGCAGGTCACGTGAGCCCAGGAGTTCGAGACCAGCCTGGGCAACATTGAGAGATCCTGCCTCTACAAAAAATACAAAAAAAAAAAAAAATTAGCTGGACATGGTGGCATGTGCCTGTAGTCCCAGCTACTCGGGAGACTGGGGTAGGAGGATCACTGGAGCCAGAGAGGTCAAAGCTGCAGTGAGCTGTGACCATGCCAGTGCACTCCAGCCCGGGTGACAGAGCAAGGCCATCTCCATAAATAAATAAATAAATAAATAAATAAATAAATAAATAAATTTTAATAGTCACATAAAAAAATATATAAAGAACAGGTAAAGTTAATTTTAATAACATTTTATTTAACCCAACATACCTAAAATGCGATCACTTCAACATGTAATCAATATAAAATTATAAATAAGATAGTTTGTATCTGCTTTTCATACTGTCTTTGAAATCCAGCGTGCATTTCACATTGATAGCACATCTCAACTTGGACTAGCTGAATATTAAGTGCTGACTAACCACACGTGGCTAGTGGCTACCACATTGGACAGAACAGATCTAGATTATCAATTCTGGGATCTGGTCCTCTTTACCTAGTTTTGGAGCTGGAAACACAACTCCATTATCCAAGCAACAGGCTCCACCTCCCCAGGAGAATTTGCCAGGAAGAAGGGAGGCTGCAGCCTTGTGTCCCTGCCCAGAACTCCAGCCTGTGGTGCCAGGCAGGAAAATGGGCTGAGGCTGGGCCAAGGGTGTGGCCCATTAACCAATCAGAGAGCTAAGAAGTAGGGGGTCTGGGAAGCTCAAGGGTCCCACCTGAGCTTCGTCCGGAAGTGAGCTCCATCACTTCTGATTTGGGTATGTAAAGAGCTTGTAGACGCCACACCCTTGCTCTGCTGTCTCCTCCATTCTGAATGCCTTTCCACCCCTTCCTTCAATTGCATTTGCCAAAATGTTATCCTTCAAAATGCTTAAGCTACAAAATTCAGTGAACAAAGAAAGAAGTGTAACACAGAGAAAAGACCAGAAGAAAACACACCTGCGTTTTAGCCATGGTTTTCTCTGGGTTTTGGAACTAGGTAACTATTTTCTTTTTACTTTTTCTTTTCCTTCCTTCCTTCTTTCTTTTCTTTTCTTTTTCTTTTTTTTTTTTTTTTTTTTTTTTGGAGAAAGGATCTCCCTCTGTCACTTAGGCTGGAGTGCAGTGGCACAATCATAACTCACTGCTGCCTCGACCTCCTGGGCTCAAGCAATCCTCCCACCTCAGCCTCCTGAATAACTAGGACTACAGGCATGTGCCATTATACCCAGCTAATTTTTTATTTTATTTTTTGTAGAGACAGGGATCTATCTGTGTTATCCAGGCTGGTCTCAAACTCCTGGGCTCCAGTGATCCTCCCGTCCTGGCCTCCCAAAGTGCTGGGATTACAGGCTTAAGCCACTGTGCCCAGCCCCTCTTCTTTTTACTTTTGTACATTTTCTTTAAAAAAAATTTTTTTTTGAGACGGAGTCTTGCTCTGTTGCCCAGGTTGGAGTGCAGTGGCGCAATCTCGGCTCACCACAACCTCTGCCTCCTAGGTTCAAATGATTCTCCTGCCTCAGCCTCCCAAGTAGCTGGGATTACAGGCGTGTGCCACCACGCCCGGCTAATTTTTTGTATTTTTAGTAGAGATGGGGTTTCACTATGTTGACCAGGCTGGTCTCGAACTCCTGACCTCGTGATCTGCCCACCTCGGCCTCCCAAAGTGTTGGGATTACAGGCGTGAGCCACTGCGCCCAGCCTTCTTTAAATTTTGAAAAATATGAACATGTCGGCTGGGCGTGGTGGCTCATGCCTGTAATCCCAGCACTTTGGGAGGCTGAGGTGGGTAGATCACGATGTCAGGAGATCAAGATCATCCTGGCTAACACGGTGAAACCCTGTCTCTACTAAAAATACAAAAAATTAGCCGGGTGTGGTGGCAGGTGCCTGTAGTCCCAGCTACTCAGGAGGCTGAGGCAGGAGAATGGCGTGAACCCACGAGGCGGAGCTTACAGTGAGCCGAGATTGCGCCACTGCACTCCAGCCTGGGCGACAGAGCAAGACTGTCTCAAAAAAAAAAAAAAATTATGAACATGTCTTAACTACATATATAATGGGAAAAATTAATTTGTTTAATATACATTTTTAAAAGCCTTACCTGGTCTTCAAAGACCAGTTAAAATGCCAACTTCCCTGAGGGTTTCTGAGACCTCGGTCTCCATTGCTTTACTCTGCTGTGGTCCTTCCTTACTCCACAGCCTGCCTGGTACTGAGTTTAACCTGGGCCTGTCCTATCTCTTCTCTAGCATCTTGAGGGTGGGGCCTGGCACAGTGTCAGCCACCCAGTAGGGGTTCTCTCTGCATTGTGGACTGAATGACTGAGGCCAGCTACAGCCAAAAGGCTCCAACTGGGCCCCTGGGTCGGCTCATGCTCTGGCCTCTCTCCAGAAAAAGTCTGCAAATCTCTTTCACCCCAGAGACTGTCAGCTGCTCAGGGAAAGGTCTTTTTGAAAATGCAGCTGATCAAACGCTTGCAACAGGCCCTGAGACATCTCCCAGATCTCGCTGTCACAAGTGCTCCAGAGGACAGGCTTCACAGCCTCGACTACACAGACACTGCTGAAATATTTACGAGGCTGCTGGCTTGTGAAACAGCTTTGGCTGGGGAGAAAGGGTAGGGATGTGGCGCTTGTTAAGTACCTGGACGTGTCACACCTCACACCGTGCAGGGAGCCTCCTGGCTCAGTGAAGGAGCTGCCATTAACCTCACCTAACCTCACTGGCAGGCTGAGACCCCAAGTTCCTGAAGCAGTACGGCATAGAGGCTGAGAGCTGGGCTCTGGGGGCTGACTGCAGGGCTGGGCAGCTGGCCCCATCACCTGCCAGTTGTAGGCAACCTTGGGCAAGTTACTTAACCTCTCTAAGTCCCAGTTTCCTGTCTATAAAATGGAGATGAGAAAGAGGACCTGCCACTGTTGGGAGGATTAAACAAAACAATCCACGTAGCATCCTTAGCATGGGACCTAGCATATGTTAAGTGCTGCATAAATGGCAGCAATTCTTACCATTATCAACCCAGTCAAACAAGAGTGAAGGGGCTTGGGAAGGAGCCAAAGCCACTCACTAGCAATGGCAACCCTCCAGGAATGGGCCGGACCCTCCTCTGTCTTCCTCATGTCCACTCAAGCTGGAAACCTCTCCCTCTCTCTCACCTTCTACCGCCAGGCAGCCCTTCACCAGATCCCCCCTTAAACAGCCCCTGAATCTGTGAATTTTATCCACCTTCAATGCCCAACACAAGCCCAGGCCACCATCACCTCTCCCATAATGGCAGCGGTAGCTTCCGCGTGTCTCTTCTCTGTCCTGCAGCCAGGGGGGCTTCTAAAATGGCCAATCTGGGCTGGATGCGGTGGCTCACACCTGTAATCTCAGCACTTTGGGAGGCTGAGGCAGGTGGATCACTTAAGGTCAGGAGTTCCAGACCAGCTTGGGCAACATGGTGAAACCCTGTCTCTACTAAAAATACAAAAATTAGCTGGGCATGGTGTGCATGCCTGCAATCCTAGGTACTCGGGAGGCTGAGCCACAAGAATTGCTTGAACCCAGGAGGCGGAGGTTGAACTGAGCTGAGATCGTACCACTGTACTTCAGCTCCAGCATGGGTGACAGAGTGAGACTGTCTCAAAATAAATGAATAAATAAATTAATTAATTAATTAAATGGCCAATCTGAGTGGGTGCCCACCCCTTCAACCTCCCTTACTCTGTAACTTCCCAAAGCCCTCCCCTGTCCACAAGGCTGGCATGATCTGCCTGATGCCCCAGGTACTTCCCCATCTTACAGCCTTTGCACAGGTGTTCCCTCTGTTTAGAACACTCATCCCCTCGCCAACCCCACCTCATCACTCGGGGCTGCTGGAGGCCTCCCCCGGACGTGCTCCTCCACCCATCTGCATTACTGCCCTGTTATTCTTCCACAAGGCAGCTTGGGCTTTGGCTTTGAGGCACTCGCCATGTGTGATTCTGCACTCCAGCATGTGGCTATTTACTTAAGACCTGCTTCCCCCTCTAGACTGTGAGCTCCTGGAGGGCGGGGAGGGGGTCTCTTGCTTGCTTCTGCTCTCCTAGCTCACGACATGACTCTCAGGCTGGGCTGGAAACACTTGGTTGAATAAATGAGTTCTGGTCCCCACCCAAGCACACAAGGAGTGACCCACACTGCTGCCGGGCCAAACTGCACTGAAAAATGGCATTGCTGTGTGGACGTGGCCCTGCCCACGTCCCGCAGGCAGAGCAGGAAGGGCTGAGGAGCCCTGGCCAGGCAAAGGGAGGTCATGGACACAGCACCGACACCTGCCCACCCCTTTCCAGTGACCCAGTCCTGCCTCCCACAGCCGAGCAGTGCTCTGTCAGTATGGATGGCCTGGACAAGTAGGGTAATGCAAGAGGCCTGGCAAGTTGAGGGCTCTGGCCCCTGGCCCCGCCTGGCTCTCCGCTGTTCCCAGCTGTCTTTTCCTCATCACTCCCTCCTTGGCCCAGACTTATCCTTTCATGTTATTCCTCTGGGGATGGTCTGTCTCCTACTGGAGGCTTACTCAAGGAAATGAATTTTTAGTGGTGGAATATTGAGCCTGTTATAGTCTCGGCCAAGGGTAGACGGCTGGGAAGGGGGTCCCTCAAACCCCACCTCTTAGACAGTTGCCTCCTGTCCCTGTGAATACAGCTGCTTTGCCTGGATCAGCCTCCAACCTCACTCTGGGCTAGGCCACCTTCTTCCTAGGATTCAGCTCAAAGTTGGCGCCTCATGTTTTCCTTCCTCCACGCCTTCATTTGCACACCATTCTGGTCCCCTGCAGGGCCTCATTCTCCTCCCCCAACATCACTGTCTCTTGTCTGTTGAAGCCTACCCTTTAAGATGCAGTTCAAAAACCACCTCTCCTTCAGGCCAATCCTTTTCAATCTCCCAATCAGATATAACTTCTTCTGAATCCTCCAAAAGCACAGTACTGATAACCTTCAATCATATATGGCTTTGTCTGAAGGATACTGGGGGACAAACAGCTGTCTCTGTTGTACCTGACATTCTAGAATGTCATGGTTCTTTGTTGCATGTAATACAAGTTGGTGCTGGTTATAAGCTTCTGAACAATGATGAGGATGGTGGCATTTGACATTCGGTAGGTGCATTCGACTATAAGTTCCTTGAGGGTGTGGATGAGAGTTCCACGTCTTTGTCTCCCTAGCACCTAGCATGGTGCCGGCACACAGTAAATTCTCAGCAAATGGTTCTGTGGTTCAGAATGGATGTTCACAATAATGGCTCTAACTTGTCAGGCCTGTCGTATGCCAGGCTGACATATGACGTATGTGCTGAGCCCTGTCCAAATGTCATCTCACTGAGTTTTCACAATCACTCTCTGGGCCAGGCACCAATAGTCTCCACTAAGAAGTAACCCCACAGGGCCGGGATTTGTGTCTGTTGTGGTCACTGTTGTACACACATCAGTGTTTGACATGGAGTTGGCCCTCATAAATATTGTTTGAATAAGTAAATCAGTTCATGGATACCCATTGTAAAGATGAGGAAACTGAGGCTCAGATTTACCTAAGGTCAATCATCTAGTAACTGGGAGAGTCAGAATTGGCACCCAGATTGATCTGACCCCAAACCCTGTATTCTTCAATATTGAACTCTACCAGGTCAAGGGATGGAGCAGGAAGGCTTGAGATACACAACCCATATCTTTAAGGCACTTTCCATCTGGTGGAGAAACGGAAATGTATGCACATAGCGGCACATGCGATGGCAACAGAACCCGTGAGACCCTGGGGAAAGAACTGACTTTTCGAGGGCCTGCTGCAAGGGAGGGGCTAAGCCTGGCCTAGAACTTTAGTTACCTGAAAACTTGATTTTTTTGTGTTATTCTAACGTGCAGAGGGCCTGTGCCAGGCCTACCAAGGAGTGAGCTGATGCGGCTGAGAGTTTTGGAATGTGAGGCTGGGATGACAAGCCTGGGGCCTGGCTCTTCTGTGCTCAGTGAGGACTGCTCCAGCCTCAGCCCCAACTCCCAGCAAAGCCCAGGTGTGGGGAGCAGGGGAGGTGAGACAGAGATGAGGAGGGACAGAAATGTGGTTTCACACCTGACCCAGCAATTCCTGCAGCTGGGAAGCATGGCGACTCAGAATGCCGATGCCTGCCCGAGGCTTCGGCTTCTTGTCCCGCGTTTTGGAGACCATATCTGGAGAGGCACAGTGTGAGGGGCATGGGGAGGCAGGAGTAGGACTGCAGCAGAGAGGGGTTTTGCAACCAGCCTCTGGCTGGTCAGCACAGGAGTGTCAGGTTCTTTGCTGTGGGGCTGCTGGGGATGAGAGAGGCAGGAAGAACCCCTGTGAAGAACAGTGAGAAGGGTAGGGGCCAGGGGCCTGCAGGGTGATGGCAGGCTTTGAAGGGTGTGAAAGGCTGCCACAGCTGAGGCCCGGCTATACCCAGGAGGGAGCAAGCAGCCTGATGCCTGAGCTGGCCTGGCCCATTCACCTCTTGTGGCCCAACCTGAGAACCTTCTTACTGTGGGTGAGCTGGGCCTTGTCTAGCCCCTGCCTCTGCGCCCCCATCACTGGCCTCAAAAGCACAGGTTCTCTCTTTTCTTGCACGGTGAGGAGGCAGAGAGTGGTGCAGGCTGGGTGTGCGGGTCTGTGTGTCAGGGGGTTATTGGTGAGAATCTGGGGAGAGGCGCCTGGATAGCTCTGATTCTACCCACCTAGGAGGTCTGAGACCCTCCCAACTCCTCCCCGACTCCCAGCCTCAGTGTTGTCGCTGAAACCCTCTTGAGCTGATGGTGCCTACGCGGGGTCAAATGCATTCTTCTCACCGGCCTCGGCCCCAACGTGTCATGTAACCTCGTGTTAGTCACTCAACCTCTTTGGCCTTGTGCTTCCACATCTGTAAAATGAGAAGTTGCCTCCGCCCACACCTTTGCCCCTCCCCACCGCCAACCCACACTTGCCCCAGACAGAGCTGGCAACAAAAGCAGACTGCGGAGTGGGAGGGACTGCCATGGCGTGGGCCTGGAAGGAGGAGAGAGGCAATGCCTGCGGCCAGACCTTCGCTCCCCTCAGAGCAGCCCTGAAAATATTCCCGGCTGGTCTTTGCCTCTCCACGGTCACAGCAGCCTCGTGATGAAGATGGCAGGGGGAATTCTACAGAGAGGACAGGACTTCCTTCCATCTTCTCCTGCTCATAGCTGCTGCCTGGGATCCACTCATCCCCTTCTTCTCTCCTTGGCCTCACTCTGCAGTGGGGGTGCTCACTGACTCCAGGGTTCAGCCACTGTCTGCATGCTAATGAGCTAAGGAGTCCCACACCTCCACCACCAGCCCAGCACTCAACTCCATGGGCCCCAGGGCTGGGCCCCAGGGCGGGAAGGGATGTGGTCCTCCCCCTGAACACAGTGCATGGTGCCTCCTGGGGCTGCGCAGGGAGGAGGCCTTGCCCGGACCTCTCTCCTGGGCACCAGGAACCTCTGGCCAACTGCCTACAGGACATCTCCACCTGGATGTCCTACAGGCCCTCAAACTCAACCTGACCCCCGCCCAAGCACCTCAGCTCCTTTCCCTTTTCATAATGGTATCATTCTCCCAGGGACTCAGTCTTCACACCTTTGCCCTTTTTGATGCCCCTTCTGCCTTTCTCTCACTTCTACTGTCTTCCCAAGTCCTGTCGGTCCTGTCCCATGCTGTCCCTTTTCTCCATCTTTTCTGCCCCTGGATCACGTGTCTTATTTTCTAGTGATCAAACATGTTTACAGCATGTGTTAGATGGCTGGCTCTGCTCTAAGTGCCTTACAAATCCTAACTCTCCTCATTCTCACAACCTTCAGTTTACAGAGGATGAAACTGAGGCACAGAGAAGTCAAGCGTCTTGTGCAGGGCCAGGATTGGGACCCACGCAGCCTGCTCCAGAGCCGGGCTCTGACCCTCCACAAGAGCCATCACTAAAGTTCCACTTACCGCTGCACCTTCAATCTCTTCCTCTCTCCATCCCTCCCACATGTTCACAGACAAAATCTTCTTCCTTATTTAATAAAACAATATAATGACCAGCCTGGCAAACATGGTGAAACCTCACGTCTACTAAAAATAGAAAAATTAGGCCTGGCGTGGTGGCTTACGCCTGTAATCCCAGCACTTTGGGAGGCCAAGGTGGGTGGATCACCTGAGGTCAGGAGTTCGAGACCAGCCTGGCAAACATGGTGAAACCCCGTCTCTACTAAAAATACAAAAATTAGCTGGGCATGATGGTGGTGACTATAATCTCAGCTACTTGAGAGGCTGAGGCAGGAGAATCGCTTGAACCCAGGAGACAGAGGTTGCAGTGAGCGGAGATCGCACCACTGCACTCCAGCCTGGGTGAGAGAGTGAGACTCCACCTCAAAAAAAAAAAAAAAAGAAAAAAAGAGAAAACAATGTAATAGCAAAAATTACTACAGAGGTTGGTCTTTCTTATCTTTTTTTTTTTTTTTTTTTTTTTTGAGGCTGAGTTTCACTCTTATTGCTCAGACTAGAGTGCAGCAGTGCAATCTTGGCTCACTGCAACCTCTGCCTCCCAGGTTCAAGCGATTCTCCTGCCTCAGCCTCCCGAGTAGCTGGGATTACAGGCATGTGCCACCACATCCAGCTAATTTTTTTTTATTTTTAGTAGAAACGGGGTTTCGCCATGTTGATCAGGCTGGTCTCGAACTCCTGACCTCAGGTGATCCATCCACCTTGGCTTCCCAAAGTGCTGGGATTACAAGCATGAGCCACTGCGCTTGGCCTGGTTGGTCTTTCTGAAGCATGACTTTAAACACGTCATTTCCATGTTCAATAAAACCTTGAGGCCAGGCACAGTGACTTACTCCTGTAATCCCAGCCTTTGGGAGAGCGAGGTAAAAGGATCGGTTGAGCCCAGGAGTTCGAGGCCAGCCTGGACAACATAGTGAGATCTTGTCTGTACAAAAAATAAAATTAACCAGGCATGGTGGTGCAGGCCTGTAGTCCCAGCTACTTGGGAGGGTAAGATGGGAAGATCGCTTGAGCCTGGGAGGTTGAGGCTGACGTGAGCCATGATTGTGCCACTGCATTCCAGCCTGGGCGATAGAGTGAGATTCTGTCTCAAAAATTAAATAAATAATAAAATAAAATAAAGCTTGAAACTCCCCATTACTTTCCCGCCTTGTACAAACAGAATAAAGCCTATCATGGGGTGGAGATTTGAGGATGTTACCCCAACAACCTCCCCAGCTCCCCTGGGGAGCCCCTTACTGTTTCTGACTCCCTTGAGGCACTATTCTCCCAGCCCTCAGCCACCCCAGCACTGCCTGTCCCCTCCTGCCCGGGGGTGAGTCTGAAGGGATCTCATTCTTCTTGAAGAATGGCTTCTACCAAATGTGTCAACAGGGACAGAGACCACAGACATGACAAATGAATGAACAAATGAGTAACTGTGGAACTGAGCTGCCTTATGTGGTGGAAATTATTTCATTAAACAATATTTGTGGAACCCTTAAGGCTAACACTAATAGCTAACACCAAGAGCTTATTGTGTGCTTATAGTCATCAAACATGCATAGAGCATGTGTTAGATGCCTGGTTCTGTTCTAAGTGCCTTACAAATCCTAACTCTCCTCATTCTCACAACTTTCACAACTCATCTCTCACAAGCTCTCATACAGCTTTTAAATAGAGGAGCCGGGATCTGGAGCAAAGCTGCTTGACTGTGTAGCCTTGGCTTTTGACTACCACACCTAACTATCACCAGATCCCAGAGGAATGTTACACGAATGTTTAATATTTGAGTAATGTCAGCTGGGCACGGTGGCTCATGCCTGTAATCCCAGCACTTTGGGCGGCTGAGGCGGGCAGATCACCTGAGGTCAGGAGTTCGAGACCAGCCTGGCCAACGTGGTGAAATTCTGTCTCTACCAAAAATAGGAAAAGTAGCCAGGCGTGGTGGTGTGCGCCTGTAGTCCCAGCTACTCAGGAAGCTGAGGCAGGAGAATCGCTTGAACCTGGGAGGCGGAGGTTGCAGTGAGCTGAGATCGTGCCACTGCACTCCAGCCTGGGCAACAAGAGCAAAACTACACCTCAAAACAAAAATTTTTTTGAGTAATATCCAAAGACCACCTCATGGGAACATATACCCTAGTTACTTGGGAGGCTGAGGCAGGAGGATGCTTGAGCCCAGAAATTCAGACTGTAACAAGCCATGATCATACCACTGCACTCCAGCTTAGGCAACACAGCGAGACCCTGTCTCAAAAAAAAGTTGGGGGGACATATACACAATGTCAAGGTAATAGAGTCCAACATCTGAGAAACATCATAGCACTGACAATGTCAACATGTCTGAGGAATATAAGGATTTTGTATAATGCTGTACTTTACTCAACCAAATACTTATCAACCCACCACATCCATGTCAGTCACTATTTTAACCCACAGGTGTAAAGCAATGACACAACACCCCCAAACTCCTCCTCTTCTGTAGCTGACGTTCTAATGGGAGAGAGAGAGAGAACAAAACAAAACAAAACAAAACATGTCAGAGGTGACAATTGACATAGAAAACATAAAGCTTAATCAGAAAAAAGGGACTGTCCAATTTGCTGGGTGGGGGTATGCGGGTGGCACTGCTACTTTGTATAAGATCAGGAAGACCACCCCTGAGATAATGTCTGAGCAGAGTAGTGAAGTTAGTGAGGGAGGGAGCCACGCAATGATCTGTAGAATTTCCAAACAAGACACAGCCAGTGCAAAGGGCCTCAGCTAAGCGCATGCTCAGCCCAGTCTAAGGAATGGCCAAGAGGCCTGTGTGGCTGGAGCAGAGTGAATGCGAGAGAAGGAACAGGAGTGATTCACAAACATGAAAGTGCTAAGGCTGATGAAAGTCAGGCTCTGCGTAGTGCCATGTCTGGGAAATATTACTAGCTACAATTGATGGAGTGCATTCCACACACCTGGCACTGCATTCAGTCCAGCTCACACCAAAACTGCTACAGGAGCTTAGAGTGTAACAGGGAGTCAGTCAAAGAAACTTCACAGCGCCACGTGACAGGCGTTACATCAGGGTGCTAGGGAACTACAGAAGAGGAGCATCTAACCCCAACTAGGGGGGGAAGGAGGCTTCCTGGAGGAGGTGGCATTCAAGCTGTCAAGCAGGAGAAGGAAAACACTTCCAGGATGCAGATGCAGAGAAGGAGGGAAGGCCAGAACCTGGACCAGCTGGTCAGAGCTCCAGGTGCAGTGCTGGGGACCAGGGCACAGCTTGCTGGAAGAAGAGCTCGGGTTTGTAGGGTTGAGAGAGCCTCTGGACACGGAGGCCCAGGCTTAAGTGTGTTTGTGCAAAATTGGTGGTTATGGAGTGGGGGACAAAGGGCAAAAAGGGGTGGGATAAAGACTTTGATAATTAGGCCAGGCACGGTGGCTCACACCTGTAATCCCAGCACTTTGGGAGGCTGAGGAGGGTGGATCACTTGAGGTCAGGAGTTGGAGACCAGCCTGGCCAACATGGTGAAACCCTGTCTCTACTAAAAATACAAAATTAGCCGGGCGTGGTGGTGCGCGCCTGTAATCCCAGCTACTCAGGAGGCTGAGGCAGGAGAATCACTTGAACCCGGAAGACAGAGGTTGCAGTGAGCCAAGATTGTGCCACTGCACTCCAGCCTGAGCAACAGAACAAGATTTTCTCTGTAAAAAAAAAAAAAAAAAAAAAAAAAAAGACTTTGATAATTTGTCTGCCTACCTGGGCCCTGCTTTCTCAGGGACTTTAGGTGGGTCCCTGGGCAGTGAGAGGGAAGCAGAAGGTAAGTGGCCACCCCCACCTGTCCCAGGTCTTAGTTTCTCGTCCCATCCTAGCAGGTTCAGATACTTCTTTTAGGCAGATTTGTGGGTGCTCGCTCTGGGGCAGCCCAGGACATTCTGGTAGGAGACTCCTCAGTTAATAATACCTCACATACTTCCAGCACTTCTTGGTCTTTTATGTGCTTTTACGGCCATAACCTGTGCGTCTGACAGTCAATCTAGGATGGACAGAGCTCTGTTCTAAGCCTCTTTTTCGTAGGAGCTGCAGCTCAGAGAGGTTAAGGGCCTTGCCAAGGCCACGCGGCCAGTGGGTGACTAAATTGGGACTTGATCCCAGCTCTTGAGATTGCAAACCCCATAGTGACACTGCAGCAGCTACAGAAAACGGGGCCTGATGATGGCTGGGTCCCAGTGACACGTCTGGGGAAGCGGGGAGAACGAGCTCTGGCATGGGAGGAATGGAAAAGGGGGGAAGATGGAGACGGGGTGATGGAAGCTAAGCGTGGAGGCAGGAAGAGAGCTCTGGCAGGGGTTGTAGAGGCTTTGAGACAGAACTAGCGGTGTCTCCAGAAAGACCCCGTGAAATGTCCCAGCAGGGCTGAAAGAAACAGAAGAGGTGTCCTCCCACCCCATGTCTCTGTGAACCAAGGCAGGGAGGGACCTACTGTGTGCATTTCACAGGCGAGAAAAAGGAGCAAGGATAGGTGGCTATTGGCTTGCCCCAGGCCCACAGGAGCGCAGGGCCCAGGGGCCCTGTTAGAAGCGGGCAGCACAGGCGAGACTTCCAGACCTTCCCCTCTACCAGGGATGATGAAATAGATGATGAGAGGGGAGGTGGAGATGGAGACAGAAATCAGGGCCGCATCCAAAGAGGGAGGAGGAAAAGGCAGAGGCGCAGCTGGAGCTGCAGAGAGGTGCAGAGACAGTGGAGATGAGGCCCTGATGCCCGGCTCTGGTTTCACGCGGGCAGCGTCAGCTGGTCGGTGTCACGGAGTTCCCGCGTCCTCCGCCCGCTCAGCCCCCGCGGACCCATCCACTGGGGTTGCTCCGCAGCGCGACTCTCTCTCATCCCGGGGGAGGGCTAAGGGCGGCGGTGGGGGGCGGGGTGGGGGGGAAGCGGCGGGAGGGGGCGGTGCGCCGCCGCCTTACCCCGGGCTCGCGAATCCGCAGCGTCCTCCGCAGCATCTTCCCAGGCCCGGCCCTCTCCTCCCCCCGCGCCGATGGTACGCGCCGGCTCGCCTGGCCCGGCTGCAGTGGATGTTGCTAGAACCCACGCGGAGGAAGGAAGAGACGCAGGCAGGCTGCGGTTACCCAAGCGGCCACCCGGGCCTCAGGGACCCCTTCCCCGAGAGACGGCACCATGACCCAGGGAAAGGTACCGGCATCTCCCCAGCCTGCACCATCCTCCATCCTCCGGCTCCCGGCTCCCTGTCATCCTCAGCAAGCCCTCTGGACCACGAAAGCATCCTCCCCTGGCCCTAGTTTGAAGGTCCTCCGTGGTCCTTGCTGAAGTCAGAGGACCGAAAGGCCGGTGTCAAGGAATGGACCGAGGCCTCTTCCTGCCCGCAGGCGCGCCTCTCCTCCCCTGTCACCCTGCCACCCCTGCTTTGGCATTACAGCATTACAAGGCTCCTCACAGATACCCAGGCCCCCCGTGAGGAGTCAGCCCGGGCGTCTGGTGTGACTGTATGTGTGTGCATGGGTATGTGTGTGCCAGGGTGAGCCCTGAGGGGCAGTGCCTATCGGGCAACCCCCTCTGGCCCAACCCTCCAGTCCCAAACCCAACCACTTTATGCTCATCTTTCCCACCCTCCACGGAAACAACCCCCACCCTACTCCCTGCCATTGTTCCACATCTGGGCGTCTTGGCTCCATCCCTGTGCTTGGGGCTTGCTATGACAACTCTGCATCAAGATGCTCTAATTGTTGTTTTGGTTTTGGCCAGGCATGGATGGGTCCGGATGAAGCATCTCTTCTCCAGTTTTAGGCCTGAATTGTAGGGGAGGGGCTGGGGCAGAGACTCGGCTGGCCTAGTAGGCTTATGTAACATCAATAGCCTGTGGAATTATACAACCACTAGGGCCTGGGGCTAAGGGGGAGGGTACTCGGGCCCTCTGTTTGGGTTGCTAAGGATTGGGCAGAGAAAACAGGGGAAGGACCTCCCCTACACTCCCCCTTCTTCTCTTTGAGAGGAGCTTCAGAGCCAATGACATCCTTCCCTGGACCCTCAGACCCTCCTCTCCCTGTATGCAAGCTCTTTGGGCCTCAAATGATGTCACTGGGTGATACCACCTCCCGCCATTGGTCACACCTCACTTGGGAGTGCCGTATGTGTGTCGGGGGCCTGGGCATTAGGGTCCAGGAGGCTCTGGGGGGCGGAGTGGCAGGGTGGAGGCTGAACTCGATTTAGGTGGACATGATCCTTCAGATCCGGGTGATGAGGGGGGCTGGGGAGTGGGAGGCAGTGGGAGGCCTGGGGAGTGTTCAGTTCCGTAAACATGGAGAACTCACCCCTTCTGCTGAGTCTCCTTCCACCTCCACCCTGCCTCCACCAGGCCCTTTAGTGGCGCTGTTCCCTTCCTGGTGTGAGGGGGACCTCTGCCTCCTCTGCCCCTTGTCCCCAGCTCACGCACAGGCTTGCTGGGGGATGGAGAAGACCGCTCCAGTTCAGTGGTCCTTGGGCCTGGATGGAACCAGAAGTCTTCTGGTGCGTGCCTGTCTCCAGGCTGCCTCAGCCAGATGCTCCCTGCAAAGAAGGAAGTCCGCAGTCTTCCTCAGTGGCCCTTTAGGTCTAACACAGTCTTCTGGGAACCAGACCTAAATCCCATTTTCTGAGAGCCGGGCTTTTTGTTGCTGTTTCAATTTCACACCACCCCCTCCACCCCAGTCTTTCCTTCTCTGGCTGCCTCATTCAGGCCTTCCCAGCTCAAATCCTCTCACCAAAGCTAAACATGTCCACGGGTGGGGGGCAGGGGACACATCTGAGTGTAAATGGACTCGCATTTCCAACCTGCCATGGGGACGTTTCCCTTTGAGCCTCAGTTTCCTCATCTGTTCAGTGACGGAAGAGACTCAACTGGATGTCTTCTGAGGCCCCTTCCACTGGGTCACTCTGTGAGTCTGTTCTGGTTTAGGGGAGAGGCTGAGATTCCTACAGGATGAGGCCAGAACAGACCCTTAGCCTGGATCCTCTTGCCCTTCCTCCACCCTGAAGGCCCTTCTTCTTTTCTGTTTTCTCCCTCTCCTCTTCCCTTTCTGTTGCCCTTCTCTCTCCCATCTCCATTCTCCTTGCATCACTTCCAGCGCAACAGAAGGATCAATCCCAGTGGATGATGCCTAGGCCCTGCCTCTCAGTGGGCCACATGCAGCTCTGTGACCTTGGATGAATCGCTCTTCCTCTGTGATCCTCATTCTCCTCATTTTAAAGCAGGGGTCAAAATGCAGCTAGCAAGTCTCAGGAAGATTAAATGACATAACCTTTTATTTGTAACAATCTACTATGTGCCAGGCTCTTTTCTGGAACCATAGAGACCCTGCCCCTACCCCAGGGACAATGACAGTGACAACCAATGGTGGACACTCCTAAGAATTTTCTCTTTCCTCTGTTCCTATCCCAGCTCCACCATGTGCCCCAGCTAGCTCTGACCCCTCTGGAGCTTAGTTCTCTTGTCTATAAAATAGAGACATTCTTGTCTGCATTCCTGGCTTCCAAGTGCAGGTAAGGAAGGAACCATGAAAGTTCCAGGAATTGAAGAGTTGGTGAGGAGGAGGAGTTGGAAGGCTCCCTTTCCCTGGTGACTATCTCTCTCTCTGACTCTACTCCATAGCTCTCCGTGGCTAACAAGGCCCCTGGGACCGAGGGGCAGCAGCAGGTGCATGGCGAGAAGAAGGAGGCTCCAGCAGTGCCCTCAGCCCCACCCTCCTATGAGGAAGCCACCTCTGGGGAGGGGATGAAGGCAGGGGCCTTCCCCCCAGCCCCCACAGCGGTGCCTCTCCACCCTAGCTGGGCCTATGTGGACCCCAGTAAGTCTTTCAGCTCCTGGAACCTGAAGCATCATGGGGTGGGGGTGGACCCAGAGGGAAAACCTGAGTAGGAGGAAGTTGTCCAGAAAGAGGTACACTGTGTGGTTGTATGAAGCTGTGTTGTTAGATGCTTAGGATTTGGAGAACTAGTCTGAGGGTAGGTCAGAGACAACTCCATGAAAACAGAGAGAGATACAATGTCTGCATCAGGGTGCTCTCAATAGGGAAGAGGGCATTTTTTTTTCAAGTCACCATGCTAGAGCAAATGGAGGGGACAGATGAGGGAGAAAAGCTAAGGGCTAGTTAAGAAAGAACTCCTAGAAAAAAGAGATACAGAGAAGGAGGGGGCATAGGAGGCTGCCACTGGCCACAGCCTTCACTGGGCCTGGCCCCTGTGAGTGGGGGTGCAGTGTTTACTCACTGGCTGATCTGAAACCTCAGTGGGGACAGGTCTCCACGGAGGCCCCAGGGCTGTTGGGGGATAGGGGTCTGGGGATCCACCTCACCAATCACTCTTCTCATATCTGTTCCCTTCCCCGAGCCCGTGCTGGGGCAGGAGTTCATGACCCAGGGAGGGAGTGTGGTTTCCAGCCTCAGTGTCCCCCACAGCTGGGCACACTCACCCAGGTGGATGCCAGATTCCTGCAGACCGAGAATCCCAGTGGGTAGGAGCTGCTCTGTTGGGTCAAGCAGCCTGTGGGAGCTTTACCTCGGGGCCAGGAACGTATAGCTTCCCAAAAGCTCTGAGGAAATCCTCCTTAGCCCCTGTGGCCTTCCTCAGCAGCCCCTCCCCCTCTCCCACTTTATCACCCCACCTCCAGCAGGATTCTAGAAGAGATCTCAGAGACAATGCCCCAGACAGAGCCTCTGCTCATAGGGAGTAGCCACCATGGTCTACACCTCCCACTACAAATCCCCTGGGCGCAGACCCCTGAAGACTCACCCCACCGTGACCTACTGGAGGGTCAATGAAGGTCTGGTGTTTGTGGGTGTCCTCCTCCCTTCCCTACACACCCGCCGGCCCACTTTCCCTCTCTTTTCCCCTTCCCTCTGTGGCCTGGCCACCTGGGCTTTCGCAGAATATGTAGACAGGACACGAGGGAGAAGTGAAGGACAAGAGGGCAAGGGTCTTCAGGCCTCAGGTTTGCAGTGGGTCTACCTCTCTCCCCCTTCCTCATTTCCCATATCCTCGTTGCTAGGACTGCTGTTTTAAGGAATGTTTTCCAAGGAACTGTCGAGGCAGGAAGGCAGCTATGACAGACATTTACTAAGTGTGTGCCAGGGCACAGGGTTCGCGTCTGGGTTTGTTTCGGAGGATGCATTGATTTGCAAGACCTGCTGGGATCTCTGTCCTCAGAGAGCTGACTGTATAGACAAGTGATTGGACAACTACCACACAGTGACACAAACACAGTGACAGATGCCTCAGCACCTTACCTAACCCACCTAACAGTCAGGGAAGGCTTCCTGGAAGAAGCGGTATCCACACTGAGTCCCAAAGGATAGGCATGAGTTAGTCTGGTGAAGAGGCAGGAAAATGAGTGTTTAAGGCTGAAAGAATAGAATGTGCAGGGGCTCACAGGCAAGAGAATACATGGTTGAAAAAATATACTTGGGTTGAGAACCTGATCGGGGGAGGAATGTATAGCGGGGCTGGAGGGTGCTGCGCAGGGAGGCCGCGGAGGCTTTCTTAAGAAACTTGAACTTGAGTGAAGGGCAGTGGGGAGCCATTGAAGAGCTCAAAGCAGGGCAATACCATGGTCAGCTTTGAAAGACCAAGACAGAGGCTACTGCTGGGGGCAAATAAGATCATGGAAACCTAGTGGGGACAGTGGAGGGACAAAATGAACACACTGGAGGACTTGGAAATGGCCACGATGAGGGGCACATGGGAGAGGGTGAGGCTGTGTAGTTCCCACCAGAGAGCATAGGCTTTCATTTCGCAGACCTGGAGGCTTTCATGTTTATAGGCCCAGGAGGTGGGTATCACTAACCAGTATCAGAAGAGGCTCAGGGAAGGCCAGTAACTTTATCAGGGTCACACATCTAGTAAGTTCTAGGGGAGGGATCCACCCCTGCGTCTGTTTGACTGTGGAGTTCATGCTCTTCCAAAAGCCTCAGTTCTGGGACTAGGCCTGGAACTGTCATCCTCACCCCCACTTCTTGCCCTTGTCCTGGCTTTATTTCCCCTCCAGCCCCCCACCCCCTGAAGCCCTGGTTTCCAGCTGGAGTACCAGCGGTCCACCACAGCCAACCAGTCCCCAGCTCCCAGCCCAAGAGCCTCAGCACAAGCCAGAGTCAGAGCTGGGCACAGTGGCTCATACCTGTAATCCCAGCACTTTTGGAGGCCAAGGCAGGTGGATTGCTTGGGCTCAGGAGTTCAAGACCAGCCTGGGCAACATGGTGAAACCCCATCCCTACTAAAAATATAAAATATTAGCCAGGCGTGATGGTGTGCACCTGTAGTCCCAGCTACTCGGGAGGTTGAGGTGGGAGGATCGCCTGAGCCAGGGGAAGTCGAGGCTGCCGTGAGCCATGATCATGCCACTGCACTCTAGCCTGAGTGACAGGAGTGAGACCCTGTCTCAAAAAAACAAAACAAAACAAAAACAAAAAGAATGAGCAAGGGTCAGGATCTTTGCTGCTGGGTGGCCCAGAGAGAGTGGCTGGCCCTCTGTGATCCTTGACCACAAGGGAGCCAGAATGTCCAAGGAGGATGGTGGGGGGAAGAAGATGGGAGATTCACATTCGTATGGCAGAGCTTGGTCCCCAGGGAGCCCCAGCCGGGGTGGAGGGAGAGGTAGGGGATGACAGCTTCTTCCCAGGACTCAGAGCAGGAAAAGTGAGAATTGACCAGGGAGAGAGATCTGGGGATTGGGGTGGAGCCGGGCTGGGTGTTTGATAATGGGGCAGGAGAGAAAGACTTCAGGGTCCAGAGAGCCAGGTTGACAAAAAGGCAGCTTTGAGTTGGGGGCTGTTGGGGACAGTAATTCTATGTAGGGGGAACCCTCATGTCCTCCTCCTCCACGTGCCACACAGGCAGCAGCTCCAGCTATGACAACGGTTTCCCCACCGGAGACCATGAGCTCTTCACCACTTTCAGCTGGGATGACCAGAAAGTTCGTCGAGTCTTTGTCAGAAAGGTAATGCCCCTCTGTAGCCCTCTGGGACTGGGAGCCTCAGTGGGGGAGCCCCTGGAGAGGTCCCTGGCCCAACCCTCTGCCTGCAGAAGCCATCCCTGCCCCCTTCTCTTGTGATCCCAGCTGACAGCACCCACTAGGAATTGCTTCCTTAGGTGTCACTCCAGTGCCCTGTGCTACACCTAAACACACTGTCCCCTCTTTTCTCCCAATGCTGGGGGGGGGTGCGCTTGGCTCTGCAGCATCTTTGCTTTCCTTTCGCCTTGCCCTGGGTTCACTCCAATGACCCCCAAAAAGGAGGGTGGAGTGCACAGGATGGGGACCTGGAGAGGTGACTGAGTCACTGCGGGGCTGACAGGTCCCTAACAGGGCCCCCCAAGCTGAGTAGAACCCCTCCCACCCCCAGGTCTACACCATCCTGCTGATTCAGCTGCTGGTGACCTTGGCTGTCGTGGCTCTCTTTACTTTCTGGTGAGTTGGCAGCATGGACCAGCACCTTCCAGGGATGACTATGGCCAGGCCTGGAGCCGGGGAACCCATGATCAGACTCCTGCTGGAATGCTGCCTGGAGAGATGCCTGTGGGGCAGTGGGCCTCCTCCTGCTGGGAAAGAACCTTAGAGAGGGCACCAGGCAAGGGGCCCTCTGTCCAGTGTGGGGTGGACCCTGGGTGCCTTCTGGGTGTCTGTGTGGCAGTCCTTCTGATCCGAACCACTAGCTGCTTGCCCAGGCACCTGCAGGTCCCAGCCGGGGACTGTGGGCTGGGACTCCCCGAGCCTCCAGGGGCTGCATTCCTTTGGCTTCCTCTCAAGTTCTGTGAACTGTGTGGGACAGATGCAGATGCTGAACCAGAAATGGAGACCTAGGGTACATTCTGACTCTCTCTCCCACTCTCTCTTCTCTGCAGTGACCCTGTCAAGGACTATGTCCAGGCCAACCCAGGCTGGTACTGGGCATCCTAGTGAGTATATCTCAGTCCCCAGTCCCCTTCCAGAGAAGGCTTAGTGGCCAGAAGAGGGAATCTCTGTGTCTTTCTTGACCTAATCTGAGCCCGTAGCTTCCCCCAGCCCCACAGGGACTGTCCTCACAGATCCCCTCCAACCCTGCCCCATTCTGTCGGCTTCAGAGCATGGCCAGAAGCACCTTTCTGGGGCATTACATCTGATGGGGCACAAAGGAGACGGGGGTAGGTTCTGCTGCCTGCGCAAATTGGGAAGGGTCGGGCCAGGGCTATAGCCGGAGAGACCCAGACCTCGGTCCTAAGAGGAAGTGGGGCTGGAACACTTTGGCCCACACTAATGATAATGTTGCTGCTCTTATTAATGTTGTTAGTAATGCTTATGAAATATTAATCATAATAGCTACCACTTAAAGAGTGCTTAATAAGGGCTGGGTATTGTTCTGTGTGCTTGATGTACAGTATTGCATTCGGTCCTCACATCTACTGGGTATGACTACTTCAGAAAATTAAGGTTCAGAGAAATGAGGAATTTGCCCAAGGTCACACAGCTAGTCAGCGGTAGAACTGGGATTCAAACCCAGAATTCAGGTTAAGGCTTGTGCTCTTAATCCATCTACTTGGCAGGCTCCCTGCAGCCCTCGAGCCACTCGGCTCCTGCTTGTCCTATATTCTTTGAGGAACCCGGCCAGTAACTTGGGAGAGGAGGTTTGAATGTGTAGGTGATTCTGATCCTCCTTTCTGGGTAATTAAGGAGTCACCCTGGATATCTCCAGACCAGAACCATCCTGGGACTCAGAGCAGAACTGCTCTCGCGCTCACTGTGAGCCCAGCCCTGTACGGGGGCTGCGGGAGAGGAGGCCTCTGCAGGGAAAGTTATTGGGTGGCCCAAGGTAGCATGAACAGATGCAGCATTCGGAGAGGGGAGGAAGGAAGGAGTGAGCCTGTACACGCAGCCCACATCAGGGGCGCCCCCCAAAGGATGGGCCATGAAGACAGGAGACAGCGTTCCCAGGAGACAAGTGGCTTAAGCAAAAGCGTGGGGCGAGAATGCACGTGGTACATTTGGTAAACTGGGACTTCTCTGGCAGAGAGCTGGAAGGCTCCATGCAGGGGAATTCCAAGGCATCTTGGAGAGCAGTGGGGCCTCGTGGGGTCAAGGTTCTGACTGCCTGGCCAAGGAGCTTACACACTGCGGCTGTCCCAAGTCTGTTCCTGGATAGGGCTCTGGTGGGGAGGTGGGCTCAGCCCAGAGCCCCCTGGACCACGTCGAGCCCAGAGTAGCCTCAGAGATGGGCCTAGAGTTCACAGAGGCCCACCAGAGGCTGATGGTAAGGACCCTAGCCTGGCCTCTGGGGGTTCCAAAGTCTTTCCTAGAGCAGAGGACAGAGGGCCTGTCTGCAGGCAGGCAGGGAGGCATGTGTCTTGGGGAACTGGGAGGCACTGTACGGTAAAGCTAATGAGGCCCCAGAGACTACCACCTGGGCCAGCCCATGTGGCAGGTTGGCATGGCTTCTGGCACATCAGCATGGCCTGGCAGCTTTGAGCTCCTGAGAACTTGGGAAGGGATTCTTAGGCCCCTCTCTGAGCCTTCTGGAGGAGGGTCTGTGGGACTCTATGCTCTGAGCAGGTGGTGGCAGGGAGACAGCCCAGGAGTGAGTAGGCCCGGGAGGTGGAGGCAGAGTCCACTCCATTGGGGGGGATGGGGGGATTGGGAGGGTGCAGTGTGAGAATCTGACCTCTGAATGGTGAGATCTGGAGTCCCTCCTCTTCAACATCTCTGGGCAGAAAACAGAGATGCTCTCTCTGGCTTCTACCAGGGTGGGTGCTGGCAGAAGTGGGAGGTGGGCGTGGACTGGGCGCTTTTCATAGGGTGTTCCAAAGTGTGAAAGGTGCTTGGGAGTTTCACTGCTGGGATGCTGCCCTTTTCCTCCAGAAAACCTGCCTGGGGTCCTGCCTGCCCTGCCCTGCCCGCTCCACACCCCTCAGCTCTCTCCGTCCTGCCCCCTAAGTTGGCCTCGTGTCTGAGTCCTGGTAGGTCTCACCTCCTGCAACACATCATGTGCTCCCTGAGGACTCCATCCGGGTCTCTTCCTTTTGGAATAACAATAGGAGCATTGAGAAGCAGACAGCTCTTTTTCTGTATGGAGGGCACCGTGCTAAGCACTTCACATGTGTTTTTCACTTGATCTTTCAATAGCCCTGCCAGGCAGACACTACTGTTATCCTCATTTAACAGTTGAGGAAAGTGAGGCTCAGAGCAGCATAACCAGGGTAGAAATCCAGGTCTTTCTGATGGTGAAACCCATGTATTTGCCCTCTGTGCTCTGCTTCCTCCTTTGTCTTAGAGCAGGACAAGCTGGGGAAAGGCATTGTGTTTGGATGCTGGCCTGCACCTGAGCCTTACTTCCCTGTCCTGACATTCTGTAAACAGACTGTGGTTCCTGCCCAGGCCCTGGGGCTGGGGCTCTGATGCATAAATCATTGGTTCTCTCTCTCTCTGACTTCTTAAGTGACTCATTCCCTGCCCCCTGGGCTGCCAGCCTCCCCCTCCCCCACCCACAGCCCAGCTTTCTCAAGGCCCTCATCGCCTCCCTCCATTGGTTCTCACCTTATTGTCTGATTGTGCCCACTGAGCCACCGTGTCTGCGGTGGTGGAGGGCTGGTGGGCCAGGAGAAACCCAGGCAGAGGAGGAAAAGTGTGAGACCAGAGCTGGGTGGAGGTGGGTCAGAGACTTTCCAGGAAGCTGTCCATCAGCCAGCTTCTAATTATCATAACTCTAGTGGGGAGTCCCACCCCTGTGCCAGGCCCACGCAAAGTGCTTGAACTGTGCTGTCTCATCAGTCCTCCCAACAGGCCAGTGAGTTGGTACCAGTATTTTTGTTTCGCTAAAGTGGAAACTGGGTCTTGGCTATTGTCCAAGGTCACACAACAGTAGTGGCAGAGCTGGGATGTGAATGCGGGGTGTCAGCCTCCCAAGCTGTACCACAATCTCAGGGTCTTTGGCCCCTCTGCCCTTCCTCCAGACCCCTTGTCTTGAAAGTTGAAGAGCTATGAACCAGAGAGAAAAGGAGACTGGGCTCTTGCCCTCAGGAAGCTTCCACTCTGGCTGGCGAGATAGAACCCACACCCACATGGACAAGGGTATTATTATTAGCATTATTGCTGAGGTGGCTGACCAATGACTCAAGTGAGACTGAAAGAGGGCAGGTTCCGAGTGTTTCCTAAATCGGGCAGGATGGCTCTGCTGTCCCTCACGGAGCAGGATGTTCAGCAGCCCCTGGCACCAACTACCAGAAGAGCCCTCCAGTCACTGTGACAACAGTTCCTCATTATTTGAAAATCACTGAAGACCAGGAAAGGGTTAAGTTGAAGGGGTCCTACTCACCAAATCCAATATGCTTGTCTCAACTCCTGCATCTCTTGTTTCGTTTTTTTGGGTCTTTTGTTTTGTTTTGTTTTGCATTTCATCCAGAAATATTTGAAGAGCACCTACCAGGCACCAAGCTCCGGGTCAGATGGTGGGAATAGAAAACTGATAAGTTGCAGGCTGGCCCCCAGATGCTATACCTGGGTGGGAAGTCAGAGGAGCTGGCCAGAAGGGTGCGGGGGCTCAGGCTTTGGTTGAGGTATGCCTGCAGTGCACAGAAGATGCCCCCCTCTAACCCAGGCCTCAGGTGTCCTTGCCGGTCAGTCCTTTCCAGCAGGAGCAGAGTGTGGCAGGCACGTTTCCAGGGAGCACAGCAGGTTGTGATGAGAGGGGTGTAGTGGAGGGGCAGAGTGCAGTGAGAGAAGGGCTAGAGGGGTGGGTGGGAATGCATTGTCTGATTGCTCAGCCAGGGCATTGCCAGGTCTTTGGGAATTTTATACAGGGAAGTCAAATGATTGGATCTGCCTGCAGCATGGAGGGTGGAAGGCAGGTGGGCTCCTGCAACAGTCCAAGCCAGAGAGAGAGAGAGGTGCCCTGACCTCAAAGGGTGGTAGTGGGGTGGAGGGAAGAGGGCAGCTTTGATAACTGCCTGGGTAGGAAGATCAACAAGTCCAGGTGGTTAATTGGGTGTAGCAGAGTGAGAGTTAAGGATGATGCTGAGGTCTCTGATTGGGTGACTTGGAGGATGCATGACATCCTCTGCAGGAGGGAATGCAGGAGACCGAGCAGGGGAGACAGGGAGCTCCCCTCTAACCTGTTGAACATTACTTGTGTCTGAATAGTCATGTCTGCCCAGTAGGCAGTTGGAAATTCGAGTCTAGGGTTGAAAAGGAAAATATAGATCAGAAATATGGGTGAGCAAGTCAGGTGGATGAGTGAGCCCACCTAGGGAGAACGTGGGGGAAGAGCTGGAGAGGACCCCACATCGAGGGAACCAGGCAGACTGAGAGAGACCCTGGAGGGACCGAGGAGTGGTGAGGGAGGTAGGAGGGACCCAGGGGTCATGTGGAACCAGGGAAACAATGATAGTGACCAGATGTTGAGAAGCCAGGCAAGATAAGGACTGACAAGCATCCACTGCACTCAATAAGGTCCTGTGATGTGGCAGAGCCAGCTCCTATTGAGTAGTGCTGAGACTGTGTTTGTTGGGCTCGGAAGATGGAGGAGGGGGCATGGTGAATGGAGACCACTTTTTCAAGAAGCGTGGCTGCAAGAGAGGATGAAGTGGCAGTAGCTGGAGCCAGGGAAGGTGTTGGTTAAAGACGGAAAACAGCTGAGGAGGCTTGTGTGGGAGGAGAGGTACCAGTGGAAAGGTTTAAGTAATGGAGATCCCCGGGCAATTAAGGGGGTGGGAGGATTGGCCTGGGACGGGAGGAGGGACAGGAGGGCAAGTAGCACCACATGATATTTGCAGGTGGCAGGCAGGGATCCAAGGGAGCTCACCTCATTTCCAGTCTTTCTGGAGCACCGGAGGCAGACTGTGCGGGAAGAGTGAGGGGGCCTGGGAGGTTTGTGGATGGAGGAGGAAGCTTGAAATTGTGGGTGATGGGTGAGAGAACCGAGGAAGGAGATGGGGAAAGGATGGCAGTGCCATGTTGAAGGCCCATTGGGGGTTGGAAACTATGCATTGGTGGCACCGCTAACCTAGGTAGGCATGGGCGAGCTCCACCCTTGGGTCCCCAGCCATCATCTCCCACCTCCTGGACTGGTCTCTGCCTCCGCTACTCAGAAAATCCTCAATCCTCCATCGCTATCTCTGGATTGCCCTCAAGCTGCCTGCCAGCCTCCCACTGGACGTGGCCACCTGATATAAAAATTCACCCGACAGGTGCCACTTCCTGCTTGTTCCAGGTGCTGGCAGGACAGAAGAGGGCCCTACCCTTGCTGAGTTTACAATTTAATAGGCTAGACCAACAGTAAAGTAACTAACAAGATCACTCCAGGTAATGATAAGGGTTGAGAAGGGCCTGTGTGGGGCAGTGTGGGGCAGTGGTTATGAGCAGGGACTCTGGAGCCAGAGTGCCTGGGTTCTCATCCTGCTTCTGCAGCGTGGTAGCTGGATGGCCTTGGACAAGTCGCCTGACCTCCCCGTGCCTCAGCAGTAAAGTAAAGATATGAGGATTACATTCGTTGATACTCGTAAAACACTTAAAACTGCCTAGCACATGGAAAATGCTATATATGGGCTTTTAAAATAGCAAGATAGTGTCTGGGGAGGCCACTTTGTATTGGGTGGTCAGGAACAGCTGTCTCATGTGACCCAAGATTCCCTGTTTCTAGAAGCAGGCTCGTCCCATCCTTTTGCTCTCTTTTGGAACTGGACCACCACCCTGCCCACTGCCAGGTTCTAGGATGACCGTGGCCTCCCCATCCTGTCCCTCCTGGCTGCCCTGTGGGTGGGGGTGGCAGAGAGTGGCATAAGCAGGGGATCTTGGGGGAGGGACCCAGGAGAGGCTGGCTGACTCACCTATCCATCTGTCTCTCACAGTGCTGTGTTCTTTGCAACCTACCTGACCCTGGCTTGCTGTTCTGGACCCAGGTATGCTAATGGCTTGAGGAGGAACTTGTGGGAATATGAGCAGGATCATGAAAATTCTGGCCCCAGCCCTGCCAGCCACCAGTGAGCTGTGCAGCCCTGAGAGGGCCCCATCCCTCTCTGGGCCTCTATCGAGCAGGCAGCCCCTCCCTCCTTTACCTGGTGCCTCTGAGGTAGGGAGAAGGGGAATGGAGAAGGGAGCAAATGGGGATGTGGCTGAAGGAAGAGGCTCTGAGGAGTGTGGAGGGGGTTGGTCAGAGACCCCCTCCCTGCAACAGTGTCACAGCCTGGGTCCACTGCCCCCACCCCCTACGATCCCCTGAACTCTGTGGCTTGCCTTGCAGGAGGCATTTCCCCTGGAACCTGATTCTCCTGACCGTCTTTGTAAGTGATCCTGGGTGTGCTGAGGACAGACGCTGAGTGGGGATGGAGGAAGAAGGGAAGCAGGGTGGATTGAGGACCAGGAAGACTGGGCTGGGGATGTCCAATGTGAGGTCCCTGGCGGGGCAGGGGTGTTTTCACCCCACTTCTTCCACAAACACATTCCATCTTCTCTTTCCAAATGGGCTTAATCTTGCCCGTTCCCCATCCACTGTCTTTTTTCATTGTGAATTTTTTAAGGGGTTTGCTTGAGGCATCCTAGAGCTATGGTAATGAAGAAGAGTGGAGGGTCTTAGAAGTGGGGAGCAGGGCCGCAGAAGAAAGGAAGGGACAGCTGGCACAGAGCCTGAAGCTGGCAGTAGGGACACTCCTTAGCCAGGCCTGACTCCCGAAAGTCAGTGTGTGTGGGGGTGACATAGACAAAGAGTTGAGGGGTACCTGCAAGGGGTGGAGACCTGAGCTGGACCTCGAGGGTGCCTGGGCCCCTGCGTCTGAGTTTGGAACATTCCTTTACCCTGCTTCTCCTTTCAGACCCTGTCCATGGCCTACCTCACTGGGATGCTGTCCAGGTAAAGGGAACAGGTGGAAGGAGAGAAGGACCATAGGCCAGGCTTGGAGCCAGGCACCAGCCACACCCGAGGGGAGCTGCCCCACACACATGGGAGCATGTGGATGGGCCCGGGGGCTCAGGCATGCAGGAGGCTTTGGCCTAGGGTCCTCTGCTTGAGCACTCAGCTGGACAGTGACCCCAAGACCTGGCCCGGTGGATAGGGGGTGGGGAGCAAGGTGGCTCCTCCCAAACAGTAGCTTACAAGCCCCAAGACTCATGACCTGCAGTTACTTGTAAACCACCTCCAGGCCCGGCACAAACCCCTCCCCACTCCCACTCCCACCTCATCAAGATCCTTCTAATTTGATTTTGAGTCTAAGCCTGTTGGGAGGGGCAGGGCCCAACAGAAAGGCTGGGGAGGCAGACAGAGGGATCTGGGGAAAGGGCACCAGACTGGGGCCAGGGATCCCAAGACCAGGTCCTGGCAGAAGAGAGGGGCCTGCTAGGAGGGTGGGGGAGACCAGATGCCCTGCCTGAGAGCTGACCCCTCGGCCTGACGGTCCTCAGCTACTACAACACCACCTCCGTGCTGCTGTGCCTGGGCATCACGGCCCTTGTCTGCCTCTCAGTCACCGTCTTCAGCTTCCAGACCAAGGTCAGCTCTGGGGCCTGCAGGCAGGGACCCCTGGCCTGAGGCTGAGCAGGGGAAGGCAGATGGGGTGGGGGCCTCAGAGCTCGGACCTGGGGCTGGGGAGAGAAGTAAAGGGGGTGAGTTGGGTTTGGGGAAGCCACCTGATGAGGGGGAGGAGGGGAAGGAATGCCAGGTTCTTGGGGTAAGCACAAGACTGTGGCCTGCTGTATGGGCTCAGCCTGTAGTTGGGGCCCCAGGAAGGTCAGGCCGCTCCTGCAGCTAACCCCATCCTGTCCCCACAGTTCGACTTCACCTCCTGCCAGGGCGTGCTCTTCGTGCTTCTCATGACTCTTTTCTTCAGCGGACTCATCCTGGCCATCCTCCTACCCTTCCAATATGTGAGTCTCTGGGTCCCCCAGCAGGCCCCATGGGGAGGGAGGGGCCCCACTGGCCCAAGGTGCCGTTCCCTCCCCTATCCGCCAGGGAAGGCCAGGAGCCAAGGCCCCACAGCCTGCCATCCTGTGCGGCCCCTCCTGGCACCTGCCACAGGCGTGCTGGCAGTGTAAGCAAACAAGGAGGCTTTTCTTGTCAGGCCTGGGTACCTGCCTGGCTCCACAAGCCACATCCGGCTTCACTTTTCCCGTCCTCCTCTGTGGGGTGGAGGTGAGATTGAGGGTAGGGTGTGGAGCATTTAAACCCTGGGCAGGGAAGGGAGTACTGGGGCTCCATGAGGCCCGCCAGACCCAGAGGGGCCTTGAAGAAGGGTCTTCTGGGGCTCCTGGGGGATCAGCCAAGTCCAAAGAGGCAGAATCTAGCTGGCCAGGCAGGCGGGACGTGGGGCAGCGGGGCTCGGAGTATACCCACATCCTTAGAGCATCCACCAGCTGGCGGCCAAGTCTCAGCTCTTTTAGAGGTGTCCAGCCTGCCCTGGGGAATCCAACTGAGACTCTGCAGGCACCCAGGCCCCTGCATGTGGAGAAGGGGCAGATTGGGGTCATCACAGGAAGGCCTTGAGATCTGAATCCTGGGAACCCAAGAGATGAGCTGTTGGACCGCTGCTGGGGGCCCAGTGCTTATACCCCTCACCCCCATAGCCACACATGGTACACAGTCCCCCACTGCCCTTTTCTAGTAGGGCTGCGAGCAGTTGTCCTCACATCCCCCTCCCCACCTCCATCCTGCCCAGCCCCAGCCTCCGGGCACTTGGCGTCCAGTCCAGGACGTCAGGATTGGTGCTGGCATTTCCTTGGCTCTTCCCAGGATCCTGTTGACAAAGGGAGGGGCCAGAGCTGGCCTGGGGGCCCTCTGTGTGTCTAGGATGGGGAGGAGTGTTACAGGAAGGGGCCACGGAACTTCAAAGAACCCTTTATTGACCCAGGTCTGGTTGATGGGTTGCCTTTGTTTCCGAGTCTTCTGGAGGAGGGCCCCATGGAGGGCCCTAGTGCGGTGCCTCCTGCAGAGTTTCCCCCACAGCTGGCTGCTCCAGACCTGGAGGAAGACTCAGGGGGCAGAGAGTGGGGAGGTGCTGTTCCAGCCTGTGCTGTTCCAGCTGTTCCTCCACCATGCACAGCTGGCAGAGACTCCAGATGCCCCCCCAACACACCCCTGAGGTCAAGTCTTTGTCCCCTTCTACCTGAGTTCCTTGCCTCCAAGGCAGAGCCCAGGAGTGCCCTGACACAAGGACAGACAGATCCTATGCTGGACAGGGATGAACGCACACTGGGAGGCGGGAGCAGCCTCAAGCAGTCCCAGGCTAGAGGGAGGACAGGGCCCACCGAGAGTCATCTTCATCTGCCCTGAGCCCAGGGCTGTGTGCTGCGGGAAGAACGACCAGGCTCGGGGGAGTTCTCCCACCAGTCCCACCAGGATCGCTCTTATCCCGGGCCTCACTTCACCCACCCTGGGCACACAGAGAATCAGGGGCCACTGTCAGTCCTGGGGCTCCTTAGGGAGCTCTGGGCAGGGCTACCCCGTGTCCTCCATTCTCTGGACTGAACCCTCCTCCCTGCCCCTCTGACTGCTGCCCCTTCTTGTCGTCCCTAAGCCCATTTTTCCTCTGCCGCAGGTGCCCTGGCTCCATGCAGTTTATGCAGCACTGGGAGCGGGTGTATTTACATTGGTGAGTGTGGTCTAGCTCCTTGGCAGCCTCCTTCCCAGCATCCTGACCATCACCCCAGTCCCCTTCTCCTCCCATCTTCCTCACAGCCCTCTTCCCTGGATCCTCGGGAGCACCTGCGGGTAGGGCTAGGCTCGGTGCTGCGTTTGTTTGTTTGTTCATTTGGGGGATTCTACCTGGTTTCCAGGACAGACCGGCTGACCTGGGCAGGAGGGAAGATTGTAACAGCAGGATGGAAGCTGTAGACAGAGGCAAAGCTGGGAAGAGGCATCCCTTCCTCCAGGGGAGGGGCAGCGGTGCTTGCGGGGGCGAGAGAGTGGGGGTATCCTGGCCATGTGGACCAAGTTAGTAGTTACCCTCCTAGGGGCAATCAGGGAAGGCTTCTTGGAGCCAGGGAGATTCCAGGTACCCTGAGAGAGAGACTGTTAGATTGAGCATGTTCTTTGCTGTTCTCACGAAACTGAGAATGTTGATGATGATGATTACGGTTAGGATAACAGTAACAGCTAATATTTATTGAACACTTGCTTCCCCCCAGCCAGCTCTCCATAGCATTTAATTGTCATCTTAAGTCTATAAGATAGGTTCTACTGTTAATAAATTAAGATGGGGAGGCCGGTCACGGTGGCTCACGCCTATAATCCCAGCACTTTGGAAGGCTGAGGAGGGCGGATCATGAGGTCAGGAGATCAAGACCATCCTGGCTAACATGGTGAAACCCCGTCTTTACTAAAAATACAAAAAAAATTAGCCGGGTGTGGTGGCGGGCGCCTGTATTCCAGCTACTCCGGAGGCTGAGGCAGGAGAATGGTGTGAACCCGGGAGGCAGAGCTTGCAGTGAGCCGAGATCGCGCCACTGCACTCCAGCCTGGGCAACAGAGTGAGACTCCGTCTCAAAAATAATAATAATAATAAATAAATTAAGATGGGGAAACTGAAGCTCAGAGATATCAAATAACATGCCCAAGGTCACACAGCATCCTAGGAAGTGATAGGGCCAAACTGGGAACCTGGACAGTCTGATGTGTGTCCCCCTTGGGGTCTGAGGCTAAGTGGGGAGTGGCCGGAAGCAGATGCCCAGGAGGCAAGAGATGACCACGGACAGACACCTGCCTGGAGCTGCCCAACACAGGCCTCCTGCTCAGGTGGGCCCCACGCACCCGAATGCAGTCGTGTTTTAGGACCCACCCAGTTGGGCAAGCTTGTGCTGGTGACATCCTCTCGGAAAGGCATTCAAGGTCAACATTTATTGACAATGGAAGCAGTAACCAGACTCTCCCCTCCCTCGCTGGAACGTTCAGCTCAATTCAAGTGGCCAGAGTTGCAGCTTAGTCAAATTTCCGGAGGCTTGTGGGCGACAGGCTGAGGGGGCTGAAATGGGGGAAGGGATGGGGAGAGAGCTGTGAGCAGAGGTTTTGGGGGCTTTGGATAGGGATCAAGCCTGAGTGAGGGTGTGGCAGGTTCATTCACGCGTCCTCTCCGCAGGTCTTTATAGAGCACCTACTGTGTGTGATGTGCAGCACGGCTGCCCAGATGCCTGGTCAGCAGGGAGAGTGCAGTGCGTGGTGCAGAGTAGCACACAGCCAGTATTGTAGAATGAATAAATGACCTCCAGGCTTGGAACTGGAGGGCTGAGATCTAGATGAGAAAACTGAACTCCAGAGAAATGGAATGATTTGTCCATGGTTTCCCGGCAAGATAATGGCTCAATGTGGTCTTGATCAAGACTAAAGTGTCAGCTTACCCCAGGCTACCTAGGACTTTTCCAGTTTCAGCACTGAAAGCCCCACTTCTTGAGGAGCCCCTAAATCCTGGGCAAACTGGGAGCCTGGCCACCAGAAGACACTAACTTTTCTCAGACCCCGCACCATGCTCTTCCCTCCAGGCAATACTTCCTAAAGAAAGGTTTCAAAGGATGTGGTGGGGAATCGGACTAGGAGAGAAAGAGGAGGGCCACATTCGGGAGAGCTAGTCTGGGCAACAGCGCCTGGAGGCCCTAGAGGGAGGCATTTGCAGGGGACAGAAGAGGGGCCAAGCCAGGGCAGACAGTCTGGTGATGTTGGAGGCAGTGAGCACCCATGGGGGGCCGGCCGGGGAGTTTACTTGGCTTCCCGTGGATCAGGTTACAGCCAGTGTGTGAACCACCTGAGGAAGCCATGCATGCAAGTAGGGCTGGGTGAACAGTAATCCCTTAAATTTGTTTGATAAGCCCTAGTGTTATTAGAATAATAACAATAGTCCCCATCCTCTGTTCCACCCTTTATGTTTTACAAAGCACTTTCACACCTGTTACCTCCCCGCATCTCCACCACAGTCTGGCCAGGGAGTGGGGGCAGGCAGCCCTGAGGCTGTAAGACTTGCTTTCCACATCCAAAGCCCTGGGTGTTAACGGGCTGGCACAGAGTCTTTTTTTTTGAGACGGAGTCTCACTCTGTCGCCCAGGCTGGAGTGCAGTAGCGCGATCTTGGCTGACTGCAAGCTCCACCTCCCAGGTTCACGCCATTCTCCTGCCTCAGTCTCCCAAGGAGCTGGGACTACAGGTGCCCGCCACCATGCCCTGCTAATTTTTTGTATTTTTAGTAGAGACGAGCTTTCACTGTGTTAGCCAGGATGGTCTCGATCTCCTGACCTCGTGATCCGCCCGCCTTGGCCTCCCAAAGTGCTGGGATTACAGGCGTGAGTGACCATGCCCGTCCTGGCACAGATTCTTATGGCCAGTAACAGGCAGATTGAGGACCAAGACCCAGGTGTCCTGTGCCCAGCCTGGTGCCATTTCCAGTGCCCCTGTGGTTCCCTTCAAAGAGGACACCTTCTGTGGTTCTACTGGCTTGGAATTGGGGAGAGGCTGAGGAGTTCTCTCCAGGAATTTTTCTCTCTCTCTCTGTCATCAGTATTGCCCTCTCTAATGGAGTAGTCCCATTAACATAGGAACACGTTGCAATTTCTCCCACCTGAAAATAACCCACAAAACACTCTTGACCCACATCCCCCTTCTCACTCCTGCCCCATTCCCTGCTCCCCATATACAGCAAAATTCCTTTTAAGAGAACCTCCACTCACTATGTCCAGTGGCTCTCCTCCCTCTCTCCTTCTTCCCTACTCTCCTCACAATTCCTTTCCCTCCCATTCTCTCTCTCTCTCTGTTTTTTGTTTTTTTTTTTTTCTGAGACGGAGTCTGGCTGTGTCGCCCAGGCTGGAGTGCAGTGGCATGATTTCCACTCACTGCAACCTCTGCCTCCTGGGTTCAAGTGATTCTCCTGCCTCAGCCTCCTGAGTAGCTGGGACTACAGGCATGCACCACCATGCCTGGCTAATTTTTTTGTATTTTTAGTAGAGATGGGGTCTTGCCATGTTGGCCAGGCTGGTCTTGAACTCCTGACCTCAGATGATCCGCCCGCCTCAGCCTCCCAAAGTGCTGGGATAACAGGCATGAGCCATAGCGCCCGACCATTCCCTCTTGATCCTCTTAAACACACTCTCATCCAGGTCAAAGGGACCTCTGTGTAGCTAAATCCGGGGACCCAGTCTCAGTCCTCATCTTGCTGGACTCCCAGAAGTATTGGATACAACGGTTCCTTCCCTCTCCCACCTGCCCCAAAACACCTTCTTCCCTTGGTGTCCAGGCCACCACCCACCCAGGCGTTTCTACAGCCTGCTTGATCCTGCAAAAGGCCGACTCTTCTCTTTCTACCCTGCTCCCTCAGGGTCTCAGGCAGCCTCAAAGCTTTGAATGCGATATTTTATGATGATTACTCTAACATTTACATCTCTATCCTGGATCTCTCTCTTGAATTCTAGACTAGAATTTCCGGTTGCCTAGTGAGGGTCTGCATGAGGAAGTCTCATAGGCACCTCAGACTTCACATGTACAAAACCAAGCTCCTGCCCCTTCCCCTGGATGCCTGCTTTTCCCAAAGCCTTCCCCATCTTCCTGTCACTCAGGACAAATGCCTTGGTGACACCTTCCACTCCTCCCCTCTCCTCACCCCCTACATCACGCCCCACATCAATGCTGTGGCCCCCACTCCTATCCAGAATCTGAAAACTTATCTCTGCCCTCATGGCTACTCCCTGTCCCAGCCCCCGTCGCCTCCAGCCTGGATTGATTGTTGCCATGGCCTCCTGCAGGCTGCCCCTGTGCCCTGCATCTATGCACAGCACAGCAGCTGGAGTTGTTAGGTCCCCTCGTTCCTCCGTTGAGCATCCCGCAATCGCTTCCCACAGCCTGCAAGCTCTCTGACCTCCCCACTCCCCTCTGCTGTAGCCACACTGGACTCGTGCTGTGTGAGCATGGCAGGCTTTCTCCAAACCCAGGGCCTCTGCACCTACCTCTGTCTGTTCTTAGGATCTGCTCACAGCCCTCTCTCCCATCCTTCAAGTGTGTGCAGCTCTGTCCCTCCCTCTTCCTCCCTACCCTATTTCCCTCTCTCTGTAGCGCATCTCATTCTGACACACTATGTATTTTTCTGATCTGTTGCTCATTGTCTGTCTCCCTCCAGCAGAATCTAAGTTCCTTAAGGACAGGGATTGTAGTCTGGCTTGTTCATCACTGCAGCCCCAGTGCCCAGAACAGGGCCTGGTACATAGTAGGTACCCAGGAGATGTTTGTGGCATGAACAGATCCCCAAGAGGTGTGGCAGGGGGCAGGGCCAGGCCCACGGAGGTACAATCAGAGCAAGGCAGAGGACGCACAGGCTATGTGGTTGAATTCAGCACTGCCCATCAGTCTTCTGTGAGTCACAGGGGAGGGGGAACTGCAGTGCCAATTATCTCATTAGGAGATCAACACTCCAAAAGGCCCTGGTCGGGATCATCCTGCAGATTATAGAAACAACAATGGAGAGCATGGGGCCAGTTCCCCTGGCTCCATCCCCTGCCGTGTTCATCTGCAGCTCCCCTGGGGCCCATGGGGCAGGGGAATGTTGATGAGAGGGGCTTTGGGACTCATTCCCTTACCTCCTCTCAGTTTCAGGTAGACGAAGGCCCTCGGAGGCCCAGCACCATAACTAAATCCCCTTACCCTCCCATTAGCTTGAACTCAGAAACATGCTGACCTCGTCCTGACCCTCAGGCCTGCGGACTCTGTGGTCCCCTAGCTCCAGCCTATCCCATAACTAGCACCCAGCACCCCCTGGTCTCTCGTCTGCCCATCCTGCCCTCTCCCACCGTAGCCTTTGGGGAATTCTCAGCACAGTGGGGGCCACTCCCAGCCCTGCAGCTGAGCAGAGCTGGACACAGCACACTGCATGCAGGTGTCCCTGGCACGTGTGTCGCCTCAAGGAGACTGTGCAAGAGTGGGGTGAAGAGAAGTGTAGGAGGAGGCCCCAGACCCCCAGGGGGACCCTCCCCTCAACTCCCACCAACCTGAGCTTTGGAAGCGCTGTGAGAATCCAGCTTCGAGAATCCGATTTCTCTCCCAGAAACATCAGCCCCTCTCTTGAGATTCTGCCATCTTTGAGGGCAGGCCGCCCAGTGGAAGGGGCAGCACCTGAGGGGGTGGCAGGCGAGGCGTCTCAGGGCTCTGGTCCAGCTTTGAGGAACAGGCCCCTCCTAGGCCTCACCCATGTCAGCCTTAGTACATTCTCAGGGAGCCTTGGGTTTTTGGTCTTACCCCTACCCCATATCCCTCACTGGATGCCAGACCCAAATATGCCAGTAGAAGTGGGTGAGCCAGCTGAACAGCCCTGACCTCAGAGTGGCCGAATCCTCCCATTCCCCCTAGTGCCCTCTCTTTGGGTGCTTTTCTGTAGAAACTCATGGAAAGTCGCACAGGAAGCACGAGGGTCGGGCGGGGCTGGCGTGATGGGGCAGGGAATGAGGTGGGGGCACATGCCTGCAGCTGGCTTCTAGCCGCAGCTGAGACTCCAGGGCCCATGGAACTTGGAGCAGGTTGCCCCATCTCAGAGTTGGTTCTTCCTTGGGGAAGCTAAGGTCTCTGAGCCCCCTAAATCAGGAGCCCAAGTCCCAGAGTCCTCGGGAAGGAATGAGGCATAGGACATTAGAAATTAGGTGATGGGCCCAATGGGAATAGACCTCTTCACTTCCTGCCCAGCCTGGCCAAATTGAGGACCTTGGGAGCCACTGACAGTTGCTAAGAAACATCACAGTTGTTGTGCTTTAAGGAAGATTAGTGAGAAGCTGAGTGGACAGACCAGAGGCTGGGAGACCAGTTAGGAGGTCACTGCAGTGTCCCAGAGCCGGGGTGGGTGGGGGCAGGGAGACTGTGCATGGTCAGTACTGGATGCTGCAAGCCTAATGGCATTTGGATGAGCAGAGCTGGGATAGGAAGATGCTCAGTAGGGATGCTGGACCTCCAGTTCCGATGTTGACCACTGACTATGGAGAGACATAATACAGCTATCTGTCCTCAGTCTCTGGAAGGAAAGCAGGGCTGAGACCTGGAGCCCTCAGAGCTGGCAGGGACCAGCCTGAGGCAGCTGCTGCTAAGCTGAGCATGCGCTGAAGCCAAGACAGCACATCCAGAGAGACACACACACACACACACACTCACATTCACGCATATACACACATGCATATCCATATACATACACTCACATAAACTCACATATACACACATAGCCACATGCACAAACACATATACATACACACTCATATACACACATACCCACATGCGCACACACACATGCACACATACACACACACATATACACGCATGTACACACATGGACTCACATGCATACACATGCACATATAGACACGCACACACATGCACTCACAGATACACATGCATATATATACACACATGCACATACACTCACATGCACACACATACACATGCACATATACACATGCACAGATACACACATGCACACACACGCATGCATACATACACACGCACATATACACATGCACATACACACTCATACACACACATACACATGCATACACATGCACTCATGCACACACACATACACATGCACATACACAAACATGCAGAGATATGCACATATACACATGCACATACATACACTCACATGCACACATAGACACACATACACATGCACATATACATACATGCACATACACAAACATGCACACAGACACACATACACATACACACATGCACATACACAGATACACTCATATGCATACATATACACATACGCACATATACACATGAACATACACATACACACATGCATGCACATATACACACATGCACACACACATGCACATATACACACATGCATACACACACATACACACATGCACACACATACACTCACATATACACACATTCACATGCACACACATACACAGACGCACATATACACACAGGCACACACATACACTCATGCACACAAATAAATACATATATACACATGCATATACACTCACATGCACACAGACACATA
Source organism: Homo sapiens (assembly GCF_000001405.40). Lineage (NCBI taxonomy): Eukaryota > Metazoa > Chordata > Mammalia > Primates > Hominidae > Homo > Homo sapiens. The sequence continues at coordinate 49,880,012 of NC_000012.12, read as the reverse complement.
CACACGCATATATGCACACATGCACATACACTCACATATACACACACATGCACATACAAGCGCACATATATACAAGGGCACATACATACACATATGCACACATATACACATGCACATACACATGCACACATACACATACACGTACATATACACATGAACATACATACACTCACACATGCACGCACATATACACATGCACATACACAGTCGTATGCACACATACACACATGCACATATATACACACGTGCACACACATACATGCATACACATTCACTCAGACACACACTTGCACATATACACACACACACACATGCACACAGACACAGATACACACATGCACACACTCACATATACACATTCACATGCCCACACATACACGCACATATACACACATGCACACACATACACTCGCATGCACACAAATACACATATACACGCACATATACATGCATGCACATACACCCATACACTCACATATATACACATGGACACACACACATGCACATACATATACACACATACACTCACATGCACATACACATGCACATATACACGTATGCACACACATATACACATGCACATACACACATACACTCACATGCACACTCACATGGACACATACCCACATACACATATACACACATGCACACACATGCACTCACATGCACACATAAACACATACACACGCACATATACACATGCACATGCATACACATACCCACACACATACACACATATACACATGCACACATACACACATGCACACACATGCATGCATACATACACACATGCACATACACACTCATACACATACATACACATGCATACACATGCACTCATGCACACACACATACACATGCACATACACAAACATGCAGAGATATGCACATATACACATGCACATACATACACTCACATGCACACAGACACATACACATGCACATATACATACATGCACATACACAAACTCATGCACACAGACACACACATACACATACACACATGCACATACACAGATACACTCATATGCATACATATACACATACGCACATATACACATGAACATACACACATGCATGCACATATACACACATGCACTCACACGCATACACATGCACATATACACATGCATACACACTCACATGCACAGACACACACATACACACATGCACACACATACACTCACATATACACACATTCACATGCACACATATACACACAGGCACACATACACTCATGCACACAAATAAATATATACACATATGCATATACACTCACATGCACACAGACACACACGCATATATGCACACATGCACATACACTCACATATACACACATACACACATGCACATACAAGCGCACATATATACAAGGGCACATACATACACATATGCACACATACACATGCACACATACACATACACATGTACATATACACATGAACATATACACTCACACATGCACGCACATATACACATGCACATACACAGTCATATGCACACATATACACACATGCACATACATATACACACATGCACACACACATACATGCATACACATTCACTCAGACACACACTTGCACATATACACACACATACACTCACATGCACACAGACACACACATATACACACATGCACATGCCCACATATACACACATGCACACACATACACTCACATGCACACAAATACACATATACACGCATGCACATACACCCATACACTCACATATAGACACATGGACACACACATGCACATACACTCACATATACACACATACACTCATGCACATATACACACAAGCACATACATACACATATGCACACACATATACACATGCACATACACACATACACTCATACACACACTCACATGCACACTCACATGCACACATACCCACATACACACATGCACACACATGCACTCACATGCACACATAAACACACATACACGCACATATACACATGCACATGCATACACATACCCACACTCACACATACACACATGCACATGCACACATACACATAAACACATACATGCACACATACACATACACACACATACGCACATATACACACATACAGATGCATACACTCACATGGACACATATACACACACATACCCACATACACATATATGTATACACTCACACACACATGCACACACCTACACACATATACGCACATAGACACACATACACATACGCACACTCACACACATATATACACATGCACACACATATACATACGCACATACACACGTATATATACAGGCACACACATACCCACATGCCGTGTGCGCGCACACACATACCATGACCAGCCTGGGCCAGACCCACAGCGTCCAAGGGATTTAAGAAAAATACTGCCGTCTACCCCAACCCCTCACCCTGCTTTTCTAGTGGGGATGGCGATATATGCCCTACCTTCCTCACAATTAGAAAAACACTTCGAAAAGTAAAAATGGCCACACAAATCCAAGGCTGAGGCATGACTTTTAGACTTATGTTCATTCCATTCAGAGCTTGAGGCCCATTTCTCGCAATGCGTTACATGAGGCTGAAGGAGCCAGTGAGAACCTTCTCTATTAGGTCGCCCACCCTCTGCCACTGAAACAGTCCCAATGCCTCCCCTGAGGCCTCCCCGACGCCCCACCCAGACAACCTGGAAGTGGCGTGGGTTCCTCTGGGCTGGGGTGGGTGGACTGATCAGTGATTGCTCCTTCAGGGGAGAGTGTGCAGGCCCCCTCCTGCGGCCTGCCTGTCTCATTCCTGAGGAGTTCATCCCCCAACCCACACCCTGCTCAAACCTGACAGGAGGAGGTGGAGAAGCCCTGGGGTGGGGGACTGAGGGAGGGGAGGCAGAGGCAGCTCCACACCTGCCTGGGGGCAGAAAGGAACTTCTGCTTCCATATCCAGGACCTGGTTCTTCAGAGCAGAGCCAGGAAGAGGCACTGGCACGGCCAGTAGGGTTGTGGAGTGGGGAGGGGGCTCTGCAGCTGGCCAGTGCCCCCCACCAAGTCACATTCAAGGCCTTGCTGCTCCTCTTACCATTCTGTGACCTTGTGCAAAATGACCTGACTGCTCTGTGCCTCACTGGCCTCATCTTTAAAATGGGGCTAACCTGCCTGTCTCACAGGCTGTTGTAATGGATGAATAGTGTAACAGATGAAGGGAAAACAGCCTCCTCACACTTGGCACATGGCAATTCTCAATCGATGACAGCTTTTACTCTTTTTTTTTTTAAATGGAGTCTCGCTCTGTCACCCAGGCTGGAGAGCAGTGGCTCAATCTCGGCTCACTGCAAGCTCTGCCTCCTGGGTTCACGCCATTCTCCTGCCTCAGCCTCCCGAGTAGCTGGGACTACAGGCGTGCACCACCACGCCCGGCTAATTTTCTGTATTTTTTTTTTTTTTAGTAGAGACGGGGTTTCCCCATGTTAGCCAGGATGGTCTCGATCTCCTGACATGGTGATCCGCCCGCCTCGGCCTCCCAAAGTGCTGGGATTACAGGCGTAAGCCACCGCACCCAGCCCAGCTTTTACTCTTATGGTAAATGATAACCTTGTCATTTAAATCACCAGATTTAGCCTGGCTTCAAAATCTGGTCATCTAAATGACAAGGTTATCATTCACTATAAGTATCAAAGCCCCTTCTCTGCCACATTCTAGCTGTGTGGACTCACCGAGTTATGTAACGTCTTTGTGCTTCAGTTTCCCTATCTGTAAAATGGGGACAAGAACAGTACCTTCCTCATAGGTGGCTGTGCTTTTGGATGCATTCATATATGTAAAGCACTCAGTGCCTGGTGTGTGGTCAATGATCAGTAACTCTTACCTGTTGGTAAGTTATCTGAGGTCTGAGCCAAGATTTGAACCCAGGTCTGTGTGACTCCCCAGCCTATGTTCTTAAGCACTGTATTATACTGGACTCATGCCCTTTCTCGTATGACCACACATGGCTCTTTCATACAAAATATTTTATTCCACTTACTGCCACAGGCTATTGATGCTTACCTTGCCTCCTGGTTCCTTTTTTTTGAGATGGAGTCTCACTCTGTCGCCCAGGCTGGAGTGCAGTGGTGTGATCTTGGCTTACTGGAACCTCCGCTTCCCGGGTTCAAGCGATTCTCCTCCCTCAGCCTCCCAAGTAGCTGGGATTACAGGTGCCCACCACCACGCCTGGCTAACTTTTGTATTTTTAGTAGAGACGGGGGTTTCATCGTGTTGGCCAGGCTGGTCTCGAACTCCTGACCTCAGGCGATCCACCCACCTTGGCCTCCCAAAGTGCTGGGATTACTGGATGAACCACCGCACCTGGCCCACTTTTTAAAAAGTTGATAGATAATCGTGTGTCATTAATACACTTTCATACACTACCCCCCTTTCATCCTGGGCCAGGCTTTTTGATTCGAATGCCTGCCAGACCCTGTTCCTTTGGTGGCCCTCCTGGGGGTGCAAATGTTGTCTGTGCCATCTAAATTTTTGACATCCAGGTCAGTGGAGAGAAGTATCTTCTATTGGTATCAGGCAAGAAATGGGCCCCAGATCTCCACTCAGTGGTCTCTCTTCACTCCCTCACCCCCTCACCCTCTCCTGCAGCCCAGTCGGCGCACCTGGACATATGGCTGGTAGTCTCTTCTCCAGAGACTCCCCAAAGCCCAAGCTCACCCTCTAGCTGTCCCTGGGCTGGGTGATGCGGGCAAGTCACTTACACTGTCTCTGCCTCAGTGTCCTTAGCAAATGGTGGAGCTGATAGTGCGACACCTGCCGCAGAGGCTTATGGTGAGAATTCAGTGAAAGAGTTCACGAACTCTTCTTTTGTGCTATTTTAACCCTTCTATTTTAAACTTCTAATTATATAATATGTGAATACATTTATTCACATATTTCACTTTTGGAAAATCTTAAATATAGAAAAAAGCAAATGTCACTTTGATCGTGTCCCTCACTGCTTTCCCCAGCAGGAACCATGAATTATCTCTCCTTCCAGACCTTTCTTTATGCATTTCATAGATATTTGCTATGTGCGCTCCTCTGACGTGTATAGTTTTATGGGATCATACGATATAGATTTTTCACAACTTGCTTTTTTCTCACAGTAGCGTCTGTCACAGATGTTTCCACCTCAGCACTGCTGCCCAGAGTTTATTTAACCACCCCCGTGTTGGTAGAGTTTGGGTTGTTTCAGCATCTCACTGTTAGAACCAATGCTGTAAACAACAGCCTGGGGGTTGCCTCCACACGCCCTCACACTGGCATTTATGCAGGACAGACACAGTCCACGTGGCACTGTTTATGCTGATACAACACATTGCAACCCCAGCTTTTTGTATTCAGTGCCTGCCTGCGGGTGGCTCTGAGCTGGCCTTTCCATGGCATGCACTGCCCAGAGCCCCTCAGCGTCACCTCTGGGGCCACATTCAGGGAGGACAACGGACATAAGCCTGGGCCCCAGATATGGCAGGGTCAGGCCAAATGTGTGGCTGGGGTCCCCGGCCAGGTTTAGCACTGGCCAGTAAAGTGAGGCGGGGAAGTTTGCCTTTGGCACCTGTGCCCTCTGCACATGCTCCCTCCCTCCCTGCAAGCCCACTCCTCCCCTATCTCCACCAGCATAGGAGACGGCACTCGATAAGCAGCCATCAGCAAGTCACTCAGCTCTCAGACTCCTTTCCTCATGTAAGACCATGAGGACGCCCACCTCCCAGGGCAAATGGGGAGAGGGAGATGAGATCAAGTGTTGGTCTGGGGAAGGACTCTTCAGATGTAAGTTAATAGCGTCCTTGTCCCAGGGGGCCTCCTGCCCCATCCCATGTGCTCCTCCTGCAGAGTCTCCTGTTCAGCTGAACACTAACTCAAGTACCTGCCCTCCTTTTAGGGGTTTGCAGTCAATTCGGTTGCTAGCTCTCAGCCAAGATCCTAGCTACCCACTAAGATGTTAACTATAACCAAGATACCTGCTCTCAACCAAGACATTAGTTAACAATGCTTTCCATCTCCAAGGAGATAGCAGCAGATGACTTTCCCCTGTAAATCAATGCACTGCCATGCAGAATCTCTGATCATGTCTTTTGCCCTCATTAGACTGTCAGTTCTATGAGGGCAAGTTCTCTGGAATATAGTAGGTGCTCAGCAAATATTGTTGGGAATAAATCGATGAAAAGACTTTGTTTGACTCACAGGCATCAGGTGGCAGTGATGGGTCATACTGGTCAGTGGGGTTGAAATTTGAAGCAGGCCATCCCAGAGAACACCACATAGATAAGCATCTGTGGCTATGGACCAAGGGCTGGGGCAGAAATCATTTCATTCCTCTTCTCTCCAAGAGAAAAGCCAGCTGGCTGCTCTAGGGGGTCTCCTGCGTGGGTGCTTCTCAGAAGGGCCACCCCCAGAGCTGGACAGATCCAAGCCTTCCAAGTTAAGAGACTCCATTTCATTAGCTCACCCAGGGGTGACCAGGCTCTGGGAAACCAACCAAGCAAGCTACTGATTGAACAGCCAGATCAGCAGTTTATGAACTGATGCTGGCAGCTGTGACTGCCAAGTGGCCCAAAGCATTTGCACTGGGCCTTCTGCTTGCTCATTCTCTCTGCAGAAGGAAAATGTGCTTGGGAATCCAAATCAAACACAGAAGGAGCAGAGCGGAATGGAGAGAAATCATACTCAAAAATACAAATAGTGGATGCCACATACACTGTCATAAATCTACCCTCAAAACCACACCGTGGTGTGGGCATTGCTACTATCCCACTTTGTAGATGAGGACACTGAGGTCAAGTGGATGACTTGGCTACTGAGCAATGGAGCCGGGTCTCAAACCCAGGCATTTCAACTCCTGTTCCTGTCTGGAGTGCCCTTCCCTCAGTGCCACTGAGCTCAGGAGACTGACGCACCCCGTGCAGGGCTCCTCTCAGCCCTGGCCATGGCTCCCCATTTTCGCTGTGTTAAGGCCACTCAGCTCCCCAAGGAACAGTGCTGCCTCCCTGATGAGATGCAAGAGACACCTGAGTCTCATCAGTAGCACGTGCATGTCCTCAAGAGGGCACCTCTCCTTCTGCAGATAATAACAATGAAACCACATTAATATAATAGCAAGCATTCATTAAGTGCTTACTATGTGTCAGGCACCACGCCAGGCCCCTTGCATGCATTATCTCATTCTCACAACAACCTCAGGAGGCAGGCACGCTCATCTCCCTTTTACACATAGGGACTCACAGGCCTAGAGAGATTAAATGCTCTGCCCAGGTCCTACAGCTAATGAGTGGTAGAGCAGAGCCTGCAGTCCAAGTGGATCTGACTTTCAAGCCTGTGCTCATAATTGCCCCCACCTCCTCACCTTTGACGGTGGCCCTGCCTCAATGTCCCATGTGCTGGAATTGCTCCCTGTTGGAGCCCTGGCCTCTTGGGCCTGCCGGGGGGAGCATTGCACCAGGGCTGGGATTCGACTAGGATTCTACAGGGCTGCGTCTATAGCAACTCTAAAGTCTGGGTCTTGGGAGACAAGGAGTCCATGGCGGAGGTGAAGGAAAGGGAACTGGGCATGACCCCTGTCTACCAAGCAGAGTGCAAGCTGCAAGGGCAAGCCCCAATCCCTTCCTCCTCTATCCACTTCTCCCATAGTTCCTGCCTCACCGAGTTCCCCACTCTTCACACAACACCAGTCAGGCCTCCCAGGCTTCCCTAGGCCTTCCCAGCTAGCAAACTCCTACTTAAGCCTCAGGTGAAATGCCACCTCTCCTGGGTCACCTTCCTCTGGCCCAATTAGTAGCTCCTTCCTTCATAGTCCTAATTGTGCATTTCCTGGGTTTTCTTGTAATGACCTATAAGTGTCCCCCATGACGCTGCGAGCTTCCCCAAGGCAGGCACGGCTTTGTGTTTCTCGTCTCTTTTGCTCTTAGCAAGTCCCTGTCATGCAGCTGTTGCCCCATACATATTTATTGTATGATGAATGAGTTTCAGAGGACCCAGGGAACATGCCTTTCATACACAAGTGACTGAAGAGCCCAGTTAACAAGAATGTGAATCAATGTAAAAGAATTCTAATCCCGGGCTGGGCCTGGTGGCTCATGCCTGTAACCCCAGCACTTTGAGAGGCCGAGGCGGGCAGATCACCTGAGGTTGGGAGTTCAGGACCAGCCTGACCAACATGGAGAAAACCCGTCTCTGCTAAAAATACAAAATTAGCTGGGTGTGGTGGCACATGCCTGTAATCCTAGCTCCTCGGGAGGCTGAGGCAGGAGAATCGCTTGAGCCTGGGAGGTGGAGGTTGCAGTGAGCTGAGATCACGCCATTGCACTCCGACCTGGGCAACAAGAGCGAAACTCTGTCTCAAAAAAAAAAAAAAGAAAAGAAAAGAAAAGAAAAAAAATTCCAATCCCACGTGGATCAGTGCTTCATCACCTTTGAGATACTGGTGGACTTTTTGGCCTCTTTCTCCAGAAAAGCGCACCACGCCTGCCAAATTTCATATGCTACTTAAGGGTTCTGCTCTTTAGGCTTGGAGCCCAGAGGAAAGCTACATGGCAAAGGGTAGGAGCCACTGTATACAGTGGGCAGGCCTGGCAGGGGCAGGGGGGTGACACAGCGCTGTCTCAGAGGGAATCTGTTCCTAGTCCATTAGGCCAAGCAGGGCCCCAGGGAAGAGCCTGTTTCCTGGGAGGAAAGGCATTAACCCCGGGTGCTGTTAGCAGCAGGGCAGAATGTTTACACCTGGGGCTCCGAAGCCGGCCTGCTCAGGTTGAAATCTTGGCTTTGCCACTTTCCAGCTGTGTAACCTTTAGCTAATATTTAAGGTCTCTGGGCCTCGCTTCCTGTAGGAAGAATCGGATTCTTATTTGATGGGGATGTCGGTAGCACTGATGGGCTGTCAGTACAGCACAAGTGCCCGGGCCCTGCTTGTACCTGAAGCGTTTGCCTTCCTCTGAGAGCAGGGTCCGGAGGGAATGGCAAGAAGACTAGGCCTCAGCTTGAAGGTCCCCTCTCCCAGGAAGCCTTCCCTAACTTCCTGCCACACTCACATAGGTGAGGCTCCTTGTTATCAGCCCCACTGCTGCCTGGAACCTTGTTATACTCATCATCCTAACAATTACTTCCTCTAGACTCTAAGCTCTGTGAGGACAGGGATCCCGGCTGTCTTGTTCTCTGCTGTATCCCTGTGCCTAGCACATAGCAGGTGCTCAGTAAATAGCTGCTGAATAGAATTAGGGACAGAAGGTGTCACAGGAGGGCCACTGGGTAGTCAGGCAGCTGGTGAGGGTAATAAAATTGGGGGTGGGGCTGAGGGGGACACCTGGGCTGCCATAGTCAGTGTCACACTGCCTGGGCCTCTGACCTCTCTCTCTCTCTCCTCACTTCTCCCAGTTCCTGGCACTTGACACCCAGTTGCTGATGGGTAACCGACGCCACTCGCTGAGCCCTGAGGAGTATATTTTTGGAGCCCTCAACATTTACCTAGACATCATCTATATCTTCACCTTCTTCCTGCAGCTTTTTGGCACTAACCGAGAATGAGGAGCCCTCCCTGCCCCACCGTCCTCCAGAGAATGCGCCCCTCCTGGTTCCCTGTCCCTCCCCTGCGCTCCTGCGAGACCAGATATAAAACTAGCTGCCAACCCAGCCTGTGGCCAGGTCACTGTCTACCCCAGCCCAGCCCAGCCCTCTGCCGCTTGTACATACGCCATGGGGACCCTGAGGAACTGAGGCCACGTCAATCCCTGTGCCGCCCCATTCGCCCGTTACATCTTCCAAACTGGGACGGTCAAGGCTGAAGGCTCCTCTGGGTTTGAGGGTCCAAGGGACAAGGAGGAGAAGCCTAGCAGGATTTCAGATGCAGGAGAGAGACCCAGGAAGCCCGGCAGAGCCCTGAGCCCCACTGCAATTCCTCCTAGGGCTGCACAATCATGTGGCCTTAGGGCACACTGTCCTGCATCCAGTCTGTGTCCTCCTGTCTTTCTCATCCAGGTCAGGCATTGACACTTTGTAAGAAAGGGGGTAGGGGACACAGCTGGGCAGGTGGAGTGGGTGGGCAGGATGGCTGTCCCAGTCTGCCCATCTTCTCTTGGCTCTGGGACCAGCGGCTTGTTCTAGGGATTTGGACCTGGAGGCCAAGGGCAATAGGAGAGGGTCTGAAGCCTGTGCTGTCTGCTGCTTGCTGTGAATGGCCCTCCCGGGTCATGACAGAGCTCTTTTGGGGCAGGAGGTGAGGGCAGGGGGCCCCGCTCCTTGGTAAGGGCCTGCCCTGGGGCTCCCAGGGAAGTGGGAGCTGGGGAGCCAATCCACCCAGACCCGCGTCCACCTGGGAGGCATTTGGGGTTGCAGGACCGAGACCCACATCCTCTCACTCACTTCTCCACCCGCCAGGCAGCTGCCACAGGCCTAAGGCTGAGTGAGGTGTGATTGGGCCCTCCGGCTGGATGTTCTGGGGGAGGAGGCAATCGCTGTAGCTGCCAGGCCAGCCCCATCTGGAAGGAGTCCCTGCTCTGCCTCAGCCCTAACCCGAGGCTGTGTGGGAGTCCCTTCTGCACCTCTTATTTCCTAAACCCTTCCTGTCAGCTGCTGTTTGCTGGCTCGTCCCCAGCCAGGCCTCCTGAGGTCTTCATAGTTGGCACAGTCCACATCTCTTCTAGCTTCACTGGCCACTCACTCAGCCCAGAGTCCCTAAGTGCTCCCCCACTTATCTCTGCATCTCTCCAATTTGGAAGCCATCCAGCTGATGCTAACAGCCAGGGCCAGTCCCTCCAGCTGGTCCCATGTAATGAGGCCAGGGCTCCTTATCAGCTTCCAGGCGGCTGGGATCTCAGGCAGGGTGTGCGTCAGCCCTCCAACCCCCAGAGGGGCGCCTGTGGGGAGGGAACCAGGAGGCCACACTGGGGGAGCGTGCAGCCAGCATGTGCAGTGGCCAACTCCAGGCCAGTGGAAAGTTACTGTGTGGATACAGGAAGGCTCTGAGTGGCTAGCAGGACCCTCCCTTGGCTTCGCCCTCCTCCTCTTCTCTCTCCCCTGTGCTGGGAGCTCCGTCTGCCTTGGGAAGGGAGACGAGGTGTGCTGTTCCTTCCCAGCCCCATCCCTCCCCACCCTTCCTACTCCCAGCTTTCAAGAAACATTGCAGAAGCATTTGAAGTTTTGTTCCATCTTGGATATTTGAAGAGAAAAGGAGCCAAGAACTGGCGGGTGGTGTGTGTGCAGCAAAGGCATTGGGGGCACGGGTGAGATGCCCACTGTGTGCTGGTCTAAATTAATCCATCGCAGTGATCCTCCAGAGACAGCGCTCTGCTCATGTCCGTAGCAGAGGGAAAAGCCGAGGTGCTCAGAAAGGCTCGGTAATGAGTCCCAGGTCATACGGCTAGCGAGTGGCGGGCCTGGGGTTCAGACCCACAGCTGCCTCAAGCAAACAGGGTATCACGCTTGCCCCTGGGCCTGGGTGGGGGCCGGAATGAGACCACATGAGAGCGCAGAGAGGTGGGTGGTCAGGCCCTGATGTCCTGGGGATTTCTTGTCCTCAGTGCCACCCGGCCTCCCGTCTTTCCTGAAACCCCTCGCCAGATTTTGCACTCTGAGGTTTCTATCTTCCAGACAAGAGCTGGGAGGCAAGATTTCTGGTTTCTGGTTCCTAGCCTCACTGCCAGCGGGCTCCTGCTATTAGGTGAGGGTTTCTTGCTGTCTGGAATTCAGTTTTTCCATCTGCCACATGGAAGTTCATAGCCAGGATAGGGCGGGAGAGGCACCAGAACATTTCTCTCCACTGACTTTCTCACCCGGTTCCCACCCTCCTCCACCTCCTCTCCTCCGGGCCCCTCAGTTTCCTCTCCTCATCTCTGGCCTCAGTTCCAGAGGGTTAGCCCCAGCACCCCACTCTCCTGCCACTGTCAGATAGCCTTGGTCATGCTTCCTAGAATCTACTTGTCCAAGTTCTCCTCTCCCTGGGATAAGTTACTGCAGAAACTGGGGATTTAGAAGCTTATTCAGGGCTGAGTGCCAAAAGCTTGGGGGAGGAGGGACAGGTCCTCGGCAATAAACAGTGTCACACACGCATCACAGCCATTTGAGAAATGGCTTCTTTGCAGAGCTGGGGAAGCCGGGCAGAAGATGCCGCAGCCTCCTACTCTGGGTCCTGAGGGGGGGTGGCAGGTACCACAGTGTAGGCAGCAGGGTCAGGGCCAAAGTCTATGCGTTCCATCTCCAATCCAGGCAGTGAGGAATCCTGAAACACCAGGAGAGGCGTCAGAAGTAGGAAGGGCAGGGGAACAGGAATGCAAGATTAAGGAAACCGCAGCTGAGCAGGTGTCACAAGCTGTAAAGGAGGAAGGGAGTCTGCAGGCCCTTCACATTTTTGGCCTGGGTGGGGCTGGGCCCAGGAAGGGGTGGGCTGGATTTTGTAAAGCTGGAGGCAGCCAGGAATCTGACTGTCCGGAATGTGAGTTGAGGGGTCTCCCACTGAAGTCCTCTTCTGGAAGCTGCAGATGGGGGCCCGGGAGGCACACACGAGTCTGGGACTCATTCCCGGGCACACCTATGGCTCCTTCGGTATCACCTGGGGAAGCCCCGGAATCTTAGTTCTTCCATTCCCTACTCTTCCTTCCGAGGGAGTCAGGATGGGACAGACACCCATTTTCCAAAAGGCTCCTTGCCTCCTTCCCTGGCCCACCTGAAGCCAAGTCCCAGGTGTCCTGGCTGCTCTCCTGGGCGGGGTGGGATTTTTGCATAAGCACTTTGCTGCCCTCCAGTGGCTGCTTGAGGAAACGCAGGGCCTGGTTTGGGAGAGTCACCGAGGGCCCATGTGGCTGGAGGTTGGGGGCAGGATCTGGCCCGAGCTCTCCTCAGACCTCCCCAGACCTGTCTTCTCATCAGCCACCGCTGTTTTCTTTTGCCGAACGATGGTTGCATCTCTCGGACACAGTGTACCCCCTCCCAAGCCCTCCCTGAGCCGTTCTCCTGAGTCCCTGAGGGCAGACACAGCTCCAGGGACCCAGGCCAGCTGCCACACCCCCGACACTCCTGCTGTCCACTGGCCTTAGCTCCTGCAAGTTCCCCAGTGTCCGCACCTGTTCCCTTCCCTGACCTCACCTTCCTGGGGTCTGTGACTGACTGGAGATAAAAATAAAAGCAATTGTGACACCTGAGTTGTTTCCCTCGTCTGCCGTGTGCTGGTTGCCTCAGATGGTCGTGGAGTCTGTGTGGGTCAAACCCGGACCTGTGTGAGAGCCTTCTCACCAGAGCTGCTGAGTTTGAAGTAAATCTCCATGTTTATTTTCATGTGGACAGGGTTAAATTGGTTCTCCTGCTCAATAAACCCTTTACGGAGGCTCTCAGGATCCCGGAGTTAGAAGCAATCCCAGAGTCTCCTCCGGAACAGGGGCTCACCCCTTTCTGTGGAAGCCTGTCCGTTTGTGGGCCGTTCTGGTAGAAGGGTCTTTCTTATTTTGAGCCAAAATCTGCTTCCTAAAAGGTACACAGAAGGAAGGAATGCCTGGGTTGCATCTGGACAGATTGTCCAGAGCGGCAGCTTTAAAACCACAGAACCTTGGCTGGGCTCAGTGGCTCACGCCTGTAATCCCAGCACTTTAGGAGGCCGAGGTGGGTAGATCACCTGAGGTCAGGAGTTCGAGACCAGCCTGGCCAACATGGTGAAACCCTGTCTCTACTAAAAACACAAAAATTAGCTGGGCGTAGTGGCGCACACCTGTAATCCCAGCTACTCAAGAGACTGAGACGAGAATCGCTTGAACCCAGGAGGCGGAGGTTGCAGTGAGCCAAGCTTACACCACTTCACTCCAGCCTGGGCGACAGAGCAAGACTCCGTCTTAAAAAAAACAAAACAAAACAACAACCCTACAGAACCAAAGCTCCTTGAAGGCAGAGTTATGACGCACGGTCTCAGTAAACAACTTACTAGCGAATGGAGGAATGCATAGGTGAATGTGTCTACTCCAACCCTCTTATTTTACCTGAGAGGAAACTAAGGAGCAGAGGGTGCAGCGATTTGTCCAAGTTTACGCACAAATTAACGACTGGAAGTGGGGTCAGGAGGCGCATGGGTTAATGATCACCCCACAAGCTCCTGTGGGGAATGTGGGGCCAGGGCGCTGTGTGGGAGGGGAGGGAACGCCATCACACTGGAGCCATGGGGGACGTTATCCTTGTCTCTGACAAGGTTAGGACACAAATTCAGCTGGAGTAGGGAAAGTGGCTGGGGCAAGAGTTAGAGGACTCTGAGGAGAGAAAAGTGACTTTTATTAAGCGCTCACTGCATACAAAGCACTTCCACAGATTGTGAGAGATAGGACAGGGAGAAGATACCAACGGTGGTGCAAGAGAGAAACCAGGCACTGTGGCTCGAGACCGTGCAGCCGTGGGTCCTGAGAAGATGCAGCCCCACCGGGGAAGCAGTGCTGAGCCGTGTCGCCGGGGAAAGGGAAGATCCCTGGATCAGGGCTCAAAGTGTGCAAAATGTTGAGGGGCAGGGGCTGGTGTGATGGAAGGGATGAATGGTCTAGGTTGGGGTACACGCTGGGCCCCCTTGCCACCCCCTGCCTCCAGATCCCTTCTGCCTCACCACCCATTCTTACCTGGACTGCCTGTTAGCTTTCCTAGGACTGCCATACAAATTGCCACAAACTGGGTGGCTCAAAACAACAGTGATTCATTTCACCACAGCTGTGGAGGCTGGAAGCCTGAAGCCAAGGTGTCAGCAGGGTGGGTTCCTGCTGGAGGCTCTGAGGGAGGGCCTGTGGCAAGCACTTTCCAAGCCTCTGGCAGCTGCAGGTGATCCGCAGTGTTGCTTGGCAATGGCGCCTCCAGTCTCTGCCTCCATCTTCATATGGCCTTCTCCTCTGTGTCTCTGTGTCTTGAAGCTCCCTCTCCGTCCTCCTAGAAGGATACCTGTCTCTGGATTTAAGGCTTACAATAAATCTAGGATGATCTCATCTCAAGATCTTTATTTGGAAAAAGATCCTATTTCCAAAAAAGGTCACATTCACAGGTACAGGGGTTTAGAACTTGGACATATCTCTCTTGAGGGGGCCCCTATTCAACCCTTTACACCATTCATTCTCTTCTGGCTGCTACTGCCCCGTGGTGGCCTCTGTACGCATCCCCCACCCATGGGACAGTCTTCACATACAGTACCCAGCCCCCAGTGAGACTGGAGAAATCCCAGAGCTGAGCAACCTCATCCAGCTCACTTATACCATCTGTCTTTACTCAAGTCTGGCTACTCCCAGCAAACCTGTTTGCCCTCACAGATTTTGTGTGTGTGCCTGCACACACACACATGCACATGCGTGTGTGCGCACACACACACACCACGGATGGCTAAGATGCTTTCTTCCCAGCTTCTCATCCTCCACTCCCCTCCACACTCTCTGCTTGCTTTATCTGGGGAAACCCTGCCAAAAGGAGTGAGTCTCGCCTGTCCCGCATCACTGCTGTCCCCCTGTTGGCTTCTTTTTCTCCTGAGCCACTATGTAAGAAGTCAAATTTCCCGAGGCTGCCATGCCAGAGAGGCCACGTGTGGTGCTCCAGCCAAGAGACCCAGCTGAGCCAGCCTCCCAGCCACGCCTGCCAGGCTGGCAGCTGTAGGCAGGAAGAACCATCCTGGAAGTGGATTCTCCAACTTCAGCTGTTCCAGCTCCTGTGCACCCAGTCTTCCTGGTTGAGGTCCAAGACCTCATGGAGCATTAAAAATCCATCTCCTCCATGCCCTATCCAAATTCCTAATCCACAGAATCCGTGAGAATAATAAAATGGTTGTGGTTTTATGCCACTAAGCTTGAAGTCATTTGCTATGCAGCAACAGATGCCTGGAACAGGATTTGGTACCTGGAAGTGAGGCACTGCCGTAGCAGAACCTAACGTGTGTGGGAGGCGCCTGACACCCTCAGTGAGACCGTGCGTGAAAGCTGGCAGGGCCTTGAGGAGACTGCGGGCGAAGGCTCCAGGGAAAGTTGAGCGAAACATTACTGGAATCTGGAGGAACAGAGACTCTGATATAGTGGTGGACAGTTGAGTGAAACTTTCATCTGTGCTAATGTGAAAGATAAAAAAGGTCTAATTAACTGATGACTCTGGCTAGGATTTTCAGGCAGTGTTGAAAGTGTGTTTGGCTTATTTGAGCCTTGCATCCTAAGATACAGATAGTGAGAAAAAAGCTAAAGAAAGAATTATTCTGTTTTTTAAGCAGAATTTGGAGGAGATATAAAAAGCCCAGGATAATCTTTCCAGCCAAGGAAGAATTGTCAAAGTAATAAAAAAGCCTTGGGGCAAAGATCAACTCCAGAGCACTGTCAGGAACACACAGTCTCTGGGTAAAGATGAAGTCAAAGCTATGACTGTGAAAGCAGTCATTAAGCATCAGAAAGATCTAAGCGGGTGCCTCAATCCTTCAGACAGGCAGAAGTACTCCTAAGGATCCCACAGGCATTTGTTGCAGACCCACTCTGTTAAACAATCGGACTTCTAAGGATCTTTTCCCCCCAACAAATCCACTTTTATTTGTTGACTTTTCATTAGTTGAAACCCTTGAGGGGTACAGCATCACTCAGATTCTGTGTCCAGTGGGCTTAGCAGGAAGATTGTTTCGGAATTTGGCACGAACCTTGCCACTGTTTCCGTGGGCCCTAGTTACCTTTCCCCAGACTACTCTGGTTTTGTTTGGTTTGCTACCAGGAGTCACTGTGGTGTCCTTTGCTTTGTATACATAAGCACATCTCTTGCCCAAATAGAATTCTGTTTCATCTCGGGCATAAACCACCTTCAATTTTAAGAACTGCTGTGTGCTCCCTTTGATTCCAGAGACTGTGCTTATAGTCAGCAAAAATGGCCTTGGACCACAGCCTTCCAGACATATTTCCTTTTAGAAGTCCTGCTCCCAGCAGGCCTCCACAGGATTCAAGATGGCAGGAAGAGAAAGACCTTCTAAGGATCTTAAGGATATTATTCCTCTGCAGCCTCACTGGGTACCCAAGATAGAGAAGGCCTTGTCTTAAAGAGACTTATCAGTGTGATTTTTGTCTAATGGAATAATCCTCCAATAAGATTCATAGAGACCAGGTGCAGTGGCTCACGCCTGTAATCCCAGCACTTTCAGAAGCTGTGACAGGAGGATCACCTGAGGTCAGGAGTTTGAGACCAGCCTGGCCAACATGGTGAAACCCTGTCTCTACTAAAAAATACAAAAATTATCCAGGCTTGGTGGCACATGCCTGTAATTCCAGCTACTCAGGAGGCTGAGGCAGGAGAATCGCTTGAACCCAGGAGGCGGAGGTTGCAGTGAGCTGAGATCAGGCCATTGCACTCCAGCCTGGGTGACAGAGCAAGACCCTGTCTCAAAAAACAAAAAACTTAGCAGCCACTAAAAATGAGGACATGGGTAAATATTTACATACAGAATCACAGTACTGAATAATATTAAATTAGAAAGCAAATTATGAAGCATTAATATTGAGTATAATCCCATTTTTTATTTTTAAAAATATCTTTGATGGCTCTTCCTTATAGTAAAATGCCAACTAGTAGATGAAGAAGTAATGATAGAAAAATCACCATTTTGCAATACAGTAATGATTCAGTCAAGAATCATCAATGGATGCTAAAACTCTTAGGTGCAAGTTTGATAGGGAACAGAATATTGATATAGTTTAAACATGCCTCCACACAGACTTCTTTTTTCTTTGTGTTTGTTTTTAGTTTTTGTTTTTGTTTTGAGACACAGTCTCACTCTGTTGCCCAGGCTGGAGTGCCCTGGCACGATCTCGGCTCACTGCAACCTCCACCTCTCAGGTTCGAGCAATTCTCCTGTCTCAACCTCCCGAATAGCTGGGACTACAGTCGTCCGCCACCAAGCCCTGCTAATTTTTGTATTTTTAGTAGAGATGAGATTTCACGATGATGGTTAGACTGGTATCAAACTCCTGACCTCAGGTGATCCATCTGCCTCGGCCTCCCAAAGTGCTGGGATTACAGGCATGAGCCACCGTGCCCGGCCTTTCTTTGTGTTTAAACAGCTTTATTTTATTTATTTATTTATTTATTTTTTTAATTGATCATTCTTGGGTGTTTCTCGCAGAGGGGGATTTGGCAGGGTCATAGGACAATAGTGGAGGGAAGGTCAGCAGATAAATAAGTGAACAAAGGTCTGTGGTTTTCCTAGGCAGAGGACCCTGCGGCCTTCCACAGTGTTTGTGTCCCTGGGTACTTGAGATTAGGGAGTGGTGATGACTCTTAACGAGCATGCTGCCTTCAAACATCTGTTTAACAAAGCACATCTTGCACTGCCCTTAATCCATTTAACCCTGAGTGGACACAGCACATGTTTCAGAGAGCACAGGGTTGGGGGTAAGGTCACAGATCAACAGGATCCCAAGGCAGAAGAATTTTTCTTAGTACAGAACAAAATGAAAAGTCTCCCATGTTACTTCTTTCTACACAAACACGGAAACCATCCGATTTCTCAATCTTTTCCCCACCTTTCCCCCCTTTCTATTCCACAAAACCGCCATTGTCATCATGGCCCGTTCTCAATGAGCTGTTGGGTACACCTCCCAGACGGGGTGGTGGCCGGGCAGAGGGGCTCCTCACTTCCCAGTAGGGGCGGCCGGGCAGAGGCGCCCCTCACCTGCCGGATGGGGCGGCTGGCTGGGCGGGGGGCTGACCCCCACCTCCCTCCCGGACGGGGCGGCTGGCCGGGCGGGGGGCTGACCTCCCCACCTCCCTCCCGGACGGGGCGGCTGGCCGGGCAGAGGGGCTCCCCACCTCCCAGTAGGGGCGGCCGGGCAGAGGCGCCCCTCACCTCCCGGATGGGGCGGCCAGCCGGGTGGGGGGGCTGGCCCCCCACCTTCCTCCCGGTCGGGGCGGCTGGCTGGGCGGGGGGCTGACCCCCCCACCTCCCTCCCGGACGGGGCGGCTGCCGGGCGGAGACGCTCCTCCCTTCCCAGACGGGGTGGCTGCCGGGCGGAGGGGCTCCTCACTTCTCAGATGGGGTGGCTGCCGGGCGGAGGGGCTCCTCACTTCTCAGACGGGGTGGTTGCCAGGCGGGGGGTCTCCTCACTTCTCAGACGGGGCGGCTGGGCAGAGACGCTCCTCACCTCCCAGACGGGGTCGCGGCCGGGCAGAGGCGCTCCTCACATCCCAGATGAGGCGGCGGGGCAGAGGCGCTCCCCACATCTCAGACGATGGGCGGCCGGGCAGAGACGCTCCTCACTTCCTAGATGGGATGGCGGCCGGGAAGAGGCGCTCCTCACTTCCTAGATGGGATGGCGGCCGGGCAGAGACGCTCCTCACTTTCCAGACTGGGCAGCCAGGCAGAGGGGCTCCTCATGTCCCAGACGATGGGCGGCCAGGCAGAGACGCTCCTCACTTCCCAGACGGGGTGGCGGCCAGGCAGAGGCTGCACTCTCGGCACTTTGGGAGGCCAAGGCAGGCGGCTGGGAGGTGGAGGTTGTAGCGAGCCGAGATCACGCCACTGCACTCCAGCCTGGGCACCATTGAGCACTGAGTGAACCAGACTCCGTCTGCAATCCTGGCACCTCGGGAGGCTGAGGCTGGCAGATCACTCGCGGTTAGGAGCTGGAGACCAGCCCGGCCAACACAGCGAAACCCCGTCTCCACCAAAAAAATACGAAAACCAGTCAGGTGTGGCGGCGCGTGCAATCGCGGGCACTGGGCAGGCTGAGGCAGGAGAATCAGGCAGGGAGGTTGCAGTGAGCCGAGATGGCAGCAGTACAGTCCAGCTTCTGCTCGGCATCAGAGGGAGACCGTGGAAAGAGAGGGAGAGGGAGACCGTGGGGAGAGGGAGAGGGAGAGGGAGAGGGCTTTATTGAGATATAATCCAAACGCCGTATAACATACCATTTAAAATGTGCAATTCAATGTTTTCTTAGTATATTCAAAGGGCTGTGCAACTATCACTACAATCTAATTTTAGAATGTTTTCCTCTCTCTCTCCCATTAGCATTAGTTCCTATTCCCTTCCTTCCCCTATCCCTGGCAACCATGAATCTACTTTCTGTTTCTAGAAATGTACCTATTTTGAACACTTCACATAAATGGAATCATACAATACAGTCTTCCGTGACTGGCTTCTTTCACTCAGCATAATGTTTTCCAGCGTTCTCTATGTTGTAGCATGTATTAGTAGTTCATTCCTTTTTCTTTTTGGAGATAGAGTTTCACTCTGTCGCCCAGGCTGGAGTGCAGTGGCACAGTCTCAGCTCACTGCAACCTCCACCTCCTGGGCTCAAGCAATCCTTCCGCCTCAGCCTCCTGAGCACCTGGGACCACAAGTGCATGCCACTGTGCCCAGCTAATTTTTGTTTTTGTTTTTGTTTTTGTTTTTGTTCTTGTTTTGAGACAGGGCCTGGCTCTGTCACTCAGGCTGGAGTGCAGTGGCACAATCTTGGCTCACTGCAACCTCCACCTCCTGAGCTCAAGCCATCTTTCCGTTTCAGCCTCTTGAGTAGTTGGGACTACAGGCATGTGCCACCATGCCTGGCTAATTTTTGTATTTTTTGTAGAGACAGGGTTTTGCCATGTTCTTCGTGCTGGTCTTGAACTCCTGGACTCAAGTGATCTGCCCTCCTCAGCCTCCCAGAGTGCTGGGATTACAGGCATCTGCCACTGCACCCAGCCTAATTTTTGTATTTTTTTTTTTTGTAGAGACGGGGTTTCACCATGTCACCCAGGCTGGTCTCGAACTCCTGGACTCAAGCAATCCACCACCTCTGCCTCTCAAAGTGCTGGGATGACAGGTGTAAGCCACTGAGCCTGGCCACTTCATTCCTTTTTATTGCCAAATAATATTCTATTGTATGAATAGACCACATTTTATGTATCCACTCATCAATTGATGGACATTTGCTTTCACCTTTGTCTATATGAGTAATACTGCCATAAACATTCCTGCTTTTTGTGGGGATGTGTTTTCACACCTAGGAGAAGCATTGCTGTGTCATATGTACCTATGTTTAACTTTTTGAGGAACTGCCAAGTTGTTTTTCGAAGAGGCTGCACCATTTTATATCCCATCAGCAATGGATGAGGGGTTCCAATTTCCCCACATCCTTGCCAACTTGTTGATGTCTGTCTTTTAAATTTTAGCCCTATTTGTGGATGTGAATTGGTATCTCATTATGGTTTGAGTTTGCATTCCCTAACGAGTAGTGATGCTTAGTATCTTTTCATGTGCATAGATTGCTTTTTGTTCACAGATTACTTTTAAATTACAAAGGAGAGGTCTGGCACAGTGGCTTACACCTGTAATCCCAGCACTTTGGAAGACTGAAGTGGGTGGATCGCTTGAGTCCAGGAATTCAAGACCAGTCTATGCAACATGGTGAAACTCTGTCTCTATTAGAAATACACAAATTAGCTGAGTAGCACATGCCTATAGTCCTAGCTACTTGGGAGGCTGAGGTGGGAGGATTATTGGAGCCTAGGAGGCAGAGGTTGCAGAGAGCCGAGATCATACCACTGCACTCCAGCCTGGGCAGAGCGAGACCCTGTCTAAAAAAAAAGTTACAAAGGAAAAAATGATAACACTACATTAGAGAAAACTGTTAGGTTCCAACTTAATCATGAATCACAAATAATGGCACAAATTGACACTATGTGTTTTCTGATATGATGTGCTGAGAAGGACAAAAATATACTTTATAACACTTCTGCCAAAAAAATGCAAAGCCGGCTGGCAGGATGTCTCACATCTGTAATCCTAGCACTTTGGGAGGCCAAGGCAGGAGGATTGCTTGAGCCCAGGCAGTGAAGGCTGCAGTGAGCCAAGTCTATGCCACTGCACTCCAGCCTGGGCGACAGAGTGAGACTCTATTTCAAAAAAAAAAAAAAGAAAGAAAGAAAGAAAAAAAGAAAGAAAGAAAAGAAGAAGCAAAGCCTGAATCTTATCATGAAGAAATATTAGACAAAACCAAATTGAGGGTGGTGCAGCGGCTCACACCTGTAATACCAGCACTTTGGGAGGCTGAGGCAGGTGGATCACTTGAGGTCAGAAGCTCGA
Source organism: Homo sapiens (assembly GCF_000001405.40). Classification (NCBI taxonomy): domain Eukaryota; kingdom Metazoa; phylum Chordata; class Mammalia; order Primates; family Hominidae; genus Homo; species Homo sapiens. The sequence goes on along the minus strand of NC_000012.12, from coordinate 49,858,010 downwards.
GGTCAGGAGCTCGAGACCAGCCTGGGCAACACGGTGAAACTCCATCTCTACTGAAAGTACAAAAATTAGCTGGGCATAGTGGCACATGCCTGCAGTCCCAGCTACTCGGAAAGCTGAAACATGAGAATTGCTTGAACCTGGGAGGCGGAGGTTGCAGTGAGCCGAGATCACGCCACTGCACTCCAGCCTGGGCGACAGAGTGAGACTCTGTCTCAAAAAAAACCCAACAACAACAAAAAAAAACAAATTGAAGGATATTCTGCAAACTAAATGGCCTGTTTTCCTCAAAAACGTTCCGAAATGTAGGCTTCTGGTGGCATCTCCAAAGGAGGCTATACTCACAGTTGTAATATTTGAGTAATATTAAAACTACTTAATTTGTTTAATGTTGATTAAAATATATATATGCACACACATTTTATGTTTACTTATGAATAGAAAAAACCCTAGATGGATATATATTAAAATGTTAGTTAGGCAAAGCTATCCTGAGCAAAAAACAAAACTGGAGGAATCACATTATTTGACTTCAAATTATACTACAGAGCCATTATAGTAACCAAAACGGCATGGTACTGGTATAAAAACAGATACATAGACCAATGGAACAGAAAAGAAAACCCAGAAATAAATCCATACATCTACAGTGAACTCATTTTCAACAAAGTTGCCTAGAATATACATTAGGGAATGGACATTCTCTTCAATAAATGATGCTGGGAAACTGAATATCCATATGCAGAAGAATGAAACTAGGCCTCCATCTCTCAACATATACAAAAATCAAATCAAAATCGATTGAAGTCTTAAATCTAAGACCTCAAACTATGAAACTACTAAAGGAAAACACTGGGGAAACTCTCCGGCACATTGGGCTGGGCAAAGATTTCTTGAGTAATACCCCACAAGCACAGGCAACCAAAGCAAAAATGGACAAATGGGATCACATCAAGTTAAAAAGCTTCTGCACAGCAAAGGGAACGATCAACAAAGTGAAGAAACAACCCACAGAATGGGAGAAAAAATAGTTGCAGACGATCCATCTGACAAGGGATTAATAACCAGAATATATAAGGAGCTCAAATACCTCAATAGGAAAAAAATCTAGTAATCCAATTAAAAATGGACAAAAGATCTGAATAGACATTTCTCAAAAGAAAACATACAATGGCAAACAGGTATATGAAAAGGTGCTCAACATCATTGATCACCAGAGATATGCAAATCAAAACTACAATGAGATATCATCTCATCCTAGTTAAAATGGCTTTCATCGGAAAGATGGGCAATAACGCATGCTGGTGAGGATGTGGAGAAAAGGGAACCCTCATACTCTGTGGGTGGGAATGTAAATTACTACAACCACTATGGAGAACAGTCTGGAGGGCCCCCAAAAAACTAAAAGTAGAGCTACCTTATGATTCACCAATCCCACTACTAGGTATATACCCAAAAGAAAGACATCATTATATCAAAGAGATATCTGCACTCCCATGTTTATTGCAGCACTTTTCACTATAGCCAAGATTTGGGGCCGGGTGCGGTGGCTTACGCCTGTAATCCCAGCACTTTGGGAGGCCGAGGCAGGCTGATCACCTGAGGTCGGGAGTTCCAGACCAGCCTGACCAACATGGTGAAACCCCATCTCTACTAAAATACAAAAAATTAGCCGGGCATGGTGGCGTGCGCCTGTAGTCCCAGCTACTCGGGAGGCTGAGCCAGGAGAATCGTTTGAACCCAGGAGGCGGAGGTTGCAGTGAGCCAAGATCAGGCTGCTGCACTCCTGCCTGGCGACAGAGAAAGACTCTGTCTCAAAAAAAAAAAAAAAAAAAAAAGATTTGGAAGCAACGTAAATGTCCATCAACAGATGAATGGATAAAGAAAATGTGGTACATATACACAATGGAGTACTATTCAGCCATAAAAAAGAATGAGATCCTGTCATTTGCAGCAACATGGATGGAACTGGAGGTCATTATGTTAAAGGAAATAAGCCAAGCACAGAAAGACAGACTTTGCATATTCTCACTTATTTCTGGGAGCTGAAAATTAAAACAATTGAACTCATAGAGATATAGAGTAGAAGGATGATTATGAGAGGCTGGGAAGTGTAGTGGGGGATGTGGAAGTGGGGATGGTTAATGAGTACAAAAATATAGTTAGAATGATGAAGGTCTAGTGTTTGATAGCGCAACAGGGTGACTGTAGTTGACAGTAATTTATTGTACACTTAAAATAACTAAAACAATAATTTATTGTACACTTAAAAATAACTAAAATTGAATTGTTTGAAATACAAAGGATGAATGCTTAAATTGATGGATACTCCATTTACTCTGAGGTGATTATTATTGCCTGTATCAAAATATCTCATGTACCCCATAAATACATTCACCTACTATGTACCTACAAATTTTTTAAAAATTTTAAGGTAATAATTATTATCTCCAGAGGTTGGGTAAGAATAGGTCTTTTATTGTAGCTTATCTAGGTTTACTAATTTTTCTACACTGAAAGAATTCTATAACTTGGGTATTAAAATATACTGTAAAGAGAAACTCAAAAAATAAACAGAGAAAAAGGAAAGGAGGGAAGGATGAAAAAAGGAGGGAAGGATGATGGAAGGAATACAGGTAATTAGTGATACTCACCATGTATCACCTACTTGAGACATCAGATGTCCTTTCCTGCGAATTATTTTTTCTTCCCTTTGTAAAACTGTACATTACTGAAAACCTGTTCCTTCTCTATGTATAAAGAGCCTCCACCCATTAAGGTGACATTCCTTTAGCTGCCCGGCATCGTGCCAGATGCAGGGGATACAAAGGCTATATGTGGTCACTCTTTCCCATGAGTTCATGGTAAATCAAACATTGCAGTATTGTGTGACAAATGCAGCAACAGACATTCATGTAGACAGAGGAAGGAAAACATTCACTCTCTTTGAAGGAGAGTGGCTGGTGAAGTCTTCACAAAAGAGGACACCCATGAGCTGGGTCTTGAGGAACGTGGGAGTTGTGTGTGGAGGGTAGATTCCAAGCACAGGGAACAGTACATGCGAGGACACGGAGTTCCCACCCAGCACACTCAGGGCACTGTGAGTAGTTCAGCATGGCTGGAACAGAGATGTTGGGATGGGGTGGGGAGTGCAGGGGAAGGTGAAGGAACAGACAGGAAGTCAGTCTCAGAGGAGCTTTTGAGTCCTCTGAGGCCTCACTGCTCAAAAAGAGTGTATTACCTGTGTGCTTGTCAGAAATGCAGACTCTCAGGCCCACCACAGGCCTTCTGAATCGGAATCTACATGTATTTATTTATTTAGAGACAGAGTTTCATTCTATTGCCCAGGCTGAAGTGCAGTGGTGTAATCATGGCTCAGGTGATCCTCCCACCTCAGCCTCCTGAGTAGCTAGGAATACAGGCGTGCACCACCATGCTTGGCTAATTTTTTAAAATTTTTGTGGAGACAGGGTCTCACTATGTTGCCCAGGCTACTCTTGAATTCTTCGGTTCAAGGGGTCCTCCTGCCTCGGCCTCCCAAAGTGCTGGGATTATAGGCATGAGCCTCCGTGCCCAGCCAGAATCTACATTTTAGGCCGGGTGCAGTGGTTCATGCCTGTAATCCCAGCACTTCGGGAGGCCAAGGCAGGTGAATCACCTGAAGTCGGGAGTTTGAGACCAGCCTGACCAACAAGGAGAAACCCCGTCTCTACTAAAAATACGAAATTAGTTGGGCGTGGTGGTGCATGCCTGAAATCCCAGCTACTCGGGAGGCTGAGGCAGGAGAATCGCTTGAACCTGGGAGGCGGAGGTTGTGGTGAGCCAAGATCATTCCATTGCATTCCAGCCTGGGCAACAAGAGCGAAACTCTGTCTCAAACAAACAAACAAACAAACAAAAACAGAATCTACATTTTAACAAGAGGTTCAGGTGATTCCTTTGTGCATTCAAGTTCAAGAAGCTCTGCTCTGACTTAAGACCTTCAAACTTTATTGTGTGGACACCGGGGAGCCTTTGAGGGCTTTCAGCAGGGGCAGGACGCAATTGTTCTGTCCTCCTTCCTTGGTGTCCACAGCAGGGGATGGTTCTTCATCTCCTCTTCCCAGTCCTCTCCTTCCCTGTTTCTTCATCAGCCCCTCTGCCACCCACTAACCCCAAACACTCCAGTCCTCCATTCACTACCTGCCTTCACAGACCTTTCCTCAGCCTCACTGCCCTGAACACACCTTGTATAATTCTTGAGTGCAGGGAATCCTTTGGGTTTGAACAATGATAAATAAAAATGTAAGATTCTATGATTCTATGAAATACTTTGCACAGCAGGGTGACCTTGTGGAATTCATTATGCCCAAGCAGTGGCATGTGCCGAAAACATAAGTAGGCTCGAAATACATTGAGAAAGATTCACAGAAGTAAATCCATGGTGAGTTAAGAAGGGAAACAGGATGCAGAGATGTGGTCCCTAACCTTTTCTGGATAATAACCTGTATTGGTTTTTTTCTGACTATAAAACTAATATATGTGCATTAGAAAGCTTGGAAATACATTAGTTTGAACAAGAAAACAAAAGGTCAGTCAGAGAAAAAATCAGAAGGGATTAAAAACAGAGAGAAGGAAATCAAGGGCATGCATGCGTGCGTGCACGCACACACACACATACACACACACACACATATTCTTCCCACCTCCCGCCACTCCTACCCTGTCCTTCTGATTTGGTTATAACTATGATTGCAGATTGATCAATATTCAATGTTTACATTATCAAGACTGTAAACCCTGTTGACCACTGAACTATGTAGTATACAATGATTACTTTTCCTTTCTTGCACAACATTTTGCTTTTCTGGGAGTTGATCATTGTTGTTAGTTCTATGTTCAATTGATTAGTTTTTTATGTCCTTATTAGTAATTTCTTTCTTTCTTTTTTTTTTTTTTGAGACAAAGTTTCGCTCTTGTTGCCCAGGCTGGAGTGCAATGGCACGATCTTGGCTCACCACAACCTCCGCCTCCCGGGTTCAAGGGATTCTCCTGCCTCAGCCTCTCGAGTAGCTGGGATTACAGGCATGCACCATCACACCCGGCTAATTTTGTACTTTTAGTAGAGACAGGGTTTCTCCATGTTGGTCAGGCTGGTCTTGAACTCCCAACCTCAGGTGATCCGCCCGCCTCAGCCTCCCAAAGTACTGGGATTACAGGTGTGAGCCACCGTGCCCAGCCTATTAGTAACTTCTTCACTCTTCCCTAAGTGGGCAAATATTCTCTGAATATATTCAGATACATTAAATGGTTTGTTGTTGTTGTTGTTGTTGTTGATTTGTTTCTTTGAGACAGGGTCTTACTCTGTCCCCCAGGCTGCAGTGCAGTGGCGCAATCCCAGTTCACTGCAACCTCCGCCTCCAGGGTTCAATTATTGTGCCTCGGCCTCCTGAGTAGCTGGGATTACAGATGGTGCCACCATGGCCCAGGTAATTTTTATGTTTTTAGTGGAGATTGGTTTCGCCATGTTGGCCAGGCTGGTCTCAAATTCCTGGCCTCAAGTGATCCTCCCATCTCAGCCTCCCAAAGTGCTGGGATTACAGGTGTGGGCCACTGCACCCAGCCCATTAAATGTTTTATCAGTTTCATCTCGTTGATGCCATCTTCTCTCTTGGAATCTTCTGACTGCTGTAGCCTGCATTGGTCACTCTGAAGATCTGCTGCCCTGCTGCTGTTCAATAACCTTCCATCTCCATCCTAGGGATTTCCTTCAACTCTCCTCTGTTAAAAACCTGCTTTCTAGGTTCCATACACTTTCACTTCTGGTTTTTCTACCTCATTTTGGTGGAAAATTTTCTCCAGTAGCTTCCTGAGAAAGAGCTCATGGAAGACAATGGGTTTGGTTTCTTTCATGTCTGGAAATGCCTTCATTCTGTCTTCACACTAAATTAATCATTTGGCTGTGTATAGAAGGGAAGATTGGAAATCATTTTCCTCCAGAACATTCAAGGCATTATTCTGTTGCCTTCCAGCTGCCAGTGTGGCCGGTGAGAGATCCACTGTTGTTGTGATTCCTGATTCTTTGTATGAAATGTGTCTTTTTGTTTATTTTTAATCTTTCTGAAAACATATAGGAGGATTTCCTCTCTGTCTTCAGTGTTGTGAAAACTCACCATGTTTTGTCATTTGTGAAACTATTTTCATCCATTATACTTGACACTTAATGGGCCCTTCAGTTCTAGGAAATTTTACTGAATTATTTCCTGGATAGTAGTTATTTGATGGATAATTGGATAGTTCTCTCTGCTTTCCCTTTCTGGAACTCCTATTATGTGAGACCTCCTAGGCTGGACCTTATCTTTTGTCTACTATTTTCCATTTTCCATCTTTTGGCTTTTTTTGCTCTACTTTGTGGAAGATTGCCTCTAGCTCATTTTCCAACTGTTCTATGGAGTGTTTCATTTCTGCTATTATATTGTTAATTTTCAAGAGGGTTTTTTTTGTGCATTAAATGTTCTTTTTTTCCAATATTTTGTTATGAAAATTTCCAAACACATAGAAAAGTTGAAAGAATTTATGGCAAACACCCATATAACCATCACCTGGCTTGAATGTTCTTTTTATAGCTTGTTTCATGGATGCAGTATTAAAGAATATTGATATTTCAGGGGCTTTTCTTGACACTTTCTTCTCCCTGTATTCAGATTGATGTTTATCAACTCATAGCCAATCTTGTTTTACTTATACATCTTCCTCTCTCCCATTCTTTTGAAGCATTATATCATTTTACCAGTAAATGTTTAAACGACTATTTAGAGAAGGTAAGAATTCTTTTTAAAACTCTAGCTACAAGGCCAGGCGTGGTGGAAAGGGTAGCATAATTTATCTAACCAGTTCCTTATTGTTGAACTTCTTGGTTGTTTTCAGTTTGTTCTCCTGTTATATAAACAATGCTTAGATGGACATCCTTAGGAACTTATCCTAAGGAATAAAGTATGTAATGATGGAACTCTTCCTAGCTTTAAGGTTCTGAACACTTAACTGAAGTCCTCTAGATCTCACAGTATGTCAGTTGCTGAAAAGTAGCTGATAATTCATGCATGCCTGAAACAAAATGAACTTTTCTCATAAGAAATGAAAGAACAGCCAGAAATATGGTCTAAGAGTTTAAAAATACTTCAGATATCACTTTTTGTTCTTTTCACTTTAGCGTAGTCATTGTCAGCAAATGAGCAGTTTATGGAAAGCAAAATGAAAACAGAAAGTGTTTATGAAAGAAAACCCGGGCAGGCACTGTGGCTCGCACCTGTAATCCCAGCACTTTGGGAGGCCAAGGTGGGCACATCACCGGAGGTGGGGAGTTCAAGATCAGCCTGGATAACATGGTGAAACCCCGTCTCTACTCAAAATATGAAATTAGCTGGGCATGGTGGCACGCACCTGTGATCCCAGCTACTCAGGAGGCTGAGGCAGGAGAATCATTTGAACCCAGGAGGCAGAGGTTGCGGTGAGCCAAGATTGTGCCACTGCACTCCAGCCTGGGTGACAGGGCGAGGCTCTATCTCAAAAAAAAAAAAAGAAAGAAAACCCCCTGAATTTACTGACAATGTCCAGTTGAGCCACAGACAGAGCCAGCCTGCATCAGGAATATCTTTTTTTTTTTCTTTTTTGAGACGGAGTCTCTGTCGCCAGGCTGGAGTGCAGTGGCGCGATCTTGGCTCACTGCAACCTCTGCCTCCCGGGTTCGAGTGATTCTTCTGCCTCAGCCTCCTGAGTAGCTGGGACTACAGGCACGCATCACCACGCCCAGCTAATTTTTGTATTTTTAGTAGAGACGGGGTTTCACTAAGTTGGCCAGGATGGTCTCAATCTCTTGATCTCGTGATCTGCCCACCTCGGCCTCCCAAAGTGCTGGGATTACAGGCATGAGCCACTGTGCCTGGCCAATATCACTTTCATGGGTACAAAAATACAATTAGCTGGAATAAATAAGATATTGTATTCAGTGGCACAATCTGGAGATTGTAGTTAGCAATAATGTATTGTATATTCAAAAGTAACTAAAACAGTGAAATTGGGATGTTCCTAATACAAAGAAATGACAAACACATAAAGTGATGGATCTCAATTATTCTGATTGGATTATTACACACTGTATACCTGAATCAAAACATCACATGTACCCCATAAATATACATGACTATTCTGTATCCATAATAATTAAAAATAAAAAAATATTTAAAAGAATAATACTTTCCATTCCCAGGACTCTTCATGTAAAATCTTTGTCCTACTCAGTAACATCCTGGGCTCAGCATTTTCTTAATGCCAGCACCTCCATTAATGATTGTTCTGAATAGTTCTCACTCAGTGAGCCTGTTGCCAGCGTTTATAATCCATTCATCTTTTCATTGCAGGCAAAAACTTATGTTTTTCCTGCAAAGACCGTAGCCTTTGATTACTTCTTTGTCTGGGGTTTTTCTGTAATATTAACCAGTGTTTTGCAGTCATAATTTCAACTCAGTGCAAAGCCATTGCAAATTCCTAAGGAATTCCGGGTCTCCATCAATCAAGCAGAAGAACACAGGTTGAGCCATCACAGGCTGGTGGTCTTGTGCCTTAATCCATTTTTTGTTGTCTGTTCTTCTGGAGGAAGGTGGTCCAGTACTGGTATGATGGCTTCATGGTCATCAGTACCCAGGTTCCTTCTATGTTTTAATCCACTATCCTTAGTATTTGCTTTCGTCTGCCATGATTCCTCATGCTCACAAAATGGCTGCTGGAGATGCAACCATTATAGCCAAGTTTCAGGCAGCAGGATGGAAGAAATAAAAAAGGGGCTAAAGGGCATATGGCTCAATCCACCACCCTTAACTGGAAGTCTCTTATGCCCTTTTCAAGCCTAGTTCTCCTGTTTTTCTTTTACAATCTGTGAATTCTTATATACCCTTTCAACAAATTCCTTTTCTGTTTATCAACCAGAGCCCATTTCTTTTGCTTGCAACCAAGAACTCTAATTGATACAATGAAAATAGTTTATGTCAGAAGAGAAAGGGGAGAGATTCTGAAAATAGCTGACAAGATTAGCTGTTAATCACTTGCAGGACCTGTGGGATTTCAAAGGGGACAAGAAAATGGTTGAGATTATGGAGGGTAGGCTAGAGAATACCTCACCAAAAGATCCTCTTCTCAGTAATTAGAGAAGACAGATTGTTGGCTTAATGAGACCCTTGAGGTCTAAAACGTATCTTGGGAGAGAAATGGAGGATGAGAAATACCCTTGTTTCCATTTTACCTTCCATATGGGACTGAGGTTAAAAAAAATATATACCATCACGGGAATAAGGAGAACCCAAAGTCTAGACCAGATTAAATGAAATAATGTATAAAGTCCAGTGCCAATTGGCTGGTCAATATTTCACAAATATTCACTGCCTTTCTCCTCTCCTGTTTTTCCCAGACAGAAACTAGTTCGCTTTCTCACAAACCCGTGTTGTCTTCTTCCTGGACACACTGCTAGCCCACCATTCTTGCATCCAGGTGGACTGCGAGACTGAGTTCTGGCCAGCTCATGGAATGTGTTAGGAAGAGTTAGGAACGCCCCTTCTGGATCTGGCCCCAAATCTTCCCTTGAGATTCTCTAGGCTCTCTTCTCCCTCATCTGCAGCCAGGTTCAGAGGATTTTCAGAGGATTCACTGGAGGACTCAGTCCCCTAGAAAAGGCAGAGCTTCTAGATGCACCCATGAAGTCTTTGAGAAACAGAGTGCCCTCTCCCGCTCTCCCAGTGACCCACATTGAACCGTGATACTGGATGAGTAAGTCACCGAGATTTGGGGATTGCTTGTTATAGCACTTAGCCTACCCTGAATAATTCAGCCCTATCTTTGGAGAAATTTTTTTTACCTCCTGGGTCTCAGTTTCTTCATCTGAAAATGAGGTCAAAGCAGGACCTGGGATATTGAAAAAGAAAAAAGAAAACGAGGAATTTAGAATAGGGGCACTCTTGGTTGCCATGAGCTATAACACTGCATTTATAAATCCTATGGTTATTCTTTCCAAATGGTTTAAAACTCTACAAGGACTAAATGTAGAATTTCTCGACTATAATAAAGACTAAATTCCCAATTTATACATGGGTTGTGTTTCAAAAGTTCAGGTACAAGTTCCTTGTTGGAGCATTGTTTCTGTGAAAACATATATATAGATAGATAGATAGATAGATATTTTTTGAGATGGAGTTTCACTCTTGTTGCCCAGGCTGGAGTGCAATGGTGCAATTTTGGCTCACTGCAACTTCGGCCTCCTGGGTTCAAGTGATTCTCCTGCCTTAGCCTCCCGAATAGCTGGGATTACAGTGATGTGCCACCATGACCAGCTAATTCTGTATTTTTAGTAGAAATGGGGTTTCACCATGTTGGTCAGGCTGGTCTCAAACTCCTGACCTCACATCATCCACCTGCCTTGGCCTCCCAAAGTGCTAGGATTACAGGTGTGAGCTACTGCACCTGGCCAGATTCAATTTTTAAACATATACATAGGTTCCTGCTTCATCCTCAGTTCTGAGGCCCCCTAAGCTCTACCTTGGAAGCAGTGAGTGAGATAGGCAAGCAGCAGCTGAGCAAAGGCTCTGAGGTGTGATCAGAGAGGGACAGGAGGGTAGGATGGGCTGCACCATGGGCCAGGATGTCAGCTGTACAAGCTTCCTGTGGGAGGAAGTGGAAGCCATGATACATGCAAGTCATTGCTAAATTGGATATTTCCAATTATAGGTCTACCTCTTCTTTTTAACTGTGCTTGGGTACACGTTCTGTGCAGGGCAGAGATAGATTTACCATGAAGCTAATAAACCTCAGGCTTCGAGGTCCTCACTCCCATGTAGGACCTTTCCAAGGCCCTTGCAATGTGTTTACCAGGTCATTTGTTTTTGTAAAATTGGAAAAAGTGAGATATTTTAACTGCAGTTGGTTAAGGCTGCTGTCTATTTCTGCTCTGACTTCCCCTCCTTCACATTTTCCCTTGTGTTAGATGGCACTGAAGTGGCCACAGGCATTTTTGGGAAATAAAAGCTACAGGGAAGTTGAGTTGGGAATAGACTCCATTTGGTATCTATTCATATGGCATACCGACACTTCCATGCATAGCTACCACCTGCAACCCAGACACAGGAATACCTTCCAGAAGTACTCTTATTCATCCAGCAAGCTGACTTACCTGCTATTGTGACCTGTAGGTAGAAGAGCGGCTGGGCGCGGTGGCTCACGCCTGTAATCCCAGCACTTTGGGAGGCGGAGGCGGGCAGATCATGAGGTCAGGAGATCGAGACCGTCCTGGCTAACACAGTGAAACCCCGTCTCTACTAAAAATACAAAAAATTAGCCGGGCGTGGTGGCGGGCGCCTGTAGTCCCAGCTACTCGGGAGGCTGAGGCAGGAGAATGGCGTGAACCCGGGAGGCGGAGCTGGCAGTAAGCCGAGATCGCGCCACTGCACTCTAGCCTGGGCGACAGAGCAAGACTGTCTCAGAAAAAAAAAAAAAAAAAAAAAAAAAAAGGGCTTAGATCAAACCAGGATATAAATGTGTCCAATAGCACCTGGCACCCGAAGTTATGTGGGCCTAAAAGTTTGAAAATATATGAAGTCAGAAGCTAGTCTGAAGAAAATTATTCCAGTCATAAGCAGAAGATTCTGTCTCTTATTAAACACCAGTCAAAACAAGTTTTGTCCTGTCGGCAATAACACAGTAACTCAATAGCACAGCATATATAATTATAAATGCACCATGCATTCTTTTATTTCTTGATGGGAATTGTACAATACACAATTTATCAGAATCCCTATGTTTAAATTCCTTTGCTGACTTGACACAAATTACTGCTATCAATGCAGATGATAAAAATTTTATAATGCATCATTCATAATAAGGTTTTCAACGACAAATTGGCTAATGAATACAGTCCATTTGAAGAGTAGATCTAAGATTATTTCTTGCACAAGAAAATTTGAAATGCTCTGAAATCTTCCAGCTAATAAATGAAAGAAATTTAATCAAAGTTCTCCCCCAATTTGATAACAAACCAAAAAATTTACATGACATTGCCAATAACAACTTGTGAACTTGAAAGAAACTTTTATAACTGCCACAAATAATAAAAGACAAATTTGATCCACCAGGCTAAGAAAAGACTGAATTACCTTCCTGGTCTCTCTCTAAAATGATATTATCAAGTGATTGTCATGTGAAGAAGCAATCAAAGAGTATGCAGCCAAAAATGTAAGAAAAAAAGTAATATTCAAGTGTGACTAGCATTTAATCAATCAAACTATTATAGAATTTTTTTTTTTTTTTTGAGACGGAGTCTTGCTGTCGCCCAGGCTAGAGTGCAGTGGCACGATCTCGGCTCACTGCAGGCTCCGCCCCCTGGGGTTCACGCCATTCTCTTGCCTCAGCCTCCCGAGTAGCTGGGACTACAGGCGACCGCCACCTCGCCCGGCTAATTTTTTGTATTTTTAGTAGAGAGGGGTTTCACCGTGTTAGCCAGGATGGTCTCGATCTCCTGACCTCGTGATCCGCCCGCCTCGGCCTCCCAAAGTGCTGGGATTACAGGTGTGAGCCACCACACCAAGCCTATAGAAAATTTGTTGTGATGCTTTTAGTAGTCAGCTTTTCAAAATTTGTAATTTGTTGTGATTTCTCATTATAAATAAATATTCACTTTTATACCTGTCTTTATATTTGTAAGTTGGTGGGAGTTTTTTCCTTAAAGAGGGCGCCCCTTCTTCCCCTTTCCCTTGAAATTATATATGCATCTCACTCCATAAAACCTGGCTGACCAAAGTGCAGAGCGAGCTCTTAGGTGCTGCTACAGCTATTTAAGGTGCTGGGGCTGGTATTGTCAAGTATTGTCAAGACACCTGTGCTGTTCAGGCTCTGAAAAGTGGTCATAGGTTAGAAAAGTTACCAGAGTGGATCAAATTAAAACACCTCTTTATGAGGTCACCTGTCAGGCATTTTAGATTACCAGTAATGTTACGAGGGCCTATCTTTGCTTCTGGAGGAACCCCAGGGTCAGGAGTTCTTGCCATTCACTGTCCTGGAAGCAAGGTGATTCCAGCTCCTTGAAAATTGTTAATTATTTGTGCTAGCTTCATCTAGTGACAAAAAGAGGTAAGTTCAGCTCAGCTCACCAAAATTTGTCAAAACGGTGCAGCTTTTTCTCCTTTTCTGTAATTGTGCAGAATACTGTGGTTTACTAAATTCCAGAGTGACTTTTATTAACTTGTGTCCTCAAATAAGTGAAACTAGAGAAACAGCAGGCCAGATAGAGATGAAAATATAAAGGCTGGGCGTGGTGGCTCTCGCCTGTAATCCCAACACTTTGGGAGGCCGAGGTGGGCAGATCACGAGGTCAGGAGTTCGAGACCAGCCTGGCCAACATAGTGAAACCCCGTCTCTACTAAAAAATACAAAAACTTAGCCAGGAATGGTGGCGGGTGCCTGTAATTCCAGCTACTTGGGAGGCTGAGGCAGGAGAATCACTTGAACCTGGGAGGCAAAGGTTGCAGTGAGCCGAGATCATGTCATTGCACTCCAGCCCAGGCAATAGTGTGAGACTCTATCTCAAAAAAAGGAGAAAAGAAAAAGAAAATATAAAGTAAAAACTGAGAGGAAAACAGCGCTTATTTTAACTCCTGATGGTACTGTTTGCAGGAGTCATGCTCCAGTGCCTTATAAGAAGTTTACCGAACTGCCAGCCTCATGGAGCAGGATACCCCTTTAAGATGGGTGGGCCAGGTGCAGGGGTGGGGTTGGGGGTCCTGCACAACTCTGCTGATGCTTGGTTGACCCTGACGGATATTCTGGGCCATCCTGGCTTTTGACTGGAACCTGCTACCTAGGTTGACCCTTCAGTTCCTCTCCTTATCAGCTCTGTTATTTCCAATCTCTGAGTCACATCTTGCCCAACTCCATTCCACTATGTCTGCTTCAGTTGGCATCCTTTCTCCCTTCCATTTAAAGTTTCCCCAAACAGATCTGGCCTTATTGTATTCTCTATTGAGTTTTCATTCAACAACATTTGTTGAGCATCTTTGTGCCAGGCCCATGTTAAGTATAGGAGACTCAAGGCTGAGAATAACACACCGTTGCAAGCACATCCTCTGGATCCAAACTCCCTGGGTTCGAATCCTAGTACCATCATTTCTAACTGTGGGATCTTGGACAAGTTACTTTGTTTTACTCCAGTGTCCTCATCTATATAAAAAGAATAATAATACGGTCATTTTCTCACGGGGTGAGAGGATTGACTAAGGAGCTTACAAGGGTGTCTGGTGCCTGGTAAGCACTCTTTAAGTGCTGGCTCTTAAGGCACGGTCCTTGCCTCTCAAGGAGCTCATGGTCTACAGTTGCCCCTGGGGGACAGGGCTGAGTCGGCTGGCTTCGCAAGTGACCTGCACCTCCTGGCTACCCTTTCCTGAACCGGGTGGAAGTTTTTGAGTCACAGATTCAATGTATGACCCCAGACAAGTAAGTTCTCTCGGTCTCACTTTTTGCATTTATAAAGAAAGGAAATTGGACTAAAATTGATTTCCAAGATCCCAACAAACTAGTATACTTGTTCTGGGTCAAGTAGCCCAAGTTTCAAACTATGTCAGCTTGGCCAAGACACTTAGCCCTCAGAGTTTGTTTCATCCCTGTAAAACGTGGATGATATTGCTAATCCCCTCCCAGTGTTGTGATGAGGGTTCAATAATACAAGGCAAGCCCCAGGCGCTCGCCGGCTCCAGGTATACAGCGAGAGGAAATCAGGACAGCTTTTCTGATTCACCGCAGAATTCTAGCCACCCGCCCTAGCCGTTCGACGCACGCGCGCTGGCACCGCCACCGCCCACGCCGACAGCAGGTTCCCGGCTTCCGGTTCCGCCACGGCCCAGAGGCTGTGTTGAGGCTAATGGCGGTGCCCACGGAACTGGATGGAGGGAGTGTTAAGGAGACCGCAGCGGAAGAGGAATCGCGAGTTCTGGCACCTGGCGCCGCCCCGTTCGGAAATTTTCCTCATTATTCTCGCTTCCACCCTCCGGAGCAACGGCTCCGCCTCCTGCCCCCGGAGCTGCTTCGACAGCTCTTTCCTGAGAGTCCCGAGAACGGGCCGATTCTGGGGCTCGACGTGGGGTGTAACTCCGGGGTGAGTGACAGGGGAGGGATTGGAGCATCCGGAGCCAAGTGGTTGGCTGCCTACACATCCACTGTGGTTCTGGCCTGGGCTAACACCCATCGAAACTTTCCCAAAACGAGTATAAAGCGTGGCTTTGACTGAGCCAGTGCCGCTGCTGCCTGCCCGCCAGGGTTCCACCATCTGTCTTAGGAATCTCTCTTGGAGAGGAGTCCTTGTCGACTACGTTCCCACTTTTCTTTCAGGGCCAGACCCCAGGTGGGAACGGTCCTTGTATCTAGGGTGGCCTCTGTCCAGCGTGCCTGGCGCTTTGGCTGGGGAGAGGGGGCTTCCAGAGACACACGTTTGGGAACATGGGGTTAGGTTTGGTTTACTGGGAGAGAAGAGCCAAGGGTGACAGAATCATGCCTGATATTGAGACTCATGTGTGCTATACAGTGCAGGACAGACCCTGGGACCTGCATGTTTATTTCAAAAAAAGTGAGTAGGCCGGGCGCGCTGGCTCACGCCTGTAATCCCAGCACTTTCGGAGGCCGAGGCGGGTGGATCACAAGGTCACGAGATCGAGACCATCCTGGCTAACACGGTGAAACCCCGTCTCTACTAAAAATACAAAAAATTAGCCGGTCGTGGTGGCGGGCGCCTGTAGTCCAGCTACTCCGGAGGCTGAGGCAGGAGAATGGCGTGAACCCGGGAGGCGGAGCTTGCAGTGAGCCGAGCTAGTGCCACTGCACTCCAGCCTGGGCGACAGAGCGAGACTCCGTCTCAAAAACAAAACAAAACAGTGAGTTGACAGAGTACAGTGGAGAGGATCGAGAAGCAAATAAAGCATTTTGCCCAAGGGAATGGAGAAGGGCGGCACTGCCACTCTTCTTGCTGCAAACTATTCTTAGGCATATGATTATAATCAAACCACATGCAAAATAAGGAAATGTCTCTCCCACACCTATTTGTAGCCACTGGGATATTCTACACTAGCAGGCAGTCTGAACTTACCACGGCAAATGCTTCAAAAGTTAGTACCCTCTCTGCGCTCCCTCCATCACTCCAGTCCAGCATCTGGAGGGCGGGGGACAATTCTGTTACGTTGCTGTCCTTTTACAGAAGAGACTTTGGGGGACGACTTCAGACCTTGTGGGACTCAGATGATAGTAGGAAGGGGACATTTGGATACAGTCTCAAAGACTGGAATGAGGAGATGGGTTGATGTCCTGTGTCCCCTGCAAAATTTCTCCGCTGTGATGATACGGGAAGTCAGAGGGTAAAAACAATGGAAAAGAGAGACTGAGGTTAAGGCTTGGGATTTCACGAAAGGCATTAGGAAACCACCAGAGATTTTAAAGTTGAGAGTAGTATACACATGAGAGGTAAAGACATAGTTGGCAGCTAACTAGGGTAGTGGTTCCCAAACCTGGCTGTACGTTTATGGAGCTTTCTGTTTTGCAGTTTTTAAAAAATGCTTTTTCTTGTGGATCTTTGTAGTCAGGAAAGGGAAAAAAAATGCTTGCGCTTGATAAAACAAAAAAATTCAAACTACAAAGGGGTATATACTAAAAAGTAAGTCTCTACTCCCAACCCTAAATCCTCCTTTTCCCCCACACAGTGGCACTACTGTTTATAATTTCTTAGGTATCAGTCTTGTGTGTATACCAGCATTTACGTACATATAAGTACCCCCCTTTTAGTTTTACAAATGGTAACACACTATTAGTAGCTTTTAATTCTGAGATTATTTATATCACCACATTCTTTTTTTAGCAGCTTCCTAATGTTTCATTGGATAGATGTACCATAATTTATGGGTGCTTTTTTTTTTCAATTTTAAAAACTCCTTTCCCAGCCTGGGCAACATGGCAAAACCCCATCTCTAAAAAAAATTAGCCAGGTGTGGTGGTGGGCATCTGTAGTCCCAGCTACTTAGAGAGCTGAGGGAGGAGGATCGCTTGAACCCAGGAGGTCGAGGCTGCAGTGAGCCTTGATTGTGCCACATACCCCAGCCTGGGTGACGAAGTGAGACCCTGTCTCAAATAAAACAACAACAAAAAACCCAAAAAACTGCTGGGTGCAGTGGCTGACGCTGTAATCCCAGCATTTTCAGAGACTGACGCTGGTGGATTGCTTGAGCTCGGGAGTTTGAGATCAGCCTGGGCAACATGGCAAAATCTCATCCCTACCAAAAATACAAAAATTAGCTGGGCATGGTGGTGTGCACCTGTGGTTCCAGCTACTCATAAGGCTGAAGTAGGAGGATCTCTGGAGCCTGGGAAGTCAAGGTTGCAGTGATCACACCACTGTACTCCAGCCTGGGAAACAGAGTAAGATCCTGTCTCAAAAATAAATAAATAAATAAATAATAAACATTTTCAGCACCCCACAACTTCCCCTATATGCCTTTTCCTGTTCATAAACCTCTATCTCTACCCAGAGGTAACAACTAGCCTTCTGTTGTTTCCTTGCTTTTCTTTATAGTGTACTGTTTTTCTTCCCTGAATGATGTACTTTAATTTCACCCATTTTTGAGCTTCATGTAAATGGATGCTTTTCATATATTTTCTGTTATGGCTTGCTTTTTTTCTCAACATTATGTATTTGTGAGAATCATCCATGTTGTGCACCAAGCTGGGTGCCTTCATTTTTTAACTGCTATTTAGTATTCTATCTTCATGATTATACCACATTTATTTGTCCATGCCACTATCACTGGACATCTGGGTGGTTTCCATTGTGCATTTTCTTCACCTGCAGAAAAGGCATAAATAAATATTTTCCTCACATGCTTGTTACACCAAGCAAACAAAGTAGTAAACAGAAAAATGCCTTGAAAATACTATGTGGAAAAACACAAATTTGAGTTAGTTATAATGGTTATAGAAATCAAAGAGGCCAGGTGCAGTGGCTCATTCCTATAGTCCCAGCACTTTGGGAGGCCGAGGCAGGTGGATCACTTGAGGTCAGTTAAAGACCAGCCTGGCCAACATGGTGAAACCCTGTCTCTAATAAAAATACAAAAATTAGCTGAGTGTGGTGATGCATGCCTGTAATCCCAGCTACTTAGGAGGCTGAGGCAGGAGAATCGCTTGAACCTGGGAGGCAGAGGTTGCTGAGATCACGCCATTGCACTCCAGCCTGGCCGACAGAACCAGACTTTGTCTCAAAAAAAAAAAGAATTCAAAGTTAGAGAAAGGAGATGGTGACTTAAGAGTAAAAAAGGTGCTAATGTGGTAAAAATCACAAATCATTGGACTTGTCTAGAAGGTTGTTAGCAGTGACTTTTAGCAATGATGGTTATAGAAGCAGAATGTCTCAGAAGGAGGTGGTGAATCCTAAGACAGTAAAATTGAAGCTTTAGTGAAGGCTGAATGAGGACTTTGGAATCCAGACTTCCCCCACCGCGGGTCTGAGAAGCAGGTTTTTGTAAGATTGTGCTTGCTGTATTCCTCACTTTCCTGGTAAGAGACACTGGTTATGCCTCTGGACCCCTTTCTTCCGCCCTGGGGTCTTGAGATACCCAGAAAAAGAGTGAGTTTATCAGCATATTACTTAAGCTGGGAAATACTGCTGTAGGTTCCTTTGCTGCATCCATTTGGCTGTAACTTTCAGCTATACAACCCAATCTATCATCAGTGTCAGGAAAATATGGGGATGATGCATTACAGCATGTGACCCCTGGAGGGCACTGAGAGCCTACTCTGTAGAAAATTTTTGCACAACCTCTTTAGGTTATGGTTTAGGAACCTCACATCCTATACAGCCAGAGGTAAGTGGCATTCTCAGTGGGAGAATGATACAGATTTCTCTTCCATTCACTGATTGAGAACTGCAGTGACAAAGCTGTTTTGGATTCCTCTAGGATCTGAGTGTGGCTCTATACAAACACTTCCTCTCCCTACCTGACGGGGAAACCTGCTCAGATGCCTCAAGAGAATTCCGTCTCCTCTGCTGCGACATAGATCCAGTCCTGGTGAAGCGAGCCGAAAAAGAATGTCCTTTTCCTGATGCCTTGACTTTTATCACCCTGGACTTCATGAATCAAAGGACCCGGAAGGTTCTCTTGAGCTCTTTCTTAAGCCAATTTGGACGTTCAGTTTTTGACATTGGCTTCTGCATGTCAATAACCATGTGGATTCATCTGAATCATGGAGACCATGGCCTATGGGAGTTCCTGGCCCATCTTTCCTCCCTCTGCCACTACCTCCTTGTGGAGCCCCAACCCTGGAAGTGTTACCGGGCAGCTGCAAGGCGTCTCCGAAAGCTGGGACTCCATGATTTTGACCACTTCCACTCCCTTGCCATCCGAGGTGACATGCCCAATCAGATTGTGCAGATCTTGACCCAGGATCATGGCATGGAATTAATATGTTGCTTTGGCAACACCAGTTGGGACAGAAGCCTTCTGCTCTTCAGGGCAAAACAAACCATAGAGACTCATCCAATCCCTGAATCACTGATAGAAAAAGGGAAAGAAAAGAACAGATTAAGTTTCCAGAAGCAGTGAGATGGGAGGGCAAGAAGACCAAGAAAGATATTGAAAGGGTTTTATATTGAGAATTATGTTCATTCTCCTTAATTCCTTAACAATCAGGCAGCCGCAAAACCTGGCAGGAGCTTTTGGTAAAATGTCCAAGGCACATAATTGAAAGAATCAGTATCTGTTCCCCATTGTTTGGAACAAATCTTGAGGAGAATGAATCTGTGGAGTGATGAGCTAGGATATCTGGATTGAGATGGCCTAGGAAAAGTGGTCCTGGTTATGGGTTATGGAGAGGGCTGCTTTTGGGGATTATTTATAAAGATCAGACTAGGCTAGTCTTAAAATATGTCAGTTCCTGGGCTCTCTGAATCCTACCTGGTTTCTTCAGGCTTCTGGACTTGCTAGGCCTGCCTTTGGGCAAAACCTTAGTAATTCAGGTCTGGAATGGGGCTTAGGAATCTATTTTCTGTTTTTTTGTTTGTTTGTTTTTGCATTCTTCTATTGTAATATATACATAAAATTTACCATTTTAACCGTTTTTAAGTACAGTTTTTCAGAACGTGGAAATCCCATCAAAAATTGGATTAAAAAATTAAAAGATAAATTGATAATTTTTTTAAAAGTATACAATTTTGTGATATTAAGTACATTTCACAATGAGGCATCTATTTTTAACAGCTCCCCCAGATGATTCTGAGGCAAGCAGAGGTAGACCATACTTTGAGTGCTTACGGTTCCATTCAGTCCTTCTCTATGTATTTTTCCTGGGGTGAGTTCTTCCCTATGGTTTTAACAACTACCTACATGCGGCCGGGCGCGGTGGCTCACGCCTGTAATCGCAGCACTTTGGGAGGCCGAGGCGGGTGGATCACGAGGTCAGGAGATCGAGACCATCCCGGCTAAAACGGTGAAACCCCGTCTCTACTAAAAATACAAAAAATTAGCCGGGCGTAGTGGCGGGCGCCTGTAGTCCCAGCTACTTGGGAGGCTGAGGCAGGAGAATGGCGTGAACCCGGGAGGCGGAGCTTGCAGTGAGCCGAGATCCCGCCACTGCACTCCAGCCTGGGCGACAGAGCGAGACTCCGTCTCAAAAAAAAAAAAAAAAAAAACAAAAAAAAAAACAACTACCTACATGCTTATGGTCCCCAAATATATTGGTAGCCCGACATCCACAGTTCCAGACTAGCATTTTTCCTGTTTTGTCATTATATCCCTTAGTTCTTAGGTACATCAGAATCAACAGATCTCAAAAGCAAGCTCACTACCCTCATTCAAAACCTAGTCCTATCTCATTTGATAGTAATCATTGCTTATGCTAGAAACCTCAGTTGATTTTCTCACTTACACTCCCCCACATTGAAATGCTCTCAAAGTCCAGCAGCAAATTCTATCAATTACATGTAAGTTTCATTCCATACATGTGTCCGGTGCCTGGTGGGAGGTTCCTATATTAAAGTCATCTACCTTCCATCCATTGTCTGCCTTACAGCCACAGTTTACTCATCTGTACAACGAAATAACACCACTTTCCTTTTCCTATGCCCAAATGAGCTAAGGATGTGAAGGTATTTTGCAGAATATAGAGTGATAAAGAAAAATAAGGTGCTATTACACTGTGTGAGCATGCCGCAGACCACAACTGCACTTGTTAGACTGGAGGCTTATGAGAAAAACATCTCACCTTGTAGAAAACATGCATCTTACTATCTCTGATAACTTGTTTTTCAGGATGATGAAGTAATAAGGAGTCCAGCTTCAGTGCTACAGAGCATTTTAAAGGAAGCAGTGTTGGGAGGGAGGGATATGGAACTAATGGAAATGAGGCTAGTTTATGATGGTCTCAGTTATCACAGTAGATACAGAGCTGAGTTTACCCACAAGATCTTAATTTAGGAACACTTTGAAACCCTGTAACCCTGCTGGGTGCTCTCTCCTCTCACTCCACCAAGGCAGCGCACAGAAACATACATGGGGCTGTGGTAGGATGAATAATGGTCCCCCAAGATGTCCACCTCCTTTAGCAAAAGGGGCTTTGCAAATGAGATTGAGGATCTTCAGATAGGGAGATTAATCTGGATGATCAGAATATACCCTAAGTGCAATCATCAGTGTTCTTATAATAGGGAGGCAGAGGGAGAGCTGACCACAGTAGGAGATGTAATGACAAAAGCAAGAGGTTGGAGTGATATGAAGAAGGGCTGCAAGTCAAGGAATGCAGGTGGCTTCTAGAAGTTAGAAAAAGCAAGAAAATGTATTCTCCCCTGAAGCCTCCAGAAGGAACAGCCCTGCCAACACCTTGATTTCAGATTTAATCTCCAGAGCTGTAAGAGAATAAATCAGTATTTTAAACCACTAAGGTTTGTGGTGATTTCTTACAGCAGCACTATAAAACTAATACATGGGCTCTGACTACAGTGAGACTGGCTTACAAAAGCCAAGTGGCACCTTTCCCAGATAACTCCTTGTTAACAGAAAATAACCTCAGTGAGCAGAAGGATACACAAGGGCTTTGTCCAACATGGCTAATTAAGAAATTGCCAGGTGCAGTGGCTCACGCCTGTAATCCCAACACTGGGAGGCTTAGGCAGGTGGGTCACTTGAGCTCAGCAGTTTGAGACCAGCCTGGGCAACATGGCAAAACCCCAAATCTGCAAAAAATACACACACAAAAAAAAAATTAGCTGGGAGTGGTGGCACGCACCTGTAGTCCAGCAACTTGGGAGGCTGAGGTGCAGGATCACTTGAGCCCAGGAGGCTGAGGTTGCAGTGAGCCAAGATCATGCCACTGCACTCCAGCCTGGGTAATAGAGCGATACTGTCTTAAAAAAAGAAATCCTCAATAACGAAAAGCTTTTGGAGATGCTTCAGCATCTGAACCTGACCTGTTCCCTAGTAACAGATTGGCTGAGCAGTTACCTGACCTGTTGGGAGGAACCACTGTATTTCATGTCTGTGGCAGTTAGTTTCAAAAAGGATGTGCAGGCACGCACCTGTAATCCCAGCTACTTGGGCGGCTGGGGCAGGAGAACCGCTTGAACCCGGGAGGTGGAGATTGCAGTGAGCTGAGATCGCACCACTGCATTCCAGCCTGGGCGACATGAGCGAGACTCCGTCTCAAAAAAAAAAAAAAAAAAAAAAAGGCAGAAAGGATTGGCTGGGCGTGGTGGCTCACGCCTGTAATCCCAGCACTTTGGGAGGCCGAGGCGGGTGGATCACGAGGTCAAGAGTTCGAGACCAGCCTGACCAACATAGTGAAACCCCGTCTCTACTAAAAATACAAAAATTAGCTGGGCGTAGTGGCACGCGCCTGTAATCCCAGCTACTTGGGAGGCTGGGGCAGGAGAATCGCTTGAACCCGGGAGGTGGAGGTTGCAGTGAGCTGAGATCACACGACTGCATTCCAGCCTGGGCGACAGGGCGAGACTCCGTCTCAAAAAAAAAAAAACAAAAACAAAAACAAAAAGGATGTGCAATTAGTGCCCATAAAAATGAGGTCCTCAGGTCGGGTGCAGTGGCTCATGTCTGTAATCTCAACACTGAGAGGCCAAGGCAGGAGAATCACTTGAGCCCAGGAGTTACAGACCAGCCTGGGTAAGACAATAAGACTTCATCTCTACAAAAAAAATTTTAAAATTAGCGGAACATGGTGGCGTGTGCCTATAGTCCTAGCTACTCGGGAGGCCGAAGTGGGAGGATTGCTTGAGCCTGGAAAGCAGAGGTTGCAGTGAGCCGAGATTGTGCCATTGCACTCCAGCCTGGACAGCAGAGTGAGACTCTATCTTAAAAAAAAAAAAAAAAAAAAAAAAGGAATGGCAGTATAAGCATATTTAGCCATATAGAAGAATCAGCCAAAAAGTTAAAATGGCTCATTGCTGGAGGTAAGGAATGCAGCAAATAATTGCTTCTGCATTATTTGATTATTAAACCATATGGACATATTACATTTTATAAAAACTAATCTTAAATGAATAATTTTTAAAATTAGCCAGTGTTTTCTAAAATAACTCTTACTGTACCACCCATCTATCTGCCTAATTTTTCCCTCACAGCATAGCCAAAATCTTAGAAAAGTTTTTTTGTTGTTGTTTGTGTTTTTGTTTTGTTTTTGAGACAGAGTCTCACTCTATCACCCAGGCTGGAGTGCAATGGCGCAATTGGCTCACTGCAACCTCCACCTCCCAGGCTCAAGCGATTCTCCTGCCTCAGCCTCCTGAGTAGCTGGGATTACAGGCACATGCCACCGCACACAGCTAATTTTTGTATTTTTAGTAGAGACGGGGTTTCACATGTAGGCCAGGCCGGTCTTGAATTCCTGACCTCAGGTGATCCACCCACCTCGTCCTCCCAAAGTGCTGGAATTACAGGCATGGGACACCGCGCCCAGCCAAAAAGTTTTAAACATCTCCTGTCTCCATTCCTTACTTTGTAAATTTTTCTCAATCCTTCAGAATCTGGTTTTGCCAGGTCAGGCGTGGTGGCTCACGCCTGTAATCCTAACACTTTGGAAGGCCAAGAGGGGAGGACTGCTTGAGCCCAGGAGTTCGAGAACAGCCTGGGCAATGGAGTGAGACCCCATCTCTATTTTAAATAAACAAATAAAGTCTGGTTTTATCAAAGTCTCCAATGACATGTGGCCAGAGTCAGTGGGGATGTCTCTGTCCTGATCCAACTTGACTCAGCAACATCGGGGCCAAAAAATCATCCCTTCCTATTCATGGGGAATTGGTTCCAGGACCCACAAGGATACAAAAATCAAAGGATGCTTAAGTCCCTTACATAAAATAGTATAGTATTTGCAAATGACCTAGGGGTATTCTCCTATATACTTTAAATCATCTCTAGATTACTTATAATATGTAATATCATGTAAATACTATGTAAATAGTTAACACTAAATTTTTAAAATTTTGTATTTTTATTGCTGTAGTTATTTTTTTTTCTGATCTAGTCTTCAGAGAGATGTAGTTTTTATTCTTTTATTTTTTCTGATCTGAGATTGATTGAGTGCATGGATGTGGAAGCCACCAATAAGAAGGACCGACTGTATTTGGTCTTTTTTTTTGGAAATCCCTTTCTTGGGTTCTGGTGACAGCATTCATTCAGTTTTCTTTCTCCCTCTCTGGAGACCCCCCTCTAATGTTGATGTTCCTTGGGGTTCTGTTCCTGCCTTTCTTTTCTCTCCTTGCATGATCTCCTCAACTCCATGACTTCAGTAACCACCAACGTTCTGAGGACTCACAAATCTCTTATCTATCATCCTGATTCCTCTCCTGAGCTTCAGAATTATTTATCCCACAGCCTACATCAGTGCTTCCCAACCTTTTCCATGTCAGTACACACATAGTAAATGATGGTGTTTTATATGCTGGATGATGCAATCTGGCATAACCAAGATTGCTCTCTGACTCAGGAAGCTTGTGCTGCCCTGAGAATTGTGAAGCCCATTATGCAGCACCACCGTAAACTCTTCCTGAGGCACACAGTTGGGAAGTTCTGACGAGTTGGAGAGATGTTTCTACTTGGATGCCCCCTGGGCATTTCTACGTCCTCTCCATCACCACTATCACTTTCCTAGTCCAGACCACATCATTTCTCGTTTTTCTCCTCAGGTACTACAAAAACCTTGCCTGGCCCCCCTGACTTCAGTCTTGCTCTCTCTATCCTCCTCACTGCAACCACATGGATCTAAAATGCAAATCTGATTATGCTACTCTCCTGCTTAAAACCATTCAAAGGCTACACTGCTCTTAGGATAAAGGATGATCTACCCACTGCTTACCTTTCCAGTCTCATTGTTTATCATACCCCACATGAACTCTGTACAAGTTATCTAATACTTTATATACAGAGCTTAGCATATAGATTCAATAAAAATGTTTGAATGATGAAAAGTGATGAAAAAGAGGTTCAAGGATATGAGTAGATTCATCATATCTGTGCCAGGTAGGAGGTTTCAAAGCACATATTGGCGATGCTGTCAGAATCCAAGGAACATGACTGTTCCGTACAGAATTATGTATATGTAGCAGTAAAGATCTATTCCTATATAGCAAGTGGACCAAAGATTATACAACAGCTCCTTTCTTCCTCTTACTGATCAGGAAAGACATTGAGATTGCACTCAGAGTCCATCCAACTGGAAAACAGCCAGATTACAAAAATGTTTTGAGGCCAGGCATGGTAGCTCACATCTATAATCCCAGCACTTTGGGAGGCCACAGTGGGAGGATCGCTTGATCTCAGGAGTTCAAGACCAGCCTGAGCAATACAGTGAGACCCTGTCTCTACAAAAAATGAAAAAATTAGCTGGGTATGGTGGTGCGCACTTGTAGTCCCAGCTGCTTGGTAGGGGCTCACTTGAGCCTAGAGGTCAAGGCTGCAGTGAGCTGTGATCACACCACTGCACTCCAATCTGGGTGACACAGCAAGACCCTATCTGGAAAAAAAAAAAGAAAAAATGTTTTGAGAGGCTAGTTACCAACCTGACTATCTCCTGTTGCCAGGAGTTCTAAACTAGAGTCAGCTTATCAACCAATGGCTAAATGGCTATAGTTTCAACCTCTGAGAATTGAAGATGCTCCAACATTAAATGAATGACCACACAGTATTAAAGCAGGGAACCCCATTCAAAGTACTGATGTTAGCAGTGACGAGGTGATTCTCTCTGAGAATCCATCTATCAGGCACCAGCACTACATGCATAGTTAGACAATACCACCAAACTGGTTTGTTACTAAACCAGTAGTAACAGCTTGCAGCTAACAGAGACCTAAGAGGCCTAGCCTGTTTTGTTACACAGACGACTCAAGTAAATAACAATATATGATTAGTGGTATATCATAAGAGTGAAGAACAAACTTTGGGACTTCTGTGTAATTTTTAATTTATGCAAATAATAGCACTAAGGAATGAAAGTGCCTTAAGCCTTATCAAAAGACTGAAAGGGATCTTGAAGCAATAGTAGCTACACTTCTTTCAACCCCTGTCAGTGAGGATGAAGGTTTGTGAAGCATAGAGAATCTGCCAAAATCTGAATGCTGAAATTATCAAGTGCACAATAGCCTTTAAGGAAGGAGAGAGCCAGGTACTTGCTCTGACAAATACAGATGTTCTGGCTGTTTATTAAACAAGAGTAAACATCTAAATGAAAAGTAAAATATTGGCTGGGCACAGAGGCTCACACCTGTAATCCCAGCACTTTGGGAGGCTGAAGTGGGCAGATCACTTGAGGTCAGGAGTTCAAGACCAGCCTGGACAACTTGGTGAAACCTCATTTCTACTAAAAATACAAAAATTAGCTGGGTGTGGTGGCGCACGCCTGTAATCTCAGCTACTTGGGAGGGTGAGGCAGGAGAATTGCTTGAGAATTGCAAGAGGCAAGAGAATTGCCTCTTGGAAGGCAGACCTTGCAGTGAGCCGAGATTGTGCTGCTACACTCCAGTCTGGGTGACAGAGCAAGACTCTGTCTCAAAAAAAAAAAAAAAAAAAAGGAAAGTAAATTATCATCTTGATGTTCTGTTTACTTCCAATAATTCAGTTATTTGGAAACATCCAAAAGTAGTTAGAAATGCCTGGCAGACTTTTAAGGTTTTCTACCTCAAGGCAGAATTAGGAATACAAGGCAATATTAGGAATACAACAGGTACATGGAGTTTTATTGGACTTTCAAGCCCTTTGAGGAAAGGACCATGTCTACTTTTTGTTGTAATCCCAGAACTAGCCCACTGATCCCTATTCAATGTTAGATGATTGAATAAGAATTCACAATGCTGTAGGCTTCCGAAGATGCCACTATCATCAAGAAATAAGGTGAAAAGGAGAAATGAAAACATGTCTATGAAAATATTTGCACCAGAATGTTAATAGCAGCCATATTCATCATAACCCCAACTGGAAATACCCAAATATCCATCAATTGAAGAATGGATAAACACATTGTGATATATTCATGCAATGGAATAATACTCAGCAATAAAAAAGAACAGATTACTGATACACATGGATGGATCTCAAAAACATTACTAAGCTAAAGGATACAGACACAAGTACATACTGTAAAGCTCCATATATGTGAAATACAAATGCAGACAAATCTATGGTGCTATAATTCAGGAAGTTGCCAGGGGAGGGTGGTGGTGGGTGTGGGGTGATCAACTATAAAGGGGCATGAGGGAACTTTATAGGGTGGTGGTTCAGTATCTTGTTTTGGGTGTTAATTACATAGGTGTATATTTTGAAATTCACCAAACAAAGCACCTAAGATGTGTGCATTTTATTGCACGTTAAGAATAATTTAAGGGCCGGGCATGGTGGCTCACATCTATAATCCTAGCACTTTGGGAGGCCGAGGTGGGCAAATCACCTGAGGTCAGGAGTTCGAGACCAGCCTGGCCAACATGGTGAAGCCTCCGTCTCTACTAAAAATACAAAAATTAGCCAGGTGTGGTGGTGCACTCTTATAATACCAGCTACTTGGGAGGCTGAGGCAGGAGAATCACCTGAAATCAGGAGGTGGAGGTTGCAGTGAGCAGAGATTGTGCCACTGCACTCCGTCCAACCTGGGACAGAGTGAGACTCCATCTCAGAGAAAAGAAAAGAATAAAATATTTTTTAAGCAAAAAAATGAGAAAGCTGGTGGGGGTACCCATCAAGACATCTTTTAGGTTCCAGTAATAGCTGTCCTTGGGCACTCTTTTCATCAAACTACCTCTATGCTCAAGAACCCAAAATGACTTCTTTATCTTATGTCTTGTCACATCCATATCCTTATTCTGCTCTCCTCCATAAGAAACCTCCTCCATTAATTTCTCCCACTTCCCAACGTACCACGGTGATCTGCTCACGGTCCCACGCAGATAATTTGCTCTTTCCTATCTGAATCTCCTTGTGGCCTTTACCCTGCCTGGACCCTACTCAAGCTCTCTCTGCCCTTCAAATTCCGTATTTAAATAAACCTCCTTCAGAAAAGAACTCTTAATCCTAGCCAATCTGAGCACCCTAACTTGCCTTACTTTTTATGTTCCTTTATTGGACTAATATGATACTCTAAGCTGCATCCTTTGTATACTCGCAACAAAAGAAATTTTAATGAAGTAGGCGGAGACTGTACCTAGGGATTCCTTCGTATTTCCCTGCAGAACCCAGGTGAGAACCTACATTTCTGGGGCAGTCACTACAATGCAGGCTGTGAGGGTTATACGGTATTTAGGCAAGGGCAAATAGGTGTTTAATTAAGGACTAATGGGAATGATATTGAAGCTCTGAGGCTCTGCAGGGGCCTGGATGGGCTGTTTGCTTTTCCTCATCCTCACCGAGATAGCAAGTGGTTGAGAACAAGGTTGCATCCTTTTTCTGCCCAGCCTTCCCCGCAAACCAGTGAGGAAACGACCAGCACTGCCGTCTGATGAGAGGAGCCTGTTGCTGTAACTGTTTTCCAGATTACTGGGGGGACGACCCCATCCTGGAGAAGGAAGAGAGAGGCGGGAGCATTTAAGGCCAAAGAGGCACTCAAGCCTTTCCCCCATGGATTTACACCCAACACGTATGCAGAAAAGCAAATTACAAACACCGACGCTCACAACCACACATACACGTGCACGCCCAGCCCCACAGAAGCAAACGCGCATGCCTGTGGGCCCGCGCGCACCTACTTAGTTTTCTCTGTTCTAGACGCCCTCATTCCACCCCCGCTCGGCCCAGCCCGGCGTCCTCTACCCAGGCACGGCTGAGGTTTACCAAGCCCGGCCCGGCCTGGAGAAAGTGTTTCTATAAGGGGGAAGGGAGGTCCTTCCCACCAAAGCGGAAGCGGCGCGCGCCGGCCGGGCAGACTTAGCTCGCGTCCTGGGAACATCTGGAGGGGGCTGGGAGGGGCGCGCATCCAGGCTGAACGTGGATTGGCTGCTAGGGAGGAGGGAGGCGGGGTCAGGGCCAGGGGCGGGGCTCCCCGGCCCCTTTAAAGCCTTGACATCAGGAGGCGGCTCCGGCACCCCCCTTTCTCTGCCCCCCGCCCCCAAGCCGCGGCCATGGACCTGGCGGATCCGGCCTGCCCTGGCCCAGCTCAACACCTGATTTCGGTGAGTTCTGGGTCTACTTGGGATTGAAAGGGCGGCGAGTGCGGGGGGGCGATCTGTAGCTCCGGGCCGGGGGGAGTGGGGTGTGGAGGGTAAGGCTCTCGTGGCAGTACAGAGTCGGAGAGGGCGTCGCGGCTTCCTGCCCAAACCCTGCTGCCCGCCCCTCCGTCCCTCCCTCCAGCCGCACCCTCCTCGGGGGTCCGGCTGCGACTCTGTGCACCCCCACCCCACCCCCTCCCGCCCCCCGCGCCATCCTCGCGCACACTCCGTGGCCCCGGAAGGGAAACTTTCGGGAGTGGGGGATGTTCCGGGGGCCGGGCTCCCCTCCCTCTTTGAAAGCACTGACCTTGCCCCAGCTGCTCACCCCACCCAACCCGCATCCCACCGTCCGGGTGCCGCTTAGCGGTGCCGGGTTATTGCGGGGGGAGGGGCTCTCTCCCCAAAGCGCAGGCGCGGAGACGAGCCTGGGGCTCCCTTTCGCACTCCTTCCCATTCCCCGTGGCCTGGGGCGGTAGGGCCTGGGGAAGGCGGGGAGAGGCGGAAAGACCGGGTCTCCTAGAGAACAGCCCCTTCAAAGGCTTTGAGGGGCTGCGGGAAGGAGGAAGGACCTGGTGGGCTGCACGCTGAAGAGAAGCTAAGGGAGGGAGAAGGGTTGGTTGGGCAGGGAGCAGGGACAGGGCAGCGTCTGCAGAAAAGGCCCTCTGGGTGCTGGCTGCGGTGCCAGAAGAATGCAGAGAATTCATCTGTGCCCGACGCTTCCCTGGCTTAGCCCAACTAAGAAAGCGGCTGCCCGGATCCTAGCTCCCCTCTCCCTGTCCTGGGCCCAAGGTCCCGCGTTATCTCCAGTCCTGGCACGGCCCCAAGGGCACAGAGGGCCCTCACCTCCCACAGGCCTGGTTTTCCAGGCATCCCAGGGCTGGATCAGCTGAGTCCACTTAGTCTGTCCAGCTGCTACTTCTTAAAGGCCTGCCTTGCTGAGGAGCTGGGGGTCTTGGGCTAAGGAGTTCTCTGGCTGTAGAGGCAATCCCTCCCTCCCACTTCTCCGCGTCTGTCATGGGTCCTCCTTCTTAAGCACAATGGTCAGCCAGAGGAAGTGGCCCGGGCAGGGGTGGCCTGGGGAGCAGTAGAAAGAGTGTCAATGCCTTACCGTTTTGTGGTCAGTACTTTCGGGGAAAATGAACATAGCCCATTTGCCTTGTTGCAGACCCTCCCTTGCAGACATTACGCCATCTGGCTCTCTGAGACTCCTTGTGTGATAGGAAAATTCACTTCTCAAATTGGTCCCCCCATCTTCCTAAAAACAACCTGGGATTAGTGGGTTTCCTATCCCAAAGAAACCGTGTGTATTCCTTTCCGGGGAGATATTCCCATGTTCAAGCTTGTTTTCAAAGTCTATGGTCTGTGCATGAGGTGGCTTTGTCCCTCCAGCATCTTTCTCCAGCTCTGGCCCTCACGAAGAGAGTGAGGACCTGGAGGGGCAGGTGCTGTGGTTGGCAGGGAAGAAGGATCTTCATGATAGGCCGGTGAAGACCTAAGTGTTTGGGGAGCAAGCGGGTATCAATAAAGACAGAGTCAGAAGCTCTGGTCCCTACTTTTCCTAGCTTGCTGTATGACCTTGGCCAAGACAGTTTGCTCTCTGGGGCTCAGTTTCCCCATCTTTAAATGTCAGTAGTTGGACTAGATAGCTCTAATATTCCCTTCCACTTTTTGACATTGAATGGTTCCACTGATGGGTGAATCTATAGGGGAGAAAGGTCCTCTGGCAGAATGGTTCCATTTAGAGGGAGCTAAAGTGTTGGGTGTGCTTTAAATTGCAATTAGTTAGGATTAGAACCCTGGGTAGAGAGAACAGATTCCCTTATTCTAAGCCTGAGAGTAGACCTTGTCCCACACACCCCTGGTGCCTTGGGATATGAACTCCTGCTCCTGCTGGCTTGGGTTTGGCCCACCCATCACGCCTGTGGTGAGACATCCTGGCCCTTTGAAGAGGAGCTGAGAGAGGAGGAGGCAGCCAAGGGCCAGCAGGGTAAGCAGATTCCCAGGAGACAGTTTACGTCTCAGCTGTTGGGACTTGTTTTAGGATCTGGGCCAGGGAGCACAACATACTCACCCACCCGCCCTCTTATAGGAGGAGGGCAAGGAGGGCCCCACTGCTTTTGCCCATCCCACCCCCAGCCCTGCCCACCTCACTGCTGTACTCACACCCCCAGGTCCCAGGCAAGGGGCTAAGGATTCTTCCCCACCGCCCTCATCCAGCCCAGCCAGCCTCCCAGGCCCTGCTATACCAGCCAGTGGCAGCAGTGAGGAGAAGCTGCCCCCACCCCACCTTTCCCAGCCCCTTCCCTCCCCAGGGTAGGACTTCTCAGGAGTTGGGCTCTCCAGGTTGGGACTTGCTTTCCAGCCCAAGAGCCAGAGGTCTTGAAGTTCTTCTTGTTTGTTTTCATCCTCGGTCTCCCAGGTGAAGGGGAATGTTGAAGGAGAGGTGGTGGTTAAGGAAGCCCTGGGTTTGCTCATGTAGGGGCACATTCTCCCTGGGTTACTTTTCCCTCTGCTGGCTCTCCTGGGCCTGGGAAGCCCTCTGCCCTGGGCCCTGCTGCCTATGAAGGTGAAGCTGCAGCAGGAGGTGTTTAGGTTAAATCCCAAGGAAGCCTTCCTTACCGCTGTGAGCCGTTGGAATGGATAATGGAAGCTCCCAGGGAGGTCAGTTTCCCAGAAAGTGGCTAATGCTGGAGTCACTGTCAGACTGAAGGATGCAGCTGTTACTAGGCAGAAGCTGCTGTTCCCTCTTGGGGTGTGGCTCTGAGGCTGGCCAGCCAGAGGCCCCGTTAGAAGGAGGAAGAGAAAGGGCCCTTGCCTGACAGCCGAAGTGGGGTCCCTGACCCCATCATGCCTGAGTCACCAGAGCTGCATCTCTCAAAACAAGTGCCCTTTCTAGCCCCTGCTTCTCAGCCCCCTCCCCCAGTTCACCACCGCTCTCACTGTCTCCTTCGACAACCCTCACCCGAACCTGGCAGGTTCCCCGAGCCCCAGTCTGGCTGCATTAATGGACTGATTGGATTTTCTATACTTGGAGTTTGGGATTTCTGATTGAACATGCAAATTTATGTAAATCAATCTGGGATCTGCCACTACATCAAAACAACACAGAGCATAGGCTGGAAGGAATCCTAGAGACAGTCTAGTCCAACGCCCTCATGTTAAAAATGGGGAAACTGAAGTCCAGAGGGGGAAGTGATTCATGCGGTGGTGAGTGTCAGAGGCAGGACTCCTGATTCTGCTGTGTAGTTTTACATGGTCCCATTCTGCGTTAATGTTTTATGCATGAGGTAGCCTGGCTGGATTTAAGGCAGAGAGGGCCAGTTCTTGAACCTGAGATAGCAGAAAGCTGGGCCCTTGGAGAGTCAGAGTGTTATCGCAGGACCCTCCAGGGGCTCTGGTCAGCTTTGTAACATACCGAGGAAAAGCAGCTTCAAATCCCTGAGAACAAGACCCATAATATTTTCCCCCAGACACTGACCTGGAGGGTTGGAGGCTAAGGTCATTGGTTGCTGCCTGTCTTGGCCCTTGTGGTTTCTCAGGAGCTTAGATTTTGTCTGTCCCGGCATCTGTCACAGTACCAGGCACGCAGCAGGCCGTGGATGGACCTGCATATGCAATGCCTCCATCTTTGTTTATCCTTCTCTCCTAGTTTGAGTCTCTACTGGTTCCCTCCGGGGACACAGTGGGAAAAGGTCGTTGGTCTCTTAGGATGCTTTGCCCACCGTCCTCTGCCCTCTTGGAGGGCAGACGCCAACTGGACCTCCTCTGCAGGTTTCTACGGCACTGGCCAGACAGGCCTTGCTGTAGGAAGGATCTCTTTATTTTAGGATCAATACCAAGGATGCAAGGGGGCTTCAGAGATGGGCTGGGGTCCCCAAGAAGCAGTCTTCCCCATTTCTTGACTCTTCTTGATCTGATCTGCCTACCTGGCTGTAAGGTGCTCCCCACTCCCACTTCATGGACTGTGCCTGTGGCGTGGGGCTGTTCGGAGGGCTGAGCACTCACTTACCCTGTGGTGCCTGGGCACACTGTATAGATGTGGAGGTGCCTGAGGCAGCTGTCAGCCTGCTTTGTGACACTCTGGGAGGGTGGGGCATGGGCTTAAGAACAGAGGCCTTGACTCCCAGCTAAGGCTACTCACCAGGCCCTGCTGCAGCCTAGGAGGGAGCTTGGGACACATATCTGGGTCTTTCTTCACCTTCTCCCCAAACCCAAGTCTGGAGGACTCTGGAACGAGTACCCCTGTCTTCAGCACCTTCCCAAAACACTGCAGATATGGAACTGGCACCCTCACCCCCCACCGCCCAGCAGCCCTCGGCGCCTGTGTCTGTAGTTCTCTGTGAGGGGAAATCCTTCTCCTTGGGCCTCAGTTTCCCAGCCAGTGTTCCTGGATTAATCATGCATCACCACTGGGGTGTGGCATCTGCTCAATCATTACCATTTTCCCAGCTCTGGGAGTTAGGCAGATGAAAGAGGCCAGGCTGTTATTAAGGTGAATTATTGTTGCTGTTATTACTGATTTCTAAAACCCAGCACCAGCAGCTGCTGAGAAGAGCCCAGTCAGGCACAGCACTGTGAACCTTATGCTGGTCCTTGAACTCTGGGAATTCTCCAATATCCACTATGCTTTTTTTTTTTAATGTATAGATGTCTTAAAGGAGAGAAGACCCCATTCTGCTGCTCCTGCTGTTGCCTGCAGGGCTTGAGTGACAGGTGCTGCTTAGGACCTGTGGTCTGCATGTCTCCTCACTCTCATGTAGTTCAGCCTGAAATTGCCCCTGCCCTTAGACACTCTGGGTAGGCCAATGGTCAAGGTTTTTCTAGGCAGGGCTGTGAGGGGCCCTGGAACTCCCGTAGTGTGGCTCTGGGGTTCTCAGCAGTTGCAGTTCCCAGGGGCTGATTTACCTCACTCCCAGCTGGCTTGATGGGGGAGCTGTAATCGGCCCTTCTGTACAAGGATCTGTTCAGACACCCCCAGAACCTGCCCACAGCAGCACCAGGCACTTCCAGGGTCATTTACCCCACTTGCCCCAAACTTCCCCCTGCCCTCTGCCTCTGACCCTGACCAGACTGTCCCCCTTCCCAGGGACCTAGAATAAACCCAACTTTTACCCAGGTGGAAGTGCCCCTGACCAACTTCTGAATAGTGGTGTTACCATGCTCACACCACAGCCTGGGGTTAGGAGGGCCTCTCTGCTAACCCAGGGCAAGATTGCTGGAGAAGAAAGGATGTGAAGGCATCAGCAGCCCTGGATTGGAGCCCCCACATTCATCTGACCGGCCACCTCACCTGCTCCCTTGTCCTAGGGGCCTGGAAGAGGTTGGATGCCACAGCTGGGAGGAGCTTTGGAAATCAACTTGTTGAGTAGTTGGATTCCTTCTAATATTTTTTGCAGTTTTATTTTTTCATCAGGTTTTATAAATATAGTTTGAAAATTGAAATCTCTGCTGGGCACGGTGGCTCATGCCCAGCACTGTGGGAGGCCAAGGTGGGCGGATCACTTGAGGTCAGGAGTTCAAGACCAGCCTGACTAAGACGGTGAAACCTCATCTCTACCAAAAAATATAAAAATTAGCTGGGTGTGGTGGTGTGAACCTGTAGTCCCAGCTACTGGGGAGCCTGAGGTGGGAGGATCACTTGAACCCAGGAGGCAGAGGTTGCAGTGAGCAGAGATTGAGCCACTGCACTCCAGCCTAGGCAACAGTGAGACCCTGTCTCAAAAAAAAAAAAAAAAAATCTCACTCCCACCTCCATCGCGTTCTCCCCCATAATCATTTATTAGTTTCTTGTATATCCCTTGAGTTTCCTTACACAATACCAAATACACACAAATATATATTCTTTTTTTCATTCTTACCCAAAATACAGCGTAGCATGTCTACTGTATTTGTTGCCTTACCTATTAGCAGTACCTGGGTGTGCCTGGATTTCTCCTGCCGCCTATGTCGGCTCTCCTGTTTCTGGCTGTCTTAGTCTGTTTGAACTGCTATAACAACATACCATAAACTAGGCAGCTTAGAAACAACAGAAATTTATTTCTCACAGCTCTAGAGGCTGGGAAGTCCAAGGTGAAGGCAAGGGCAGATTTGGTGTCTGGTGAGGGCCAGCTTTCTGATTCCTGGACAGAGGCTTCTTATTGTGTCCTCACATGGTGGAAGGGGTGAGGAATCTCACCAGGCCTCTTTTCATAAGAGCACTAATCCCATTCATGAGGGCTCCACCTCCATGACCTATTTACCTCCCACAGCACCACCGCCCCGCCGCCCCACAATAGCATTACCTTGGGTATTAGGATTTCAACATGTGGATTTGGGGGGATACAAACATTCAGACCATAGCACTGGCCTTGACCACTCATCCCAGGGTTCCCCAGTTGGCCCCAAGTCATGAGCAGTGTTTGTTCACCTTTGTATACCAAACTTCATTCAGATGCCAGGATTCAGGTCAAACCGGCCTCTGAGGAATTCTCAAGCTATATGAGCGGCCTGTTCATTCAGCCAGCAGATTATTTAGAATTTACTGTGTGCCGGATGCTGTGCTAATCTCTAGGGATACAGTGGTGATCAAAAAAGTCCACGTTAATCAAGTAATTAAACAGTTTTATAATTATAGCTGTGATAAGGGTTGCAAAGAAAGGACATGTGCTATAAGAGCAAGTGCTCCAAGGACCTGCCCCACCTAGTGTTGGGGGTGGCCCGTGCCGAGGCACATGACATGGCACACATGCTGGGAGCAGGAGTCAGGCCAGGACTGCAGATGTGGGTACCATGTGGCCTAGAATGCTGGCTTTCTCAACTTGGCTTGAGTGGCTTCTCTTCTCCCCACTCCCGCAGTCTGTGGGATGTCCTGGGCCCCTTGAGTTTTATTGTGTCCAAGACAGGAGACCCCCTTCTCTGCCAGATGGTGCTGATCATTTCTCTTCCCCCACCCGCATCACATCGTCTTCTATTTCCCCAGCTCTGAGCCTGCAGGCTCCTGAAGCTGGAGGCTTTCTTTCCATTCCAGGCTGAGGGGAAGTTGGGGGGTGGGGATGGGGGTTTGCTTCTCACTTCCTCTGTAGACAGCACCTCACTTCCTGTCCCCCAGGCTAGAAGAAGGCTAAAACTCTTGGCTTTGCTGTCCCTTCCTTTCTCCTCCCTGACTGCTTTCCTGGAAAGCCTACAGGCCTTGAAGGAGCAAGGCAGCATCAAAGCCAGCAGCTTATCCCTGAAGGCCCTGCCGAGCTCCTTACCCCACCCTTACCCCGCACAAGGGACCTGGCTCCTCAGCTGCAGTCCTTTTCTAGATGGGATATTCTTCTCTCCTGTGCCCTGCAGGGGAGAGGAGTCAGAGTCAGAGGGCTCACCCCCATTTTACAGGAAGGAAACTGAGGCCCAGAGGGGTGCCAGCTTCACCTAGGGTCACGCGGTTTGGCTGCATGAATCTCAGGAGCAGAATCCCAAAAGCCTGACTCCTGTTTGTGATCACAAACAAGAGCAGAGCCCAGTGGGGGCTTGTGGGTGAACCAGAGCTGTTTTCTCCTCCCAGCGTAGAGCTGACAGCTTGGGGTGTCACCTCTGGGCTCTGGCTGGATGGTGCCCACTAGCTGAGCACTGGAGTTGCTTGAGTGCAGAAGGCATATTGGCTGGCCAGAGCCTATTCTTTTTGTAGAAAGAAGCCAGGAGATGGGGGCCTGGGTGCAGTGGCTCACGCCTGTAATCCCAGCACTTTGGGAGGCCAAGGTGGGTGGATCACAAGGTCAGGAGATCGAGACCATCCTGGCTAACACGGTGAAACACCGTCTCTACTAAAAATACAAAAATTAGCCAGGCATAATGGCACGCGCCTGTAGTCCCAGCTACTCGGGAGGCTGAGGCAGGAGAATCGCTTGAACCCGGGAGATGGAGGTTGCAGTGAGCCGAGATCGCGCCACTGCCTTCCAGCCTGGGCGACAGAGCAAAACTCCATCTCAAAAAAAAAAAAAAAAAAAAAGGCCAGGAGATAAAGTTTGGGGGATGGGCACTAGGAGCTGGAAGGGTATCTGCCCAGCACTCCTCCCCGTGCAGGTGCAGCCTCCCAGGCCCTATTGTCTCAGACCTGGGAGAAAATACTAATAGCTGATGTTTCAGTGGTCAGCTCTGCCATCACCTCCAGGAGCCTCTCTGCCTTGGTTCCTCCTGTGGGGCCCAGCATGTGTCTCTGGTTATGCCCAGGATATTGAAAAGATGCCAACTCCCTAATTCGGCCAGGGGATAGGAGAGGAGTTAGTTATTGGCATGGGCCAGGGAAGCAGGAAACCATCACCTTCAAATGTCCTTAGATCCAGCTGCACTGAGTCATTCTGGTTCCATATACACCCAGAGGTTTCTGCCTCCTCACTTCTGTTGCTGCCTTTCCTTCTGTGTGGAATGACACCCTTCCCTTTTGGTTGTATGTAAACCCCACCTGTCTTTACCTTCTGTTCACTTGATGTCTCCAATTCTGAAAAACGGTTTCAGCTTTAGCTTAATATTTCTCTCCTGATTTTTAAAGTTCTTCAAAAGACTCCTCTTATGGAACTTCCTTCATAGTACAGCTATCTATCCACATGTCTGTTTTCTTTTCTTCCCTTGAGGCAGAGTCTTGCTATGTTGCCCAGGCCGGTCTTGAACTCCTGGGCTCAAGCAATCCTCTGCTTCTATGCATTCAACTTTTTAGAATCCACATATGAGATCACGTGGTATTTGTCTGGGCCTGGCTTATTTCACGTAACATAATGTTCTCCAGATTCATCCACGTTGTTACCAATGACAGGATTTCCTCCTTTTTTAGGACTGAATAGTGTCCTATTATGTGTATATAGCATCTTTTCTTTATCCATTCATCTACTGATGGATACTTAGGTTGGTTCCATATCTTGACTACAATGAATAAACATGGGAGTACAGATATCTCTTCAACATCCTGATTTAATGGTAGTTCTATTTAAGGGTTTTTAATTTTTTTTTTTTTTTTGAAGCGGAGTCTTGCACCGTTGCCCAGGCTGGAGTGCAGTGGCGCAATCTCAGCTCACTGCGAGCTCCACCTCCCAGGTTCAAGCTATTCTCCCGCCTCGGCCTCCCAGGTAGCTGGGACTACAGGTGCCCACGACCACGCCCGGCTAATTTTTTGTAGTTTTAATAGAGATGGAATGGTCTCGATCTCCTGACCTCGTGATCTGCCCACCTCGGCCTCCCAAAGTGCTGGGATTACAGGCGCGAGCCACTGCACCCGGCCTTTTTTTTTTTTTTTTTTTAAATACAAGGTCTTGTTGTGTTGTCTAGGCTGGTCTTGAACTCCTGACCTCAAGTGATCCTCCTGCCTTGGCCTCCCAAAGTGTTAAGATTATAGGTGTGAGCCACTGGGTCTGGCCTATTT
Source organism: Homo sapiens (assembly GCF_000001405.40). Classification (NCBI taxonomy): domain Eukaryota; kingdom Metazoa; phylum Chordata; class Mammalia; order Primates; family Hominidae; genus Homo; species Homo sapiens. Next base: position 49,818,909 of record NC_000012.12, on the reverse strand, counting down.
TAAGTTTTTTGAGAAACTTCCATACTATTTACCATAGTGGCTATACTAATTTATATTCCCTCCAGTGGTGTACAAGGGTTCCCTTTTCTCCACATCCTTGCCAACACTTATTTGTCTTTTTTATAATATTCTAAATGTATGAGGTAATATCTCATTGTGGTTTAAATTTACATTTCCCTGATGATTCGTGATATCGAGCATTTTTTCGTATACCCACTGGCCATTTGTCTGTCTTTTAAGAAATGTCAGGCTCTGCACGGTGGCTCATTGCCTGTAATCCCAGCACTTTGGGAGGGAGAGGCAGGCAGATTGCTTGAGCCCAGGAGTTCGAGACCAGCCTGGGCAACGTGGTCAAAGTCTGTCTCTACAAAAAAAATCCAAAAAATTAGTTGGGCGTGGTGATGCATGCCTGTAGTCCCAGCTACTCAGGAGGCTGAGGTGGGAGGATCAGCTGAGCCCAGGAGTTTGAGGTTGCAGTGAGCCATGATTGATTGCACCACTGCAACCAGCCTGCACTCCAGCCTGAGTGAATGAGATGTGTGGTTTACAAACATTTTCTCCTATTCTGTAGATTGTCTCTTTAATCTGCTGTTTCCTTTGCTCTGCAGAAGCTTTTTAGTTTGATGTAATCCCCTTTGTTGCCTGTGCTTTTGGGGTCATATCCAAAAAGTCATTGCCCAGACCAATGTCATGGAGTTTTTACCCTGTATTTTATTTTCTCCTAGTAGTTTTACAGTTTCTGGTCAGGTTTAAGGTTTTTTTGTTTTTTTTTTTTTCCAAGACACAGCCTTGCTGTGTCACCCAGGCCAGAGTGCAGCAGCGCGATCTCGGCTTACTACAACCTCCACTACCTCCTGGGTTCAAGAGATTCCTGTGCCTCTGCCTCCCAAGTAGCTGGAATTACAGGCATGAGCCACCACACCCAGCTAATTTTTGTATTTTTAGTAGAGATGAGGTTTCACCATGTTGCCCAGGCTGGTCTCAAACTCCTGACCTCATGTGATCTGCCTGCCTTGGCCTCCCAAAGTGCTGGGATGATAGGCATGAGCACTGCGCCCGGCCAGGTTTAAGTTTTTAATCCATTTTGAGTTGATTTTTATATATGGTGTGAGATGAGGGTCTAATCTAATTTCAGTCTTCTGCATGTGAATATCCAGTTTTCTCAACACTAATTACTAAGGAGACTGTCTTTCCCTGTTGTATGTTCTTGGCATCTTTGTCAGCAATCAATTAACTGTAAACATGTGGATTTATTTCTGGTCTCTCTATTCTGAACCATTCATCTAGTATCTGTTTTTATGCCAGTACCATGCTATTTTGATTACTATAGCTTTGTAGTAGGTTCTTCAAATCAGTTAGTGTAATGCCTCCAAGTTTGTTCTTTTGCTCAAGAACAAACTTTTGCTCAGCTTATTTACCTGGCTTTACTCTAGGATGTGGTGTGATAGGTAGCATGGAGAATTTTGGATTCTCAGGGGTAGGTTCAATTCCTATATTCTAGAAATAAGAGGATTTTAACCTCTATTGTTTACTCTATCAAAGTAATTCTTTTGTGAGATGTATTGCTTTGGCTATTTGGGGTCTTTTATGGTTCCATATGAGTTTTAGGATTTTTTTTCCTATTTCTATGAAAAATATAATTGATATCTTGATAGGGATTGCATTGAATCTGTAGATTGCTTTGGGTATTTATGGACATTTAAAAAATATTAATTCTTCCAATCCCTGAACATGGGACATCTTTCCAGTTATTCATGTCAATTTCTTTTATCAGTGTTTTATAGTTTTTAGTGTAGAGATCCTTCACCTCCTTGGTTAAACTTATTCCCAATATTTTACTATTTTGTACTTTTTTAGGTAGTTCGTTGTTAACATATAGAAAGGCTACTGATTTTTTTTTCTTGCATGTCTTATGTCCCCTATAGACTGAAAGCTCCAAGAAGCCCAAGAGCTGACCCTTCTCTGAATCGCCCCCAGCTATATACCCAAGCATTGCATTTCCTAGTAAGTTTGTCGGTTCAGAAATATCTGTAGAATTAATAGGTTAGTACTATTTGCCAGAGAGAGTCACTGCGGTCTAAGATTGGGTTGAGAACTTTTTTTTTTTTTTTATGAGACAGACTCTCACTCTGTCACCCAGGCTGGAGTACAGTGGCGCGATTTCAGCTCACCACAACCTCAGCCTCTCAGGTTCAAGCAATTCTTCTGCCTCAGCCTCCCAAGTAGCTGGATCACAGGCGCGTGCCACCATGCCTGGCTAATTTTTGTATTTTTAGTAAAGACAGGGTTTCACCATGTTGATCAGGCTGGACTCGAACTCCTGACCTCGTAATCCACCCACCTTGGCCTCCCAAAGTGCTGGGATTACAGGCATGAGCCACCGCGTCCAGCCTTTTTTTTTTTTTTTTTTTTTTGAGAGGGTTGAGAACTTTGAAAGGGTCAGAGACAAATCTGAAAATGTCCCTTCCTCACCCTCAGTATGGTTTGTCCTATGGGCCCTAAGAGCCATTTGATGGAGGATAGTTAGGGGTCTTTTGGGGAACCTGATGAGCCCATGTATGTTCTTAGCTGTCCCTTCTTTCTAACCTTCTTTCTGATGAGAAGGAAAGGAGATCACCAGTTCTGCAGGGGGCAGGGTGGCTCAGGGCCTGGTCTGGTTGGTAGGAGTGGTACACTGGCAGAGGGCGTGGCAGGGAGTGCAGAAATACAAGGAAGGGCCTCTCCTCGGGGAGCTCCCCTTCTAACAGTATAGGGAGTCCCCTCCTCTTCACAGGGAATGTTCAAGAACACAATGCATTGCATTTGGAAATACTGATCTTGCAGGAGGCACTTGTAGAAGACAGAACAATGAGGCTGCACGAGTCCAGGAAAGCTTGTCCGAAGAGTTGCTCTGGGGCCAGACAAAGGCAGAGCTTTGAGGGTTGTGTTGAGGGCTTTGGTCGTTCCCAAAAGCAGTAGGAGGTCGTGGGAAGATTTGAAGTGGGAAGAACACCATCAGATTTATAGTTTTAGAAGGTTGCTATGGTGGAGCTCCTTGGAAAAGTGTTTGTGGCAAGGAAAATACAAGATAAGCCGGGAACATCTTATGGCAAGAGAGTGCTTAAAAAAAAAGGAAGCACTGGCCGGGTGTGGTGACTTAAGCCTGTAATCCCAGCACTTTGGGAGGCCCAGGTGGGTGGAGCTCTTGAGGTCAGGAGTTCGAAACCAGCCTGGCCAACGTGGTGAAACCCCATCTCTACTAAAAATATAAAAATTAACCAGGTGTAGCAGCACACACCTGTGGTCCCAGCTACTCAGGAGGCTGAGGCATGAGAATCGCTTGAGCCGAGATCACGCCATTGCACTCCAGCCTGGGCAACAGGGCAAGACTTGTCTTAAAAAGAAAAGGAAGCATGTTGAAAGAAGGACCCAACCTGAAAGATTCTCAATGGCCAATGGCCATAGCTGGAATTTGAGCAATGAAATGTGATAATATTATTGGATTATAACCCAAAGATTAAAATAAATATCCAGTTCATCCATACCAATATAAATACATGATTAAATGGGATGAAGGGACAATTATTCCTTATAGAAAACTTGCAATTAATAAATATAGAAGGAAGATAAGAAATTGAAAATTATGTTTTAGAGCACCATAGTAATTGCTACAAGCAAGATCCACTGATTTTGGTAAAAAAATTGCTGGGTGAAAATTTAAGGAGAAACAGGATATTTACATAGTCCAAAGTATTGCCCCCAAAAATATTTAATTACAAAAGGAAAAATAGTGACTTTATAATGGAGAAACCAATTAATAGATACTGCCTAACCAAGTGATGAGGTTAAAACATCACCAGGAACAAGAAACCTTGATATCATGTGTGTCCTCAGATATAATGCCCTGGGGAAGGCATATCACCTCCGTGGTATTCTTCTCAAAGCATATAACCTCAGTCTAATTAGTGAGAACATCAAACAACCCAAATTGGAGGACATTCTCCAAAATGTTGACCAGTCCCTTCAGAAGTGTTACAATGATGAAAGGTAAGGAAAGGTCGAGGGATTGTCATGAATTGTAGACACTAAGGAGACTGGGTGACCAAGTACCCTGTGGAATCCTGGATTGGATCTTGGAACAGAATATTGATAGAAAAACGGATAAGATCCATATAAAGGCTATAGTTTCATTTTCTAAAAATTGTTCTGCTAAAGAAAGATGTGGAACCATGAGAACGTGCTACTATGTCTTTTTTTTAAGTATGTATTTATACATAAAGTAACACATAGGCACACAGAAGAAGAGGTGGAAGAGGGGTGGGAGGAGCAGGGGAATGTAATAGGCAAGGGAAAAGTCATCCAGGAAGAAGTGGATACCCTCAAGAAAGTGAAAAGACAGCCCACAGAATGGAAGAAAATATTTTCTTTTTCTTTTTTTTTTTTTTTTGAGACGGTGTCTCACACTGTCGCCCAGGCTGGAGTGCAATGGCACTATCTCGGCTCACTGCAGCCTCCACCTCCCGGGTTCACACGGTTCTCCTGCCTCAGCCTCCCGAATAGCTGGGATTACAGGCGCACACCACCACACCCAGCTAATTTTTTGTATTTTTAGTAGAGACGGGCTTTCACTATGTTGGCCAGGCTGGTCTCGAACTTCTGACCTCGTGATCCGCCCACTTCGGCCTCCCAAAGCGCTGGGGTTACAGGCTTGAGCCACCACACCCGGCTGGAAGAAAATATTTTCAAATCATATATATATATATATATATAAATATAAAATAAAGGACTTGTATCTAGAATATGTAAAGAATTCTGAAAACTAGGCTGGGCAAAGTTGCTCATCCCTGTAATCCCAGTGCTTTGGGAGGCCAAGGCAGGAGGATTACTAGGAGGAGTTCAAGATCAGCCTGGGCAGTATGGCAAGACCCTGTCTTTACAAAAAATTTTAAAATTAGCCAGCTGTGGTAGTCCTAGTTACCTGGGAGGCTGAAGTGGGAGGACCACTTGAGCCTAGGAGTCTGAAGTTACAGTAAACTATGACTGTGGCAGTGCACTCCGGCCTAAGTGATAGAGCCAGATCTTGTCTCTTAAAAAAAAAATGTAGGCCAGGCGCAGTGTCTCATGCCTGTAATCCCAGCACTTTGGAAGGCCGAGGCGGGCAGATCACTTGAGGCCAGGAGTTGGAGACCAGCCTGGCCAACATGGTGAAACCCCATCTCTACTAAAAATACAAAAATTAGTCAGGTGTGGTGGCACATGCCTGTAATCCCAGGTACTCGGACGGCTGAGACAGGAGAACTGCTTGAACCCAGGAGGTGGAGGCGGCAGTGAGCTGAAATCGCGCCACTGCACTTCAGCCTGAGCGACAGAGTGAGACTCCATCTCAAAAAAAGTAAAAAATAAAAATAAAGAATTCTCACAATTAGATAATAAAAAGACACAATCCCCAATTTAAAAATCAGCAAAAATTTGAAAAACATTTCTCCAAGGAAGAGATGCAAATGGCCAATAAGCACATGCAAAGATGTTTAACATCATTAGTCATCAGGGAGGTACAAACTCAAACCACAATAAAATCTCACTTCACACTTACTGGGTGGCTGGAATCAGCAGATCAAATAATAAGTGGTGACGGTATGGAGAAATTGGAACCCTCATACACTGCTGGTGGTATTATAAAATGGTACACCTGCTCTGGACAACAATCTGACAGTTCCTCAAATGATTAAACCTGCAATTATTATATAACCCAGCAATTCTACTCCTAAGTATATACCCAAGAGAAAGGAAAACATACATCTATACAAAAACTTGTGTAGTGATCCACATTTGCAGGGTCCAACCAACTGTGGGCCAAAAATATTTGGGGGAAAAATCAATTAAAAAATAACAATAAAATAAAAATAATACAATAATACAGTAACAACTGTTTACATAGCATTTACACTGTATTAGATATTATAAGAAGCCTGGAGATGATTTATAAAGTACACCAGAGGAAGTGTTTAGGTTTTATGCAAATACTGTACCATTTTTTATATAAGGGACTTGAGCGTCCTCAGATTTTGGTTTTTGCAAGGGACCTAGATCCAATCCCCTGGGGATGCCAAGGGATAACTACATAAATGATCATAGCAATATTCATAATAGCTAAAAAGTGAAAACAAGCCAAATGTTCATCAGTAGAATGGATGGATAAACTGTGGCTGGCCCATACAGTGGAGCACTGTTCACCCATACAAAGGAATGGAGGCTGGGTGTGGTGGCTCATGCCTGTAATCCCAGCACTTTGGGAGGCCAAGGAAGATCACCTGAGGTCAGGAGTTCGAGATCAGCCTGGACAACATGGTGAAACCCCGTCTCTACTAAAAATACAAAAATTAGCCAGGCGTGGTGGCGGGCGCCTGTAGTCCCATCTACTCAGGAGGCTGAGGCAGGAGAATTGCTTGAACCTGAGCGGCGGAGGTTACAATGAGCCAAGATCACGCCACTGCACTCCAGCCTGGGCAACATGAGTGAAACTCTGTCTAAAAAAAAAAAAAAGATGAAAACCAAGCAAAAAGAATGGACTACTGATACGTGCAACAACATGGATGAACCTTGAAAACATCATGCAAAGTGAAAGAAGCCAGTCGTAAAAGGCACCAATGATATGATTGAATTCACATGAAATGTCCAGAATAGGGAACTCAATAGAGACAGAAAATAGATGAGTGGTTGCCTGTGACTGGGTGGGGAGGGGGCAGTGTTAAGGAAAGGAACAATAAAAGCTAATAAAAGTGTTCTAAAATTAACCATGTTGATGATTGCACGTATCTCTGAGTATACTAAGAACCACTGAATTGTACACTTTCAGTGGGTGAATTGTGTGAGACATGGACTGTCTCAAAGCTTAAAAAAAAGTCCAGGAGGAAGTGGTCACAGAGGTCTTATACCTGCGATGGCAATGAGGACTGAAAAATATTGTTTGGATTTAGCATCGTGGTGGTTACCACTGAAGTCGGACCAGGTTAAGGGAACAATGAGAAGATGGTTTTGGGATTTTCTTTTTTGTTTTTTGAGAAGTTTGGCTTTGAAGTATCTAGAGTATTTTTTGAAATTTGGCAGTATCTGGGAAAATGTCAAGCAAAGATTGTTGTTTTTGTTTGTTTAAGAGAATAAAAAGGGTCCCTCTTTGTCGCCCAGGCTGGAGTGCAGCAGTAGCCGGGTCATAGCTCGCTGCAGACTCGGAGTCCCTCAAGTGATCCTCCCACCTCAGCCTCCCAAGTAGCTGGGACTACAGGTGTGAGCCACTGTGCCCAACGAGAAGATTGTTTTTAAGATTTAAAGATTTTAAGTTTTAAAGGGTAGATGAGAAAGCTGTCTTCAGGAGGTAGATACTGAAGACGTAAATGGGGAAAGTCTGGGACAAGCAGGACTGGCTTTGCCCGGGAGCAGGCAACTCATCTGCTGTAATAGTGGATGAGGAGGTGGGGAGGGTTCCGAGGGGGATGGGAGGGTGGCGGCAGGAGGTGTGAGGGGGTTCCCCTCTGCTGGCTTTAATCCTCTGGGGAAACAGGAGGGTGGTAAGCCAGAAGTTATAGGAGAGTGGAGAGGGTGTGTGCTACTCATGGCACAGAATGAGAGAGCAGCTCTCTTACTTGAGCTGGGCAGGATTGCCAGGCTGGACTGACAGTGGGGCTGAGCTGGCCTTCTGTGGTGGGGAAGAGAGTGAGAGAGCGCGTAAGCACAAGCCTGGGGACAGGAGTCCCTTTGCAACACCCACTCCTTGTGGAAAGAAGCATTGTCCTAGAATACGCAAGTTGAGGAATCCCAGGGAACTTCTTGAGCTCGCATGTGGCTATCTAAAATTAAATGTAAAATTCAGTTCCTCAGTTGGACTAGCCACATTTCAAGTGTTCGGCAGCCAGGTGTAGCTAATAGATAGCTTCCATGTTGGATAGTACAGACTAAGCATGTTCATTATTACAGAAAGTTCTACTGGACAGCACTGTTCTAGAAAAATGACTCCAACTTTTTGGTCTGAGGACCCTTCTATACGCTTAAAACTTGAGGACCCCGAAGAGCTTTTGTTTATAAATGTTATACTTACAGTTATTTAATTAATTTGTTTAAAAATAGCAATAAACCCATCACATGTTAACATATTTTATTTAAAAATTTAATTGTATATGTTCCAAAAACACAAATAATAATAAGTCATTGTTCTCTATTTTTGCAAATTTCTTCTGTCTGACTTAATAGAAGGAAGCTGGCTTCTCCTGTCTGCTTCGGTATTCAATCTTTTGCGGTATCACACAGCATAGTATCTGGAAAATGCCACTGTACACTCAGGAGAGAATGAGAGTAATAAAGGCAGATAGTGTCTTAGTAGTAGTATTAGGAAAACAGCTTTGACCTTACAGACCCCTGGAGAGGGCCACAGGGTGCCTAGGCCCCACTGTGGGAACCACTGTGGCAGAACAACAACCACTTGGCGTGAAGAAACTCATCTCGGGGAGACGGAATGATTTGCCTAGTCACACAGCACATAAGTTAATTGCAGAGTTCGAACTGGACTCCATGCCTAGACTCTTCTGCCTTCCGGTCTAAGGCTGTTTCCAGTACCCTCGGCTGGGCTAGGACGGCCTGGGCTGGACTTTTGGGAGTGGGGCCTGGGCCACTTGGCTGCAGAGCCCCTGGTGTGTGGTCCTATAAATAAACCCATTGTGTCGGCACCCCTTCCCTCTCCCCACCCCCTTCCCTCCCCCCACCCCCGGCAGCTGCTAGTTTTGTTACTGGGTTATGCTGTGGACAGGGAGCAGGAGGGCTCTGAGGGAGGGGAGATGAGGGATGTTGAAATCTGGAGGCCTTTGGGGCTTATAACACGACTGCCCTTCCTTCTTCCCTTCCTGGAAGGGCCGAGGACCTATCCTGCAGCTGGTTTGGAAGAACTCACACCATGGTGGTTGAGGTGCTTGGAGTGCCTGTGAAACGGAAGTTGGGGGGATGTAGGGGGCCCCTTCCAAGACAGATGCCTCTCAGAAGGGCTATTGTGTCTCCAGTACCAGTTGTCAGGAGGAGGGAAGGAAATTCTTGTCTGCCCTCTTACCCTGAATGGGGAGGAGACCAGTTGGAATTCTCAGGGCTGAAAGATGCTTTGGGTCAGGGATTAAGTGGCCCCTTTCAGGCTAGAAGTGCCCTGGGAGCCAGGCCTCAGTCCTCCTATCCCTCCCCACACTCCTCAGCAGCCCAGGGCTGATCTTGGCTGGAAAGGGTGTTTGCTGTGGGGACAGAAGTTGCTGTTTACAAGTGGATTCTTGGGTGTGACTGGTAAAAGGGCTGGGAGGGTAAGAGGGATTCCAGAAAGCAGCTGGGGAGGGTGCGGAGGGAAGCGGTTGGTGTTACGGGTGATTCTGTGATTAAGTGAGCTCTCCATCTCTGCCTTCCTACAGCTGCCCACCCTCCCCCACTCCTGGTCCCTGGCTTCTCTCCCTAGAGGACTCTGGGGGGAACAGCTGGTGAATGAGGGGCTCACCAGGGGCCAGGAGGCCTTGGCTAAGGGCCGGGGTGAGGGAATGAGGACAGGCTTGCTGCCGCCTGCCTCTCCAGCCCCTTCCTCCCATGCCTGGTCTCTGTTCAGGGAGGGGTCTTGCCTGTGCCCTGCTGGAGAGGAGGTAGGAGCCACAGACCCCTTCTGGTCTGGCTAACTGAAAGGCCAGGACAGTAAGATCTCTTTGGAGGCCCTGAAAGCCCCTGTCCCCTCCTGGCTTTAAGGGGGAAGGGAGAGCTGGGGCCCTCCGTGACTGACTTGGCTGAAGAGATGGTGGTCGCCCAGGTTACCCAGAGACCCCTGAGCAAGTTTCCTCCTTCCTCGGCCCTGGCTGCCTGAAAACTGGCCCCCTCCCCACACCCTCTGAAGGACGAGCCAGAGAGGACTCCGCTCTTCTCCCCCCTCCTTCTCTCCCTCCCCCTGCACTGAGGTCACCTCCCTCAGAATCAGGCCTTTGTGGATGGCAATTCCGGCGGGAGAAGCCTCCAGTTCAAGTTAGAGTTCCCAGACCCTGCCTGGCCGGCACTGTGTGTCCAGACCCAGCGTCCCAGACGTGTTGGGGCCACCAGAGGAATGTCTGAAACCAGAGCCATTCCAAAAACCCGAAGCCTGGGGTTTTCCCTGCCCCAGGTCGGGCTGAGCTCATGGCTGTGAGCAGGAGCTGTGGGTCCTGAGGGAGGAGGCGGTGCTCAGCCCCTGGGGAGGCAGCAGGGACCACCACTGCGAAGCCTGCCTGGGCAGGCATCCCCCATGAGAGGCAGGCAGAAAGCCCAGACTCCAGAGGGCCACATTCCTGACTTGGCTTCGATTTGGAGCTGGTGGTGGTGGTCTCTCTCTGGATCTTGACCTTCCCTAGAGAAGGGTAAGGACGCAGGAAGTTTTCTTTAGAAATCTTGAACTCAGACTCTGGGCCGACTCTCATGGCCCGTGCTCCTCCCCACCACCAAGCTTTCCTGCAGGTCTCTTCCCCGTGACAGCTTCCTGCCCTCCACTGTGACGGCCCTGCAGATGCAGAGGAGGCCCCCTCATCCTGGGCTGACCCCAGACCCCCTCGCTGTGAGGCCAGAAAGTATTTCTCCTGAAGAGGGGCTGAGTCCTAGCCCCACTCCAGCTGGGGCACTCTGAGAAGAAGAACTGTGACCACTGGCTGGCTCATAAATCGGAGGGTCTCCCCCATTCTCAGTGGAACTCGGGCCTCCTGGCCTGGGATTCACAGGGGCTCAGCTGTGGATCGGGGCCATGCCTGGCTTTGTGTGGAGTGTGTGGGGTCTCCATGCTCCTCAACACAGAAAACCACTGCGTGCACACATAGAGAGTCCGCAGCCAGTCCTCACAGCCTGGCCTTGCTCTTAACCTGGATGCTTTTTTATTATTTTGGGAAAAGATACTCTACATTGTTTCGTTGTTGCTTTCTTGTGAAGAACACAAATCTTAGGGTTTCCCGGTCCTTAGCGTTATCCTTTTCCAGACCCCGAATGCTGCCTTCTTCATCCCATTCCTTTCCCTCACCCTCCCAACTTTTTTCTCTTCCTCCACAGCATACCTCAGCCACACCCTAGCCCCTCTGATGGTGAGGGGATTGAGGGACACGCTGGGGACCGATGGGCAGGTTGCTGCAGGCAGTGGGAGGACAGTGGCCCAGAGACCAGAGTTGTGGGTGAGGGTGGCACTGGTCAGATGCTGGAGGTGACCTGAGACATTCTGGGTTTCACCCCATTTGAGTGTGGGAAGGAAGATAATTCTTAAATATTTTTCATTTTTTTTCCAGGCCTGTATATTTCTAAGTCTATCAAACGTGATAATGTTATGAGCAAACCAAGTTAAATATGATACATTTTTATGATGTTAAAATAAAAAACTTCAGATTATTATACAGTATTAACAATAAGCATTAGAGGCCAGGCACAGTGACTCGTGCCTCTCATCCCAGCCACTTGGGAGGCTAAGGCAGGAGATCACTTGAGCCCAGGAGGCCAAGGATGCAGTGAGCTATGAACGTGCCACTGAACTCCAGCCTGGGCAGTGAGGTGAGACCCTGTCTCTTTAAAAAATAAAAAAATCAGTATTAAACAGGTCTTCCTTTTCCTCCAAGTGTTTTCAGAAGTCCCCTTCCCACTGTTGTGTACACACACACACACACACACACACACACGAAGAAGCATTCTCTCTTTTCACTGTAATCCCAGCCCCCAAACATCCAGCTGCTTCTCTTTCTGGGGTATAGAAGAGAAGAGGGAAGGCAAGGCTGGCCCTGGGGCTGGAGGGCCGGCTGGGAGGAGTTGGAGAGGAGGCCTCTGAGGGCAGGGTGGGCAGAGCAGCATTCTGAGATCTTCAGGTGCCCCTATAGCGGAGACCCCTGGGTAAGGGCCCTGGGACTCGGAGTCGGCCTCTGTGTGAACGGACAAGGTAGCAGCAGGCTCCACAACAACCCCATAGCTTTGTACTGTGCCTCTGTCAGCAGGTGATGATATGAAAAGTCTCCATTTATGGAATTCACGCCAGACACTCTACATATATTATCTCATTTTGTCCTCCAACAACCCTTTGGGCTAAGTGTTCTTATCCCTGTTTTACAAGTGAGAACAAGAGAAAAGAGATTCTTTAGTGTCAGATTTCTAGCCCAAGTTTCTAGCCTCCAGGGAGCCTTAGGGCTGTACGGAGCTTAAATGTCTGTTTTACTGTGGAGCTTACAGTGAAGCTTGGGTGTGTGCAGAGGAGTGGGAAAATCTAGGCCTGTCTGGTGTGCTTTGTGAAGTAGTCATGTGACTTGGGCAATATCCTCTGCCCCAGAGCCTGCCTCCTCCCGCAGGCGGGTGCTCCCCTTCCAGGGTTGTTAGGAGAACTGGATGGGATGGTGTGGAAGAAAGCGCCTGTGCTATTCATCACACTGGGTAAACACAGTGTGTGCAAGTGTAACTTTCTGTTCCTCGGTTTCCTCATCTGAAACACAGGCACTGATAATAGCATTTAACATTGTTGTGGTTAACTGTTGAGCACGAGGCAAGACAATGTATGTTGTAGAACCGGGTTGTAAAGTACCAGGTGTGACTTTTCAGTCTCCTCTGTTGTCTGATGATTCCTGGCTGAGAGATGGGGACCTTTGCACTGGCTCTTTCTGCTGTCCCAAATGCTTTCCCATTCCAGGATTTCATCTGGACTTCATTCAGGTCTCTGCTTAATTGTCATCTCTCAGTGCCTTATCACAACCCAACGCTGTACATTGTCGGCCTCGTCCAATAGAGTGGAAGCATCATAGCGGCTGGGCTGTCTCTGGCTGTTCGTCCCGTGTCCCAGTGCCTGGCACATAGCAGGAGCCCAGTAAGTGCGTGGCTGACGTCTTTTTTTTTTTCTCCACAGGCAAGGTGACCGTTCTGGATGCTAGAGTGAGTGTGCCCACCTGCGTAAGGGGGCAGAGACAGGTGAGGGGCTTTGGGGCCTGTGCATGCTGGGGGTGGGAGAGGCACCCCTGGGCTCCACTGTGGAGGATAAGGAAGCAAGCACTCAGATGGCTCGATGGTGAGCTGCTGAGGACACCTCTCTCCTATAGTCCAAAAGCTCCAAGCCTTTTTATTTTTGTTTTGAAACGGTCTTGCTTTGTTGCCCAGGCTTGAGCACAGTGGCGATCATAGCTCACTGCAGCCTCGAACTCTAGGGCTCAAGGGATCCTCCCACTTCTTTTTTTTTCTTTTGGTAGATGCGGTCTCAGTATGTTGCCCAGGCTGGGCTTGAACTCCTAGCCGTAAGCCATCCTCCCACCTTGGCCTCCCAAAGTGCTGAGGTCACAAGGCATAAGCCACCACGCCCAACCCCATTTTTCTTTTGTGGGGGCTTCAATGGCACAAGGGGTAGTCAGTGATGGACCAAGCTTCCACCCTTTTATAATAGGAAGGGTTGCCCATCTACTGGAAACCTCCACAATATTTGTATGAAAGAAAAACAGCATTTTTCTCTAGCAGAGAAATTGGAACTCAATTGGAAGATGAAGACTAGTCAGTTCAAGCTAGCAACAATGGCAATGGTTTGGTGGGGTGGGAGGATCCCATGGTGTGATGCAGGTCTGAGCCCTGGCCGTGCTGGATGTGGTCATGAGCTTCGTCTAGTCATCAGTCTGTCTCCTACATGCCAGGGATCCCACCAGGAGGCATGTGAGTTTGGATGGGGAGGCAAATGCAGTGTTCCTGCCCTCACGGAGTTGACTGTCTGGTGGGGGAGGCTGGTGTACAATCTTGCAGGAGCATCGCCTGGGAGCCCTGAAGGATGAATAGGGAGGAGCTGGCCAAGTCGAAAGGAGCGGGTGGTGTCAAGAGACCCCAGCAGAAGGACCATCGTGCACAAAGAGCCTGATCTGACGGGGCCTAGCTCCTGCCAGGGCAGTGGGTGCCTAGTGAGGCTGGAGCTAGAAAGCAGAGCCCCGGAGGGGTGCAGGGCACTTCCCACTTTGTCCAGGAGGAGCCTGAGGCCCAGGGATCGGGACCTTGCCCTGGGATAACCCAGCAAGTGAGCACTGGAGCCAGAGCTAGAGCTAAGGGCGCCAGGCCCCAGGCTCAACTGTATTCTCCCCATGTGCTGAGTCGTGTTCTCAGGGTGCTCTTCCCTACGTGGTCACATTTGACTCTCACAATGACCCTGTAAGGGAGGAAGAATTCTTCTGCCCATTTCTCAGAACTAGGAAACTGAGGATCATCTGGTTGACCGAGTGAATGAATGAGCTCGGTTTTCATATGTTCACCCAGTTCATACTAAGCAGAGCCAGGCAGAGGCTTTTGGCCGCAAAGCCAGGGTTTTATCCATTGTCTCCACTATCTAAAGCATGTGCCTGCTCCAGGCAGGGGATCACCGATGCCCAGGACAAAATCCTAGTTGTCTTACTTGTTAAATTAGTTTAAATTATTATTACTGTTATGAGTAATAACGGTCTTGTGTTTTAAGTGTTTTTTTTTAACTTCTTCAAATCACTTTCACAGACCTAATCTTTGTTTGCAAACACTGAATGAGATTAGGGGATATTGGTGTTATTTTACAAATAGAGGGACTGAGACCCAGGGAGGCTGAATGACGTGCCAGCTTGAGGCCAGTCCCAGTAGAGAAATCAGGTTTCTTGTGTGAGTATGGGGCTTTCTAAAACAATGGTCTCTGTTCTTAAGATGAGGAGAGTATCTGTGTTGTCTGCCCCGTGACCGTGACCAGGAGATACCCAGCCTGGCCCTGAGTTATTACAGTGTCATGCATATAGGTCACACTGACCTAAGCTCCAAGGAGACTAAAGGGTTTCATCTTTGTCCTCCTCCTTCTCACTTCCTCCTCATTCCCTGGAGTAGCCTGCCGGGGCTTCTCTTCCTTGTTCCCAGGGCCAGATGTCAGAGGCCATGGACCAGCCAGCTGGGGGTCCTGGAAACCCAAGGCCAGGAGAGGGTGATGATGGCAGCATGGAGCCAGGCACCTGCCAGGAGCTTCTGCACCGACTGCGGGAGCTGGAGGTGCGGCATGGGGCGTGGTAGGGGCAGCAGTGCCAGCCAGAGCCCTGGGGAGGCAGGGCTGCCCCTCCCTCTGAGCTTCCTGCAGGTTTTTGGGTGCCATGGGCCTTCCTCTCGGCCTGCTTTGCCAGGCAGGAGGCTAGCAGAACATTCTTTTGCAAAGCTCCTCTGAGAAGCCCTTTCCTTGCTCTTAGCTGCCCGGCCCAGTGACGGCTCGGGGACAAGAAGCATGCACAGGGATGAGTGTCCTAACCCCCAAACACCTCCCTTCCTTACCTCTCATGCCTCTGCAGGCTCTAGGAAAGGGGGTGGTCAGAGGCCACAAGAGGAAGAGGCTGGATGGCCCATGGCTCAGGAGTTGAGGGATAAGGGTGCAGATCCTCAGACCACACCCCTCACCACATTCTTAACACCCTGTCATCCTCCCTAAAGCCTCCTCTGCCCGTCTCCCAGGGAAATAAGGGTTACTGTGGGCACCTCCCACCTCAGGTCTACTTGGCCACTGTATCCCCCAGAGCCCCCATTGCCACTGACTGAGGTCGGGGTTTATAGAAAACCATCCCAGGTCAGCCCTGCCCTCCTGCTGCCCTTGGCCTCTGCAGGATTCCTCATATGAGAATCTGCTCACAGCCAAGAGCTGGAGTGGGGGTATAGTTAGCACCCCTGTAGTTGCCTCCCCTTTCCCAAAAGGAATGTGCCCTGGGGGAAGAATAATCCCCAAAGCCACCTTTTTGCCCTCTTCCTCCCTCACTCCTGCAGGCAGAGAACTCGGCACTTGCCCAGGCCAACGAAAACCAGCGGGAGACTTATGAGCGCTGTCTGGACGAGGTCTGTGGGTCTGTAGTGGGACTGGGGGGATGTGGCTCATCTGCTCCTGGCAGAAGCTGGGGTCAGCTGATGGCTCTGCCTCGGGGCTTTCTGTCCCCAGGTTGCCAACCATGTGGTACAGGCGTTGCTGAACCAGAAGGTGAGTAACCCAGACACCCTGGGGAGAAGCCCTGGGCACAGCAGATGAGACCCTTCCTGGAGACTAAGGGCTTGGAGGACATGGGCTGTTGCCCTCCAGTGATTCCCCGTCTTTCCGCCTTGGGCGGGTCCATTCTGTTCTACCTAGAGACAGAGGTGGGACTAGGTAAGGCCAGGTCTCTGAGCAGTGGTCACTGATTTGAGCATGACTTCTTCCCTTACCCTGTCCCCAGCTGGCTTTTCCAGGTTGTGATAGCCCTTAAAGCAGTGTTGATGTTGTGAGCCTAAATGGCATCTGAATATTTACTCACCTATGGTGGATAACTTCTTGACATTGGGGCCACTTTAACTCCAAGGCCTTGCTCTGTCTTATATAGGCCCTTTTTTGATGTGTGGTTTCTAAGAGGCAGAGGGCCAGGCGCGGTGGCTCACGCCTGCAATCCCAGCACTTTGGGAGGCCGAGGTGGGCAGATCACGAGGTCAAGAGATCAAGACTATCCTGGCCAACATGGTGAAACCCCGTCTCTACTAAAAATAAAAAAATTAGCTGGGCATGGTGGTGCACTCCTGTAGTCCCAGCTACTAGGAAGGCTGAGGCAGGAGAATCGCTTGAACCCAGGTTGTGGAGGTTGTAGTGAGCCGAGATTGCACCACTGCACTCCAGCCTGGCGACAAAGTGAGACTCCGTCTCAAAAAAAAAAGAAAAAAAGAGGCGGGGGGTCGATTCTAGGGATGAGAAAGATAACAAAGAGAATAGGATTTACCTCCCACCAGGGGTGATAAACTTTAGAGAATTTACCATCCCTAGAAGATGCTATAGCTACCAACATCGGCAGGCTTAGATTCCTCATAGAAGGAGGTTGCAGCGGAAGTGTGTGCCCAGAAGGGTCCTGGGGCCTCCAGACAGATGCCGCTGCTCTGATGAAGAGCACTGTGACACTCTCCCACCATCCTCACCTCTTCTTCCTGCACTTCCCGGGGTGGGCGGCAGGACCTGCGAGAGGAGTGCATCAAGCTGAAGAAGAGAGTGTTTGACCTGGAACGGCAGAACCAGATGCTGAGTGCCCTGTTTCAGCAGAAACTCCAGCTCACGACAGGCTCGCTCCCTCAGGTAGGCATCTGCGCTCCTTTCACTCCCATCGCACTGCCTCCTGCCTCCTCGGCTCCATCGGCCCCATCACTGTCTTCTCACGTGCCCCTAGGGAAGCAGGCCATCAGCTGTCCACCTTCCATTCTGGGGGTATGGAAACTACCCAAGTCCCCTGGGTTTGGCCGTTCCCTCCTCCCAGTGCTCCCCACCAGCGGGAGGGTGTCCCTTCTTGTTGACAGAGCTTTGCACTTGCTCCTGCCTTGGGTGGGGAGATGGGTGGAGTCTGCAGATGCAATTATTTCAAGCTTCCAAGAGGCTTATTTGGCCACTGACACAGCCTCTTCTTGGCCGGGCACAGGGGTAGGGCTGGGTGTTAGGCAGCCTAGGGTATGGTGTCACAGAGAGGTCAGGAAAGACATTTCGGTTCTGATAACTGTTCACAGACAGTCTCTGCTGGGAGCCCTGACACCTCCCTTCCCCAGGAGAAGCAGGAGGCTATTGGGAGTGACTCCTGGGCTGAGTTAAGGTGTCACTTGAGGTTACTCTGTGAGGAACCCCCAAGGATGGGGTAAGACATGGGGGTGGGAGGATCAGGAGCAGCTCCAGATGCCTGAGGTGAGCAGCAGGTTGTTTCTGAGGTTAGCCAGCCCCTTCCCCTCACTTTGACAAGAAGAGAAGCACTTTTCTGTGTGTGTGTATGGGGGAGGGGGGTGTGCGTGTTTGTGTCTGTCTGAGGCAAACTGGGCAGCTCTTGGCCCCCAGCCCCTGAGCAGGCAGCCCCTCTGCTCACTGGTAGCTTGGCCCTTGCAGAGGCGGCCCCTTGTCACCATGGCCACTCTGGAGCCCCCGTCTCGCCAGGTTGGCACAGAGCTGGGTCAGAGTCCACAGCAGTGACTCTGCAGTTCTCCTTGCCCTAGATCTGTCCCTGTGGCAGGGTTCACCCTGGAATCCCCGGAGGCCCAACCACAGCAGCTCAGCCCACCCCAGCACACTCTTCTCAATGACTGCTGATAACAGAGGGGTCGAGTGTCCTTAAATCATTTACTTTTTACCTAAATGAATTCTGGAACCTCATGGGGTTTGGGCCAATAGATTTATCTTCCCCAGAGGTAACATGACATAATGGAAAGAGCACGAAGCTTGGCCTCGGATAAACTTGGGTTGGATCCCTAACTTAGCTACTTCTTAGCTGTGTGACCTGGGGCAAATTACTAAGGTTTACAGACTATAGTTTTTTCTTTACAGATAAGGATAAAAATACCCATATTGCAGTTGACGTGAAGATTCAATGAGATGATGTGTCGCGCTTGGCCCACAGTAGATAGTCAGTCAGTGGCAGCTGTTTATGATGTGATTCCCAGCTTGTGCTTTGCTAGGGTGAAAGCCCCTTTGCACAAATGCCAATTAAGCTCTTACTGTGAGCAGTGCCTTTGACAACACGTATGGAATTGGACTGCATCACAAGGCCCTGTCTAAGGGCTGAGGCCTCTGCAGGCCAACAGGAGCCCAGGACCCTGGGACTGTTGGGAGCTCAGGGAGGTAGAGACGCCATGCCACAAGGCAGAGTGTGACAGTGCCGTCAAAGAACCCAGGGGACAGTGTGGGGAGGCCATCAGAGAAGGATGGAAATGACAGTGGAACTGGGCCTTAATGGATGGATGGAAGATTTTTTTGAGATGGAGTTTCACTCTTGTTGCCCAGGCTGGAGTGCAATGGCGCGATCTCGGCTCACCGCAACCTCTGCCTCCCGGGCTCAAGCGATTCTTCTGCCTCAGCCTCCCGAGTAGCTGGGATTATAGGCATGCGCCACCATGTCCAGCTAATTTTCTATTTTTAGTAGAGACAGGATTTCTCCATGTTGGTCAGGCTGGTCTCGAACTCCTGACATCAGGTGACCCACCCGCCTCTGCCTCCCAAAGTGCTGGGATTACAGGCATGAGCCACCATGCCCGGCCGGATGGGAGATTTTAAGAGTGGAATGGGGACTGGGGCAGAGGGATCCCTGTGGAAAGAACAGCATGAGCAAAGATCCAAGGGCAGGGAAGCCCAGAGAGCAGCAAGCTGTGCAGCTTGGCTGGAGCAAAGTACGTGTGAAGGGACAGTGAGGGAGACAGCAAGGTGGAGACGGTGGCATGGGAAGAGCTGGCCAGCCAGGCCCGGAATGCCTGCAGAGGAGTTCACACTTGTTTCCATGGGCAATGGGCAGGCATAGGAGGCTTTTGAGCACAAAAATGCTTTAGAAAAGAAAATGAGGCCGAGCGCGGTAGCTCACGCCTATAATCCCAACATTTTGGGAGGCTGAAGAGGGAGAATCACTTGGGCCCAGGAGTTCAAGACCAGCCTAGGCAACATAGCAAGACACCATCTGTACAAAAAAAAAATTTTTTTTTAATTAGCCAGGCATGGTGACACGTGCCTGTAGTCCTAGCTACTCGGGAGGCTGAGGCAGGAGGATTGCTTGAGCCCAGGGGATCTAGGCTGCAGTGAGCTACAGTCGTGCCACTGCATTCCAGCCTGAGTGACAGAGGCAAAACCCTGTCTCAAAAAAAAAAAAAATCTCATCTCATTGTTAGAGTTTATAGTTTAAAGAAAAAAAAAGATGCTTGAGGTTCTCTTGTGCACAGGAGATTGAAAGACCACCAAACCAGGTCAAGGAGACTGAATGAGATGCTGAGTAGTGCAGGCCAGAGGCAGGAAGAACTGGGCTGGAGGCGCTGCTGCAGCTGGCCATAGGTTGTGGGGCAGGGGGCCTTGAGGGGCGCTGCAGAGACAGGGTTTAAAGGCTGTGAAGAATGAGGGAGAGGGAGGAGTTAAAGCTGACTTATATCTAGCCACAAGATGCCCAGGAGAAGGAAATTACATTCTCAGGGACTGAGAATGATTAAATCCTGCCTTTTCAGTCCTCAGAGTAGATGTTCCACATGAGACCAGGTAGGGGAGACAGAAATATTATAACTCCCTGCCATCTCTTTCCTAAGACCATCTAAGACCATTTATCTCAGCTGTCCCTATGATCCTCAGATCCCAGGTGGTCAGAACAGGAAGAGACCTTTGCGGTAACCCTCTTTGTGAGAGGAGAGGAAGCCCCACAGAAAAGTAAAGCAGGCCTGGAGCTAAGAAAGGCACCCAGAGTTAGACTGGCTGTGGCCCTCTGGGCTCGGGACATTCATGTTTCTCCAAAGCCCTCTGACCAGTCTCACTCTGAGACCCTAGATCTGCCTGTGCTGTGGTCTCCTGAGGCTTCTCTTACCGGTGGGTGGGGCAGCAGCAAGAGCTGCATTTGGGGCTGGGAGTCTGGGAGTCCTCCGTGAAGGAGCGGACTCAGAGGGGAAGGCCTGGCTTTGCGAGGGAGTAGGGAGCTGGGGTCAGACAGCTACTGTGCTAACTCTGCCTCTCCCTCTGCAGATCCCACTCACTCCACTCCAGCCACCATCAGAGCCACCAGCCTCCCCCTCCCTGAGCTCCACTGAGGGACCGGCTGCCCCGCTGCCTCTGGGGCACTGTGCTGGGCAGAGAGAGGTAGGAGGGCTAGGTATTGTGGTCAGTACTCCACTGATGTTTCCTAGCAAATATCTGGAGAAGGGCTGTTTCCCAGTGCTCAGACGTTTGTCCAGGCTGGAAGTGTGAGCAGCCGAATGCCAAAAAAAGCAGATCCCCAATCCTAGCCACTGGCCCTGTGAGCAAATGCATTAGTAATGCATTAAGAGGCATGGTTAACACTTACTGAGCTCTTACTGCATGCCAGGCACTGTGTAGAACACCCTGGATCTCATTTGTCTTCTTTAGTGAGGTTAACGTAATAATCATCCCATTTTACAGATGACACAATGAAGCAGCTTAGAGCTCAAATAACTTGAAGGCCCTATCAATAGGCAGAACTGGAACTTGAGCCTACACAGGCTGACTCCAGAGCCTATGGGTTGCCCACTATACCACACTATGCTACACCTGAGAAAGGGCTGGGCATGGCGTCACCCCCAACCCCTTTCTGCTGGGGATGAGGTCAGCGGGGTCAGCTGTGTTCCCTGAGGAGGCCTGGGTTTGCCTATAGTGACTGACTTAGGACTTGGCCACATCACACTCCCTTCTGGAGTCTGTGTGTTCTTTCTGGGCCCGAGAAATGGACAGGCCTCCCTCCCCTGGGACAAACACAGAGGTCAGAGTTTTAGGTGGTCAGCCCTGCTAATCCAAATGGCTGTGGGGAGTAGGGGCTGGGGCAACCAAGAAAAGGATGTAGGGTGCCTGCCCAACCCCAAGTGTGCCAGGAAGAAGAACTGGGGTAACCAGTGTTGAGCAACCCTTGAGGAAGCGGAACCATCATATCCCAGTTGCTGTTAATTCCTTTTGGGGACACAGACACAACCAGGCCAGCTCTGTTCCTGGCATTCCCTGTTAAGCCAGCCCAGGGCCTGGGCCTGGAACTGGATCCCAGCTGTGTGTGGTCTCCTCCTCATGCCATCATCTCTCCCCTAAGGTATGTTGGGAGCAGCAGCTGAGGCCAGGAGGCCCAGGCCCCCCAGCCGCCCCACCCCCAGCGCTGGATGCCCTATCCCCGTTCCTTCGGAAGAAGGCCCAGATTCTGGAGGTGCTGAGAGCCCTGGAAGAGACTGACCCCTTGCTTCTCTGCTCACCTGCCACCCCCTGGCGGCCTCCAGGCCAGGGGCCTGGCTCCCCAGAGCCCATCAACGGCGAGCTGTGTGGCCCGCCTCAGCCTGAACCCTCACCCTGGGCGCCCTGCCTGCTGCTAGGCCCTGGCAACCTGGGAGGCCTGCTGCACTGGGAGCGCCTCTTGGGGGGTCTGGGAGGGGAAGAGGACACTGGGCGGCCCTGGGGTCCTAGCAGGGGACCTCCTCAGGCCCAGGGCACCAGCTCTGGCCCAAACTGTGCCCCAGGCAGCAGCTCCTCCTCCTCTTCTGATGAGGCAGGTGACCCCAATGAGGCACCCAGCCCCGACACCCTGCTCGGTGCCCTGGCCCGCAGACAGTTGAACCTGGGCCAGCTCCTTGAGGACACAGAGTCTTACCTACAGGCCTTCCTGGCCGGGGCTGCAGGCCCACTCAATGGGGACCACCCAGGTCCTGGGCAGTCATCCTCCCCAGACCAGGCGCCCCCACAGCTGTCTAAGTCCAAAGGCCTCCCCAAGTCAGCTTGGGGTGGGGGTACCCCAGAGGCCCACAGGCCAGGCTTCGGTGCTACCTCAGAGGGCCAGGGGCCCCTCCCCTTCCTTAGCATGTTCATGGGTGCTGGGGATGCCCCACTGGGCTCTCGGCCTGGCCACCCCCATTCCTCATCTCAGGTGAAAAGCAAGCTCCAAATTGGCCCCCCTTCTCCTGGGGAAGCTCAGGGACCCCTTCTGCCCTCTCCAGCTAGGGGTCTCAAGTTTCTAAAGCTGCCTCCAACCTCGGAGAAGAGCCCCAGCCCAGGAGGCCCGCAGCTCAGTCCCCAGCTCCCCCGGAACTCGCGAATCCCCTGTCGGAACAGTGGCTCAGACGGCAGCCCCTCCCCACTGTTGGCCCGAAGGGGTCTGGGTGGAGGAGAGCTGTCCCCAGAGGGGGCGCAAGGCCTGCCCACCAGCCCTTCACCCTGCTACACAACCCCAGACTCCACACAGCTCAGACCCCCGCAGTCAGCCTTGTCCACCACGCTGTCCCCAGGCCCAGTGGTGTCTCCCTGCTATGAGAACATTCTGGACCTTTCTCGGAGCACCTTTAGGGGGCCTTCCCCAGAGCCACCTCCATCCCCACTGCAGGTGCCCACCTACCCACAGCTAACTCTGGAGGTACCACAGGCCCCTGAGGTCCTCAGAAGCCCTGGAGTACCCCCCAGTCCTTGCCTCCCAGAATCGTACCCCTATGGGAGCCCCCAAGAGAAGAGTTTGGACAAGGCAGGCTCGGAGTCTCCCCATCCCGGCCGCAGGACCCCAGGCAACTCATCCAAGAAGCCCAGCCAGGGGTCAGGACGGCGACCTGGGGATCCTGGCAGCACACCTCTGCGGGACAGACTGGCGGCCCTGGGGAAGCTGAAGACAGGCCCCGAGGGGGCCCTGGGCTCAGAGAAGAATGGGGTGCCAGCCAGGCCTGGCACCGAAAAGACCCGGGGACCTGGGAAGTCAGGGGAGAGTGCTGGAGACATGGTGCCCTCCATCCACAGGCCACTGGAGCAGCTAGAAGCCAAGGGGGGGATACGGGGGGCAGTGGCCTTGGGCACAAACAGCCTGAAGCAGCAGGAACCTGGACTTATGGGGGATCCCGGGGCCCGAGTCTACTCCTCTCACTCCATGGGGGCCCGGGTGGACCTGGAGCCTGTCTCACCAAGGAGCTGCCTCACCAAAGTGGAGCTGGCCAAGAGCCGGCTGGCAGGGGCCCTGTGCCCCCAGGTACCCCGTACCCCTGCCAAAGTGCCAACCTCAGCCCCAAGCCTGGGCAAGCCCAATAAGAGCCCTCACAGCAGCCCCACCAAGCTCCCTTCCAAGTCACCAACCAAGGTGGTGCCTCGACCTGGGGCTCCGCTAGTCACCAAGGAGTCCCCCAAGCCTGACAAAGGGAAGGGCCCTCCCTGGGCAGACTGTGGTAGTACCACGGCCCAGTCCACACCCCTAGTACCTGGCCCCACTGACCCAAGTCAGGGCCCTGAGGGGCTGGCCCCACACTCAGCCATCGAGGAGAAGGTGATGAAGGGCATTGAGGAGAACGTGCTGCGGCTCCAGGGCCAGGAGCGAGCCCCTGGCGCCGAGGTCAAGCACCGCAACACCAGCAGCATCGCCAGCTGGTTCGGCCTTAAGAAGAGCAAGCTGCCAGCGCTGAACCGCCGCACAGAGGCCACCAAGAACAAGGAGGGGGCTGGCGGGGGCTCCCCGCTCCGGAGGGAAGTCAAGATGGAAGCCCGGAAGCTGGAGGCCGAGAGCCTCAACATCTCCAAGCTGATGGCCAAGGCGGAAGACCTGCGTCGGGCACTGGAAGAGGAGAAGGCCTACCTAAGCAGCCGGGCCCGGCCACGGCCTGGTGGCCCAGCCCCAGGGCCCAACACGGGGCTGGGGCAGGTGCAGGGCCAGCTGGCTGGCATGTACCAAGGTGCAGACACCTTCATGCAGCAGCTGCTAAACAGGTGAGGTCCTGGGATCAGTCAACAGGGGCTTGGTGGGCTTGGGGCACTTTTCCCTTCGTGGGCACACCTGCGTCTGGAGCTAGGCCTGCTTTTCCTGGGAGCTGGGGCTTCCCAGAGGTCAAAAGGGATAGAAGGCCACCAAAGCAGCTGGTGGGGGGGTCAGTGACTTGGCCTGGAGGAAAGATCAGGGGCTTGGCCTCATTGCTGGCTTCTCATTTGAGAAGAGTTAACAGTCCACATCTTCCTGGATGGTCTCCATACCAGATGAGGCAGCCTGCATGTGATAGTTAAGTGAAGGCTAGAGCCTAACTATGGGCTGATAAAGGTCTTCTCCCTCAGGAAAGGGATAAGGGGAGTCCTCTTCCCATCTTGCCCTTTGACATCTGCCACAACAGGAGTTGTGGTTTAAAGAAGGGATCCACCCATCTTGGGGTTGCTCTGTCTGGGCCAGATGAGGCAGAAAGTCTGCAGGAATTGGGCCCCAGGTAGGGTGCGTGGTTTGGACCGCAGGTGTGCTCAGAAGTTCAGCTAGAGCAGGTGGAGTGTGTCGTTCATGGACCAGGATGTGACCGGGTCTGCCAGTCTACCTGGAATCACCATCAAGCAGTCTCTAGGCTTGACCCTGGATAACTTTCAGGGAGTTCTCCCATCTTCTCCCCTGCCCTCTGTTCCTCTGGGGTTCCCTAAGGTCCTTGCCTGTTGCCAGTGTCAAGAAGGGTGTTGGGAGCAATCACTAGCGACATGTCCCCTTCCCCGGGGGTGGATGGCAGGAAGTGCCTCCCTAAGCCCAGCACCATTGGCGGGTGCAAGGCTGGAATGTCTGGGCAGGCAAGACCACCCTCACCTATATCTGCACTGTTGCCCATAGGGTGGATGGCAAGGAGCTGCCATCCAAGAGCTGGCGGGAGCCCAAGCCTGAGTACGGGGATTTCCAGCCGGTGTCTTCTGACCCCAAGAGCCCCTGGCCAGCCTGTGGGCCCCGGAATGGCCTGGTGGGCCCTCTTCAGGGCTGCGGAAAACCTCCTGGAAAGGTAAGTTCTTGGGGTAGGGACTGGGTGGACGGCCTGGCTCTCTGGCCCTGCCAGGTCTCTTACCCCCTAGAGGGTTCCCCTTCCCCAAGACCATGAGTGCCGGATGCACTCACAGTCTCTACGGGGAGACTGGGGAGGGGAGAGGGGCTTCCCAGTCTGCAGGGGCTCTCAGATCCATACTCCTGGGCCCTAATCCTCATACTCTCATATGTTTACAGACACATTCCCACCCTCTAGAGGCATGGGGAGGGGTGTGGAGGGGGGAGGAGTGGACTATGAGGTCTCCTGTATCCCACACAGCCGAGCAGCGAGCCAGGGAGGCGGGAAGAGATGCCCTCGGAGGACAGCCTGGCCGAGCCAGTGCCCACCTCACACTTCACAGGTCAGCAGGGTCAGGGGCTGAGGATGGGCCTGCCCCCACCCCCCTACCCACTTCTTCCCACTTTACTTCTTCCCGTCCCCGCAGCAGGTGCCAGGCTCTGTGTGCCATCTTGGTGCCAAGCACCAGGTGGGCACTGGAGCTACACAGGAACAAATCCTTCCCTGCCCTCAGGGTACTCGCCCCACCTACACCCCTTCCCCAAGCCCAGGGCAGGTGGGGTTGGTGGACAGGTGCTGTGGAATGAGCCTGTTGGGCCAGGAGGGGCCCTGAGTAAGGGTGGAGCCTGGGCTGGGCGGGAAGTGGAGGCAGGCCGGGGACTGAGCCCAGCCTCACACTCTTAACGGGCCCTCCCCTCCCCTCCCCAGCCTGTGGCTCCTTGACTCGAACCTTGGACAGTGGCATTGGGACCTTCCCACCCCCAGACCATGGTAGCAGTGGGACCCCCAGCAAGAATCTTCCTAAGACCAAGCCACCGCGGCTGGATCCCCCACCTGGGGTACCCCCAGCTCGGCCCCCACCCCTTACCAAAGTCCCCCGCCGCGCCCACACACTGGAGCGGGAGGTGCCAGGCATAGAGGAGCTGCTGGTGAGTGGGCGGCACCCCAGCATGCCAGCCTTCCCTGCACTGCTACCCGCTGCTCCGGGCCACCGGGGCCATGAGACCTGTCCTGATGGTGAGTGTCCAGGTGGGAGGGTGGGATGCCCCTGGGCATCCTGGAGCTGCCCAGGCAGCTCCATCCACCTTCCCTTTGTTCCTGGACAGATCCCTGTGAAGACCCAGGCCCCACCCCTCCTGTCCAGCTGGCCAAGAACTGGACCTTCCCCAATACTAGGGCAGCCGGCAGCTCCTCGGACCCTCTCATGTGCCCACCCCGACAACTGGAGGGGCTGCCCAGGACCCCCATGGTGAGAATTGCAGCAGAGGAAAGGGAAAGGACTCGGGAGCAGGAGGGAGTGATGTGGGGAGACCAGTTTCTCCAGTAAGGTACGGCCTGTGTGTCGCACAGTCTCAGTGCTGCACCCTCTGGGAGGAGGACCCCTGGGATGCCCTGTGAGCGGCCCTCCCCACTGCCCTCCTTGCACTTCTCTCGTGGGGAAAGGTTTCTGTCCCTCCCCAGAACCTTGTAGGACTGTTCTCAGTTGTACCTCCAGCCTGTTTCCTCTGAAGTATACCCCACCTTGGGCCCCCTCTGGAGCAGCCCCCCATCAGGTGCACAGACGCCCCTCAGAGCTCAGTGCCTCTGAGGCTGGGCCGAAAGGTGGAGAGGAGCTTCCTCCCGAGCTGCCCCTCCTTTCCCAGGCCCTGCCCGTGGACCGGAAGCGAAGCCAGGAGCCCAGCCGCCCGTCCCCTACGCCCCAGGGCCCACCTTTCGGGGGTAGCCGCACCCCCAGCACTTCGGACATGGCCGAGGAAGGCAGAGTGGCCAGCGGGGGCCCCCCAGGGCTGGAGACCTCGGAGTCTCTCAGTGACTCACTCTACGACTCGCTGTCCTCTTGTGGGAGTCAGGGCTGAGGGGCTGCGCCACGCCACGGCCCCGCTGGAGCTGGGGACCACAGACTGGACCGGCTCTCTTCATGCCCAGCCCCCGGAGACGGGGACCCCTCCCTGAAGGGACCAAGGAGGCAGGTGGATAAGAAGGTGAAAAGGGGGTCCCTGGCACACCCCACCACCCACTGCTTCGGCGGATGAGATGACCGTGCTCAGCTCAGGGAGAGACCCCGCCCTTGGTCCCTTCTCTCACCCAGAGTAAGGCTCTTCCTGGAAGGGACTGGGGGTTAAAGGCCACTGTGTCGCAGCCCTCCAGTCCCTACTTCAGGCTGAGCCATCTTGTGGTGCTGGGCTTCCTGCCCACCAGCCGTGCCATCTCTGCCCAACCCGGCTGCTCCTCTGCCCCGAAGCCCTCGCGAGGCCCTCCTGGAGGCCCCCGTGCTGGTGGAGTTTGGGGGCCAGGGGGACAAGTTGCCTTCTCTCTCTGCCCTGGTCCTCCCTGCTGTCTGGATGGTGCTGCCCTCCTCTGCCCCATGCCTTTGGGGTCTGTTCGTCCGTCTTTTTTGTTGTTGTTTTTATATATTGAAGCGCCTGGCCCAGCCCCCAGCCCCCAGCCCCGCACTGCGGTTAATTTATGTGTTGTTTAAAATGCGGCTGCTCTGCTTCCTGCCTCTGCTTCTGCCGTATCCCTAATAAAATGTGGAGGCCCCCTCCCTGCCCCTGAGTCGGCTTGTTGTGTGGGAGGACTCAGGCAGGCCAGGTCGGGGGACACTGCATGGGTGCCAGGTTGAGGGACCCCAGGCCCCCTTGTGACACAGCCCCCTCACCAGGGCAACTGGCTGGAGTCATCCCAGAAGGTAACTGAGGGTTGGGAGAGTAGGGCCTGCTTAGGCCCGGAAGGGTATCTGGGCTCGGAGAGATTCTCCTGGGCCAGGGCTTGGGCACGGCGCGAGGCTGGGTGGCCCCTTGGAGAGGGAGCTGGGGAAGATGGCTGTGGACATGCACTCAGGCCCCACGTGTCCCAGGCTGGGGGGGACATGCAGACTCTGAGTAGAGTTGCATCTCTTCTCCAGACCTTGGTTTTCCTCCTCTATAGAAGATTAGAAAGTTAATCCAGACGAGCTGGTCCCATCAGCCAGACTTTCTTCTCAGCATTCTCCTCTTCCTACCCCTTCCCCAATTCTCTTCCTACCCCTTCTTAGTTAATATCATCATTGAAGAAATTAACAAGACGGAGAGTGTCAAGTCAGATGTCTGGGTTTTTTTTTTTTTTTTTAAGTCAGTATCCCATTTTCTTACCTCTTGTCTTCTACTTCCAGATTCCTATCCCACTGTCCTATCTTTTCTGCTTTTATGGGCTTAAGCATAATATTACCAAGCTGTAAATCTGCTTCTTGCCAGGTGGGCTTCAAGAGGTCTACCTCCTTCCCACTTTTTATTTCTTGGTTTTTCAAGCCCTCTTCTCTGCTTGAACTTGGTAGATTACCTCATTTCCTAGTTAGAACAGAATTGTTTGCCTGCAGGATATTTCTCCTATTTCCTTCTGGGGAAGGAGTTTGGCATAGTAGGTTTGATGCAGGACTCCACCTCTTTCAAGCTGAGACCAGAGGGTCCATCCGCATTCTTACCACCAGGGTCTGATCCATCTGCCTAGGCTTTATTCTCTGGTGTTTGCAAATACAAGGCGTCACCTTGGTTTCCAGGGCAATGTGGGCTGACTGACCAAGGCAGGGCAGGTGGCATCAGTCACACCTGACGCCTGGAGGCAGCCATTGCCTACCAACTGTTCCATGGTGGGAAACTTCCTAAATCCCCCAGCATTCTGCTAAGAGACCCTGGATCCAGATGAGCCACCCCACAGCCTACATAATTGTGTGCCCTTCACACAGACCCAGTATTTTATCTAAAATGATTCTGTGGAGGAGGACATGCAGTTGAGTTTAAAGACACTCCTGGGGAATCAATTTCTTGCACTTCAAAGAAAGGTTAGGCTAAAAGACCATTTGATCCTTACTAAGGCAGAACACTTCATATCTCAGTTTGCAACATCTTCCTGCAGAATTCAGGTAAATTCACTGTTTTCTCCAAGAATAATAGGTGAATGTTTGCCTTTGCAATGTGCAAGACCCATTCTGCTGGATTTTCCAAACAAAGGAAGACAAAACTGCCAGGCCACCTCCCCCATCCCCCAAAATGGCATCAAGGCATCAGCAAAAGATTATGACAAGGCTTCAGGTTCAACTTCACTGGGCACTTTGCCTTTTGCAGGAAATGTCCCAAAAACATTAACTCAAGTTTTCTCTGGGTAGCCAGTGGGTTTTTTTTTCCTTCTTTACCCTTTTGTAGATTTCTACAAATAGTGTGCTTTGTTTTCTTTAAAAAAAAAATTTTTTTTTGTAGAGATGGGGTCTCACTATGTTGCCCAGGCTGGTCTCAAACTCCTGGCCTCTCCAAGTTCTGGGATTACAGGTGTGAGCCACTGCATCCAACCTGTTTTGTTTTCTTTATCAAAAAAAGTTTTAAGGCCGGGTGCAGTGGCTCACGCCTGTAATCCCAGCACTTTGGGAGGCTGAGGTGGGTGGATCACGAGGTCAGGAGATCTATACCATCCTGGTTAACACAGTGAAACCCTGTCTCTACTAAAAATACAAAAAACTAGCCAGGCGTGGTGGCACGCGCCTGTAGTCCCAGTTACTCCAGAGGCTGAGGCAGAAGAATTGCTTGAACCCAGGAGGCGGGCCTTGCAGTGAGCCAAGATCGCGCCACTGCACTCCAGCCTGGGCGACAGAGTGAGACTCCGTCTCAAAAAAAAAAAAGTTAAAAAAAATTTTTTCCCGAGACTATAGAAATGCTCACCTGTATTAACTTCAAATTCATGTGGCCTTAAGTAATTTATTTATATGCTTGAACTAACTCACACAGGATTACAGAATGAGGGTATATATCTAGAGTTTGCTGCAGAGAATAATTGTTTCTCGTTTAAAACTTTTTTTTTTATTTTTTTGAGACGGAGTCTCTCTCTGTCACCCAGGCAGGACTACAGGCTCCTGCCACCACACCCGGCTAATTTTTTGTATTTTTAGCAGAGGTGGAGTTTCACCATCTTAGCCAGAATGGTCTCAATCTCCTGACCTCGTGATCTGCCCACCTCGGCCTCCCAAAGTGCTGGGATTACAGGTGTGAACCACCGTGTCTGGCCCCTTAAAAGGTTTTTAATTGTTAAAGGAATAGAAATTATAGAAGTATATGTTCCCCAGGCACAATGGCTCATGCATGTAATCCCAGCACTTTAGGAGGCCGAGGCGGGTGGATCACCTGAGGTCAGGAGTTCGAAACCAGCCTGACCAACATGGAGAAACCCCATCTCTACTAAAAAATACAAAATTAGCCAGGCGTGATGGCACATGCCTGGAATCCCAGCTATTCGGGAGGCTGAAGCAGGAGAATCACTTGAACTTGGGAGGCGGAGGTTGCAGTGAGCCAAGATTGCACCATTGCCCTCCAGACTGGGCAACAAAAGCAAAACTCTGTCTCAAAAAAAAAAAAAAGAGTATATGTTCATGGTTTTTAAAAAAAGGAATTGAAATTGAATGTTATAACTAATTATCAGGGAAATGCAAATCAAAACTGCAATGAAATACCACCTCACTCTAGTTAGAATAGCTCTTATCAAAAAGACAAAAGAAAACAAGTGTTGGTGAGGATGTAGAGAAAATAGAACCCTTACACACTGTTGGTGGGAATGTAAATTAGTACCTCTATTAAGGAAAACTGTGGAGGTTCCTCAAAAAATTAAAAGTAGAGCACTATATGATCCAGCAATCCCACCAGTGGGTAAATGGAGGTATCTGTACTCCCTTGTTTATTGCAGCACTGTTCACAATAGCCAAGAATTGAAGTCAACCTAAATGCCAGCAATGGATGAATGGATAAAATGTGGTATATCTACACAGTGGAATACTATTCAGCAATGAAAAAGAATGATATCCTGTCATTTGAAACAAATTATTTGAACCTGAACATTATGTTAAGTGAAATAAGTCAGACACAAAAAGACAAATACCACATGTTCTCACTGATACGTGGAATCTTAAAAAAAAGAAAAAGAAAAAGCCGATCTTATGGAAGTATAGAGCAGATCAGTGGTTACCAGAGGTTGCAGAGCCAGTGGAGGAGAGGAGGTTGAGGAGAGGTTGTTTGGAGGTACAAAACTAGATAGGAGGAATAAGTTCTGGTGTTCTATTGCACAGTAGAGTGACAATGGTTAACAAGAAAGTATGGTATATTATTAACAAAATAGAAGAGAGGGTTTTGAATGTTCTCACCACAAAAAAATTACAAATTCATAATGAGATGGCTGTCCTAAATACCCTGATTTGATCACTATACAATGTATCCATGTATGCAAAAACATCACATTGTACCCCATAAGTACATACAATTATAAAGTGTCAGAAATTGAAAAGAGGCCGGTGAGGTGGCTCACGCCTGTAATCCTAGCACTTTGGGAGGCTGAGGCAGGTGGATCACGAGGTCAGGAGATCGAGACCATCCTGGCTAATATGGTGAAACCCCGTCTCTACTAAAAATACAAAAAGTTAGCTGGGCGTGGTGGTGGGCACCTGTAATCCGAGCTACTTGGGAGGCTGAGGCAGGAGAATGGTGTGAACTCGGGAGGCAGAGCTGACAGTGAGCCAAGACCACGCCACTGCACTGCAGCCTGGGTGACAGAGCAAGACTCTGTCTCAAAAAAAAAAAAAAAAAAAAATTGAAAAGAGGCTGGGCACTGTGGCTCACATCTGTAATCCCAGCACTTTGGGAGGCCCAGGCAGGTGTGTCACGAGGTCAGGAGATCAAGACCATCCTGGCCAACACAGTGAAATCCCTTCTCTACTAAAAATACAAAAATTAGCCGGGTGTGCTTACGTACGCCTGTAGTCCCAGCTACTTGGGAGGCTGAGGCAGGAGAATCACTTGAACCCGGAAGGCGGAGGTTACGGTGAGCCGAGATCATGCCACTGCACTCCAGCCTGGCAACAGAGCGAGACTCCATCTCAAAAAAAAAAAAAAAGAAAAGGAAAAGAAATGGAATGTTATACAAGGAAAAAAAGGGGCTGGGCATGATGGCTCACACCTGTAATCCCAGCACTTTGGGGAGCCAAGGGAGGAAGATCACTTGCACCCAGGAGTTTGAGACCAGCCTGAGCTACATAGTGAGACCATGTCTCTACAAAAAAATAGAAAATTAGGCCAGGGCTGTGGCTCATACCTGTAATCCCAAGCACTTTGAGAGGCCAAGGCGGGCAGATGACTTAAGGTCAGGAGTTTGAGATCAGCCTGGCCAACATGGTGAAACCCCATCTCTACTACAAATACAAAAATTAGCTGGGCGTGGTGGCGCATGCCTATAATCCCAGCTACTTGGGAGAGAATCGCTTGAACCCAGGAGGCGGAGATTGCAGTGAGCTGAGATCACACCACTGCACTCCAGCCTGGGCAACAGAGCAAGACTCTGTTTAAAAAAAAAAATCAAAAATTACCCAGGCATGTTGGTACACACCTGTAGTCCCAACTACTTGAGAGGCTGAGGTGGGAGGATGGCTTAAGCCCGAGTGATTGGAGCCTGCAGTGAGCAATGATCATGTCACTGCAGTCAGCCTGGGTGACAGAGTGAGACCCTGTCTCAAAAAATAAGTAAAAAATTAGCTGGGCATGGTAGTATGAGCCTGTAGACCTACATACTTGGGAAGCTGAGGTGGGATGATTGCATGAACCCAGGAATTTGAGGCTGTAGTGAGCTATTAGCATCCGACTACATTTCAGCCTGGGCAACAAAGCAAGACCTTGTCTCTAAAAATTAAAAATAATTTAATAAAAAACAGAAAAAAGGAAAATCCCCTTCATACTGCGCCCTCAGTTTCATTCCACAAGCAACCTGAGTTAATTGGTTATCCTTTCGGATGTTTTTATTTATTTTTATTTATTGATTGATTTTTGAGACAGTCTCGCTGTGTCACTTAGGCTGGAGTGCAGTGGCGGGATCTCGGCTCAGTGCAACCTCTGCCTCTCAGGTTCAAGTGATTCTCATGCCTCAGCCTCCTGAGTAGCTGGTATTACAGACATGCACCACCACGCCCAGCTAATTTTTGTATTTTTAGTAGAGACAGGGTTTTGCCATGTTGCCCAGGCTGGTCTCAAACTCCTGGCTTCATGTGATCTGCCAGTCTCAGCCTCCCAAAGTGCTGGGGTTACAGGCATGAGCCACTGTTCCTGGCCCCTTTCAGATGTTTTTAAAATCCACATATATACAAGCATATTTATGTTTACCTTTTATTAGACAATGAGATTATCCTGTAGTTACTGATCTTCCCTTTAGCACTCAATAATATATCTTGGAGATTTTTCCAAAACCCATGAATCTCCACTTTTGTACATCATACTTCATTGTATAGACATACTTTATTTATTTGTTTTGTCATGACAACACTGCAGTGAACATTCCATATGTGTCTTTGGCCACTTGTATATTTCCATAAGATAAATTCCTATATTCTCCAGGTATAGTAGCTCATGCCAGTAATTTTAGCACTTTGAAAGGCCAAGGCGGAAAGAATTGCTTGAGGCCGGGAGTTTGAGACCAGCCTGGGCAACATAGTGAGACCCCATCTCTACAAAACCTACAAAAATTAGCCAGATGTGGTGGCACATGCCTGTAGTCCTAGCTACTTGGGAGGCTGAGGCAGGAGGATCCCTTGAGCCCAGAAGTTTGAGGCTACAGCAAGCTATTTTCCTACCACTGCACTCCAGCCTGAGGAACAGGGTAAGAGCCTGTCTCTAAGATAAATAAATAAATTTCTATAAATGGAATTGCTGAGTCATAGAGTATGCTTAGGTTTTTGTTTTTTAAGACAGTGTCTCACTGTCACCCAGGCTTGCATGTAGTGGCGCCATCTCAGCTCACTGCAACCTCCACCTCCCTGGTTCAATTGGTCATCCCACCTCAGCCTCCCCAGTAGCTGGGACCTAGGCGTGCACCACCACACCCAGTTAACTTTTGTATTTTTTGTAGAGATGGGTTTTGCTATGTTGCCCAGGCTGGTCTTGAACTCCTGGGCTCAAGTGATTCACTCACCTTGGACTCCCAAAGTGTTGGGATTAGAGGCATGAGCCACTGCCCTGGCCTTAACTTTGTTTTTTAATAGACATTCATAAGTTACACTCCCACAAGCAACATACAAGTTGAACTGTCTCCCCACTTCTTCCATATCATTGATTGTATCAAACTTCTTGTTAGCCAATTTGGTAGAAGAGATCATGTGGGGTTTTGCGTCAGTGTCGGGACAGCTTTGGCTTTCACTCAAAGTGAAATGGGGAAGCAGTGGAGAGTGATGAGAAGAGACAGTAGAGGGCTGGCACAGAAGCAGGAGCCAGTAAGGAGGCCTCTTCAGGAACCTCATTGAGAGATGCTGGTGACCTGGACCAAGCGGAGACAGTCAGGATGACAGGATTTGCTAACGTAATTGATGTGAGGAAAGAAGAGTCAAGGATAACTCTAAGAGTTTTGGAGCAAATGGAAGGGTGCCATTCACTGATATGGGGAAGACTGGCTAGAGCAGATGTCGGCGGGGAAGGAAGGTCAGGAGTTAAGTGTTGGCCATGTTAAATTTGAGATGCCTGTTGGATAACATCCAAGGGAAAATGTGGAGTAAGCAGTTGGGTTATAGAAGTCCAGAGTTTAGAAAAGAGGCCTGGCTGGAGGCATAAATTAGTAAGTCATCAGCATGTGGATGTTATTTAAAGCCAGAGGACTGGATGAGATCACCAAAGAAGTGAGAAGAGGAAAAGTCTGGGTCCTGACCCCTAGCATACTCCATTCTTTAGAGGTCAGAGGAAACGAGAAGGAAATGGCAAAGGAGGCTGCAGGGTGGTCCTGGGAGAATGTGGGGTCTTGGCATGTAAGTGAAGAAAATGTTTCAAGAAGGATTAAATAATCAGCTGTCACTTCTGCTGATGTGTCTGGCAAAAAGAGGATTGGAAATTGCCTTTTGAGCCAGGCGTTGTGGCACACACCTTTTAGTTCTAGTGCTTTGGGAGGCTGAGGCAGGATGATCACTTGAGCCCAGGAGGTCGAGGATGCAGGGAGCTATGATTGTGCCACTTCATTCCTGGGTAGATGACAGAGTGAGACCCTGTCTCAAAGAAAAAAAAAGAAAATTACCTTTTGGATTTAGCAGCACAGAGGTCACTGGTGACCTTAACAGGAACAGTGATGGAAGTGAAAGCTGTTTTGAGTGGGTCAAGAGCAAATGGGAAAGGAAGAATTGGAGTATAGACAGCTCTTTTTCAGCATTGTGGCACATCCCTATAGCTACTCATGAGGCTGAGGAGGGAAGATCATTGAGCCCAGGAATTGGAGGCAGCAGTGAGCTATGATCACACCACTGCACTCTCCAGCCTGGGCGACAAAGAGAGACCCTGTCTCTAAAAAAATAAAAACAAATAATTTAAGAAACAGAAAATTCTTTTAAGATATAGGGAAGAAAAAGGCACATGCCTATGAGTCCCCCACCAGCTACTCAGGAAGCTGAGGTGGGAGAATCTCTTGAGTTTAAGAGTTCAAGTTTCAAGGCCATCGTGATCTTGTTTTCCCTAGACGCCATCTTTTTTTTTTTTTTTTTGAGATGGCGTCTTGCTCTGTTGCCCAGGCTGGAGTGCAGTGACACGATCTCAGCTCACTGCAACCTCCGTCTCCTGAGTTCAAGCAATTGTCGTGCCTCAGCCTCCTGAATAGCTGGGACTACAGTACAGGCACGTGCCACCACACCTGGCTAATTTTTGTATTTTTAGTAGAGATGGGGTTTCACCATGTTGGCCAGGCTGGTCTTGAACTCCTGACCTCAGGTGATCCACTCACCTCAGCCTCCCAAAGTGCTTGGATTACAGGCGTGACCCACTGTGCCCAGCCTAGACGCCTTCTTTAGGGACAAGTAAGTAGGGTAGAAGAGAGTGGGAGAGGAGATGGGGGTCAAGAAATTAGACTTAGACTTTTAACATTTTAAAGTTTTTATTTTTGAAACTATTTCATACACAAATGTTTCAAATACAGTACAAAGTTTTTTCCTCTCTTAAACTATCTTTTTTTTTTAACAGAGTCTCACTCTGTCACCTAGGCTGGAGTGCAGTGGTGTGATCTCGGCTCACTGAAACCTCCGCCTCCTGGGTTCAAGTGATTCTCCTGCCTCAGCCTCTTGAGTAGCTGGCACTATAAGCACCCGCCATCACCTCTTGAGTAGCTGTCATTATAGGCGTCCCAGTCTTTCACCTAAACTATTTAAGAGTAGGTTGCTAACATGATGTTTTATCACCCCAAACACTTCAGGTTTGTTTACTACAAACAAGGACACTTTCTTATCTTCCCCAATACCATACCATCATCAAAATCAGAAATTAATATTGATAAAAAAACTTATCTACTCCTCAGACCACAGTCAACTTTCACTAATTGTTAGAATAATATCCTTTCTAGCCAGTTTAAAGTCACACATTGCATTCAGTTGTCATGTTTATTTAGTTTCCTTCAATCTGAAACAATTCCTCAGTCTTTCCTAACTTACAGGACTTTGAAATTTTGGAAGATTACAGGTGTTGATATTGATTTGTCTCATTACTAAAAATGCTCATTTTCATTACTCGCTGTCTGCTAGGTTTCTCCGTCACACATTTACTATTTCCCTTTATAATGAATAATTATGTTGTAGGTAGGTACTCTGAAACTATGTAAATATTTAATTTTTATTTAACTTTTTATGTGTTCATTTATTTAAATCAGTATAGAATTATGGTTTCTTATTTTATTCAGTGGTTTATATCTCAAATGCTCAAACTGTCCATGATTTGGCCAGTGGGAGCCCCTTCAAACTGGCTTCTGTGTCTTTTTGACAAATCTTCATCATTCTTCAAAGACGTACTTACTTTCTGCCATAACATGCTCGAGATTCATCTTGGATTTTCCCCAACCCAGTACTGGAATCAAGCATTTTTCCAAAGAGCCCTGTTTTATTTTCGTGGGGAATATTTAGAAACAAAGATCTGGAAGCTGGGTATGTTCATTGTTGTTGGAGTGTTGTTGCTCCCAGGCTCTAAGGGGGGGTTTCTTAAACATAGGAAAAGTTAGCCAGACAGGCCCAGTGGCACATGCCTGTAGTCTTAGCTAGTTGGGAGGCTGAGACAGGAGGACTGCTTGAGCCCAGGAGTCAAGTTCAGCCTGGGCTGCATAGTGAGACCCCCCCATATCTAAAAATTAAAAAAAAAAAAGAAATTACAGCATATTCTTATACTTACTGGAACGATAAACTAGAGAAAATCTGGGGCCAGGTGCAGTGGCTCACGCTTGTAATCCCAGCACTTTGGGAGGCCAAGGCAGGCAGATCACAAGGCAAGAGTTTGAGAACAGCCTGGTCAACGTGGTGAAACCCCTCTCTACTAAAAATATAAAAATTAGCTAGGCGTGGTGGCACATGCCTGTAGTCCCAGCTACTCAGGAGGCTGAGGCAGGAGAACCACTTGAACCTGGGAGACGGAGGTTGCAGTGAGCCGAGATCGTGTCACTGCACTCCAGCCTGGCGACAGAGCGAGACTCCATCTGAAAAGAAGGAAGGAAGGAGGGAAGGAAGGAAGGAAGGAAGGAAGGAAGGAAGGAAGGAAGGAAGGAAGGAAGGAAAGAGAGAGAGAGAAAGAAAAGAAAGAGAAAAAGAAAGAAGGAAGGAAGGAAGGGGAAGGGAAGGGAAGGAAAGAAAGGAAGAAAGAAAGAAAATCTGATGACGCAGGAAAGAGAAGAGGGAATTGTCAGGCTCCAGTGCATAAGTGGCTTTAAATAGCATTCATCATTCATAGGTACAGGAAGGAGGAATGCTCAGAAGCAGGTAGTTGTGTATATGTGATGATGTCTAACTATAGGAGCTCTCTCCTGGGTGCTTTTATTTTCTCAAGGAAATATTCAAGATCATCAACTGAGAAAGATGGCAGGAGAAGATGTTGGAGGCTTGAGAAGACAGGAGAACGTATGGGTGGTCATCTAGGAGCTCAAAAGAGTGAATGGACTGGGAAATGTAGTAGGATTACCAGGCAGCATGAAGGGTCCACCTTAGGTAATTAGGAATTTAAAGGGAGACTGGTTAACATGAATGTGTTGGTTTTCTTCTCCAGCCCATGCTTCCCATGCAGTGAGGTGAATTAGCCAGGGGTGCCATTTACTAATTGAGTGCAACAAAGGAGGGGGAAAGAAGCAGGGGAATTGAAGGTGTATGCAGGGGAGTGATTCTATTTTTTTTTTTTTTTTGAAGTCAGTGTCTTGCTCTATCACCCAGGCTGACATGCAGTGGAGAGATTACAGCTCACTGCAGCCTCAAATTCCTGAGCTCAAGGAATCCTCCTGCCTCAGCCTCCTGAGTAGCTGGGATTACAAGTGTGACTGTGGTCTTTAAATTGGATAAAAAGGGAAAAAGGAACAGTAAAAGAGGGAGGCATGGGGGAGTAGGGACAGTACATTGTAGGTCCCAGTGGGATCAAAGGAATTTTGGAGGTAGAGTACTAGTGGGAATAAGTTGGAAAGATGTTGGGAAGAAATGAGGTGGTGGTCACGGGATGGGCAGCATGACATTGAGAGAATGGGAATGGGAATGCGGTATTAAGGGTTGAATTGTGTCCCTCTCCCTCTAAGATGTGGAGGCCTACCCCCAGTATCTCAGAATGTGACCTTATCTGGAAATAGGGTCTTTACAGAGGTAGTCAAGTTAAAATGAGGTCATTTGGGTGGGCCCTACTCCTATTTTGACTGGTGTCTTTATAAAAAGGAGGAACTTGAAGCCAGATGGACAAGCACACAGGGAGACACCATGTATATTAGTCCATTCTCATGCTGCTAATAAATACATGCCCTAAACTCTGGGTACTTTATCAAGGAAAGAGGTTTAATTGACTCAGGGAACTTACAATCATGGTGGAAGGGGAAGCAAACATGTCCCTCTTCACATGGCAGTAGAAGGAGAAGTGCTGAGCAAAAGTGGGGAATGCCCCTTATAAAACCATCAGATCTCGTGAGAACTCACTCACTGTCACAAGAATAGCATGAGGCTACCCACTCCTATAATTAAATTACCTCCCGCTGGGTCCTTCCCACAACACATGGGGATTATGGAAACTACAATTCAAGATGAAATTTGGGTGGGGACATGGCCAAACCATATCACCATGTGAAGATGAAAGCAGAGGTCAGGGTGATGCATCCATGAGCCAAGGAACCCCAAGCATTGCCAGCAACCACCAGAAGCTGGGTGAGAGGCACAGACAGGTTCTGTCTCACAGCCTCAGAAGGAACCAACACTGACATCACCTTGATCTTGGACTTCTAGCCTCCAGAAGAAGGCTACATTTCTGTGACAATATATTTCTGCTGTCTAAGCCATCCAGTCTGTGGTACTTTGTTATGACAGCCCTAACAAACTAATACAGAGGAGGTGCAGTTATTAGTAATGACAAGGAGCAGGGTGTGGCCATGAGAGGTCTTTGGAGGAGAGGAGATCGTGGAAGTGAGAGGCCAGGGTATGGGGAGGATGTATCTACGTGAATATTGAAATCTCTTAGGACCTGGTGCAGTGGCTCACGCCCGGAATCCCAGCACTTTTGGAGGCTGGGAGGAGGATTACTTGAGCCCAGAAGCTCGAGAACAGCCTGGGCAACATGGCGAAACCCTGTCTCTACAAAAAAATACAAAAATCAGCCTGGCGTGGTGGCACGTGCCTATAGTCCCAGCTACTCAGGAGGCTGAGATGGGAGGATCGCCTGAGCCTGGGCAGTTCAGGCTGCAGTGAGCCAAGATCACACCACTGCAGTCCAGCCTGGGAGACAGAGCAAGACCCTGTCTCAAAAACAACAATAGGCCAGTGTGGTGGCTCACGCCTGTAATCCCAGCACTTTGGGTGGCCGAGGTGTGTGGATTACCTGAGGTCAGGAGTTAGACCAGCCTGATCAACATGGTGAAACCTCATCTCTACTAAAAATACAAAAATTAGCTGGGCGTGGTTGTGCGCACCTGTAATCCCAGCTACTCGGGAGGCTGAGGCAGGAGAACTGCTTGAACCCAGGAGGCGGAGGTTGCAGTGAGCCAAGATTCTGCCATTGGACTCCAGCCTGGGATATAAGACCACAACTCTGTTTCAAAACAACAACAACAAACCAAAGTCCAACCAAACAAACAAAAAGAAATCTCTAAGAATTAGGGCAGAAATCACGTTAGAGAGAATGACACTGAGGTAGGAATGAAACCTTCTAGAAACACGGAAGTAGCCCAGGGATTGGTAGGTGCATGGAAGAGGGAGGCAGCGTCCTACAACCTGAGACTCAGAGCTGAGGGATTTTAGGGAAGAAGGTTCTGAAAGCAGCACTGAAGAACAAGGAGGGCGCCTCGAGGCACAAAGGTGAGGCAGGGAAAGCTGCACCCACCTGAGGGCATTGCAGGGAGGGCCGTGTCCTCCAGGGGGAGCCAGGAACCTGCTGCCTGCGAAGGCAAAGGGAACACCAGGAGAAGATGAAGTTGGGGAGTTTTGCAGATGTAGGGCTGCGAATTCTAGAGGCAGTGGAAGGGCTTCAGGAGTTGGGAACAGACTTGGGAATGTGCAGAGCAGTTTGAGGATTAGAGTATGAGAGATGAGAGGTCATCACACGTCGATGGAGGAGCTACAAAATACGGTGGCCATTGTCTATCAATTTACCATATGGGGCCCTCACCTCCATTCTATATCTCTGTACCATTTTACATTCACACCGTGTGGATGGGGAAGTCGCGAAGATATGGGATGGCCACTGGAGACAGCGGAGAGGGGCCGGGCTGAGGACAAATCAAGGGTTTTCAAAGGAGGCTGGAGCCCAGTGGATGCTGAAGTCCAGGCATCTCCTTAGCACCAGACTGCAGGAAAGTCGGACTTCTGTGGTTGCTGCTGCTTCTCCTAGCAGGGTGCAAAGGCCTGGTTCTAGGACTAGAGAAGGAAGATTGTGGAATTGGCGAGAGGCTAAGTGGAGTGACCCAAAGCCTCCAGCTCGAGTAATACTAATAATAATACATAGGAGCAAACCCATATATAATATTTACAATGTGCCAGGCACTGTTCTAAGCACTTTATACAGATTAAGTCCATTAATCCTCGCCACAATGTTTTTGGGTAGGTATTATTGTTATTTCTGTTTTACTAGGAGAAAGTGAAGATCAGAGAACTTAAGTAACTTTCCCAATGTCAAAGCTTGTCTATGGAAGAGCTGTGAGACAAGCCCAGACAGCTCAGCCCCAGAGTCTGCATTCAAAATCACAACACAAGCCAGGTGCTGTGGCTCATGCCTGAAATCCCAGCACTTTGGGAGGCCGAGGCAAGAGGATCACTTGAGCCCAGAAGTTTGAGACCAGCCTGTGCAACATGGTAAAACCCCATCTCTACTAAAAATATAAAAATTAGCCAAGTGTGATGGCGGGCGCCTGTAATCCCAGCTACTCGGGAGGCTGAGGCAGGAGAATCACTTGAACCCGGGAGGTGGAGGTTACAGTGAGCTGAGATCGTGCCATTGCATTCCACCCTGGGTGACAGAGTAAGACTCCGTCTCAAAACAAAAAAAAAAGGAAGCAAGATAAAGTGGAGGGATTAAGGGGCAGGACTGGGCTTGTAATGCAACCAAAGTGTAGGTGAGGAGGGGGCAGAGGAAGTGAGAACTGAATAACGTGGCTGTGGCCTGAGAGTAGGAGAGCAGATGATGAAATGGGGCTGGGGCGGGTGAGCATCCCTGCAGGAGACCAAGAAGCTGGGTTGGGGAGGTTCAGCCACAGGAGCCCTGGGGTATCCCAAGTGACATGAACGAGGGGGAGAGGACACCTGGATACAGGTGTGATAAATGCAGAGAACAGTTCATGCGAGAGTGATCAGGCAGGCCCAGTCAGGTGGCAAATGCCATCAAGAAATCAGGTTTCTCCCGCTGACTCAGGAAGCCAAGAAGATAGCATTGGGGGCCTTCTCTAAGGCAGGAGCATTCCCAGGAACTGTTTTTAAAATAACAAATATAAATTTGCCACATATGTTCTTTGTTTTCGATTCCTTCAACTTAAAAAAATATATTGTTGGCCAGATGCAGTGGTTCACACCTGTAATCCCAGCACTTTGGGAGGCTGAGGTGGGCGGATCACTTGAGGCCAGGAGTTAGAGACCAGCCTGTGCAACATGGTGAAACACGTAGCCATCAGATGGTGCAACCGAGGCAGCGCCCATCCGAGACGTTTGTAGGCCTGAACTGCCACCCTGTGGTGGGAAGAGGAAATATGCAGAGTGCCTTCCTTTCACCCTTTGTGACCAATGCACCAAATCCTGACCACAGTCTCCCCAACCCATTGCAGGCCTTGGACAAAGTGCAGAGAATAAAAATATATGCGCTTGACGGACAGAAACTCCTCCCTGGCCTTATCTGTTTCTCCTGGAAGTAACCCT
The DNA here is from genome assembly GCF_000001405.40 of Homo sapiens. Classification (NCBI taxonomy): domain Eukaryota; kingdom Metazoa; phylum Chordata; class Mammalia; order Primates; family Hominidae; genus Homo; species Homo sapiens. The sequence goes on along the minus strand of NC_000012.12, from coordinate 49,776,341 downwards.
GCCAGTCCTTCCCCCAGCCTGGCATGGGAGGCGGGGGACACTTATCCTACAGTCAGCCCAAAGGTAGAAAGCGTTGGCAAGGGAGCAGGATGGATGGTGAGCCTTGTCTGCTTTTCATACCCTGGCCTTCCTAAAGTCAGGACGCACTTCGGGTGACCTCCCTCCCCATGCCGTGCCTCCACTTTCAGGCCTTCATTTTCTCATCCAACCACGTTGTTAATTTGCAGACCTTCACACCTAGTAGGTGTGAAACGCTGAGCCAGACAGCAGGAATTCAGAGGTGAATGGGGCTCCCAGTTCCAGTGGGTGATGCCAACAGCCCCCAGGTGACTCCAGCCGTGCTGTGATGGAGGGAGGCCCCAGAAGAGGCTCCTCTAACAGTCTTGAGGGCTCAGAGGAGACTTCCTAGAGGAGGCGATATCAAAACTAAGACCTGTGGCCGGGCGAGGTGGCTCACACCTGTAATCCCAGCACTTTGGAAGGCCAAGGCGGGTGGATCACTTGAAGTCAGCAGTTCGAGACCAGCCTGGCCAACATGGTGAAACTCCGTCTCTACTAAAAATACAAAAATTAGGCGTGGTGGCAGGCGCCTGTAATACCAGCTACTCGGGAGGCTGAGGCAGAAGAATCACTTGAACCCGGGAGGCAGAGGTTGCAAGTGAGCCTAGATTTCACTACTGCACTCTAGCCTGGGCGATAGAATGAGACTGTCTAAAAAAACAACAACAAAAAAACCCCCACAGAACAACCTAAGACCTGCAGGGTAGGTACGACTGACCCAGGCAGAGAGGGTGGAGTGAGAGCTCTAGGCAGAAAAAGAAAAATGCCAATCAATGTGTAACAGTGAGGGATCTAGTGGAATATTCTAGCATAAAAATGAGTCTCATCGCTGGGGCACTGAAATATGGGAGGACAGAGGTAAGTCAGAGCCTGGGAAGTATGAGTTTGGACTTTATCTAAAGAGCAAAGATGAGCCATTGAAAAGTTCAGTGTAGAAAGGCCCTTCTAGAAGTAGTGCAGTGGGTTGGGGAGACTGTGGTCAGAATTTAGTGCACTGGTCACAAAGGGTGAAAGGATGGCACTCTGCATATTTCCTCTTCTCGCCACAGAGTGGTAGTTCAGGCCTGCAAACCTTTCAGATGGACTGCAGAGATCCAAGACTAGTGAGGAGGCTGGGACAATAATCCAGGTGAGATTCAGTGAGGCCTAAACCTAGGCAGTGGCAGAGGGGATGGAGAACCGTGGAATCAAAGTTTCCACACACTCCTTAAGTGGTGAGGTGCCTGGGTTTCCTGATGGAGCCTTTGAGATCCATCTAAGTTGTTGTATGTGTCTGTGGTTCATTCTTTGTATTGCAGAGTAGTATTCCATTGTATGGATGTACCACAGTTTGTTTGTTCATTCATTCACATATTGAAGAATATTTGGGTTTGTCCCAGTTGTAGGCTATTAAAAATAAAGCCTCTCTGAACATCTGTGTACAGGTTTCTTTTTATCTTTTTGAGACTGAGTCTTACTCTGTCGCCCAGGCTGGAGTAAAGTGGAGCAATCTCGGCTCACTGCAACCTCCACCTCCTGGGTTCAAGTGATTCTCCTGCCTCAGCCTCCCAAGTAGCTGGGATTACAGGTGCAGGCCACCACACCCGGCTAATTTTTGTATTTTTAGTAGAGATGGCGTTTCACCTTGTTGGCCAGGCTGGTCTTAAACTCCTGACCTCAAGTGATTCACCCACCTCGGCCTCCCAAAGTGCTGGGATTACAGGCATGCTGTGCCTGGCCTCATGTAGAGGTTTCTGTGTGAACACAAATTTTTATTTCTCTAGGGTAAATACCCAGCAGTACAATTGCTGGGTTGTATGGTTAATGTATGTTTAATTTTATAAGAAACTGCGAAATTGTTTTCCAGAGAGTCTGTACCATGTTACCTCACCACCAACGACGTTCAATAGATCCAGTGTACCATGTTACCTCACCACCAGCGACGTTCAATAGATCCAGTTGCTCCACATTCACACGAGCACTCAGTATTATCACTTCAAAAAAATTTTAGCCATTCTAGTAGGTGTGTAGTAGTATTTAATTGTTGCTTTAATTTGCATTCCCTTAATGTCTAATAATGTTGAACAACTTTTTTTTCTTTTTTTTTTTTTGAGACAGGGTCTTGCTCCGTGGTCCAGGTGGGGGTGCAGTAGTGCAATCACAGCTCCCTGCAGCTCAGCCTCCTGGGCTCAAGTGATCCTCCCAACTTCCCAACTCAGCCTCCTGAGTAGCTGGGACTACAGGTGCATGCCACCAAACCCAACTAATTTTTAAATTTTGAACATATTTTCATGTGCAATTTGCCATTTGTGTATCTTCTTTGGTGAAGTAGTGAAGTTCAAGGAGCTGACATTTTTATGGTTTAAAAATGTGCCAAGTTGGCTGGGCGTGGTGGCTCACGCCTGTAATCCCAGCACTTTGGGAGGCCGAGGCGGGTGGATCACGAGGTCAGGAGATCAAGACCATCCTGGCTAACACGACGAAACCCCATCTGTACTAAAAATGCAAAAAATTAGCCAGGTGCAGTGGTGGGCGCCTGTAGTCCCAGCTACTCAGAAGGCTGAGGCAGGAGAATGGTGTGAACCCGGGAGGCAGAGCTTGCAGTGAGCCGAGATCGTGCCACTTAACTCCAGCCTGGGCGACAGAGCGAGACTCTGTCTCAAAAAAAAAAAAAAGAAAAAAAAAATGTGCCAAGTCAGGCTGGGCTCGGTGGGTCATGCCTATAATTTCAGCACTTTGGGAGGTCAAGGTGGGTGGATCATCTGAGGTCAGGAGTTTGAGACCAGCCTGGCCAACATGGTGAAACCCCGTCTCTACTAAAAAAAAAAAAAAAAAAAAAAAAAAATTAGCCGGGCGTGGTGGCGGGTACCTGTAATCTCAACTACTCAGGAGGCTGAGGCAGGAGAATTGCTTGAACCCAGGAGGCGGCGGTTGCAGTGAGACTCTGTCTCAAAAAAAAAAAGAAAAGAAAAGAAAAGAAAAAAGTGCCAAGTCATCCATACGTCTATTCCTAACTTCTTCCCTTAGCTTTAGATTCATATCCCAATGTCCCCTGGCATCTGCAAGGGTGTCCCACACCACTGCAATCTCAGCATGTCAGAGCCAAAACTACCATCCCACCCACAGACCTGGGCCTCCCTAGTGGAAGAACTAACATTTAGAAGTTTTATTATGGGCTGAACACACTTCTAAGTTGTTTACATACAGTAAGACAGGGATCTTGTCATTGTGTGAATATGGTAAAATATACTTACACAGACCTAGATGGCGTAGCCTACTATTCACCTAAGCTCTATGGTATCGCCTGTTGTTCCTAGGCTACAAACCTGTACAGCATCTTACTGTACTGAATACTATAGGCAATTATAGTAACACCATGATGAGCATTTGTGAATTTAAACATAGAAAAGGTACAGTAAAAATATAGTATGATAATCTTTTTTTTTTTTTTTTTAGATGGAGTCTTGCCCTGTTGCCCAGGCTGGAGTGCTGTGGCGTGATCTTGGCTCACCTCACTGCAACCTCCGCCTCGCGGGTTCTAGCAATTCTCCTGTCTCAGCCTCCCAGGTAGCTGGGATTACAGGCATGCACCACCATGCCCAGCTAATTTTTGTATTATTAGTAGAGACGGGGTTTCACTATGTTGGTCAGGCTGGTCTTGAACTCCTGAGCTCGTGATCTGCCTGCCTCGGCCTCCCAAAGTGCTGGGATTACAGGTGTGAGTATAGGACCACCATCATATAAGCAGCGTGTCATTGGCCAAAACATCATATGGCACATGACTGTATTTTATTAATTTAATTCTCACAATAGTTCTATACAGGAAGTACTATTATTACTTCCATTTTACACATGGGAAAATGAGACACAGAAAGGCTGAGTAACTCTCCCAAGCTTGCACAGTTGGCAGGTAGCTGGTAGGACCATCCTGACCCCCTGAGAATCATCCTTGATCTCCTGTCTTTCTCACCTCCCCATGTCTCATTAATCACTAAGGCCTGGAGATTTTACCTCCAGAATATTTTAGTCCATTGTCTCCTGTCCTTATGACTACTGCTCTACTTCACATCATCTTTTCTCTTGCCTGGACCATTATGCCTTTTTTGTTTCTTTAGTTTTCCATGATAGAACATTTCAAACACAAAAGGAGAGAGAATCGTACAATCAATGTCCATTGCCTAGCCACAACCGATATAAACTCATAACCATTCATATTATCTATACCCTCTACTTTCTTCACTCCCTGCCACCATTCAACTATTTTTTTTCTTTTTCAAAAATTCTTTTAGCATTTTGTACACTGACAAAGTGGTAAAAGAAAATGACTGAAACTTAAATGTAAAAGAACACTTCATAATTAATTGTATACATTTATCTTAAATGTCAGTGAAAAATAAACTATTATAAAAAACAGGACAAAGTATATCACAAAGAAGCAAGAATTAGAAAAAAATAATAAAAAGATATCCAACTATGAAAAGTATGGCCCTCTTGGTGCCTTCACACCCTTCTGTTCTGTGTACTGATGTACTTTTCTTGGATAAATGTAGCCCATACTCATTCTTTTTTTTTTTTTTTTTTTTTTGAGACAGTCTTACTCTATCACCCAGGATGGAGTGCAGTGTGTGATCTCAGCTCACTGCAGCCTCCACCTCCCGGGTTCAAACAATTCTCCTGCCTCAGTCTCCTGAGTAGCTGGGACTACAGGTGTGCACCACTGCGCCTGGCCAATTTTTGTACTTTTTTTTTTGAGATGGAGTCTCACTCTGCCGCCCAGACTGGGGGTGCAGTGGCACGATCTTGGCTCACTGCAAGCTCCACCTCCTGGGTTCACGCCATTCTCCTGCCTCAGCCTCCCTAGTAGCTGGGACTACAGGCGCCTGCCATCACGCCTGGCTAATTTTTTTTGTATTTTTTAGTAGAGACGGGGTTTCACCATGTTAGCCAGGATGGTCTTGATCTCCTGACCTCATGATCTGCCCGCCTCTGCCTCCCAAAGTGCTGGGATTACAGGCGTGAGCCACCGCTCCTGGCCTTTTTTTTTTTTTTTTTTTTTTTTCAGTACAGAAGGGGTTTCACCATGTTGGCCAGGCTGGTCTCAAATTCCTGCCCAACTCAGCCTCCCAAAGTGCTGGGATTACAGGCATGAGCCACTGTACCCAGCTTCCCATACTTATTCTTTGGTTGTATATATTCTTCTGTCTACCCCAAGGCTATATTCATGTAGCCATCCAGGCAAGCCAGGACCCCTCAATAATCCACTCTATAATTTAATTTTACCACAATTGGTCATCCGATGATTTGCTATAAGAAGTCACTAGGGATTTGCTTCTGAAGACTCATTTTAACAATCCTAAATCTCACGGGTGGGATCCAGAACCCTCACTCCAGGCACTCCACAAGCCCAACTGAGTATTTTGATGCAAATCTCAGACATCATAGTAATTAATCCATACTTATTTCAGTATGCATCTTTAATTTTTATTTATTTATTTATTTTTGAGATGGAGTCTCGCTCTGTCACCCAGTCTGGAGTGCAGTGGTGAGATCTCGGCTCACTGCAACCTCCACTCCCAGGTTCAAGCGATTCTCTTGCCTCAGCCTCCCGAGTAGCTGGGACTATAGGCGCCCACCACCACACCTGGCTCATTTTTGTATTTTTAGTATAGACCGGGTTTCACCATGTTGTCCAGGCTGGTCTTGAACTCCTGACCTCAGGTGATCCGCCCACCTCGGCCTCCCAAAGTGCTGGGATTACAGGCGTGAGCCACCGCGCCTGGCCAGTATGCATCTTTAAAAGATAACTTTTGAAGAATGCAATCATAACATTATTAGCGTTATGCATTAATAATATTTCTTTATCATGTAGTCAGTGTTTGAGCTGTTATCTATTGCTGTGTAACACAGTGGTTTAAAACAGCAATAAATGTATTATTGCTCACAGTTTCTGTGGGCCAGGCATTCAGAAACAGATTGGTAGATTGGTGAGGCAGTTCTGGCTCAGTGTCTCATGAGACTGTAGTCACCTGAAAGTTTGAAACTGGAGGATCTGCTTTCATGGTGGCTCCTTCCCACTGGCTGGCAAGTCGGTGCTGGCTGTGGGCAGGGGGCTCCAGTCTTCACTTCAAGGCTTTCCACACAGGGCGGCTTGAATGGCCTCAGAACCTGTACTTAGTTTCACTCAGAGCAAGTGATCCAAGGAGACAAGGAGGAAGCTGCAATTCCTCTGAAGACCTGGCCTCAGAAGCCACACACGCTTCTGCAGTGATATTTTGGTCATGCGTGCCAGCCTGCCTCAATGTGGAGAACTCTACCAGGGCACACCAAGGTGAGGATCCTTGGGGGCCATCTTGGAGAATGTGAATCGGGGTTCAAATTGCTCCAATTCTCTCCCTTTTTCTTTTCCTTTTACACTTGGTTTTTTTGTTTATTTTTGTTTTTGTTTGAGACGAAGTCTCACTTTGTCGCCCAGGCTGGAGTGCAGTGGTGCAATCTCAGCTCACTACAACCTCCGCCTCCCAGGTTCAAGCGATTCTCCTGCCTCCGCCTCCTGAGTAGCTGGGATTACAGGTGCCCACCACCATACCCAGCTAATTTTTGTATTTTTAGTAGAGACAGAGTTTCACCATGTTGGTCAGGCTGATCTTGAACTCCTGACCTCAAGTGATCCACCAGCCTCGGTCACCCAAAGTGCCTGGATTACAGGCGTGAGCCACTGCGCCCGGCTATACTTGATTTATTTGAATCAGGATTCAAACAAGATCACATCATTGATTGCATTTTGTTGATATGGCTTATAAGTCTCTTAATGTCTAGGTTTCCTTCCCTCTCTTTTTGGATTTGTTCTTTGCCATATTTTTTGAAAAAAGAAACCAATAGTTTGAACTTAAAGTTTTCTTTTTATTATTAATTGACAGATAAAACCATATATGTGTCCAACATCTTTTGAAGTGTATACACATTGTGGCATGATTAAATCTAGTGAACTGACGTATGTATTATTACCTCACACAGAACTTAATATGATTCAGATTCAATTTTTTCTCCCCAGGCTGGAGTGCAGCGATGCGTTTATGGCTCCCTGCAGCCTCAACCTCCCAGGCTCAACTGATCCTCCCACCTCAGCCTCCCAAGTAGCTGAGACCACAGGTGTATTTTTATATTTTTTTGTAGAGATGGGGTCTTGCCATGCTGCCCAGGCTGGTCTCGAACTCCTGGACTCAAGCAATTCACCCACTTCAGCCTCCCGAAGTGCTGGAATTACAGGTGTAAGCTACCGTGCCCAGCCCAGATTCAATTTTTTTGTTGTTGTTAAGAAAACTTCATTGGTAGGCTGGGCGCAGTGGCTCACTCCTGTAATCCCAGCACGTTGGGAGGCTGAGGTGGGCTGATCACTCGAGGTCAGGAGTTCGAGACCAGCCTGGCCAATGTGGTGAAACCCCATCTCTATTAAAAATAAAAAAATTAGCTGGGCGTGGTGGCAGGTGCCTGTAATCCCAGCTACTTGGTAGGCTGAGGCAGGAGAATCACTTGAACCTGGAAGGCAGAGGTTGCAGTGAGCCAAGATCATGCCACTGCACTCCAGCCTGGGCAACAGAATGAGACATCTCAAAAAAACAAAAACAAAAACAAAAAAAATACACACTTCATTGGTAGTATTTACTTCTATCAGAAGGTATGTGATGTCAGGTTGTCTGTCTTAATATGATGTTAGTGGCCATTCTTTTTTTTTTTTTTGAGACAAAGTCTCACTCTGTCGCCTAGACTGGAGTGGAGTGGCATGATCTCAGCTCACTGCAACCTCCACGTCCCAGGTTCAAGCAGTTATCTTGCCTCAGCCTCCTGAGTAGCTGGGATTACAGGTGTGCACCACCAAGCCCAGCTAATTTTTGTAATTTTAGTAGAGAGGGGGTTTCACCAGGTTGGTAAGGCTGGTTTTGAACTCCTGACCTCGTGATCCGCCCACCTCTGCCTCCCAAAATGCTGGGATTACAGGCTTGAGCCACTGCGCCCGGCATTAGTGGCCATTCTTATATTATCATTATCTACTTTCATTATCAAAAGTGTTTTTGTTTTTTTTTTTTTTTGAGACGGAGTTTCGCTCTTGTTGCCCGGGCTGGAGTGCAATGGTGCGATCTTGGCTCACCACAATCTTTGCCTCCTGGGTTCAAGCGATTCTCCTGCTTCAGCCTCCTGAGTAGCTGGGATTACAGGCATGCACCACCTCGCCCAGCTAATTTTGTATTTTTAGGTTTCTCCATGTTGGTCAGGCTGGTCTCAAACTCCCAACCTCAGGTGATTCACCCGCCTGGGGTCTCCCATAGTGCTGGGATTACAGGTGTGAGCCACTGCGCCCAGCTTCATCAGAGGTTTGATGCAACAGTGCCTCATACCAGGTCTTCAGTAACTGTTGACTTACCCCCTCCATTTCCTACTAGTTTCCTCCAACTTTCCTAGTTAGCAAAACCTGTTTTTGCAGCTCCTTCCTTGCACTCCCCATGCTGGAGCGTACTCCTGTCTTTCCTCGTGCTGATCCCTTGATCAGAAACATCCACTCCCACTGCCTTTCTTAATCTCTTCACTTGCCTCACTTTGACTCAAACTTTGAGATTTAGACTTAGCTGAGGTGTCATCTACAAAGCACTTTCTCTGACCGACCAGACCAGGCTGTGTCTCCTGCTGTTGTCTCATGGCCCACTATGCTTAACTCCTATTCACATGTAATGTTCACATGTGGCTCTCCAGCACTACTCAGTGGTGAAGGACTCCAAGGCAGGAACTGTCTTCTACATCTTTATCCCCAGCTTAAACAAGACAGATCCCCTCATCTGCTCACCATGCTTAGAAAGAACATATTGTTTCTTGGCTGGGCGTGGTGGCTCATGCCTGTAAGTAATCCAGCACTTTGAGAGGCCGAAGTGGGCAGATCACTTAAGGGCAGATCACTTGAGGTCAGGAGTTCGAGACCAGCCTGAGCAACATGGGGAAACCCCCTTTCTACTAAAAATATGAAAAATTAGCTGGGCATGGTGGCATGCACCTGTAATCTCAGCTACTGGAGAGGCTGAGGCAGGAGAATTGCTTGAACCCAGGAGGTGGAGGTTGCTGTTAGCCAAGATCACGCCATTGCACTCCAGCCTGGGCCAGAGTGAGACTCCATCTCCAAAAAAAAAAAAAAAATACTGTTTCTTCTTTCAACCCAGAGGACCTTCCACTTCTGCCGCCCACTAGGGTCTTCCTTGGTCTAGTTTTGGCCTGCAGGTCTCCTACACATGGAAAGAGCTGCTGTTTGTTATCCTCTTCCATTTAATTGGTAATTGGTGGGCTGGCTGGGGGAAGAAAGACTAAAAAGGCCGCTCACTCTTCTACGTTTCTTTGGTTACAAAGATTTGGGGTGGGGAGATTTTGCTCAAACCCCTTCACAATTTCCCTTTCCACCCTTGGCCAGAGCCATAGCCAGGATGTAGGTCAGGATGGAAAGGATGACTCCAGCCCAGGAGGACTAACCTTAACACTGCTTACATAGGTTAACAGTAAAGGATAGGGGCTCTGGAGATAGTGTGCCTAGATTCTTTCTGGGCACACATCTGCCAGCCCTGGAAGTAACTGACCGTACGTAGTAAATACACCATCTTCTTAAACTACTGGGGATGTTAAGCAATCCATGTAAGGCACTTTGTACAGTGCCTGACCTTGTAAACACTCAAAAGGTGTTGCACCTTGTACTTCTCCCCTAGCAGATAAAATGGGGGCTTTAAAGAGTCTTTAGGACCAGTCTTTTCTCAAAGTCAGCAAGAGAGAAAAGATGCTTAAGGAATATTTCCCAAGCTTAAGGAAAATGGCTATCCTTAGTTGGCACGGGCACATGTGGAGTCCGAACAGGTCAACTGGGAGTAACCTAGATGAACCAGTCAGAATAATGGTCAAATTCTAACAGGAAGGCCTGGGTCTACAATGAATATGACAAGCGGAGAACAAGCATGGTAAAATTGAGCTACTAGGCTCGGCATGGTGGCTTAAGCCTATAATCCCAGCACTTTGGGAGGCTAAGGTGGATCGTTTGAGGAACACGAGTTCAACATAACCTGAGCAACATGGTGAGATCCCACCTCTACAAAAATTAAATCAGCGGGGTGCAGTGGCATGTTCCTGTGGTCCCAGCTACTCGGGAGGCTGAGGTGGATCACTTGAGCTCAGGTGACTGAGGTTGCTGTGAGCCATGATCGCATCACTGCACTACAGCCTGGGTGACAGGGCAAGACCATGACCCTGTCTCCAAAAATCAAAACAAAAACACAAACACAGAATTGAGCAACCTGATTGTAATGCAAGTTCCGATTGATAATCTCATATCTGAACTATGACAAGGACTTTTATTATTTTTTTGAGATGGGAGTCTCTGTCGCCTAGGCTGTAGTGCAGTGGTGCGCTCTCGGCTCACTGCAACCTCTGCCTCCCGGGTACAAGCGATTCTCCTGCCTCAGCCTCCCGAGTAGTTGGCACTGCAGGCGCCCACCACCATGCCGGGCTATTTTTTGTTATTTTTAGTTGAGACGGGGTTTCACCTTATTAGCCAGGCTGGTCTCAAAACTCCTGACCTCAGGTGATCCGCCTGCCTCGACCTCCCAAAGTGCTGGGATTACATGCGTGAGCCACCACGCCTGGCCGACTTTTTTTCTCTGTCACCCGGGCTGGAATGCAGTGGTGCATCTCAGCTCACTGCAACCTTCACCTCTCAGGTTCAAGTAATTCTCCTGCCTCAGCCTCCCAAGTAGCTGGGATTACAAGTGCCTGCCACTTTGCCTAATTTTTTTTTTTTTTTTTTTTTTTTGGTGTATTTAGTAGAGATGGGGTTTCACCATGTTGGCCAGACTGGTCTTGAACTCCTGACCTCGAGATCTGCCCACCTTGGCCTCCCAAAGTGCTGGGATTACAGGCATAAGCCACCATGCCTGGCCAACTTTTACATCTTTATTAACTAATGCACTTAGAATACAGCCGGGCAGCAGTGGGTGAACAAAAATACTTGCAGAATGAGTGGGTATCATTTGCCTTTTTTCCATTATGCATCCTCAAACTCCAAAGCTTGGCTGCACATCTGAACCAACTGCACATATCACCACAAACAACATATAGCAAAGGTGGCAGGGGGTGGAGAGGACTGGAAAAAAAACTGGCTTACATATTTGACAGAGAAAATTCTCAACATTTGTGGCATGCTGGGGCTACAGAGTGGGAGGTCTTTGTCTCTGTTCATACTTATGACACGAACTCAATCGTGTCCCACTCCCAGCCCCCAGTAGCAAACCCTGGCAGTATCACAAGCTCCATGACCAGCTGTACCCTTGAATTTAACACAAACACCAGGAAAGGTTAAGGAATTTTCTTTATTTTTTACAAATTAAGACTATGCAGATTTCATATATTTCTGAATCAAAAACACCTTTGTCTTCACAGTATGAGTTAGAATGCAGCCTGAGCTGAAAATCAAGAAACTAGAAAAGAAAGTGGTAGAGATAACTATATTAAAAATCTGTTAGGTATTTTCTTTAAAAGTAGGTGTTTTTTTTTTTTTCTTTCTTTTTTTTTTTTAATATCTTGTCATTCTTGGCACTGTTTCTAAAGAAAAACTCCATTATCCCAAGCAAAAAGCACAGAAGGTGGAGTTTGGCTTCAAGAGATGTTAACTCAAAATCTTAGGCCTAGCAGAGAATCACCAAATTTATGGAGAGTTAACAGGGGTTTAACAGGAAGGAAGTGCCTTTAGTAAGTTCTCAAGCCAGAGGCTGGAGGCAGCAGCTAAATCAGAGGACAGCATCCTCAGTGAAAGTGAGCCATTCGGGGTGGCATGTCACTCCAGGAATAAACACAACTTAGAAACAAATGATTTCGTAGGATAGCACAGTGACATGGTGCACTGTGAACCTGAGGCCACTGTGTCAAACTGTGCACTGGTTGTGAATAGGGAGAGCCAAAAATTATGTCCTACTGGTAATGAGCTTTCAATGGCTCGATCCTCTCACACTGAAGCTCTGTAGAGCAGCTCAGAGCCACAACCACTCCCAACATTGACCCTTCTGGGGGTAGCTGTCTGTGGCAGCCCACAGGAAGGAGCTGGAGATCCCCATTAGGACTGTCCACCCACACTTGAAGCCACAAAACTGCAGGGATTGGGGCTCTCACTGGTTTGGTCGCCTAACTCCCGCCTAAAAGGCCACAAATTTCTGGAAAACAGGTAACAGACCAAAAACTAAAGTGCATCAGTAAAATGAACATTTATCTACTGCCCCGAATCTCTGGCTTGACACTACCTACTGGTGTCCAGTTGGAGACAGACTAAAATGCACTGAAGGACTATTAGGATTGCTGCCTCCTAAGTTATCACAGCCTCGCTCTGTTGATGTGAATGAGGAACTGCTTGGTTGTTAAAGGAGATTTTGCTCCCTGCTGCCCCAAACAGGTCCTTATCTAGGTTTGCTCCCCACTGCCCCAAACAGGTCTGGCAGGATTGGTTACAATGATCTCCAGAGGCTCAACCATTCCCCTTCCCTATCCTTGCTTGGGACATTTAATCACAGCCACCTAGTAGAGGCCGCTCAGTAAGGGGATAACAAACTAAAAAAACAAAAACAGGGCAAGTTTAGGGGAACCCTACGATGCTGTACCTTGATACACATAATCAGCCTTTTCAAAAATGCCTGACAAGAATTAGTCTTTCCTTTGTGCTGAAGTCTTCCCACCCATGGATGGAAGCAGGCTGACTCCCTGAGGGTCAGGCAAGGGGTGGGAAAGGGAACACATTACTTTTGTGAAGGCAAAGCAGAAAGGTGTGTTTGCCAGACCAGCATGGGCAGCTCAGAGGGAGCAAAGCATCCACCAGAAGAGGCTCTCCATTTTCTTTGTAGGGCCTGACAGTTGAGATTTGAGGCTGAGTTAACAATGGGACCACTGAACTTCTTTCCAATGGAAAACTCACGGCCCAGTCCCACAGGAACTGTGCGCATACCAAACAACAATGAGGAAGGAAGGGCCGGGTGGCTCTACCAAACAGTTCAGGTCCACTGGGTGAATGAAGCCTGGTGGGAAAGCGGACTCCTGAAGTTGGCGCCCTCTGCTGGTCCCACTTCTCATCGTGGCGGGTCGACTGCCTGAGTAGAGGAAGAGGCTACAGATGGGGTTGACAAAAAAGGGAGTGAGGGGAACCCCAGGAAGATGAAGCCAAACTCCAAACTATATTCTGCTAATCAGTTTTTTGATCAAAAAATTCAAAATAGAGGAAACCACAAAGTACAAAAGCTTTTCTGATGCTTTTCATTATCACAGAACACACCACCTGTAATGTGTGCAAAAAGGAAATGAGGGGTGGAAGGAGAGGAAGTCTAATTGGGAAAGGCTGGATGGTCACTTCATTTCTTCTCTTTCTTCTTATCCTAGAAATGGAGAAAAATCACCCAATTAATTTTTTGACATTTGACATTCAAGCTAAAACTCTTGAGTGAGCATTTAGTTAGGGACTAGAAGTGAGCCAGACAATTAAAAAGAAATGAGAAATGCTTCCTTAGCTCAGCAAGAACTGAATCTTAACCACATCCTACTGGTGGTTCCCAAAGTTGCCGACAGACCGACCAAGAATAAAGGTTAAGCAGCTGTCCCCACCCCCACCCCAGGAGTGCCGAGGTGGGCTGCCTGACCACTCTAGGCTATTCACAGCCACTACAGCTCAGATCCCAACAGTGAAGGCTGCAGATGGCACTCTATCCTCAAAGAGTGAAACTAGAGGCCAAGACCACCAACCAACCATTAGGCGCGAGAAGTGCTCCACCCTGCAAAGTGAGCATGACTCTGGCATAAACTGACATTCAGAAATAATTTGGTCCAGCAGAATTCTTCATTCAATCTTGGATGGAAGCCCAATGTATTAAGGAATGAAAATTCAGTTGCTTGTTCTGAAACTTGTACATCTGCCTAGTGCTCAGTCCAACCATGGCATAGCCCAGACAGAGCCAGCAATCCTATCTGGTCAACTACTCCCGCTACCACTATGCTATCTCTAAGCTCCATAAGGTCTATAAAGAAAAGCTCATTTCATTTGTTTCCCCCACTGCTTGACTCAACTACGTTAGATACTCATTAGCCCTATATAGAATGCTTCCTTGGAAAAAAAAATTAACAAATGGATAAAATTAGTCTACTTCTGAAATTTACAACGTCCTCCACAATACCTTTCTCTGAGTCACAACTATATAGCCTTTAAATTATTCATGTAGCAGGTTGTGTTTACTGCCACTGAAGCTTTTTTCCCTTTCATACTAAACGCAGGAATTAGTTAAAAAAATTTTTTTTTCACTTGCTGCTTTTTTTCTAACAACTGAAGACTTCTGGCTTACCTCTTACTCAGTGGCCTGCCTTACAGTTACCCTGGACCTAACACAGTGTGTGAGCAAGTTTTCAAATCTGAAGTATACACACATGCCAAGCTCAGGAGCCATTATTGTCTCATCTTTGGGTTGTAGGCTAACTAACCTTTTCATTCATGGCCAGGATCATCATGAGTTTTCTGAAGACAGTAATGAAATCTAAGAAGAGATCAATGCAGTGCCTGAAAGGCAAGAACCAGATTAGGATCTGTACTTCAGACTTTTTTATCCACAAGCCCACAAAGATGCAGAATATAAACCCCACCCCTACCCCCACGAGCCAGCTTCTCCCACACTTTACCCCCAACTAAGGAAGTAAAACTCTGGTGTCTGAGATCCTTTAGACTCATCGAAGTCATGCAGCATAGAGAAAAGAGACTGGGCCAGGCACAGTGGCTCATGCCTGTAATCCCAACATTTTGGGAGGCTGAGGCAGGTGGACTGCTTGAGCCCAGGAGTTCGAGACCAACCTGGGTAACATAGCAAAATCCCGTCTCTACAAAAATTAGCAGGGCATTGTGGCATGTGCCTGTAATCCCAGCTACTGAGGAGGCTGAGATGGGAGGAACACCTGAGCCCAGGGAGCTTGAGTCTACAGTAAGCCATGACAGTGCCACTCTCCTACTGCAGCTTGGGTGACAGAGCAAGCCCTGTCTCAAGCGCTCTGAACTCTGCAGAGGTCCAAGTCTGAACCCTTAACTACCACTAATTAGTCATGAGACTGAGAGAATCACTACATTAAAAAAAAAGTGCCGAGCACAGTGGCTCACACCTGTAATCCCAGCACTTTGGAAGGCTGAGGCGGGCATCACCTGAGTCAGGAGTTTGAGACCAGCCTGACCAACATGGAGAAACCCCATCTCTACTAAAAATACAAAATTAGCCGGGCATGGTGGTGCATGCCTGTAATCCCAGCTACTCAGGATGTTAAGGCAGGAGAAACACCTGAAGCCGGGAGACGGAGGCTGCGGTGAGCCAAGATCACACCGTTGCACTCCAGCCTGGGCAACAAGAGCGAAACTCCGTCTCAAAAAAAAAAAAGTGAGCTGGGCATGGTGGCCCATGTCTGTAATCCCACCACTTTGGGAGGCTGAGGAAGGCAGATTGCTTGAGGCCAAGAGTTCGACACCATGTCCTCACGGGGCAACGTGGCAAAACCTCGTTCTACTAAAATTACAGAAATTAGCTGGACGTGGTGGAGAGTGCCTGTAATCCCAGCTACTAGGGAGGCTGAGGCACAAGAATCGCTTGAACCCAGGAGGCGGAGGTTGCAGTGAGCTGAGATGTTGCCACCGCACTCCAGCCTGGGTGACAAAGCAAAACTGTCTCAAAAAAAAAAAAAAAAAAAAAAAGTGGCTGGGCATGGTGGCTTAAGCCTGTAATCCCAACACTTTGGGAAACCAAGGCAAGAGGACTGCTTGAGACCAATCTGGGCATATGGTAAGACCCCATCTCTACAAAAAATAAATTAGCCTGGCATGGTCGCACGTGCCTGTTGTCCCAGCTACTCAAGAGGCTGAGGCAGGAGTACTGCTTGAGCACAGTAAATTCAGGCTGCAGCGAGCTGTGTTCATGGCACCACACTACTGCCTAGGCAACAGAGCGAGACCCTGTCTCTAAAAAAAGAGTGTATCTTCTACTCATTGTTTAAAAAATACAGAAGTATAAATAGGAAAAGGAGAAAGATCTCTTTCCCTCACTTCTGCTTGGAGGTAGCCACTATGGATATGTAAATATATAGCCACCCCCCAACACTTTTTTTTTTTTTTTTTTTGAGAAGGAGTCTCGCTCTGTCGTCCAGGCTGGAGTGCAGTGGTGCAATCTCCGCTCACTGCAAGCTCCGCCTCCCCGGTTCACACCATTCTCCTGCCTCCGCCTCCTGAGTAGCTGGGACTACAGGTGCCCGCCACCACGCCCGACTAATTTTTTGTATTTTTAGTAGAGACAGGGTTTCACCGTGTTAGCCAGGATGGTTTCGATCTCCTGACCTCGTGATCCGCCTGCCCCGACCTCCCAAAGTGCTGGGATTACAGGCGTGAGCCACCGTGCCCGGCCCCCACACTTTTTTTTTTTTTTTTTTGAGACAGGGTCTCGCTCTGTTGCCAGGCTGGAGTGCAGTGGTGCAATCTTGGCTCACTTCAACCTCCACCTCCTAGGTTCAAATGATTCTTATACCTTAGCCTCCTGAGTAGCTGGGATTATATACATGTGCCACCATGCCCAGCTAATTTTTTTATATTTTTAGTAGAGATGGGATTTCGCCATGTTGCCCAGGCTGGTCTCAAACTTCTGAGCTCAAGCGATCCAGTGGCCTCAGCCTCCCAAAGTGCTAGGATTATAGGTGTGAGCCACCACACCTGGCCTATTAGCCCAGATTTTTAAAAAATCTGAAATCTTTCAGGAATTGAGGAAGATTATGGTACACAGTTCCAAAACCGTGGGTTTCCTACCACATACACTCCCAAAGCTTGGCCACCTATGTTCAGCCAATGCCAACCTAAGTTCAGCTGCTGAACGGTATGCCTCAACCTTCATGCTTGTTAAAGACTAGTTCCCACACTCACCAGATATAATCTTGATCTCCATGTTCGGCCTTTTCAATAATGAGTTGAGTATCAAAAAGGACGAAGCCACACATGACCACCAGTCCCACATACAGGTTTGCCTAACAAATGTAAGAGATGAAGTTACTATACAGCAGAAGTTGCAGAGAAAAAAAAACCAGCCATACTTTCTGGCTCATAGTCACTTGAAAGTACATCAAATGTGAACCCTATGAACATTACCATTCACGAGAACTGCAGCCTAGGGTGAAGACCACTTTACTTCCCTAGGCACAATACTGCACTGGTCACTGGAAGAGTTTCAATCATTTTAACAATCAGCCACTGCCAGACTGGCCTTACACAAATGGTGTCTGAGCAAACCATTTTCTCTTAGCAATGCCCAACCTTGTGCAGCCTGTTTTCACTTGTGGCAGAAGGCTCCATCCTATGAAGGATAATGGGAAGGCTTAGAGAGCACTGCCCAAAGTAGTACAGAAAGAAGTGCAAAAAAAAAAAAAAAAGGAAAGAAAGAAGTGTGAGGCAAATGGCTGCTGGAAAGTTCCAGGCTAAGTCTTACCTGGAAAAGCCAAATGGATCCAAAGAAAACATTCCCCAGGGAAGACAAAAGCAACAAGCTCAGGGCTGACATCAAGATACCTATAAGACACAGCAAAAAGCTGTCTTGAGAGAAGCCAAGGCAAAGTAAAGCAATCCCATTAAAGCCATTCCTTAACTTCCCCCAGAATGAAGGTTAATCTCAACTCAATAGTCGCAAAGGAGTTAGGGGTAAGGAAGGAGTACTAGTGAGAATTCTGGCTAAAAAGGAGCCCCCATTCCCTGTTTCCCAGTTCACACTTACCTCCCAGAAAGAGGTAGCTACGGCGCCTGGCATAGAGTGCACTGAGGGTGAAGCAGGTAAAGATCATTGCCGTGCCCATGAAAGCAGTGGGAAGGATGCTGTTAGAAAAAAAGACCATTAGATTAAGGGCTACAGGTATACGGTCTACATTTAGAAGGTATATTCATAAAGATAAAAGCACATAAGACACTACCAAAAGAGTTACCTGGGGTTGACAGCAATACAAAACTCCAGGGCAGGGCCCAGGCCAACTCCTAGAAAACAGAAAACCCAGAACACAGTATTACGATCAATTCTTGAATAGGATCCTCATCCAAAAGCTGATCCCGAAATATAGGCATACTCATGCTCTTAACAAACGTGGACTAAAGAATTAAATCTCTCTCCCCTCCGCTGTAATTGTTTTCAATAAAATGTATACCTGACTGCGTTGTTTTTTTTTTTTTTATAGAAATAGCTGCAAAATTGTCCTCTTAGCTGAAAATCATGGATGACCTCAGGGAGGGTACAGAGATTACAAGAAAATAAAGTAGGCATGCCAAACATTTCAGAGCTAGAGTGATGTAAGATGGTAATATAGGCCAGATCAGGAATTAGAAAAAAAGGATAAAGAGCAAAACAGTGCCTCGTGGCCAGCAACCTTATAGTCATGTAGGACTGACTCCCCTTTGTAGCAAAGAAAGGTGAGACTGGTTCTGCAGGTGGACACCTGCCAACAGGAGGGCAACCTGTTCCAGCTCTAACATTTCTTTCGTTCTAATTACTTTCCTCTTTCCTTCTGATAATTCCACCCCTTAATGCCTTCAAAAACTAGCTTGCCCTGATGCAAAAATTTTAATCCCTAAATCTCTTCCTTTCTAAAATTTCTCCTACGTATATTAGACTGTCACTCAGAACAAGCTGTTCTAATTCAAATGTTTTGCAAACATTTTTATTACATAGCTTGAGTCTTGTTTCCTTTATGACAATTCTAGAAGAGCTGTGCCTTTCTTTTTTTGAGAATCAGCAAAGTGTCCTGCACAATAGATCTCAATGTATAGCTTTAATGCACTGTCTGTAAGACTCAGAACAGAAGCTCCTATGATAATTGCCAGTATGGGTGCAACTATGTCGGATTCTCAAGTCTAGTTTATTAAAAGTTCTATGCCTACTATTAATAGGTTATGCTACCTAAGCTCTTGAACCTCATTCATTCAAGTACACAATGGCTATTTTTGGACACAAAAGTAGAGTCACAGTGGCTACTCACAGAGTTTCCCCTAATGGATGGGGAAACAAAATGAACCTATATGAGATTAGAAAGCAGGCCAGGAAGGCCAGGCACAGTGGCTCACGTCTGTAATCCCAGCACTTTGGGAGGCTGAGGCAGGTAGATTACCTGAGGTCAGGAGTTCGAGACCAGTCTGACCAACATGGTGAAACCCCGTCTCTACTAAAATACAAAATTAGGGCCAGGGGCAGTGGCTCATGCCTGTAATCCCAGCACTTTGGGAGGCCGAGGTGGGCGGATCACGAGGTCAGGAGTTCGAGACCAGCCTGGCCAACATAGTGGCCCATCTCTACTAAAAATACAAAAGATTAGCTGGCGTGGTGGTTGATGCCTATAATCCCAGCTATTCGGGAGGCTGAGGCAGGAGAATCGCTTGAACCTGGGAGGTGGAGGCTGCAGTGAGCCAAGATCGTGCCACTGCACTCCAGCCTGGGCAACAAGAGTGAAACTCAGTCTCAAAAAAAAAAACAAAAAAACAAAAAAAAGCGCTGGGTGTGGTGGCTCATGCCTGTAATCCCAGCATTTTGGGAGGCTGAGGCGAGCAGATCACGAGGTCAGGAGATCAAGACCATCCTGGCCAACATGGTGAAACCCCGTCTCTACTAAAATACAAAAAATTAGCCGCTGTAGTCCCAGCTACTTGGGAGGCTGAGGAAGGGGAATCGCTTGAACCTGGGAGGCAGAGATTGCAATGAGCTGAGATCTCGCCACTGCACTCCAGCCTGGCCACAGGGTGAGACTCCATCTTAAAAAAAAAAAAAAAAAAAAAAGCCAGGAGGCAGGGTACTATGGCTCACGCCTGTCATCCTAACACTTTGGGAGGCTAAGGTGGGTGGATCACTAGGTCAAGAGATCAACACCATCCTGGCCAACATGGTAAAACCCCATCTCTACTAAAAATACAAAAATTAGCCGGGCATGGTGGCACATGCCTGTAATCCCAGCTATTTGGGAGGCTGAGGCAGGAGAATCGCTTGAACCCGGAAGGCAGAGTTTGCAGTGAGCCAAGATCACGCCACTGCACTCTCTAGCCTGGGTGACAGACGGAGACACTGTCTCAAAAAAAAAGGAAAAAAAGGGCCAGGCACGGTGGCTCATGCCTGTAATCCTAGCATTTTAGGAGGCCGAGACGGGCGGATCATGAGGTCAGGAGATCAAGACCATCCTGGCTAACACGATGAAACCCCGTCTCTACTAAAAATGCAAAATATTAGCCGGGTGTGGTGGCAGGTGCCTGTGGTCCCACCTACACGGGAGGCTAAAGCAGAAGAATGGTGTGAACCTGGGAGGCGGAGCTTGCAGTGAGCCAAGATCAAGCCACTGCACTCTGGCCTGGGCAACAGAGCGAGACTCTGTCTCAAAAAAAAAAAAAAGAAAAAAAAAGGGGGGGGAACTAATTAAGAGATACTGAAAATATAGCTCACCCCTCAAAATTAGACAAATCCCTTAACGTACCTGTAAGGAATGCAAATCCAGCAAGAAGTCCCAGTCTTTTCTGTTCAGTTTCATGGCTATGAGGTGTTGCCATCAGCCAAATCATCAATATCAGGGAGCCCAAGGCAGACAGCAGGCCAGCCTGTTAGAGTCAGAATCAATCAATCATTAAACACTTGAAAGTTTCAAATTTATTTTGCAAGAGACCTTTATTGGGTTCAAACACTCGTCTGAACTTCCTAACATTTGCTTATAACCTGGAGGCAGGAGAAAAAGTAGTGTTTTCTCAGGGATGGGGCTGAGGAGATAACCCAGAAGCCTTGAAGCACAGAGTTAGGACCATGGTGGATGCTGGAGGCTCTTCTGGCTTGCGTAGTCCTTCAACTACAGTACAACTACCCAAGTCAAACTATGAGTGAGTCTTGCCCAAAAAATAGAAAGGATGAATGAAACGTGACAAGTGCTTAAAGTACATTCCATCTGTAGAACAAATAGAAATGATCCCCCTTTGGTCACTTTAAAAAAAACATGGTGGCTCACGCCTGTAATCCCAGCACTTTGGGAGGCCGAGGTGGGCAAATCACCTGAGATCAGGAGTTCGAGACCAGCCTGACCAACATGGAGAAACCCCGTCTCTACTAAAAATACAAAATTAGCCAGGCATGGTGGCACACGCCTGTAATCCCAGCTACTCAGGAGGCTGAGGCAAGAGAATTGCTTGAACCCAGGGAGGCAGAGGTTGCAGTAAGCCAAGATCACGCCATTGCACTTCAGCCTGGGCAACAAGAGTGAAACTCCGTCTCAAAAAAACAAAAACCAACAAACAAAACCCCCAAACACCAAAACACCAAGACACATACATATACAGAAGACTGCAAAGTACTAAAATGTTAACAGTAGTTATTTCTGGATGATGGGATTATGGAAGTTTCTAAAATACTTCCTTCTCATTGCTAGTCTGTTTTCTGAATTTTCTAAAATGAACACATATTAGCTTTGTAGTAAGAAAAAAGTGTTTCTTTTTTTAAAAACGCCAAGTGGGAAAAACTATAGGCATTAGAAAAAAGAGAAATCATTAAGGATGGACGTAGACACTGAAGTTCCTTCCTTCCTTTAAAGGAAGAAGTTGATTCTCATTATTCAGTGTTTATGTTATAAAATCACAGTGGACAATGAATTAGTAAACCCTTGTTCCTGAGGGAAATAAAAGGTAGGTAGGTTCCTGCAAGCCTAAGGTCACAACATTTTCATCAAATGATCAATAGATACCTTGCTTTTATATGTGTTTCTGTTTAAGGACACCTCATTTGACATTATTTTTGATTCCTTAACATTGAACTCACAGTTACAACAGCAGTACAACTCATGCCGGAATGAAGCTTATCTAATATACACATTTTCTTCATAAGGCACATTACGGTCTTTCTGCACTCAGGAATACTAGACAGCACTTCAGCACTATGCTGTTTGCATTCTGAACAGCAAAATTAAGCCAAGCATGGTGGCATGTGCTTGTATTCCCAGCTACTTGGGAGGCTGAGGTGCGAGGATCAATTGAGCCCAGGAGTTTGAGACCAGTCAGGACGACACCACAAGACCTCCACTCAAAAAACCCAGCAAAATCACCAATTAAAAGCACAAAAATACAAAGGAAGTGGCACTAAATGACCATGAAAAGAACATTTGTTTACAATACGAGAACTGAAACAAGAAGGCAGAGCACTGTCTTGTTCAACCTCAGCTGAAAACACTGCAACAGCAGGGTGACTCAACTTTTTCACCACTCTGTGACTGTCTGCAAAAAGTGCCATGAGTAACAGAGCGAGACTCTGTCTCAAAAAAAAAAAAAAAAGTGCCATGAGTATTGATTTTGGGGTTACAAATTTTAATGAGTAGGTGAATTCACAAATATAGAGTCTGTGAATAACAAGGATTGACTGTATTTTACTAAATTATTTAAGGGCTAACCTTGCCTAAAACTCAAGCGATCAAAGCCCTATCCTTTGAGTGTCTAAAGTAATTTTTCACACAATCCCTGCCAGGAGATGCCTGAACATAAGGATAGTTCTCAACAGTGGCAAATGCCAACAGAGGCCCACCTCTACATTTATGCTAAAAGGAATACTCTACAAAGGCACAAGACTATGTTAGGGAGTCTTCAAACTTTCTGGTTATTCCTCAAACTGTACCTTCTACTCCTGCTGACCAAACCCAGATTCTCTCTCAATACAGGAAAACAAATTGTTGAAGGTTTTTACCCAACCATGCAGACAACAGTTATCGGAAAATAAAACAGGTCAATTCCTTAAAAAGATCTCAATCCTGCCTCTCCTGATAGTTAATCACACAATCAGAGTTTTGTAAAGGAAGAATGGAGGAAAAGATAAAAAAGCTTCTGTGCCAAAGAATCCCAGCATGCATGCCATGCGCCTACTCAGTGGGTGGGGGTCTTGTACGTCAGCAGCACACCATTCAGTGCCAAGGTTAAGGCATTCTGTTTTTCGGTATCTAGAGGGGGCACAGTTGCCAGAAAATTAAAATGGCTTTACATGTCCTGATTTAATGTCTGAGTTTAAATCCTAAACTACTGATAAAGATTAAAGAGAGGAACAGGGTCCCTTGGACCACCTTGCTGAGCTGGTTTTTTCCTAATGTAATTTGTACCACAGCAACCAGGAGAGAAAATCGTTCTTACCTGAATGAAATGAGTGACCATATGGACATAGGCCCCTGCAGCCGCCACAAACATACAAAGGGCAAAACTTGCATAGACCTTCTTCAGGTGCTGCTGCGTTGACGGGGTTCTAAGAAAAGAATGTGAATAAGAGCAATCAGTCCCAGATCAATCTCATATTTAAGCTAAGAAGAATCATTTCTCTCTTTCCCTTCCTGGGAATATGTAAAAGTTCTGTTACAAATAGTTTGAAATACTTTTAGGAAAGCATATTACAATAAAAAATAATATTTTGAAAATAGGTTAACAGAACCTTAAATGCTGAGGAAGACCAAATGCCCAAAATTATGAATAATCAGTACCCAAACTAGAATAAATGCCTTTCCAATAACCACACAGCAACGTGTAGAATTTGGACATTTTCATCAGGTCCTCTGGATTCTGGCCAAGTTAATTTGTTAGCTTATACACACAAAAGTTATAAATGCAGAAAAGGGACAAAGAGATATGAAAAGAAATGCAGTACAAAACCAGTCAAGGTCAAAACACTTACATATGAGAAAATTTTAAAAGCGCATCAAAGTTGATCTTTCGATCAAATATGTTCATGGTTCCAGAGTCCGTGCAGCAGTCTCCACTCTGCAGAATAAAGAAAGGTTAGAGTCATTAAGTCATACAGAATCACACGAACAGCTTATAAAAAAAAAAAAAAGCAACATGTAAGTTCAGAAAGATGAAAACTTGCCTAAAATTCTACAGCCCTAACACAACCATTTTTATTTTTATGTGTCCTACAATATATTTGCAATCATAGTCAACCATCTTAAAGACGACAGAGGAATTGAATGCATCTTCTTCTCCCTCAAACTATTTTGTTACTATCATCTGATTTCTATTCTTTCAGGTGATTTGCCACTTTAAAAGGCAGTAAGTTTATAAAAGAAATTCTCAATTAACAATCTAGTTAAAGGAACCTAGACATTGGCACATAAAGCAATTTTATGTCATTGTTTCAAGATGCTAAAGAATTCCCTTGGCTGGGCATAGTGGCTCACTGAGGCCTATAATCCCAGCACTTCTGAGAGGCTGAGGTGGGCGGATCACCTGAGGTCAGGAGTTCGAGACCAGCCTGGCCAACATGGTGAAACCCTGTCTCTACTAAAAATACAAAAATTAGCTGGGTGTGTTGGCACACACCTGTAATCCCAGCTACTCAGGAGCCTAAGACAGAAGAATTGCTTGAACCTGGGAGGCAGAGGCTGCAGTGAGCCAAGACACGCCACTGCACTCCAGCCTGGGCAACAGGGCAAGAGTCCATCTCAAAAAAAAAAAAAAAAAAAAAAATTATCTCACTAGCAGCACCTCAAAGATAAAAAACAAAACTTTGACTAGTCTTAACAAAACAAACAAAAACTATAAAGCTGGGTCTGGCATTAAGACTTGCATTTTAAATATATGCGTATCAAATTTTCTTAACCTAACACATTTAAGAACTGAACTGAAAAGGACTCACAATTTTAAAAAAAGAGAGGTTCCTACCTCCATAAAAAAGGAATTTATGCAGAAAGGAGGATTTTTTGGGGGGTATTTTTTTGACAGTTTCAGAACCTTTCCTACAGAAAGGTTAGAACAGTACAAAGAATTCCTGTACAACCTTCACCCAGATTTCCTAAATGCTAATATTTCACATTTGCTTCATCTTCTTTCTATATAGCAATATATAGACAGATGTAAAAATATTTTTTCCCTAACCATACAGACACAGTGCTCCTAAACACTTCAGTGTGTATATCCTGAAAGCAATGATCAAAATCAGGATATTAATACTAATGCAATACTATTTCTAATCTGCAGACCTTATTCAGATTTTTGCCAACTGTCCCAATGTCAAAAAGGGCATTTTTAAACTGAACTATATCCAGGTTAGATCATATCAACACCATAAAGTCAAGTTCTTAAGTTTTGCTCCCTCCCCTATTTCACATGCAATCCTAAGTAAACGTGTTCAATCTACAGTACTAAAGATCCAGTCAAGAACTTTCATCTCTTCTAAATATAAATCCTCCAAACTCCTATCAGGGCCATAATGCCCATCCATTTTAAATCTACCAGAAAAGGAGGGGCAGGGAGGAAGGGATTCAAACATAAAGTTGTGTGAAACGCCACCTACTGAATGAAGCACTCTAATCAGCACCCAGCCCAACACTCAGAACAATTCATCTAGGTAATAATAAAAGTTACAGTCCCCAAACAAATTTCCTAAGGAATCCTGGGCCAGTGGAAAGATATAAACATCATCTGCTTCCTGAGGCTCTCTCCCACAAATGAAACAATCACAATGGCTGGCTTGCTTTCTCTGGTTTCTTCTTTCCTTCTCTCATTAACATCACTACTCACCTCAGAACTTTTGTTAATTCTGTTCTTAAGGACAGATACAGTGAGAAGCTGCAGAACCTACTAAGGTTGTTGCTCTCTCCTCTGAGTCACACGGATCTGGGCCCTCTTGATCTAGATGGTGCAATTATTGCAGGTTGTTACAAGGCCAACCACAGCCTTCCATAACCAAGATGAATATGACTATGTCCTCTAGAGAGCACACTTACAGCATGGCAGAATTCAGCACCTGGAAAGTGTCTTTGTTTAAGGTTTCCCATTAACACCCCTAATGACATCCCTAGACAGCACTTACAATAATACTGAAGCAACTTTCAGAGCCAAGTTTCTCAGTATTCACAACAGCAATGCTAAAGAACCTCTTGCTTCCAATTACAAGAATTAAAGAAAGGTAAGGGATGGAGCGGGGTGGATCCTCAAACGCCCAGGGGATTCTAAGAAAGAGGCAATGCTCATGTAACCAGACCCTGCTTGGCGGAATCTGTTCGAGGGGAGAATGGCAGAAACTCCCCTTTCTCAGATACTTCTCTGACGTTTCCCAGGGGGTACTGACTGCCTCTTTCTGGTTCTCTCTTAACAACTGTTGATGGAAAAACCAAAACCATCAAAGGCTGTGTGGGTTGGGGCAGGGGGATGAGATGTCAAACGGCAATTTCACTTTGATTTAATAGAAGCTTGTGGTTTGAAATCATTAAAAAATAACTAAAACTTCTGTTTTTCAATATCAGTATTTCAAAATTTAAAACAAAACATGTAACTACCAAATATTATAGACGCAAAAGGGCACAGCAATTTTATTAGCTTTATGGAGAAAAAAAAGAAACCTGGTAAAGCAGATGGTCCCTGACTTACCAGGGTTGACCTATCACTGGGAGAAATTGATACTCATTCGGTACACTCCTTGATTTGCGATGGCTTACATCTGGATACACCCATTGTAAATTAAAAATATCGTTGACTCAAAAATGACTTACAGGTTGGGCACAGTGGCTCACGCCTGTAATCCCAGTACTTTGGGAGGCCGAGGCAGGTGGATCACTTTGACGTCAGGAGTTCGAGACCAGTCTGGCCAACACGGCGAAACCCTGTCTCTACAAAAAATACAAAAATTATCTGGGCATAGAGGCACGCCCCTGTAGTCCCAGCTACTTGGGAGGCTGAGGCAGGAGAATCACTTGAATCCAGGAGGTGGAGGTTGCAGTAAGCCGAGATCACACCACTGTACTCCAGCTTGGGCAACACAGCGAGACTCCGTTTCAAAAAAAAACAAAAATGACTTACAAAAAGAAAAGGACTTACATTTTCAACTTACGGTATTTTCAACTTATGATGGGGTTTTCCAGATGCAGCCCCGTCTTGAGGAGCATCTGTATACATTTAATGTATATGACACAATGTACAGATGACAATTTCAGAAATGTTAAAATGTGAGAGGGAATACATAGGTCTTAGAATCAAAGAAATATGATAGTTTGCTCTAGAGCTGTTCCAAATAGACAAGAATATACAGATAAGTAATGAGATCAAACTGTTCTGACAAGTTTTGCCAGATAAAATAAACTTACCAAGTTTCAATCTTAGCTTCAACTAGCGAAGCTCAGAAAAGATACCTACATTTCAATGGCCGATATGCAAACTCAGCCAAACAAGATTAAGTTGCACTTAACTCAAAAATAGCAGCTCTCATATCAAGTATTTTCCATTCTAGGAGCAATCAGCTCTTAAGAGCTTGAAGTATTATATTCAGTACCATTAACCAAGTAACTCGCTAACATTCCAGAGGAGCCCACAGTTAAATGAAAATCTTTGTTTTAAAAAAACACATTAAAATGTTATAGTTTACCACAATAAAGAAAAAAAGTACATTACAAGCTGCTAAAAAATTCAATACAGCAGTCCTTTCACACCTCTAAGCCTATTACTTACTAATTCAATTCTAAAATAAAGAGGAGGGGTTATTTACATAGAATACAATGTGGATAGTGCCTCCTGGAGTTGTGGAAAATCTGCCTATACTGCGTTTGTAACTGAAAAGTAAATGTTCAGGTGTTAATCATAACCAAATTCCTCTAATTTCATTCAGAGCCTCCTGTTATGCCTTCATCCCAGGAGAGGAAAACCTGTCAGAAGCTGTCAACATGTCATGCACATACTGCTAAAGTTTTGCTGAAGTGTCATCATTCTGTGGTATCCCTGACCAGCCTCCTCTGCCAGAGCCATGCAAAAACAAAAAGCTAAGAGCTTAATACATAGCTCTCCCAAGAAAAAACTCAAGTAAACACAATTGTTTGAGTTAGATATTCCTGTGGTCTGCTTTTGCTTGGGAAGACAGGGACAGCAGGGGCTGGTAGGAGGAGACAGGCATTCTTAGCAGTGGACATCTAGGTCATGTTAAATGCCTTGTTTTGTTCTAGGTATCTCCCTTACCCTTGTCCTAAAATGAAAGACTATTATCAAGGGTCCAGCCTTAAATTAAAAACAAAACAAAACAAAACAAAAAAAAAACAGGCTGGGTGCGGTGGCTCACGCCTGTAATCCCAGCACTTTGGGAGGCAAAGGCAAGCAGATCATGAGGTCAGGAGTTGGAGACCAGCCTGGCCAACATGGTGAAACCCTGTCTCTACTAAAAATACAAAAATTAGCTGGGCGTGATGGCGGGCACCTATAGTCCCAGCTACTCAGGAGGCTGAGGCAGGAGAATCGCTTGAGCCAGGGAAGCGGAGGTTGCAGTGAACTGAGATCACGCCATTGCCCTCCACCATGGGTGACAGTGCGAGACTACGTGTAAAAAAAATTTAAAAATTAAAAAAAACACAACCATTCTCTTCAGTCCTATTCCCACACACCTAGGAGCTACAGTGAACATGAAACATGCTGAAGTAGCCAAAAGCTATGCAAAACAAAACTATCGTGGATTTAGTATGCGTTCTATGCAATGCTGGAGCCAAGACAGACTTTGCCTCAGTGTGTACAGCAACATTAAAACAGCAAGTCAAAGAAACACTGTTCGCACATTTAATTAAATATCAGTTTATGTTTTATTATGAAGACAATAAAGTCTCAAGGTTATGTTCACTTCCAAAAAACAAAAAAGGAAAAAGGCCATGCACAATGTCTCACACCTGTGAGCCCAGCACTTTGGGAAGCCAAGGTGGGAGGGTCGCTTGAGCCCAGGAGTTCCAGACCAACCTGGGCAACACAGCAAAACCTCATCTCTGCAAACAATTAAAAAATTAGCTGGGTGTGGTGGTGTGCGCCTGTTGTCCCAACTACTTGGGAGGCTGAGGAAGGAGAATTGCTTGAGCCCAGGAATTTCAGGCTGCAGTGAGCCATCATCATGTTGCTTCACTCCAGCCTGGTAACAGAGCAAAAATGTGTCACTGCACCCCAGCCTGGGCAACACAGCAAAACCGTTTTATAAAATTAAAACAAAAAAATTAGTTTGTCAATTACATGGTTCTTTCTTCCTGTTGTATAAATTCAACCATCCTGAACCTTGTTCCCACATATCTAGAAGGGACCAAATTGATACTTAGAAGAAAAATCCCATATAGTTTAAAAGAGGGGAAAGGGCTGGGCACGGTGGCTCATGCCTGTAATCCCAGCACTTTGGGATGCCTAAGTGGGTGGATCACCTGAGGTCACGAGATCGAGACCAACCTGGCCAACATGGTGACACCCAGTCTCTAGTAAAAAAATACAAAAATCAGCCAGATGTGGTGGTGGGCGCCTGTAATCCCAGCTACTCAGGAGGCTAGGGAAGGAAAATCGTTTGAACCCAGGAGGCAGAGTTTGCAGTGAGCCGAGATTGCGCTACTGCACTCCAGCCTGGGTGACAGAGCCAGACTCTGTCTCAAAAAAACAAAAACAAAAAAAGGAGGGGGAAGAACTGTTAGTAATTTGTCAGTAGTTTTTTTTCTTCTTCTTCTTCTTCTTCTGTGTTTTTGGCCAAGAAAGCTTTCCATTCATTAGTTTTTACTACTGAGTAATGTTCATACACTGTATAACCATGTCCCCTGCATAGTGGTTAAGACTGCCTGCTACTTCTGAATCCTAGTTATTTCCTTAGCAGTGGGACATGCAGCAAGCTGCTGGCACTTAACCTCACTGTACTTCAGTTTCACCTACCATGTGTAAAATACTAGTACATAACAATCCTTATTTCCTAAGGTTGCAGATTAGGTGAGATAATACAAATAAAGTTCTTAAAATAGCTCTTTGTACATAGAATGAGTTCAATACATGGTAACCATTGTTATTACTGGTGTACTAACATTGTTATTACTGGTGTACTCATTACTACAATATCTTCAGTAGATTATTCTCTTTTAAAAGTCTAGTTTTAGCCTGTAATCCCAGCACTTTGGGAGGCTGAGGCAGGCGGATCACTTGAGGTCAGGAGTTCGAGACCAGCCCAGCCAACACAATGAAACCCCATCTCTACTAAAAATACAAAAAATTAGCCAGGCGTGGTGGTGGGCGCCTATAATCCCAGCTACTTGGGAGGCTGAGGCAGGAGAATGGCTTGAACCCAGGAGGCGGAGGTTGCAGTGAGCCGAGATTGCACCACTGCACTCCAGCCTGGGCGACAGAGTGAGACTCTGTCTCAAAAAAGAAAAAAAAAAAAAGAGAGAAAAGAAAATTATAAACTGAAACATAAAGGCACTTGAAAAATCTCATTACTGGTAAAAGTATAGATGCTCGATTTACAATGAAGTTACATCCCAATAATCCCATTGTAAACTGAAAGTATCGTAATTTATGCACTTACTACATATAACCTACCAAACATTATAGCTTAAGCCTAGCCTACCTTACCTTAAATGTGCCCAGAACGCTTACATTAGTCTGAAGTTGGGCAAAACTATCTAACGCAAAGCCTACTTTATAATAAAGTGTTAAATATCTCATGTGAAAATATCATACCAGATATCCCTAGTCTGGGAAAAGATGGAAATTCTAAATGTGCTGGGTTTTTTTTTTTGAGACAGAGTCTCGCTCTGTTGCCCAGGCTGGAGTGCAGTGGCACGATCTCAGCTCACTGCAACCTCTGCCTCCTGGGTTCAAGTGATTATCATGCCTCAGCCTCCCAAGTAGCTGGGATTACAGGTGTGTGCCACCATGCCCAGCTAATTTTTGTATTTTAAGTAGATACAGGGTTTTGCCATGTTGGCCAGGCTGGTCTCAAACTCCTGACCTCAAGTGATCTGCCCACCTCGGCCTCCCAAAGTGCTGGGATTACAGGCATGAGCCACCATGCCTGGCCTGAAGTACAGTTTCTAGCAAACAGGTAGCACTTTTGCATCATTATAAAGTAAAAAATCATTAAGTCCAATCATCATAAATTGGGGCCCGTCTGTACTTTTGTTTAAATGGCATACCTTTCTTCTAGCACATTTATACTATCTCTCTTGTCCCACAGGGCCATGGACATTTTGAGACAGCCTAATAGCCACTAAGTGATAATCTGATATGGTAAAGGATTTGATGAAGTAAATGCGCAAAAGCTTGATGCTTTCCCTGCCACTCCCAGGAGGTAGGTCAGTTCAGTTTCGGAACCATCCAAGGAATTGTTTCATTCAACTAGGACCAAGCTTTGATCTTCCCAGGTGGACACCCTAGATGTCCCCGCCTCTCCCTTAACTTGGACCCAAATCCCTGGATTAGCTAATACTGAATCCATCTCCTCCAGGGGGCTGCCTCAAAACCAAACCAGTAACTGGAGATGAAATGCCTACTGCCTTCAGTAAATTATTTTTTGTACCAAACGTTGACACTACTTCATCTCCCTCTCTATAACGTTTGACAGATACTGAATCCTAAGAAGGCCCCAAAATCCTAAATACATAATCTTCTTCCAGTATAAACCAGTAATCCCTCCCTAATAACACCATATTTAGCCCAAATGGGGAGCACACATAAATTAAGACAAACAGCATACCCACTTCACCCTCACTGGTGAAGCTCCTTTTTCACGTGTTTTGGATTCCAGTTAATTGTGCAGAAACTTCTCACCCTGAGGGCAGAGCTTGCATCTGGTTCAGCTCAGCTATCCCCAAGATTTAAGCACTACAAAGTCTCTAGAGCAAATTTAGACCCTATTATCAGATCAAGAGTGCTGTAACCTCAAATCAACATTCCCCAGCTGGCTCAGAGTGGAACCTACCTCAAGGGGTCACTTAGGTAACCTTTAAGTCAAGGAGACAGCCTTTCTCTCCTTGGTCTCGAACACCATCTTTGGAAAACAAAATGTGTATAAAAACTACGAAGGGCTGCATGCAGTTTGGTTAGAAACTCTGGGGGAACAAAACAGAGTGGTAGAAGACATTTCTACCAGATTCTACAACCAGGTCAAAGTAGTAAAGGAAAAAAAATCAGAAGTTAGAGCATCAGAATATTCAATGGTTTCTCTAGAGAAAATTAATACCCTTGGGCAGTTTACGAAATAAAATGAAACTCGTCAGGCCAGCAGTAGTACCTTCTATACTAATACTCCTGACTATATTTATATAAAATTTATAACTTTTAAGGTGCTTTTATATATGTATCACCTTCAATCCTCACACATCAACCCACAAGGAAAGGGAAAGATTAGGCCCATTTTATACATCTTTTTTAAGTTCAAAAAGGCAATGTAATAGTGGCAAGAGGACAGGATTTGGTGTCACAAGTGCTGCCACTTTCTACTATATAACCTAGGAAAAATCATTTTACCTAAGGTTATTTCAGCTTCCTCATCTGTAAGATAACGATGATGATCAATACCTGCTCTACTGAATGCCAATAAGAAAATCTGTGTGAAATCAACGTAAAGTACTAAAACAAACATTAGTATTGATTTGACCAACATTAGAAAGTTAAATAGCAGAGCCAGAACCAGATTTGGGGTCTTCTGACCACTATAGTCTAGTGCTCTTTTTACTATTCCATCCTACAGTAGAAAAATAAGCTTTCATTTATATAAGCTTTCAAAAGTTTCAGCCATAGGTGAAAACAAATCTTTAAAACAAAAAAACCCTCCCAAAACATACATTGATTCCTATGACATTTTTCTGCATTTTCAGCATTTGTATAAAGAGCGCGAACTATATCTATAATCAGGGAAAATAACTTGAAAATGCTAAGTATCTAGATTAATTTTACCTTTTCTTATTCTTCAGGAGAGATGACTCTTTTTCTTTAGGAAAGGATTACACCTGTAATCCTAGCAATTTGGGAGGTCAAGGCGGGCGAATCGCTTGAGGTGTGGAGTTCGAGACCAGGCTGGACAACTTGGCAAAAGCCCGTCTCTACTAAAAATACAAAAATTAGCTGGGCATGGTGGTGCGCGCCTGTCATCTCAGCTGCTTAGGAGGCTGAGGCATGAGAATTGAATGCACCAGGGAGGCGGAGGTTGCAGTGAGCCGAGATTGCACCACTGCACTCCAGCTTGGGTAAGGGAGTGAGACTGTCTCAAAAAAAAAACATAATAATAATAATAAATAAATAAATCGCTTGAGTTCTGGAGTTGGTAAGCCTGGGCAACATGGTGATACCCCATCTCCACAAAAAATACAAAAATTAGCTGGAGCTGGTGACGTCCACCTGTGGTCCTAGCTACTCAGGAGGCTGGGGTGGATCACCTAAGCCAGGAGAGGTCAAGGTTCAAGTGAGCCATGACTGCGCCACTGCACTCTAGCCTGGGCGACAGTGAGACTCTGCCTCAAAAAAAAAAAAAAAAAAAAAGAGGAGGAAGGTACTAAACCATGTTTCCACAACCAGATAAATAACGGAAGAAGCAAACTATGGATCAAAAGTACAGATTGTATTTCTCAAGGGTTCAACTATTCTGTCCCTACTGGAGGAAAGTGGCGGCAGAGAATCTAAATGTCAACATATTCTTTAGGCCAGAACAAAAATATTAGACACAAAGAATAAGAAAACACCAAAGAGTGTAAATACAATAATTACAGAAAAAAGTGTGTATACGCAGGTCATAAGAAATGTGTTTATGCAATTCCGGTATCTTTCCAGAATTCAATTCTTAAACCACACATACAAAAGATAAACTGTAAATAAATATCAATAAGTAACTAGAAAAGTCCATTTGCCATTTATTTACCTTTGACCTTAAAATCCTTGTCTGTTTCAAGCACAGTCAGCCCTTCTACTGGGTTACACATTCACAAGTTGCTAGAACACAGTCTCAAGTTCATAGTGATTTTTGTTGTGGGGGTGGTCAATGAAAGGCTGATGACCCCAAGCAGCCCGGGCTGGCACCGGGTAGTAATTCTACACTCAGTAAATATACAAAGATACCAAAGCCTACTTGTTACCACAGGTCCAGCAAGTAGGCCCAAGATAAAAACTGCCCAACGACGCCCTTGCTGAGCAGACTTAGAAAGACGCCCACAAAACCTCAAGACCAAGCAAAGCAAAGCCACCTCACCTGCCCAAAGGTAACCAATCCGAAAAGAGCGGGGCCGCCCCGTGGGCCTGGAAGGCAGCCCCAGCCCCAGACTCCTCTCACTTCCCGCCTCTGCCGTTGGCTAAGTAACTGAGGAGCCTCGCGTGTCACAGAGGAGTGTGACATCACCCGCCCGCCAGGCCCTACCTCGAGTCTTGGCTCCGGGCCGCTCACCCAGGGTCAGCCCGACCAAAGGACCCGCCCGCAGCCGAACAGCAATCGGATGGGTGGAGTTTCGCGTTCCTTCACCTCGGAAGGACGTGCTCTGAATTCGAACGATCGAAGCTAGGCCAAGGGGCCCTGCGTCTACACTTAGTAGAGGAGAAGGAGCGGGAGAAAGGAAAAGGCGGGCTGAGAAGGGGCCTTCGCCAGCGCTCTGGGGCAGAATAGAGGCCTCGACACCCCCCAAAACCCCCGCAGACTCGCCTCCGCCCCACCCCCGCTTCAGCACTGTTGCGCACGCGCAGCACTAGTTCCCTAGCTTCCCTCCACACCCTGTTTTCCCGAGTCTGGTCTCCGAGCAGGGCCTCGTTCCTTCAGGGTGCCATCTGTCCGCAGAAGGAAGCTACTGCCACTCTTGCTCAGACAGTAACTGCTAACTCCCTTTCCATTTCTCACTCCCAGTTCGCCCAGTACTAGGTTCAGACGTACCTTCCTAACCCGCCTCTCCAAGGCCTACCAGCGCTTCTAACACCGGATGTGCTCTGACTCGCCCACTTCCGCTCCCGATCTTTTACCCGGCGTTCGCCTCTCGAGGGAAACCCCGCCCTGTGGTCCGCTTAAGACCAGTCCTCATTGGCCGTTGGCCGCACTCCTGCCTTTCCATTGGCTGTACGTGCATAAACAGCGGCTGCTTAGTTCAGAGGCCTGAGCTTGTCGATCAAGACTACTGGCCACCAACCGCCTCGAAGCAAAAGGTCTCCGCTTTCTTACCGTAGTAAGCCAGGGTCACGGTGCGCTGCTGCCTCTAGTGGAGAAAGTGAAAATGGGCCGGCCCCGCCCGGGACAGCCCGACGGCTTGTGAAGGGGTAGCGCTGCAGTCTTGGGATTCTGGCTTTAGTCTTGTCATGCAGTGTTAAAGGGGGAAAGCGATTCAGAGAACACATTAAAAAAAAAAAAAAAGCGCCCTCGCAAGGGGCGATTTACTGTGAAACTAGTGGAGCGTAAGCTTCAGAGCACCTTTGAAAACACTTCGATTTCTCTAGAGTATGCGAGAAGGAAATAGCAGGATTCCAGGAGGAAAACCAGAATTTAGGAAACCACTTTCTGGAAAGATAGAACAGTTCTTTTCAGTAAAGAATACAAATATCCAGGGTATGATTCTCAGTAGGCAAACCCAGGTATGCAATTAATAGAAGTTAATTTTCGGCTGGGCGTGGTGGCTTACGTCTGTAATCCCAGCACTTTGGGAGGCTGAGGTGGGCAGATCACTTGAGGCCAGGAGTTTGAGACCAGCCTGGCTAACATGGTAAAACCCCATCTCTATTAAAAATTTAAAAAATTAGCTGGGCGTGGTGGCGTGTGCCTGTAATCCCAACTACTCGGGAGGCTGAGGCAGGAGAATTGCTTGACCCTGGAGGTGAAGGTTGCAGTGAGCCGAGATGGTGCCACTGCACTCCAGCCTGGGAGACAGAGCGAGACCCCGTCTCAAAAAAACCAAAAAAGTTAATTTTCTATAATACAACCTAATTTTTGCTGTAGTGTAGCAGGACAAGCCGCAGACAAAACCCCTCAGACACCGAGTTAAAGCAGGAAGCGGTTTATTCCGCCAGGAGCATCGGCCAAGACTCCTGTCTCAAGAGCTGAGCTCCCTGAGTGAGCAATTCCTGTCCCTTTTAAGGCCTCACAACTCTAAAGGGATCCGCTTGAGAGGGTAGTGATCGATTGAGCAAGCATGCACCGGTAATTAGATCAGAACAGGACAGGGATTTTCACAGTGCTTTTCTATACAATGTCTGTAATCTATAGATAACATAACCGATTAGGTCAGGGGTCGATCTTTAACTACGAGGCCCAGGGTGTGGTGCCTGGCTGTCTGCTTGTGGATTTCATTTCTGCCTTTTAGTTTTTACTACTTCTTTCTTTGGAGGCAGAAATTGGGCATAAGACAATATGAGGGGTGGTCTCCTCCCTTATTCCCCCACTTTGAGACTCTCACTCATTTTATTAGTGGGAGTTCTCACCTTCATCTTCACTACCTATGTCTTCCTGCATGACAGATCGATAGTGATTTATGTAGTACACTTGTGCTGAAGCATTCTGGTGAACTAGAGTAGTGATGAAACCTTTTACCATTTGAATGAGTACAGATAGTAAATAAGGGATCAGTAAGCAGGCTATTACTACTATAATTTTTATTATAAGAGTTTTAAATCCTCCTAGCACTGGGAACCATTTTTAAACATAGCTTCAGGGTCAAATCCGTGTCACACTTGTACAGGCACATGTGCCAGTTTCGTCATGTCTTTAACTATATCTTCGACTACTTGCCTCTGATCATCTATGTGCAGGCAGCAATTGGTAAGGTTAAATTTTCCACAGACTTCTCCTCGAACTAAGATATTTACTCGACGATCCAGTCCAGCCCTGTCGATTCCTAAGGTCACACGCTCCCCTTTTTTTCCAGCGAGGATCAAGGGGATTGGTTATTACTAGCTCTAAGGGGTTACATTGTCCCTTAGTACAGGAAGAGCCATTTTTTCCTTTCTGAAGGTGGACTGGATCCTTTTCATTTTTTATCCAAGTGGCCTAAATGACACAAGACCAGTATCCACATTCATTTTCACACAGTCCTCATTCATGACAAATGTACTTATTTTCGGTCATATAGCCTTTTTCCCAACTAAAAGAGCCACATCCCCTTCCTAACTTATTGCTATTAATGACAGCACAGGCATCAAACTTCAAGGTGACTTGTTTGGGCACCCCTTTTTCTTTTGTTTTGGCTAACACTTTACTCGTATCATTTATGAGTCCTCCCCACCAGTCCTCAGTCCTTAATCTTATTTTAAAAACTGTGGTCATGGGAGGCTCAGATGGGTCATAACACACATCAGGTTGGTCATTTCCTGGGCTACATACCTTGTATAGAATAGCATTATACAAACAAGTTCTTTTTAGAGTCCCGGTACACCTATAATAACCATAAAATAATAAGACTGTAGCAACTTTTTGTCCTACCTCAGTGACTTGATGTATACACTGGGAACAGTCCTCAGTCTGAGGAAGGTCAGTTGAAGTCCTTACTGTACAAGTCCAAATTTTAAGGAAAATGAGTCCCGTGATGAGTTTTCTCATGCTTCAGCCGTGTGTGGATTAGTCAGCTTCCGGATATGACTGGAGCAGGGCTTGTCGTCTTTTTCAGAGTCACTTTGCAGGGGTTGGCAAAGCTGCTCCTGTCAATGTACAGCTCACAGTCTACTGATGTTCAAGGATGGTCTTGGAGGTTCGGCCCACTAGAATAAACTGAGTCCAATACCTCTACACAGTTATGTTCAACTGGGCTCTCTGATACTGGGAGCAAGGTGGCAAGGTTTAGGGTGTTGTAAACTTCAATGGTTATGCGGGGATTTTCACATAGCAAGCTTTGGTACTTGGTTAATCTAGCATTTGTTAGCCAATGATGTCCTCTGGTATTCATCAAAGTTACCACAGCATGGGGGGCCTTTATATTCAGGTTTTGCCTAAGGGTTAGTTTATCTGCTTCTTGTGCTAACAGGGCCATTGCTGCCAGGGCCCTTAGACATGGGGGCCAGCCTTTGGAAACCCCGTCCAGTTGTTTTGAGAGATAGGCCACTGGCCTTGGCCATGGCCCCACAGTCTGGGTTAAAACTCCAACTGCCATTTTTTCTTTTTCTGATACATAGAGTGTAAAGGGTTTTGTCAGGTCAGGTAGCCCCAGGGCTGGGGCCGACATGAGTTTTAACTCATGAAAAGCTTGTTGCTGTTGGTTATAATATAGTTTATCCAATCTACATTTTTATTAACTGTCACCTACCAAAATATTGACTCAAATCCTGCCGCTATTTGATTCCAAGCTTTAAATTGATCTGGTATTCCCTGTGGGACTCCAATTGTGTCTAAATGGACGTGAGAGTCGGAAGACCAATAAGGGGCTTCTCTCACTTTACGATGTCTTATTTTTTTCTCCCTCTGGTTGATGAAATGCCAGGGTGAAAGGGATAGCCAAATGGACCAAAGCACAAGTGCCACTCCAGTTATTCGGCAGAGTGCTCAGTAAAGGTCCACCACAATACCACCACACATCCACTCGGGGATGAACAAGGGCTGACTGATGGATAAGCTCTTGAAAATTCTTAAGCTCATTGCATCCTTTCAGGTCTCCAAGGAATGCCAGGGAGACATGAAGTGAACTTAGTGTTGAGAGACGGAAGCTGGATAGCCCTTGGGGGCTGACCCGCAGGGTGCCGGACTTCGGGATATAGCAGAGAGAGCTTGGCATGACTTATTACTCCAGGCTGTAGAATCCTGGAAAAGAGCTACCATGCAGACCTATGCCTGGTCAACTGGAGGACCACCTTAGTGGAAGGGGGACAATCTGGGCCTCTGGCCTGCCATGTGCACAAGCATAACAATTGCTTTTGTTTAATGTGCAGATGGAATATTTGATTCATTTTAACCAGGCATTTGCATCTTGGTATCCTGTCTTAACTGCTAAAGTTTGTTTTAAGTCTTTAACTTCTATGATCCTCTAGTAAAATGAATGTATGATTTTAGGAAATTACAAAAACCAGTTAGGGCAGTCCATCCTTGCTCTTTAGTGGTCCATAGAATGTTGGACCAACTACAGCATAAAAGCTCTACATTGTGGGGCAAGACTCCTGGTTGACACTGGAATCTTTATCGAAATTTCCCCAGATTAAATGGTCCTAATTTACTAATGCCCAATCTGAGGAGAGTCAGAAGGGACAGAAGTACTTTTCTGAAGTAAAGAGCTGTCTTTGACTTGGCAAGTCCCCACAGGGTATAACAAGGCAAGCATTAAATGCAATAGTTTGAGGCAAAATTGACTTGGTAATGTTAATAACTAGACGGTTAGCAATAGAGCGAGGAAAGAAGGAAGAGTAATAGAATAGATGAAAAAGTTAAATTTTTCTTAGCTTTAGTTTGGTAAGGTTTTCCCCTGGGACTATGGCCCACGACTCTGGAGGGGGTTCTTGACTTGGGTGTGGTGAGTCCATCCCCTTTCCACTGTACAAACAACAGTCTCGGTGGTTAGCAGCACAAGGTAGGGTCCTTCCCAGGCTGGCTCGAGTTTTTCTTCTTTCCACCCTTTGATGAGAACGTGATCTTCAGGCTGGTGCTGGTTTACCGGAAATTCTAGGGGTGGTACATGTGCTAAAAGACTTTTAGTTTTTGAGGGAAAGGAAAGTGGAAGATAAACCAAGTATATAATTTTTAAGAAATTGACCTTTTGTTTTAAATGTGGGGACCTTGGCAGTGGACTTAGTCCTTAGTGCCTTTTTACTGAGAAATTTTCTTTAGCACCTATTTTTATTAGTTTTTAAACCAAAGAAAGCCAAATACCATTTTACATTTAACAATGCTTTTTCTATGATTTTTACACCAGATAAGCTAAATTTTACTTTTATATTAGTGTGTTATTAATATTAAACCTAATTTTAACAAAACCTTGTAGACATATTTATGCAATTTTTAATGTTAGACCACAAGGTAAGATTTTATAGACTCTTTTTAACTTTTTATAATTTTTGCTAAAGAGCAGGTTGGTGCTTTAAGAAAAACCTGCTATGGTTTTATTTTAATGTCCAGTTTACAGAAAAACTGGATGATACTGCTTTAACTTTAGCCAATGTTTACACACAGAATTTTCTTTCCAATTAACACTTTAAAACTTGATTAAACCTTTAAAACAAAATATACATATTTTTAGCCTTTTAATGTAGGTAAAAATTTATATTCTCATGCCTCCTTATAATTCTTTTACCACAGGTATATTTTACTTTCCTTATACACCTTGCACATAAACTGTTGTTTGTTTGTTGTTTACATTCAGGAGGCCTAGTTACTTTTAAATTATACAAAATTTCTTGCATAAATTCTTTTTTTAATAACATTTTTCTCTTTCACAACTTTTGCAGACAATTCTTTGACATGCTTCAACTTTCTGACTTATTACAAATATTTCTTTCTTTAAACAACCAGTTAATTTAATTCAGGACAAAAATTTACCATATAATACTCTTTTTACATAAATTCCGCCCCCCCCCCCCCCCCTTTTATTCCTTAGGATGCTTCTGAACTGGTGAGGTGTGCTCAGAATGAGGTTTCCTGTAAGTTTTTTTTTACTTTTTTCTGTTAGCAAAGCAGTTGCCGCTACAGATTGAATGCATTTGGGCCATCCACGGGTTACTGGGTTAAGGATTTTTGATAGGAAGGCCTCAGTGCTTTCAAGATACGCCCTTGTTTACACTGTCAACAAAGTGGTATTGGAGTGTTATAGGGTTACGGAGAATACCTTCAATTATCAATTACAGGTTTTAAATTTACCTTGGCTTTTAAAGGAATAGGGTACACTTTTCTTTTAACTACTTGTATATCTCTCTTTCTTTGATTTTCTGTCTCTTTTTCTCTTTGACTTTTCTTTTGCCTCTGTCTCTTTCTCTCTCTCTGCCTCTCTCTCTCTCTCTCTCTCTCTCTCTCTCTCTCTCTCCTGGTCTTTCCTTGCCTCTGCCAGCCACTTATGCTGCCGTTCTATCAATCACTGTCGGGGATCTAAAACCAGCTGTAACCAAGTGTCTATGTATGGGAACTGGTCTGGGTGCTTTGGCTTATAGGTTACCTTGTGCCATACCTTTGAAACAAGGGACCTGTCCAGGCTTCCTTCTGATGGCCAACCCACCTCTAATGCTGGCCAGTCTATCTTCCACAAAGTTTTAAGTTTTCCTGGTGTCATAGTACTCCATAGTCTCCCTTAAATTTCTTGAAATTTTTCAACATAGTTCCTAGTGGGGTGGGCTTACTTTGTGCCTGACCCATGCTTCTTTGAGACAAAACACCATGCTCACACCACACGCACACCACAAAACAAAGAACAGGTAAAAAGGGCACACACACACTTTTGCAGTTTACACCAAACCAAAATCAAAACCAAAATCAGAGTATCAAGAAATCCAAGCCAGGTCAAAACCAAAACCAAAGTATCAAGCAATCCAAATCAAGTCAAAAACAAAAACCAAAGTGCCGGTACAGGCACACCGTGGGTGATCAGGCCACGCTTCCACCCAAATGGAGTAGGCAAGTTCCCAAGACCAGTCCTGTCAAGCAATTCAAACCAAGTCAAAACCAAAACCAAAGTGCCGATAAAGGCACGTCGTGGGTGATCAGGCCACGCTTCCACTCAAATGGAGTGGGAAAGTTCCTAAGACCGGTCTTGTCAAGCAATTCAAACCAAGTCAAAACCAAAACCAAAACCAAACCAAAGTGCCATTAAAAGCATGCCGTCGGTGATCAGGCCACGCTTCCACTCAAATGGAGTAGGCAAGTTCCAAAGACTAGTCTTACCAAGTTTCAGATGTCCACACTCTAAGTACCAGTTCTTTCCTGGTGTTCAGCCACTGCATTGATCCTCCACAGGGGCCTGCCACACACTGCTCTGGCGAGGCATCCCGCCTGGGCAAATGCCTACCCAGGAGCGCTCTCAGAATCTGCGTCACTTGGGCTGGTCGAAGTCCCCCACAGGGATGTTCCACAGGGCAGGCTTAAGCCGCCTAAGGAGCTGTCTCGACCATCTGCCAATCACCTTGCTTCCCGATCAGGTAACCAAGAAATGTAGCAGGACAAGCTGCAGACAAAACCCCTCAGACACCGAGTTAAAGAAGGAAGCAGTTTATTCAGCCAGGAGCATTGGCAAGACTCCTGTCTCAAGAGCCGAGCTCCCCTAGTGAGCAATTCCTTTCCCTTTTAAGGGCTCACAACTCTAAGGGGGTCCACTTGAGAGGGTTGTGATCGATTGAGCAAGCAGTGGGTACGTGACTGGGGTCTGCATGCATTGGTAATTAGATCAGAACAGAACAGGACAGGGATTTTCACAGTGCTTTTCTATACAATGTCTGTAATCTATAGAAAACATAACCGATTAGGTCAGGGGTTGATCTTTAACTACCAGGCCCAGAGTGTGGTGCCAGGCTGTCTGCTTGTGGACTTCATTCCTGCCTTTTAGTTTTTACTTCTTCTTTCTTTGGAGGCAAAAATTGGGCGTAAGACAATATGAGGGGTGGTCTCCTCCCTTATTTGTACAACCTAATATTTACTCTGAACCTCATTCCATCAGAATGGAAAAAAAAAGTATTACCAGCCCTTCATCGGACACTTGGACCCCAGCATGGAGGTCATTCTCTCAGGCCAAGTGTCAGTTGAGGGTGGACTAGGGTCGGTGGGCTAGGGACGAGGGCAGTGACCACCAGATGGAGCTGTCTTAGAAGCCCCTTTGGAGACCAAGCCAAGGGAGATCAAAGGGCT
The DNA here is from genome assembly GCF_000001405.40 of Homo sapiens. Lineage (NCBI taxonomy): Eukaryota > Metazoa > Chordata > Mammalia > Primates > Hominidae > Homo > Homo sapiens. Next base: position 49,733,760 of record NC_000012.12, on the reverse strand, counting down.
GGAATTCTCCCCAGGGCTTTTCCTCAGCGAGAAGCATCACCCGTGCAAGACATTATAGCAAGGAGTTGGAAAGCTGATAATACAAAGTTTAGAGACTATCAATTATTTAAAATCTATTTTTGACTAATTTATCTTTCTAACATCTCTATAAAATGGTCATTTAGTTGCAAAGAGTATGCAACTAAAAAATGCAAGATGGGTGAAGACTTATAGCGGTTGCTGGGCAGTTATTAATATTATTTTTCTGGACTTTGTGATGTCTGTGGTTTTTGTCAGTATTTCAAAATCTACAATGATTCTTCTCATTTTAAATACTGACTTTATGACATCATTTAATTCTTTATTACATAAGTTTATTTACTCTAAATAAATATTGAATTTATTACATAATTTTAGAGCCCCACAATTGTATATGTTTCAGGCTCCACGGAGCATATATCCACTCTTTTTTTTTTTTTCTGAGACAGGGTCTCGTTCTGTCACCCAGGTTGGAGTGCAGTGGCACGATCTTGGCTCGCTGCAACCTCCACCTCCTGGTTCAAGTGATTCTCCCACCATAGCCTCCTTAGTAGCTGGGACTACAGACGCACACCACCACGCCTGGCTAATTTTTTTTTTTTTTTTTTTGGTAGAGACAGGGTTTCACCAAGTAGCCCAGGCTGGTCTTGAACTCCTGGGCTCAAGTGATCCACCCACCTCGGCCTGCCAAAGTGCCGGGATTACAGGCATGAGCCAACTGCCTGACCTGATCATATATCCACTTTTTTTTTTTTTTTTTTTTTTTTTGAGACAGAGTCCGTCGCCCAGGCTGGAGTGCAATGGCATGATCACTGCAACCTCCGCCTCCCGGGTTCAAGTGATTCTCCTGCCTCAGCCTCCCAAGTAGCTGGGATTACAGGTGCACGCTACCACACCTGGCTAATTTTCTGTATCTTCAGTAGAGACGAGGTTTCACCATGTTGGCCAGGCTAGTCTCGAACTCCTGACCTCAGGTGATCCACCTGCCATGGCCTCCCAAAGTGCTGGGATTACAGGTGTGAGCCACCATGCCTGTCCCCAAGATTTTTACCTTTGTACCAGTGTGGCCCTTTCAGGTGCTGCAGCTCTGTTTTCATGGCATACTTAAGGTTCAATTGACCTTTTGTCAGGCTTAAATTATGTGCCTAGGACAAGAGCTTGCTAAGAGTTCTGCCTGCACAGTTTTGAGTGACACAGGTTATTCATTTATTGAGTACCTACGACGTGCCTGCTTTAGGCATGTGTGGGTATATCAGTGAACAAAATACAAAAATCATGCCCTCATAGAGCTTAAATTCTAGAAGAGAAAAACTAAATAATAAGCATAATAAGTAAATTGTATAGTATTGTTAGAGTATAAGTGCTGTAAAATAGAGTAGGATAATTGGTATCGGAAGTTCAGAGAGATGGAGGCTGAGGTGGGTGGATCACCTGAGGTCAGGAGTTCAAGCCCACCCTGGGCAACACAGTGAAACCCTGTCTCTACGAAAAATACAAAAATTAGCCAGGTGTGGTGGCATGCACCTGTAATCTCAGCTACTCCCGAGGCTGAGGCACAAGCATCACTTGATTCCAGGAGGCGGAGGTTGCAGTGAGCCGAGATCTCGCCAGCCTGGGTGACAGAGTGAGACTCTGTCTCAAAAAAAAGAAGAAGTTCAGAGATGGACATGTAGAAATTACAGAGGTGATAGGCTTCATTGGGAAGTGAGACTTGAGCAATAACTTGGAGGAGACGAGGGAGGGATTGCACAACACGGGATCCAAGGAAAGAGTATTTCAGGCAGAGGAACAGTAAGGGCTAAAGCCTTAAGTAGAAACATGCCTGGCACAGGTGAAGAACAGTAAGAAGGCCACTGCAGTGGTATAAATTAGGGCAGAAGTACAGGAGATGCAGTCAGAGAGGTAGTGTAGCAGGGGAAGATCATGTAGGGGCTTGAAAGACTTGGGACTTTGGCTTTTTTGTTCCGAGGAAAATAGGTAACCATTGCAGGGTTTTTAGCAGAGGACTAACATAATATGACTTACCTTCTTACAGTAACACTGGCTGCTGTTTGAAAATAAATTGTGGAGATTCAAGGGTAAAAGCAGTACAGTTAGAAGGTTCACACCAAAGTGGTAGTGGTAGAGGTGGTGGGAAGTAGATTCTGGATATATTTTGAAGGTAAAACCAATATAATTTGCTGGCAGATTGGATGTGGGATGTAAGAGAATGAGGAGTCAAGGATGACACCTAGGTTTTTAGTCGTATGTATTATTTATCTACTGTTTTGTAACAGAGCACTACAAAACTCAGTGGCTTAAAACAATAATCATTTATTATGTTATCTTTGAGGCCAGGCATGGTGGCTTATGCCTGTAATCCTAGCACTTTGGGAGGCTGAGGTGGGAGGATCCTTCAAAGTCAGGAGTTCAAGACCAGCCTGGGTAAGGGTAACAAAGCGAGATGCCAGCTCTACAAAAAAGAAAACAAGAATTTGAGAGCACCTTGCAGGTAAGTCAGTCAGTCACTCTTGCTGGCTAGCACAGTTCTTTCATAAAATAGTGTGAAATTGGGTCTCCAGAATAGTGTTGACATGCTTATTTGGGGTCAAACACAAGATGAGTTCAGGTCTCTGGGCTATCGACAGTCCTCTACCAACCCTTGGTCATGAGCCATGTGTTGGGGACCTTGTGCTGGCCTTCCTTTGTCAGTGTTCTGACTGTGGAACTGCTGGTGGTCCACAGCACCTGAAGACTACAGAGTGGTAGCAGACATCTTTTATTCTGTGTATGACTGCATGCCATCTCCTTTCTGCCCCATCACTCGCACCCAGGGTAGTTACCCCACCCCGGCAGAAGATTCCATGATAGGTGTCAGGCAGTCCTCCCTGGGTAGTCCAATGATTTTGGGATTGTTGCTACACAGTGCCAAAGGGCCCTTTCCAACTGATGTCCTTTTGCTTCTGACTGATGTAGTGATGCAATGCTCCCTCAATGTTTGTCTTAAGTCATGCCAAATGAGGCATGCAGGAATGGGATCACTCCTCTTGCTGCACCCATGGGCCCTTCACACATCTTCCCTGTTGGTGATGGTGTCCAAAAGATAGGCATGTGGTCATCATTCAAAGAACTGATAGCCTAGGAATGTCGTAATTATGGTTTAAAGTGTGCAAAAGAAGATAGGGTTAGAAGAAGTGATGCTCTATGTTTATTAGATAAAATTCTGAGTGAAAATTTAACATGACCATAAAACAAATTATTGTTTACATTTTTGGGCATTCTCTGGGTAAGACTTGCATTTGTGATCATAATCAAGAAAATACAGTAATAAAATAAAACAAAATAAAATAAAAAAATTTTAAAAAGAAAATACAGTAATAATTTTTGAGAGAGTCATGGACGACATCATGAATAATGTATCATGAGTAATGTTGTAACCAAGAGTATTAAGGAACTCCAGAAACAAAAATATCTACATTGTTTCACTACAAACAGGTTGCAAAGACCTGTGGAATTATAGTAACAGGAGTTACTACCTTTTTCTCTTGGTGGGAGATATGAAATTAGCCAGGAATGGCATATTTGACAATAAAGAACATGAAGAACATGATTTTTGGACCTGAACAAGAAAAGGTGGTACCTGCACACTGTGAAGAATCATCACATGCTCTGATATGGACAATAAGCTGATATCTCTTTTCTACCCATTATTCTAAGTCTTCATTGATATATCATTTTGCTATATGTCGTCATACTTCACACAGTCTCATAAACTTTGTGATATATTTAAAAATTGAGACATAATTTACATATCATAAAATTTACCATTTTAGGCCAGGCGTATTGGCTCACACCTGTAATCCCAGCACTTCGGGAGGCCAAGGCGAGTGGATCACTTGAGGCCAGCAGTTTGAGACCAGCCTGTGCAATGTAGTGAAACCCCATTTCTACTAAAAATACAAAAATTAGCTGGGCGTGGTGGCACACACCTGTAATCACAGTTACTCAGATGGCTGAGGCACAAGAATCTCTTGAACCCAGTAGGTGGAGATTGCAATGAACCAAGATTGTGCCACTGTAACCCAGCCTGGGTGACAGAGTGAGAGTCTGTCTCAGAAAAAAAAAATTACCATTTATTTTTTAATTATTATAAATTACCGGCCCAATTTTTTTTTTTTTTTTTTTTTTGAGACGGAGTCTCGCTCTGTAGCCCAGGCTGGAGTGCAGTGGCGGGATCTCGGCTCACTGCAAGCTCCGCCTCCCGGGTTCACGCCATTCTCCTGCCTCAGCCTCCCAAGTAGCTGGGACTACAGGCGCCCGCCACTACGCCCGGCTAATTTTTTGTATTTTTAGTAGAGACGGGGTTTCACCGTTTTAGCCAGGATGGTCTCGATCTCCTGACCTCGTGATCCGCCCGCCTCGGCCTCCCAAAGTGCTGGGATTACAGGCGTGAGCCACCGCGCCCGGCCCCAATTTTTTTTTTAATTGAGAAAGGGTCTCGCTCTGTCACCCAGGCTGGAGTGCAGTGGTGCAAACATGGGTCACTGCAGCCTTGAACTCCTGGGCTCTAGCAATCCTCCTGCCACAGCCTCCCGAGTAGCTGGAACCACAGGTGTGTACAACCATGCCTTGCATTTTAAAACATTTTTTTTTGGCCAGGCACAGTGGCTCACACTTGTAATCCCAGCACTTTGGGAGGCCGAGGCGGGCGGATCATGAGGTCAGGAGATCTAGACCATCCTGGCCAACATGGCAAAACCCCATCACTACTAAAAATACAAAAATTAGCTGGGCATGGTGGAGCATGCCTGTAATCCCAGCTACTCGGGAGGCTGAGGCAGGAGAATCACTTGAACCAGGGAGTCGGAGGTTGCAATGAGTCGAGATGGTGCCACTGCACTCCAGCCTGGTGACAGAGCGAGACTCCATCTCAAAAACAAAACAAACAAACAAACAAACAACAATTTTTTTTTCTGTAGAGGCGGGATCTTGCCATGTTGGCCAGGCTGGTCTCCAACTCCTGGACTCAAGTGATCCTCCTGTTTCAGCCTCCCAATGTGAAATTCACCCTTTTAAAGTGTACATTTTAGTCATTTTTAGAATATTCCCAAGATTGTGCAATCACCACTAATTCCAGAACCTTATTTTCATTTAAAAAATAGTTTTACATTAAAATATTTGAGACAGGGAGTCGATCTGTTGCCCAGGTTAGAGTACAGTGGTACAATAATGGCTTACTGCAGCCTTGACATCCTGGGCTCAAGCAATCCTCCCACCTCAGCCTCCCAAGTAGCTGGGACTACAGGTGTGCACCACCATACCTGGCTAATTAAAAAAAATTTTTTTTAATTTTGTAGAGACAGGGTCTCACTATGTTGCCTAGGCTGGTCTTGAACTCTTGGGCTCAATCAATCCTCTCGCCTTGATGCCCCAAAATTCTCGGATTACAGGCATGAGCCACCATGCCCAGCCCTCAAAACATTTTTATTACCCTCCAAAAAAATCCCTCCATTCATTAGCAGGGTTAATTTCCTTCTCTCTTTCTCCACAACCGCAACAATTACTAATTTACTTTCTGTCTCTAGATTTGCCTATCCTGGAAATTTCATAGAATCATACAATATGTGGCTTTTGGTATCTCACTTCTTTAACTTAGCATAATATTTTAAAGTTCATCCATGTTGTAGCATGTATCAGTACTTCATTCCTTTTTATGGCTGAATCATATTCCATTGTATGATTATACTACATTTAGTTTGTCCATTCACTTTAAATGTCCAATGATGGACATTGGGTTGTTTCCACTTTTTGGCTATTATGAATAATGCTGCTATGAGCATTCATGTACAAATTTTTGTGTGGACATATGCTTTCATTTATTTTGGATATATACCTAGGAGTAGAGTTACTGGATCATATGGTAACTTTATTTTATTTTTGAGAGAGTCTCACTGTTGCCAAGGCTGAAGTGCAATGGTGCAATCTCGGCTCACTGCAACCTCTGCCTCTTGGGTTCAAGCAATTCTCCTGCCTCAGCCTCCCAAGTAGCCAGGATTACAGATGCCTGCCACCAGGCCTGGCTAATTTTTTGTAGTAGAGACGGGGTTTTGCCATGTTGGCCAGGCTGGTCTCAAACTCCCAAACTCAGGTGATCTGCCCGCTTCGCCTCCCAAAGTGCTGGGGTTACAGGTATGAGCCACCGTGCCTGGCCATATGATAACTTTAGATTTAACTTTTTGAGGAATTGCCAACCTGTTTTCCAAAGTGGCTGTACCATTTTATGTTCTCATCAGCAGTTTCTGTGGTCACTAATTTATCTACATCCTTGCCAACATTCCTTATTACCCATGGTTTTCTTTATAGCTATCTTATTAGATGCGAAGTGATATTTCACTGTGTTTTTGCTTTGCATTTCCCTAATGACTAATCATGTTGAGTATCTTATTGGCCATTGTATATCTTCTTTGGAGAAATGTCTATTCAAGACTTTTGCCCATTTTTTTTTAACTTGGGTTGTCTTTTATTGTTGAGATATTAAGAGCTCTTTATATATTCTGGATACTTATCAGATATATAGCTTGCAGATATTTTTCTCCCATTCCATGGGCTGTTTTTTTAATCCTTCTTAATGATTTTTTGAAGCAATAACTTTTTTTTTTGAGACGGAGTCTCTCTCTATTGTCCAGACTGGAGTGCAGTGGCACAATCTTGGCTCACTGCAACCTCCACCTCCCAGGTTCAAGCTATTCTCCTGCCTCAGCCTCCCGAGTAGCTGGGACTATAGATGCATGCCACCATGCCTGGCTAATTTTTTGCATTTTTAGTAGAGGCAAGGTTTCACCGTGTTAGCCAGGATGGTCTTGATCTCCTGACCTTGTGATCTGCCCACCTCAGCCTCCCAAAGTGCTGGGATTACAGGTGTGAGCCACTGCGCCCTCCCCTTTTTTTTTTCTTTTTTTTTTTTTTTGAGACGGAGTCTCGCTCTATCACCCAGACTGGAGTGCAGTGGCGCAATCTTGGCTCACTGCAACCTCTGCCTCCTGGGTTCAAGCGATTCTCCTGCCTCAGCCTCCCAAGTAGCTGGGACTACAGGCACCCCCCACCACACCTGGCTAATTTTTTTTTTTTTTTTTTTTGTATTTTTAATACATTCGGGGTTTCACCATATTGGCCAGGCTGGTCTCAAACTCCTGACCATGTGATCTGCCCATCTTGGCCTCCCAAAGTGCTGGGATTACAGGCATGAGCCACTGAGCCCGGCCAGAACATTTTTAATATTGAAGAAATCCAATTTATCCATTTTCTTTGGTTGCTTGATAAAATCTGTGTTGCTTGAGCTTTATGTGTCATATCTAAGAATGTAATACATTTTAAATCAAATCATTATATAGATGGGATCTCATTAAAAGCAAATTTGCCTGGGGTCCCACACACTGTAAGAGTGGCCCTGTTTCCATTACTGAGTTTTGTCCACTTTCAAAGGGAAGGGAATTAGACTACACCTTTTGAAGGTGGGATATCAAAGAATTTAAGAACATATTTACAGCCACTACTTGAGCACCTAGAAGGATGGAGTTGCCATCAACTGCAATTTTTATACCAATTTTTCAAATGGAAAAAATAAAAGACTTGGAAGGCTAATGCTTCCCCCAAATGGGGGAAAGCATACTTCTGAAAATTAAAACTGAGGTAGTTTTTTTTTGCCATTCTATGAGTTTTACACTGATAAACATGTTTACTAATCACTTATCACAAATTAAATAGTAGAGCAAATTTCTAAACAATGTCCTATAGATAATAAACATCTTTTGACTATGCATACAAAATGCTGTACCTCAATTGTTCCCAGTCCTGGTTACTCTCTCAGCAGTATAATTAGAAGCCACATTTGAGATGGTTTTTTAAACATGATCTTCAATGCTTTGACACAGATTTCATCGGGAAGTTGAGTCCATATCCTCTCCCCATGAATGTGGGCAATTTGTGGCTGTTTCAATGAACAGACTACAGAATAAGTGATGCTGTGTGACTTCTATGGTTGTGTCATGAAAAGCTATTCAGTTTCTGCCTAAGTCTCTTGGAACATGCTTGCTCTTGGGATACTTCCTGTTAGAACCCAGCCACCAGCTTGTGAGCCCAAGCCACTTGAAGAGGCCATCTTTAGGTGCTCGGGTCAACAATCCCAACTAAGCCCAGCTTTTGAGTCATCCTAGCCCAGATGCTACACATGTGAATGAAGGAGACTCCAGATGATTCCGGTCATTTGAGTCCTTCCAGCTGATACCCTGCTGTGCCCAGTCCAAATTCCTGTTGCATAGAATCTATGAGCCAAATAAAATTGTTGTTGTTTTATGCCACCAAGTTTGGGGTGGCATAGATATTGAAACAGTGTACCCTCTTTTTTAAAAATTTTATTTATTTTTTATTTCAATAGGTTTTGGGGGAATAGGTGGTATTTGGTTACATGAATAAGTTTTTTAGTGGTGATTTCTGAGATTTTGGTGCACCCATCACCAGAGCAGTGTACACTGTACCCACTGTATAGTCTTTTATCTCTCACCCCTGTCCCACCCTTTCCCGAGTCCACAAAGTCCAACTGTGTCATTCTTCTGCCTTTGCATCCTCAAAGCGTAGCTCCCACTTATGAGGGAGAACATAATGATGTTTGATTTTCCATTCCTGAGTTACTTCACTTAGAACAATGGTCTCCAATTCCATCCAGGTTGCTGCAAATGCAATTATTTAGTTCCTTTTTATGGCTGAGTAGTATTCCATGGTGTATATACCATATTTTCTTTTTCTACTCGTTGATCGATGGGTATTTGGTCTGGTTCCATATTTTTGCAATTGCAAATTGTGCTGCCACAAACATGTATGTGTCAGTATCTTTTTCATATAATGACTTCGTCTGGGTAGACACCTAGGAGTGGGTTTGCTGGATCAAATGATAGATCTACTTTTAGCGCTTTAAGGACTCTCCACACTGTTTTCCATAGTGGTAGTATTCGACCAACAGTATAAAAGTGTTCCCATTTTACTACATCCATGCCAGCATCCGTTATTTTTGATTTTTTGATTATGGCCATTCTTGCAGGAGTAAGGTGGTATTGCATTTCCCTGATAATTAGTGGTTTTGATTTGCATTTCCTTGATAATTAATGATGTTGAACATTTTTTGTATGTTTTTTGGTCATCTGTATATCTTCTTTTGAGAATTGTCTATTCATGTTCTTAGTGTTTTTTGTTTGTTTGTTTGTTTTTTGAGACAGAGTCTCACTCTGTCGCCCAGGCTGGAGTGCAGTGGCGCAATCTCAGCTCACTTCACTGCAACCTCCCCTATAGGGTTCAAGCGATTCTCCTCCCTCAGCCTCCTGAGTAGCTGAGATTACAGGCACATGCCACCATGCCCAGCTAATTTATTTTTGTTTTGAGATGGAGTCTTGCTCTGTTGCCCAGGCTGGAGTACAGTGGCACAATCTCTGCTCACTGCAACCTCCTTCTCCCAGGTTCAAGTAATTCTCCCTGCGTCAGCCTCCCAAGTAGCTGGGATTACAGGCGCCTGCCACCACGCCTGGCTATTTTTCTTTTTTTTAATTTTTAGTAGAGACAGGGTTTCACCATGTTGGCCAGGCTGGTCTTGAACTCCTGACTTCAGGTGATCCACCCGCCTCGGCCTCCCAAAATGCTGGGATTATAGGCGTGAGCTATTGCACCCGGCTGGTTGTTTTTTTGTTTGTTTGTTTTGTTTTGTTTTGTTTGTATTTTTAGTAGAGACAGGGTTTCACTATGTTGGCCAGGCTAGTCTCGAACTCTTGACCTCAAGTGATCCGCCCACCTCAGCCTTCCAAAGTGCTGGGATTACAGGTGTGAGCCACCGTGCCCAGCCTGAAACAGTGTTTTTTCTACAAATTAACAAGAAAAAAAACAACATAAAAGTGGGCAAAGGGTATAAATGCTCAAAAGTATAAAATTCCTAGAAGATAACATAGGAGAAAATGTAGATGGCGTTGGATTTGGTCATGCCTTTTTAGATATAACACCAAAGGTATAATCCTATGAAAGAAATAATTGATAAAGGTTGACTTCATTAAAACAAAAATTTTCTGCTTTGCAAAAGACACTGTCAAGAGAATGAAAAATTGAGCTACGGACTGGGAGAAAATATTTGCAGAAGACATAAGGGCTATTAACCAAAATAAACAAAAAACTCTTAAAACTCGACAATACGAAAACAAACAACCCTATTTTTTAAAAATGGGCCATTTTGTTCACTTGATCTGAAAGAAAAAGACAAAATAAAATAAAAAATTTAAAATGGGCCAAATACCTTAACAGACACCTTACCAAAGAAGATGTACAGATGGTGGACAAGGGCGATGGCTCACGTCTGTAATCCCAGCACTTTGGGAGGCGAGGAGGGCAGATCACGAGGTCAGGAGATTGAGACCAGCCTGACCAACATGGTGAAATCCAGTCTTTACTAAAAATACAAAAATTAGCCAGACGGGGTGGCATGTGCCTGTAATCTCAGCTACTCGGGAGGCTGAGGCAGAAGAATGGCGTGAACCCGGGAGGCAGAGCTTGCAGTGAGCCAAGATCATGCCACTGCACTCCAGCCTGGGCGACAGAGCGAGACTCCGTCTCAAAAAAAAAAAAAAAAAGAGTTGCCTAGGCTGGTCTTGAACTCCTGGCCTCAAGTGATCTCCCTGCCTGGGCCTCCTAAAGCTCTGAGTTTAAAGATGTGAGCCACTGTGTAGCACTAGAGCATTTTTCGTATACTTATTTGCCCACGACCACGCCCATGGCAACGCCCAGCTGATTTTTTGTTTTTAGTAGAGACGGGGTTTCACCATGTTAGCCAGGATGGTCTTGATCTCCTGACCTCGTGATCCACTCGCCTCGGCCTCCCAAAGTGCTGGGATTACAGGCATGAGCCACCGTGCCCTGCCAGCCTAGGCAACTCTTGTCTCTGCCAAAATAATAATAATAATTATTATTTATTTATTTATTTATTTATTGAGACGGTGTCTTGTACTGTCTCCCGGGCTGGAATGCAATGGTGCGATCTCAGCTTACTGCAACTTCCGCCTCCCAGGTTCAAGCAATTCTCCTGCCTCAGCCTCCCAAGTAGCTGGGACTACAGGCACCCGCCACCATGCCCAGCTAATTTTTCGTATTTTTAGTAGAGATGGGGTTTCACCATGTTGGCCAGGCTGGTCTCAAACTCCTGACCTTGTGATCCGTCCACCTCAGCCTCCCAAAGTGCTGGGATTACAGGCATGAGCCACCGTGCCCGGCTTTATCATGGTGAAACCATGTCTCTACTAAAAATACAAAAAATTAGCTGGGCGTGGTGGCGGGTGCCTATAGTCCCAGCTACTTGGGAGGCTGAGGCAGGAGAATCGCTTGAACCCAGGAGGCGGAGGTTGCAGTGAGCCGAGAATGCACCACTGCACTCCAGCCTGGCGACACAGCGAGACTCCGTCTCAAAAAAAAATTAATTTATAAAAAAGGTATTCCACATTATATCTCATCAGGGATATACTAATTAAAAGTACAATTAAATACTACTGTGCACCTCTTAGAATGGCCCAAATTCAGAACATTCACAACACCAAATGCTGGTAAACATGTGGAGCAATGGAAACTCTCATCCATTGCTGGTGGGAATGCAAAATAGTACAGATACTTTGGAAGAGAGTTCCGCAATTTCTTAGAAAACTAAGTATACCACAGCCATAAAAAAGAACAAAATCATGTCCTTTGCAGCAACATAGATGCAAGTGGAGGCCATTATCCTAAGTGAACTAACACAGGAACAGAAAACCAAATACTGCATATTCTCATAAGTGTGAACTAAATATTGGGTACTCGTGGACATAAAGATGGCAACAATAGACACTGGGGACTACTAGAGGGGGTGGGAGGGAAGGGGCAAGGGTTGAAAACTATTGGGTACTGATATGGTTGGTGGGAGGGAAGGGGCAAGGGTTGAAAAACTATTGGGGTACTGATATGGTCCCACCCAAATCTCATCTTGAATTGTAATTCCCACAATTCCCATGTGGAAGGAACCTGGTGGGAGGTAGTTGAGTCATGGGGGCAGGTCTTTCCTGTGCTGTTCTCCTGATAGTGAATAAGTATCATTGGATCTGATGGTATTATAAGGGGGAGTTTCCGTGCACAAGCTGTCTCTTTGCCTGCTGCCATCCATGTAAGATGTGACTTGTTCCTCCTTACCTTCCGCCATGATTGTGAGGCTTCCCCAGCCACGTGGAACTGTAAGTCCATTAAACCTCTTTCATGAATTGCCCAGTCTTGGATATGTCTTTATCAGCAGTGTGAAAACAGACTAATACAGGTACTATGCTCACTACCTGGGTGATGGGATCAATTGTAACCCAAACCTTAGCATCATGCAATATACTCATGTAACAAACCTGCACATGTACCCTCTGAATCTAAAATAAAAGTTAAAATTATTGTAAAAAAGAAAATTAAACGTCCTCTTACTGTACAATCCAGCAATCATGCTCCTTGGTATTTATCCAAAGGAGTTGAAAACTTATGTCCATATAAACATCTGCACATGGATGTTTCCAGGAGCTTTATTCATAATTACCAAAACTTGGAAGCAACCAAGATGTCCTTCAGTAGATGAATGGATAAATTGTGGTACACTCAGACAATGAAATACTATTCAGTGCCATAAAGAAATGAGCCATCAAGCCATGAAAAGGCACAGGAGTCATTTAAATGCATATGTCAACCTAAATAACAAACAGGAGAGGCTTCCCAAAAGAAAATGATATTTATTTGGGAATAGAGCATTGCAATGAGAATACATGTGCCATAGTAACCTATATGCATATTCAGGAAGGTAAAGGAAGACAAAGGTTTTCAAAGGAAAAAATGAGGATTACATAATTATTTTGAAATAATTATCCTTGGCTACAAAGATCAATAACAAGGCCGACACCAGTCTGAGGTTGGACAAGCAATTGCTGGGCAGATGTCTTTGCAGCAGTATTTTTTTTGTGAAAGGTTGTGGTGGCCTTTGTGCAAAACTGTGGCTTTTGTAGAATCTTTTTTGTTATCAGTTATACATGCGTGAGAACCCTCTCTTTAAGGTCTTCCTCAGCTCTATTTCTAAGGGTTTTCTTCACAGTGTTTTCTGGTTATGAGATGCTAGATGGTGTTCAAGATGTTTTAAATGTATTAACTCATTTAATCTTTGCAATCACCCTGGGAAGTAGGAACAATGACTACATTACAGATGACGAAAAGGCTCATTCAGTTTGTCCAAGGTCACAGAGCTTGAATTTGAGCTCTGGTGACTGTTCTGGAGCCCATGCTCTTAATCATTATGCTATGCTGCCTCTTGTGGCACAATTGGCATGTATTGGTAAGCATAACTTTGCAAAGTTTTGTGGTTTTTAACAAATAAATAAAACCTTTAAAGGAAAATGGCAGTTGGACTTGACTTTAAAGGCTGTGGGGGGAGTAAGAAGGTAGAGGGGAGGAAGGTAGGAAAATAGCCACAGATCTGCTTTCCCAAAGTTAGGAGGTGGTGTGGCAGAGTGAGAGATAAAAAGCAGATTAAATCCCTCAGCCCAGGGCAAGGATGGAGAGGAGAACCAGTGGAAGCAATTTGGGAATGACCTCGAGGTCCTCGTCTAAATTTTTTTTTTTTTTGTTTTTGTTTTTTGAGACGGAGTCTCGCTCTGTCGCCCAGGCTGGAGTGCAGTGGCATGATCTCGGCTCAGAGCAACCTCCGTCTCCCGGGTTAAAGCAATTCTCCTGCCTCAGCCTCCCAAGTAGCTGGGACTACAGGCGTGCACCACCATGCCTGGCTAATTTTTTTTTTTTTTTAGTAGAGACAGGGTTTCACCATGTTGGCTAGGCTGCTCTTGAACTCCTGACTTCAGGTGATCTGCCCACCTCAGCCTCCCAAAGTGCTGGGATTATAGGCATGACCCACTGTGCTTGGCCTCTTCCTTTCTTTCTTTCCCTTCTTTTTCTTTCTCTCTCTCTCTTTCCTTCCTTCCCTCCCTCCCCTTTCTTTTTCTTTCTTTCTCTTTCTTTCTCTCTCTTTCTCTCACTCCTTCTTTCCCTCCCTTCTTTCTCTCTCTCCTTTCTTTCTCTTTCTTTCTCTCTCTCTTTCTCACTCCTTCCTTCCCTCCCTTCTTTCTCTCTCTCTTCTTTCTCTTTCTCTCTTTCTCTCTCCTTCCTTCCCTCCCTCCCTTCTTTCTCTCTCTCTCTCTCTCTCTCGCTCTGCCACCAGGCTGGAGTGCAGTGGCACAATCATGGCTCACTGCAGACCTGACCTCCTGGGCTCAAGCGATCCTCCCATGTCAGCCTCCTGAGTACCTGGGACTACAGGTGCATGCCACTGTACCTGGCTAATTTCTTTTGTAGAGAAAGGGTCTTGCTATGTTGCCCAGGCTGTTCTTGAACTTCTGGACTCAAGTGATCCTCCAGCCTTGGCCCCGCAAAGTGTTGGGATTACATGTGTGAACCATTGCCCCCTGCCAATATCTCCCACCTTTCCTTGTCTACTTTTATAACCCTCCTTCTGATCCCTCCTTTTCATTTCAAATGCACTGATCTTGTTCTGGCCAATGGTTATGAGAAAAAGCAGCTAACAGAAATGAAACACACTGAAATCCAAACCATCTCTCTCTCTCACACACACACACACACACACGCACATCTTTTTTGAGACAGAATCTCACTCTGTTGCCCAGGCTAGAGTGCCGTAGTGTGATGACAGCTCACTGCAGGCTTGACCTCCCAAGCTCAAGTGATCCTCCTACCTCACCCTCCCAAGTAGCTGGGACTATAGATATGTTCTACTGGTTAATTTGTTATACTTTTTGTAGAGACCAAGTATTGCCATGTTGCCCAGGATGGTCTCAAACTCTTGGGCTCAAGCAATCTGCCCGCCTCAGCCTCCCATCCTCCCAGAGTGCTGGGATTACAGACGTGAGCCACTGTGCCTGGCCCTATATTTTTAAAATTTATTTTATTTTCTTCTTCTTCTTCTTCTTTTTTTTTTTTGAGACAGAGTCTCGCTCTGTCGCCCAGGCTGGAGTGCAGTGGCTCAGTCTCGGCTCACTGCAAGCTCCGCCTCCCAGGTTCACACCATTGTCTTGCCTCAGCCTCCCAAGTAGCTGGGACTACAGGAGCCCACTACCACGCTTGGCTAATTTTTTGTATTTTTATTAGAGACAGGGTTTCACCGTGTTAGCCAGGATGGTCTCGATCTCCTGACCTCGTGATCCGCCCACCTCGGTCTCCCAAAGTGCTGGGATTACAGGCGTGAGCCACCACACCCGGCCTTTATTTTATTCTTAATTTTTGAAAAATCGCTATCATTTTTTGAGACTGGGTCTCACTTTGTTGCCCAGGCTAGAGTGAAGTGGTGCAATCATGGCTCCCTGCAGTCTTGAACTTCTGGTCTCAAGTGATTCTCCCACTTCAGCCTCCCAAGTAGCTGGGACTACAGGTGTGTGCCATGGACCCGGCTAACTTTATTTTTAATTTTTTTGTAGAGATGGGATCCCACTGTTGCCCAGGCTGGTCCTCAACTCCTGGACTTAAGCAACTCAAGCAACTCAAGCAATTCTCCAGCCTTGGCCTCCCAAAGTGTCAAGATTATAGGCATGAGCCACTATGCCTGGCCGTTGTTTTTTTTTTTTTTAACTTATTTTTAATTGAGCTGTTTGTTTTTCCTTTTCTTTTTCTTTTCTTTTTTTTGCAGAGGCTGCTTAACACCTGTTGCTATTGAGTTGGGTGTTTGTTTTCTTTTTCTTTTTTTTTTGAGATGGAGTCTCACTCTGTCACCTAGGTTGGAGTGCATTGGTGCAATCTCGGCTCACTGCAACCTCCACTTCCCAGGTTCAAGTGATTCTCCTGCCTCAGTCTCCTGAGTAGTTGGGATTACAGGCACGCACCACCACTCCCAGCTAATTTTTGAATTTTTTAGTAGAGACGGGGTTTCATCATGTTGGCCAGGCTAGTCTCGAACTCCTGACCTCAAGTGATTCACCTGCCTTAGCCTCCCAAAGTGGTGGGATTACAGGCGTAAGCCATTGCGCCCAGCCAGGTGTTGAGAGTTCATTATATACTCTGGATACAAATCCTTTGTCAGATAGGTGATTTGCAATATTTCCTCCCAGTCCTAGCTTGTGATTTGTTTTTAGTTCTCCTAACAGTAGTTTTCAAAGAGCATTAATTTTTAATTCTGATAGAGTATAATATATCAATTGCTCTTTTATGGATTGTGCTTCTGGAATCATAGCTAAGACATTTTGCCTAAACCAAGTTGCAGAAAAGATCAAATCGTAGCCTGAAGGAGCTGACTAAGGGCAAGAATCAGAGACTAAGCCAGCCACAGGGGCAGGTACTGGGCAAGGGGTGTAGGTGTAAAGGAAGAGACTCAGTTGTGGATGATAAGACAATTGGGTGGATTTTCAGACAAGCAATGTGATGGATGATTGATTAGCATTCAGCATCCATTTTCATCTCCTTTTAGCATACTTTCCTGAAGAGGCTAAAAAGCTAAGGATTATATGTCTCAGAATTCCTTACATCCAATCACATGTACTTGGGTGAGATTTCGAATGCAGAAGTGAGGCTGGGCTCATACCTGTAATTCTAGTACATTGGGAGGCTGAGGCAGGATGGTTGCTTGAGCCCAGGAGTTTGAAACCAGCCTGAGCAATACAGTGGGACCCTGTATCTACAAACCTTTTTTTTTTTTTTTTTTAATTAGCCAGAGTGGTGGTACATGTCTGTAGTCCCAGCTTCTTAGGAGGCTGAGATGGGAGGATCCCTTGAGCCCAGGAGTTCGAAGCTGTAGTAAGCTGTGATTGTGCCACTGCACTCCAGCCTGGATGACAGAGTGAGTGAGACTCTGTCTCAAAAAATATATATAGTAGAATGCAGAAGTGAGAAAAAGGCCAATCACCCTGCTACTTTGACTATTTCTCCTGGCCAAGCAAGGTTGTAGAGATGTGTCATGTTTCTATAGCAGTGATACTGTGAGGTCTCTAGCTTTGCAAATATTGAGAGGTGGCTGCATCAGAGTGTAGCAGTGGCAATGTCCTGATACAGCTGCCAGCTCGCTGGATCATAGCTGCAGCCACTTACTCTTAAACCCAGTTAGTGGAGACTTTCAGGTGCTTCACCCTCCCTGACTGTGGTAGAGGTAACAGCTTCCCTGTTGGAGCACTCTTACCTTGTTCTGGTGGTTATTCTTGGAGTTTCAACCCAGAGCTAGTTCCTCTAGACTTTATTTTATTTTATTTTATTTTTTTTGAGACTGTGTCTTGCTCTGTCACCAGGCTGGAGTGCAGTGGCGCGATCTCGGCTCACTGAAACCTCCGCCTCTCGGCTTCAAGCGGTTCTCCTGCCTCAGCCTCCCAAGTAGCTAGGACTACAGGTGTGCATCACCACACCCAGCTAATTTTTGTATTTTTAGTAGAGACAGGGTTTCATCATGTTGGTCAGGACGGTCTCCATCTCTTGACCTCGTGATCCACTTGCTTCGGCATCCCAAAAGTGCTGGGATTACAGGCGTGAGCCACCACACCCGGCCATTCCTCTAGACTTTCTGAAGGATTTCGTAAGCACTTAACTCTTTGTATCCCTAAGATAGTTGCAGGGGTTTCTGTTTTCTGCACCGAATCCCCTCCAACTATCCTGAGTGATACAGGCAGTCAGGATGTATCTGGGAGGAATGATAAAGAATCCAACATGTTCAGCTGGGCACAGTAGCTCATTCCTATAATCCCAGCACTTTGGGAGGCCAAGGCGGGCGGTTCACTTGAGGCCAGGAGTTTCAGACCAGCCTGGCCAACATCGCGAAACCCCATCTCTACTAAAAACAAATACAAAAATTAGCCAGGCATGGTGGCGCGTGCCTGTAATTCCAGCTACTCAGGAGGCTGAGGCATGAGAATCGCTTGAACCCCGGAAGTGGAGGTTGCAGTGAGCCGAGATCATGCCACTGCACTACAGCCTGCACCACAGAGTGACTCTGTCTCAAAAAAGCAAACAAACAAAAACAAAACAAAACAAAAAACATCTTCTATCATGTGGGAAAAATGGGACTGTGGAAAGGCATTCATTTGTTCAACAAGCATGTAACAGACATGGAGTGGGTCTATAGCTAGACATCAGGAATACCTACCTTCCCTGAAGGAGTTTACATTACCTGATGATTTCATGGTATGATGATAGAGATGTTAGAATACTATGTGCTCACAGAGATGTTCTCAATCAGACTTGGTAGAGATGTCATCAAAGAGGTAATCTCTAAGCTTGGTTTTAACAGATGAGTAGGAATTGGCCAGCAAAGAAGGGGAAGAGCATTCTATCTGCAACAGGGAAAACTATTTCATTACTATTTTTCGAGACAGGATCTCACGCTGTCCCCCACGCTGGAGTGCAGTAGTGCAGTCATGGCTCACTGCAGCCTAGACCTCCCAGGCTCAAGTGATCCTCCCACCTCAGCCTCTCAAGTAGCTGGGACCACAGGCGCATGCCACCACGCCCAGCTCATTTTTGTTATTTTTTTGTAGAGACGGGATTTCACCATGTTGCCCACGGTGGTCTCAAACTCCTATGCTCAAGTCATCCTTCCTCCTCAGCCTCCCAAAGTGCTGAGATTACAGGTGTGAGCCACCGCCTGTAATAATTTGCCAGGGCAAATTATTAAGTAAAACTCTTAAATATCTGTGTTGACACTTCTCCCACACCTTCCTAGGAAAGAGATGGGGTGAGGAGATGTGTGTTTCTAAAGACTAGGCGCTAGACTAGGAGGTAGGGAGAATGTAGAAGCTTCTTCGATGGGTAGGACAGGGGTGGAAGCTGGAGTTTGAAAGTGCTGTCAGTAAGGAGGGGGAAGCAGTTGACCTAAGAGCTTCCCTAGAGGATAAAGGTAGGGCATCCTTAAGCTGGCCTAAACTCTTCAGTCTTCTTTACTTCCTCACTTCTCATTAGAGAATCAGATGGCATGGAATTCTGAAACAAGGCCTGGGTTCAGAGCCAGGGATACCACTTACTCATTAGGTGGTCTTGTTCATACGACTTCACTTTTTAAAATCTGCCTTCTCATCTATAAGACAAGGATAATGATAATATCTCCCTCGTATAGTGTTGTAAAGATCTAAGTAGGTAATGGATGTGAAAAAATATTGAAAATTGTAAAACACTATAATAATACCAGTCACTATTTTTTTAAAATTATACTTTAAGTTCTGGGGTACGTGTGCAGAATGTGCAGGTTTGTCACACAAGTGCACGTGCCATGGTGGTTGGCTGCATCCATCAACTTGTCATCTACATTAGGTATTTCTCCTAAGGCTATCCCTCCCCTAGCCCCCCACCCACCAACAGGCCCCGGTGTGTGATGTTCCCCTCCCTGTGTCCAGGTGTTCTCATTGTTCAACTCCCACTTATGAGTGAGAACATGTGGTGTTTGGTTTTCTGTTCTTGTACTAGTTTGCTGAGAATGATGGTTTCCAGCTTCATCCATGTCCCTGCAAAGGACATGAACTCATCTTTTTTATGGCTGTATAGTATTCCATGGTGTATATGTGCCACATTTTCCTTATACAGTTTATCATTGATGGGCATTTGGGTTGGTTCCAAGTCTTTGCTATTGCAAATGATCAGTGTGCACACAATAAACATACATGTGCATGTGTCTTTATAGTAGACACTCTGTTGCACAGGCTGGAATGCAATGGCGCAATCGCAGCTCACTGCAACCTTCCCCTCTTGGGTTCAAGCGAGTCTCCTGCCACAGCCTGTTGCGCAGGCTGGAGTGCAATGGTGCAATCCCAGCTCACTGCAACCTTCCCCTCTTGGGTTCAAGCGAGTCTTTTGCCACAGCCTCCCAAGTAGCTGGGATTACAGGTGTGCGCCACCATACCTGGCTAATTTTTTTATTTTTAGTAAAGACGGAGTTTCAGCATGTTGGCCAGTCTGGTCTTGAACTCCTGGCCTCAAGCAATCTGCCTGCCTCGGCCTCTCAAAGTGCTGGGATTACAGGCGTGAGCCACCGTACCCAGCCCCACCAGTCAGTATTATTATGTAATAAGCAATGAAGTCTGGTTGATTGTATCTCAGGTATATCTCCTTCGCCAAATTTACTTCTGTTCATCCCCCTGCTCTGATTTGGTTCAGGCTTCTATCTTCCCTATGTCGTTTCTGTAGACCCTCTATATTTTCAAATGCTCCTAAAGGAATTTTTCCATAGAGCTTACTTAAAAATTGTCTAGGACATGCTACTATCTACATAATAAAGGACAAACTCAACCGGGCATGGTGGCTTGTGCCTATAATCCCAACACTTTGGGAGGCTGAGGCAGGAAGATCATCTGAGCCCAGGAGCTTGAGACCAGCTTGGGCAACATGGCAAAACCCCATCTCTACAAAAAAATACAAAAATTAGCTGGGCATGATGGCACACACCTGTAGCCACAGGTACTAGGAAAGCTGAGATGAGAGGATCACTTGAGCTAGGAGGTTGAGGTTGCAGTGAGCAGAGATCGCACCACTGCACTCCAGCCTGGGTGACAGAGTAAGACCCTGTCTCAAAAAAAAAAAAAAAAAAAAAAAAGGGACAAACTTCTTAGCTTAGCACAAGGCTCTTTTTGAACTTGATTTGACCTGTCTTTCTAGATTTATCTCCTCTCTTCCTGCTATACACCCTACTCTTCAGCCTCACTGAATTTCTTACTATTGCTCAAACAATCCATTTTCACCTGTATTGTTCCCCCTTCTGGAATGCCTTTTCTCCTTCCTGATCATCCTTCCATCACCTTCTAATCACACTGTTCTCTCTTTTCCATTTGGCACATCTATTCGCCCTTAAGCGCTGGCTCCAGTGTCATCCACTCCCCAGTTCTCTCAATAGCACTTGGCATGACCCTCTATGACAACACTTACCATACTGTTTTGTAAACATTAGTTTGAGAGGCTTTTAGATTCCTACTAGCCCTATTGTGAGCACAGGGAAGAAAGACACCTATTCATATCTGGATCTTCCTTAGTACCTGAAATAAAAGAGGACTGGATATATATACTTTTAAATAAACAAATAAGCTCCACAGACCAGACAAGACATAGACAAAAAATTAAACAGCTTTGGGAGGCCTATGCAGGTGGATCACCGAAGGTCAGGAGTTGGAGATCAGCCTGGCCAACATGGTGAAATCCAGTCTCTACTAAAAATACAAAAATTAGCTGGATGTGGTGGTGCACACCTGTAATCCCAGCTACTCGGGAGGCTGAGGATGGAGAATCACTTGAACCCAGAGGTGGAGGTTGCAGTGAGCCAAGATTGCACCACTGTACTCCAGCCTGGGCAACAGAGTGAGACTCTGTCAAAAAAAAAAAAAAATTAAACAGCACAAGGCAGTAAAGGAACCAAGAGTTACATATCTACAAGTTCCAAATGAAAAGTAGAGAAAACAAGAGTCATGATCATTTGAATTTGAGAAAACTCCAGGATGGGATATGAAACTTGGTACCCACCAATATAATACCAATGATCTTACACGGTTCCTTCAAACTGGGTCCACACTCCTCCGCTCTACCTTGCCTCTCCTGCACCAGACTTGGAGCTCTTTTGAAGTTGGCAGCAGGTCTCTTGTTCACCTTTTCATCTTGCATTCTTTCTTTATCTACCGGCATCTAGTCAGATGTTTTGCACATAAGCACCCAATAAACCTAAAGATTGTATTAAGCCTGGGTGGGATTTGGATAGATGGAGTAGAAGGAAGAAGAAATCCAGATCAGGGACGCAGCAGGAATGTGTTAGTTTCCTGTTGGTTCTCTAACAAATTATCACAAACGGTGGCTAAGAACAACACAGATTTATGATTTTATAGTTCTAGAGATCAGAAGTCTGAAATTAGGTCTAACAGAGCTCAAATTAAAGTGTTGACAGGGCCATGTTCCTTATAGAGGATTGAGGGGAGAATCTGTTTCCTTGACTTTTTTCAGTTTCTAGAAGCTACTGCATTCCTTGGCTCATGGCTCCACCTCACCCTGACTCCTGCTTCTGTCATCACATCTCCCTCCCTCATTTTGGCCTTTCCTCTTATAAGGACCGTTGTCATCACATTGAGATCACCTGGAGAGTCTTCTCATCTCTAGATCTGTAACTTAATCACATCTGCAAAGTCCCTTTTGCCATGTAAGATAACATATACACGGGTTCTGGGGATTAGGACATGGATACTTTGGGAGCCATTATTCTGTCTACCACAAAGAGCAAAGCCAGACATAAGAATGAGCAACTAATGTTTGGAGATGGACCTTTCCAGCTGAAGCAAAGGGTTGATTTGATTAGAAGACATTAGCGTTTAGAGATAGACCCTCGAATATCAGAATAAGGAGTTTTAGTTTTATCCTACAGAAAGTAAGCATTTAAAGGTGGGTGAGCAGGCAGTTAACAATGAAAGAAGTAATCTAGCAGATCCCCAAAGACCCTAGAGTATATAAATCTGGTGGTTATGCTTGAGGCAAGCAAAAACAGAATTAAAAGGTTAGGGACTAAGAAACCACACAAAAGGTGAATACACTGCTGTTCACTGTCCTATCGAGTTTCTTCTTTTTGCTAGATGTTCCTTGTGCATCCATGATAAATGGTGAATTATTTCCCTTCTTGAATTCTCAACTTTTGTCTAGTGGAAGTCTACAGTCTTGTTATAACCCCTCTGCTTAGAAGAGTCTGCCACAGCAGTTGGGAAGGCACGTATTTAGGGTAAGAAGTGGAGATGAAGAAAGGGGATAAGATGTGAACTGATTAATTTGTTCACTGATTAGAAGAGGCTGAGCTTCACAGGAAAGGGTTTCAATGGTTTGGAAAGACAGGGACTCTACCTCTTGGTTGTAAACAACAGGAACCCAATGCATAGTGAGTTAGAAAAAGAATTTACTAGCTTTTGGCTAGGCGCGGTGGCTCACGACTGTAATCCCAGCACTTTGGGAGGCTGAGGCGGGCAGATCACGAGGTCAGGAGATCGAGACCATCCTGGCTAACACAGTGAAACCCCATCTCTACTCAAAATACAAAAAAATTAGCCAGGCGTGGTAGCAGGCGCCTGTAGTCCCAGCTACTCAGGAAGCTGAGGCAGGAGAATGGCGTGAACCTGGGAGGCGGAGCTTGCAGTGAGCTGAGATCACACCACTGTACTCCAGCCTGGGCGACAGAGTGAGACTTCGTCTCAAAAAAAATAAATAAATAAAATAAAAAAATAAAATAAAAAAGAAAAAGAATTTACTAGCTTTAATAGCATCTATATGACGATGATTTCCAAATTTACATTGCCAAATTGCATAAATTAATAAGTAGAGCTGCTGCTTGTCGCAGGCATGATGGCTTCAAGGTTACTTTGCACAGCTGGAACGCTGGCCATGAAGGCTTTGAGGGCTTGCAGTCCCAGCGGGGTGCAATCGCAATAAGACATATATGAGTCTGAAGAGCAAACTCATTTATATCCAATTGCTTAGTGGATATCTTTACTTGGATGTCCAAAGGGCAAATCAAACTCAACATGGCCCAAACTTGTTCCTGACCTTCCCTTTCCAGTTCCCCCTCACCAAACCTACTCCTCCTATCACTTCCCCCATTTCAATTAGTGAAAACTCCACCATCTTTGTTGCTCAAGTCAAATACTTTGCAGTTATCTTTCATTCACCCTCCACATTCAAACTATCAGGAAATTCCATCAGCTTTACTTTCAAGTCTTTAATAAGGAATCTGACCATTTCTTTCCACCGGTACAGTTACCACCCTGGTTCAAACCATCTCTCACCCAAATGATTGCACTAGCCTGCTAACTAGTCTCCCTGTCCATACTTCTATTGGTTTGTTTTCAATGCAAGAGCCAGAGTGATCCCTGTTACAAAACATGTTAGATCATACCACTCCTCTACTCAAAATCCTCCAATGGCTACCTATCCTACTTAGAGAAAACCGAAGTCCTCACACAATAGCCTACAATATCCTACACAATATATGGCTTCTGGTTACCTTTCTGACTTCATCTTTCACTACCCTTTTCCTTGCTCATTGCACTCCAGCTACACTGGCATCTTTGCTGTTCTTCTAATACATCAGAGATAGTATGCACTTGCCATTCCCTTTGTCTGGATAATTCTTCCCTAGATAGCCACATAGCTTATTTCCTTGCATCCTTCAGATCTTTATCCAAATGCTATCTTATTAGTGAGTCCTTCCTTGATCATCCTATTTAAAATATTTATTATGAGGGAGGGGAAGAAGGAGCCAATGCAATGACTAGTCTTTATTGGAGAGAAGATACTTTACAGCACATTTTGAGCAATTAGTGCCAGGGCTCACTGGGCCAACTTGTGGGACATCAGCTTGTAATGGGTTCATAGTTAGAGCATCACTGGGTCTCGCCTTTGTGCAGCCAGAACCAGTTGACAGCACTGTTGTCCTCTTCACCGATGCAGCTCACTATTATCTTGGTGATGGAGGGAGCTGTTAGGGTCTTCCCTGGTGCCTGAAGCTGCCTTTGGGGGTAATATATTGTATGGGTCCAATCTCATACATGGCTGTCATGAACTCCCTCTCCAGCCCAGTCATCTGCTTGTCATCAGTAGGAACGCCACCTCCAGATGCCATGAAGCACACTGCAACCACCCCATTGGGACTGTAAGCCCTCAGGCCTATGCGGCTAGCGCTCCAGCTCTGAAAATTAACCTTGAAGCCATCATGCCTGTGACAAGCAACAGCTGTGTTTATTTATTTATTGAGACAGAGCCTCACCCTGTCACCCAGGCTAGAGTGGAGTGCCATGAACATGGCTCACTACAGCCTCAACCTCCTAGTTTCAATTGATCCTCCTGCCTCAGCCTCCCAAGTAAGCAACTCTATTTAAAATCTTAATGCCTCTTCCATCTCTATCACCTTTCAGTTTTATTTTTATTAACACTGATCACTAACATCTATACATTTTACTCGTCTAGTTTATTGTCTACCTTTCCTTCTACACAGATTGTGAATTCCAAGAGGACACAATGTATATCCTGTTTGTTCGCAGATGTACCTTCAATGCCCAGAATAGTATCTGGCATAGAATAAACTTTCTAAAATAAATATTTGTTGAATAAATGAATTAAAAATCTAGGTGATAACTTCAGGCATGGTTAGATCCAGGTTCTTGGCATGTCATTAGAATTTTGTCCTGTCTCATAGCTTTTCTCTCCTCTGCGCTGGCTTCATTCTCAAGCAGGCTTGATGTGTTACAGGTGATGATAAGACGGCCACCAGCGGCTGCAGGTTTACATTCTAATAATTTTGCAGCCTAAATGGAGAGAGAGTGAGTGCCTCTTTCCTGATTGTTTCAGAGAAAGCCTTGGATATATCATATTGTCTGGGCTTGGGTCAAGTGACAATCCCTAAAACAGTGTCCATGGGTAGAGGAGGAAAATGTTGTGACTGACTGGGCCTGGGTCATGCGGTCCTTTGGAACTGGGGATAAAATTCAGCTCCATTTAGACTGAGAAGAGGGGAGAGGTGGTTTCCTAAAAGAAAAGGGGGTGCTCTCACTGGAAGAAGATGGCGGCTAGACAACAAATTTCCACCGCAAATGTCAACGACCCAGCCGCCGACTGAGCCCAGAACAGCGTTCTTCTCCCGCCTCTCCATTTTCACACGCAGCCAGATGGTTAAGCTTCTCTCCTCCCAAACGTTTTTTCCCCTGCCTCTGTCGGGTAAGGGCTTCCTCATCCCTCAATGCCTGGTCCAACTATGATCTCCCTCACCCCGACTCTTAACAGGTACTATCTCTCTCCCTCTTCTGAGTATCCTGCTTGTTTCTACTTCTCTTGTAGTTAGTTTTGTACGCCATGCCTTGTATAATATTTTACTTACTTGTATACATCATGAGTTCCTTTTGAAAAAGGGTACGGTCCATTCCCGGTGTGTCCACGCCAGCCCCTCACGCCCTCTGGGAACCGCGGTGATTCGATGCCGGCTGAGGCCGCCAGGGAGCGCTCGGCGCCCGGCACGAGGCCGTCAAGGGCGGGAGGCGCTGTGATTGGCAGACGCGGCCGTCAATCGGGCGCAGGTGGGGCGGGCCGGGCCGCCTGTGAGGCCTCTGGGCGGGAGGCGGGGCCTGCATGAATGGGGCGCGCGTCGCGCGGGCTGCAGTCGGCGCTCGCGGGGGAAGCCCGAGTCTCGGCCGGGTGTGGGTGGGAGGAAGCGAGGTTGGCGGGGGAAGGGAAAGAGCGCGGGGGGCGGGGAGGGGCAGCGCCCGGGCGGCGCGCCGAGCGCGGCGAGGCGGCGGGTGTGAGCAAGAGCCGGCCGCCTCCGTCCGCCTTGCTTCGGTGCGGCTGTCCGCTACGCTGCCTCCGCCCTCGCCGCGCGCCCCCGCCAGCGGGACTCCAGGGAACCCCCGGCGCCCTCGACGGGGCCGAGGAGTCGGGACTCGGGGAGCCGGCGCTGAGGGAGGAGCCTGGTCGGAGCCGCGGAGCCGAAAGCTCCGGAGCGTGGAGGTGGGGGGCCGAGGCCCCTGAGGGGGCCCCGCCGCGATGGGCAACCTGGAGAGCGCCGAGGGGGTCCCGGGAGAGCCCCCCTCTGTCCCGTTGTTGCTGCCGCCCGGCAAGATGCCGATGCCTGAGCCCTGTGAGCTGGAGGAAAGGTTCGCCCTGGTGCTGGTGAGAGCTGAGCCCAGCCCCTTCCCCCGCGTACCGCCCCTCAGGTCCCGACGCCCGGGCTGGGACTTTGTGCTGGGCCCCCGTCCCGCCCACCCTTTCAGTCGGGGTCCCGAACGGATCCCGGCCTCCAGTGTCTTCCCAGGAACCTCTGAGCAGCCGCTGGCCGGCCCGGACAGCCCCGTCGGGGATCTCGGGACCGACGCCTCCACCGCTGGACCCTTAGGAGAAGTCCCCAGTTCGGGACCGTCCTAGGAACCAGGCTTCTCCCTCCTTCTTCCTCCCCCTTCTGCTGCCCTTTTCCCGTTTCCCCGCTTCTTCGCCAGGCTCCCCGTCCCTAGCATTCTCAGCCCGGAGCCTCTCGCGGGTGGGGGGAATTCAGAAGCGCGGCCGGCTCGCTCCTCAGCAGGCTTCCCTGAGTGGGGACACCGCCTCTCCTGCGAACATGGAGGCTTCCCAGGGAGTGGGTCCCACTCCCAGCCCAGACCAGATGTTTGGGGGGAGAGGGGGATGGGGAGGCGGCTGGCAGCTCCTGAAGGGGGTGGAATAAAGAGTATGCCATTCTGCTTATTTTCAGAACGGCCTGCAGGCATCCTGCTAAGTTAGAGTGGATTTGCCTGAAAGGCTGAACATGTGGATAAACCATTTCACTGGGGTATTTCTCCAAGTGAAACAATACACAAACCATCCCGCCTCCTCCCCCCCTTTTCACGTTAAGCCATAGTGACTGGTTTGTGTTGTTTAGCCTGTGCTTTTTAGTCTTTCTGTGGGTTTCAAACGGTCTGTATAAATGGGTTTTTAGAGCTGACTTTGGGATTCTTCTTTGGTGTGGGAATTGGACATTGATGTCAGTGGCTCTATGAAGCGAGAGGTTCTGAGCTGGTATCACCGGGAAGGAGCCAGAAAATATGTTTGCGCTGAAAATGAAGTTTTGCAGAGCGAAAACATTGGTAAACCGGGGTTAATCTTTGAGAAATTTGGGGAAATAGTTCTCACTTCCCCAAAGAGTTTTCTAAGAAGCAGTAATAATTCTGGCGTTATTGTTGGTATGGCCGACTCTGCCTTTGCCTCTGCCCATCAGGAGGGATAAGTTGTGGACTTAGCAGCCTTATTGGATTTCATCTGCCTTGGAATAAGGAGATTAGATCTGTTGGCAACAGTGGAGCTGTCTAGAGATCTTGGCCTCTCCGATGGTAGAGAATCTGACATCAGCCCACTGGCACCAGAGCTGGCTCAAAGAGGGTCCACAGTGTTCCAAGGGGAAGTGGTGTCGCTGGCACCTCTCTGCCCGCCAGCTCTGCGAAGGGCCAAAGGGATGTGGGCCATACATCCTGTGGCCCTCTGCATTTCCCCCAGCCTCCTCGGGGGATCGGGTGAGTCAGTGATTACCAATGTGCTGTGACCATCTCACAGGCTGAGGAGGAGAGACTGGGACTTAGTGGCCTTGAGAACAAGAGCCCAACTGTTGGGGAAAAGAGTGGGAGGGGATCTGCACTCTGGTGGGGGTGTGAAAATCCCCAGCAAGCTGACACAAGTTAGCTATAGAAACTGGGGAGAAAGGGATGGGGTGAGGTGGATTGGGTGGGAGGCTGCCTTAGGTGGGAGCTGCCAGGCCATTTTTTGTGAGAGCTCAGAACCAGAATCCATCATGTTCTCATTGGCCCTTGGTTGACCATTTCGTTTAGTTAGCAAACTAATGGCTTAATATTCACAAAATGCACGTGATGTCCTAGTTAACCAGGACACCAGAGCACCAGGAGAACCCAGGTCAAATGGGGGACTGGACCACCCACTTGCATGCCTTCCTTTCTGTATAAAATTTTGATTTGTTTCCTCATGCCTTTTGTTTTGGTCTTGTTTCTGTGTGCCTGAGCTGCTGCTGATGAAGGGTTGGAACAGGGCAGGCCAGAGCTAGTTAGTTGTCTCAGGAGACGGGATTTCACCTCAGTTTTCCAATACAGGGAAATCATCCCTTCTTGGGGATTTGAGTTCTTCTCTGGGGGCTCTTAAGTGTCCCTGTGTCCACTGTTCTGAAAGGTACCCTTTCTACCATGCTTTGGGAACAGTACTGACTGAGTCAGGTGTTTGACCCAGGTACAGGCTTAGGGGTATTTCCTGAACAGTCAGGAGAAGCATAGTGTAGTAGAAAAATCAAGGACTCTGGCTTAGCAAGTATCTTAACTTCTCTGAGCCTAGACTTCTTCCTCATCTGTAAAATGGAGGTAATCCTGTTCTGGTGAGATTGTGAGAATTAGGTGAGCCCCTGTATATAAGGTGCTTGGCACCCAGTAAGTACTCAATATAGATTATAGATTAGCTTCTTTTTTTTTTTTTTTTTTTTTTTTTTGAGATGGAGTTTGGCTCTGTCATCCAGGCTGGAGTGCGGCAGCACGATCTCAGCTCACTGCAAACTCAGCCTCCCGGGTTCAAGCAGTTCTCCTGCTTCAGCCTCCCCAGTAGCTGGGATTACAGGCGCGTGCCACTAAGCCTGGCTAATTTTTGTGTTTTTAGTAGAGATGGGGTTTCGCCATGTTGGCCAGGCTGGTCTCGAACTCCTGACCTCAGGTGATCCACCCGCCTTGGCCTCCCAAAGTGCTGGGATTACAGGCATGAGCCACTGTGCCTGGCCAGATTAGCTTATTTTTGTTGATGGTGTGAAACAGTCAGATAAACTGTTCCTTTCTCACCTTTTTCTTTCCTAGATTGTCAGCTTCATTATAATTGGTTAGGTTTTTTGAAAAAGCTATTTGGGAGGTTTGTTGAGGTGACATAGTGGTGTCCTGGTTAAGCTTATGGACTTTGAAGTCAGAGTGGATTCAACTGTTTCATCCATAGTCTTTGGTTAGAAGAGTGTTTGACCTCAAGCAAGTTACTTAATCTGATTCCCAGTCTTCTCTTATACATGGGGATAATAATAGCATTTGCCACATGAGGTTGTTGTGTGGATTTAATGAAATTGGAAGTCAAATACTTAGCAGAGTCTGGCATCTACTATATGCTTAGTAAATGGTAGCTTTTAAGTTTGTACCTCTCAGCAGTGACTCAGATCTGAGATCACTTGTGTTCCGAAAAAGGGGTTTTAAAGTTTAGAAATCTGATAAAACCAATTACCCTGTTGTGTATATCCAGTCTCGGAATATGGCTGCTGCTGTAAGCTGGAGGGCTTCCTTAGCCCCAAGTGTGTCTGTGGAAAACCCCCTGAAGAGTATCCTCGCTGGGGAAGTTGTATCAGTGCTGAGTCAAGACCACAGGCTCCCAGCCTTCTGTTCTAGACACATGATCTGTCAGCCAAAGTTGAAGAGCTTGAGATGAGGGCTATGAGAAGATTTGATGAGAACATTGATTCCAAGAATCCTAACCCAGCCCAGTGCCTTAATTCAGGGCTTCCCTACTAGTGTGCTGCAGATGGATCACAGATGTGCTGGAATACTGATCCCCTTATTCCTAGGGGCAGCTAAAGTTCCCAGTCAGTCCCCTCTGGATGGGATCAGCTTCTACCCCATGTACTGTAGAAACAGTAATATTTTCTAGGTGTGCCTCGATGGGAAAAAGGTTGTGAAGCTGCTGTGTTACACTGCTTCTTGGCATCCTTCCTTACCCCCTATCTGAGTAGCACTTCCCATTCTGTTGGGTATTGAGAAGTTTGGGGTTGGGGCAATTAATGGAGCTCCTCTTTATGAATACCAGAATGAGAGCCAATCTCTGGTCTGATACAGTCCCAGTGTGTTTTGGTCCAAACTAGATTACTACCCAAACTCAGTTGCTCAGAAGCTAGTATTCTGGCCAGTACTGGACTTTCCATAGAGAGGGGAGGCAGAGGGCTCTAAGGTCTTTGAAAGGATAGCTGTCTGTCTTTGTTGTGATTGTACTCTGATTTTTCTCTTTGTTGATTTACTACAGACTTGACATGGAGTCTAAAAGTTCTGATGCCAGAAAAAGCCCTGTATATCCCTTAGGAGGAGGCTTTCAGGGCATAAGGGTAGGGTTGTGTGACAGGAGCTATCCCTGCTGCAGTTTCTCCTCTCACATTTCCCTGGTGATGACTGACAACTTGGGGGTTTTTCTGTAAGTGTAGCATTGATGTGGGAGCTAAGCTGGCCTGGGTGCTAGTTGTCTAAGAGGCTTTGAGGGGCCTCCTTTGACACAGAAATGGGCTGGGAAAAACTTGGACTAAATATCAGGTTCCAAATCACCATGGTGGAAATTTTTTTCCCAGCCCTCAGGATTGTGGTGAATTAGTTCAGGCTAGAATAGAACTTGGGAGGGGGCAGGGAAAGGGCCTTTCACAGCAGCTGGTCAGAGGAACCTTCTTCTTGTTCAGAGACCCCACAGAGAAGACCCTAGACCACAGAGAGGAGTCTTATTCCCTTGACCTTCTGATATGACCCTGCCTTAGTCTGGGGGAAGCCTGTGTGTGGTGGGGAAGGGACTGATGGAGTGGACTCTGTCATTTGGGAATGTTTTCATTGCCCAGAGGGAGATTCAGCGTTTTTTTGTTTTGTTTTGTTTTGTTTTCCTCTTAAAGTAATACTTATTCTCTAAAGAAAGTATGGGACAATTCAGAAAGAAGAAAAGACTAAAGATTTAGGTTAAAGAAAAACATCCATATTTTCTCTAGTTTCTTTACCAAATGCAAATATTTTCTTAGTTCCTTTACCAAATGCAGCTGATGTGCTTTAAAACCTTTATATTTTTTTCTCTGCATAGAGTTTTATACAATGTTTTGATATTTGATTTATTTATTTAAGACAGAGTCTCGCTCTGTCACCCATGGTGGAGTGCAGTGACATGATCATGGCTCACTGCACCTCACTGCAGCTTTGAACTCCCAGGCTTGAGTGATCCTCCTGCCTCAGCCTCCTGAGTAGCTAGACCACAGGCGTGCGCCACCATGCCTGGCTAATTTTTTCATTTTTTGTAGAGATGGGGTCTTGCTTTGTTGCCCACATTGGTTTCAAACTCCTAGGCTCAAGTGATTCTCCCACCTCAGTCACCCAAAGTATTGGGATTTTAGGCATGAGCCACCATGCCCTGCCAGTATATATGTTTTTTATCCAGTTTTTTTGTTTGTTTTTTGCTTTTGTTATTTCATTAGTTTTCCCAGGCTAGTAATTGTAAGTGGTTTGTTTTTGTTTTTGAGACAGTCTTACTCTGTCACCCAGGCTGGAATGCAGTGGTACAATCTCTGCTCACTGCAACCTCTGCCTCCTGGGTTCAAGCGATTCTCCTGCCTCGCCTCCCAAATAGCTGGGATGACAGGCGCCTGCCACCACGCCTGGCTAATTTTTGTGTTTTTAGTAGAGACGGGGTTTCACCATGTGTTGGCCAGGCTGGTCTCGAACCCCTGGCCTCAAGTGATCTGCCCACCTCGGCCTCCCAAAGTGCTGGGATTACAGGCAAGAGCCACCAAGCCTGGCCTGTAAACATTTAAATGCTTGTACGATGGTCCATCAAGTGAAGGTACCTTTGTTTGCTTACCCATACACCTTTTCTTAGATATTTAGGTTTTTTGCTTCTGTTTGTCATCATAAACAATGCTGTGATGAACATCTTGGTGTACAAAGTATTTTCAATATTTAGAGTTTTCCTTGGGATAGAAACTCAAAATAGAACTTGCTAGATTGTAGGATATAACTGTTTTTGTTTCCAAATGGTTTTTAAAAGAGGGAATAATGTATGAGAAGGTTTTTAAAAGGATGGAAGAGGATTGAGAATAGCTTCTTTTCTCCTGATTATGAAAATAATAAATATTTATTAGGTAAATTTGGAACTTACTGAAAAGTGTAAAGAAGATAATAAAACCTATAATCTCACCATCTACTATTAACACTTTGATGTACGTGTATATATATTTTTTAACAATTGGGATCATACTGTGTATATTGTTTTGTAAACTGATTTGTTCATTTACTATTTTAAGCATTTTCTCATTTGCTTATATATTATTCAGTATCATTATTTCTTTTTTTTTTTTTTTTTGAGATGGAGTCTCACTCTGTTGCCCGGGCTGGAGTGCAATGGCCCGATCTCGGCTCACTGCAACCTCCATCTCCTGGGTTCAAGCAATTCTCCTGCCTCAGCCTCCCAAGTAGCTGGGATTACAGACGCCCACCACCACGCCTGGCTAATTTTTTTGTATTTTTAGTAGAGATGGGGTTTCACCATGTTGGCCAGGCTGGTCTCAAACTTCTGACCTTAGATCTACCCACCTCGGCCTCCCAAAGTGCTGGGATTACAGGTGTGAGCCACTGCGCCCGGCCCAGTATCATGATTTCATTACTGCATAGTACTCTATAATATTTTATCACTGCCTTATGTTGCCTTTTTTTTTTTTTTTTTTTTTGAGGTGGAGTCTTGCTGTGTCGCCCAGGTTGGAGTGCAATGGTGCGATCTCGGCTCACTGTAACCTCTGCTTCCTGGGTTCAAGCAATTCTTCTGCCTCAACCTCCTGAGTAACTGGGATTACAGGTGCATGCCACCATGCCTGGCTAATTTTTGTAGTTTCATTAGAGATGGGTTTTTGCCACGTTGGCCAGGCTGATCTCAAACTCCTGACCTCACGCGACCCACCTGCCTCGGCCTCCCAAAGTTTTGGGATTATAGGCATGAGCCACTGCGTCCAGCGTATCTTACCCTTTTAAAATCTCTTTTTTTTTTTTTTTTTTTGAGACGGATTCTCACTCTGTCGCCCAGGCTGGAGTGCAGTGGCTCGATCTCGGCTCACTACAAGCTCTGCCTCCCGGGTTCACACCATTCTTCTGCCTTAGCTTCCCGAGTAGCTGGGACTACAGGCGCCCGCCACCACGCCTGGCTAATTTTTTGTGTTTTTAGTAGAGATGGGGTTTCACCATGTTAGCCAGGATGGTCTCAATCTCCTGACCTCGTGATCCACCTGCCTCGGCCTCCCAAAGTGCTGGGATTACAGGCGTGAGCACCACGCCCAGCCTAAAATCTTTTTTTTGCTGTTACAAATAACACTGTGTTGAACATCCTGTGCATAAATATTTGTGTCCATCTCTGATTATTTCCTTAGGATAAATTGCTAGAAGTGGAATTATTGGGCCAAAGGGTATATGGTTTTTAAAGGCGTTTGAGACATATATCTTCTGAAAAAGTTTTATCAGTTACCTTTTCCACTGATAGTATATGTGTCTACCTTTCTCTGTAAGCTAACCGTTACTGAGTGAATTAATGTTTTTAAAGCCTTTGCCAGTTTGATTAATTAGACATGGTATCTTGTTTTACTTTGCAGTTCTCTGAACATTTCATTTTAAGTGTTTTGGCCATCTTTTATTTGCGTTCTTTGCTCTCTGTTGGGGATTTATTATATACATATGTCTATGTAATAAATGTATACATTTCGTATAGTTTTTCATTATAAAATATTTTTCACGTATAAAAGCATATGTAACTGTTATGTAAGGTTAAAATAATAAAATGGATGCCATTGTATCCACTGTGGAGTTCTTGGAATTGCTTCCTGCCCGTTACTTTCTTCCTGCTACTTTATCTGGGATGAAAAAGCCCTTTCTCAGGACTCATTGGGTCTGTGTTCTGCAGCTGGGACAGTCCAGGTGGCAGCCACACCAGTGCTTCCTAATTCTGTCTGTGGGGAAACAACTGCTACAGCTGGTGAGAACAGGAACTGGTCTTGGTGGAAATAACTAATCTTCAGTGAAGTGAAAAAAGAAGCCAAAGTGGAGAGGAAATGAGACCACAGATCCTCCCCTGCCCCTGAGGTTGCTTGGGGAGGCTGGGCAGAGCCGGGGTCCTGGTTCTGTGGTCAACACCAAAGTATGTGCCCCAGAAGTGACTGTAGTAAGCCCATGGGACAGCAGTGTTGGCTGCCTGAAGTCAGCGTGTCATCTGGTCTGCCAGACCAGTCACTTCCATTCTGGGGAAACATTTCTCCCACGTCTCCAGACCAGTCTCTTCCATTCTGGGGAAACATTTCTCCCACGTCTGAGCTGAGCAATAGCAGAGCCAGGGAAAGGCTAGGGGTTCATCGCGGTTCGGAAATGACTTTAAAGAAGGGGAGGACCTTTTTCTTTGAAGATAGAGGAGGGGACGGTCCTGTCAGCACACAGGCTCCTCCTCTCCTGCTTCTTGCTGGGTACTTCTGAATAGCAGCAGGTGAGAACTTCAGGGATTTAAGATTGTCATTCATAGAGAAGTGAAGTGGATTCCAGAATAGAACTGAGCTGGGCAGCTAGAATTCCTGCATTCCATTTCCAGTCTCTCTCTTTTGCCTCTCTGGGCAAAGTTATGTCTTTGTATCTTGTTTTCCTTTCACATGGAGAGTGAGTCAGTCCCCCAGGAAAGGTGTAGAAATGTCAAGCTCCCTCTGTGTCCTGGAGATACTCTTGTTGTCTTTGCCTCCCACTTTCCTCTCTACTTCTCTTTTCCTCTTTTAGAATCTTCCTCTTTCCAGGTTCTCTTACGCTTTCTGTCTTCCATCACCTCACAACAAAGTTGTGGGTTGGGGTTTGTGTGTTGGGTAGGGGAGGACATGGATAGGGTGTTTTTTTTTTTTGGGGGTGGGGAGCAGTATCTCCCCTCCTGCAGCTTTACTATTATGCATACTCTTCTTAGTTTATAAAGTATTTTTAGGTCCTTGAAAGGTGTTCTCAATAATGTCCAGAACCACGAGGGGCTAGCAGAATTATTTACATGGCAGATTTTGCCAGTAGAGGACAAGTTTAGGCTCTTGTATATTAGTGATGGTTTAATTCTTATCCTTATCCCCCACGTCCATCTCTTTTACCACCTTATCCCCCCTCACCCAGAGTTATGGCCAAAACTGGAGTTGGGGCTGGTGATCTTACCTCTGGGTCCCTTATACACACCAACAGGGAAGATACGTACTTTGTTTCTCCCCTGTTTGCTCATTTCTACTCAAATTCAGAATGGAGAATATCATAATCCTCTTTTAATTGTACGGTGCCTCTCTAAGAAAGTTGACATGAGCCTGGTCGTTGGGTACTTTAGGAGATGGATATTTGGTTTTAAAAACTACCTATAGCTTAGAGCAGTTTCTGTTCTTGTTTTTACACAGAAGCTGGGGAGCCAGTCAATAGATCCTCCTAGTGTTTCCCATGAAATCTTAAAAAAAATTTTGTTCTGGGAGGAAGCAGTAGACCATTGGTTTTGGAATCAGAAGACTTAGGTTCTGATCCAGCTTTATAGTCTTTTTTTTTTTCAGCTGCACGACTTTAGGCAAATCCTGTAACTTTTCTGAGTCAATTTCATCCTTTATGACACGTGTGAGGATAATACCTATCCTACAGGTTTTTGAGGATGCTTACAGGAGACAACATAGTGAAAACACTTTGTAACCTATAAAGGTGCTAAAAATAAATATTTATTGTATATACATTACCCACTTTATCTCGTCTCAGAATTCCATAATTTAAAGTAGCTTTCAACTGAGGGAGGTATTGTCCCAGGAGGGAGTTTTTGGAAGCACTTGAGGATGTTTTGATTATCATACTGACTGGGAGTGCTAGGCTTTCTAGCTGAGAGCCAAGGCTGTTAAACATCCCTCTGTGTTTGGGTCATGTTTTGGTGAGTCCCACACAATGAAGAAGGATCCTGCCCAAAATGTGATTGGCACCCCTACTGAGATTTGCCTTCCACTTATCTGTACCTCCTTTGTCCTGTGTACCAATTGAGGATGAAGCTTCAAGAGCAGTAAAAGGGAAGACAGAGCCATGGTGTGTGGTGCTTTCTTGGTTTTCCCATTTCCTAGCACACCTTTAGGAAAGAGGTGGACCTCTTTTTATTACCTCTGCCTGTTGGTTTAATACCTGATTCCTCTGTACTGTGGGCTCTACCCTAAAACTCATCAAGTGGCAGTTTGGGATGTACATACTACACTCACCCCCTGGTCAGTTACTCAAGCCAGAGTAAAAGTTTTTATAAGTTGGGAATATGTTTGAGAGATCTGTCAACAGTAGTTCTCAATCTTTTGGGTAACAGATTCCTTTGGAAATCCAGTTAAACCTGTGGTCCCTATTTCCCCTCTCCCCCTCCCATCTATGTATGAACACATGTAGTATTTTGGGAGTTTTAAAGACCATTTTTGGATTTGCTGAGGAAGCCCTGGCTGCCAGCCTGGAGGAATGGGAAGTGATAGCTGGGTGAGGAAACTCTACTGCAGGAACTCCTTGATACAGTTTTAGTACTCTTGATCCTTGGTAAGAAGGAGCCCTGGTTATTGGTTCAGATAAAATAATGCTGCTGTTAGTGGTTCCAACAAAAAGAGCTTGTTGAAACTTGGGTGATTCCCATTCAGAGGAAGATATTCAGGCCCCTGGACAGTTTAACTTTGATTAAGGATCCTTTGTGATGGGGTCTACCTCTTTGAACTAGGGCCCTAGCCCTCAACCTTTGGGAAGATCCAGGTGGAGATAATAGGATGTACAGCTGGCCCTCCTTATCTGTGGGTTCTGTATCTGTGGATTCAACCAACTTCAGATATAAAATATTTGAAAAAATTGTGCATGTACTGATCATGTAGCGTTTTTTTCCTTGTAATTATTCTGTAAACAAAACAGTATAACAACTGTAGGTGAGTCTTAAACAACAAGGCCTTGAATTGTGTGGGTGAGCTTATACGCAGATTTTTCAATCAAACGAGAATTGAGTAGTAAGAATTGAAAACCTTACAAGGAGGGCAGACTTTTTCATACACATGGGTTCCATGGGGCCTGTGGAGTTTGAGTATGCTCAGGTTTTGGTTCCAGGACCAGGCTTGGAGCCATTTGGTCTGGTCCTGGAACCAATTCCCCACATATACTGAGGGACAACTGTATTTACATAGCACTTAATTGTATTATGTATTATAAACAGTTTAGAGGTGATTTAAAGTATACAGGAGGATGTGTGTAGGTTGTATGCAATTACTATATAATTTTATATCAGAGACTTGAGCATCTGGGGATTTTGGTATTCTAGAGAGGTCCTAGAACCAATCCCCTTCAAATACCAAGAGACAGCTATATTTTCACAAATCCCAGGAACCCAGTGGCCTCTTGCAGTGACGGCCAAAGGTTAGATAATATCCTGTGTTTGGAGGTACTACCTGCCTAAAGCAGCAACTCTTTCCTGCAGGCCTGAGGTCCTTGGGGGAATATCTGGGTAGTGAGCTTCCCAGCATCTGCCTGGGAGAAGGATGGATGGAACGTTTGTTTCTCTAGCAATGCTTAAATCCTCTCTTCTACCTTACAAAAAAAAAAAATGACCTGTACCTTTTTTGACTGCTCGGATATTTCATAACAGAATTTTTGTAGGAAAATTTACATCTTTTGGGGGACTTATGAAAAAAAATCTTTAAGACAACACTCTGTTTTTTTCTGAGTAGAGTCCCTCATCTCATCCTTTTAGGAATGGCTCAGTGTCTGGTCCTTACCGACTGCCTGGATTTAACTTGTAAAGGTTAAGGAAAGACAGTTAACATTTGTTGGATGTATGCCGCGTACTTTGACATGTTTTATCTCATTTAACTTAACAACAACTCTATGAGGCAGTATTTCACTGCAGTGTTTTTTTACAGGCAATATGAAGCTAGGGCTCAGAGGGGTTAACTAAGCGGGGATGGTCTCAGCTTAAATGTCACTAACTTAGGCCTTAAGGAAACTATTTTTGGTTAGATTTTTTATTCATGCTAAAAGGACTGTTGGAAAAACAACTTCTAAAAGATGCTTAATCTTTTATTTTTTATATATAGATTTTAAATTAATAAAAAAGTATCTGTAAGGGTACAAATAAAACCGATAACACTAGTTAGTTACCTCTGGGATTCAGGGTTAGGGGAGGAACCATGATGGGAAGAACAGATTCAAGAGGAATTTAGCTTTATCTATAATGTTTACATCTGAAATTTTTATTTATATATTTTTTAGAGACAATGTTTTGTTCCCTAAACTGGAGTCGAACTCTTGGGCCCTCCCACCTCATCCTTTGGAGTAGCTGGGACTGCAGGAGTGTACCACCATGCCTAGCTATAATGTTTACTTTTTTTTTTTTACAAGGATAATTCATTTATGTATTAGTTATGTAATTAAAAGTTAAATAATAGAAAAAGTTTTTTAACTTCACTAGAAATCAAGGAGATGAAAATTTAGAGGATATACTTTTTTTTTTTGAGACGGAGTTTCGCTCTTGTTGCCCAGGCTGGAGTGCAGTGGCGCAATCTCGGCTCTCTGCAACCTCTGCTGCCTGGGTTCAAGCAATTCTCCTGCCTCAGCCTCCTGAGTAGCTGGGATTACAGGTGCCTGCCACTATACCCGGCTAATTTTTGGTAGTTTTTAGTAGAGGCGGGGTTTCACCATCTTGGCCAGGCTGGTCCTGGAACTCCTGACCTCGTGATCCACCTGCCTCGGCCTCCCAAAGTGCTGAGATAGCAGGCGTGAGCCACCGCACTCGTCCTGATATACTTATTATACTAATTATCTGGGTGAAATTTTGAAGACTGACTATGTCCGTGGTCAATATTAATGGCAGAGTAATTCGGTACAGACATTTTGGAAGGCATTTTACAGGGTTTATCCATTTAAAATGTGCGTGTTCTCTAACTCCCCCACCTCACCTTTAGGAAACCATTCTGCAGAACAGTTTACACATGTGACGGAAGGTGCATGTAAGGAATAATCGGGGCTACATTGTTTAACGTAAAAAAAGGAATGGGGAAGAGCCTGATTGTCCACTCCTTGCTTAAATTTACTGCTCTCCCATTCATCTACTCAGGGCAAATCCTGGGAGTTATTTTTAATTTTTTCTTGTCCTTTCTCCATACCCACTGTATGAGTAAGTCTTGCTGATTTCATCTCCAAAAATAGGCTGGGCGTGGTGGCTCATGCCTGTAATTCCAGCACTTTGGGAGGCTGAAGCTGGAGGATCACTTGAGGCCAGGAGTTCGAGACTAGCCTGGGCAACATAGTGAGACCCCTGTCTCTACAAAAATAAAAATTAGCTGGGTGTGGTAGCATGTGCCTGTAGTCCAATCCCTGAGGATTACCTGAGCCCAAGAGTTTGAGGTTGCAGTGAGCCGTGATTGTGCCACTGCACTCCGGTCCGGGCCTCTGAATGAGACCCTGTCTTTAAAAAAAATAAGATTGTTGGTGGCTCATGCCTGTAATCCCAGCACTTGAGGAGGCCGAAATGGGCAGATCACCTGAGGTCGGGAGTTTGAGACCAGCCTGACCAACATAGAGAAACCCCGCCTCTACTAAAAATACAAAATTAGCCAGGTGTGGTGGTGCGTGCCTGTAATCCCAGCTAGTCAGGAGGCCGATGCAGGAGAATTGCTTGAACCCAGGAGGCAGAGGTTGCAGTGAGCCGAGATTGCACCATTGCACTCCAGCCTGGGCAACAAGAGCGAAACTCTGTCTCAAAAAAAAAAAAAAAAAAAAAAAAAAAAACCAAGATTGGGAGGCTGAGGCGGGTGGATCACTTCAGCCCAGGAGTTCAAGACCAGCCTGGCCAACATGACAAAACTGTTTCTGCTAAAAAATTAGCTGGGTGTAGTGGTGCGTGCTTATAGTCCCAGCTACTGGAGAGGCTGAGGCACGAGAATCACTTGAACCTGGGAGGTAGAGGCTGCAGTGAGCCAAGATGGCACCACTGTACTCCAGCCTGGGTGACAGAGCGAGACTATCTCAAAAAAAAAACAACAAAAAGTGAAAAAACAAACAAACACAAAAACTGTCTCTCTCTATATGTATATGTAATCTGCCTGTCCCTTTTCTCTACTGCCACCGCCCTGGTCTAAGTCAAGATCAGCTCTTGCTTGTATTGCAGCCAACCATCTGGCTTTCCATTTTCCTCTCTTATCCCTATCTCCATCTTCCCACCCATTCTCCACAAAGCACCCAAATTTAAAATATAAATTAAATAGCATCATTCCCTGGCCTAAAAACCTTTAATGGCTTCCCTTTGTATTATACTAAAAGGAAAAATGCAAACTCCTGACAATGGACCCTTAAGATTGCATCATTTGACACCTGCTGACCTTTTTAACCTTATTGCCCTCCTGTTTACGAAGTTCCACATTAGCCCTCTTTCGTTCAGGACAAGCTCCTTTCTATCTCAGGATCTTTGCATAAGCTGTTTCCTCTCCTGGGATACCCTTTGCCTGGATGTTAAAACGACTCTTTCTAGTTTATACTTTAGGTCTCAATTTTTAAAAATGCCACCTCTCAGATCTTCCCCACTTACTATTCTTTTTCTTAGTTAGCATCCTATTCATTCTTTTTCCCTTGTACAATTATTTGATTACTTGTTTATTATGCATCTCCCAGATTGTTGATTCAGTGAGGGTGGGGACATTATGTTTGCTTATCACTGTACAGCCAAATACCTGGCACAGGGTAGGCACTCAATAAATGGCTGTGGCAAATGGGAATCTCCAAGATATATATGTACGTGTAAATATAATCTAAAAAGGCAATTAGAAGACTGTATATATAATGCTTTATAAAAACCATATATGGTTGTATATAAATACATAGAAAAAAGGCCTAGAAAAATAAACACCAACCTATTAACTGTGGTGAACTGTGGAGGGGATTGAGTGGGGTTGAGGGCTGAATAGTGACTGATTTTTTATTCTATAAGCTTTGAGTTGGTTGAATTTTTTTCTTTTACATTATCTACTTGTGTATTCCTCCTTTAAGAGAAAAGGAGGAATAAAAATTGGGTAGGGAGGGGGTAGACTGAAGTTTTTTTTTTTGGAGACAAGGTCTCTTTTGCCTAGCTCAGAGTGCAGTAGTGTGATCACAGTCTCAACTTCTCAGGCTCAATCAGTCCTCCCAAGTAGCTGGGACTACAGGCGTGCACCACCATGCCTGGCTAATTTTTGTATTTTTTGAATAGACAGGGTCTTGCTATGTTGCCCAGGCTGTTCTTGAACTCATGGGCTCAAGCAATCTGCCTGCCTTGGCCTCTGAAAGTGTTGAGATTACAGGCATGAACCACTGTGCCCAGCCAGACCCAACTTTTTTTTTTTTTTTTTTTTTTTTTTTGAGATGGAGTCTTGCTACGTCAGCCAGGCTGGAGTGCAGTGGCGTGATCTTGGTTCACTGCAACCTCCACCTCCCGGGTTCAAACAATTCTCCTGCCTCAGCCTTCCGAGTAGCTAGGACTACAGACGTGCAAGACCACGCCCAGCTAATTTTTGTATTTTTAGTAGAGATGGGGGTTTCACCATGTTGGCCAGGCTGGTCTCAAACTACTGACCTCAAATGATCCACCCGTCTTGGCCTACCAAAGTGCTGGGATTATAGGCGTGAGCCACCGCACCTGGCCAGACCCAACTTTTAATGGGGGGAAAAAAAAGGCTCCTCTCTTACTTTTCGCACTAAGCCAAAAGAAAAGTGCGAGAGAGAGAAAGGGCACCAGTGGGGTCAGCAACTGGCCACTGCCCTGTGCCCTGTGCTGAGCTTGGCACTGTTTCCACAGTAAAAAGAATCCTAAGAGATGCTCTTTTGCGCTGAAGCTGTATTTTAAATTATTTAATGTAGGCATGATCCTGGTCCCCCAGATACAGGCAGGCTATGTATTTTTAGTCTCTGTCATTTCCAGGCCAGTGAAAGCTGCATCTCCAGCCTTGGCACAGCCATAGCCCTAGAAGTCCACAAAGAGAATAA
This sequence comes from Homo sapiens, assembly GCF_000001405.40. Lineage (NCBI taxonomy): Eukaryota > Metazoa > Chordata > Mammalia > Primates > Hominidae > Homo > Homo sapiens. Next base: position 49,691,410 of record NC_000012.12, on the reverse strand, counting down.
ACCTGAGCTCTAGGCTGTGCTGCATCTCAGCTTCTCAAAGTCAAGTCGGTTCAGCAGCTGTGACCACCGTGACAATCATTTTCTCTAGGTTCTTGCCTTCTAGGAATAAGGATAGCTAATAATTTTAATAGCTAACATTTATTGTGTGATAATGGTATACCAGGCACCATGCAAAACACTTTACACACATTATCTCATTTAATCATCACAACTCTGTGAAGTACTTGTTATCTCCATTTTATAGAAGAGGAAACTGAGGTCCAGGTAGGTTAAATAGCTCACCTAGGATCACACACTAGTAGGTGGCAAAGTTGGGATTTGAGTCCAAGCAGCCTGATGCCAAAGCCCAGTTTTTTTTGTTGTTGCTTTTCAGACAGGGTCTTACTGTCACACAGGCTGGAGTGCAGTGGCGCAATCTTGGCTCACTGTAGCCTCAGCCTCCTGGGCTCAAGTGATCCTCCCACCTCACCCTCCCAGGTAGCTGGGACCACAGGTGCACCACCACGCCTGGCTAATTCTTGTATTTTTTGTAGAGACAAGGTTTCACCATGTTACCCAGGCTGGTCTCGCACTCCTGCCTTGGCCTCCCAAAGTGCTGGCACTGCGCCCAGCTCCACTTTCTTAACTATAGTTTCCTTTTTGCGGGGTTGACTCTCCTTTGCTCTTACTACTGCTTTGGAGTGGATTGAGTGGATTGTGGCAGAATATAGGGGAAAGTTTACCGAACAAGTTCTCCTTTGCTAAGAGGTGTGGTGGAAAGATTTGGGCTTTAGAGTCAGCCAGATTTGGGTTTGGATCTTAGCTATCCTACTAGGACATCTGCTATTCGAGAAGTTTTGTTTTCTTGTTTTTTGTTTTAAATTTACTACGTGCTCTTGATATCACTAGGTATATAGTGGTGAAAAATCTAAGAATTCCTTTGCCCTCATAGAGTTTAGAGGAAAATACAGATATTAAATAAATATTTAATTATGATATATTCTTGGAAGGCAAAGAACAGGTTGTTAAGAGAGAGTGTAACAAAGAAGGCTTTAGGTTGGGAAGTCTTGGGTCTATTCTAAATGTTCATTCCATTTTCTTTTCTTTCATGATTTATTAAGTTAATACGTCATAGGTGCCTGCTGTATACACAGCACTTTCCCTTGTACTTGGGGGTATACAAAATAAATAGAAGATAATGCTTGCTATCTGAGTTGGAGAGACAAAATGTGTATGTACTTAAAACTATATTTTGAACTAGAGAATTAAAGCAAGTGCATGTCCTCAGGTTGTCTGTGAGACTCTGTGCTGTATTTTATCTGTAATGTGGGAATACTGTTTGTCTTGCCCAATCACATGCTTTTGTGAAGACCAAGTGAGATCATGAGGTGATAGGGTGCCACACAGCTATAAACACAGAAAGATTGGAGAGCTAGGGGAGGATCAGTGTGGTATAGGAGTGCTAAATAGGCAGTGCTTTAAGGAGGACAGGGGATTTAGTCAGGTCTTTAATCAGCTGTAGATCAGGAGAGAGGAGATTGTTCCAGGCCAGAGCTGTATGGGAGGGAATTAAGGAGGAGGAATGAAGCAGCTATATGAGGGGCAGCCAGGAGCCCTGCTGCTGGAATAGAGGAGTTTAGTTATAGACAGATGTGAGCTTGGATCAGGACAGATGGCCAGTACACACTGAGTTTTGTCTGAACATTTCTTATTTTTTTGAAATGGGCTTGCTCTGTCACCCAGGTTGAAGTGCAATAGTGTGATCATGGCTTACTGTAGCCTCCAACTCCTAGGCTCAAGCCGTCCTCCATTTCAGCCTCCTTAGTAGCTGGGACTACAGTTGTGCTTCTTACTTTTTTGTAGAGATGGTATCTTGCTGTGTTGCCCAAGCTGGTCTTGAACTCCTGGGCTCAAGCCATATCTGCCCACCTCAGCTTCTCAAAGTGCTGGCATTGTAGACATGAGCCATCGTGCCTAGCCTGAACATTTCTTGATTGTTAGAAAAGGGACTTTCCTGCCCAGGGTTTCAACAGGGAATAGAGAATAGTTGGTAACTGGTCTCTGGCCATTCATGAGTTTTCTCATTTAAAGTTGAATGATTGATATATATGAGAGATAAATGCTCAATCCTCATAGGTTAGAGAATCAGAATAATTTGATTTAAGTGAAACTGGATAGAAAATGATCCCATGTGTTACCCTTGAACTGCAGAAGTCTTCAAATGTAGAAGCTTCCATTTCTAGTCAGCAAGTTTTGAACTAATTCTTTCCATTGCCAAATCTGTCTTGCTTTCCTTTAAAAAAAATTATTTTTTGAGTTAGGATCTTTCTTTCTTGCCCAGGCTGGAGTGCAGTAGTGTGATCATAGCTCACTGCAGCCTTGAATTCCTGGGCTCAAGTGATCCTTGCACCTTAGCCTCCCAAAGTGCTGAGATTACAGGCATGAGCCACCATGCCCAGCCCATTTTTGCCTTTCTTTAGGGTAAAATGTTGTCTTGTACTAAATAATTTTTATTATTAACAATGCCTTGTTCATAGTAGATGCTCAATAAATATATCTCATTTCATAGTAACAGTGTCCAATGTTTGTGAGCCACTTTATACCTGCTAGTGTTTTCTTATACATTGTATTTTGGGGGGAATGGCACTCTTCCAGCTAATTATCCAGGCCAAGCACTTGGAGTTAGTCTGGGCTGCTGTCCCTCTCACCTTTCTATCTGTACTACCACTACTGTAGTTGATCTTCAGCTCTTGCCTGGTCTGTTGTAATGGACTTCTTAGCAGTTTCTTTGGTTCATTCTTGCAGACCCACTTACCACAAGCCATCATCATAGCTATATATAAAGATCTGGGGGATGAGTTTTCTAGGAAGAGAACAACTTTTGCAAAGCCCTGGGGTGGAAAAGAACTTTGCACATTTGAGGAACTGCAAGAAGGCCAGACTGGTCTACAAGGATGCTGAGGAGAGTCCGAGAAGGTATAGGAAAGGTGAGCAGGGCCCAGATTATGTGGGACCTTGTTGGCCTTGGTAAGGAGTTTGGAAATTAATTGTAGGGAAACTTCTAGGTATGCTTTATAAGGTTAAGAGTTCTCTTGTCTGCTGTGTGGAGAATCCTGGAATCTGTCTCCCTTATGGGCAGCAGTTTGGCCTGAGTGAGATCCAGGCTTCTCGCTAGACTGTCCCCTGCAGGGTGATGGTGGCTTCTGCCCTTTCAGGTTTGACTGGTGCTCAGTCCTCACTCCTGTACCCCCTCTCAGGCCAGAAGGGGCAGTGCCTCTGCTAGGCTAGGCTGGCCCCAGTGTTTGGCGTGCCTCCCAGTGGCCTGAGCCTATAATTTGATGGGTTGGCTGGTTATAAAAATAAAAAGTGTGACCTATAACTATAGCTGAGTGGATTCAGTGAAGAGGGAGCTTTTAATTTGCAGAGGTTCTGGACTGTACTTAACTGGAGGAAAAATGTGTCTCCTCCCTGGGTGCTGTTCCATTTTCTGTCTTTAATACTTGCTCTGGGGTGGGTTAGGGTTTGTGGGCCTGGGAGTGAGATGTGGAGGACTTTAGGGAGATATTTGGAGGGAATGTTAGGGTTCAGCAACAGGTTTATAGGGCTTTCTGGAAAGTAGGCATTATTCAGTCTTGCTTCTCATGTAGCCCCACTAGGATGGAAGCAGAGTTTAAAAATCTTTGCATGATCACTCGTTTATTCATTCAACAACTATTTATTGAGTGTTTACTCTGTATTTTAGACATCAGTGATACCACAGTGAACAAAAAAGACAAGCCAGTCTCATAGCATTCACATTGTTGTTGGGGAGAACAATAAACAAATCTACAGGTATATAATATAGTGTTAAGTAGCAAGAAGTACCATGAAGAAAAAGAAGGTAAGATAAAGAGATAGATGGTCATTGGGGGTTATAGCCAGGTGTGGTGGCATGTGCCTGTAGTCCCAGCTGCATGGGAGGCTGAGGCAGGAGGATCCCCTGACTTTCGGAGGTTGAGTCCAGCCTGGACAACCCCGTCTCTTAAAAAATAAGAGAGAGGGGCCAGGCGCGGTGGCTCATGCCTGTAATCCCAGCACTTTGGGAGGTAAAGGTGGGCAGATCACGAGGTCAAGAGATCAAGACCATCCTGGCCAACATGGTGAAACCTTGTCTCTACTAAAAATACAAAAATTAGCCGGGCGTGGTGGCGGGCACCTGTAGTCCCAGCTACTTGGGAGGCTGAGGCAGCAGAATCACTTGAACCCAGGAGGCGGAGGGTGCAGTGAGCCGAGATCGCGCCACTGCACTCCAGCCTGGAGACAGAATGAGACTCCGTCTCAAAAAAAAAAAAAAAAGGAATGGGGAAGATATTTAGATAAGATGATAAGATTATCAGGCAGTTTTGGGGGTTGAGCTATAAGAGAAAGTGAAACTTTCCATGAACTTTGGATCCCAGTGCCTGAGTGTGTCTCCGAGGAAGGGGCTCCCTATGGCAGTGCAGCCAGTCTGGGTGGGGATCAGAGTCAGTACTCATCTGGGGGTCCAACTGGCTCCTAGCCTCAGGTGGGCCCCAGTCAGAGCCTGTGGTTGATTCTTCCTGGCTCCAGTTGTCAGAACTGTCTGCAGGGCCGGGTAGGGTGCTGATTAACTGTAAATAGATACTTGTCTTTCCTAGGCTTCTCAAGTCTGATTCTCTCAAGATTTCCTGAAGTCACTCTGTGTGTTCTGGTCTTGAAGAGAAATATGAAGTCTGGTCTGGGAAGCAGCTGCAAGGAGTGTAGGGATGGATGCTCAGCCAAGCCTTTTTTAAGAGTTTTGGGGCTCAGTGACTGACATAAAGGTGCTCAATACTTTTTTTTTTTTTTTTTTTTTTGGAGATGAAGTCTCGCTCTGTCGCCCAGGCTGGAGTGCAGTGGCGGAATCTCTGCTCACTGCAAGCTCCGCCTCCCGAGTTCATGCCATTCTCCTGCCTCAGCCTCCCAAGTAGCTGGGACTACAGGCGCCCGCCACCACGCCTAATTTTTTTGTATTTTTAGTAGAGACAGGGTTTCACTGTGTTAGCTAGGATGGTATTGGTCTCCTAACCTCGTGATCCGCCTGCGTCGGCCTCCCAAAGTGCTGGGATTACAGGTGTGAGCCACCACGTCCAGCCAGGATGCTCAGTACATTTTAAGTAGAAGGCTGGACACAGTGGCTCATGCCTGTAATCCCAGCACTTTGGGAGGCTGAGGCAGAAGGATTGCTTGGGCCTGGGAGATTGAGGCTGCAGTACGCTATGATCATGCCACTGCACTCCAGCCTGGGTGACAAAGTGAGACCCTGTCTCAAACCCTCCCCTTCCAAAAACCAAAACATTTTAAATAGAATTTTTATTTATTTATTTTTGAGACCGAGTCTCGCTCTGTCGCCCAGGGTGGAGTACAGTGGCACAATCTCAGCTCACTGCAACCTCTGCCTCCCAGGTTCAAGTGATTCTCGTGCCTCAGCCTCCCGAGTAGCTGGGATTACAGGCGCCCGCCACCAAGCCTGGCTAATTTTTGTATTTTTAGTAGAGACGGGGTTTCACCGTGTTGGCCACGCTGGTCTTAAATTCCTGACCTCAAGTGATCCCCCTGCCTTGGCCTCCCAAAGTGCTGGGATTACAGTTGTGAGCCACCGCACCCAGCCTTAAATAGAAATATTATTTGAAGGCCATTAACTTCTTGAATCAGAGATCTGGTATTGAGGAGCCTAACAAAAATATTTAAGAAATAAGAATTATTGTTGAAGGGTAGAGACTGTTTTTCTGTACCTTGAAGTTGTAAAGTCACTGAACAGCACGTACTAGTCACCTTTCTTTTATACTCAATAATGTTGGCCTAGTCATGACCTTTCCACAGGCTTTAGGGACCTCCAGGTACTGGGGTAATTCTTGGCTTTTGTTGGCCTGCCCTTTAGCACATTTTGTCTCTTGTGTAGCCATGGAGGGACATTATTATTATTATTATTTTGAGACAGAGTCTCTCTCTGTCTCCCAGGCTGGAGTCCGGTGGCACCATCTTGGCTCACTGCAACCTCCACCTCCTGGGTTCAGGTGATTCTCCTGCCTCAGCCTCCTGAGTAGCTGGGACTACAGGCGCGTGCCACCATGCCCAGCTAGGGATATCGCCATGCAGCTTAGGCTGGTCTCGAACTCCTGGGCTCAAGTGATCTGCCTGCCTCAGCCTCCCAAAGTGTTGGGATTACAGGCGTGAGCCACTGCTTCCGGCCTGGACCTTATTTTAAAACTGGGGGCGTTTACCAAGGGTAAAACCATCATACACCAGCTGAGGTTGAGACCTGTGCTCCTGGGATTTTATTGAACTCTGGGGTGGTAGAGTTGCTGTTATATGGGCTCATTTCGTAGACTTGAGATCACATACTCCTCTCATTTCAATGCCAGCCCTGAAGTGAGGCCCAGACAATGTTCTAGAATGGATGGGCCAGAGATATCTGACCAGGAAAGAGCATCTTTGTTTGGACCCCTTCTGTGTCCAGAGTATGCTTGGGCCCCTTACTTTGGACAGACTTCTCGTTTGTGGTTGTGGTTATTTTGTTTTTACTTGCCACTCAGCAGAATCAACCTCATATAAGCACTCATTATCCTCAGGCCCTTGGCAGGCAGGACACTTGGTGAATCTGCTCCCTCATGAAGTGCTCACGTCTGCAGATTATTTTCTGATGGCATCTGTCATGAGTTCCAGATTGATGGTCCAATAGCAGCTATGAATTGCTCCCTTTGGGCTTGTTTAATTATTGCTGGCATGGTGGCTGACTAAAGAATTAAGAATCTCTTGTGCATTTATGGGGCAACAGGTCGCGGTGGCGTCCCAAAGCATTTATCTGTCATTTCTCTAGAATGTCCTTGTTAAAAGTTTTGAGCATCATCTCAGAAGCTAGAGGATAACCAGCTAGACAATGTCCAGTAGAATTTGGCTTCTCAGTTGATTCTTTCCAAGAATTGTAAAGAAAGCATCTAGTACTTGTTGCCCACAGATCCAGGGAAATGTCAAGTTGGTGTCATAACAGTACAAAAGCACTACCAGCTGCTTCTGATTGTCTTGGAGGCAAGAGGGCAGAGAGAGCCTTATTTTGTGGCAGGGCGGCTAAAGAATCACATCAGCACTCAGGAGGGCCTCTGAGGTGGTGAACTGAGAATGGTTAAGGTGTCATTTTCCCTGCCTAGAAACAGAGAGGGGGCAAGATAGCAGCCCTCAAAGACTCAGCAAGTGTAGCCTAGTACTCATGCACTCAGCAAGTGCTTAGAATTGTGTTAAGAGCTGGAGAAAGGTGACTAAGACAGTCATCCTGCCCCCAGGAGTTCAGTCTAGAGGGGGAGACAAACACATTAAACATGTAATTATAACATAAAGCTGTCTAAGTGCAGTTCTGTAGAGATGCAGGAAGCATCGGGAGAGCACAGTAGAGAGGTGGGGCTTGGGGAATATTGCCCAGAGAAGGAAATCTCTGCTGGCTAAAAGGGTATTTAGGAATAGGACAGAAGTTTGGAAAAGAAAGCATTCCAGGTAGAGAGGACAGCATGAGCAGAGGCATTAAATTGAGACAGCATGATGTGTTCAGAGAACCCTCTCAGAGCTGCTCAGTGCCGTTGAAGTGTAAAGTGTAAGGCAGAGACTCGTGGGAGGCAGGGCTCAAGTGGTAAGGAGGGCTTTGAATGCCATGTGGAAGAGACTGTGCTTTATGTGTTTCATAGTCAGATTGTGAGTTGTGGGTAGGTCAGTCTGGCAACCATGGGAAGGAACCAGAATTGGAGGTAGGCAGCTGAGTGGAAGGCCTTGGCTCTGTGGTGGTGATGATGGGAGCCTAAACTGGGACCAGTTTGCACAATGGAGATGATGGGACAGTCAAATAAATGTTAACTATTAATAAATAGTTAAATTTTCATGACTGATTAGATTTTATTTCAATTTTTGATGGCTGATTAGATTTTACATTGTGAGGATAGAGGTGAGGGAGAAGGGAGGCATTGAGGATGGCACCCAGATTTCTAGCTTGCTAGATTAGAGTTAACTACTCTAACAAGGGAACACAGTAGAAGAAATACCTTAGAAGGAAAAGTGATGAGGCCACTTTGAGACACATGAGGTTGCAAAGCCTGTGGAAGTCTGGGTGGAATGTCTAATGGGGGTTGAGTATTTAAAGCTGAATCTCAAAGGAGAAGTCTGGGATAGAAATACATATTTGAGAGTCATCTATGCCTACTGTCAATAAAAATGTGAGCTTTTCTCCAGTCTCACAGCACAGCCCTTCAGTGATGGGGAGGGACAACTCCTAGGACTTATGTAAGGTCACAAGGAGAGAAGCACAGTTGTTGAGAAGAGTAGTTAGTTGAGGGGGCCAAAAACAGATTTGTGGCAGAAGTGGACCCGAGGAAGTTAGGAGACAGTAGGGGAAGTGAGGAATCTGAGATGAGGCGGGAACACTAGAGATAACCTGGCAAAATCTCTCCCATATCTCTCCACAGATAACAAAACCCTGGCCCCAAAAGGTTAGAATTGTCCCAGATCACTCAGCTGCTCAAATAGCAGAGCAGCTTAGTGAGTCGACTTCATTTCACTAAGTTCTGGTCTCAGTTTTCCTGTGAATCCCCTGGGTGGCTGTTGGTTTCTTGATTTTATCTTTTGAAGGGGCAAGGGTACAACTGCTCTAACCTACAGAATTATTAGATCACATGAGATGAGGGAATCATACTTTACGTATGTTTAACCTATACTATTCAACTATACATTTATACTCTTTTATATATTTTAAAGTACTATGAAATTAGGCTGGGCAGAGTGGCTCATACCTGTGATTTCAATGTTTTGGGAGGCCAAGGCGGGAGGATCAATTGGGACCAGGAGTTCAAGACTAGCCTGGGCAACATAGCAAGACCTTGTCTCAACCAAAATAAAAAATTAAAATAGGCAGCCATGATGGCACACACCTGTAGTCTCAGCTACTTGGGAAGCTGATGTGGGAGGATTGTAACAGTCCAGGAGTTCAAGGTTACAGTGAGTTGTGGTTATGCTGCTGTACTCTGTCTCAAAAAAAATAGTATGAGGGCCAGGCACGGTGGCTCACGCCTGTAATCCCAGCACTTTGGGAGGCCGAGGCAGGTGGATCACGAGGTCAGGAGATCAAGACCATTCTGGCTAACACAGTGAAACCCCGTCTCTACTAAAAATACAAAAACTTAGCTGGGTGTGGTGGTGGCCGCCTGTAGTTCCAGCTACTTGGGAGGCTGAGGCAGGAGAATGGCGTGAACCTGGAAGGCAGAGCTTGCAGTGAGCCAAGATCTAGCCACTGCACTCCAGCCTGGGCGACAGAGTGAGACTCTGTCTCAAAAAAAAAAAAAAAAGGTTGAAATTGTATTTGTATTTTGCGTATGTACTTAGAAGCTAACTTGAGTCAAATGTGACTCCTGGAGTAGGTCATTCCAGTTACCACTTACAGGGTCTTTCTCCTGCGCCAGGCACTGTGCAAAATCCCTTTTATTCATTTTTAAGAGGCAGATATTATCCATATTTTGTAAATGAAGACACTGAAGTTCAAAGAAGTTTCATAACTTTCCCTGGTTGGGCACGGTGGGTCACACTTGTAATTCTAGCACTTTGGGAGGCCAAGGTGGGAAGATTGCTTGAGGTCAGGAGTTCAAGTTCAGCCTGGGCAACATAGCGAGGCCCTGTCTCTACAAAAAAAAAAAAAAATTAGCCAAGCGTGGTGGCACATGCCTGTAGTCCTAGCTACTTGGAGGCTAAGGTGGGAGGATCACTTGAGCCCATGAGTTTGGGGCTGCAGGGAGCTATGATCGCACCGCTGCACTCCAGCCTGGGCAGCAGAGTGAGAACTTTCTGACTGTCTCGTGAAAAGTAACAGGATTCAAATCCAGTCATCCCTGATTCCAAAGCCTGTGCTGTACTGGAAAGTTTAAAATGCTACTCAGGCAGGGCGCAGTGGCTCACGCTTGTAATCCCAGCACTTTGGGAGGCCAAGGCGGGTGGATCATGAGGACAGGAGATCAAGACCACCGTGAAACCTTGTCTCTACTAAAAATACAAAAACTTAGCTGGGAGTGGTGGCAGGCATCTGTAGTCCCAGCTACTCAGAGAGGCTGAGGCAGGAGAATGGCGTGAACCCGGGAGGCGGAGCTTGCAGTGAGCTGAAATCGCGCCACTGCGCTCCAGCCTGGGCGACAGAGCGAGACTCCGTCTCAAAAAATAAAATAAAATGCTACTCAGATGTAAGAATTTGTCACTAGGTTGTGTCCAAGAGGACAAGTTTCCTTGCATCTGTACTGTGCACAGTCTCTCTCTTACTCTGTGAAGCCTTGAACTTCAGATGTTCAGCACACATACTCATACTTGGTTCAGCTGGTTTCACTCAGTTGTGCAGAATAGGGAAGCATTGTGTAATGATCAACCAAAGCCAGTCAGATAAATCAAGTTGGACCTTCTCAAGTTAGAAAAAGAGATTTGTTTTCTTTGTAAGGAGATGGGCGAACATGGTAGAAAACCTTGTATGTTGGAGGCCACACGTCTGGGTTTGAATTTGGGTCCTGCTACTTTCTGTGTAACCTTGAGCCAGTTGGTCTCAGATTCTTAATTCCCTCAGTGGTTATTGAGAATAGTAAGTGAGAGAATGTGAGAAAAGTGCCTGGCATATAAAAGATGAGTAGTAATGTTTTTCATCCGTGTTCTTGAGTGAATATAACACTTAGGACATCAGACATTTCAAGAAGCAGAGAAGATTTGGGTCGTGGGGAGGGAACTCTCAAAAGGTTAAGTCTAAAGAGGTGTTTTTTCCTAGCTGTACAATCAAACGAGATGTAAAAAAGCTGGAACAACTCAAAAATAGCATTGGGCTGTGGGTAGCCTAGACCTCTATGTCAAGTTCTAGCCTTCAAAGCGTGAGAGGGGACAACATTGGGAGGACAGCTCATGGATCTAGAGCAGACTGAGGTTATTATGATTCCTCCCAAAAGAGGATAGAAGCACTGAGGCGCTGAGGATGTACCTCCATTTGAAAGCAAGGAAAGGCAGGACTTGTAGAGCCTCTCCCTAGCTGATACAACTTGTGACAGATGTGTGCCTGTGCCAGACCTCAGTTTATCTTTCTATAAAGCAGGGGTCATGCCCTCCCACATGTGTCTGGAAGTAGGAAGGGATTCATTAAGTTTTATGGCTTTATAATAAGCTCTTAGATGTGTCATGAGACTCCTGGAAAGCCAGAGCTGGGCCCTAGGCCAGTGTACTGGGTGCTGCCCCCCAAAATGGCCTCTGCTGTCTCTTTGGGCAGCCCAGAGTATCTATCTATTAAGCTTTTTCTGTGTGCCAGGCATACTTGCTAGGAACAAGTGTATTCAAGGCAAAGTCCTCAAGGAGCTTATATTCTAGTTCAGGAAATAATATAAAATGTGAAAAATGAATAACAATATGAGAGAGAAGTGACTTTTCCATGAAATCTTGCAATTGAAGGGTCTAGCATCATCCTGGCCCAGAGTAGATGTTTATAAGCTTCAGGTTCCCCCTTGTTTGTAAATACAAGAGTTATCGCAAGGCAAAACAGGTCCCCCAGTTGGCGCAGTGCATGGTACATAGAAGACATGAATGTCACTGGGTGTGGTGGCTTACGCCTGTAATCCCAACACTTTGGGAAGTCAAAGTGGGTGGATTGCGTGAGCCTGGGAGCTCGAGACCAGCCTGGACAACGTGGTGAAACCTGTCTCTACCAAAAAAATTTACCCAGGCATGATGGTGTGTGCCTGCAGTCCTAGCTACTGGGGAAGCTGAGGTGGGAAGATCACCTGAGCCCAAGAGGTCGAGGCTGCAGTGAGCCGAGATCTTGCCACTGCACTCCAGCCTGTGTGATGGAGTGAGACCCTGTCTCAAAAAAAAAAAAAAAAAAAAAAAAAGACACAAATGCTGTTCCAAGAATGATTGAATATGAGTGCTAATGGGAGGTTAGGGCAGAAAACCCACAGAAATTCAGAGGAAGGAATGCACAGAGATCTGGGTTGTTTGGGAGAGGTTCCATGAGGAAGGTTGAGATGGTACTGATTGGTCCTGAAGGATGCATACAATTTGGAAAGGTGCAAAGAAGGGCTAATACGATTCATTGTCTCAGAGGAGACATTGTGAGGAGTTAAAAGCTTAGACTTTGGGGTCAGACTTGGGTTCAAATCCCAGATCCACCGTATGCTTGCTTTGTGATGCGGGGCAAGTTCCATGGCCTTTCCAAGCCTTCGTTTCCTTGCTTGTAAAATAGGGATAATGATAGTCCCTACTTCATAGGACTTTATATCATTGTTTTGAGAATTAGATGAGATAATTCATATAGAGTGCTTATCGCAGTTCTGTCAATAAATGTTAGCTTTTTTCATTATTACTGTTTTCATTTTAGTAGTGTTATTATTGTTATTATCCTACTTATGCCACCTACTTACTTAGCTCATCATATCCTTTATCACCCGACTTTTCTGCCTGCTGTAATTTCCTTATACATACTTTCATGCCTTTGTAGTAAATCACTTACAGACTCCTGGATTTGTAATGGTGTTTTGTGTTGCCAGTATTTGCAAATACTGTCTCCTTGCCTAGAATATCACCATCTTCCCTTCTGCTCTTGCCTTTGCCTGATTCCTTCCCGCTTGATGTTTAAGACTAATTCAAGGTGGGGCACTGTGGCTCATGCCTGTAGTCTTAAAATTTTGGGAGGCCAAGGTGGGTGGATCGCTTGAGTCCAGGAGTTCGAGACCAGCCTAGCCAACGTGGCAAAACCCTGTCTCTACTAAAAATACAAAAATTAACCAGGTGTGGTGATGAGTACCTGTAGTCCTAGCTACTTGAGGGGCTGAGGCAGGAGGATCACTTGAACCTGGGAGGTCGAGGCTGCAGTGAGCCAAGATTGTGCCACTGCACTTCAGCCTGGATGACAAAGTGAGACCCTGTCTCAAAATAAAAATAATAATAAAAATAATGCCGAGTGTGGTGGCTCATGCCTGTAATCCCAGCACTTTGGGAGGCTGAGGTAGGTGGATCACGAGGTCAGGAGTTTGAGACCAGCCTGGCCAACATAGTGAAACCCTGTCTCTACTAAAAATACAAAAATTAGCTGGGCATGGTGGTGCGCGCCTGTAGTCCCAGCTCCCTGGGAGGCTGAGGCAGGAGAATCACTTGAACCCGGGAGGCAGAGGTTGTGGTGAGCCGAGATCACACCACTGCACTCCAGCCTGGGCAAAGAGTGAGACTCCGTCTCAAAAAAAATAAAATAGGCCGGGCACGGTGGCTCACGCCTGTAATCCCAGCACTTTGGGAGGCCGAGTCAGGCAGATCATGAAGTCAGGAGATCGAGACCATCCTGGCTAACACAGTGAAACCCCTTCTCTACTAAAAATACAAAAAATTAGCCGGGTATGGTGGCGGATGTGTGTAGTCCCAGCTACTTGGGAGGCTGAGGCAGGAGAATGGTGTGAACCTGGGACGCAGAGCTTGCGGAGAGCCAAGATCGTGCCACTGCACTCCAGCCTAGGCAACAGAGCGAGACTCCATCTCAAAAATAATAATAATAAAATAAATCCTGTGACATTTCTTTCAGGAAGTCTTACACCTTACTTGACTCCACAGTCTAATTAGATGTTACCTCCTTGGGATCCCACAGTAGTGTATGTGCCTCTTTCACAGCAATGCTGTCTATACTGACCCCTGATTTGCATGTATACCTTTCCTCAGGATATGAACTTTCTGAATGTAGTGACCATACCCTATTTATTTTGATATCGCCAAATTCTAGCTTGTGCTTGACATAGAGTTGTTTCCCAGCTAAATGTTGAATAAAAAACCAAACTGAAAAAACATAGGTAGCATTATGTGTAATATTTACTATATAGGTTCTGATTTAAATGCTTTACATATATTAACTTATTTAATCATCATAGCAACACTATGGGGTAAGTACTATTATTCCTGCCTCCATTTTACAGGTGAGGAAACTGAGGCTTGCAGAGATTAAATAACTCTCCCAAAGCCACACAGCTAGTAAGTGGTGGAGCTAGGATTCAAACCCAGGTAGTGTGGCTTCACAGTTAGTGCTTTAACCACTACATTGTATGTGTGCCTCTAGGAGGGTCACTGAGATTTATGATAAACATATATATTGATTGTCCAAGAAAAGGTGAAGAAACATTAACCATAAGTCACAATTCCATGAACACATTTAAAAGTAATTAGTAAATGTGCAGAGACACTGTTAGGGGAGTGGATGTTACTACTGTCATTTATGAAGGATTTGCTAGAGATGGTAGATTTCACCTGTTGTGAATTGGAGGAGGAGCATGGCTGGCAATTCGAAAGGAGGTAATCTCTCTGGGGTACAATGGAGTAGAAAACTTAGGGACAGAAGGAATATACGAATGGAGAAATTCGATTTGCCCAATCTTTATTGCTCACCTATTAAAGTGCTAAACAAGCTGATGGTGATTCCTGTTCTCAGAAGCCTGTGTTCTAGCAGGTTATAAGAAGATGAGTCTGGTTAAAGAGAAGAGCAGGGAAGTGGCTTAGATTATGGCATAAACTGAAGTTGAAACTCAGAATGAAAAGTAGGAGTTTGCTGAGGGGAAAGCAATATATAAAGTGATTTGTGCTATAGGACATAAGACAGATTATAGATAAGAGAACTCAGAAATAGTAAGGACAGTGGTAAAAAGTTAAAGGATCCTCCCTTTCCCCAGTTAACCAGGAGACCAAATAAGGGACTTGGTGGTAGGAGTGGTAGGAGCAGGATCAATCACTTATTTATTAAGCACCTGCACATGATTCAAAGAAGGATAAGACGGCCCCTACCCTTAAGGAGTTTATGTTCTTTCTAGTTGTGAATAGAGAAAGCATATGCAAAAAAAAAAAAAAAAAAAAAAAACCCACTATGAAACATTCAATTTGTGCTAAAGGTCCATGGTATCAGTGTCCTGGTATTTTCTCTCTTGTTATTTCATCCATGTGGATTTCATTTCCAAGGTCACTTCATGGTCTAAAATAGTTGTTGAAGGTTCGTCCACTGTCTATATTCCAACTAGCTAGAAGCAGAAAGGAGAAAAGAAGGTTATATTCCCTCCCTTTAATGACATTTCTCAGAAGTTGTGCACACGACTTCTGTTTACATCCCACATGATCACATAGCCATACCTAAATGCAAGGGAAGCTGACAAACATATTAATTCTAGGCTGTCAAGTGTCCAACTCAGCGTTGGAGGTTCACTACTAAGGAGGAGGAGGAGAAGAGGTTGGGGGATAACAGGCAGGTCTCTGCCATTTTATTCTTTAAATGTGATTATGCTTGGAGCTCAAGAGAGGGGCTGATTATTTTAGGTTGGGTAGTCATAGAGCTACTGGATTTTAAGTCAGGTAGTAGGTAGTAGGTAGGGAGTCAGCAGATTGGGGAAACATCAATCACAAGCAAATCCTAGGGTTAAGGAATGGGAAGAGTGGCTGTCCCAGGAGAGAGAGATTCCATAGAGTGGGAGAGGATGAGGCTGGTCAGAGAAGCTGGGGCCAGCCTGGAGAGAATCTTACCTCAGAAGCTCTTACTGTAAGATGCTAAGAACAATAGGCCAAGGAGCTCAGGTTTTCTCATATAAATGATAAGGAGTCAAAAAAGATTTCTGAACCAAGGAGAAACATGATTTATCTTATGTGCTTGGAAGTTTGAAAGTTTCATTCATGTGCAGGATGGCAGGGAGGAAAGTATTGGAAGTAGGGATGCCAGCTAGAAGCTTATCCCAGAGGGCGGCAAGTGAACAGTAACGGCCCACCCAGGTGATGACAGTGGGAATGGAAGGGCAAATATAGATGAGAGACCTTGGGAGGGAGACTCACTGGGCCTGTTGGTATGAGGAGAAAGGGAGTTGTGACCCCAGAAATATTGTGTCCTCTGAGAGGTAGCACTGCCCATTGGGCTCCCCAGGTGGGAGGACAGAACCTCATGAAGAGAGGGAGGTCGTTGGTTGGCTGCAGGGAGAATGCGAGGCTCTGCCCCAAGACTCCTTGGCTTTGGAAAATAAGCTGCCCCCAGCAGAATACTTTCCATTCTGCGTAACTGGGGAGTGTGTGGGTCTGGCTAACCACGAGGAGGGGCCGAGGAGCCAATAGACAGATCAAGTTGCTGTGGCAGTAGCTTTTTACTAGGGCCTGGGTGCTCAGTTGGGAAGCGCTGACAGAAGCTCCTATCGGAGATTGTATATTTTTTGACTGGGCAGGCCAGAAAGGGTGGCCTTAATCAGGGTTTGGGGACCTCAGGGTTACCTGCAGAGGTTATCTCATGTCAGGTATGAGGCCAACAGTGTGGCAGAGGAAAGAGTTTGAGGCTTTACCAACTTTGGGGACATGGCCAATATCCTTTGCCTTCTCAGGATCCGGTGGAGGAATTCTCTAGGATGAAGAAGAGGCCCCGGGGGTATAATTGTATTTAGAAAAAGCCATCTCTTTGTTTGAATGATGCTGGCCTTTTAGGACCTCTCCTTCATCTGACTTCCCTGGTGTGAACTGCAGAGCTCAACCAGAGACATCTGGTGAATCCATTTCTTTTTCTTCCAGGCTGCTCAGGGACTTGGCCCGTAACTGCTCAGCAAGTCATTTCTGGTTACAGAGTCCTCAGTGACCACAAAAGCACGTTCTCCAGACATGGTTCCGAGCCTGTGAGAGCTGGCTTTTCCCTGGCAGCTCATCACCAGAGTGGTAGCTTCAATTGAACAAAACCTGCAAGGCAGATCTAAGATACTACAGACACTTAAGGAGCACCCATTTTTCTTATGCCTTTTGTCATGTGGTACCTAAGCAATTTGTTCAGATGTCTAAGAGGGCAGCTGGGGCCTAGAGAAAGCTGTGTAGCTAGACTTGTACTCACATGCTTCTGTGTGTGGGGTCACATAAGGAAGGAGATGAGTAGTAATGGGGAGCTGCCCTGGGGAGGCTGTAGAGTTTGGCAGGACCAGGGCTGGAGGCCTAGAGTCCAGGGAGGTAACTGCTGCCTTTCATCCTTTATATTCTTGAGTGCTTTGGTGTGGTGGTGGGGTGGTACAGCTGAAGTGTTTGCCCCTACTCTATCGAGGCAGGGCAGGGGGTTGCCTGTCCTTCTGGCCAAGTGTTATTGACTGTTCTGTGATTTCCTTTCTGCCACAGGATATAGATCTTTGCCCAGAACCTTTCATAGTTGACTCAGCCCATTTCAGGCTGTCTGTTTCAAGTTATCTTCTCCAAACCCGAGCTCTGGAGAGGAGGATGGGAGGGAGTCAAAGCAAGGAGAGCAGTCTTGAGCTTTGTCTCCCCAGGTTGGCAGCGAAGCCAGGCTTGGCCTTGGTCTGTGAGAGCTGCAGTGAGATCTGACCATCCATCTGTTCCATTTCCTCCCCTGTGCTACCCCAGCCAGTCACAAGGCTGGGGAAAAGTGTGGGTGTTTGGAGGGGCTGCCGTACTTCCCATGTCTGGACCTTTTAAAATTTTAGCTCTTGGACCTTTGATCAAACTCTCTGATTTTTTTTGATTCCCTTTTACAAAGGATTGCAGTTTTGAGGGGAGTTAGAAGGAGCTGTGCTGGAACAATGAGATAAACAAACAGTGACGTGGAGGCGGCGGCAGCAGCAGTGTAGGCAATGGGCTGGGCCGGCTGGCCTGCCGTCTGGGCGGGCTGGGTGGAGGAGGACTCCCGCCCTGCTCACTGGCCAGCTGGCTTGTGTTAAAGTGCTGGCTGAAAATAACTCTCATTGTCTAGGAGCTGCTACTGCGGCAGGACTGGCTGTGGCCGCCAAGGGGCCAAGGCAGCAGGAGCTGGTACCTCCCACCTCCTTGGGCTCTTGCCCTTTGGGAGCAGGGCCCAACTGGCCACAGCTGTGCCTACTGCCCACCAGTAGAGACATGTGGAGGCCGTTCCTTACACTCTGTCCTTTTGGCAGCTAGTAATGGGCCTTTGTGCCTTGTGTTGCCTGCTTTGCCACTGGCTTGGGGCAGATCTGTTGGTTTGTGAGGGGAATCCTAGTGGGAACATGGGAACATGGGGTGGGAACACTGTGTTACAGCTCCTCCTTCAGCAGTCTTCTGGACTCCCAAATTTTGTGTCCACTTGCCACTTTCCATCTTTGCTCATCTGCTCAATGAGCTGATCTGTGGATGCCACGGAGGACTTGGACCTGCGGTCAGGGGCTCAGCAGCACGTTGAGAAGTGTGTGGTGCCCAGGACAGCACTCATTTAATCTGTGGGGCAGTTCTAGATTCAGTTTCTCAGGACTCCCTGTCCCCATGGGCTGAGTGTGGGGGCTGAGGCTACCACACTTGGGAGAAGACAGCCATAGGAAACCTGGTGGGAGGTGGTTCAAGAGGGAAAACATTAATAAAACTACCTCTCACTTTCTGTATTTGCTCAAAACAAACAGCCCCTGCTGGAGCTTCCCTAAAGCCTCCAGTTTCTTTCCCAGGAACATTACAAACGTCTCTCTCCCTGTCTCTCGAAGCTATGCCATTTTGGTCTCTGTTCCTAAGATTTATCATGATAGGGACCAACAAAAACAGTTGGGAATTTTTGGTGGTTCCTATTTCTGTTTTTTGGGTTTTCCCCAGGCCTGGCTCAAGAAGACTGTCAGAGTAGGGGCAAGTCCCAGAGCAGAGCTCACAGCTTTGAAGGAAACTCCAAACCCTACCGGCATTTCCCTTCCCCTGCAGTGGGAAGGAAATGAGGAGGGGCTCACTGGGCTGGGGGTGCAGAGTGGGAAAGGGAAGGGAACCTCTGCCACCAGAGCTGCCTCCCTCCTTGGCTTGACTGGGGCTGTCAGGGGTCAGGTGGAGAGTTAGGAAACCTTGCTGGAGGGACCAGGCCTTGCTCACATGCACCCCATTGTGCAGGGAGATTTGCCTGGCCTCAAACTGGCAAACAGAGCAGCCTTGCTGGAGAAGCACCAGCTCCATGCCTTTCGGCTTCTTCCCATTATAGATTTTTATTATTAGATGTTTTGCTGGTTCCCTGTGATTTAGGAATCGGTCCCAGAGTTGCTTTCAGTTTGAGTTCATCTTCCCCTTTTCCTCACATCTCCTATTGTGACTGTTTTGGCTGTGACTTACCTCCCTTACTTCTTCCTTGGAGTCTCCTGCCATGTCCCCCACCCCTCAAGATAATGATACCAAAATTGGCGCCTAGTCTTAGAGGAAGCCAGAGCAGGATCAGTGAAGGGATAATGGATTGCTCTGTAGTCAGAGTGTTGCGAAGCAATTGCTGAAGGTGGGATGGAGGCAGAGAGAGAGAGACAGCCTAGAAGCAAGAGGGCAGGTCCCTCGGACATCAGAACATGACACAAGATTTTCGGGAGGAAGCAGGCGGTGAGGGGGACTGTGTTGAACACCCACAGTGTTCCAGACACATACAGACATAAAATATTTATCTTTTAATCCTCAGCTAAAACCCTGTGAAGTAGTGAGATTATCTCGTTTATGGATGCGTTCACCAAGGCTCCATAACTCTGAAGAGCCCAAAGTTGATCTTGGGCCCTCTGACTTCACCCACATTTAGTGCCCTCTCCTTTCCAAGACAGCCACTGCCTCCTTTCTGCTCAGCAAGGGTCTCAATGAGGAGTTAGCAAGAACTTAGCTCAGCTTCTGCCTTCTGGGAGCCTACAGTGTCTGTGGAACCACTGAAGAAAAAATGTCAAGGAAACAAACTTTTGACTGAGACCGGAACTGTGTCAAATTTGCTACTTTGCTGTCCCCGGAACTCAGGAAGTTGTCATTCCTAAGGGCAGAGAGGCTTCCTTAGGACATTGGAGCCCTGCCAGACTCACACACATTATCAGGTAGAGGCAAAAGCCCTGATGCCCTTGTCTAGCAGGAAGAGAACTGTCCAGGCCAGGCTCTGGTTTATGCCCCCTTGGCAGGTGGCTCCCACTGGCAGCCAGTGACCCGTTTCTTCTGAGAATGCTGGAGCTTGGGGGAATTCCCCTTACCCACCTCCTTCCCTATCACACTTCAGCCCAGAAGAAGCAGAGAAGTCTGAGACCACTGTCAAGAAAGTGCCACCCAAAGCTCAAGACAGGAGGATATGGCTATGGTCAGACCTACTTCATGCCTCTACCACCCGTTTCCATACTTTGGGATCATTCCTTCCTGGGGATCTAGAGTTTGACCAGGTCCCTGCTGTGCCTCTTCCATGCTCTTAGGCCAGGACTCCCCAAGGGGGTGACTTTGCCCAGTTTTTCAAACCGAGGGGACCAAGTGTTTCCTCATCAGTTCACCTGGTGGAGAAGTATGAGCCACAGCTGCTGACAGTGGGTGGCTGAGGGAGGAAGTTGGCATAGACAGGATGTGATGTCTGCCACAGCAGTGACAGGCTGCCCCCTCCTCCATTCCAGCAGCTTTCTTCCAGGGGAGACAACAGAAAACTATTTTCATGGCACAGACTTAGGAGAAATGGTCAGATGGCAGCGATGTGTTTAGGATATGCACAGAGCCAGGGCCAGTCCTGAGGACTATTTCTGCTCAGTTCTGTCTTGAGTTCATCTGGCAGCAGCCTGGCCACAGTTAGGCTGAGTTAGGAGATCTACTCTGGGTTGACCTTGAGTCCTTGTTTTGTTGAGGCCTCTTGCTCCTGTCCTGCTGTCCACACGGGTATGCTGAGATTGGCCTTAACAAAGTAGTTTCAGAGAGAACATTCCAGGCTTGTGTTTGACCATCTTGCCATCCATCCTACATAGACTGTGAGGAGGACTCAGCCTCACTTTCCTGTGGAAGTTCAGGCAGATGCATAGTGCAGCAGGAACCATGGGGAGAGGTATGATGTGGGGCTTTCTTCCCCTTCTTTGTTTCTCTCACCTGCCCCACTTCTTTGGTCCTAAATTCTTCCATGTATAAATTCCAACTGAAGACTTCAACCCTACTTCCTTTTTGAGCTATAGTGACCTCGTTTCCAGCCAGTAGCTGGGCTTGTAGCTCAGACCTGGGACCTCTTCCACATAAGTTTATTATCACCTTACTGCCCCCACTAGATGCATATTGGGAGCTGGAGATGGTGAAAATAGACACAGCACTTTAGGGGCTAGATGAGTATACAGCTGGTTTAGGAGTATATCTGAGTTATGTTTATAATAAATAGATAATATGACAGAATAAATGTTTGGGATTTTCTTTTGGTTCCATCGAAAGTTAGAGGACCTCCTTCTAGGATTTGTTTGCCTCTTCTGGAATAATGCAGGGCCTATGTGACTCCTCAGGGACCCTGGATGCACACAGTTCATGTCCCCAGGGATGAGGATGCCAAGAATTGGGCAGAGGTAAATGAAGTGGTCATGCTTGGGTTACCAGGGAGTTAGAGCTGAACCTGGACAGTAGTTAAAGGAGAGAAAGATGAGAGGCAGCCTTCTAGGTGGCTGGCACTATGCTTAAGAAGAAGCTGAATTTGTGGGAAGTCACATGGGTGATCACGCAGCTGCGACACTTTGGGTAGGCGATCATATTTGATTCAAGATTACGAGGGAGCAGGTACAGTGGTCTGATTAAAGTGTCAGACTGCCTTTATTCTTTTTTGTTTGTGTGTTTTGTTTTGTTTTGTTTTGTTTTGTTTTGTTTTGTTTTGTTGAGATAGAATCTTTCTCTGTTGCCCAGGCTGGAGTGCAGTGGCGTGATCTTGGCTCACTGCAACCTCCACCTCCCAGGTTCAAGCAATTCTTGTGCCTTGGCAACCTGAGTAGCTGGGATTACAGGTGTGCGCTACTGCACCCATCTAATTTTTGTATTTTTGGTAGAGATGGGATTTTGCAATGTTGGCCAGGTTGGTCTTGAACACCTGGCCTCAAGTGATCCGCCCACCTCGGCCTCCCAAAGTGCTGGGATTACAGGTGTGAGCTACTGCATCTGGCCCAGACTGCCTTTAGAGGTAAGGGCTGTGACCTGGAACAAAGACAGCCAGACTGATGAGAAGAAAGGTTTGACTGAATGGGGATAAAGGTAGGGAACGTAGCCTCCTAGCATGGGTAGGGCTAGTCCATGGATGAAGTCCTTAGGCTTCACTCACTCATTCTCTCGTACCTTATTCAGTCACCAAACAGTGGTGAACAAGATAAAATGATTCCTGGTCTGTCCTTCAAATAGCCTGTATTAGAGTGGCTTGCCAAGGGGTTAGGGTGCTTTGCTGTGTCTTAATTAATTGGGAGGTGTTTCATAAGAAATTTGCTACTAACAATTAAAGTCTGGTACTTTTGTGAATTTTTGCCTAAAAATTCTTTTCCAAAAAAATTTAAGCAGTTATCTTCATGCTAATGTTCTTCTCATTCACTTGTGTGCTGATATGGGCAAGAGGGTCACAGTTATAGCATCTACATAGGTTGTGGGTGGCTCAGGATTTGCCCATGGGAATGGATGTTGTAGGCAAGTTGCCCATCTCTCAGGTTATGGGGGAAAAGCAAACTGAAAAAAATTGCTGCTTTAACCTGGTGGGTTTTCAAATTTTTTGACCCATCTCATGTTCCCGTCACATTTTATGGTATGATGTATGTATATGACATATTTGTTTATATACATAAAATAGAAAAGAAACTAAAGCTTCACAAAACATTATTTATACTTCCGAATTCTGGTATCTTCTATCCTATTTTAATCAGCTCGTTTTCATTTAAAATAGAGTTAATTTTGACTGATTAAATTGATTCTACTACCAGTGGTTTGGAAAACATTGCTCAACCAAACATGAAGGGGAGGCTGGAGGACTGTTCTACCTTTCCAAGCCTGCCTTATCAGCGATGGAGTGTCAGGGTGAAGTCTGAGGGCCCAGTAGCAGAAAGGTGTGGGCAGTCTAGTCTTTCTCTTTTCCAGATGAGGGGAGGTTTCAGCCTTGTTGACTCAGGTTCTCTCCTCAGAGCTCCATGAACCTGCCTCCAGACAAGGCCCGGCTCCTGCGGCAGTATGACAATGAGAAGAAATGGGATCTGATCTGTGACCAGGTATGGGGTTTGGGAAAGAGGAGGGAGGTAGGGAGTTGTGTCTTGGGCTGGCTAAGGCTGTGGGGCCAAAGGCATTGAGTGCAGCCTTGGGTTCCTTGAGGAACCCTGGCCTAAGCTTGGCCTCATCTGTGTTCACTTTCTTTTCCAAGAGGATTCTCATAACAGAGACAGAGCTGGCAGGCCAAGTTCCCCTCTAGCTCCCACAAAGAGCTGTCTTGATTTCTTCCAATGGGCAATAGTATAAGGGGATTTGTGTAGATCAGGGGTATAGGATTGGCTGTGCAGGTTCAGGGCTATGCCCGGTAGGGTGCTCAAAGGACTGTTGATCTCTCACTCTGTCTTAGCCCTGGCAAATAGCAGGGTCTTTCTCATTATCTCAGGGCCTCTAGGAATGAGAAGCCCCAGACTCTAGTCTTTTGTTCCCAAATCTCAGAAGAGTCAAGGTCTGGAAACTCTCTCTGCATGAACAGTGTTGAGAGCTGGAAGAGAATAGAAATCATTACTTTGCTCAGAGTTGAGAGTCTTCTAACACATATGACCTGGCTCTTTCCCTTGCATGCATTTGAAGATCATGAGTCACGAGTCTGTGAAATGAGACAGGACTGTATGCAGGGCTGGGAGAGTTGGCTTTTACCTTTTTACATCTTGGTAGAGATGGAAGTATCTGGCAGTGTGGGTAGTGTGTTTACCCAGCACTTTGCCATGTACAATTTTATTATTTCTTTTCAGGCTCTGGGTGAAATAATAATAGGTAACATTTATTGAGTGCTTGTTATGGACCAAGTACTCAACACACTGAAGTATCTCATTTAATCATCACAGAACCCTCTGAGGAAGGCAGTGTTGGCATTTTATAGATGAAGAACCCAAGGCTCAGTAACTTGCCTAATGCTAGTAGGTGATGAAGCCAGGGCTGAGCTCAGGCAAGCAGATGCCAAGTCTGTGTTAACTGTTCTGTTCCACTGCCTCCCCAGGTCATGCTGCTTGACGTAAGCTAGTAGTATGCTTCAGAGATCTTAGTCCAAGTCCCTTCTCCAACAAAGGTCCATATCCTTGTGTTCTGCATTAAGAGGAGTTGGTTAGCACCTGCTTGGGGTTTGGAGAACAGTAACCCTTTGATATTGAGGGTCTTTAATTGATCTCTCAGTCTTTCCTAGGTCAGATAATTTCAGCTGTTTCTCACACCTTTCGTTTTTTTCTTTGATTTGTTTTTAGGTCCTACTCTCTAACATTATATCATTCTCCTGGACATTTTTCAGCCCCTCCACCCACCAGCTCTTCAGATATCTTGGTGGTGGCAGCTCTAATAGGACCAGAATGCTAAGGGGTACTCCCTGAGTTTCTTTTTGGGTCAGATGAAGGGGTTGGCCTAAAGTAGGACGTGGTCCCAGGTCCTAGGTAGAAGGGAATCGAGGGATGACCTTGCTGAATGCAGCCTTCAGTATTTGAGGTTGCTTTGGATTGTTGGGAGTCTGGGCAAGGAGCAGTGTTTGCAGCCCTGAGCTGTGTCAGCTCAGCAAAACCATTCCAGTCCCAACTGCAGAGTTCATTGCTGAGAAAGTTGGATTCTACAAAGCCAAGCTCCTCTCCCCTTGGCCTTCCTAACCCATATCCATTAGTTGGCCAGGCAGTGAACAGCATTTCCCAATCATATCTTTTTTTAATTTTTTTTTTAGAGAGGGATCACACTCTGTTGCCCAGGCTGGAGTGCAATGGCATGATCATATCTTACTGTAGCCTCAAACTCCGGGGCTCAAGGGATCCTCCCACCTCAGCCTAAGTAGCCAGGGCTACAGGCATGTGGTAGCCACCATGCCTGGCTAATTTTTTAAAGTTTTTTTTGTAGAGACAGAGTCTTCCTATGTTATCCAGACTATTCTCAAACTCCTGGCCTCAAGCAGTCCCCCTGCCTCGACCTCCCAAGCGCAATCAATTATATCTTTATTTTGGGTGCTGTTCACAACTCTGTAATCCCCAACATCTTTGTAGCAAGCAGCACACTTTTAAAATACTTTTTGACATAGAAAAACATTTTAGGCTCAGGGAGCACTAATTGGAGGAGGAGGAGATGGCAACAGGTGGTAACACCTGGGGATAAGTCAAGGAAGGGAACCTCAAGTTTAGGTGATATCTAGAGCCAGGTGACAACTTGGAGAGGCTGAGTCCCCCTCACACTGAACACTATGAATGCTCTTCTTCCTCAGTGCCCTCCTCAGGTCTCTGGTTGTCTTTGTGGATACGCATATGCATGTTTCCCTTACAGGAACGATTCCAGGTGAAGAATCCTCCCCACACTTACATTCAGAAACTCCAGAGCTTCTTGGACCCCAGTGTAACTCGGAAGGTGAAGTATGAGGCAGAGAGTCCCCGTCTTGCCACCCTTTATAGTCCTGTGGGGTTTGGGGGCAAACCCTTTGACTTGGATATTGGACATCTGTTTCTGAGCATTGGGAGTTGGATTTCAGGGTTCTGTGGCCAAGGGCCTGGAATGGCTGGCCAGTAATGGAGGGAAAGTCTATAACTGCCCTCTTGTATTCCCTTCCTTTCCTACCCTTTTTACAGAAGTTCAGGAGGAGGGTGCAGGAGTCAACCAAAGTACTAAGGGAGCTGGAGATCTCTCTTCGCACCAACCACATTGGGTGAGTTGGATTGGCCGTATAGCCTCTTCATCTGGCCCCAGGCTGCTGGCTGGGCACACAGGGTCTGGTGTCCTCTGAGGATGGTGTTCCTGTTCATCTTCCCTGCCATGGGGCAGAGTTGCCCCTTGAATGGCTTCTGGCTCCCCAGAGCTTTGGACTGGTTCTTTACTGGCTTTTCTACCCCCTCAGCTCTGCCAGCTGCTGACTAGATGTTTCTGGCAAGCTTGAGGCCTCTCCTGGGGTCCTCTGCCTGTGGCTTTGAGTGGAAGACATTCCCACAGCAGTTGAGACTGGAGTCTGCCTGTGGCCTGGTGCTGGGCCAAGCGAGGCTCAGAGAAGGCTGAGGGTGGGGAGAACATACTATATTGGGTAGCTGAGACCTAGTTCCCATTCGGTGACTATTTGGACTTTTTGGTGCCTGGAAGTTTATTTGCTTGTTTGGGAGAAGATAATCTTAGTTCATGAGCAGAAGCTTCCTTAAGCACCAGGAAAGATGTAAGGCACTGGGGGCAGGAGCTGAATGTTTTCTATATTCACAGACCCTGGTGTCCCCAACACATTGATAGGGCCCTTAGGAACTGTGTGAGTCTTTTTTTTTTTTTTCCAGTCCCTGAGTGGGAAACCAGGAATTGCTGAACAAGCAAAGAGCTAATGTGTAAGGTACAGTGAAAGAGGGTATTGGCCTCAGTGTTACGAAACTGTAATCAGCAAAGGTATATGCAAAGGTATATGAAAGTGAGAGAGAGAGAGAGAAAGTGTGTATATGTGTGCGTATGTGTGCTTATGCAAAAGGACAGTGAGGGACACGTGATGTAGAACTGCAGGCAGGGGTATAGACCTGATGGGAGGGCCTGGCACAAATGTCCAGTGCTTATGAGTGAGCAGTGGAGGCCCAGGTGGGGGTGGGGTGCCCAGGCTTCCTGACAGGGGGTTAGAGACAGCCAAATGACATCATTAGCCTTTCCCCTCCTGTTGTAGCAGCAGCCCTCATCCGCCCCCAGGGCAAGCCTTCCCAGGATTCTTTAGAGGGAGGGGACACCTGTGTGTAGCCAGCTGTAGCAGCAATCACAAGGGAAACAGCACAGGAGAGAACAGGAAAGGGATGGTTCCTGGCCTCAGTAACTGTGCTCTGGTGGCCAGAGTATGGCTTCTGTACCTCATCTGTGAATCAGACATTGAAAGTCAAGCTGCTGAGAAAGGTGTGGCCAAGCCTCTTCCTTTGTTTGGTCAGTCCTTCACTGACTTCACTGACTGAAGGACAAAGTGGCAGGGGCTGCTTAGTACCCCTGTGTGTGAGGGCAAGAAGGACACCGATGGCAACCCTGAGTGCTACCTGCCACCCTGAGCCCCCTACCACTCCGCATTCCTCCATAGGTCCCTTCTGTCCCTCTCAGCCCTTCTGTCTTCTTTTTGTTTATTTGTTTTTTAAGACAGGGTCTTGCTCTGTTGCCCAGGATAAAGTACAGTGACATGATCATGACTCACTGCAGCCTCAACTTCCAGGGCTCAAGTGATCCTCCTATCCCAGCCTCCCAAGTAGCTGGGAGCACAGGCACACACCCATGCCTGGCCATTTTATTTTATTTATTTATTTATATTTTGAGATGGAGTCTAGCTCTGTCGCCCAGGCGCCATCTTGGCTCACTGCAACCTCTGCCTCCCAGGCTCAAGCCATTCTGCCTCTGCCTTCCGAATAGCTGGGACTACAGGCGTGTACCACCACGCCCAGCTAATTTTTGTATTTTTAGTAGAGATGAGGTTTCACCATGTTGGTCAGGCGGTCTCAAACTCATGGGCTCAAGTGATCTGCCTGTCTTGGCCTTTCAAAGTGCTGGGATTACAGATGTGAGCCACCGTGCCTGGCCTGCCTGGCCACTTAAAAAAAAAAATTTAGTAGAGATAGTTGCCTAGGCTGGTCTTGAACTCCTAGGCTCAAGTGATCCTCCTTGAGGATCCCAAAGTGGAGCCACTAGTACCTAGCCTTGTTTTCTTGATTAAGTCTTGCTGTAGTCATCTGAGGATAGGGGTGTGCTTTTATTGGGAGAAGGCCACAGAGCAGTTTATGATAGTCCCTGCTGCCTGCCCCCTCTACCTGGTGCCTGCCCCTCTGGCTGCTGGCCAGGAGCTATGTCCAAAGCAGCGTGGTTCCCAGGCCTGGGGCCTCTTGGCAGTTGGCACACAAGTTAGAGGTCCTGGACCTGGTCCTTTGTTCCCAGGGAATAGCTCAGTGCCTGGCATTTTAGGCATGCCTGCCATCTGAACTGCGGCTTCTCTGGGTAGAGTTATGTGGAAGGACCAAGATCCTTCCTGGATTTCTGGGCAGGAAGAGTTTGTCAGATTGTGGGTGCTTCAGGGTGGCAGGAACCCAGGGCAAGGTGGGGAGAGGAGGATCCTGCTTTGGTCACAGCCTGATCAGCCCCAGGGCTTGCAGAAGTTGGGTGTGCAGGAGCAGCAGATGGGAACTCAGGTTCTGGAGAGGGATAGGCTGGGAAGTGGGATTCCAGAGCCTCTCCAGCTCCTCTTTCCCTGGTTTGTATTGGTTTCTGTGCCTTGCCTAAGCACCCTTTAACCTCTCCTCAAAGTGTCAAGATCCCGAAATAGCAGTATAGACTCAGACAGGAAATGAGAAGGGGGTGGGGAGCTGGAGAGCAGACAGACAGGAAACGGGAGGCCTGTTGGCCCCCAGAGAGGAAGCTAACTTCAGGCAGCTCCGGTGTCAGTCAGCTTCAGCCAGAGCCTGCTGCCTAATCTCAGCTGGGCCTGGTGTTGTAGCTCCAGAGTCTCTCTGTAGTTTGGGGTGTGGCTGGCCAACATGGCACTGGTTTTCCAGCTGTTGGGGAGAAAGGCCCCGCAGGGCAGTTTGGGAGGAGCTTTCCTATAAAGACCCCCAGAAATTCTGAAGGAGTAGAGCACTCTAGATTAGGGTTTCATCCTGAGCGTTTTATGTTTCTGCTATGGAATGAACCTGTCATATAACAGTTCCCTAGATTTGCCCTTGACTTTCATTCCAGGAATATCTCAGCCCAAAAGAACTGAAAGCAGAAGGGAAAATAATGCCCTGGGATATGGTCCTTAGGTGCTTTGTTGTCTACCTTCCTGGCTGAGGGGGACCCACGTACTCAGGTTGACTCTGAGTGGTCATAGACATCCTGGAGTTCCTTGAGTTCCTGTTCATCTCCCATGCTTTTTCTGGTTCTGCCAAACTCAACATGACTAAATACAGAACTTCTATACATCTCTGCTCACTGCTTTCTAAAACTCCTCTCCTTAAACTTAGTAGAGAGTGCTTTGCCCCAGGATGCCTCTGTTCCAGAGCTCTCCTTGACCCTTCCTGCTGGGGTCTTGACTGAGGCTTCAGTCAAGTTGGAGACTTGCTGGCTTCGGTCAAGCACAACTCTGCACACGGGCCTGTAGTAAATGCTCTTGATGCTTCCTAAATTCTTCCAACAAACACTGAGCAAGGACATGTGGAGGGATGCAGAAAATAATTGAGCCAGGGTCTGGCCCTTAAGGAGGGAGTACCTGAGAGCTTGTTTGTCTGAAGCACCTTCACGATAAAGCAAGTGGCATTAGAAGGGCCTGAACTTTCCCCATCCCTGACTTCCCTGCCTAGGGGAAGTCCATGACCGTGGATGGGTCTGTCATGGGTTTTGATCTTCAGAATTTTCTTAGCCTGGTGCTGGGTTCCAGGAGGAGGAGGTGTTGGGTCAGAGGCATGTCACCCCCCTCATCCTTGACCCACTTTTAGCAGACCCCTTCCACTGTGTTTCCTTTATCTGCAGGTGGGTGCGGGAATTTCTGAATGATGAAAACAAAGGCCTGGATGTACTGGTGGATTACCTGTCCTTTGCCCAGTGTTCTGTCATGTGAGTACCACCCCGGGGCTGAAGTTGGGGACCAGTTGGGGGAGGACATAGTTCCATTCTACTTTGATAAGGAAGGGTGAGAGTTCAACAATGAAGATGGAAATGGGAATCCTGGACAGGAAGGAGTAGCCCAAGCAGTGGTGTGGAAGTAGGCAGGCAAGCCCGGAGATGTCTGGGGATCAGTGAAGAATGGCACTTGGCTGGAGTAGAAGATAAGATGCATTTTGGAGAACAGGACAGAGAGATGGAAAGGGAGCTTGGAATCAGAACCCAAGGCATCCAAATGCCAAGCTGTGAGCAATCCAGGGAAATGTCCTGGCTTCTGGTAGAGATGCCTTGGTGGGATCCATTCATCTTTGCAGAGTTGAGTCTTCCAGAAGCAACTTTGGGTTTCCAGATGTGAGAAGGTTACTCCAGGTCATTGTTGAAGAACCCAGGAACAGTGAGTTCCTTTTGACCTGGATAGAAAAATGAAGTATTCAGGAGTCTTTTTCTAGCAGGCAGGGGGGCTTGGAGGCAGCCAGAAGTGAGTTAGCACAGAAAAGGCGGCCTGGTATAGTGGAAGGAATGAGAGCTCTTGAGTCAGACAAAGCTGGGTTTGGGTTTCAGTTCTGTTATTTACTATCTGTGTGACTTCAAAGCAAGTTTGTGTCTTCTTCTATGAAAGGAGATCCACATTCCAGGGTTGTTGTGAAAATTAGATGATAACGTGTGTTAAAGCACTTAGTATTATTTGGAACATACCGGGTCTGTATTGTGGTAGCAGATCTATTGTTAATTTCATTATTATTATTTAAAGTGGCATACCCTACCACAATTACCTGAATATATGAAATTACATAATAAACATAATGACCAACACATTTAGACTTACACCTAAGACAGGTCAGCCTTAGGGAGACCAATCTTCCCAGTTTGCCCATAACTTTCCCTAGTTTTCCCCAGCGTCCCAGGAAACTCCTCCATCCTAGGACTTAGCCCTGACATTTTTTTGAGACAGGGTCTTGCTCAGTTGCCCAGGCTGGAGTGCAGTGGCACGATCTTGGCTCACCACAGGCTTGACTTCCTGGGCTCAAGCAGTCTTCCTGCCTCAGTCCTGCCTCAGCCTTGCTGAGTAGCTGGGACCACAGGTGTATACCACCATGCTTAGCTAACTTTTTGTGTGTTTTTAGTAGGGACGGGGTTTCACCATGCTGCCCAGGCTGGCCTCGAACTCCTGGGCTCAAGCGATCCACCCTGCTTTGGCCTTCCAAAGTGCTGGGATTGCAGGCGTGAGCCGCTGCTCCCAACCAGCTTCCACTTTTCTAACTACTGTCCTTGCCCCCTTGGCCATTCTTCTTTGTCCAGCAGGTCTTCAGTGTCATCCCCTTAGGAATTTGATGCTTCTTCTATGTTCGGCGCCTCTCACCTTTTCCAGGTTATCCTGTTAAAACCAAGAGTGGCCCACTGCATTCTTGTCTCAGCAGAAGTCATACCTCGTGTGATTCTCTTATCTCCTAAAAAAAATTCTTTTTATAGAAAGAAATGAAAAACATTTGGTGAAATAATTTTTCTTAAAAAATTCAGAGCTTTTATAGTAAAAAATGTAGCTCATTTTTCCAAATAAGCCTCTCTCTCTTACTTGAAAAGCAAACAAATTCCAGCCACCCTAAACCAAGAGTACCCTGGAACCTCAGTATTGTAGTGTCCATGGCAATACCTTTGACTCTGTTTTTAAAAAAGAAGGACTTTGTGTGGGGGAGAGAATGTGTGTTTTAGGAAGGATTGAGAGGGAAAGGGTGAGGCTAAATAGAGTTGGAGTGAAGATAATTGTTTGTAAACTGCATATACCAGTACAAGAGGATACAGTGTTACTGATGGAATCAGCAAGCTGTTTCCCTGTCAGGAGGTTCCTCTGATGTCTACTTGAGAGCCCCATTAAACACCTCCTGATCATGAGGACACTAAAGCCTGCTCCCACTTCCTTTGGAACATTCTGACGTCTGTAAATATCCCTTCCTATTCCAGAAAGCCTCAACCTCTGTGCCTTTGACCCCATGTCTGAGCAGAATGCTTCTTGGGGGAGAAGAACCTGTAAGAGATGCTCCCTTAGTCTTTAATGACCTACATGGAGGAAGAGGACAAGAAGGAGGAGAGGGACTGTTTCTCAGAGGGGTATATCCTGAAGTGAGGATGATAAGAGAGGAGTCCCTGTGAGTTTGTGATCTTGGCCATCTTCCTTGTCCTGGCCACATTGACAAACTGCTGACGGTCGCTGGGTGCAGTGGCTCACACATGTAATCCCAGAGCTTTGGGAGGCCAAGATGAGAGATTGCTTGAGCCCAGGAGTTTTAAGACCAGACTGGGTAACATAGCAAGACTCCATCTCTACAAGAAAATTTTAAAAAATTAGCCAGGCATGGTGGCACGCACCTGTAGTCCCAGCTACTCGGGAGGCTGAGGCTGGAGGATTGCTTAAGCCCAGGAGTTAGAGGTTACAGTGAGCCATGACTGTGCCACTGTATTCCAGCCTGGGCCACAGAGTGAGACCCTGTCTCTTTAAAAAATAATAATAATAATAATTGCTGATGGTGGAAGACATCTGTTCCAGGAGCAGAAAGTGACAAACCATTCAACTCCTGCAGAGGCTATACTACAGGACCCTGGTCTACAATCTCAACTTGTAATTTCTTCCCCCAGGGAAACTGAAGCCCAGGGAGCCTGTATACCTGAAAAACCTAGAAACCTCAAGTAGCCAGAACCATAGAGAACCTGGTCATTAAAACCCAGTGCTAAGATGGGGCAGTGGTGCTCCTCCAAACAATAAAGGACTGTCCCACTCTGGGTTTGCCAGAACCCCCTTTCCCTTCCATTTAGTCCTGCCATCCAGAATCAACTGGACTCCTTCAAAGCACTGAAGGGCCCTTTGGTTGCTGGCATTTGCCAGCTAGCAAGACCTGCAGTTGGCTCATTCCCCACCATTCCCTCTATGGGGCAGATTCTTCATGGGGAGCCACAGCTTCCCGGAGATGTCCCAACTAAGCTGGGAGTGCAGAAAGACTGCCAGCTCCCGAGTGGCCCATGGGGAGGACACTCCTTCTGGAATTTCCTGGCTAGTGGGGAGCAGAGGAGTTGGCCTCCATCAGCTTCCCATCTCCTTAGACTGCCCTCCTTGTTGCTGCCTGTGCTGCTTCTGCCGCTGTTCTGTGTTAGTGGCTCTTCCAGCTAGGATCAGGTCTCTGCTCCCCAGTTCTGCTTTCTCTCCTTGCTACCCCTGCTGCTTGTTGCCCTAGAGGCCTGAAGGGTGGGGGTGGGCTCACGGGGGGCCTTGGCACTGAATTTCTCCTGTGTATGTGCCTGTGTATGCGCATGTGTGTCCTTTCATGCTCCAGGTTTGACTTTGAGGGTCTGGAAAGTGGTGACGATGGTGCATTTGACAAACTCCGGTCCTGGAGCAGGTCAATCGAGGACCTGCAGCCACCCAGCGCCCTGTCGGCCCCCTTCACCAACAGCCTCGCTCGCTCTGCGCGCCAGTCTGTGCTCCGGTATGTGTGCTTTTGCTCTGCCCACCTGCCTCCCACCCTACCCTTCAGTGCAGGTCTCGGGTTCAGCAGTGAGTGCTCATGCTCCTCCCTCCACTCTTGCTTCCAGGCTCAGCTCTCTTGCCCTCTGCCTGCCAGTCTGTCTCTGGTCTGTCTTCTCTGTCTCCTTGACTCTGCCCAGCGGTCTGTCCTGGGTAAGTACATGGTCTCAGCTGCACTTACCCAACGTGGGGTTCCAGCTCTCCCCATTCCTCACCCCTCTCTGGGGGAGCCCTTCATTCCTCTCACTCTGCCATTCCTCCTGGGTCTCTTGAGCAGGGCACATCTCATACAGGTCCATGGCCTTCACTGGGTGATCCAGCTCCTACTCTCATTCTGTTTCCCTCTAGTTCTTCACTCTGCCCCTTTAGCTGCTTGGAGACCAGCTCCCACCCAACCTGGCTGCCCCTTGCATTCCCTTCACCTCTTCCTTCAGGCCTTTCTCTCTGAGGCTGCCACATGCTCATTTGTCTGCGGTGTCTTAAGAGCCGCCCTGCCTGGAGGTAGGCGGATGGACTGGATGACTTCTCAGAGCCCCTTCCTACTCTGGGAGGCTTTCCTTTGGGTCCCATGGCCCTTTCCTTGGTTTCTGTCTCTCTTGTGGCCATGCTTTCCTCCTAGTCTCCTTTGGGTTGTGTCCCTTGGACACTGTTGATTATTCTTGTCATGGATGAGCAGATACTGTATGTGTCTCCTCCCTTTTCCATGAAACATCACTGAGAGGGTGGAGGGGTGGTGCAAAGCCAGACATAGCCCTGTGGCCCAGCTGAAGCCTTTAGGGGTCAGCTCTGCCTTTTCTGTGATACAGAAGTGGGATGGGAGCCATGACGCTCTTGTCCCACAGATTGTGCAGAAGGTGCAGCAACTGGAAGTGGGTGGAGGGAATGCTCAAATGACTGTGTCTCTGGAGCCATCTCAGGGACTAGGAAGGCCTACACAACTACTATTTGTATTTTGAAGGATCTCTAGGGTTGGGGCACTGGTTATAAAACCGGGATCCTGAATAGTTGCTGACAAAGGCCTGTTTAAGGAGGTGAAAACAGGCTGACCACCCTGCCTCCTGCACCCTGTCCCTCTTGGCTGTTGGTACGAGGTGCTATTCCCTATTTTTTGCCACTGCTAAGGGGCAGCCTGCTGTCCGGGTGATGGTGAGTGTCCCTAGATGCTTCACTGGCAGCCTCAGCTCCCACCTGACTGCCTGGCCCATCTCCCCAGGTATAGCACTCTCCCTGGGCGCAGGGCCCTGAAGAACTCCCGCCTAGTGAGCCAGAAGGATGACGTCCACGTCTGTATCCTTTGTCTCAGAGCCATCATGAACTATCAGGTAAGGGGGAAGCACTAGCCATAGGTGCTCTACTTCTTCTGCCTCATCTGCAAAACCAGGAGAGCTAGGAGGGCATCAGCTTATAAAAGACAGGTTTGCTGGTGGGCCTACGGTCAAGGAGATTGGCTGGGCTCCCCCTTCCCCACCATCAAGGTCCCCTCCTTCTGTCCTTTCCCTTGCAGTACGGATTCAACCTGGTCATGTCCCACCCCCATGCTGTCAATGAGATTGCACTTAGCCTCAATAACAAGAATCCAAGGTGAGTTCCTTCCCTCCCCTTTCCTCCCCACTCTGTCCAGGGCTCTGGAGATCTGTACTCCATGTATTCCTGACAAGTTCTGCCTGGCCTTGGAGTCCTGTCAAGAGCCTTGGTTTGGCCCCCTCCTCTGCTGGAAGAGAAGTGTCCCTGGCTCTCCTCTGGTCTACACAGCTTAGTAAGGGAGCAAGCCCTCTTTCTCCCACCCTCTCTCCTCACCACTGAGGCTTTCTCCACTCTCCAAAAGGACTTACCCAGTCAGGGAAATGAGCTGTGTGGTTGTCAGGATGGGGAGTTAGGGTGTTAATCTTCCTTCTTCACCCCTTAGGACCAAAGCCCTTGTCTTAGAGCTTCTGGCAGCTGTGTGTTTGGTGCGAGGAGGTCACGAAATCATCCTTGCTGCCTTTGACAATTTCAAAGAGGTCAGTCTTTTCGCTTCGCGTGTGTGTGTGTGTGTTTGCGGGGGAGAAGGCAGGGAGCTAGGTTGGTAAGCACCATTTCCTGTGATCTGCAATGATTTTTAACATCCCAATGCTTGGCCAAGCAGCCTCTCTCCTGAACTCCCAGTATTTTTAAAACCAGAACTTTAGTCTTACTAGATCTTCAGGCCAGGAAACCTCCTGATTGGCCAGCTAAAGATACCCTCAGCTAGCTGAGGGCTATAGTCCAATGGTCCTAGTTGGGCCCTGCATCCAAATCACCTAAGGAGCTTGTTAAAAGTACAGATCCCTGTGCTCTAGTTCAGACCCACTGGAGGCCTGAGTATATGTACTTAAGTGACTCCCCAGATGGGAGTCTGATGCGGTGAACCCATTGGTAGAACCCAAAGCACATGTGTTTTGAAATGGGAGGAGAAGGTAAGCAAGGATGTCTCCTGATTTGTTGGCTGTTATTGGTGAGGGGAGAAGGAACTCCTGTGTGGAATTTCCCCCAGCCCCTGGGCCTGCCTCTGAAACCCCTATCTACTTGAACATAGGATTCTTCGACATCCAGCCACAGCTGGTGGTCCCACCCCTTCCTCTTCTTTGGACCTCTTCCCTAGCATCCATTGTTCAAGCCAGGAAATGGCTCTTCCTCCTTGAAGCCCAGAGGCTCAGAGGAGCCTCTAGACCCCTCTCAGAGAGGGCTTTCCTGTACACTGGCCCTTCCCCTGCATCCCCACTAGGACTGCAGCCTCCTGTCTCAGGCATGGCCTTCCTCCCTTCCTCCTTCTTTCCCTCCTTCCTTTAGTAACTTGGCAGCATCAGACCCCTATGTTTCTTCTTGGCCTATCCCCAGAGGCACCTAAAGCCCAGCTTAAGGGCACAGGCTTTACTGAATTCCCTCAGCAATTTGGTGGGGGACCACAGACCCAGAGCCAGATTGCAGGTCCCAGTTTTCTTTATTTTCTTTTTTGAGATGGAGTCTCACTCTGTGGCCAGGCTGGAGTGCAGTGGCACAATCTCAGCTCACTGCAACTTCCACCTCCCAGGTTCAAGCGATTCTTCTGCCTCTGCCTCCCAAGTAGCTGGGACTACAGGCATGTGCCACCATGCCCGGCTAATTTTTGTATTTTGAGTAGAGATGGGGTTTCACCATGTTGCCCAGGCTGTTCTTGAACTCCTAACCTCAGGTGATGTGCCCATCTCGGCCTCCCAAAGTGCTGGGATTATAGGTGTGAGCCACCGCGCCTGGCCCCAGGTTTTCTTTTATAGTGTCCAGAATGGCCTATTTCATATATAGAGCTGTGGTTAAGCTTGGTCTGAACCAGTCCTTTGCCATGATGTTCCTAGGAGCCAGAGCGCAGGGGCTTGGGTTCTGCATGGAGCAGATCCTTTCACTGAGAAAGTTTGCTCATTCAGGTATGCAAGGAGCTGCACCGCTTTGAGAAGCTGATGGAGTATTTCCGGAATGAGGACAGCAATATTGACTTCATGGTGAGGAACTGGGCCTGGGTCCAGCACATACCCACCAGGGCTGTGTGTGTGTTCCTTGACAACAGGGGTGAGGCCAACAGCGTATCTTGATATTCCACGTAGAGCCCAGAATGATTCTATTCAGCAAATGCTTCTTGTCCACCTGCCTACCCCAGAGAGCTCTTAGAAACTTCAGGATATCATTTGTGTATATCAGATCTACCTCCTTTTCCTCTTTTCTGTGGCCTTTTTGTCCTTGAATTGGATCCTTTTTGAGCTGCCCTCCCTTTCCTAAGCTCTTCCTCTAGCTTCTCTTCCCCTCACTGCAGGGTCTTTGGCTAGGTAAGGTTGTCTCGAGGAATACCTGTTGATGTACAAAGGAAATCAGATAGCTATATCTTCACTTACATCTGTTTTTCATGTAATTTACTTGTCTTTATACACTGAATATTAAATGACATTTTTAAAATTAAAATACTCTTATTGCCCCCATAAAGACTTAACTCTTTAATTGACTCCCTGTAATTATCCACATGATGATGATATTCTAACAGCCGCCTATCCTCCTGGTCTCTTGCCTTTCCTCTGCCCTTCCTGTTGCTGCTTCTCTGGGCCTCCTCTTCTTCAGGTGGCCTGCATGCAGTTCATCAACATCGTGGTGCACTCGGTGGAGGACATGAACTTCCGGGTCCACCTGCAGTATGAGTTTACCAAGCTGGGGCTAGAGGAGTTCCTGCAGGTGAGCTGGCTGGGGTCCTTGTAAGGTGAGGTGCTTTGGGATCAGTTTAGCCGTATCACAAATGATTTTTCTTTTATAAGTGCCTAATCCTTGATGCTCCTGGGACCCTGCCTGTCTTCTGTAGCCTGGGACTCAGGACCTCTGCAGCTAACTCCCCAGTCAGGCAGCTCCATGGGGGCGAGAATCTGACATGGCCTGCAGCAGGAACTCTTTGGGAAGTGGTGGCGAAGGGGGATGAGGACTAAGACTTTCTCAGAAAGTTCCCCTGATGATCTGCCTGCTCCTACAACTACTCCTACTCTCTGCTCTTCCCCCAGAAGTCAAGGCACACAGAGAGCGAGAAGCTGCAGGTGCAGATTCAGGCATATCTGGACAACGTGTTTGATGTCGGGGGTTTGTTGGAGGATGCTGAGACCAAGAATGTAGCCCTGGAGAAGGTGGAGGAGTTGGAGGAGCATGTGTCCCATGTAGGTGGTCTTCCTTTGCCTGCCAGAGCCACTGTTGATGGAAGCTCAAGTAACCAGGAATCCTGAGCTGACCCATTTGCCTCCAGATTGAGTCCCAGGGAGGCTTTAGAACCCACCAGGGCTCTCAAGAGCATACTCAGGCCTGAGCCACTGGATCATCCACCAGTTGGAATACACATCGACCTCCAGGGCTGGGCATGAGGTGGCATTGGTCTTGAGACAGTCAGAATGTGGCCTTTGTCTTGTATCTGTTATTGGAATATAAGGGAACCACCTGACTAAGCTGCCTTTGTGGCCTTGTGTTGAGGGGTCCGACTCAGGTCTTGACTAGGGTTCAGGCTGTGCTGAGTGCCCAGGCTTTAGGGCCAGCACAGAACCTGCCCTTCCTGTTGTGCAGCTCACAGAGAAGCTTCTGGACCTAGAGAATGAAAACATGATGCGGGTGGCAGAACTAGAGAAGCAGCTGCTACAGCGGGAGAAGGAACTAGAGAGCATCAAGGTACAAGTACTCTGGGGAAGGCAGTCCCTGACTGATCCTGGGCTCCAGCGCCTTGGGGTTCTGCTTTTTTTCCCTGAGTCATATCAAGTTCTCTAGGATTTAGATCTTGATTCACCCTTGAGGTACTCAGGTGTGGGTGGGCTGATGATTTCACCCCATTTTTTTAGTTGGAGAGGAAAGGT
This sequence comes from Homo sapiens, assembly GCF_000001405.40. NCBI lineage: Eukaryota > Metazoa > Chordata > Mammalia > Primates > Hominidae > Homo > Homo sapiens. The sequence continues at coordinate 49,653,043 of NC_000012.12, read as the reverse complement.
GGGGCCAGTGTGAGCCAGACACACACATAAGAGGGTGGGAACAGCTGGGGCACCCACAAGCATTCTGGAGTTCCAACCCAGGCCTCCTCCTACCAGCCCATCCCATTGATTTTTCTCCCCTCTACCCCCGTGTTCCTCCCCCAGCCATGTTTAATGAGCAGGGGCAGAGTGACCAAGTGCTCTGTGTATTAGGATGTCCACCAGGTATCCTAAATTGGCAGGGCAGGTACTCTTCATATTTCATTCTCTTCTGTATTTTCTCCTGACTTTTTGTTCATTATAAAGTCATGCCCCCATCCTACTTTCTCTTTCAGAAGAATATATGCTGGCTCTGTTGAGCTCAATATGTATCTGCCCAGCTTCTGCTGAGCATTGTATTGGGAGCTATGGAGGATACAGAGATGGTTAAGACAGGGTCTTGTTTATAGGGGGCTTCCAATTGAGCCATTATACAAGGCCAAGTGAAATTAAAGCAAAATGAGGCCCAAAGGGTTATGGAGAGAGCCGCTATGTCAGACCGGTGGTAGATTAAGGAGAGTTTCACAGGGGCAACCTTTTTTCCTGGGCTTTGAGGGGCCCATGCAGTGAGAATTGGCTGGAGCAGAGAGGACACTTCAGGGTGCCAGCGGAGGGAGGCAGCTTCTGCTTGCCTCTTTTGTTTTGCTGCCTTCCAGCTTCCTCATTCCCCCACCTGGGTTTCTGCCACTCTGAGCCTCTGAGTACCCTGACAGAGACCCTCGTTAAGAGAACCCTGGGTAGGAATTCTCACTCTTGGGGCAATGACTATGCCTTCAGCCCACTTTTCCCTTAATGGTGCTGTCTGCCTGCCAGGAGACATATGAGAACACAAGCCACCAGGTGCACACCCTGCGGAGGCTCATTAAAGAGAAGGAGGAGGCCTTTCAGCGTCGATGTCATTTGGAGCCAAATGTCCGGGGCCTGGAGTCTGTGGACAGTGAGGCCCTGGCCAGAGTAGGCCCTGCAGAGCTGAGTGAGGGCATGCCACCCTCCGACCTGGACCTTCTGGCTCCAGCCCCACCCCCTGAGGAGGTCCTGCCTCTTCCTCCACCACCAGCTCCGCCCTTGCCCCCTCCACCTCCCCCATTACCAGGTAACCACGACGACCCCTGGGAGCCAACAGGGGCAGCCTCTTTGTGGGGACCAAAACTGTAGTCAGCAGTGTCTTCCTCAGGGAGAAGCTGGGAAAATGGCATTATCTGAGGACTTGGAGGGATATAAAATCAGGGTGAGGGAGGCCTGGAATCTGAGGGAAGCTCAAGTTATCAGCACAGGGATGCCCAAAGGCAGATGTGGACCTGTTTTAAGGATCATAAAGATGTTGCTCCCAATTCCTTTGAAGACAGCCAAGGAGAGGCTTAGACTGTAGCCATAGAAACTGGGTCAGAGACCAGCAACAACTGCCCTGTCAGAGTTAGATTTCTGGGAGCAGCTTGAGCAGAGTTCATGTAGGCTCCTTCTCTGAGAGTTTTTTTTTTTTTTAACTCTCAGAGAAGGTGGGACAGGCAGAGGGGAGGGAAGCCTATGAAGAGTCTCTTGACGCCTGGGTCACTGTGTCATTTCTTCTTCCCCCAGACAAGTGTCCCCCAGCCCCACCTCTCCCTGGTGCTGCACCCTCTGTGGTGTTGACAGTGGGCCTGTCAGGTGAGTATCCCCAGGGCTCTGGGCAGGGCTGGTGGGACCAGGGGTGTGTGTCCTTGGCCCCTGTGTCACTGATCCTCCTTCCAAATTAGCCATTCGAATTAAGAAACCTATCAAGACCAAGTTCCGGCTGCCTGTCTTCAACTGGACAGCACTGAAACCCAACCAGATCAGTGGCACTGTCTTCAGCGAACTTGATGATGAGAAGATCTTGGAGGTAACAGGGCCTGGGGTCCAGAGGGCTAAGGTTGAGGGCTAGGGACCTGGTTGCCTTTTGAGGAGATTCTGGTCTTAGAAAAGCCATCAGACAGGGTGAGGCCAGGCTTAGCTCCACCAACCCTTCATTCTTGAGTGTACGTATATTTCTAGTTGTGTCAACACTTTGTGTTTGTATTCAGGAAATATTCCAGAGTGACAGAGCTCTGGGCCAATGCTGGGTGGGCTGTCATGAGGTCCTCCACTAGTATGAGGCTACAGCGTTTTCCTTGCTCACCTATTCCTGCCAGGACCTGGATCTTGATAAGTTTGAAGAATTATTCAAGACAAAAGCGCAGGGCCCTGCCCTTGACCTCATCTGCTCCAAAAACAAGACAGCGCAAAAAGCTGCCAGCAAGGTGACTCTGTTGGAAGCCAATCGTGCCAAGAACCTGGCCATCACCCTACGCAAGGCTGGCCGCTCGGCTGAGGAGATCTGCAGGGCCATTCATACGTGAGGCTCCCACTGACCTGGCTCTGGTCCCTAGTCTGTTGGCAACCCAGTTCTCCACCCAGGAGCCTGGGTTTCCCTAGATTCCAGGTCATCTGACAGAACTCCCTCACATCCCCCTAGTCATCCACTGGCTTGGCTAGAATTTACTGCATCTGTGCTGGCAGTTCAGCCCAGACCTTCACCCAAGGAGCTCTCAGTCTATTGGGAACAGTGCAGTAACACTGAGTGATACCACCAGGATGGTAGAAGTATACAGGCAGCTTTGGGAGAATAGGGAGGTTCATGTAGCTGAGCTTGGTGATGAATGAGGGAAGCCTTCCCAGAGGAGGTAATGTCTCAACTGGGACCTGAAGAAAAGATATGAGTTAGTCCAGTTCAGGGCCTGGAGGGAGAAGCATAGTGCCTTGGGTACTAAAAATTGAATCTGGCTTTAGTGTAGGGAGAGGAGCAGGAGAAGGTAGAGAGTTGGGCAGAAGTCTTGCAGGCTGGACCTCGTAAGCCATGCTCAGGTGTTTGGACTTCACCCTAGGTACAGTGGGAGTACATCAAAGGGCTTATTAAACAGGAGCATGGAGTGTTCCCCCGGGATCATTGCTGGTGCTGTGACAGATGATGCAATGGGTCCTTTGCCTTTGGCTGTGTTCCGTGTACAGTCCCCTGTCCAGTTCTTCTAGGAGCTTGGAGAATAAAAGGGATGAGGGAAAACGTGGAGAGATGTGAGAACTGAGGTGGTCCCTCCCTCCTCCACAGGTTTGACTTGCAGACACTACCTGTGGACTTCGTGGAGTGCCTGATGCGCTTCCTGCCCACAGAGGCTGAGGTAAAGCTGCTGCGGCAATATGAGCGGGAGCGGCAGCCCCTGGAGGAGTTGGCAGCTGAGGACCGCTTCATGCTGCTCTTCAGCAAGGTGGAACGGTTGACCCAGCGAATGGCTGGCATGGCCTTCCTGGGGAACTTCCAGGATAACCTGCAGATGCTCACACCGGTACAGCCCCCACCCAACTCATGGCTCTGGACAGCTGTCCCTCCACCCTCCATCTGCTAGTCACCTCCCCTGCCCTTCCAGTCCTTCTGACCCCTCCCTGTCTTTACCCCATCTCAGCCTGGGGTTACTTCAGTGTTCATATTGTCCTACAGCAACTCAATGCCATCATTGCGGCGTCCGCTTCCGTCAAGTCTTCACAGAAGCTGAAGCAGATGTTGGAGGTGGGAAGAGGTTGTGAACAGGGGTGCTGGGGGTTTTCAGGTCCTAGGTGGGGGCCTGGGGCTATACAGAGAGGAAGAAGGAGCCTTCAGGACCTGAGCCTGACCTGCCTCCCACACATTCTTTGGACAGATCATACTTGCACTGGGGAACTACATGAACAGCAGCAAGCGGGGAGCTGTGTATGGCTTCAAGCTCCAGAGCCTGGATCTGGTAAGATGGTGAGGGCAGCGTGGGCCAGGAAGCCTGGGGGGCAGCAGTTGTGGAGCCAGAGTGCTTAGCTCTTGTGCACCGCCCTCACCCCCTCTCCTAGCTGCTGGATACCAAGTCCACTGACCGGAAGATGACACTGCTTCATTTCATCGCCTTGACAGTGAAGGAGAAATACCCAGACCTGGCTAACTTCTGGCATGAGCTGCACTTTGTTGAGAAGGCTGCAGCAGGTGAGGAGAGCCTGGCTGGGTGGGCCTGCCCTCACATCCAGCCCAGGACAATCCCAGGAAGCTATGAGGAGAGAGAACACTTGGGTCCATTTGTTTCTGGCTTTTGTTATCTTCTTTCTGACCACTTCAAAGCTTTCCGCTGGAGCCTTAAGCAGGGGCCACTCCAGAGGGAGCCTTCCTCCAGGCGCCAGGCCTGGCCCAGCCCAGCCCTTCCCAGCTAGGTACAGTGGGAGCAGGAACAAGAAGGGGAGCAGTCGCTCTTTACTCCCAACTCCCTCAAGCTGGCCCCAGAGGTCTTGTGTTTTGTGTATGATGTATGTGAAGTGCTTAGAAAAAAATCATAAAGCTCTCTATAGACATGAGGTAGCTGTTATTTCTGCCCCACCCATGAACCCTAGGGCAGGCCTGAGGCAGTTTCATTTTGGAGACCAGCAGTCTCTGTGGCTTGCCTGCCTTTGCTACTGTGTTCTTTGGGGTCACAAGCTCAGTTTCCATTCCATTCCCTCCCCCTGTGAGGGATCAGCTAGCTTGGTGTGTACTTCCTTATGTCCATACAGGTATGTGAACCTGAGTGAGCCCATGCTGAGGGGGAGGGCCAGAGTTTGATATAGCTCTGGGCTGGGAGGTGAGCATGCCAGGCCCTAGGCATTCCTCAGCCAGGCTTTTGGTGACCAGTGTCCCTGGAGAACGTGCTGCTGGACGTGAAGGAGCTGGGCCGGGGCATGGAGCTGATTCGGCGTGAGTGCAGCATCCATGACAACAGCGTCCTCCGGAACTTCCTCAGTACCAATGAAGGCAAACTAGACAAGCTCCAGCGGGACGCCAAGACGGCTGAGGCAAGCACGGGGTGCAGGCGGTGGGAGCAACCAGGGCCAAGGCACCAGGCCCCTCTAGGTGGCCCTAGTTCTATTTTTTTTTTTTTTTAAATCAAGCAGCTGGCTGGCTACATGTAGGGGAGAGAGAGCGCTTTGGGAGTGCCAGGCAGCTGCCTCTGGAGACATGTAGGGGAGAGAGAGCGCTTTGGGAGTGCCAGGCAGCTGCCTCTGGAGACTCATACTCAGGAGCTTTGGGAGCCCCAGGTTCCCTCCAGCTCACAGGGGCCTGGGTGCTTGGTTTTCCTCCCTTTGGCCCTGGGCTCTGCTTTCTGCAGGCCTCTCATCCGTGGTGTGGGAGCTGGGCTGATCTTCCTGCCAGGGTGACCCATTCTGCCCACCCCTTCCCCAGGAGGCCTACAATGCAGTTGTGCGCTACTTTGGCGAGAGTCCCAAGACTACACCTCCTTCTGTATTCTTCCCAGTATTTGTCCGATTCATTCGTTCTTACAAGGTAAGCTGCAGAGAGCTTTTTAAGAAGTTTGGTTGCGAGAAAACTGGCTGGGGGAGAGAAGCCTGGGCTTAAAGTATGGGCCTTTTCCGACTCCTCCTCCGAGTCCTGGGAAGGGAGCGATGCAAGCTGGTGACAGGCCTCTTAGCTGTGAACTGGTGGGCAGGGTGGGGCCCAGGACCTTCCTGTCATTGTTTGGGGCAGGAAGTGCCCCTCCAGAGGGTGGCCACCTGGAGTTAGCGGGTCCCACTGCCACCCACTCTCCACCTCAGTGTCAGCCCCTCCCCTCACAGCCTATGAGCCTCACTCCCCACCCCCCATCTTCCATGGCTCTTAGGAAGCAGAACAAGAGAATGAAGCCCGCAAGAAGCAGGAGGAGGTAATGCGGGAGAAGCAGCTGGCTCAGGAAGCCAAGAAACTGGATGCCAAGGTGGGTGGGACCAAGAGCTGGGGCCTGGAGGACGACAAGGCAAAAGAGTGGGGGCTGGGGGTCAGAAGGCTAGAGGAGATGAAAACTTGGAGTGGACAGACCACCCAGAGGGCCAGTGGGCTGGCATCCAGAGGGATGGAGGGAGGGCCTTTGGGGATTCCTAGCAGTGCACAAGCAGTGGCATCCTCAGACTGCACCTTGGGGCAGGAACCAGTCCCACATTAGGTTAGTGATGACTTCCTTCCCCTCCACATTCTTGGCCCTAGACCCCATCCCAGCGGAACAAGTGGCAACAGCAGGAGTTAATAGCAGAGTTGAGGCGGCGCCAGGCCAAGGAACACCGGCCTGTTTATGAGGGGAAGGATGGTACCATCGAGGACATCATCACAGGTGGGGCCCTTTTCACTCCCTGGGGCCTGGCCATTGCACCCAGCTCCCAAAGCTCAACCTAACCCCTTTGGGCTCTCCTCCCACCCCACCCCCCATGAGGCCTGACCACTGTGTCTCTCTCCTGGGCCACAGTGCTGAAGAGTGTCCCTTTCACGGCCCGTACTGCCAAGCGGGGCTCACGCTTCTTCTGTGATGCAGCCCACCATGATGAGTCAAACTGTTAGCCCCCAAGGTTGGGGCCCGACAGGTACTGGGCACCGCAGCTGCCCCCTCTGCATGCCCGTCTCCCAGGATTCCTGCTGGGAGACCACAGGCACCTTCTTTCCTGCATGACTTGCAATCACCCTCTGGCAGCCTCCCAGCAATGGGGACACATACTTCTTGCATGCCCCATGCTCTGAGAAGTGTGGCATATCCCCTGCATGTGTCCTTAGGGAAGTGGTCTCTCTCCCACTAATGCTGTCCTGGCTTCTACTAAGACCAAGTGGGTAGGGAGTCACCAGGCCAGTGTTGAGAACAGGCCAGAGCAGGCAGGACCAGACCTACAGTTCTGATCTTTGAGGCTGAGGTTGAGGGTCCATTCCCAGGCCTAAGGAACCTTTCCCTACGGTTCTCTTCTCATAAGAGCTCTGGTAGTAGCTTCTGACCAGGAGGTATCAGATGTCCCTTGATCTGTTTCCTGACGTCCAGTCAGCCTGGGGTCTTTTCCTAGTTTCTGGCTCTTTCTGAATGCATCTACCTTGTCTCTCTCCACTGCCCAGTGGCCTCTAGTCACCCCAACCTGATCCTCTGAAATGCAAAGCCCAGCAATCTCCCCAACCAGCAATTTCCCCAACTGGGTACCCCTCAAGCCTTATCTAAGCCTCCTGTTTATCTGCCTCACTGCTGGCTCCTCCCTGGCCCTACCTGTGGGGCTGCTCTTGAGGGCACTGTCCTGGCTCACCCTCCCATCCTGTTCACAGGTCTCTCTCTTCCCCCACAGGCCTCCACTGCCAGCCTATGGTTGTTCGCCACCAAGCCAGGAGTGCTGCACCGCCCAGTGGTCCCCCTCGGGCTCCAGGCCCCCACTGAGACCCTCTCGGAGGCAGAAGCACTTCACCCCTCAGAGTCCTACAAGTCCAACCAGTGGACCTGGAATTGGCCAAGGGCTCAGGAGAGGGCTGTGTTGCTCTCTCAACCATGTCCGCCCCAGCTCTTGAGGCTGGATCTTTCTACTTGTGCCACTATGGGCACTAGGTCTGTAGGTCCCTGGTGCTTCCAGTACTGCACTTTGCCCCCAAGGTCTTTGACTTCATTTCCTGAAGGGTCACCAAGGGTCAGCTCAGGGCTAGGAAAAACCATTTCCAGCCTTAGCCTAAACAGGGCACATAGATCTCTCCCACTAGAGCCCAGAGGGATGAGAGGAGAGAGCAACTGTTCTTTCTTTTTTTTTCCCTTCCTTTTTGCAGGCCCATGGTCAGCTCTGGTCTAGATGTATCTAGGCTTAGGGAGCCCTGGGACCCTGCCAGTCTCAGTTCATCTCTTACCAGGAGCAAGGCCCTCTGAAGCATGGGCCGTGCCAGCTGTGCCCTAGTGATAAGGGTAAGAGGAGAGATGTCAGGCTCACTGCCCTTATTTCTCTGCCCATTTCATTCTAGGCTCACACTGTCCTTGTCAAGGTGGGCAGAAGAGCAGAGGTCTTCTCTGCACCAACCACTCTCTGCAGATGGCTGGAGAAAGGGTGTGCCAACTCTTCACCTTCTTTCCTCAGCTACGGTTTTTTTTTTTTTTTTTTTTTTTTTGGCAGGGGACAAGGAGCATGGTGGTCTTGGCTATTTGCTTACCTTCCCGTTTCTCCTCTGCCCCTGGAAGGGAATGTGGGGGCCCACTTTTTTGTACATGTACCACCTCCCTTTCCTCTTACTGTACATAAACCTCAGACTCTCCCCCTCTCAACAAAGGCTTGATGCACCAGGCCTGACTTTGTCTCCTCTTTCTGAGCTTAGGGGGCTAGGGTGGCCATTTAGTCTGACCTGGGCTATGGGGATAGAAAAGAAATCTTTGGGGCACTGCATCTGTTTTGGAGGAGATGAGATCAGAACTCTGGGGAAAGGAGAACCGGCTAGGTGGGCTCTAGCCACACAAAGGGAAGCAGGCCTGCCATGAGACACTAGTGCCCTCTGCTGGGCATGTGTCCAGTCCCCAGCCTGCCCCAGTAGCACATGGAAAAGAGTCACTGGCCATGTTATAAATATTGTTATTTAAAAAACAAAAAACAAAACACACGTACATTAGGTCCTGGGTGGAGGAAGAAGTGGTGGAGCCTCAGGGCCAGGGCAGGCAGGAGCAGGCACTGATGCTAGAGGGTGATGACCCTGCCCTCTGCCACCCAGGCTGCGTCCAACAGCCTGTGACTCTTCCCTGGAGACCCCTTCTCTCACACTTTTATCTACTGGCATCACCCACCCCACATGGCATATACCACCCATCTCTGGTCTGGGGCTGAGGGCAAGGACTGCACTAGTCCAGGGAGTAGGGGACCCTTGAACACCAAGAGCAACCTTGAGAGGTGCCAACAATGGTGTGCTGGGGGTGGGGTTACTTTAGAAAAAGTGGACACAGACCAGACTAAGGAAGAAGTCTGAGGCAGACGGTGAGGGTGGCCCAGGAGCCATGGCCTCACACAGACCCGAGGCAGAGAACAGCTCATTGGGTCACTGGTGATCATCCAGCTGCTGTAGGAGTGTCCGCCGCCGCCTCTCCAGCTCACCCTCACTCAGCTCACTTTCTGACGTGTCCCAGCCTGTCTGTTGGAGCAAAGGCACAGTTCACCCTTAGCCTGCACTAAGGGCCGTGGAAGCTTGACCAGCGTGCTGACTGGCCTAGGGCCCCTGCCCCTCACCTTCTCCTTCTTGATTCCAAAGCCTGGGGAACGGTTAGGGAGCTCTGCCTGTTGGAGCTCCCTGTCCTTGTCCTGTTCTTGTTCTTTCTCATCGCTCTCCTTGCCAGCTTTCTCCTCAGGGTCTGTCTCACTCTCAGGACTATTCTGTAAGAGTCCAGAGCCCACCTCCTCAGTTCCTGTGGATAGCCTGGGAGGCAGGTAGAACAGAACTCACAAAATAGCAGGGGCTTAGGTAGAAGTTCCTTCACTCACCGACTTGTGTCTTCTCTTCTTAGTTTTCTTTTTTGGTTTCTTGGCTTTCCGAAGGCCATGATCTAGAGATAGAAAAATCCCTACTAAGTCCCAACAGGAGAAAGACAGGCTCTTTTTCTTTGTTCTAGCCCCTCTGTTCATTCTTCACAGGCAGGAACCTCATGCTCTGAGGAAGTCTAAGTCCAGTTTTCCTTCTCCAGCTTCTTGCTTGGGCAGGTAGAGGAAGTTCTTTCTACTTCCACAGGTGCAGCCCTCCCAATCCAGTCTACCCTCAAAGGAGCTGGGGCTTGTGGAGGGCATCCTCTCAGTCTGGGACAACAGTTCTCCAGCTTCTACGCTCACAGCAACTGCTTACCTGCTCCAAGAAGATGGGAGGAAGGGGAGCCCCGTCCTCCAAGGGCAGCACCCCCACTTTCAACTGAATCAAGTGAGGAAGAGGGCTCAGAGCCTGACTCTGAGGGGTTCCGCCTCCTCCGCTTGGGGGGCCGGAGAGATGGTGGGGGCAGCTCCTCTTCTTCTGACTCAGAGCCCTGGGCAGATCAGCAGATACATGTCAGTGCAGAGGTTCTCTGCCCTCCAGAAGCCCTCGTCTGGGAATTCGAGAGAGGAGGAGGACCCAGGGCCAAAGGAATCCTCAAACTTCCCTCCAAGGGAGATATTGTAAGGGGAAAACAAAGTGTTTATTTCCCCAAAACAACCCAGCTTCACCCCATGTCCCTTCTACACGCTTACTCACTGAGGGTGAGTGGGAACGCTTGTGATGGTGCTTCTTGCCTTTCCTGCCATGCTTTCGGCCTTTGGTGTGGAGGTGCTGGCATTCAGTCTGCTAGAGGCAGAGGAAGAAGGGTGAGGACAGCACCAGACTTAGCCCCAGGAAGGATCCTACTTCCTAAAATCTGGCTTTGCCTCCCTTTCTCAGACTAGAGCCTTCTGCCTATCCCAGGGATCCTCAGGCCTCCCCTTCCTTAGCTGGCCAGGAGTGCCCTAAGGGTAAGAGGGAGGCCACTGAGGTCTCTGTTGAACTGGTCTAATGAGTTCAAGGGCCTGAGGCAGATCCAGAGGACAAGCCTGCCTCACCTCCAGCACCTGTAGGAACTCCCGGAAGAGCCGGATCCGCTCCGACTCCAGGGTGATCTGCTCAAAGGCTGAGTCACACACAAAACGCTCACGGACCTTGAACGAGGAGAGCACTGCTGATCAGACTAGGCCCCACTCAGCCTGGCCTGGACACCGCCATGAGCACAGGGCAGGGCTGGGGCAGAGAAAGGAAGGGAACTGGAGCTGGCCCAGGGCTGTGACGTGACTGGGGTGGGCCCTCAGTGGTGAAGCACCGCTGCCCTCAGGCTTGAGGGGTGCTTGGGGCCAGGCTACGCTCCTGACCTCTTCCCAGGCAGTGCCTAGCTCCAGAGCAGGCACAGCCTGCCTCAGCATGCTTCGAAAGGCAGCTTCCCTGCGCCGCATCCTGCGTGCCTCCTCCTTCTCCCGCTCCCTCTCCCGTGCCTCTGCTTTCTCCAGCAGCTGAGGAAAGAAGGGACACGGAACAGGGTCACCCAGGAGGGTGGATGCCAGGTCCCACTCAGGCATACCTTAGGAGGTGGAAAGTTAGGGTCTGGGCTTCTACCACCATCCCCTGAATTGGGAATATAGTCAGTGGGACAGTGAGTGAGAAGGAATGGAGCAAGACACAGATGAATTAGAGAACTTCCCACGCCCCGCCCAGCCCCTCACACTATTGAAGGTCAGCTTGATGTTGCCTGCGTCCAGTGCGGCAGCCCTCTTGTCAAAGCTTATGACGTGGGCGAAGTCCTCAAAGGCCGTGTTCACCTCCACGCAGAAGCCCCGGTCCTGTGGGTACAGCAGTGCATGAAGCAGGGGCACCACGTGCCTGAGGCCAAAGCTGGCAGGCAGAGTGGTCACATTACAGATGGTCAAGAAGGCCCTTGCCTCTGGAAGAGATCCACAGGACTGTGGTCTGCATTAGAAACCAAGTTATCCAAGTCCTCATCACTTGACAATTAAGCCCCCATGCCTACCCTTGGTTTGGATGTCACACAGAGCTGAAGGGGTTGGGAGATGTCTCCCAACTGCTGATTAATGCTGAGTTTCTCAAAATTAACTTTTGTTCCTTTGGCTTAAAGCTCTGGCCCCAGCTGGGCCCTCCTGCTGCTCAGCAGTGCTTCCATGCATTCTCAATCAACATTTGCTGGCCCCTACCCTTTGGGTCTATTTATTGAGTGCTTACTATGTACCAGGTACCATGATGAGTGTTTCACACATTATCTCATTTAATCCTCTTGGTTCTACATTTAAGAATAGGTCCTAGTATCCTAATTTTACACAGAAGGAGAAACCAAGGTTCAGAGAAACTAGAGCACTTGCCCAAGGTCTCACAGCTGATATACGGCTGGGCAAGAACCCTACCCTGGGGGGGCTCTCTATCCCCAAAGTGTCTGCTTTCAAGCACCACACCCACCCAGATGACTTAGTCCATGGGAGAAACGGAGGCCACCAGGTGTGCAGCTCCCCACCAATACTAAAAACATGTCCACAGGCCAGGCTCTATGCTTCTCATTTAGGCCTCACAACATTCCAGTGAAGCAGAGGCTTAGAAAAGTGATCTCAGTTGGCCCAAGATGACATGAGTGGTAAATGAAGCCACTGGAGTTCAAAGTCTGGCTCTCACGTCAGTTAAGCACAGGCCAGATTCCCTTTCTCTCCCTCCACATAGCTCTCACCTCCTCTGGCCTTTTTGCTGATGGCAGAGGTGTGCTCCTCTTTCTTCTTTCCAAGGGTACTTCCTCAACCCTGCTACAGTCCTTATCAACACAGCATTCATTCTCAGGGAATTGAAAGCTCCAAGTCACCCTTGTTACTGGCTCCTTCCATCAAGCAGACACCTCACCTAACCTGGAACATCCTTTCCACCATGCTCTCCCCTTCATCAAGCTAACTACCTCTGCTCTTTTCCATTGTTTCAAAACCTCTTGAAATGCAGCAGAAAGGAAAAGGAATAAACATTTATTGAGAACCTATTAGACACTTTACAGATGTTATTTAATTCTCACAACCTTACCTATGAATTATCCCTGATTTACAGGTGAGCAAACAGGCTCAGAGACACGGAACTTACGGAGGTCTCAGAGCCAATAAGCAACCAGGAGTAATCTGACTCTAAAACATGTGCTGCCCCCATGCCACCTCCATGACTCTACTCTCCCAAAGGTTGCTTGTGTCTACTAGCCAAATCCAAGGCCGCCTTCTTTGTCCTCACTCATCTGGTCCTCAGTGCCTCTACCACTTACTTCTTCAACACTCCCCTCTCCAGGTCACACCCTCTCTGACCTTTTATTCTCTTGCATATGCATGTTCCTGAGAACAGCACTTAGTCCTCTTTCACTACCCAATCTGTACTCCCTCGCAATCTCATCCTTCATCTCTCCTGATTTTCAAACATCCTAGACTGGATATTTCAGACACTTAAAATTCAACAGATCTCAAGAGAATATATTTCTCATGAGCATCCTCCATGGATCTCCCTGACCCGGATCTGTCTGCCTGTTCTAAGTCCAGGGCTCTTTGCATTATCCTATGGGATGAAAGGCACCATCATGGTCTGCCTGGCTGTGGAAAGCAAGAGGGACTCCTGGGCTCATCTGCCCTCCATAGGCAGGAACCCAAATGGGGAAAGAGGAAGGGAACTGTCTAAAAAAGTTGCTTTCTCAGGTTGTGTGGAGAGACAGGACTCAGTGAGGATAGGCCCCTACAGGCCTATCAACCAGCCACTCTGTGGCTAAAAGTTAATTGTCCAATAAAATTTAGCTATCCCAGGATAAGGCATTTCTACTTTATACGATTATTCTGTTTTAAAATATATTTGCTTTGAGAGTAATTCCCCAAATAGAATTCCTATTTTCTACAGCCTTGCTCTTCTTGTTTTATCCTTATCAATAGTGCCATCATCCACTGCCCTGACACCTCTGATTCCTTCCTTTCCCTCCATTTCACAAAATCTATCAATTCTACTTAGTGACTCTATCCCACTGGTGTTGAATTCTCCCTTTTTTTTTTAAACAGCAGAAACAGTTTATTAAAATAGAAATCTTATGTAGAACCTTTATGCATAAAAAAGATTCAAGCTGCTTCACTTGAAAACAGGAAGCAGCACCAAATCCCCCCATACTCAACTCCAACCCTTGCTTGTCTCAAGGCACCTACATAGAAACCCAGAGTGTCTCAGAAGAACAGCTGGAGCGCTACAGCCTGCTCTCTTCTGCTGTCCCCACTGCCCCCGGCTAGGATCACCTCCTACAAGATTCCTGCACAGCCTACTGACTTTTCTCCCTGCTCACCCTCTTCCATCCCTCTAACCCAGCTCCTAGCATCTAGTGCTTCTTGGACTTTTGTACCAAGTAGCCCCAACAGTAGGAGAGAGGTCTGGGGATAAGTGAAATGAATATGACTATTTGAATTACCACTATCAGTTTTAGTATCTTGAGGCTTCAAGAACTGCTCTACCTAGCACCACCACCTTCCCTAAGGACATAAGTACGTACTCTAGACTGAAAGGTTCTACTATACACCATCTAATCTGATCATTCCCCGGTTCCTCATTACTTACGAGAGAAAAATCCAAATTTCTTATTTTAGCATTCAAGGCACTTTACATGCAGGGCTCTACTTCCAAGCTGGGGCATGTGGTTCCAGAGAAAGAGAGGATACCTCAGGACAGTATGATACATCTTACCTAATGGTAAGTAATTTAAAATATTAAATTTATATTAAATAGGTAATATGGTGTTAAAATGCAACACCTACGTGAATTTGTAAGGCAAAACAGTACTTCAAAGAAATGTATATGCAGTGAGACATTTCTAGCTTTATTTCCAGATCCCTTTCAACCCAGGTACCATTTAATCTCTGTAATTAGGTGTACTCTGGTGGAACACTCACCATTTTTTAGATGAGGAAACAGGGTCAGAAAGGTCAAGTGACCTATCCAAGGTCACACAACTAGCAAGCAGTTAAGCTAGACTTTTACTGTAGGCAGTCTGCCTCCAGTCCCGCTCCTAACCACTGTACTGTATTATCTCCTCAAATGCATTAGAATCTTCACTTCCATAAAGAAATATGCTCTTTGTTTTTTTCTTTTGGAACACAAGGTTTAGTCCATCACTCACTCACTTTTCCACTTTTGATAAGATGTAAATATTGAGAACTATTTCTCTTCTCCAGTAGAAGAAGAGCAACAGGCCATGTGTGATGGTAAATGGCAGCTGACACTTGCGACAGTATCAAGAAGGCACTAAGGAATGGTGAGAAGGATGACTTGCCCTTTCTAAAGTGGCATCTCAGCTTGAGTCTGCAGAATGCCTTGCAAATCCAGCTCAGTACTGCTAGATAATCCATATTGACAAGAGAAGCTAAAGATTCAGATTTTCTATGTGAAGTTTCCTGGTTTTAAAATGTTAGCAACAAATTCCAAATTTTTACAGAACACTGTACAGGCCAGAAAGAACAATCTGTGTGCTACCAGTTTACAATTAGCTATGCTTCTTCCTCCTCAGACCTGGCATGCCCTTTCCACCCCCTTGCCTTTGCTCTTAGTACCCCGTGTACACTCCAACCTCTTCCACCTACAAATTTCTAAATGCACAGTTCAAATGTTAGTTCTTCAGATTCCTGTCTCTGTAATAACACTTGCCCCTTTGTATAACAGTTCTCATGTATATCTTCCTATTAGACCATGAGCTCCTGTGGTAGAAATTGTGTATTCATTACTGTATCCCTAGTGTGCAGTAAAGGATCACAGTAGATATCTGCTGAACCAAGCTGTAATGCTTCTGCAAAACAGGACTTATCAGGGAGTCCTCTGCAGGGAGTGTGCCCTGCATCCATCCTGTATCCATCCATAACCCCAGCCTCCCTCACCTTAAGGATGTCCTTAATGATCTTCTTTTCATCATGGAATCGTGCCTTCAACTCCTCCACATAGAACTTGAATAAGTCCAGAGGGGTGGAGCCTGTAAGGAGGGAGGGAGGGGGGCCTGGCGGGCGGCAGCTTCCCAAGGCCTGGGGGCTGGGCCGAGGACAGGAGCCGGTAGTAGGGGGTGCAGAGAGGCTGGCAGGGCAGGAAGCCAGGCCAGAGAAGGGGGAGCCTGGCTGCCTTACCCGGCTGGCCCAGCATGTTGGCAAAGCGGACATCAGTGCTGACTGCTGGATATAGCTCCATCCAGGTGGACATAGAGTGCAGCTGCCCTGTCTCATGCAGCTCGTCCAGGAAGGTCTGAGCAGGGAGAGGCCAGTTATAGGGAGAGTGAGACAGGGAGGCAGAGCCACAGACTGAGGGGGAAGAGAGGGAATGGCAGAGGAAGAGGCAGGGACAATCAAGATTGAGGAAATGCAGGCAAGAGAGGCAGAGATGAAGAGATGCAGATGGAAGGCTGAGAACAATGCAAAAAGAGAGAAAGTAAATACACAGAGAGGGACAGAACAAAAAGGTGAGAACAAGCCAGTCCCGGGATGCAAAGAAACAGAAACCTGCCTGCAGTAACCCCTAGCACTACCACCACCACTGCCACCCCCAAGCTGAGGGAATAAACTCTGCCTGTCGGGTGCCCCACCAAGGGAAATAAACATGGCCTAGCTGCCAAGTCATGCCTGTAGGGTGCTCTCTACTGGCAGTTTCTGGGTGGTGCATACATCTAGTCTCCCTAGAAGAGCACAGTCCAGAATTGAGGAGGTACAGCAGAAACAGACTGCAGGCAGAGAGAGGTCTCATAGAGCTTGGACAGGGCTAGGCACAGAAAGAACAGGCAGCGTATCCAGAAGGGGGCAGGGAATGGGTGAAGAGGTTGTGCTCTAGGGCAGAGCTGAGCTCTGATCTAGAAAGGACAGCAAAGATACCTGGAAGGCCTCCCGATTCTTGCGTTGTTGGCGTCGCTCCCGAAGCCGGGCCCGCTCCCGTTCCTCCTCCTCTTCCCTCTCCAAAGCTCGGATGTGCTCCTCAAAACAGATCAGTGCATCTTCCTTGTCCATGTCTAAAGACAGGCAGGAGGTTCCGCGGGCATTGTCCCAGCAGGATACCCTCTCAGACCCCAGCACCCCTAATGTTTCAACGATGCTGTCCTACAGGTGCTAGGGATACCCAGGGTGGTGGGGGAAGGGCCTGGAGGGGGCTCTGTGGGAGCAGCCACTGCAATGGTAGTTCTTAAGAGGGGATCATTAATTGTATAAGAATAAATAAGCAAGTATTCAGCTCTTGTGAATTCAGTTATTAGAAGCCATAACATGAAACCGGTTGTCTTGGGATCTGAGGTTTCACACCTTAGGGAACTGGGAATCAATCAGGCTTTGATGCAATTTCAGAAAGTGAATTTGAGTATCATCAGTAATTACAGGCCAACAACAGTCTATTGTAACGTGACCAATTAAGGCCTGTAGTTCTATGATGCTTTAAGACCATATTCACATGAGCTAAAATCATCATTGACATCTCTAGGACTTAAGATTCCTATCCCAGAGCTCTTCCTCCAAGGACACAAAATGTCTAGGCCAAGAGTGGACCCCAGAGGGAGGGGTGTCCTGAAACATTCTGGTATCCCCGGAGTCCAAAGAGGTACAAGGACTGGGTGAGTGTTGAGTACTCCTAGGGTGTCCGGGAGGGCAGGAGGTACAGGGGAGTGGGGTGAGGCAGACTCTGGGGTCCCAGGTCCAGTAAAGAAAGGGAAAGGGATAGCTGGGATTGGAGGCCCAGGCTTACTCTGCAGCTGATGGTCCTGAGCAAAGCTGGGGTTATCCATGAGGTACTGCTGGGCCTGGGACCACGTGGTTTGGAAGTTGACACTACTCATCCCATCCAGGATGCTCTTTAGGGCCTGGATATTGCGGCGCCGGAGCTGCTTGGCCTGTTCCTAGGGAGCCACAGGATCAGGGTGAGGCAGGGCAGGCCAGAGCTACCCAAGTAGGCCTGGGCAGAGGAGGACCTGGGGAAAGGTAGCTAGGGAACCCTAGGAAGAAGGCCATACTCAAGACTTTCATGTCTCAGGGAAGGGGAGGGAGTACAGGTTACAGACCCATCTCTCAGAGACTCCTCCTCCCTGCTACACCCAGGACTATAGGCCCAGAGCAGAAATGAGATGTGCAAGTCCCATACCAGCTTCCAAGTCAGAAGCTGGGACACTGGGGAAGTAGAGAAGTAAATGGCGAGGGTCCATAACAAAGCAAAGACAAGGAAAGTCCAGGATGAGATGGGCTGAAGGATTCTGCCCAGGGACCATTACCTTCTCCTTCTTGGCCAGGAAGAAGAGGACATCATCATAAACCTCTTTTCGATCCCTCTCAGGGACCACAGCCCAGACCTCCAGCTCCCCAAAGGTCTGTTCTGCCCGCCTGTGGAGCATATAAGCTGTGAGTAGGTAGACAGAGAACAGAGACCCTGGACCTTTGTGTTCTCAGGGTTCCCAAGTCCCAGCCCAGCCTGGCCCCCTGACCGGTAGCGGGTGGTGGAGGTCATGCGTTCATGCTGCTCCAGGAAATGCTGCAGGGTCTGCTTGGCCTCTTTGGCCCTTAGCCGGGCCTCCTCCTTCTCCTCCTTCTCCCGCTGCGCCTTGTAGGCATTGAATGCCTGCTTTTTCTCACTCAGTTTAGGCAAGGCACTGGGATAGAGGGTAGGAGTGGGGTGGGGATAGAGAAGTCACCCGAACCACTCTGCACAGCCCACACTGGAGGGTCATGAGACACTGCAGGCTGCAGGGGCTCCAAGGGCACAGATGTCTGGGATCTGAACACCATTCATGGAGAAGTAGGGGTGACAGGAAGTGAGGGGAAGAGATGCAGCTCCAAGACACTGCAAATACTGGGCCCTTTTCCTTTGGGGTTCTCAAGTCACCCTATCCAGCACCCTCATTCCCCAATTAATTCAATTCCGTTTGATTCAATTCAGGAAGCATTTATTGAACGTGTTGTGTCAGATACCTTTCCTTTCCTTCTCCTGGAGGCCCTCCAGCTTTTCTTCCCCTTGCACCCCAACCCAATCTATCACTGTCCTGACTCTGGTTCCCTTAGGGCTGAGTGTTGAGCTGGGGTTTTTTAGGGAGTCCCTAGCACAGCTGCTCTCATGAACAGGGCCTGGCTCCCTCTGCCCAGGCCTACCTGTAACGGGGGTCGGTGACCACCATCTTCATGGCCTGTTCCCATGAGGCATTGGAGGGGACAGCCTGGAATGAAGCAGGTGGGAGTCATGGGGCCTGCCCCGCTCCAGCCCCCTCCAAACCTTCCCTGGGAGCCCCACTCCAGCACCTTGTCCCTCAGCAGTTCCTTGAATGCCTGCTTTGCCTTCTCCCGGTTGCTCCAACTGAGGCCAGACCTCTCTGGTTCTGGCTTTGATTCCTCCTCCTCCTGCTGTGGCTGATGCTGTCCAGAACTGGAGGGCACAGGGGACTCAGCCACAGGGTCCCCCAGCTCTCACAGCTTTCAGTGCCCTGAACTCCTGGCAACATATCACCCCCTCCTTGTTCCCCAGGGCAGCCTTTTTCTGCCCTTCAGAGGTCACACCCAGATCTTCAAACCCCTCCTGAGAGAGAGGCCCAGCAGAGGACAAGGGTTGAACCAGGCTGGGAGTCTGAGGCCAACATTGGGAATGCCATGGGGGGCAGCCCTCACCTGCTGGGGCCCTCCTCCAGCTGCTGCAGGAACCCCTGTTCCAGGGGCTGGGTGGCCTCCAACACATCACAATCTTCACTCCCACCTGGCTCAGGTTCCAGGAGGCCTGTGGGCACTGGGGTGGGGCCAGGAGGCACAGGTGGGGGGTCAGGCTGTGGCTGAGGTGGCTGTGGCTGAAGTGTCTGTGGCAGCTGCTGCTGCTGTTTCCTGCAGATGAGCCAGAAGGGCGGTGTCCAGGAGGAGAGCAAGAATGGAGGACTTCAGGGGCTGGCTGGTTTCTCTATCCTGGGAAGGACTGGGGCCAGAGGGGATGACTCCACAAGGAGACAGAGCTGGCTCTTCCTCCCACAGTGTAGAGATCATGGCGACAGAGTCTACTTCCACACTCCAGGTGCCCCAACTATAAATGGATAGGTGGGCAAGTCACTCACCCTGCAGCCTCTTGTTTGACTAGAACTGTGATGGGAAAAGATAACACAGTCAGTCACAGGGGCAATAGGGAGCCCCCAGAGCTCCTGACCTGGCCCACCCGTAGGACATCTCACCCTCTAGGTCATCCAGATCCTTGGGCCGGGTCCAGCGGGACTCTTTACTCTGGTTGTTATAGTAATAAGGTTTGCCTGTGTCCGACTTGTACTCTTTCCAGGGACATTGGGACAGGAGCAGCTGCAAGTGGATGGGATAGGAGCCATCAGTGGGATGGGCAAGTTCTCCAGCCAGTCAGGGGAGCTAAGGGGACCTAGTGAGTAGAGGACACAGGAACCTTTAGCTACCACCTGGCCTGGTTCAAACTGGGGAAGGTGGACTTCTTGAGATCCTATGGAGGCATTTCCAGGGAGGGTGAGGAATGGTCAGGGACCTTGGGATCAGAGGAACCATCATGAATATGGTTAGAGACTAAGGGAAGGCCAAGGACTTGGAAGGGTCAGGGCAGCTGAAAGGAAGGGCCAGAAAGCCCAGCTCAGGACCTCTGCCTTGGACTTGAGCACGCTGGGCTTCTCCCACACGGACTGCTTGTCGTCAGCATTGTAGTAGTAGATGCGCCCATCTGGGGCCACATGCTCACTCCATAGGGCCCTCTGGGTGGGGGGGGGGGCACAGAATGGTGGTCAAGGCCCCTTTTCCAAAGCCTCTCCTCACCCCAAAGATTTAACTATCAGTCCCCCACTCTCAGGCTTTCTACCCAGAGACCCCTGAGCTGGAAGAACTCACCGGAGGGCCTGTCCCAGCCACAGCAGCTAGAAAAAAGCCAAAGGATACATACTAAGTCCTTGCTCCGACCTCCATCTTATTCCCACCTATGCCTCCCGTATTCCAGCCCCAGTAAATAGTCCCCTGGTCCCATCAATATCCCAGACTCCTTGGCATCCCAACAGGCATGATCCAGGGTGGGCTCCAGTCCACGGTCCCCTCTCCCCTATGCCCCCCAACCTCCGAGCCTGGGGGGAGCAGGCCCCCAGAAGACTCACAGCTGGCGGTGTCCGCACCCGGAGCCGTCTGCCGAAGAAAGAGGAGGGGGAAGGGTTGGGGCCAAGCCCAGTGGCCCCCAGGACCCAGGCCATGGGGGATGGAGAAGCAGGCCAGGCCAGAATCCATGTGTCCTGCTCCTAGAGATCTCTGCTCCCTAACAGGCTTCCCCCACCCTTCAGGGCCATAGCTCTGGGATCCCAAGGGAGAATCGCATAGCAGCTCCATTCTTCGTTCTCCTCAAGTGAGAGTATTTTGTTGAGACAACTCCCGAGGCTCATTCCTTCACAGTGGATGCCAAATTCTATATCCTACCCAGACTCTGCTACACTGAGCGATAGCATAAGAAGGCACAGCAAGATCCCCAGGTGCTACTGACTCTTCTGGGGACAAAGAGGATGTGAAGAACTATATTCATGTGTCCACAGTGTGTGGCTCTGTGAGGATAAGTGTGCTCCTTAAGGGAGCTGGACAAGGCACGTGAGTAACAAGAGAATGTATATGCCTTTGGGGATGAGTGGGAAACTAGAAGAGCTGAGTACATGGCTGGCGAGAAGGATTTGAGTGTGGGGAGTGCTGCCGGGGACCTGGGTGGATGCGATGAGAAGAGGGAAAGAATGGAGGTCATAGTCCTGCATTCCAAGTCAGACTCACGGGACTGCAGGGCAGAGCCTGCTACCTGCTGGCCCCTAGTGCTTACCGCTGCGGTGACAGGCACCGCTGGCATCAGCATTCCTGGCATCATCGGAGGTACCATTCCTGGTATCTATGGATACAAAGAAGACAGAAACCAACCACCAAGGTAAGGGCTGGAACAGGAGGGACAGGGTACCTCAAAGGGTCCTGAGACATCTCACTGGAGCCATGACCCTCACTTGGGCACTTCCTCAGGCAATCCCCAGATTCTGGCCTCTCACCTTGCCTGAGAGTTGTCTCAGTCATTCAGCAGACAAATCCACATGGGTTTGGCCCAAAGCTCCCTTCCTTCCCCAGTTTCTGAGGCCTACATGCCCGCTCTTATCTCCACCCCCAGCTAAACTGACAGGGTTTTCTGAGGCCCCAGGGGAGGAGAGACAATTACCTGTGTGAGTGGTGGTGGCGCCCCCATTGGTGGAAGCATTGGGGGCAGGATGCCAGGTGGCATGGGGGGGATAGCTGGTGGTCTCTGACTCATGGGGGGTAGCCCCATCGGAGGAAAGGGTGGGGGGATCCCTGGAGGGGGCATCTGGAAATGAGTAAAGGAAGAGATACTGAGCAGGGAAGACATCGCCTTGTCAGAGGTAGAGAGGACCTGTCAGGAAATATCCACCACCTCCCTCCCCAACCCTCCACCCTGCTCTGAGGCAATTCCAAGGCTTTAGTTTGAGAAGCACAAGGCATGAAACTGCCTCCCTCCTCACCACTGAGAAAGACTGACAACTGGGGTCTAACAGGCAAGCACACAGCTTCTTAATTGTAACGGGAAAGGAAAGGAATAAGGGAGGTTTAACAGCACCAGACTGAGACTGGAAGGCTCCACCTCTTCAGCAATTCTCCCCCAAAGAGGCCTCTCAGATGAAGGGGCAGAAGGCAGGTATCCAGGTACCCAAGTACCCCAGTCCCCTGCCTCCCATCCCTTTCTCTCCAACTCATGACCACCAATGCCATTCCAGCCCGAATTCTGTGGCATATTTAAAGAGCATAGGTAAGGAGTAGTGAAAGAGATAGATAGTCCCACCCTGCCCTCACATTAATGGGGTCTTTTCCCTTCCACTTCTCCTACCTCTAGCCCCAGTGTGTCCTAAGGTCAAAAAGACAAAGGGGGAATTGTCAATGTTATGTACTGAGGGCTTCACAACAGCTCTCCCCAACCCAATGCTCAAGTAAAACCATCCCTCTTCCAAGGTCAGCAAAAGGGGCATTACAGGAAAACTGTGCTGGTGATGCAGCAGTGGCTAGGGGCTGGGGAGTTGGGGGTGCAGGCTGGAAAAGCCAAGCCCAGGGAAAGACATAAAACTTACGAAGGGTGGTGGCATCATGGGGGGCCCCGGTGGGAAGGGGGCAGGCGCTGCTGGGGGCCGGGGACCAGAATCGGGAACCGACTGTTGAGGGAGAGAAAAGTCATAGGACCCAGGATGGGCACAGAGATGGGCTTTTTGCAGAAGGGAAGCAGAAGTGGTGAGGATGAAAAAGGAGCACAAAATTCAGGAGGGTCTTCAAGCCCGATTTCCTGCCCACCCCAAGCCCTTAGCCCTTGGTAGGTTTGCTCTCTCTTGTGCTTTTGCTCTCTCTTGTGCCAGCTCAGAGCCAGCTGGCTGAGCCCCTTGAATGTCATCTTTATTTTGAAAGTTTCCATTTTGTCAAAGCAACAGAAAAGATGAAGGAGGCTTCACTACAGGCACAGACTGGCTCTACCTAAGGCTTCTAATCCATTATCCTGCCTGTGGGCAAGGCTGTGCCTCTCTCAAATAAGTTAGAGGTCTCTTTTATTCCCAAAGTATCTAGGGAGGGAGTCGCCTCTTTTCTAGTTCCCCTAATTATCCCAGTTACAGAGATTCAGTCCAAAGCTCTCTCAACACAAATAGTCGCTAGTCCTTTAAAATGCTTGTCTCCCTAATTCTCATCTCTTCATGACCAGCTTCCTCCCCTAACTGACCTCATCCTTAGCCACCTACTTTCTTTGACATCTTCCACTTCCAATCGCCAACTTCATCTCTTTGGCTTTATCTCCATCCCCTTTTTGGTGTCCATCCCCTCCTCTACAAATCCTGAACTATCTCCCTGTGGATGTAGGCTTTGAACAGCTTAGGTTGCCCTGTCCTACCCCTAATGGCTGTCTGCATCCCATCCTTTAGTTCTCAGCTTAAGTATCACTTATTTTAAGACAACTTCCTGACTGTATTTAAAGTAGCTCCTTCCTATTTCTCTATCTGATCCCCTTTTTAGTTTCCTCATGTACATAATTTTGTAATTATTATGTTTGCCTGGATATGTTTTCCCCAACAAGAGTGTAATAACATTCCATGAAGACAGGGATCATATCTGACTTGTTGGAAGCTGTATTCCTGGTACCTACCAGCATCTGGCACATAATAGGTATTCAGCAAATATTGAACGAACGAAGAACAAACAGAACAAATCTCTATATAGAACCTTCTACTTCTAAAAATTAATTTTATAGGTATAGCCCTACATGGCCAAAATGCTGTATGTTTAAGGTTTTCATTTCAGTATTATTTGTAAAAACAGAAGATTGGAATCAGCCTAAATAGCCACCAGTAAGGAGCTATGAAATTATATATACACATAAAATGCAGTGCTATACAGTTATAAACAAGAATGAAGAAGCTTATTGTCTCGATATGATCTCTAAGATGTATTAACAAGTGGGAAAGAAAGCAAGGTGCAGCAAACTTTTATCATTTGTATAAAAGTCAGAGACAAAAGATGATACACAAGAAATGGTAGAAAGGGACAGAGATAAAGGGGAGACTTTTCCCTGTATGGCTTTTGTATCTTTTGAATACGCAGCCATATGACTATATTGCCCATTCAAAAACAAACAAACTCACTGTAAGTGAACCGAGGCTTGGAGATGCAGCTAAAGGGCCCAGCCCTTCTGCCTCTTTGCCTGAAAGTTAGGGGGTGATAGGGAGGAATCCCGGGGAAAGGTGGTATCTGGCTGAAGAGAAGGTACCTCACTGCTGCCAATTTCCCCTATGTTGAGAATGCTCAGCATTTAAAAACGCCCTTCATGTCTGCCTTTAAAATATCTGTTCCTGGCTGGGCACGGTGGCTCACACCTGTAATCCCAGCACTTTGGGAGGCCAAGGAGGGCAGATCATGAGGTCAGGAGATCGAGGCCATCCTGGCCAACACGGTGAAATCCTGTCTCTACTAAAAATACAAAAACAAAATTAGCCAGGCGTGGTGGCAGGCACCTTTAGTCCCAGCTACTCGGGAGAGGTGGGAGAATGAGGTGAACCCAGGAGGCGGAGTTTGCAGTGAGCCGAGGCGCCACTGCACTCCAACTCCAGCCTGGGCGACAGAGCGAGATTTCGTCTCCAAAAAAAAAAAAAAAAAACTGTTCCTGGCCTGGTGCGGTGGTTCACGCCTGTAATCCCAGCACTTTGGGAGGCCAAGCGGGCAGATCACCTGAGGTAAGGAGTTCGAGACCAGCTTGGCCAACATGGTGAAACCTCTACTAAAAATACAAAAATTAGCCAGGTGTGGTGGCACACGCCTGTAGTCTCAGCTACTGGGGAGGCTGAGGCACGAGAACTGCTTGAACCTGGGAGGCGGAGGTTGCATTGAGCTGAGACTGCACCACTGCACTCCAGCCTGGGTGACAGAGTGAGACACTCTCAAAAAGACAAAACAACAACAACAACAACAAACTGTCCTTCATCTTGTCCTAAGAAGAAAAGGGTATGAGCTAAACCTCTCCAATGTGACTCATCTTTTCTAAGTGCTCAACTGCTTTAGTTCTGTATTCAGACTTGCTCTTGCCCCTGACGCTTTCCTCAGCATGGGAAGTCAGAAACTAATCAATAGTGGAGGAAATACAATTTTCTGTGTCACACTTTCCCATCTCAAGCTGCCTCAGGAGCCTCTCTAACATCTTTGGGTCCTACCAGGCTCCAGGGGAGCCTCAGAAGCGTCTCAGAGACTGGCACCACACCATTCAATTGTCCAAATGGAAACCTATGAGTCACTCTCCACAACTCCCTCTTCCTTGCCAATAAATCACCAAGTCTTGTTAACTTTACCTCCTCAAGATTTCTTGAATCTATCCATTTCTCTCCATTTCCTTTTCCACCACCCATCTTGCCCAAGCCACCATCTTTTTTCATCTAATTGCAGTGGCCTCCCAACTGTTTTCCCCACATCCACTCCAATCAGCAGCTATAACAAGCTCTTCAAAGTGCACCTCAGACTGTTAGCCCCCTGCTTAAAACTCTTCAATGGCTTCCCACTGCTCTTAGGGTAAATAGTAAACCCCCTACCCAGTACTATGAGGGGGTCTGCTACCCAGCTACCTTGCCAATCTCCCCCATGCTGAGCTCCTGGGTCTCAGTTCCAGCCCTACTCACCTTCTCTCAGCTCTCCCACCTCAGGCATCCACCTTTGCCTGAGAAAACTGGGTTGGCCCTGCCAACCCCACACACCTTGCCTACTACACTTCACATCTACCAATCATTTCTTCACGAAAGCTTTTCCCAACTCCCTGAACTAGTCAGAGCCCGCTTTTATATACTTGTACAACACCATGTACCTTCTCCTTCGGCAATTATCCATTAGAATTTTATAGTTATTTGTATAATCCTGATTATATTATTTTTCTATTTGGCATGAATAAAAAACAAATGCTGCCAATTAAATTATAATATCCTGTCAATTTGAAGATGCATCCTGACTTGACAAATGTTCAAATATGAGTCTCAGAATTAATGAAATATAATATCCGTGGCCCCTACTAGACTGAAAACACTGAAGGGCAGGGACTTCATCTGTTTTTGCTCACCTCATATCCAGTTCCCATTGTGTTTTCCTTACCACCATCTATGGGTACAAACTAGGTGCTAATAAGTATGTGTTAACTGAATGACTAAATGGTCTTGGCAAGTCCTACAAAACAGTAGGGGGCCACTGGTAAGTTAGGTCTAGTAGTTATTCAGGGAACATAGAATGTCAGAACTGGAGGAGACTCTGGCAGTCACCCAAGGTATCCCCCTTTTTCAGGGAATAATCTGTCCAAGGAGCCACCACTGGTTAGGGACAGAACTGGGACTGGATCCAATCTGCCCTCTAGCCCTCCTCCCTTAAAAGCAAAGCTCCTACCACATGAAACAGGTCTGTTTGCAATCTAGTATATCCCCTGCAACCTAAGTGGTTAAATCACCAATGATTCAACGTTTTATTGAGAACTTACCGGTTCCCGATTGCCTACCCTACAAAATCTTTCATCTAACAGTCAAAGCCTTGCAACGAAGGCCGCCCCACACTCTTCTTTGCTCATCCTGACTCAATGGCTTCCCTCCTCCTCTCTTTGCACAGAATTGTTAGATTACCCTCAAGTGAAACACATTTCTTTTATTCTACAGTCTCATGCTTTGTTCAAGATGATCCAATATTCACCTCCTTCAGGTTACCCTTATGACTATCCCACACACATACACACACTCCTACCTGTGTCCCTTCAGGATAAATGATGCACTACTTTGCAGAGTGACATGCTACTCTGTGAATGTTTGCTGGGTGTTTCATGTGGGACTGCTTGTCTCCCACTCATGTGGGGATTTCCCTACATTCAGGGATTGAGTTTTCTCCTTTTATACCTCCCCCAAGTGTTTAGTCAGGGCCCTGCACACAAAGTGCTGTGATAAAATGCAGTCTCATCTCTAACCTTATTAGATTTTTGCATACTGGAATATCCTAAAATGCACTTTGAAAACAGTGTATACACGTGTGCATATGTACATCTGTATAAATTCTCTGACATACAGGCTGTGACAGAGAGAGGTAGCTTGGCAGAAGTCTTTGTGGCTTGGAAAAAGGAAATTGGATTGAAATGTTGGCATGAGAAAACCTAATAAAGCTAACTGTATACAGTCATCTTCAACTTGGGATGAAGACCTCTGGCCAGGATTCAGACACTGGCCTATTCTGGACAGTTCCCCACAGAGGACAGAACAATGGAATAAACATAAACTACTACAGAACTTCCAAAGCCCTTCCTTCGCTGAGCTTCCCGTGTTGTGTCCCTGCTTTCCTGAAACACCCCGTCCCTCTCCTACCTGCTGCAGTGCCATAAAACTTTGGGTCTTATTTTATTTCTGGGTGAGAATATGAAGACATTAACTAGTGACAGGGAAGGATATAGAAATGGTTGCTGAAAGAGAAGCAGATCCTGTGTCTTCCCTGGAACAAAAACACATTTGTGGGCTGAGAGATGATGAAGAGACACTTGATCATCTGATCATCATATGTTCACCTGGGCCAGTGAGGGGCCACCCCTTTCCCACCACCAAAGATGCAATCAATACTTCTGGGACTTCACATCTAAGGGGCATCTCAGAACTTAGCACTCAGAAGAATAAAAGGAGAAAAGGACAAGAATGGAGAGGCAGTAGGAAAAAAAACAGAAAGAGGGAATGATAACAGCTAATAGCTAATATTTACTGAGCACTTATTATGAGCCAGATACTGTGTCAAACACTCATTTAATCCTGGCAACCATCTCAGAGGTTATTATTCCCATTTTACAGATAAAGAAACTGAGGTTCAGAGATTAAGTAACCTGACCAAGGTTCCAAGACATTAAATGGGAGAGGCAGGTTTGGAATCCAAGCAGTCTGACTCCAAAGCCTGTGCTTTCAACCAGTTCACAAAGCTGCCTCCCAGCAAGGATGATGGCGCCACAGATGATACTGCTTACATTCAGATACATTTCCTTTTTTCTTTTTTAACCCCAATCCTTACACAATCCAGAAATCCTCAGCGAGCCAGGTGTTCCCAAGGTCTGCTTGGTCTGACTCATTCCCACTTCCTGAAGATGAAGGCTGGGAGGCACATCTCTCAGAAAGTGGTAGCCATCATCAAAAAAAAGGCTGAGAGACCAGCTGGTTACCCTGTGATCTACCTGCGGCCCTTCTTCAGCTGCCCCAAACAGCACCTGCCCTTCCGTTTCAAAGACCATCCTAGTTTCCAACTTTCCTGGACCAGCCCTACTCTTCCTCTTGCTCCCCAAAGATCTGCCTTACTAGAAAGTATCTTCCTGTTGCTTTTTTTTTTTTTTTTTGAGACAGAGCTTCGCTCTTGTTGCCCAGACTGGAGTGCAATGGCGCGATCTCAGCTCACCACAACCTCTGCCTCCCGGGTTCAAGTGATTCTTCTGCCTCAGCCTCCAGAGTAGCTGGGATTACAGGCATGGGCCACCACGCCTAATTTTGTATTTTTAGTAAAGACAGGGTTTCTCCATGTTGGTCAGGCTGGTCTCCAACTCCTGACCTCAGGTGATTCGCCCGCCTCGGCCTCCCAAAGTGCTGGGATTACAGGCATGAGCCACCGCGCCCGGCCCCTGTTGCTTCTTTCTGATCCTGCCATCTCATCACTCTCCCTCTGAAGAAGCGAATGTTACTTTTGGTCTCCATCATTGTGGAGTTAGGTTTCAACCTCCTCCTCTCCTTAGAGTTCTTCCATCCCTCCAACAGGATAAGGCTAGCCAGCCCCAGCCCGGCAGGCTTTCTGTCTACCATCCCCCCGCACCCGTGGGGATTTCTCCAGCCCCAGCCCAAGGCCTCGCCTCCATCTTCATCCTTTCCTTTGCTTCCCTACCAAACCCATTCTCCTAAACTTCCTCCTCAAAAACCTATTCATTTAGACCCTGGAAGAGATCTGGGATTTAATTTTCATGCATTTCCTTTTTAAAAAAATTGATGGGAAATCTGAGGCCCAAAGAAAGGTAGTGACTTGCCCAAGGTCACACAGAGTCGTTAGTTTGTTGATGGCCTGGGCTGGGAGCCCCTTTCTTCAGAGGCCCCCTCTCCACCTCAGGAGACAAGCTCTTGCAAATGCAGGAAGGTGAAGCAGGGAGTCCCCAAGTGGTCTGAGGAGCACCCAGGCTTCCAAAGGGAACGGGCGCTGGGGCTGGGGGAAGGGCATGTCGCACACCAAATATCCCAGGAGGGGAAACTGGTCCCCACCTGTCCCCTGGTCCCCTCAGTCCCCTCATCTCCGCCCTCTCTCTTCTTTCCCGATCTTTCTCCGCGAACCCACCCCCACCTCTCCCAATCCCACTCTTCACCCAGTCCCGCCACTCTCGCACCTTTCGCCCCCGGCCAGGCTCCATCATGGCCTCCCCCGCCCCTTCGCCCCCAGTCCCCGCCCCCATCCCCCCTCCCGGGCTCTCTTCCCTCACCCTTGGCCTCCCTCGCCCTCCCCGGGGTCCCAGCTATCCCCAGCGGCCTCCCCGCCCCATCGGCCACGGCCCGGGCCGCAGGGGGCGCTGTGGGACCGCCCCGAGCCCCTCCACCCCCGCGCGGGGATGTTACCATGCCAGAGCCTCCGAGCAGCTGGGCCGGCTCAGCCCACCCGCCAGTAAGAGCCGCTCTGATTGGCCAGGCCGCAGCCGGGAGGGCGGGGCCGGCGGGGGGTCGCACCCCTTCGTGGCCGGGGCTCCGGTGGCTCCCGCCGGCGAGCGGGGCCCCAACCGGCCCGGTGTGTTCGGTCCCGGCCCCGCCCCCCCGGCACGGAGAACCAGGCCCCGCCCCCGCGCCGCCGCGTCCCGGGTCCGCCCCCCGGGGGGCGGGGCACGCCTGCTCCCGCCTCTGACTGACGGTCGGGGGCCGGCGCCTCTGCCTCTCCCCGCTGCCTGCGTCCTGGCTTCGCAGTCGCCGGCGCTCCAGGAGCCGAAGCGTTCACGCAGTGTGTAGGGTGCCTTTGCGCTGCACAGCGAATTTAATTTGCTGTGTAGCTCTTTTACAGTACTTTTAAGTTAGTTAACTCCAGAACTATTTGTTGAGCACCTGTGAGGTGGCAGGGTCTGTCTCAGGGACTGAGCACACAGCAGCTTGGAAAAAAAAAAAAAAAAAGACAAATCCCCGAAATCACGCCCTTGTGGGGCGTACACGTGCTTCTCGCGTGACCCTGAAGTTCACTTTTGGGACCTGGCTCCCACTGAGCGCTGAACTCATGAGAGCAGGGCCCACTCTTTGACAGAAGTTAAAAATGTGAGGTACATGCTTGCTGTGCGGCTGAGGAAACTGTAACCTGGAGCTCTGCGGGGAATGCGCTGAAGGCCTTGGGGCTGGAGAGTGACAGGCCCCAGGCACACGGGTGCAGAAAGGCGCTGACCGCCAGCCTGCAAAGCCCCGCAAAAGGCGCTTCCTGTTCCCTTTATTCCCCCCTCACCTGAGCCGGGACTCGCGTGATGCCGTGCTAGGTTCCTGAGAGCCAAAGAACTCCGGAGAGGTAGAAAAACTCCTGACACGAAGAGTTAGAGGTGACACCTGGGAGGAAAAGGAAGTGGGATTCACCCTTGTGGGCTGCTGTAGAGAGAAAATGCTTTGTGGTTTAATCAAAATGATACCCACATGGTCTCAAATGAAGGCCCAGCTCTGCGGTTTTCTTTTCTTATTTGAGGCAGCGTATTGATCTGTCACCCAGGCTGGAGTGCAGTGGCACAATCAGGGTTCACTGCAGCCTCAGCCTCCTGGTCTCAACCGGTCCTTCTCCCTCAGCCTCCGAGTAGCTGGGACTACAGGCGTGTGCCACAACGCCCGGCTAATTTTGTAACTTTTTGGAGACGACGTCTCCCTGTACTGCCCACGCTGGGTCCTGTGGTTTTCAAACTTTTGGGGGAGGTGGGGTGAGGAGACTGGCGCGCGGCCCGCAGCCGCCGCCGCGGCAGGAGAGGGGAATGGAGGGGGCGGGCGGGGGGAGGAGGACGGACCACCGGCGGCCTCTCCACCGCTCCCACCTTCCCCCGGGGGCTGCCGCGATGCCAGCGCAGCTGGGGCGATTTTCAAACTATTATTGAGATCTCTAAGTATAGCAGAAGTGGTCCAGAGGTTCCGTGAACTTTCATGAATTGCATTTTTATTTTTTAAATGCTTTTCTTTTCTTTAATGAAATATTTCTTAGAACATGTACACACATATAGAATCGAATAATTGTACCAGATTTGTTAAGACAAACAGCAGAGCCCTGCCCCCATCGTCTTCCCCTCTCTGGAGGCAACGTTTTCACCTCTTTTAGCTGTTTCTTCTGGCATTTACCTTCACATCTCCGGCCTTCCCCCAGCTGCAGCCCTCCCCACAGGGCAAGGGGTCCAAGGGGATTTGCCCATGCAAAGCACACTTGCCCAGGATTAGACCATATTCTGAATACCTAGGACCCTGGAATTCCCTGCCCAGCTTCCTCCTTGGGTCTGTCCTCCCCAGGGAGACCTTCTGTTTTTTCCTGCACAAACTTTTATTTTTCCTGGAATTAATAATCTTGTTTTTTAAAATCATTTATTTTCTATGTATTTCTCACAAACTCTACCTCAAATTCTTCCCCCAGTTGCTTAAATTTCCTCTCAGAATATCTAGATATAGCAGAGAATTCTCTCCATTTCATCTTCTTGAAGACATCACTGCTGGAGACTGCTGACCTTCTCCAATCTGACTGTTCATCCCCTCACCTTGCTGCACATCTGGCAACCTGGCATCTCTTTTCTCATTCTCCTGGGCATGTTCTTTGCCTCATTCTTTTGTTGTTGTTGTTTTGTTTTGAGACAGAGTCTCGCTCTTGTTGCCCAGGCTGGAGTGCAGTGGCTCACTGAACCTCTACCACCCGGGTTCAAGCTATCCTCCTGCCTCAGCCTCCCAAGTATCTGGGACTCCAGGCATGCGCCACCACACCCGGCGAATTTTTGTATTTTTAGTAGAGATGGGGTTTCACCATGCTGGCCAGGCTGGACTTGAACTCCTGAGCTCAAGTGATCTGCCTGCCTCGACCTGGCAAAGTGTTGGGATTACAGGCGTGAGTCACTTTGCCTGGCTGCCTCACTCTTCTGTGGGATTTTTATTTGCCATATTCTATGCTTTTCTTTTCTTTTTTTATTTTTTTGACATGGTCACTTATTTTTATAACAATACATATACCATGTTATCACCATGGAATGTAAATTCAGGTTAGACAAGAGAATTTCACAAGTGTAATGGCATTCTGTAGTATAGAAAAGCATGTGTATAATGTCTGTTCAAACCAGCTTGCTTATAAATCATTAATTCCATTATAGGTAATATGTTTAACGTTTACAATTCTTACGGAGAAAATAACATTTTCTCCATTTAAAAAGTGTTCTTCAGTTACCTTCCATGAGTGCTTGAAATACATGTTTCTGTTTCAAGATGACATTTAAAAATTATCCTTATATTACAGCAGCAAATACAGATATCTACAATTACAAAAGAACTAAACTAGAATTCATAAGTTATTCTCATGTTTACAGTTATGATTCTTTAATAAATGCTACTACTATGCAGCTCTATTGTAAGCTTCCTAGATTTGATTTAAACACATACACATATATACTTTCAGCTGTGGGAGGTTTTACAAGTTATATTCCATGCACTTTTTTTTTTTTGTATTTTTAGTAGAGATGGGGTTTCATTGTGTTAGCCAGGATGGTCTCAATCTCCTGACCTCGTGATCCACCTGCCTTGGCCTCTCAAAGTGCTGAGATTACAGGTGTGAGCCACCGCGCCCAGCCTCCATGCACTTTTTTGACAGAGTTCTAAAAGAGCCAGCCAGTCCACAAGACAGGCAGAAAAAAGTTAAATTAACTGGGGCAAATAGAACTCATATAACATCCAAAACATGCAAGATTCTGCAGCAAACTAGGAGTACTTCAGGGTTGGTTTGCTATCTTCTTTAGAACTAATTTTATCCTAACAGTTTAAGAAGGTGGACATTTCAACACCATCTTTTAGGTGACATGTTTCTTTTGTGTTAATTTGACTCCCCTGAATGACCTAGTTAGTAAACTAGTCACTAGTAATTCAGTCACCAGGCAAATCAAGCCTGCAAGAAAGAAGGCCAGTATTCACAATGCCGTGTTATCAGCTGAACCCACTCAAATAGTTTATTTTAATCATTAATATGTAGCTTCAATAATGAGATGTGGACGCGGTGGCTCATGCCTGTAATCCCAGCACTTTGGGAGGCCGAGGTGGGTGGATCACTTGAGGTTAGGAGTACAAGACCAACCTGGCTAATATGGTGAAACCCCGTCTCTACTAAAAAAAAAATACAAAAATTAGCTGGGCGTGGTGGCGATCACCTGTAATCCTAGCTACTCAGGAGGCTGAGGCAGGAGAGTCACTTGAACTCGAGAGGCAGAGGTTGCAGTGAGCAAGATTGTGCCACTGCACTCTAGCTTGGGCAACAGAGCAAGACTCCATCTCAAAAAAAAAAAAAAAAAAAAAAAAAAGAGATGTCTAACTAAAGTAAGCTCCTCCAACAAAACCAAGATAGCATTTCTTCTACGGTGTAGGTTTTGCCCAGAATTCCCGATACATGGAATGATAGCCCATACCAACAGTCATTGCTCCTTCAACAAAGCCTTGGGCTGCCACACACATGTGGATCAGATGATGCAACATTTTAGTATTTCCCCTGCTCTTCAGTTTGTATAATACATATGCAACAATTGCTGCAAAACCTGCCATTCCAGTGGGGATGAATGGTGCCTCTTTAGCTTTTCAAATAAGTTTGGATCCCTAGATTTTCATCATATGAAGGGAAACATCTGTATTTGTTGACACAGTGATTGCTTGAATAATCTCCCTAGAGCGAGAAAACCCCCTCACACACCAACCGGCTTCTGATCCCCACCTGTGCCTGTGTTTTTCTTGATTTATAATACTCCCGCTTTTTTGAGGAGACCATCATCCAGAAGCTTCCTGAGAAAGGGAGCAGTAAATTATTTTGGAACTTTGCGTTTTTGCTGTTGTCATTTTTCAACTGTGACCCTTGGATTGGTTGTTTGGCTGGGTAATGAATTCCTTCAGAATTATGAAGGCATTGCTACATGGTCTTCTAGCTTCTGACACTGCTGTGGAGAATGAGAAGTCTGAAGCCTTTTAATTCCTTGTCCTTTCTAGGTGACTTTTCCCCTCTCTGAACTTCTTGTTTCCAATGTTCTGAAATTGCAGTGATATGTCTTGGTGAGTGGCTATTATCTTCCATTGTGCTGGGCACTCAGTGCCCCTCACTTTTGGGGAATAATCTTGAATCATCCTATTGGTGATTTCTTCCTATTTTCTCTATTCTTTCCTTTTTGGAACTCCTATTACTTGGACAATGGACCTGTTGAACTGGTCCTTCTAATTTCTTATTTTTCTCTCTAGCTTTGCATCTTTTTTACTTTATTTTCTGGGAGATTTCCTCAACTTTATCTTCCCATTCTTCTGAGTTTTTCCATCTTTTAAAGGTTTTAATCACTTTCACTTTATTTTTATTCTCCGAATTGTCCTTTTTATAGCATATTTTGTTTCAGGGTTATCTTATCTCAGAAGCTGTTACTGATAGTTCTGTCATTTTTTTTTCTCTACATAATCTCTGCTCCAAATTTCTTTTTCTTTTGTTTTGGTCTCTGTCTTCTATATTAGATTCTTTTCTTGGAGGTCTTAGACTCCTTGGTTGTCTGCTCACACTTAAGGATGGGTCACCTAAAAGCTGACTGGAAGCATTTGTTCTCTGTTCAGGTGGTACATGGATGGGCTTGTCAGTCATGAGCTTCTTTTTTTTTTTTTCAGACGGAGTCTCACTCTGTCGCCAGGCTGGAGTGCAGTGGCGTGATCTCAGCTCACTGCAACCTCCAACTCCCTGGTTCAAGTGATTCTCCTGCCTTAGCCTCCTGCGTAGCTGCGATTACAGGCACGTGCCAACACGCCCGGCTAATTTTTGTATTTTTAGTAGAGACAGGGTTTCACCGTGTTGGTCAGGATGGTCTCAATCTCCTGACCTTGTGATCCACCCACCTCAGCCTCCCAAAGTGCTGGGATTACAGGTGTGAGCCACCACACCCGGCCAGTCATGAGCTTCTTTGCACAGTGATCTGGCTGGGAACTTCTGATGTCAGCATTCCTAGGTTTTCCTTCTCAGTGTGGTCAGACAGAGGAGATTGCCCATCTCTGGTCTGGCACAACCAATTCCATTTGCCATAGAGTTCTGCCGCTGCCTTAGGATCTGTCCTTCTCTAGTGTAAGTGAGTAATCTCTCATCCATCTGGCTTCCACTTCTGAAAATATTTTGCTCGTCTCTTCTCCTGTTTCCCTGTCCTTATGGATTTATGCCTTTAAAAATCCCTTGGCTACATGGGTTTTCAGTGGACAAATTTGGATGCTCATGTTCAATCTACCATTTTTTACCCAGAAACTTTAAGTATATTTTAACTGGTTTTAAAATAGTAGTTTAAAAATATACATATGAATATCAAATTTCTGGGTTCATGAAAACAGGCTTGTTGACATTAAATGACTTTATAATAGAAAGCTATCATGAAATTAAACTTATAATGTAAATGTGTACTAATAAAATATTGCTTTTTTTTGAGACAGGGTCTCATTCTGACACCCAGGCTAGAGTGCAGTGGTGTGGTCTCGGCTCACTGTAGCCTCTGCCTCCCAGGCTCAGGTGACCCTCCCACCTCAGCCTCCTGAGTAGCTGGGTCTACAGGCATGTATTACCACACTGGCTAATTTTTGTATTTGTTGTAGAGATGGGGTTTCACCATTTTGCCCAGGCTGGTCTCAAACTTCTGGGCTCGAGCCGTCTGCCTGCCCTGGCCTCCGAAAGTGCTGGGATTACAGGCGTGAGCCACCATGTCCAGCCAAAATATTGCTTTTGTTTTGGTTAGTGAGGGTCTGCATACAGCTTTGCTTGAGAAGGGGTTGGGTGATTTTTTGTTTGTTTGTTTTAAAGTTTGTAAACATCTCTCCCGGGCTAGCGATCACCAAACTATGGCCTTTGAACTGTGGTGAAGGTGTTGTAGCCGGCCACCAAGCTGCTCGTGTGAGAGGGGCTAAGAAGGACTAATGTCTACAAGAGGGAGCATCCCAGTCCCAGGGGAAAAGGGTATGCAAATAAAGGAGACTCACCATTGACAAAGGAAGAAGAGTTATTTCCTAACACCCTCCAGTACCTTCCTAATTGCTAGCCCTTTGCCCTGGTTGCCCACAATCCCTCCACAGTCTCGAGCATTACAAAACATTGCATTTTAAAAAAT
This sequence comes from Homo sapiens, assembly GCF_000001405.40. Taxonomy (NCBI): domain Eukaryota; kingdom Metazoa; phylum Chordata; class Mammalia; order Primates; family Hominidae; genus Homo; species Homo sapiens. The sequence goes on along the minus strand of NC_000012.12, from coordinate 49,616,868 downwards.
CAACTTTATTGAGGTGTAATTTACATATAATGGCAATTTTAAGTGTACAATACAATGAATTTTCACAGATGTATCCAGTCATGTGACCATCACCATCATCATTTCCTTTACTCAAAAACCTTTGTGCCCTTTTGCAGTCAGTCTCCTCCCTGCTGACCTGGCTTCTGGCATCTACTGATCTGGTTTCTATCACTATTGTTTTGCCTTCCTAGAATTTCATATAAGTGGAATTATATAGTTTGTAGGAGTTTGTATCTGGCTTGTTTCATTAGTATAATGCTTTTGAAATTTTCCATGTCATTGCATGTGTCAGTAGTTCATTCCTTTGTCATGTGAAGTGGTATATTTCATCACACGGACATACTACAATTTGTTTATCCATTCACCAGTTGATGGACTGTTGTGTTTGGGTTTTTTTCAGGTTTATCAATACTTCTGTATAGATTTATGTGTGGACATATGTTTTATAATAAATATTTAAATACTTAGGAGTGGGATTGCTGGGCTATATGCTAATGCATATTTTTTAAAAACCTGCTGGCTGGGTGCGGTGGCTCACGCCTGTAATCCCAGCACTTTGGGAGGTCGAGGCAGGTGAATGACCTGAGGTCAGGAGTTCGAGACCAGCCTAGCCATCATGGTGAAACCCCATCTCTTCTAAAAATACAAAAATTAGCCGAGCATGGTGGCGGGCACCTGTAATCCCAGCTACTTGGGAGGCTGAGGCAGGAGAATCGCTTGAACCCGGGAGGCGGAGGTTGCAGTGAGCCGAGATTGCACCACTGCACTCCAGGTTGGGCGACAGAGCAAGACTCCATCTCAAAAAAAAAAAAAACTGCCAAACTCTTTTCCAAAGTGGCTGTACATTCCCACCGGCAATATACCATATAAGAGTTTCACTTTCCCAAAATCTTCCTCAACACTTGGTATTGTCACACTTTTTATCATCTGACTCATTCTTATCAGAGTTGGGATCTCATGGTTTTAACTTGTATTTCCCTAATGCAATGACTAATAAGTTGAGAATCTTTTTATGTGCTTATTTGCCATTTGTATATTTTCTTTTTTTTTTTTCTTTTTGAGACACAATCTTGCTCTGTTGCCCGGGCTGGAGTGCAGTGGCACGATCACAGCTCACTGCAGCCTTGACTTCCCTGGACTCAGTGAGCCTCCCGCCTCAGCCTCCCAAGTAGCTGGAACTACAGGCAGGTGCCACCACACCCGGCTAATTTTTGTATTTTTAGTAGAGACGGAGTTTCACCATATTGGTCAGGCTGGTCTCAAACTCCTGACCTCATGATCCACCCACCTCAGCCTCCCAAAGTACTGGGATTACAGGCGTAAGCCATTGCACCTGGCCCATTTGTATAACTTCTTTCGTGATGTGTGTATTTGAATCTTGGGTTGTTTGTCTTCTTGTTGAGTTGTAGTAGCTCTTTATCTATTCTGGATACAACTCCTTTATCAAATACATGTTTGCAAATACTTTTTAGTCTAGTCAGTAGCTTTCAATTCATTTTCTTTTGTTGTTGTTTTTAAATAAATTCAGCTTTTACTTTTTTCCATTTGTAATTGTGATCATAATTTTTTTTAATTTTTAAAAATTTCAATAGGTTTTTGGGAAACAGATGGTGTTTGGTTACATAAATAAGTTATTTAGTGGTGATTTCTGAGATTTAAGTGTACCCATCACCTGAGCAGTGTACACTGTACCCAATGTGTAGTCTTGTTTTTTTTTTTGAGACGGAGTCTCGCTCTGTCACCCAGGCTGGAGTGTGGTGGCACGAACTTGGCTCACTGCAAGCTCTGCCTCCCTGGGTTCACGCCATTCTCCTGTCTCAGCCTCCTGAGTAGCTGGGACTACAGGTACCCGCCCCCACGCCTGGCTAATTTTTCATATTTTTAGTAGAGACGGGGTTTCACTGTTAGCTGGGATGGTCTCGATCTCCAGACCTCGTGATCCGCCCACCTCAGCCTCCCAAAGGGCTGGAATTACAGGCGTGAACCACTGCGCCCGGCCCCAGTGTGTAGTCCTTTATCACTCACCCCGCTTCCCACTTTTTCCTCTGAGTCCCCAAAGTCCATTGCATCATTCTTATGCCTTTGTGTCCTCATAGCTTAGCTCCCACAACTTTTACTTTAGACTCAGGGGGTACATGTGCAGGTTTGTTACATGGGTATATTGCGTGAATGTTGTGGTTGGGGGTATGATTGATCCCATCACCCAGATATTGAGCACAGTGCCCAATAGTCAGTTTTTCAGCCCTTTCCTCCTTTTCTCCCTCCTGCTTCCCGTACTCCCCAGTGTCTTTTGTTGCCATCTTTCTGGCCATAAGTACCCAATGTTTAGCTCCCACTTACAAGTGAGAACACGTGGTATTTGGTTTTCTATTCTTGCATTAATTTGCTTAGGATAATAGCCTCCAGCTGCATCCGTGTTGTTGCAAAGGACATTATTTCATTATTTTTTATGGCTGTCTAGTATTCCATGGTGTGTATGGACCACATTTTCTTTATCCAAAACACTGTTGGTGGTCATGTCATGGAATCAAGTTGATTCCATGTTTTTGCTATTGTGAATGGCACTGTGATGGATATGAGTGCATGTATCTTTTTGGTAGAACAATTTATTTTCTTTTGGGTGTATACCGAGTAATGGGATTGCTGGGTTGAATGGTAGTTCTGTTTTGTTTTGTTTTTTAATTTTTTTTTTTTTTTGAGACAGAGTTTCACTCTTGTTGCCCAGGCTGGAGTGCAATGGCACAATCTCAGCTCACTGCAACCTCCACCTCCCAGGTTCAAGCGATTCTCCTGCCTCAGCCTCCCAAGTAGCTGGGATTACAGCCACCCGCTGCCATGCCTGGCTAATGTTTTGTATTTTTAGTAGAGACGGGGTTTCACCATGTTGGCCAGGCTGGTCTTGAACTCCTGACCTCAGGTGATCCACCCACCAAGGCCTCCCAAAGTGCTAGGGTTACGGGTGTGAGCCACCGCGCCCGGCCAGTTCTTATTTTGTTCGTTTTTGTTTTTTTGAGACAAGGTCTCACTGTCACCCAGGCTGGAGTGCAGTGGTGTGATCACAGCTCACTGCAGCCTTGACCTCCCTGGACTCAGTGATCCTCCCGCCTCAGCCTCCCAAGTAGCTGGAACTACAGGTACATGCCACCATGCCTGGTTAAGTTTTGTATTTTTTGTAGAGATGGGGTTTTCCCATGTTGCCCAGGCTGGTCTGAACTCTTGAGCTCAAGTGATCTGCCCACCTCAGCCTCCCAAAGTTCTGGGATTACAGGCATGAGTCACTGCGCCCGGCCAATTTGAGATCTAACTTTTTTTTTTTTTTTTGAGATGGAGTCTTGCTCTGTCGCCCAGGCTGGAGTGCAGTGGCATGATCTGGGCCCACTGCAAGCTCTGCCTCCCAGGTTCATGCCATTCTCCTGCCTCAGCCTCCTGAGTAGCTGGGACTACAGGCGCCCACCACCACACCCGGCTAATTTTTTGTATTTTTAGTAGAGATGGGGTTTCACCATGTTAGCCAAGATGGTCTCGATCTCCTGACCTCGTGATCTGCCCACCTCGGCCTCCCAAAGTGCTGGGATTACAGGCGTGAACCACTGCACCAGGCCGAGATCTAACTTTTTGAGGTAGGCATTTAGTGCTGTAAACATTCCTCTTGGAATGTTTTCATTTATTTCAAAGAATATTTTGATTTCTGCCTTAATTTTATTGCTTACCCAAAAGTCATTCAGGAGTAAGTTGTTTAATTTCTATGTAATTGTGTGGTTTTGAAGATCTTCTTGTTTTGATTTCTATTTTTATGCCACTGAGGTGTGAGAATATGGTTGGCATGATTTCGATTTTTTTGAATTTATAGAGACTTGCTTTATGGCCAAGCATGTGGTTGATCTTGGAGTGTGTACTGTGTTCAGATGAGAAGAATGTATATTCTGAGGTTGGTGGTTGGAGTATTCTGTAAATGTCTATTAGGTCCAATTGGTCAGGTGTCGAATTTAAGTCCTGAATTTCTTTGTTAGTATTTTGCCTTGTTGATCTGTCTAATGCTGTCATTGGGGTGTTAAAGTCTCCCAATATTATTATGTGGTTGTCTATGTCTTTTTGTAGGTCTAGAAGTACTTGTTTTATGAATCTAAGTGCTCCAATGTTGTGTGCATATATATATTTAGAATAGTTAAGTCTTCTTGTTGAATTGAATCCTTTATCTGAGAGGGATATCCAATCTTTTGGCTTCCCTGGGCCACACTGGAAGAAGAATTGTCTTGGCTCAAACATAAAATACACTAACACTAACAATAGCTAATGAACTAAAAAAAAAAAACACACATAAAAAAACCTCATAATGTTTTAAGGCAGTTTATGAATTTGTGTTGGGCTGCATTCAAAGCTGTCCTGGGCCACATGCAGCCCATGGGTCACAGGTTGGACAAGCTTCCTTTATCATTATGTAATGCCATTCTTTGTCCCTTTAAAAAAAAAAAAAAAAAAACTTTGTTGGATTAAAGTCTGTTTTATCTAAGAATAGTGACCCTTGCTCTTTTTGAAGAAAGATCCATTTGTGTGATCTTTCTTCAACCCTTTATGTTAAGCCTGTTGGTATCATTATGTGTGAGATGGGCCTCTTGAAGACAGCAGACAGACAGGTCTTGTTTTTTCATCCAACTTGCAGCTCTGTGCCTTTTAAGTGGGCCGTTTAGACTGTTTACATTCAAGGTTAATATTGATATGTGAGATTTTGATCCTATCATGAAGTTACTAGCTGGTTGCTTTGTAGTTTCTATTATGCAGTTGCTTTATAGAATCTGTCAGCTATTCACCTAACTGTATTTTTGTGGTAGCAGGTATTGTTCTTTTATTTCCATGTTTAGAACTCCCTTAAGGATCTCTTGTAAGGCTAGTTTAGTGGTAACAAATTCCCTTAGCACGCTTGTCTGGAAAAGCTTTTATTTCTCCTTCAACTATGAAGTTTATTTATTTTATTTTATTTTATTTTATTTTTCAGATGGAGTTTCGCTCTTTCGTCATGCTGGAGTGCAGTGGCATGATCTCAGCTCACTGCCACCTCCGCCTCCCAGGTTCAAGCGATTCTCCTGCCTCAGCCTCCCAAGTAGCTGGGACTACAGGTGCATGCCACTGTGCTCAGCTAATTCTTGTATTTTTAGTAGAGACGGGGTTTCACTGTGTTAGCCAGGATGGTCTCGATCCCCTGACCTCGTGATCCACCCGCCTCGGCCTCCCAAAGTGCTGGGATTACAGGTGTGAGCCACTGCGCCCGGCCTACATTTTTATTTATTTATTTTTTTGAGACACAGTCTTGCTCTGTTGCCCAGGCTGAAGTGCAGCAGTGCAGTCTCAATTCACTGCAATCTCAGCCTCCTGGGTTCAAGCAATTCTAATGCCCCAGTCTCCTGAATAGCTGGGACTACAGGTGCATGCCACCACGCCTGGCTAATTTTTGTATTTGTATTTGTATTTTTTTATTTTGAAATGAAGTCTTGCTCAGTCGTCCAGGCTGGAGTGCAGTGGTGGGATCACAGCTCACTGCAACCTCTGCCTCCCAGGTTCAAGCAATTCTCCTGCCTCAGCCTCCTGAGTAGCTGGGATTACAGGCACCCACCACCATGCCTGTCTAATTTTTGTATTTTTAGTAGAGATGGGGTTTCACCATGTTGGCCAGGCTGGTCTTGAACTCCTGACTTCAGATGATCCACCTGCCTCAGCCTCCCAAAGTGCTAGGATTACAGGCATAAACCACTGTGCCTGGCCTAATTTTTTTTTTAGTAGAGACAACGTTTCACCATGTTGGTCAGGCTGGTCTCGAACTCCTGGCCTCAAGTGATTCGCCCGCCTTGGCCTCTCAAGTGCTGGGATTACAGGCATGAACCACTGTGCCTGGCCTTGTTCATTTTTAAAAATTACCTTTTTTATATATTTGTCTGACTAGGTTAGTTCAAAAGACCAAACTTCAAGCTCCAAAATTCTTTCTTCTCATGGTCCAGTCATTGATAAAGCTTTCAATTGTATTTTGAAATTCTTTAAGTGAGTTTTTCTTTTTTTTTTTTTTTTTGAGATGGAGTCTTGCTCTGTCGCCCAGGCTGGAGTGCAGTGGCGCAATCTTGGCTCACTGCAAGCTCTGCCTCCCGCGTTCACGCCACTCTCCTGCCTCAGCCTCCTGAGTAGCTGGGACTACAGGCGCCCACGACCGTGTCCGGCTAGTTTTTTGTATTTTTAGTAGAGACGGGGTTTCACCATGTTAGCCAGGATGGTCTCAGTCTCCTGACCTCATGATCCGCCCGCCTCGGCCTCCCAAAGTGCTGGGATTACAGGCGTGAGCCACCACGCCCAGCCTGTTTTTCAATTCCAGAAGCTCTGACTGATTTATTTTCAAGATGTTTATCTATTCCTTCATTTTGTGGATTGCTTTAGAAGTTTCTTTAGGTTGATGTTCAACCTTGTCTTGGATCTTGTTGAGTTTCCTAGCAATCCATGCTTTGAATTCTTTATCTGTCATTTCTGAGTTTCAATTTTGGTTAAGGACTAGACATCTAGTGCGATCCTTTGGTGGTGTCACTACATTCAGATTTTTCATGGTGCCAGAATTCTTGCTTTGGTTCTTTCTCATCTGGAGATGCTGGCAATTCTAATTTGTGTGTGGGGGGACAGAATTTTTTTCTTTTTATTTCTTTCCCTATAATATCGGTTTTTTTTTTTTTTCCACCTTCCCTTTCCCTCTCCCCTGCCTAGGGGGTAATGACTGTAGAGAATATTAGATTGGGTCTTTTGGCTTTGCTTCTATAGCCTTGTATACTATCAGCAGATTTTATATTGGGTTGTGTGGTTTGATGTACAGGCCAGTAGATGGCACTTATAAGTAAGAGCCAGCTGTGGCCAGCGTGGCTGGGTATATTCTTGATCCTTGTTTACTGGCAGAAGCTCTCTGTTGCCTCAGGCAATGGGCTGATCCATGGAATGCACAGTGGCTTGAGCTCCCTGCTCAGTCCCAGGAGGTAAGATGAGTGGGGCTGGACCAGAGCAGGCCTGTCTACAGGTCCCTCAATGGCAGGCACAGCACCAACACCAAGGGAGAATCCAGTGGGCTGCCACCCAGTGCCCAGAGGTGTTGCTAGTTGTTGAGTTGGGAAACCTCCTTGGCCCCAAGTTCTATGCACAAGGAACCAGGGTGGCCTAAACTCCTAATCCAGGAGAGTGCATGCTCCAGGTGTCTGAGTGTGGAATGCAGAGGGCACTGCTGCACCACAATCTCTACACAGGGAGGGTGGGGTGGCAGGCTGCTAATTCATGTGAACGGATGCTCCGACTGCCTAGAGATCTGTCTGGGCATGGGGTGGATAGGGTGCCTCTTCACCATGGTCTCTATACAGGAAGGGTGTGCCAACTCAGACTGCAAATGCAGGCAAGCAGGTGCTCCAAATTCCTGAAGATCTGCCTGGGTGTGGAGCAGAGTGAGCCCCACTTCACTAGAGTGTCTGCACAGGAAGGATAGGGCAGCTCAGGCTGCTGATCTGGGTGAGTGGGTGCTCCAAATGCCTGGAGATCTCCCTGAGTGTTGAGCTGAGAGGGCCCCACTGCACCATGATCTCAGGAGAACAGTCTAGCATACCAAGCAATAACTCACTCAGACCAGTCCACAGGTCACCAAGCTGACCCTGGTTGCATCTTGTTGCCTAGGAGAAACCACAGCTGTAGCAGTCCCTTTCCCACCCCAGTCCTGTGACAGGGAAGAGCACATTGCCAGCACCTACTGCAAGGTGCTTTCTACAATTCTGGCTGTAGAAACCTCTATGCACCTCGAGAGCAGGCACTCCAATCTCTGGCCCAAGACTAAAATGCCTGTGTGGCCACGCTACTGTGTCGCCAAAGAATGACTAACTTTGTATGCCTGGATTAAAAGTGGCATCCTGGGCCTGGGAAATGCCTACAGCTTTTCCCAGTGTCTTTCCTTCTCAGTGTCTCCAAATATCTTCTCAAGTTACCTCCAGGACTTGGGAGAAACAAAGTGCTCTCCCTTGGCCTCTGTTGCTTGTATCTCCAGTGGAAAGGGCACTTTCCCAAAGTGCCCTTTCCACTGGATGGAAAGAGCCTGTCTGCCTCTCTCATGTACTGGGGCTTCACTCACTTTTATGAGCCAAATGCCATCACGGGGGCTGTTTGCCTTTGTTTTCCTCCCTGAGACCTAGGGTGTTCTTCATGATTCTGTTGGATTCCCATTTTCTTTCTTGAATTAAAGCCCACAGAGTTGATCTTTATGCACTACCTTGCAATTTCCAAGTGACTGAGGCACACTAACAGCCCCAAATCTGCCATCTTGGGGAAAAAAAAGGTTTTTGGTTTTTTTTTTTTTTTTGGAGACGGAGTCTTGCTCTGTCACTCAGGCTGGAGTACAGTGATATGATCTCAGCTCACTGCAACCCAGGACTCCTGGGTTCAAGCAATTCTCCTGCCTCAGCTTCCAGAGTAGCTGGGATTACAGGTGCACACCACCACACCCAGCTAATTTTTATGTTTTTAGTAGAGACAAGGTTTCACCATGTTGGCCAGGCTCATCTTGAACTCCTGACCTCAAGTGATCCACCCGCCTCAGGCTCCCAAAGTGCTGGGATTACAGGCATGAGCCACCGCACCCGGCCAACTTTTTTTTTTTTTTTAAGGTATGAAGTCTTGCTAAGTTGCCCAGGCTGGACTTCAGCTCCTGCAGTCAAGCAATCCTCTTGTTTCAGCCTCCCAATCAATTCATTTTCTTTTATGTCTATATTTGTGAGCAATATTAGTCTGTAGTACTTTTTTTTCTTTTCTTGTCATGTTTTTCTGGTTTTGGTACCAAGATAATGCTAACCTCAGCTGGGTGCGGTGGCTGATGCCTGTAATCCCAGCACTTTGGGAGGCCAAGGTGGGTGGATCACCTGGGGTCAGGAGTTTGAGAGCAGCCTGACCAACATGGTGAAACCCCATCTCTACTAAAAATACAAAAATTAGCTGCGCGTGGTGGCACGCACCTGTAGTCTCAGCTGCTAGGGAGGCTGAGGTGGGAGAATCACTTGAACCCAGGAGGTGGAGGTTGCAGTGAGCCGAGATCACGCCACTGCACTCTGGCCTGGGCAACAGAGTAAGACTCTGTCTCAGAAAAAATTAAAAAATAAAATAAAAATAATGCTAACCTCATAAAATGATTTGAGAAGTGTTCTTTACTATTCAATTTTTTGAAAGAGTTTTTATAGAACCGTATCTTTTTTTTCTTAAATGTTTGGCAGAACTCACCAATTAAACTATCTGGGGCTGGAGTTTTCTTTGAGGGAAAGGTTTTTTATATTATGAATCCAATTTCTTTAGTAGATTTACGGATATTCAAAGCTTTTTTTTTCTTTAGTGAGCATCGATAGGTTACGTATGTTAAAGAATTTGCCCATTTCATCTAATTTACCAACTTTATTGGCATAAAGGTTTTTCATATTGCTCTCTCATATTATTCCCACTGTAGAGTCTGTAGTCTCTTATTCTTCATATTGTTAGCTTGTCTTCTCTCTTTTCTTCCTGGTAAATATGGCTAGAGTTTTATCAATTGCATTAATCTTTTCAAAACATCAGATTTTAGTTGCATTGATTTTCTTCTATTTTTGTTTGTTTTCTATTGGTCTCTATTCTTATTCTTATTATTTCCTTCCTTCTGCTTATTTTGGGTTTTTTTGTTCTTCCTTTTCTAGTTTTTTCCTCTAAGCACTGATTTGGCAGCATCCTCAAAATTGTGATATGTTTCTATTTTTGCTCGGTTCAAAGTATTTCATAACTTTCCCTGTGATTTCTTTTTTGACTCAGGGTTATATGGAAGTATGTTGCTTAATTTGTAAAATATTTGGGAATTTTCCAAAGATCTCTCAATTATTGATTTATAGTTTAATACCATAGTGGTCAGAGAACATATTTTGTATTATTTTAGACTTCTTAGGGTAATTGATACTTGTTTTATGGCCCAAATTATGGTTTATATGATCATTGTTCCATATGCGTAGGGAATAATATGTGTCCTGTTGTTGGGTGAAGTGTTCTATGACTGTCAATGGAGTCAAGTTGGTTGATAGTATTTTTCAAAACCTCTATACTTTTTATTTTTTGCTACTTCTATCAACTCCTGCAAGAGAAGTGCTGGAATCTCCAACTATAATTTTGGATTTACCTATTCCTCCTTTCAGTTCTGGAAGCTTTTTACTTCATGTATTTTGAAGCAATGTTATTAGGTATATACACATTTAGAATTATGTTCTCCTTATTAATTGACATCTTTAGCATTATGGGATGTTCCTCCCTCTGTATGTTTGTGTGTGTGTGTGTGTGTGTGTGTGTGTGTGTGTGTGTGTCAGGGTATCTATCACCTAGGCTGGGGTGTAGTGGCGTGAACATGGCTCACTGCAGCCTTGACCTCCTGGGCTCAAGTGATCCTCCCATCTCAACCTCTCAAGTAGTTGGGATCCCAGGCATGCGCCACCATGCCTGGCTATTTTTTAAATTTTTTTGTAGAGCTAGGCTCTCACCATGTTGCCCAGGCTGGTCTCAAACTCCTGGGCTCAAGTGATCCTCCCACCTCAGCCTCCCAAATTGTTGGGATTACAGGCGTGAGCCACTGAGCCTGGCTTCCATTTGGTTATTGATTGGCTCTAATTTTTACAAATTTAAAATATTTTATTCAGGAAAATAACTTTTGCTAATTGCTTTTTCTTATTTGTAGACATTAATGTTTTGTTTGGGAGCATAACATTTAGTAATTTTTAAAAAGCAACAAGTAGGCCGGGCACGGTGGCTCACACCTGTAATCCCAGCACTTTGGGAGGCTAAGGTGGGTGGATCACGAGGTCAGGAGATCGAGACCATCCTCGCTAACACAGTGAAACCCCGTCTTTACTAAAAATACAAAAAATAAATTAGCCAGGCGTGGTGGCACGCACCTGTAATCCCAGCTACTCAGGAGGCTGAGCCAGGAGAATCACTTGAACCCAGGAAGTGGAGGTTGCAGTGACCGAGATCACACCACTGCACTCCAGCCTGGGCTACAGAGGGAGACTCCGTCTCAAAAAAAAAAAAAAAAAAAGAAAAGGCAACAAGTCAAGTAAATATATGTTAGGTAATGGACAAAAAGCTAGATAGTGGGGAGTCTCATCTCCTAATTCTTCTAATCAAACTGATGATGTCACTGGGGAAAAGAGGATCAGTTGGAACCTGGTGTTTGGCAGTTACCAGAGGAGCTGTGCCTGGGCAGAGGGTACCCAGGAGACACCCTGGTGCCCTTAACCTCCAAAGCAGGCAACATTGTGTGTCCAGGCCTGTGGACCAGAAACACAGGATGTTTTGTGACTGACAGAGTGATCCAAAATGGAGAAGGATGACCCCCCACAGTTGGTGACTCCCACATCAGTGAAAGCCATCATCCTGAGGATTGAGGCTGCCCAGCTAACTCGGGCTCAAGAGGTAGCCCCTGAGATGAAGGAATCACTCTTACATTGGGATCTGATGCGGAGACTGGGGGCTGATCCCAGGTTTGAGTGAGATTCCAGCTCTGGGTCCTCAGAGGCCCTGGGATATTCAGCAACCTGGGTCTGCAGACAGATTAGTATAAATTATCTCTCTCCTAAACTTGGCATATACAGGGTGAGCTGAAAGCAACCACCCGCCTGAGGCAGGGCTGGGGCCCGGGAAGGGGGCAGGAAGCTCGAGGATAGCCCTGAGGCACATCGTGGTGGTGTGGTGGGTTTTAGAGGGCAGGAGAAAGGACCCAGAATCTGTTCTTGGCAACCCTCCAGAATCCCCCAAGCTGAGCCCAGGAAGTTCATAGGGGTTGGGGAAATGTCCAAAGGCTCAAATCACCCTGTACACGAGGCTCTAGTACATTTTTTACTTGAGCCTCTGATCCTAGAGTTTCTTGGGGCCTCACTTTTCCAAGCTTCTGTTGCCTGTGGATCCTTGTGAGGAAAGACATCCAGAAACCCCCAGCAACCTCTGAAATTCTAAAGAAATGTTTGCTGTGGGGTTTTGGTGTTCTATACTTTCTTGACCTTCTTAATAATCACAATGATAATAAAAGCTACCACTTTTGTGTAATGTGCCAGGTACTATTAAAAGCACTTTAAAATATTTAATTCATTTAATCCTTACAGAAACCCTGTGACATAGGTACTATAATGATTCCCACTTTAAATATAAGAAAACTGAGACCCAAAGAGGCTAAGCGACTTGTCCAAGGTCACGCTGCTAGCATGTGGCTTCTGGCTCAAGTCCACAGCCCTAACACTACAATCTGCTGCTTCTCTATAGGATATTTCTACCCAGCTCTCAGACATTTTGGACAATGTCAATTGTGTCATCAACCGCTTCCAGGAAGAATTAGGATATGATTTAAAAGAAAATGCCAAATCTCAGCAGAGAGATCCAAAGGGCAAGAAGAGATTCATCTTGCTGGAAAAAATTGCCTCCTTCTCCAAAGATGCTATGATGAAGGAGAAGCACCTGTATGACATTCTCCGCTGGCTGGGTGACTGGGGTGAGTTTGCAGGCTGGGCACCGTGCCTCCTCTGGGAGGGGAGTGTGGGTGGCGAGCACAGGGACAGCACAGGACACATCCCCTTCTCCAGTGAAGCATTCCACCACTCGTGTCACAGCACATCACCTCCATGCTCCTGAGGGGCAGACACAGAAGTGTCCAAACATCACAGATCATGACATTAGCTGAATATATGATGAAGCCTAAGTCACGGGTCCATTATGACATCTCATTTTTGTGCAGGATAGAAACTAAATTCAAACCCACATTAGCTATTTTATAGAGCACCCCTGGGTGATATTCAAAGCACTGAATGACCTTTACTGCATGGGCCCTGATGCCAGCTGTGAGCAACTGGTGCAGCCATTTGGGTGTGGGCCAGCTGCATTAAACCCTAAAGCTAAGTGCTACCCCCCACTCAGCTCAGAGTCATCCCATCACAGGACCTGTGTGCTGTGTGCTGGATGCTCCAGTGTTGGAAGAAGATGGTATTGGTATGTGCCCTGCCCCCTGCATACTACCCCATGCTTGGAAGCTCTTAGTTCAGTGGTCCCTCAGCTGCCCTCAAGACTGACAGAGCTGTTGATTCTGCTTAATTAATTCAGTTGTCCAGATGTTGGACTAGGCAATCGGCATAGAGCAGTAACAAGTCAGATACCTCCCTGCTGTACAGACAATACTATTTAATGTCCATTGTGAATTTCTACATGGCAGGCCTCATGTTAACTGTTCCACATGTATTATCTCATTTAATCTTCACGCAGTTCTTTTATAGGGAAGGAAACTGAGGCTCAGGGGGATAAGTGACTTGCCCAACATCACATAGCTAGTAAGAGGTAAAATCAATGTGACTTCACAGCTGCTGGAACCCCTGTGCTATAGGGCTGTCTGTGTCCCCCTGGAGGACAGACTGCTCTCAGCCTGCACCTCCCATCCCTTCTCCAGGTGACACTCTGACCTATGAGATTGGGCCCAGGAAGAGTGAAGAGGAAGCAGCAGCTCTGGACGAATGGATTGAAGTGACGGAGAAAGTGTTACCGCTGTCCCTCATTGCCACCAAAAGAGGCATCGAGTCACTCACTGCCCTTTGCTCCACTCTCATTGAAGGACAAAAGAAAAGGTCACAAGGTAGGTTCTAGGAGCACCTGGCCAGGGAGCTAGGTGGGGACGGGGTGGAGCCATGGCAGGGGAAGTCAGAGGCTGGGCCTGGGGTCTTTCTGATTCTCCTCCATCACAGAAGTTTGATTTGAGATGGATGGGCAGTGGTGAGGGGCTGAGGGTTGAGCCCAGGCCAAGCACTGAGCAGCTCTGAGCTGTCCTTCAGCGCTAAGGGAGGTGTGATGTGGAGACAGGTCTCTGGTGTGCTCACTGGAGCTGTGGCCTCACGTAGGTTCTGAGGAACAAAGCTGGGAGGCCAGGAGGGCTAGAGTTAGCAGCTAGAACCTGCGGGCCATCCTATTCTCACTCCAAACCCAGCAACAGAGCTAGGAAGGTTGGGGAGGCTCAGCTAGAGGCTGCTGCAGAGGTGGTCCATCAGCAAATAGCTGAACCTTGGCTTTTTACTCCCATCAACATTAGGAGAACCTGATATTATCGAACTCATACATTTTGTAGATGAGAACATTGAAGCTCAGAGAAGAGAAGGGAGCACAAGGAAAGGCTGTGGCCCCACACATAGGTTTTCTGGCTTCTTAATCTCACTCAAGAGTTTGAATTGCATCTCTGTCAATTTCTGGTTGTATCACTTTGGGCAAGGACTTCATCTCTCTGAGCCTCAGTTTCCTCATATATAAACAGAAGAGGATACTGCCTAGCTCCAGGTTTGTGGGGAGGCTTCCACACAGTGTGAGGTGTCTGACACCATGCTTGGAACATGCTCAGGGCTTAATTAACAATAGTTAACCATCAGCATTTACCATTGTTCCTCATGGCCAGCCTCATTATCAATCAAGTAAGGTCAGCAGGAGGGAGAAGGCAGGGAAAAGTGGATAAGGAAACAATCTCTTCTGCAATCTGTACCGTACTATGTCTTCAAATACACTTATTGTATACTTAGACCCTCGCTAGATTATAAACTTATGAATGGTAAAGACTGTGTCTTTAGTTCTTTCTTTTTAGGGATGATTTATTGAGCACTTACTAGGTACCTGTTACTGCACTTGGCACTAAACATGCATAATCTAAGTCCTATGACATAGATTCTATGATTATCCCCATTTTTCACATTGGGAAACTGAGACACTGAGAAGTTAGGAAAATTGCCCAAGGCAAATCAGAAAGATGGGATTCAAACCCAAGTTATCTTATTGCAGAATCTAAACTCTGGACCACTAGGCCACATGGCCTCTCTGACAATACTAGCTAGATGCTAGCCCAACTTCAGTATCCCTTAATTTTTATATTTCCTCTACCCCTCATCTGAAGTTAGCATTGTTTTTTCCACCAGTGATGTTTTTAAATAGGCAGATGAATGGATGCTCCAAGATAATCACTCCACCAGCTCTATACATAGTAGGTCCAAGGGGGTACAATGACCACCGTGACCCAGCCTTTGAAAAATTGAGATCTGCTAATGGCAGGCACAATCTGTGTGTAGTGCATTTTCCTGGGGAGAGAGGGTCTGCTGCTTTCCTCAGAGTATCAAAGGGATCCCCCAAATGGAAAAAGACATTAGTTATTAAAAAAAAAAAACATAAAACATGTGAACAGTTGGAGGACCATGTGATAAATTCTCCATAAGCAGAGTCCAGTGCTAATGGGAAAGGGAAACCAGGCTTCCTAGTTGGGTGTAAGGGGTTTGAGTAGCTGACAATAGGAGGCAAACACAGATACTGAGGCTGGGAAGTGGCATGATTAGAAAAATAACTCTACCCCAGGAGAACATGGAAGACCAGGAGGATGCTGCAGTGAGCTGTGCTGGATTGCCTATGCCAGGCCCTTCTGGTCTCTGCAGGTGCTGTGGAGCTGGCAGACCCTGAGGCTGGGCTCTGGGCAAGCTCTGCACTCAGCAGAGGTCTGTCCTGACAGCACTGTCCCTGGCCCCATATACAGCCCCAGCTCCCTACTCTCGCCAAATCCCTAAGGGGGTTGCCATTTTGGCCCTGCAGGGTTTGGAGAATCAATGCAATCCTTGGGACCCATGAGAAATCGTTGACTTTTTTCTCTCTACCTGTCCCAGTGTCCAAACGCACCTTCTGGCAGGGCTGGCAGGGAAGAAGCCCACAGACATCTCCATCCCATCCTCAGCCACTAAGCCCAGAACAGATGCTCCAGGACCAGCATACCATGAACACGAAGGCCTCGGAGGTGACGTCCATGCTGCAGGAGCTCCTGGACTCTACCATGTTCAGCAAGGGGGAGGTCAGGGCCATCAGGTACATGGCCACTGTGGTGGAGAACCTCAACAAGGCCTTGATCCTCCAACACAAGGAGAACAGGAGCCTGGAGACCAAATACAGGCACCTGCAAATGCAGGCGACCAAAGAGCTCAGCAGCCAGAGGCTGCACTTCCAGCAGTTCATGGAGGTCCTTGAGAGCAGGAGGGATGCTCTGCTGAAGCAGGTAGAGATCTTAGGGGGAAGGTACCATGACCTTCTCCTGATGAAGCAGGCCTTGGAGTTCCAGCTGAAGAAGGCTCAGAATGCTACAGGTCAGGCAGAAGACCTGGCTGAGGTTTCTGTTGACTCCCCAGGTCCCTCTGAGAGAGAGACCCTCCCAAGGAAAGAAACAGTCATGGAGGAAAGCCAACAGGAACCGATGAAGGAGGAGCAGTTGTTCTCGCCACTTCCCCCAAGTCCCATGGCCATGATACGGGACAGTGGTGCTATAGCTGCAGGGCACCAGCCACTTTCCACCATGACTGTGCGCTCGAGGGTCGCAGATGTGTTCGGCAGCAAGGACACTGAGAGCCTTGAGCCTGTGCTTTTACCCTTAGTAGATCGCAGGTTTCCTAAGAAATGGGAAAGACCGGTGGCAGAAAGCTTAGGCCACAAAGACAAAGACCAGGAGGACTACTTCCAGAAGGGAGGACTCCAAATTAAGTTCCACTGTAGCAAGCAGCTGTCTCTAGAGAGCTCCAGGCAGGTGACCTCTGAGAGCCAAGAGGAGCCCTGGGAGGAGGAATTCGGCCGGGAGATGCGGAGGCAGCTGTGGCTGGAGGAGGAGGAGATGTGGCAGCAGCGGCAGAAGAAGTGGGCCCTGCTGGAGCAGGAGCATCAGGAGAAGCTGCGGCAGTGGAATCTGGAAGACCTGGCCAGGGAGCAACAGCGGAGATGGGTCCAGCTAGAAAAGGAGCAGGAGAGCCCACGGAGAGAGCCAGAGCAGCTAGGGGAGGATGTGGAGAGGAGGATCTTCACACCCACCAGTCGATGGAGGGACTTGGAGAAGGCAGAGCTATCATTAGTGCCTGCCCCAAGCCGGACCCAATCTGCTCACCAAAGCAGGAGGCCACACTTGCCCATGTCTCCTAGTACCCAGCAGCCTGCCCTGGGAAAGCAGAGACCTATGAGTTCAGTGGAGTTTACCTACAGACCACGGACCCGCCGAGTTCCCACAAAGCCCAAGAAATCTGCCTCCTTTCCTGTCACTGGGACATCCATCCGAAGGCTGACCTGGCCCTCTTTGCAGATATCCCCTGCAAATATTAAGAAGAAGGTGTACCACATGGACATGGAGGCCCAGAGGAAGAACCTGCAGCTCCTGAGTGAGGAGTCTGAGTTGAGGCTGCCCCACTACCTGCGCAGCAAAGCACTGGAGCTCACCACCACCACCATGGAGCTGGGCGCGCTCAGGCTGCAGTACCTGTGCCATAAGTACATCTTCTATAGACGCCTCCAGAGCCTCCGGTAGGTCCTCCCTGGAACCCACCTGGCACCCACCTGCTGCAATATGTTGGCAGAGCCTAAACCCAGTGGGAGAGAAGGAACACAGGGCAAGGGGGGATGGGGAGAGCCACCCCAGGCCTGGACAGGGTCTCCTGAGTGGGGGCCTGGAAAGCAAGTCTGGCCTGGGGCCTTGGGCAACCCTTGAAGATGTGAGAAGAAGGGCACTGAGCACTGCTCTCCCTGTAGTGGGCTTTTCCTCTAAGCAACTTCCCTCTCTCTTCCTCTCTTCCCATGGCCCTGTCTATAATCCACCTAATGTGCTCCCCTGTCTTTCCTTTCTCTTTCTGTTTCATCCCAGCCCTGAGGCTCCTCACTTCATACCACCTCCCACTTTTCTCTGCCCCATTTTCCCCAGCTCTCACCAGCCTCCATTTCTCTTTTTGCTCTAAGGAATTAAAGAAAACAAAGTCATCTCTGGTTAACAGACTTGGGGGATAGAGGAGGCCTCTCCACCCCCTAAATTGCTTCTCCTCTTTTCCCAGGCAAGAAGCGATCAACCATGTACAAATCATGAAAGAAACGGAGGCTTCCTACAAGGCCCAGAACCTCTACATCTTCCTGGAAAACATTGACCGCCTGCAGAGTCTCAGGCTGCAGGCCTGGACGGACAAGCAGAAGGGGCTGGAGGAGAAGCACCGAGAGTGCCTGAGCAGCATGGTGACCATGTTCCCCAAGGTGGGCCTCCCGCCCTGACCCCCCCGCCACTCCGCCTCCTGGGGTCAGCACAGCCAGTCGGCTTGGGGCCTGAAATGAACCCGTGGGGATGTGGCTGAGACTGCGGGACCAGGGGCAGAAGGGAAAGGAGAAGGCAGGATAAAGCCTCTGCACCAGGGAGAGGTGAAGGCAGGTGGTGGCCTGAGCATGGGGGTGGGCAGCTTTCCAATCTGTTTCTGGGGAGAGCAACCCAGAGAGAGAGAGATGTCTCTTCAAAAAGATCTGTGGAAGAGAAGAGTTCTTCTGGAGAAGAGGAGGCAGCTGGATCCTGCAGTCCTGGCTCTGGGCTGTGATTCTCCCTCCCCTGTGGTTCTCCGTGCCTTGCTCCTGTCAGTCTGGTGGCTCTCCAGGCTTGGTGCACAGCCGTCATCTTCACTGTCTCACAGGGACTTGCTTTGCTTCTCCCTGAATCAGCTCCTTGGCTTTCTAGATTCCAGGTCTCTTCTTCCTTTGTTCACTTCCTTGTTTTAGTAGAGTCCCTCCTCCACTCACTTTCTGACAACGATTGCATGGGAGGTTAAGTCACTGAGACCCTGGTTGTCTGAAAATGTCTTTACTTAATATCTATCCTCACTCTTAATTGACTGTTTGCTTGGATGTGGAAGTCTAGCTTAGAATCCATTTTCCCTCATAATCCCTCAAAATGTGTTTGCTTTGAGACAGAGTCTCGCTCTTTTGCCCAGGCTGGAGTGCGGTGGCACAATCTTGGCTCACTACAACCTCCACCTCCCAGGTTCAAGCTATTCTCCTGCCTCAGTCTCCCGAGTAGCTGGGATTATAGGTACCCACCACCACACCTGGATAATTTTTGCATTTTTAGTAGAGACGGGGTTTCACCATGTTGGCCAGGCTGGTCTTGAACACCTGACCTCAAGTGATCCACCTGCCTTGGCTTCCCAAAGTGCTGGGATTACAGGCATGAGCCACCACACCCGGCCACAATTTTTATTATTTATTATTTATTTAAAATGTTTTATTGTATATATTTAAGGTTTATAACATGACATTATAAGATACATATATAGTAAAATGGTTACCATAGTAAAACAAATTAACATATCCATCATCTCACATAGTTGCCATTTTTCTCTCTCCTCTGGCAAGGGCAGTAGTAATCTACTCATTTGGCAAAAATCCTGAACACAATACACTATTAACTATAATCCAACACATAGAGCTTTCAGTTTCTTAGTCCTATGTATTTGCTACTGTGTATCCTTTGGTCTATGTCACCCCATTTCCTCCCACCCCCACCCCAATTCTGGTAACCACTGTTTTATTTTCTGTCTCCTCAATTCGGCCTTTTGTTTTTTTTAGATTTCACATATAAGTGAGATCATGCGATATTTTTCCATCTATGCATGGCATATTTCACTTAGCATAATGTCCTCCGGGGCCAACCATATTGTGGCAAATGGCAGGATCTCCTTTTTTAAGGCTGAATAATATTCCACTGTATATACAGTTATGCATCACTTAATGATGGGGTTGTTATGGGAAATGTGTTGTTAAGCAATTTTTTGTTGTGTGAACATTACAGGGTATACTTCCACAAACCTAGATGGGATAGCCTGCTACACACCTAGACTATATGGTGTAACCTATTGCTGCTAGGCTGCAAATCTGTGCAGCATGTGACTATTCTGAATACTCTAGGCAGTCAGAACACAATGGTGAATATTTGTGTTATCTAAACATAGAAAAAGTACAGTAAAGATATGGTATTATAATCTTATGAGACCACGGTCATATATGTGGTCCATCATTTACTGAAATGTTGTTATGCAGTGCACGACTGTATATACCAGAGTTTCTTTCATTGGTCCACTGATGGGCACCTCGGTTGTTTCCATATCTTGGCTACTGTGAGTAATACTGCAATGGACATGGGAGTCCAGATATCTTTTCAAGGTGGCGATTCTGTTCCTTTGGGTATATACCCAGAAGAGAATCCCTGGGTCATAGTAATTTCATTTTTAATTTTTTTAGGAGCCTCCATACTGTTTTCCACAATGGCTGTACTAATCTACCTTCCTATGAATAGTGCACAGGGTTCCCTTTTCTTCACACCCTTGCCATGACCTTGCTATCGCCTGTCTTTTTGATAATAGTTCTTCTAGCAGTGTGAGGTGATAGCTCATTGTGGTTTTGATTTGCATTTCCCTGATGATTAATGATGCTGAGCACCTTTTCATATACTTGTTGGCCATTTTTATGTCTTTTTTTTTTTAAAGACATCAAGTTTATTAGAGCAACAGTGTGCAACAGAATGGCTGCTCCACAGACAGAGCAGGGCTGTCCCATAGGCAGAGTGGCCCAGAGTACCTATGTCTTTTTTGGATAAATGTCAGTTGAGGTCCTTTGCCCCTGCTTTTTTTTTTTTTTTTTTTTTGAGACGGGGGTCTCACTATATTGCCGAGGCTAGTCTTGAACTCCTGCTCTGCCTATTTTATTATTTTTAGTTTGCTAAATGCCTTGTTTATTCTGCAAACAAGGCTTATTAAAAAAAAGAAATGTACAGACACACTTTGTAGGTTGAGAAATCTCTGTGTAGTTGTGACTTCACAACTATACTTCGGCAAAAGCAGTAATGACGGTGGCTTCTGAACACATTAATCTACCATTGTTTTGTCTAGAGCGAACACAGTGAGAATGGATTCCTAATGGCCTGTTTCTCTAAGTGATCGTCACATTTCGCTGCTCTAGTCTTATTTTTATTTATTTATTTTTTTGAGACGGAGTCTCGCTCTGTCGCCCAGGCTGGAGTGCAGTGGCGCCATCTCGGCTCACTGCAAGCTCCGCCTCCCAGGTTCACGCCATTTTCTGCCTCAGCCTCCCGAGTAGCTGGGACTATGGGCACCCACCGCCACGCCCGGGTAATTTTGTTGTATTTTTTAGTGGAGACGGGTTTTCACTGTGTTAGCCAGGATGGTCTCCATCTCCTGACCTCGTGATCCGCCTGCCTCAGCCTCCCAAAATGCTGGGATTACAGGCGTGAACCACCGCGCCCAGCCACTTGCTGCTCTAGTCTTTAAGAACTAGTGGAGCCTTCACTTGAGCTGCCATCTCCTTGCTGCTCAGGGCTTCAACAATTGTAATCACAAACTCAAAGCTGGTCCTAGGCCCTGGGCTTATAAGAATTTCAGGCCGTCCTTTTCCACACGATTCTCAGAGTAGGTGTAATGGCTTCCATTCATCATTTTGTCCTTAGCAAGCGGGAGTGTTGTAACTTTACTTCCAAAACTGATCTCATGAGCCATCAGAGCAGTAGGACCTGCACAGATAGTGGCTATAAGGCCCTTCTGGTTTTCCTGCTCCTTTAGTATCTCCTTCACAGAAGCAGACTCAGGTAAATTCTGTGCACCCAGATTACCTCCTGGTAGAACTACTATGTCATATGGTCCCTCTTTTTTTGCATCTTCAAGACTGGCATCAGGACAAATGAAAACATCAAGGCTACACTGTACTGGGTCTTTTCCAGCCAGACCTGCAATGGTGACCTTAATCCCAGCTTGCCTCATGACATCTACAGGATGACCGTCTCCATTTCCTCTGCTCCTTTAGCCAAAAACTCAAAATAATAATTTAAAACTCAGGTTATATGTTTTCATGCTATTGTAGAACTATTTTATACTAAGACTTTAATTTATACAACGTGAATTTTCCTAACAATAATGTGAGCATATTTTCATGTGCTTATTTGTCATCCATTTATCTCCTTTGGCAAAGCATATTATTGGGTTGTAAAAATTCATCCCATATTCTGGATGCAAGTTCTATACCAGATCTGTATTTCGTGGATATTATCTTTCAGTCTGCGGCATTCCTTTTTTTTTTTTTTGAGACAGAGTCTTGCTCTGTTGCCCAGGCTGGAGTGCAGTTGTGCTATCTTGGCTCACTGCAACCTCCACCTCCCGGGTTCAGGCGATTCTCTTGCCTCAGCCTCCCAAGTATCTGGGATTACAGGCATGCGCCACCATGCCCAGCTAATTTTTGTATTTTTAGTAGAGATGGGTTTTCACCATGTTGGCCAGGCTGGTCTCAAACTCCTGACCTCTGGTGATCCACCCACCTTGGCCTCCCAAAATGTTGGGATTACAGGCGTGAGCCACCACACCCGGCCTGTGTAAGATATTTTGAGAGCAAGAGACCAACCACATTCACGTAACTTTTATTATAGTATATTGTTAAAATTGTTCTATTTTGTTATTGTTATTAATCTCTTACTCTGCCTAATTTAAAAATTAAACTTTATCATAGTTAAGTATATACAGGAAAAACAGTGTATAAAGGGTTTGGTACTGAGGTTTCAGGCGTCCACTGGGGTTCTTGAAATGTATCCCCCAAGGATAAGGGGGATCTACTATATGCAAAACCGAAAGCTATACAACAATGAGAAACATTAAGAGGGAAATTCAGGTGTAAGTGAAGACATTCCTCTGAATTCCCAGGTTTCACTGAGCATCAAAACCCACCAATCTTTCAGTCCTTTTCTTGAATATTATTCTGTATACACATTCTCTGCATCTGATTGGATCCCTGGATTTTATTTCATTTTCTGCATGACATCCTCCACAGATATATATCATTGGCTGCTGCCTTGGGGGTTGAATGTCCTGGGTGTCATTGTGAGCCCCTTTTTACTCTGAGTGTCTTTCTAGTTTTGGCCCAAGTACCCACCACAAACTCCAACCCACCAATTCCCTACCTACCCAGCACTGAGAAATGGCATCTTAATAATATTTATTCTTTCAATTCATGAGCATGCTGTATATCTCCAGTTATGTCTATTTATTTCAGTTTTATAGGTTTATTATTCAAATACTCTGAAGCTCTGTAATTAGGTGCATACACATTTAAGATTGCTTATGTACTCTTGAAAATTTGACCTTTACTATTTATTTTTATAGAGATGAAGTTTCACTATGTTGTCCAGGCTGGTCTCCAAATCTTGCCCTTAAGCGATCCTGCCACCTTGACCTCCCAAAGTATTGGGATTACAGCATGAATCACCTTACCTGGCCCAAAATTTGGACTTTTATCCTTATGAAATGGCCCTCTTTCTTTTCTTTTTTTTTTTTTTGAGATGGAGTCTTGCTGTCACCCAGGCAATGCAGTGGCACCATCTTGGTTGGCTCACTGCAAACTCCACCTCTCAGGTTCAAGTGATTCTTGTGCCTCAGCCTCCCGAGTAGCTGGGATTACAAATGCCTGCCACCACACCTGGCTAATTTTTGTATTTTTAGTAGAGACGGGGTTCGCCATGTTGGCCAGGCTGGTCTCCAATTCTCAACCTCAGGGGATCCGCCCACCTGGGCCTCCCAAAGTGCTGGGATTACAGGCATGAGCCACCCACACCCGGCCGTTTGTTTCTAATTATATTCCTTGCTCTTCAGTGTACATCAGTATTGATATAGTCACTGCAGCTTTTTAAATATTTTTTACTATTTGCATGGTATACCTTCTTCCACTCTTTCACTGTTAACCTCTGTGTCTATATATTATTTACTGGAACACTTCATGAATTTGTGTGTCATCCTTGCACAGAGGCCATGCTAGTAGTCTTCTCTGTATTATTCCAACTTTAGTATATGTGCTACCGAAGTGAGCACTGTGTCTCTATATTTAAATTGGGTTTTTAATTGATACCTTATAGTTGGGTCTTGCTTTTTTATGCAATCTGTCAATCTCTGCCTTTTATTTGGTGGTTTTAGGCTATTTATATTTGATGTGATTATCAACGCAGTTGAGTTTAAATATATAATTTGCTCTTCATTTCTATTTGTCTAATCTGTTCTTTGTTTTTTTCCCTCTTTTCCTGCCTTCTTGTGGAGTAACTGAGCTTTTCAAGTAAATTCATCTTATCTCCACTCCTGACATATTACATATTAGCCATACCTCTTTGTTTTGTTATTTTTTATTTTTATTTTTTGAGAGAGTCTTTCTCTCTCTCCTAAGCTGGAGTGTGGTGGTGCGATCTCAGCTCACCATAACCTCCGCCTCCTGGATTCAAGCGATTCTCATGCCTCAGCCTCCTGAGTAGCTGGGATTACAGGCACCCGCCACCATGTCCGGCTAATTTTTTTGTATTTTTAGTAGAGACACGGTTTTGCCATGTTGGCCAGGCTGGTCTCGAACTCCTGGCCTCATGTGATCCACCCGCCTCAGCCTCCCAAGGTGCTGGGATTACAGGCTTGAGCCACCATGCCCAGCCTGTTTTGTTATTTTATTATTATTATTTTTTGAGACAGAGTCTCACTCTGTTGCCCAGGCTAGAGTGCAGTGGCATGATCTCGGCTCACTGCAACCTCCAACTCCCAGGTTCAAGAGATTCTCCTGCCTCAGCCACCTGAGTAGCTGAGATTATAGGTGCACACCACCACGCCCAGCTAATTTTTGTATTTTTAGTAGAGACTGGGTTTCACCATGTTGGTCAGGCTGGTCTCGAACTCCTGATCATGTGCTCTGCCCACCTCGGCCTCCCAAAGTGCTGGGATTACAGGCGTGAGCCACTGCACTCTAGGGTTTACAATATAAATCTTTAACTTATCATAGTCTACTTTCAAATAATATTATTTCATGTGTAAGAACCTTACAATAGTATACATCTATTTCTTCCCTCCCGGCCTTTGTCCTACTGTTGTCATACATTTTGTCTCTATGTAACTTATAAATCCCCTAATGCAGTTGGCCCTCTGTATCTATGGGTTCTGCATCTGTGGATTCAATCAACCACAGATCAAAAATATTCGGAGAAAAAAATAGATGGTTGTGTCTGTGCTGAACATGAACAGACTTTTTTTTCTTGTTATTCCCTAAACAGTATAACAACTACTTAGATAGTGTTTATATTATATTAGGTATTATAAGTAATCTAGAGACCATTTAATATATACAGGAGGATGTGGGTGGGTGATATGCAAACACTGCACCATTTTATATAAGCATGTGAGCATCC
This sequence comes from Homo sapiens, assembly GCF_000001405.40. NCBI lineage: Eukaryota > Metazoa > Chordata > Mammalia > Primates > Hominidae > Homo > Homo sapiens. The sequence continues at coordinate 49,591,757 of NC_000012.12, read as the reverse complement.
ACAAATTTTGGTGCCTGTGAGGAGTCCTGGAGCCAATACCCCACGGATAGCAAGGGACAACTGTACATTGTTATTACTTTTCCCTTAAGCAAAGGGAAAAGAATAATCTATTTACCCCCACACTTAACATTTCCAGTGCTCCTTACTCTTTTGTGTAGATCCAAATGTATTTTGGGTATCATTTTCCTTCTGCCTGAAGGATTCCTTTAACATTTCTCACACTGCTTATCTGCTGGTGATGAATCCTCTCAGCTTTGGTGTCTGAAAAGGTTTATTCAGCTTTCAGTTTTGAAAGATGTTTTTGCTGGATGTAGAATTCTAGGTGGGCAGCTTTTTCTTTCGGTATTTTACAGATGTAAACACAAACTCTTCCCAGGGATATATGAGCTCTGAGGATGGTTCTGCCTGTTCTTGCCCAGTGATTCTTCCCCCAGCCTTGGTGGTTTCCTCCCAGGCCTGCACAGAGACTTAACGGGACCCCTCTGCAGAGCTTTGGAGATTCCTTGCCATGTGGCTTCCTCCTCTCTGGTACTCTGGTTTTCAAATTCTAGTCACCTTGGCTTCCCTGATACCCAGATGCTGTCTCCTCATCTCAGCAAGGCTGCTGGCTTCTGTTTGGGTTCCCTGCCCTGTGCTGGGGCCTGGACATTGTCTCATTTGTTTCATTCCTTTTGGGGATCATTGACCTGCACTGCCTGTTGTCTGAATGGGTATACATCATTTTTTCATCTATTCTGTTTGGCCTACTAGTTGTTTACAGGAGAATAGTAAACTAGTCCTTGTTATTCCATTATCACTAGTTTATCTCCTCAAAAAAAATCCTATACTATTAAGATTCATTTTAAATGTTAAAAGTTCCAAGAATTCCTATATACTAGTAGTTTTACTTTTTATTTATTCAATTTTTGTACAATTTTAAGTATGTACTTACATTCTTGGGCTCTTGGCAAAAAATCCATTGCCCCTCAGGGGACCATGCCCTATGGGTTAGGAACCATATGGGTTTAGGCCAACAGAATGAGAAGGTATCACTCACTCTCTTAATCTCTACACTTGGAGCCTATCCTCATCTTTTCCATGTCCTTACTGAGACCTCGTGTTTTTCCTCTGAAAACTAACACTAGCAGAAACCTTACTCTTTCACCCCCTCCCCACCACCCCACTTTACCTTGGCAGAATTCAGTAAAGTAACCATCCAAAATGTATAGACCTGGTTTTAACATTCATACATCAAGTACAACCCAAATAAATCCCAAGATGTTATGTGATCTGGTTATGCCATTGTATCCATTATATCCCATTCAGAGATATAATGCTCACTCACCTGCCAAAAATAATAAAAAAGTAACCCCAATCTTTAATTGGGTCACTCATAATCACTAAAGTGGGTCCAACTTATAATTCACAATCATGAGATTTTCTTATTTTTTCCTCTCCTCTGCCATTCTCTCATATCCAGAAAACCTCTTTAAACTCCAAAACAGTCTTTGACACCCAAACTTCCTTTTCTCTTTGTTTAGATAAATGATTACTAATCTATGGGCCATACACCACTGAGGGATAATGGATCCATGTGTATACCACTAATTGTCTATATACTGAATTACTAAAAAAAAACTTATATTGGAATCCTTGAAACTTCTGACATTTAAAATAAATGCAAAATAGTATACAATTAAAAAAAAAAGGCCAAAGAGATAACAGCTGAAACTTGGGAATAATGGAATAAAAGACTCCTATATTCTCCTCTTTTGACTTTTTTTTTTTTTTTTTTTTTTTGGAGACAGAGTCTCGCTATTGCCAGGCTGGAGTGCAGTGGTGCGATCTCGGCTCACTGCAACTTCTGCCTCCTGCGTTCAAGCAATTTTCCTGCCTCAGCCTTCCGAGTAGCTGGGACTACAGATGCACGCCACCACACCCAGCTAATTTTTGTATTTTTAGTAGAGACGGGGTTTCACCATGTTGGCCAGGATGGTCTCAATCTCTTGACCTCATGATCTGCCTGACTTGGCTTCCTAAAGTGCTGGGATTACAGGCATGAGCCACCGCGCCCAGCCTTGATTCTTTATTATAGATATATAGATATAGATTTAACTTCTTTGTCTTTTTTTTTTCACTGATGTTTTGCCCGTTTCTAGATTCTCTACAACAGATGTAAAACAGGAACCCAGCAAATTAGAATTCATACCCTTTGGGACGATTAATAATTTTGTCCCCATTATACAAGTATTGAGTTTATATCCATATCCATCTTTCATATGGCAGGAATAGCTCTCTGCACCACCCATGAGTATGGGATCTTTCCCTGCCAGACTCCTTCATTTGCAACACTGGCTTTGGGATGAGCAGCCCTCAGCTCAAGACCTGAGGCTCAGGCTGCCAGGAGCAGAAAAGCAGCAAGTGCCGACGTGGTCCCTAGGGGCAGCTTGGAGGGATTGGAGGAGCCCAAAGTTGTGAGTCAGAGCCTGCTGGGACCTGCCCTAGGGTTGGGTCAGGAGGTACCACCTGCCCCCGAGTCTTGAGTGGCAGTGGCCTGAGTCTAGGGGAGGCAGCATGCTGAGGCATTGGTGTGAGGGCTGGCATCAGGCAGCCAGAAGAGCCTTGGCCATGGAGGTTTCATATCACCTTATACCAGTCCAGATAATCTCCTAGAGGCATCTTGACTGGCTGTTTGTTTGGGGATTGAGAATGAAAGGGATATGACAATTCTTTGAGTGGCTGTGAAGGTTCCCCCAGCTCCTCACCCAGTGCCAGGGCTGGGGCTGGACGAAAAGATACCCAGTGCAGTCCAGGCACAACCTGGCCCCCTGCCATGAACCCTGCCTGGAGCTGCTCTCATGGGTTCCAGCTGCTCTGGTTTCATTTTCTTCCTTGCTGTTTTGCCCATTATCCAGCTTCCTCACAACAAAGGAGAAAACAGGAACTAACACAGCAAAAAAGAGTTCAAGGAGTTTCCAGCAAAGGTCTGATACCTTGTGGTCCCAGGGTTTCTAATTGAAGGGATTCCCTGGGCCTTACCCTCTCCACTCAGCCCTGAGTCCAGCAGGGGCACCAACAAACAGACAAAGCCTCCTCACGACCTAGAGAGGAGATAACTTCCTGTTTCCCTGATGCCTCTCTGCTGGTTCCTCTAGCTCCAGCTGGAGTGGAACGTTCACCTGAACATCCCTGAGGTCACCTCGCCAAAGCCAAAGAAATGCAAGTTGCCTGCAGCCTCACCCCGGCACATCCGCCCCAGTGGCCCCACCTACAAGCAGCCCTTTCTGTCTAGGCACCGGGCATGTGTGCCCCTGCAGATGGCCCGGTAGGTTCTGGGAAGCTGAGGGGGCAGCAGCTGTATGGGTGAAGAGGCAGGGAGCAGGGGTGACCAGCCTGGGGAGGTGGGCAGTGAAGTGAGGGCACCAACAGGCCAATATCACCCTACGAGTTGCAAAGTGCCTGTCTTCTCAGCTGCCCTCCCCAGTGCTGGCCACTGACCCACAGGTGGGGTGTATGTCATAGTGTGTGGGCTTCAGGGACTAGCCTGACCAGTGCATTTCAAACTATGCGACGGAAAGACTCTGAGGACCCACACCTGAAAACTTATAACCTTTCTACCCTGAGCATCGATTTGGCATCTGCCGTTGGTCTGTCCTATAAACAAGCCTGAACCTCCCCACCATGTGACCTGCAGGCTCTGGAGACACTGTGAACCTCTGGGGCGCTAAAAGGACCCTGGTCCACACCTACCCTTGCATGGCCTAGATCAGGGCTTCTGCCCCAGGGCCTGTTCCTTGAAGGACAGGGGCCGCCCTGGGAACCTCTTCCAGCAGCTCCTCAGCCAGAGGAGCCCCAAGGAAGTGAGATTCAGACTCAGTGTTGGAGGGGAGATGAGGAGGGCAGTGACACACTCGATTTGAGAAGGGAAGGAGACAAAGCTCACTTGGGCCTGATGGCTCTGGAGAGTCTCTTGCATCTCAATCTCTCTCTGTTGCTTTTCACATTCTCCAAACTCCCCACTCCCAGCCAACAGGGGAAGCAGATGGAGGCTGTCTGGAAGACCGAGGTGGCCTCCTCCAGTTACGCAATAGAAAAAAAGACCCCTGCCAGCCTTCCCCGGGACCAGCTGAGGGGACACCCAGATATTCCCCGGCTGTTGACACTGGACGTGTAGTCCTCCTGCCACAAAAGCCTGAACTTCCTGAAGGCCCAGTAAGGTGCGAGGCTGATGGTCAATGTGGATTCTCCCCAATAAATCTCTCTCCAGGCTTTAACAATGACCTCATTTGCTATCCCACACCAGATAGAGAGAGGCTAACCTGGTTCCTTTGCTCGGCGGCTGTAAGCGGGGTCCCCATGCCAACAGCACTTCGGTTCTGGTGAAGGGTTTCCTTAGTGTCTCAGAGGCCACCAGGGGGCTTTTCCTTCACACTGGCCTCCTGGGCTGCACATAAATTCTGAAGAGCCCCATCTCACCCTAGCCTTGGGGGTGGTTCTCAGGGGAGCCAGGTGTAGGGAGGGAGAGATGAGGGAGCCCTTGGACTGCCTGAGAAACCTGAGCCTTGGGCCTGGGCCTGTCACTTCCTTTCCTTACTATCTTCAAGAACGGTCCCTAGAAAGAACAGCTGAGGGGACAGAGGTGGGACTCCAGGGGCCAACAAGAGGCTTTTCTGGTTAGAAGTCTTAGCTCTCCTTTGCCTCTCTGGGCTTGTAGATGTCACTACTGGAGGCTCAAGGCTCTTTTAAGGACCCTCTCTACATGAGCAATCCCATCTGCCTCCTGTGACCCTGGCCCTGTGTCAGTTACAGATCCCCAATGGGGAGAGGGTCCTGATGCCTCCAGTCTAGACCTAACCAGAGCCAAGAGCCTGAAGATACTGGTGCTTCTCCCATCCTCCAACTGGAGACCTCAGTGAGACAGGGAGGCATAGCAGCATCAAAGAGGGCGAATCCCTGGCCGCACCTGCGCTCTGAAATGGGCCAGCATTCCAGCTGAGAGTCCTATCATTCCAGCCCACCCAGTGCAGAAACCTGGTTTCCAATTCCTGGAGGGTTTCCAAGGGGGATGTGCATGTGTGTTGCTGTTGGTTGTTGATTTAGATACAGCGAACAGAATGGAGAATAACCAAAACAACACTGTGGGAGAACACTGTAACCCAGTGGTCAACTGGGGCCTGGCCTGGCAGAGATTTGGTTAAACTTACCCAAAGACCTCCCCATCGTGGGGTCTCTCCTCTCCGCATCCCTTCCCTGCCTGGGATCTGCCCAGCTTCTGAGTCTCGGGCAAGCCCCTTTGTTCTTTCCACACACGGAGATATGTGCATATAAATATCAGGGGTATGCACCCCACTTGAGCCCATACACTCATGACGTCAGTAACTTTCTGAAAATATAGAGGGATAGTGAGAAACGGGATTCATTTTGAACAGCACCAAGCAGCAGCCTCCTTTCTTCCCTCTTTCCCCGCCTCTCTGGTAAAACATGCACAATTCTAAAATTCCTTCATGTCTCAAGCAGAGCTGTTCCACCCACACCCAGGCCTCCACTGGGATCCCAGTTTCAGGCTTAAGGCACTTATCAAAATATTGTTCCCAGCAAAGACAGCTTCCCCTTTCTAAGGGAACTTAGATGAAGACAATTTTCTTCCTGCTTTCAACCCTGTACCTGTTTACTGCGTTGATCTCACCACCAGGTGCAGAGGCAGAGCCTGCTGTGCTGTCTTCTTTACCCACATCCCAGGCTGCCACCACCTCCCTGCGTGTCAGGCTGCTCCTGATGTCTCAGTGTGGGGGCTCCCTGCATTGTCTTGGGGTCCGCTATTTTGGCATGAGGATCTGCTGGTCTCTAACAAAAGTTCTCTGTCCCTGCCCAGGCTGCTACCTCAGGGTGGTGGCCGTGCTGCCTCCTTTGGGCGTGCCCTCCTGGACATTGCTCCACTCCCTGAAGTGCACCTTTTCTCGGGCCACCTGCTCCTGGCCCACCATGGATCCTCACATCCACCTGCTGCGTGGTGCTGGCTCACTCACCTCTTTGTGGTCCTGCCGACCTCACCGGCTCCCCTGGCCATGCTGTCTGGCGCACAGCCCCATCTGGGTTCATAACTAGGCCTGACCTCATGTCCCATTCTCCTGGTCTGCCTAGCACTGACGGCCTGTTCATCTCTGAGCCCACTGGGGCGTCCTCTCGGCATGTGAGGGAGGGCTGCTCATCTTCCCTCCATGGTTTGAGATGCTAGAAGATTGCATCCCTCAAAACCCAGCAGCCCCCCTTCTCTGAGATTTTTTTCAGCTTTGTCTTACAAGCATGTCCCCTGGGTTCTCTGTCTGACAGGTGGGAGAGCTGTGTGTGTCTGCAGATCCCAAATGCTTTCTGTAGCTGGACAATCTTAGCCTTGACTCTGAGTGCTATGCCCTCCCCTTGCTCAGGGTCTGTTCCTGCACAGCTAAAAACACGCTGGTACAGGCCGGGCATAGTGGCTCACGCCTGTAATCCCAGCACTTTGAGAGGCCGAGGTGGGCAGATCACGAGGTCAGGAGATTGAGACCATCCTGGCTAACATGGTGAAACCCCATCTCTACTAAAAATACAAAAAATTAGCCGGGCATGGTGGCGGGCGCCTGTAGTCCCAGCTACTCAGGAGGCTGAGGCAGGAGAGTGGTGTGAACGCAGGAGGCAGAGCTTGCAGTGAGCCAAGATTGCGCCACTGCACTCCAGCCTGGGGACACAGCGAGACTCCATCTTAAAAAACAAAACAAAACGAAACAAAAAACCATGCTGGTACACGTGTACACCGAGATGCACATGAACAGACTCACACAGGCATCTAACATGCTGGAGACGACAGGAGGGCTTACAATGCGGCCTCTGGGAAAGAGACTAGATGGGGCTAGGGCTGAGGAAACATGGATGGGTGGGAAGGAGCAAAGAATGAGGGGAGGGAAGAGGAAGTCTTTTGTGAGGTCAGGCAAAAGGCAGATTCGCAGGAAGAGAAGCAGAGCCCCTGGGACTTGGGAGGACGTTGTGTTGAGCAGTTCTGTGTCCAGGCTGAGTCTGGGCTCAGCTCTGGACTTGGCTCTGGGAAGTGCTCAGGTGTGGGATGGCACTCACATGGCCTGGGCCTTGTCTCAGTTACTCCCCCACCTGTAACTCTACTAACTCTTGCAGCGCCTCAGCGAACCAAAGGAAGGAATGCCAGGAACCTACAAATGAATCCGCTTAGCTTGTTCAAAAAAAGTCAAGCGAGTCACTCCCTGGAACCCAAATAAGCCAGAAGGATCAAGACAGCCCCAGTCTCCACTGCATCCCTCAGCCAGTGATTCTCAACCTTCTGAGGGACGGAAACCCACAGAGAACTTGGTCAAAATGCAGGTTCCCAGCTGGTGCTTTTAAAGAAACCCTCTGGGGGTTGCTGAGTACTCCTAGAACTTTGAGAAACACTGCTTCCCTCCTGCAGTCCCCAAACTCTACATTTTAATAAAATAGAGGTTGGTTTATTTTAAAATTCTGTCTCATTGCTGAAACCCACACCTCCTCAACTCAGTTTTAGAACCCTCTGAGTGTTGTCTGTGTCCTTTGGGAGCAAACATGCCGAGATAGCTGTGATTGGCACCTGGCACTTAGTAGGTGTAACTCTTCATTTAATCAAAATATGGACAGATATGTCACTGACATGCCAGTGATCTGCATGAAAGCTCAGAAGGTGAGAACAAAAGGAGATACCAAATACAGACCAGAGCCAGGTGTCATAAGGTGGGAGGCAAAGGTGAGCGTGTCTCTGAGGACAAAGGTGGAAGACATGGAGACATGAGGTTCAAATATAGACGGTGTGGGCTAAGGAGGCCGTCTCTGGCAAGCGTCTGTCAGTTCAGTTAAGACACTAATTCGGTTAGTTCAATCAGCTCACGAGCACCTACACACCCTCCTCTTGACACACAGCTGCTTGCCTGGTCCCTGCTGAGTCTCCCCCACCCTGTCCTTCTCCACTCACCAGCACCCTTGGCCTAGGGAACAGGCATACAAATAGGAAATTACCCCATCCTCAGAGAACCCATGTCCAGCGGTTCTCTTCCTCAGGAATGGCGCCCATCCTTGCTTCCAGCCTAAGGCTGAGACTCCAGAAAGCTGAGGAGGATGTGGGGTGTGAACAGCTGGTTCTGTGGATGATGCCAGGAGTAGGATTTGTTTTCTGAGTCGCAGCTTAAGATATCGCGAGGATGCCTAGTGTGGGAGGAAGGGGAGTTGGCATCATGATGCAGGACACATGCACAGCACAGCTGTGCTGGCCCTGGGCTGTTTCCAGCCTCTCGGGTCCCAGGCTCTTTCTTTTCTGGAGGCCTCACCCCAATGATACTTAACATCTTAAAATGCCCTCACACTAAATGTATCGCTCTAAATAATTAGAAAGCATTTTTATAACCTTGCTTCAGAAATTAACTGGCTATGAGTAAGTTATTTAATGTGTACTTAGCTGTGAGTGACATCTCAGCAATCAGAATGCACAGAGAAGAAATTGAACAAGTTTTATAAATGTAATGAGACTATTTTGAATATTAAATTTGACAGTGAATGAAACTGACAATATTATGTTTTATAAAGATTTCATACTATTCATACATTCTTTGTTTTTATATTTTGGCACCCATATTTTCAAAGGTTTCATGTTTTCACAGGCTCTTGGCACTGTGCTTAAGGGGCCTGGTGGCTGAACTTGCTCTGGTGATGGAGGACTTTGACCTTCTGCACGTCCTCTAGCGAGCTCTCTGGCAAGCATGCAGAGTGTCTGACATTCTTCTCCTGCTTTGGTAACAATTTCATCTTCTTAAAGGCAAAGAAAGCCTGCACGGGCCAAGCTGTGAAGCCAAGAGGGTTGGAAGACAAATATATATGTGTGTGTATCTTTGTGTATATATGTGTGTGTATGTATACGTTTGTGTATATATGTATGTATTTATGTAGCTGTGGATGTATTTATGTATGTATGTGCACATGTGTGTATATGTGTATGTGTGTGTATAAATGTGTATGTGTGTATACATGTATGTGTATGCATGTGTATATATGTGTAAGTGTGTGTGTGTGTGTGTGTGTCGGGTGTTTTTCTAGTGATGAGGTTCACTGATACTATACAGGAGCCTAATTTTTTTTAAGAGCAAAGTTGACATTTCTGGTCAATGTATTGCTTCTACCCCCAAAAAATTCAGGGAAGACAAGGCATGGGAAGGAGTATTTTTTTGAGCATTGCTTCAAGCCATATTCGGGGACTGGCCATAGCTCTGCTTGCATGGCCCACAGCCTCAGATGAGGAACCAAAACAAATGTGGAAGATGACATGGGAGAAGGGTCTACTCTGGCCTTGACTAACTGCAGAGGCATACAGTGGAAAGGAGAAAACCCCTTCAAAAACAACCCAGGCATAGAGCCAGGGAGGGGAAAGCCATGCATGGTCTGAAAAGTCAGAAAACAGATGAGCATGATTCTATGATCAGAGGAGTCACCTTCTCAAGAAGAGAAGATGTGTATGGCTGGGATGCTGTTAACTATCAAGTGAGGGCTTTGAAGGCAGGAATTTGAAGGTAGCTACATCTAACATGTTACAGGATCTGCCTCTAACAGGTGGGCAACATGCAGGAACAGACGTGGAATTTGAGTAGAGAGAGGGAATTGTACAAAAGAAATGGAAACTTGAAGATGCCAGAAATGAAAATCTTGCTGGGTGCAGTGGCTCACGCCTGTAATCCTAGCACTTTGGGAGGCCAAGGTGGGCGGATCATGAGGTCAAGAGATCGAGACAATCCTGGCCAACACGGTGAAACCCCGTCTCTACTAAAAACACAAAAATTAGCTGGCCATGGTGGCACGTGCCTGTAGTCCCAGCTACTTGGGGGGCTGAGGCAGGAAAATTGCTTGAACCCAGGAGGTGGAGGTTGCAGTAAGTTGAGATTGTGCCACTGCACTCCAGCCTGGTGACAGAGTGAGACTCTGTCTCAAAAAAAAAAAAGAAAAGAAAAGAAAAGAAAATCTTAACATCAGAGATATAGAAATCCTTTGGCAGGTTTATCAGCCAACTAGACAAAAGCAAGGCAAAAAAATATGTGAATTGAGGCAAGATCAATAGAAATTAGCCAACTATAACACAGAGAGAGTAAAAACAAAGCAACAAATCAGCAACCCCCAAACCAAACACCCAAGATGTGTGGGACAATACCAATGGTTTCACACACATGTGATCAAAGTCCCAGAAAAAGGGAGAAGAAATATTTAACAAGCTACTTGAAGAGATAATCACTGAGAATTTCCAAAATTAAAGACAAGAAGCCACAGATCCAAGGAGCTCAGAGAACTGAAGCAAGATAAATACAAAGGAAAACATACCTCAGCATATCATAGTCAAACCTGAAACCAAAGATGAGAGAACTTGAAAGCAGCCAGAAAGAAAAAGTTACCCAGTAAAGTAAAAAATAAAGCAGTCTTCTCAGGCAGTCTTGTAAGTTATGGGTCCACTAGATAACCCAGGAGCCTTCTAGAATATTCCTCCATTTGGGGGCAATTAGCTTAAGCAGGTAACATCCCAGCCAATTAGCCAATTAGGAGGCTGAGTGGCCTCCCATGCTCCAGTTCTACATATCCTGGCCCTGGCTCTTGTGTCACACCCTGCCCCTGCTCTCTGCACACCCTGGGAGGCCCTGCGCTGGCTGGTGGCTTCATCACCCCTCAAACACTATTTATTGCCTCTGAGCTGGGAGGAAGCTGAGCAGGTGGAGGCTGGATACACTAGTCACTGACCTCAGTGACCCTTGAGGCAGGCCCTGGGGTCTGACTGCTGCCTCACATTCTTTCCCAGGAGCTGAGCAGCCTGGAACAACCAAAGCCTGAGTCCAGCTAGTGCACCAGTCAGGGCGCTGCCACAGAGTTCACTGCCACAGGCAGCAGTGCTGTGAGCGGGCAGCTGCCAATGATTCAGGCCACCACTGGTCAAGAAGATTCGGTTTCCTCTCTCATCACCCCCAGGCTGTCTGTTAGGCGCCCCGTATCCTCACTCTCTGGAAGAGAGGAGAAGCCTTTCCTGCAGAAGCCACAAGGAGGCAGCAAAGTGCTTGTCTAAGGGCCTCAGCTGGCCTGGAGAGGGGCCGGGAATTCAAGAATTAGAAGGGAGGGAACTGCGGGAAGACTGACAGGAGGGGAGCTGGTGAGTTCCTGGGAAGGTGCAGGTGGAGCGTGGACAGCAAGTGCAGCAGAGGGAGAAGGCATTCCTGACCCATGCTGGGACACGGGGATCCTGCAGAGGACTCATGGTTGTGGAGTCTGCTCTCCCTTGGACTGGGGACCCTTCCTCCTCGCTTGATCGCCTACCCCCAGCAGGTCCTCTGCTCTGTATGGCACAGATCTATCCCTGCAAATGACCCTTTGGGCAGCAGTTTTTAGGAGCTCTGCCAGGAGGCCCTTCCCATGGACTTCCTCAAGCATGCAGCATGGCCCCATTGATTCATTTACTCATTCATTCATTCAACAAGTACCTATTAGGCACCTAACATGAGGCAGTGTTCTAGGTGTTAGGGATACTGTAGTGAGTAAAACAGATTTTTAAAAAGTGCTTTCATGGCCAGGTGCAGTGGCTCACGCCTGTAATCCCAGCACTTTCGGAGGCCGAAGCGGGCACATCATAAGGTCAGGAAATCGAGACCATCCTGGCTAACATGGTGAAACCCCATCTCCACTAAAAATAAAAAAAATTAGCCGGGCGTGGTGGCGGGCGCCTGTAGTCCCAGCTACTCGGGAGGCTGAGGCAGGAGAATGGCATGAACCCGGGAGGCGGAGGTTGTGTGAGCCATGATCGTGCCACTGCACTCCAGCCTGGGCGACTGAGCGAGACTCCATCTCAAAAAACAAACAAACAAACAAAAAACTGCTTTCACAAAGCTTACATTCTATGGGGGGAAAAGACAAGAAACAAAAATAAGTAGTAAAATGCACAGTTATGTCAGAACGTAAAAGGTTCCATGGAGAAACACAAATTTCAAGAGGGATAAGGCAGCAGAGTGCAGGGGAGTGGGTGTTACCATTTAAAGCAGAGAGGGCATGGCAGGACGTTTCAGTGAAGACTTGAAGCAGGTGAGGAGGTGAGCTGCGGGAAGGGCGTGCCAGGCAGGGAGAGCAGGCTGAGGTGAGAGCCTGCCTGGCACACTCAGGGGGCAGCAAGGTGCCCGGGGTACCTGGTGTGGGTGAGTGGGAGGGTGGGAGGAGCCACGTTGCAGAGGCCACTGGGAGGCCGGTCACACAAGGCCTTGTAGGCCACCGTAAGGACCTCTGTTCACCCGGAATGCAATGGGAGCCATTGCAGAATTCTAAGCAGAGAAGTGACATCATGTGCCCTTCAATTCAAGAGCATCGTCTGGCTGCAACCATGAGCATAGACTGGGAGCAGGGCGCAGGGAGACCAGCTGGAAGCTGTTTCAATTCCCACCCCATTCAGAAAGCCTAGTCATGAAGGCCGGACGTGGTGGCTCACGCCTGTAATCCCAGCACTTTGGGAGGCCGCGGTGGGTGGATCACCTGAGATTGAGTTTGAGACCAGCCTGGCCAACATGGTGAAACCCTGTCTCTACTAAAAAATACAAAACTTAGTCAGGCATGGTGGCAGGCACCTGTAATCCCAGCTTCTCAGGAGGCTGAGGCAGGAGAATCGCTTGAATTTGGGAAGTGGAGATTCAAGTGAGCCGAGATCATTGCACTCCAGCCGGAGAGACAAGAGTGAGACTCTGTCTCAAAAAAAAAAAAAAAATGCTTAGTCAATGAGCTCAGATGGCCCTTCCACCACGAAGCTTCCACTAATCCTCCCTAAGCCTCCCCTTCTCCTGGGGACGGGCTCTCCTGCCTTTGTGCGTGGATCTCTTCCAGCATTGGTCCATCTTGCCTTTGTTCTGGGATTATCGGTGAGCCTGTCCTCAACCCCACTAGACCTGAAACTCTTTAAGACGGATGCCCAGTTGCTCTCACAGCTGTAGCTTCCCCTCTACCCGGACCTTCAGAGGGCCATGCACACAGTAGAAACCAAGTCAAGCTTTCCCTAAGGAGTAAGTGCTCCCATCCCTCCTTGGCTGCCTCTGAGGCTTCTTCCGGGCTGTGTTTCTGCCTGGAGCACCACAATCGTTGTATTAAATGCTTGGCCACCATGACAGCCCTAGTGCCTTCTGTGAGCTGCATGTCACCGTCCCTCAGCACAGCCAGGTTTACAGGACACAGCTTGTCACCGGCCCATAAGGCAGCCTGTCAGCACTGGCAGGAAGCACACACAAACCAGTGAGTTTGCACAATCAGTGGCCTCTCTGGAGGCTCCCGAGGGCAATTAAATGTGTAATTTTTCATTTATTGATTCCTTAAACATTTATTGAGCACCTACTGTGGTGCCATGATCTGTATTAGGCAGCAGGGGCACGGAAGTGAGTAAAACTCATTTCCCAGGAGCCTACTGCAAACACAGGGTGCTGACTGGATGCAAAGCACTGGCACAGTTACAGAAATAAATTCAAGTATTGTCCTGAACTCCCGAGGACTCACAATCTACCCACCACTCCTTCAGCAATTGTACTGTGCCAAGTGCTGGAGTTGGCGATGAAAACAGAGGGGTCATGGCAAGCCTCGCAGGGTGACGCTTGAGTAGAGACTTGAAAAGGTGGGGAGGCAAGTCATGGGGGAATGGTGACATTGGGACAGACTCCCCTCACACGCCAGTGTGGAGAAAGAGTAGTAACTGGTAGGGAGCTAGTGTGGGAATGCAAGACAAAGTGCAACAGAGAATGGGGAAGACATATGGCAGTGAAGGTCTGGGGAGGCCTTTGGGACTAAGTGGGATCTCCATGAAATGTGGAAGGATGGGTGGAACTATTGCAGGGGGCGGGAGGCAGGAAATCCAAGGGAAAAGGACACTGTAAGCACAGAGCATGTTCATGTGGCAGCAAGCGGCCAGCCTGGGTGTAGTTCCACACCACGTGTTGTAGGAGATAAGCCCAGCTGGGGCTGGATGTGGATGGGCTTGAAGACCAACCAGAGGATGCTCCTCTGTAGGCAGTGGAGAGCCACTGATGACAACGTGGAGAATTTAAAGAAGAATGGAGACAGGGAGAGCAAGGAGAGGAGCAGGTGTGGAGGTGTGCACAACAGTCATGTAAAGAACCAGCTACAACTGTAGTCACTCACTCATGCCTTTGTTTGTCCACAGACATAGTTATTATGCACAAAACCTCATGCCGATTGAAGGTGGGATAAGACAGATGGGGAGAAAACAAAGAAAAATAAAACCCAGTTTATGTGGAGGATTTTAAATCAAGGGAGAGACAGACACCAGTAAAACCCGAGCACATTCTTCCTTGAGGTCCGTGATATGATGCTCTTCTTGGTTTCCCACCCACGTTCCCCACACTCCTCCAGCTCCCGCGGATTTTCATTCTCTTCTGCCTGTGTTCCCTAGGGGCTGCTCCAGTGCCTGGACTCTCCTCTCATGCCACAGGACATCCCAACATGACTTCAGATTGCCCTATTGCCTCAAACATCAGCTGTATGATGAAGATTCCCAAATCCATCCCCAATTCCAATCTCTCCTCTGAGTCATAGAGCTGTATATGCAAACGCTCAACTGCACATCCCAACTGGCTGCCCACTGGCACCTCCAACTCAATCAATGCAAATGAAACTCATCACCTTTCCTTCTCATCCCCAACCCTGCAGCTCCACTTGTGCCTCTGGTCTCAATGCATATCTGCCAGCCTCATCCACTGCCAAAGCCTGAACTGGGCATCATAGGTGCCTGAGCTCCTGCACCCATTCATGCAATCTCTCACCAAGCCCTGTCATCGTCTACATCTTTTGTGTCTTCCCCTCAGTGACTACCCTAAATTGGGCCACCAACTAATCTCCCTGGCTTCTGTTTTACTCTTTCAATCTATGCTCCATACTAAGCCAGAGATATCTAAAATGCTGGTCTAATTCCACACTTCTGCTTAAAAATTCATTAATGGCTCTTCATTCTTCTCAGGATAAAGTCCAATCATGGCCTATAAAGATTTTTGTGACAGCTCTTCAGCCTGGCTGTATGATATTCCATTGTATGCATGTGCAATGATTTATTTAATCAGTCCTCTAGTGAGAGATGTGTGAGTTGGTTTTTGCTAAACTTGCTAATATGAACAATGCTCCAGCTGATAACTGTTTTCTTTTTTTTTTCTTTTTAAGAGAGGCGGTCTCACTTTGTCCCATGCTGCAGTGCAGTGGTATGATCATAGCTCACTGCTGCCTTGAACTCCTGGGCTCAAGAGATCCTCCCACCTCACCCTCCCAAGTGGCTGGGACTACTGCACCCAGCTAATTTTTTAATTTTCATTTTTTTGTAGAGACGAGGTCTCGCCACTTTGCCCAGGCTGGTCTTGAACTCCTGGGCTTAAGCAGTCCTACCACCTTGGCCTCCCTAAGTGCTAGGATTACAGGTGTGAGCCACCACACCTGGCTGATAATTTTATATGTAATTTATTTTGCATATGTGAAAGTACATTGGATCAGAAATTCTATGCATTTGTAATTCTGACAAGTCTTAATGAATTACAGTTCTAACAGCAACACGAGAGTGCTTATTACCCTACAACCACGCCAAGGCTAAGTGTCCAACATCTAGATTTTTTGCCAATCAGTGGGTGAAAAATTATACCAAATGTAGTTTCAATTGTCTTGTGAGGTTGAGTATTTTTTCATGTTTAAGAGATGTTTATCTTTCCATTAACCATCCCATTTTCTTATTGAATTTGCTATTTTTCATATTGATTTGTAGAGATTTTGTACATATTAAGCAAATTAGCCCCTCTGACTATGATACGGGTTGCAAATATTTTCCCTACTTTGCCATTCGTCTTTGTTTATGGTGTTTTTCACTCTGTAGAAATTATAGATTTTTATGTTGACAGAATTTGTCTTTTTTTAAAGCTATGAGAAAATGTGTGCCATTCTAGAAAACACTTTCTCTACTGTGACATTATAAATTTGTGGTTTTACTCTTTTACATTTTTTTTTTTTATTCGGAAATGGAGTCTCACTCTGTCATCCAGGCTGGAGTGCAGTTGCACAATCTCAGCTCACTGCAACCTCTGTCTCCCAAGTTCAAGCAATTCTCCTGCCTCAGCCTCCCGAGTAGCTGGGATTACAGGTGCCTGCCAACACGCCTGGCTAATTTATTGTATGTTTAGTAGAGACGGGATTTCACTATGTTGACCAGGCTGGTCTCAAACTCCTGACCTCGAGTGATCTGCCTGCCTCGGCCTCCCAAAGTGCTGGGGTTACAGGCATGAGCCACCAAGCCTGGCCTCTTACATTTATTTAAACATAATTGTTTCATATGGATTTATTTTAGTGTAAGAACTGAAAAGAGACACTACATTATTTTTCTCCAGGTGACTACACAATTGTCTCAGTGCTACTTAGTATATCATCCATCTTTTCCCTACTGACAGACAATGCCATCTTTATCATTTACTGAACTTTTTAATGCCTCAGGTCTACTTCTGGACTATTATGTTCTCTTTGTTTTTTTTTGAAATGGAGTCTCAGTCTATCACCCAGGGTGGAGGGCAGTGGCGCCATCTCGGCTCACTGCAACCTCTGCCTCCCAGGTTCAAGCGATTCTCCTGCCTCAGCCTTCTGAGTAGCTGGGATTACAGGTGCACACCACCATGCCAGGCTAATTTTTGTATTTTTTTAGTAGGGACAGGGTTTCACCATGTTTTCCAGGCTAGTCTCGAACTCTTGGCCTCAGGTGATCTGCCCAACTTGGCCTCCCAAAGTGCTGGGATTACAGGCATGAACCACCACGCCCAGCCTATTATGTTCTCCTGATCAAAATGTTTATGCGTGTGCTAGTGTCCTCTGGATTTTACTTTTTAACTATTGTATTAATATGTGGTATAGTGCTTCTCCTCTCATTAACCTTACTTTTCAAAATGTTCTCATGGCTATTCTTTTTGTTTTGGTTGGTTGTTTTTCATTCTGAGGATGCTACTGAAGCAACATGGTTATCCCTGATGCAAAAATTTCCATATGAATTTATATTCAGGTTGCGTACTCTGTTGGTATTTTTATTAGATCTGTGTTAAATTTATAGATTAATTTATGGAGAGCTGACATCTTTATAATAGTGAGTCTTTCTACCCAAAAATAGAATATGCCTTCCTATTTATTCAAACTTCCTTTGGTGGCATTTTAGTTTTGAGTACTGATATGGTTTGGCTCTGTGTCCCCACCCAAATCTCATCTTGAATGGTAATCCCCATAATCCCCACATGTCCAGGGAGGGACCTGGTGGGAGGTGATTGGATCATAGGGGCAGTTTCCCCCATGCTGTTCTCGTAATAGTGACTTTTCACAAGATCTGATGGTTATCTAAGTGTTCCTCTTTCACACTCATTCTCTCTCTCGTCACCTTGTGAAGAAGTTGCCTGCTTTACCTCGCCTTCTGCCATGAATGTAAGTTTCCTGAGGCCTCCCCAGCCAAGCGGAACTGTGAGTCAATTAAACCTCTTTCCTTTATAAATTACCAGTCTCTGGTATTATCTTTACAGCAGTGTGAGAACAGACTAATGTAGGTACCTAGATCTAGCACATTTATTGTGCTTGGTTTACTGTGTTGTTGCTGTTGTAAACAATACAGTCTATTCTCTTATATTCTCAAACAGGCGGTTTTAAAAAAAATACTCATTTCTACCCATTTTCCTAAAATATCTTATTTGTATTAGTTTTTCAGTTGATATCCTTGGATTTTTCATGTACGCTATCATATCATATATATTTTAACTCTTCTAGTTTTTATATCTCATTCTCTTCTTTAATTGCCTAAGCCAGTACTCCCAAAGGAAAATTAAATAAAAAGAGTCATGGGGCCATCCTTGTAACATACCTAATTAATCAGAATAATCCAGATTTCTTCAGTGAGCATGATGCTGGCCTTTGGAGTAAAATGTGTTTATCATGTTACAGAGGCTAGAGGTTTCATACAGTTTTGTCTGTGATTCTCTTACCTAGGGGGTTGATATCTCAGAGGGTTTCAATCTGTGCATGAGAATCTTCCTTTGCAGATAGTTTCTTTTCCCTTACAGAAACAAACAAACAAACAAACAAACAAAACACAGTATACAGATCTCAAGTAGAGTGTACGCTGACTTAAATTGCATTGTGAATCCCAAGGTAACTTCGTATTGGTCAATAGCTTTATTTGATTTGACTTCCTAGGAAGATAAAATACTTGAGCCAACAGCAGCAAGATCCTGTGTCCTCTGACTGGGTCCCAGGAGGTAGCTGCCCTAGCTAAGACAGCAACTAGTCCTGCTCTAGTGGACAAGAGTGGGGAGGGGCTGTGCTATCAAAGTCTGGGTCCTAGAGTCAGACCACCTGAAAGGAGGCACTCAGACCTAAGCCCTAAGAGCAGTAACAACAGCTTACATTTTTTGAACACTTGCTATATACCACCTGTGTGTTTCAGTAGTAAGCGATTTACTCCTCACAACCATCCTAATGAAGTGGGGACTATTATTTCCCCACAGATGATGAAACTGGGGCACAGTAATGTAACTTGCTCAAAGTCATAAGTTGATAGGTGATAGAGGCAGTTTCAAACTACGTACTTTGGCTCCAGAGCCTATGTTCTTTTTGATTGTTTAGTTCTACATACTCACAGAGCCTATATTTTTGGAGGGTTTTTTTTGTTTGTTTGTTTGTTTGTTTTGAGATAGGGTCTCACTCTGTCGCCCAGGCTGGAGTGCAGTGGTGCGATCATGGCTCACTGCAGCCTTGACCTCTACAGGCTCAAGCAGTCCTCCTACCTCAGCCTCCCAAATAGCTGGAACCACAGGTGTGTGTCACCACACCTGGCTAATTTTTGTATTTTTAGTAGAGAAGGGGTTTTGCCATGTTGCCCAGGCTGGTCCTGAACTCCTAAGGTCAAGTGATCTGCCCGCCTCGGCCTCCCACCATGCTGGGATTATAGGCGTGAGCTCCCAGGTCTGGTCAGAGCCTATGTTCTTAACCACTGTGTTCTAATCCCCCAGAAGATGGAGCCTGGGGCCCTGAGCAAAGTTCCAGGAGGAACCATGAATGTGGCCTCCATTGTAAACCACATCAGCCCCAGGGAAAGAGTGCCTGACTATGAAAGACTACTCTAGAGCAGGGGTCCCCAACATGTACTGGGCTGTGGCCTGTTGGGAACTGGGCTGCACAGCAAGAGGTTAGCAGCAGGCGAGTGAGCATTACCACCTGAGCTCTGCACTCCGCCTCCTGTCAGATCAGCGGTGGCATTAGATTCTCATAGGAGGGAGAAACCTATTGTGAACTGCACATGCGAGTGATCTAGGTTGCACCATCCTTATGAGAATCTAATGCCTGATGATCTGAGGTGGAACAGTTTCATCCTGAAACCATGTTCCCCAACCCCCTGTCTGTGGAAAAATTGTATTCCACAAAACCAGTCCCTGGTGCCAAAATGCTTGGGGACCACTGTTCTAGAGCCAGGAAGAGTTAACTGGAAGCTGGATAATGGGTGCCATTGCTAGCTTTTCTTTTTATCCACATTCTTCTTTTGGTTTATTTTCTTGCCCCTCTTCCTCTGCCTTGCCCTAAATGTTGGCATGTCCCATGCAATGGTCTTGAGCCCTCCTCATTCTCTTATCCACACTCTCTCCTTAAGCATCCACATCCAGATCTTCCTGATGATGACTCCCCAGTGGATATCTCCAGTCCAGGCCTCTTCCCTGACCCAACTAACGTGCCCACCTCTCTATTCTACAGCACCACCAAGATGCCTTACAGGCACCTCAAACTTAACATGTCTAAAACAGAACTTTTTTTCTGCCCCTGTACAAACCTGCTCCTCCCACAGACTTCTCTGCAGTCAATTTACATAAGATACTTATTCAATAAATATTTATTAAGCACCTACTATAGCAGTGAACAAAATAGACAAAAACCCTGCCTTCCTAAAGCTTACATTCTACTACTGGAAAACCTATAGTAAACAGAAAAAAATAAGTAAATTAGAAGATAATAAGGGCTAAGGAGAAAGCCAAGAAGAGGTACAGTGAGCAGGGGATGAGGACTGAAATTTTTGAAAGAGCAAGTGAGAAGAGCAGGAGGTGAAGTCAGAGAAGCAACAGGGGGTGGGCCATGAGCTTTTATCCTGAGGAAGATGGAGGACTTTGAACAGAAGCAGGATGTGAGTAGATTGCCAATGTAATAGGAATACCCCAGCTGCTGTGAATAAACTAAAGAAGGGCAGTAAGGATGAAAGCTGGGAGACCAGTTAGGGAACTCTTGCTATAGTCCAGGTAACAGATAATGGATAATGGGGAGTTGGACCAGGAGACCGTGGAAAACTGGTAAGATAGGGTCACATTCTGGATATATTCTGAAGCAGGGGGTTCTACCATCCACCCAGGTTCTTAGGCCAAAAATCTCAGTCTCATCCTTGATTCTTCCTTTTCCCTCATATCCCATATCCAATCCATCAGCAACTCCTTGGGGTTCTATTTCCAAAATGTGCCACAGTCACAGTTCCTGTCCATCTTCACCACCCCCACATGCCAGCTAAACCACCTGGGTTTACCTCTCACCTAGATCACTGCAATACCCTTTTACCTGATCTTTCTGCTTCCTCTTTTGCCCCCTGCAATCTAGTCTTCACAAGCAGCCAGAGGGATCATTTTCAAACTTAGATCATATCACAGGATGCCCTTGCTTGTGATCCTTTAAGAGCTTTGCAATGAACCAAGAATAAAGGCCAAAATCCATACTGAGAACTACACGGGCTGGCATGGGCTGCCCTCTGATGACTCCTCTGTTCTCAACTCTTTCCCTCTTTTTATTGATCGCCCTGCTCCAGCCACACCGGGGTCCTTCCTGTTCCTCAAACTCACCAAACTCCTTCCTGCTTTGGAGCCAGAGCTATCCCCTCTGATGGGGTCGGTGTACCCCACCTTATTGTATGACTGGTTGCCTATCGACATCAAATCTCAGCTCAGTCATCACCTCTTCATAGAAGACCATCCTGAGAACTTTCATCTAGTATAGATACTATACTATATATACTAACTATAGCTAGTATAGTCCACCACGCTGTGTAAACAGAAAACACAATCTTGAGCAGGAAGCTGCCCTTTAGAAATCCCTGCATCCATACCACAAGGGTGCCTAGGTTTCTTTTTATCCAATAGTAGGGAGGATTGAGGACCAGAGGGGAAGTTTGAGTTTCCAGGTACCAAACAGGAGATGATGGTGACCACCACCTTTCCCTCGTGACACCTTGGGGGAAGGAATTACCTCAGGCAGCTGGAAGCCAAGAGTTTTCCTTTCTCCTCTTTCACTCAGGAAGTTGTGGCTCAGTGCAGTGGCTTACGCCTGTAATCCAGCACTTTGGGAGGCTGAGGCGGGTGGATTATTTGAGGCCAGGAGTTCGAGACGAGCCTGGCCAACATGGCGAAACCCCGTCTCTACTAAAAATACAAAAATAAGCCAGGCAGGTGGCAGGCACCTGTAATTTCAGCTACTTGTGAGGCTGAGGCAGGACAATCACTTGAACCCAGGAGGTGGAGGTTGCAGTGAGCCGAGATTGTGCCACTGTACTCCAGCCTGGGTGACAGAGCGAGACTCTGCCTCAAAATCAATCAATCAATAAAAAGAAGTTGTGTAGAACCTATTTTTTTTTTCATTGTAAAATATGGCCGGGCGCAGTGGCTCACACCTGTAATCCCAGCACTTTGGGAGGCTGAGGTGCGTGAATCATTTGAGGTCAGGAGTTTGAGACCATCCTGGTCAACATAGTGAAACCCCATCTCTACTAAAAACACAAAAATTATCCAGGCATGGTGGCGCACACCTGCAATCCCAGCTACTCAGGAGGCTGAGGCATGAGAATCGCTTGAACCCGGGAGGTGTAGGTTGCAGGAGCCGAGATCGCTCCACTGCACTCCAGCCTGGGTGACAGAGGAAGGCTCTGTCTCAAAAAAAATAAAACAAAATTTAAAAACCATGTATTAAAAAACTGGAAAATAATTAGAGAGAAGAATTACTACTACTACCACTTGGACATGTGTTAACATTCTGGTGCATTTCCTTCAACTGTCTTTTCCTTTGTATGTTTTTAATAGTTATCATGAATTCATATATATTTAATAACATTAATATTATTAATGTTCTGTGTAATCACTTTTTATAAAAATTATTTCAGGCCGGGTGCTGTGGCTCATGCCTGTAATCCCAGCACTTTGGGAGGCCGAGGCAGCCTGATCATGAGATCAGGAGTTCAAGACCAGCCTGGCCAACATGGTGAAAACCTGTCTCTACAAAAAAAAAAAAAAAAAAACTTAGCTGGGCATGGTGGCACGTGCCTGTAATCCTAGCTACTCGGGAGGCTGAGGCAGGAGAATTGCCTGAACCGAGACCCGGGGGCCGGAGGTTGCAGTGAGCCGAGATTGTGCCACTGCACTCCAGCCTGGGCTATGGAGCGGGACTCTGTCTCAAAAAAAAAAAATTTCATTGGTTTTCTGATATTTTCACAAGTTTACATAATATATTTAATCAAGTGCCTGTTAAAAAATAAAACACACACTCTTTCATGGGAGTTAAAATAAGTACATACTCATTAAACAAGTCCACAGAACAGTAAATGAGGTTGGTACTCTCGAAGCAGAGGGCCATAGTATACCGTCAGGGCCAAAAGGGCCAGTCTCTCATTTGACACTTGAATTCCCTAGCAATGTCCATGTTATGTGTTCTTGACACCTCTGATGGACAGCTTTGGAACTGAATCTTTCTTATTCTGAGCTGAAGTATGTCTCTCTATAGCTGCTAGACTTTAGTACCTCGCAAAGGAAGCATAAAACAGAATTCCTCTTTTAGACAACAGTCTTTCTAGTTTTCCGGAACATCTCTCACAGCCCCAAATTCCCAATTTTTCCGACAGGTTCGTTCTCCCACCCCAAGATTCCTTCCAAGGCACTCTCCTCTGAAGGTGCTTCCATTGGTTTTCTCTCTTACCTCCCGGCGACCACAAGTGGCCCCAGCCGTCCAGGTGGGGTCCGGCTGACGGGACCAAGTCGACACTACTCCTTCTCGCAGGGTCTCTTCCTTCTCAGTAAAGCGGCCCACGATCCTCCATCCGCTCCTCAGAGAGCCTCTCTGCCCTTTCTGTCCGCCACATCTCCCTGGCTACATTATCTCCCCGACTAGTGCCTAGCAGGCGGGCCTGATAGAAGTTTCTCTAAAGGCTCTGGAGGAGTCAAACAATGCATAAGGTCCTGTGCAACCCTCAGACTCCTATACCTCGTGGGAATTTGGAAGTCGAAATCCAGTCCGCGGTCCCGCCCCTCCCCGGGTCGCCTCAATTAGCCCCGCTCGGTCTCGCCCTAAGTCTCGCCTTTCCCTTTAACCAACCCCTCAAGCCGGGTTACCTCTCCGGTGCCTATAATCCTTAACGTTTCCCTATATGCTGTCCCAACTAGGAAAGCCTTTACTTTCCGCTATTGGTAAAATATTTACACTTTCCGTACCATGGCCACGCCCCCTTCACACACGTTGCCAAGACGAACCGGAAGAGATTGCCAGCCCCCTGGTTCGTTAACCGGAAGTAGACGTACCTCACGGAAGCCGGCTTTGGCCCTGCGGCTGCTACCGTCGCCGCGGAGAAATTGTTGGATCTGGCAGTCTAGGAATGGTGAGACCTCGCGGTTCGCCTCTGAGGGTTCTCAGAGGAGTTGGGGATGAAATGGAGTTTTGCAGAGTGCCGCCGGGGACGACCACCCCCCAAGTTTGGGGCCCCGCCCCAGTGGCGCCCCGAAAAGCTGCGCATGCGTGGGCCGGACCGGGTTAGAATCTGGCTCGAAGTGTTACGCATGCGCAAAGGCATGGAGACCGTGGGGTGAGAATGGGCTTGCGAGTTTACCCCCACCTCCCCAGCCACCAGCCTGTGGGTCTCAAACCAAGGCTACTTGGTGCTCTGCTTTGAGTTGCAGAGGTGACTTCATCAATGCTCCTACCCCGAGTTCTTGAGACAGACCTGGACCGATCCCCTACCTTGGGTGTGCACTCTTGGGAGAACGAGGGGCGGAGGGTCCGGTAAGGAAGGGGCACAGACCCTACCTCAGTTTGCCGGCAAGCTCGGGCCCCTTCGCCCTCTCCTCAGATGTCAAGATTCTTAGTCGTAGCCTATGGAGCGGAGAGCGACAGGCTCACCTGGGGACAGGGCTAGAACACTGAGCTAAGAGCCACCCTGGTTAGAAGTGGGGACTCACGAGAGGAGCGCCCCGAGAAAGTCCAGTACCTGGGTTCTCTAGGGGTTGTTGGGGCACAGCGTGGTTGATAATCACGCAGTTCCCAAACAGTGGTTTTTGGTTTCCACGAGATGGTATCTCATGGAAATACCACTTACTAAATCTTCAGTAAAAACCCCAAATGGAAAAGAAAAACAAAAAAAAAACGAGATGGACTGGTTGGAGTTTTGTCTCCCTTTCTTTTTTCCTGCTTTGGCCTGGGAGGGGAAGGCTGGTGCTGCTGAGCTGAGTGGACAGCTGAAGTAAAGAAAAATGTGGGCCAAAGAATCCCTTGTCTCTTGCTAGTTTATAGTCAAGGCGCTTAACCTAGGAGATACCAGTAGAATTAAAGGGTCTATGAACCCTCTAAAATAGTATGTGTTTGCACCCTTTTCTGCAGTCCATAGCTGTTATCATACTCTGAAAGGTGCCAGTGACCTTCACAAGACTGATGTCTAAGGCTATTATTGGCAGAGTGGGGCCTTATGCCTCTTTCCTGTCCTTATGTCTTCCCTAGCTTATGGGACCCTGGGGGACCTGAGCCAGTATAAGGAAGTGAGGCTGGCCAGTTGGAAATCTGAGCCTCAGGGAGCCTCATTTCTCCTTTGCAGAATCTCCTCTCAGCCTTTAAGCTCACCTGGTCAGAATCCTTGGATGAGCCTGTGGGACCGTTCCTCCTAGCCCGGTGGTTTGGAACCAGTGGCTTTGGGACTGTAAGAGGATGGACAAAGGTAGTATGAGGCCGGGACAGCTCCCCAAATGCTCGGGCGCCAAGCATCTGCTGATTCCACTCTGTGCCTGGCACGTGTGTCTTTCGGTCCTGGCTAGGCCTTGCCACCTCCCCCTGGGCCAGCACCACCCATGTACCTGTCGGCAGAGCCACAGTTGACTGACTTGCTGTTGAGCTGCTGCTCTTTAGCACGGCTGCATTTTGATGGCAGAGGGAGCAGTTATGCCCAGAGCCCAGCGTGTCGGCATCACCAGTCTGACCTGAGCACCATGTGCTGCACGACATGACACGTGGCACCGGGGGAACTGCCCAGCGTGGAAGGTCTGGGCCAGGTCTGAGCCCAGATGGGATCTGGATGGCCAAGGAACTCTACCTTAAAACCTCAAGTGTCAAGGAGGCAGGGGAGGGGCCAAGAGGGCTGGCAGGGGAAGGGGGCTGGGGAGGGGTCCCATTTGCAGAGGCTCTAGGATCTTAGGAGGCCCGAATCCACCATTTCTCTCTTGCTAGATTCTCAGGGGCTGCTAGATTCATCCCTGATGGCATCAGGCACTGCCAGCCGCTCAGAGGATGAGGAGTCACTGGCAGGGCAGAAGCGAGCCTCCTCCCAGGCCTTGGGCACCATCCCTAAACGGAGAAGCTCCTCCAGGTAGTAAGGGTTCGGAGGGCCAGGAACTGGGAAAGGGTAGAAGGTCTGTGGCGTTAAGTGCCACATGCCTCCCCATCTGTTGGGAATGGCTGCCTGAGCCCCTCTGGGGCCTTAGTATTGGCAGAGCCTTGTGCTTTTCCTGTCCCTGCTAAATCCTTCCCTGTGGGACTGAGGGCAGGGGAGGGAGATCTTAGGTCTCTGACGTGAAGTCTTTGTGGTGTGATACCCTGTCATCTCAGAGGGCTGGAGTGTAGCAGTTCCATGGCCACAACCAGGCTGTGGCGTAAAGTGAAAGCAGGCTGGAGCAGATAGCACCCTACTGGGCACCTGCTCTCTTTTGGGGGCTGGGGGTGTGTGAATGGGTACCAGGGTGGGGTAAGGAGTGTTCACTGGGCAGGACCCTTTACAGGTTCATCAAGAGGAAGAAGTTCGATGATGAGCTGGTGGAGAGCAGCCTGGCAAAATCTTCTACCCGGGCAAAGGGGGCCAGTGGGGTGGAACCAGGGCGCTGTTCGGGGAGTGAACCCTCCTCCAGTGAGAAGAAGAAGGTGAGGAATTGGGAGACTTAGGGGATGGGAGGTAGTGCCAGATTTCATGTTTCCCCAGAACCTTTGCCAGCTGCCAAGAGCCCTGCAGAGCAGGCTGGTGAGAGGACCAAGCTGCCCCAGCCCTCATCTCAGATGCCCCCCTCCTGGGAACACACCTCTCCCTACTCCCCATTTCTTGCTGCAGCCCCCACCCCCAACCCTGCCATTGCATCCTGTATCACATTCCGTGTGGGAGGCATGGAGCATGCATCTATTCTGGGAGCAGACAGCCTGTTCCCAGCATTGCAGAGTGTAAAAATAACCCCCAGGTGGCATTGCTGTGGCCCTAGACACTGCACCAGCAAGAGTGATTTCCCGGTATCCTCCCCACCCAACTTTCACTCTGGGGTCGGGGATACTGCCAGCAAAGAGAAGACCCCGTATGGTCAAGGACTATATAGAAGTAACTTGGTGGGATGGGGGTGGGTATTAGAAAGCTGAGCTCCTTTCCTGTGCTTCCTGTTGTGGGCTGGAGTTGGTGCTGAGGCTGGGGCTGGGGCTGCCGCTGCCACAGAGTATGTGAAACTCTAGTCATGAAGCGCCAGCTGACTGGATGCTGGCTTTGAGCTTGGTTTGTTCCTGTCCTCTGCCCAGGTATCCAAAGCCCCCAGCACTCCTGTGCCACCCAGCCCAGCCCCAGCCCCTGGACTCACCAAGCGTGTGAAGAAGAGTAAACAGCCACTTCAGGTGACCAAGGATCTGGGCCGCTGGAAGCCTGCAGATGACCTCCTGCTCATAAATGCTGTGTTGCAGGTAGTGCCCCCACCATAGGCTCAGTGTGCCCCTTTCCCCCAACCTCCAGTTCGCACCCCAAAATTAGCCCAACAGGGCCCTGTGGGTGGCAAAGAAGGGTTGTTCCCAGCTCCAAGGCTGGAGCAAATCCTTCTGGGGCCTTGCAGACCAACGACCTGACCTCCGTCCACCTGGGCGTGAAATTCAGCTGCCGCTTCACCCTTCGGGAGGTCCAGGAGCGTTGGTACGCCCTGCTCTACGATCCTGTCATCTCCAAGTGAGTGGGAGCTGGTTCCAGCAGTGGGGAGGTACTGGGACACCAGAATTTGGGTCCTGGAGCAGAGGGAATTGTACCAGGGCCCCAGGAGGGGTCTGGGAGGCAGGACTCCTGGAGGCTCCTTGGGGGTGATACTGAGGCCTGAGAGGCTTCAAAGAGAAGTTTCTTCCTGCCTCCAGGCAAGGGAGTCTGCAGGCAGAGGGAATAGCATGGGAGAGAAAACTAAAATGAGTGCCCGGAGTGCACTGTGTGTGTTGTGGCTTTGGGCGGAGAAAACTAAAATGAGTGCCCGGAGTGCACTGTGTGTGTTGTGGCTTTGGGCGGGTCACCTCCAGCCTTTCCACATTGACCTCCTACAGTTTCATCCTCCTAACAAGGGGGAGTCGAATAGAAGAACACCAAGCCCCCTTCTAGCTCCAGTAGCCACAGGCTTCCAAATAAACTCATACACATGCAACACACAGTTCCTCTTCCTCTGTCACTTAATGTCTTCAGAGCTTGGTTGGATGCTTAACACCCATCCTCTCCACAGACCCTGGTACCACTTAAGTTGTAGCTGCAGTTCTGATATACCAGGAAATGGGCTGGGCTCAGCTTGGAAAGGGGAGGTGGTAGGCAGTGGCTAGGGGGTGGCAGCTTTGGCCAAGTAAGGAGGAAGGACTTGGAGGGAGCAGCAGCTGGTCCAAGGCTCTGCCTCAGGAAGGACTGGGTCTGAAGGGGACATAGGGGCCTCCGTTTTCTGAGTTGGCTGTTCATTCACTTGACAAACCTGTGGAGCCACAGATTATCTGCTAAGCCTTAGGCCCTTCCTAATGAGGGCCTGGCCTCTAGGTTCTGGATCTCAAAAGCCTGTAGGTTTGGGGGAAATAGTAGGAACCCCAGATTGCTTGACACCTTTCCTTCACCCCTCCCCTCTGTCTCTTTCCGTGTCCAGGTTGGCCTGTCAGGCCATGAGGCAGCTGCACCCAGAGGCTATTGCAGCCATCCAGAGCAAGGCCCTGTTTAGCAAGGCTGAGGAGCAGCTGCTGAGCAAAGTGGGATCGGTAAGGCTGAGGGCTGGGAAGGTGGAGGATCAGGGCACAGCGAGAGCTGGACCACCTAGAAAACCACTGATGTGGAGAGCTCCCCACCCACTGTCTGGATATGTGCACATGCACACGTGTGCACATTGGCAGGGGCGTTTGTGACAGGGGCCTCAGGAAGAGCCAAGCCTGACTTCTTGGGTGACTAGCTTGCTTCTTCCAGCTCCTGGGGGATGCTGAGGTGGGAGGTAGAGATGGTAAGGCAGAGAGGCATGTGTGAAAAAGCCCAGATGCCTAGAGAATGTTTCTTGCCCTCTAGACCAGCCAGCCCACCTTGGAGACCTTCCAGGACCTGCTGCACAGACACCCTGATGCCTTCTACCTGGCCCGTACCGCGAAGGCCCTGCAGGCCCACTGGCAGCTCATGAAGCAGTATTACCTGCTGGAGGACCAGACAGGTAACGCCCCAGGAGCTGGCAGAATGGGGGTGTGTGCACGTGCATGTGTGTGTGTGTCTGAAGTACTCGACACAGCTGCCTTCAAGTGCCCTGTAACAGATTCCTCAGTGATCCCCAGTGTCTTGTTCACCTCACATTGCAAAAAAAACTACTTTCCAGAGAGAGAAAGTGGCTGGAATGGTCTTCAGCATCATGGTAAGAGTAGCCAACATTGCCTGGAATCTTTGGCAAAAGGTCCAAATAGCGGAGTTATCTACCATTTCTTGTCTTTTGTTTTTTTCATGACATATTTTATTCTCACATAAATAACACATGAATTATTATGGATAACATTCAAACATGAGCAAAATAAGAAAGTCCACTTTCCTGCCCACCCTTCAGTTTGTTTTCCACCCTAGAGGTAATAACCACTTTTTCTGAGCTTTTCCGCTCTTTGCCTCTCTCCGTTCTTCCTTCTGTCTTCCTTCTTCCTCTTCTTTTCCCACTAGGCCGTTAGTGCTGTCAAGCTGCCCTCAGGCCATTCATAAATCCCCACTGGGACTTCACACCCAGTCCATCTGTCTCTCCCTTTCCCCAAGGGCCTCACTGCTCCCTACTTCCTCTTGCCTCAACAGCACAGCACTCACTCTCCCAGTGATGGGGTAAGAAAACAGTGTGATTAAACTGGAGGAACTCCCCAGTGAGGTCTGTAATTCGGGTTCTGATTTCCATAGTACAAGCACGTTCTCACTTTCTAAAAGTACTGCCCATTGCCGTCTACATAGTTTTTCACACAGTTCAAACATGAAGCTTCATTGGTACCCATCACCTTACTACCAGGGTCCCGCAGCTTCTGCTTAGGAAAAAGGATTCCTGCAGGAGCATTTTAGGAAATCTCATCAGAAGGAGGCCCCATCTTCCGTTCCTAAGGACCTCTGATTTTAGTGGCCCGGGGGCAGCCCTCTTTATTCCTGCGGCTTCCAAAATTCTGCCTCTTCCTCAGACTCAGATATCACAGAATTCCCACAGAGAGAACAGATACTGACTGGATAACTTTTCTTTTTACTGCTAAAGCTAGTTCCTTTGTCACTATTTTAAAAGTTATGCCAGGCATGGTGGCTCACGCCTGTAATCCCAGCACTTTGGGAGGCCGAGGCACGAAGTCAGGAGTTCAAGACCAGCCTGACCAACATGGTATAACCCCGTCTCTACTAAAAATACAAAAAGTAGCCAGGCCTGGTGGCACACGCCTGTAATCCCAGCTACTCAGGAAGCTGAGGCAGGAGAATTGCTGAACCCGGGAGGCAGAGGTTGCAGTGAGCCAAGATCGCGCTACTGCACTCCAGCTGGGATGACAGAGCAAGACTCCATCTCAAAAAAAGAAAAAAGAAAAGAAAGTTATTTTGTGTAAATTTATTTGTTAACTAAAAGCCTTATCATGAAAGTTTTATTTATTCCTTCAAGAGTTTTTGTATTTCTTCAAAAGGGATTTGATTTCTCCTTTGCCGTTGAGAGCTAGGAGACCCTAGGAATAGGCAGGACACATTGCTTAGCTGTCAAGTCAGCGGAAGATGAGATTCGTGGAACTTCAGGCAGCTCTGGTGGGGAGGGACTTGATGGAGTGACTGCCCTGCTTCCCCCCATATGGTCTCACCTCAGTGGGAGGAAGAGGAGCATCTATGGCCCCTCCACACTCCCCCTCACTTCCTCAGTTGACAATTGCATGGCCACTAGCTGCTATAGAGCACACCCTACAGTCTTGGGAACGGCTGGCCTAAAAGCAGAGGTTTTCAGATTTGGGGGGCCTTTATCCCTTTAAATTTTTGTTAAGAGACAGGGTCTTTCCCTGTTGCCCAGCTGAACTTGAATTCTCAGCTCAAGAGATCCTCTTGCCTCAGGCTCCGAGTAGCTAGGTCTGTGGGCACACACCACTGTTCCCGACTTCCTTTCACATTGTGGCCAGAAAAAAAAACAGACTTTCATGAAACTGTATTTATCCTGAGCATATCTGATGGGCTCTGATGCTCATTTTCCTATTCCATTTCATTTTTTGAAAAAATGAAACTGATTTCATGACCCATTAGCAGGTCATGACCCCAGATCAAGAGACATTGGCTTAAGGTGGGCGGCGCCCACCAGCA
This sequence comes from Homo sapiens, assembly GCF_000001405.40. Classification (NCBI taxonomy): domain Eukaryota; kingdom Metazoa; phylum Chordata; class Mammalia; order Primates; family Hominidae; genus Homo; species Homo sapiens. The sequence continues at coordinate 49,560,880 of NC_000012.12, read as the reverse complement.
CGTACTTTCTCAGTGGAACTTGGCTGGCAGGTGCCTCCCAGCCCCTCACAGCGTGGCAGGAAATGCTGGAGAGCATATGATGTGATGGAAGGAGAGGTTGAGATTTCGAATGGAGAGAGCAGGATCTAAATCCTGCCTCCGTCCCAAACTAGGGTCACATAGTTTAACCCCTCTCCTGTGTCTGTTTCCTCATCTGTAAAATAGAGCTAATGGTAGTGCCTCCCCTGCTTAGTTCAAGGCTGTGTAATCAAAGCCCTTTGCACACCAAGAAGCCCATACAAAAGGTCAATTTTAATTTCCTTCCCTTTCTAGAACCACCTCTACCCTCAACTAAGCCTAAAGATGCTTTGTGCCAAATTAGAGCCCAGCCTAATCTGGTATGGGCACCCTTGCTGGTGCTGGGCTCTCCACCCAGCGCAGTCTGCAGCTGGTCCACTTGGCTTAGTGGTCCGCTCAGCATCGGGTTCAGCAAGACCCTTGGTGCTCACGCTTTCTCTGTCCTTTGTTCAGTGCAGCCGCTGCCCAAAGGGGACCAAGTGCTGAACTTCTCTGATGCAGAGGACCTGATTGATGACAGTAAGCTCAAGTGAGTGGCTGGAGACACAGGAAGGGGTGGAGAGAGCCGAGTCACTCCTGTCAGGTAGAGCGCCCCAGGCTGCCCAGCCCCAGCCCTTGGGCTCCCGTTGGTGCTTGGCCCCCCCTGGCTGAGCCCCCTCCCCTCCCACTGGGGCCTTCTTAGGCTCCGCTGCTTTACCCTTATCCCCAGCCCAACCCCAGAGAAGGAGGCTGGGCCAAGGCCTGATGTACCACCTTCCAGGCCACTTGGCTAAAGGGGCTCAGGGATGCCCTAATGAGCCAAGTAACAGGCAAGCTGAAGGTGGACCTAAATCTTCCTTCTCTTCTTGCCCCTCAGGGACATGCGAGATGAGGTCCTGGAACATGGTAAGTATGGCCTCATGGGGTGGTGAGGGGATGGAAGCTCCTGCCAGAATCAAGAGGACCAGTACAAGGTGCTGGTGGCCTCAGAGCATCCCTCCTTACCACCCCACCTCACCCCAGAGCTGATGGTGGCTGACCGGCGCCAGAAGCGAGAGATTCGGCAGCTGGAACAGGAACTGCATAAGTGGCAGGTGCTAGTGGACAGCATCACAGGTGAGGAGGCCTGGGCACCAGAAGGCTCACTCTTCAGCATCCTTCGCCCCAGCCTGTGCCCCTGTTGCTGCCTGGCTGGGGAGACCCTCGTTTCCCAGGCCCCGACCCCCTTCCCTTATAAACCTTGCCCTGGTTCCCTGCCTTGCATTCTGGCCCTCAGGGGTAGGCTCTTCCAAACTCCCTCTTCTCCCAGGCATGAGCTCTCCGGACTTCGACAACCAGACACTGGCAGTGCTGCGGGGCCGCATGGTGCGGTACCTGATGCGCTCGCGTGAGGTGAGGCAGGCCCATCCCCGCCCTTCTTAGGCTGCTTCCTCTGTCAGTGCCTTTCTCTGCGTAGTCCTTGGTTTCCCATCTTTCTCTGGCCTGCATAGACCTACTCCCCCAATTCTTCAGGTCCCAGCCCTCACCTGCCCCATTTCCCCAGATCACCCTGGGCAGAGCAACCAAGGATAACCAGATTGATGTGGACCTGTCTCTGGAGGGTCCGGCCTGGAAGATATCCCGGAAACAAGGTATCCCCCACCCCCTGCCCCAGCAGGAAGCAGTGTGAGGTCGTCCCTCCCAGCCTCTCGCTGTCCTTTCTAGCCCTGGGCTTGGTGTCCATGGGGACCCTCGTGGACCACCTGAGGCAGGGATTCCTTGGTGTCTGCAGGAAGCAGAGCTGGTCCATGGAAGCTCCTGGCTCTCTCTGGCCTTTCCCCATCCCATCAATCCCTCCCCATCCCATCATCCCTTCTTTCTTTCTGCTTCCACAGGTGTCATCAAGCTGAAGAACAACGGTGATTTCTTCATTGCCAATGAGGGTCGACGGCCCATCTACATCGATGGACGGCCGGTGCTCTGTGGCTCCAAATGGCGCCTCAGCAACAACTCTGTGGTGGAGGTGAGCTGGGGAGGAGGCAGGAAGGCCAGGATGAGACCTAGGCGTGGTGAGCCAGTACACCAACTTGGTCCTGGTGCCACCTCTGTCTTAAGCCACCTTTGTCTCCCACCCAGATCGCCAGCCTGCGATTCGTCTTCCTTATCAACCAGGACCTCATTGCCCTCATCAGGGCTGAGGCTGCCAAGATCACACCACAGTGAGGAGTGGTGGCAGGACTCGTGGGCCCTCTCCGGCCTGTTTCCCCTGCCACTCCAGCCCCCTTGAGCTGGGAACTCAGGCTCCTGGAAAAACCTGGGCAGTGGGAGGCTCAGCTGCGGGCCATTGATTTGAGCCTTTGAGGGAGGATAGGGCTGGCCTTTGTGAAGCCAGCAGAGGCTGAGAACCTCAGGCTTCCCTAGATCCAGAGCCCCTCCCCATCTTCCTCTCTCTAAAAACAACCCTACCCCCCATTGCCACCTTCACTCCTGTGTCTCCAGCTGATTAGCCTCAGACTCTTCTTTTATTGTTTTTCTTTTGTAAATAAAAAGCACCAGGTTCCAAAGTAGTTTATTTTATTTTTTTTTTTTAATATAAAAATTTGGGGACAGGTAGAGGCAGGGGCACATGCAGGGGATGGCAAAGCTCTTCCTTGTCCTCAGGCCTCTGCCCCCAGCCTGCAGAGGGAGACCGGGAGGTCAGAGGAGCAGGCCGAGGAGAGGCCTGCCCCAGGGATCCAGCCTATCCTCTCTGAGAGTCAGGAGCCAGGTCCTCCTTTGCTTCCAGGCTCCCTGCCCTGAGCCAGCGGGCCGCATGGAGTCCGTGGGGAGGCTGCCACCCTGCCTTCACTCTGAGGTTGGGCCGAACAGCAGATGGCAGCACACCTGGCAACGCTGAGTTCTAGGGCTGGTACTCAGACCCCTGTGCCTTCTTCCTGGGTCCACTGGACTGTGCCAGAGCCATGGCAGCCAATAAGCACCATCTCCAGGCTGTGGGGGTCCCAGGGCAAGGCCAGGCCCCCTGACCCTGGTGGGGGCTCTCCAGTGCTGGTAGCCTCAGCCTGGCTCACAGGCTCTGCGGGCCCAGTCCTAGCCCCTTCCTCAGAAGGAGGAGGGGAGGCAGGGGTGCTGGGCTCAGAGCAGAGGTCTCCTGAGGCAGGGGGCTCTGAGTCTGAGGTGGAGGTCCAGAAAGCTGTGGCTCGAGGCCAGGGGGAGCTCTGAGACGCTGGGGGACCCCAGGGCCAGGGTGCCATGAGGGGAGGAGGCCCCGGACGAGGGTGGGGCCAAGTCCCACTCAAGACAGAGCCAGCTGGGGGCTGCAGGCAGTAGGAGGATGCCCCAGTGTCCACACACAGAGGCTGCAGAAGCCCGGAGGTGCTGGCTGGGCACGGCCCCTCTCCCGATGCCCGAGGGCACGGACCCTCCCTGTGGGGCGCCAGGACAAGCTGCACAGCCTGGCGAAGTGACTGCAGTCCTTCCCGCATCTGCAGCACCTGCTCTGACAGCTCTGTCACCTTTGGGGGAGGGAGGAGGCGAGGTCAGAATGGAGTCAGCCATGGAGTGCCTTCCCCTGGTGCCCCCCTCACCTCCACCTTCCCCCTCACCCACCGCCTGCCGAAGCTTGTCCAGTGTGTCTGTGTTCCTTGCCTCGCTGGGCCCATGGGGAACAGTGAGCAGGCCGCTCTCTGTGGGTAGTAGGATGGGGTTATCAGCTGGGGCTGGTAAGAGGAGATAGGCAATTTGGGGGTCTAGGCCTTGCCCCAGTTAGAGCACATTGACCTGGTAGGACCTGACTCCTAGGATCATCTCTTCTGGCCTTGCCCAAGGTGCTGAATTTTGCCCAAACTTCCAGGGGCAGGGAAAACACCACCCAGCAGCCCTCAGCCACACTGCCTAGTGCTCTCCTTCCCCTCAAAAAGTTGTTCTTTGTGCCTGTCCCTTGCTCTGTCCTCCAGGCAAATGGACATTCCTAGGAGCTCATTACCTTGTCCACTTCCCTGGCCTGGAGACATTTTCACCCCTGGATCCCCAGCCCTCTATCCCTTCAGTTAGCCAGAGATTGGGCTAAGGCTTTCAGTTACATTATATAACGTAAACATCAACCCATTTTTTTACAGACAGGAAGCTGGGGCCAGAGAAGCCAAATTCACACTGCTAGAAAGCTGACAGAGCAAGGATATAAACCCAGTTCCTGGCTGCGTCGAAATTAAAGTGCTGGTCTTCACCACCAAACTCCCCTGCCCGCACGACACCAAGGGGTAGTGGGGTGAGACGGCCTCCAGGCAGTCTGCCAGTTTCTCTAACATTGAAGGCTCAGAGGTCAACAGTGCTTGAGGTTCACAAGGCAAAGGGGCTGCCCCACCAACCTAGACCATCCCGGGGCCCTGGTACCTGGTCCAGGGGAGGGGCTGCTGCTACATTCCGGGCCAGACTGGCCCACGCGGAAAGAGAACTTGGGCTGGTCCGAGCCACAGCCGTCTTCAATGCCATCTACTACCCTGTGAACCCAGGTACCAGGACAACAAATCAATGGACAGGCAGCCACTGTGGGGTCATACGGGACGGGATGCCCCAGCGTCCACACACACAGGCTGCAGGAGCGTGGAACTGACCAGGAGCCCAGGAGAAAGCTAACATGGGGTCCCTTCCCCTAGGAGCTTACAGTTTAGCTGGGGGGCCAAGCTTGAGCAGCATGAGATGCAAGAGTTCAGAGCAGCGTGTGCCACACACCACACAGTGGAGTGGGACAGCAGGAGAAAGGAGGAGCACAGAAGGCTTCCTGGAGGAGGCAGGCTTGGCCCACATAGACTAGCGGGAGTTAAGATGGTTAGATGGGCACCTAGGGCAGGGTGCGCCTGCCCAGGGCCTCAGCCTCATCACCACCATCTCTGCCACGGGGGCCTAGGGTCTGCTCACCTGGGGCTCAGATCTGGGGGCACATTCCATGGCATGGGGGGCAGCCGTAGCCCCTCTAGGGCCCGTGGGGGAGCAGAGGGGCCAGCCTCAGCCTTCAAAGCCCCTGCCCTGCCTGGCCTCCCTCTGCCACCTAGACGAGGCCGGGGTGCTGTTCGACGTGGGGATAGCAGCTTGGCAGCTGAGGATGAGGAGGTGCAGCCAGGGGACAGCAGGGGGCTGGAGGGCTCATCAGCTGGGGCTGGGGAGACCGTGGGGCCCTGCTCCCCATCTGTCTCCTTCTCCTCCAGCGTGGACATAAGGGTATTGTCGCCGCTCAGGGAGCTGGTGTCCACCTAGGGATAGTGAGGGACAGGGAATCGGCATGGATGGTCACTATTGTGTCCCACTCACCTCCCCTACCAAGGCTTCATCTACCCTGGAAGGGATGAGCCATCTTTGTTAGAATAGCCAACATCTATTCTAACTGAAGGTCCTATAGATGATACTATCTTTTTTTTTTTTTTTTGAGACAGAGTCTTACTCTGTCGCCCAGGCTGGAGTGCAGTGGTGTGATCTCGGCTCGCTGCAAGCTCCACCTCCCGGGTTCATGCCATTCTCCTGCCTCAGCCTGTAGCTGGGACTACAGGCGCCCGCCACCACACCCGGCTCATTTTTTTTTTTTTTTTTTGTATTTTTAGTAGAGACGGCGTTTCACCGTGTTAGCGAGGATGGTCTTGATCTCCTGACCTCGTGATCCACCCGCCTCAGCCTCCCAAAGTGCTGGGATTACAGGCGTGGGCCACCGCGCCCGGCCAGATGATACTATCTTAATCTATAATCTATCTAAAGCCACCAAAGCCCTGGAGGTGTTAACTACCTCTCAAAATTCTAGCCAAATACGGACACCACCACTCCTCTACCAGGTCCCTCAGCCTAATTAAACTATCCAAGAGAATGCGGCGCTAAAAATTGGTTTGGAATTAGTGACAATCCAGGGAAATTCAAAAGCCCCTCAGAACAATCCTGTTTCACCATGAAAAAACACAGGGGGCCACCAGGCTCTCTTCAGAAGCAACCTGAAGAGCTGGTGCCTGTCTCTGCCCTGCTCAGCCCCTGACCCCCAGGAGCCACCCCTCCCTGTGCCAGCACTGATGCATTCATCTACCTTCACTAAGATTCCTCTGGACAGGGTAAGGCTGCCTCAGACAGGCCAAGGAGAGCTGGCAGGGGTGGCTGCACATGCTGGGCTGGGCACATGAGTGTGGAAGGGCAGAGAGGGTGTAGACCCCTGCCCAAGGTGGGAGCTTTCATACCAGGCCACACTTCACACACAGCTCTCCACCATCCCCAGCCTCTGCCCACTTCACCAGGCTCCCTGGCACCCCCATCCCCTCCAAGCACATACTCAGCACACTCACCTCTGCAGAGCCTCCCCCAGCACCCAGGTTGTAGCTGAGCTCCCCTCGGAGGCCACGACTGAAGCGCGGGGCAAACTCGGGGTACAGCGCAAGGCTGTCGTGCAGGCCAGCCAGCTGCAGACACTGCAGGACGCAGTACGTCAGCCCCTTCACGTCGGCATTGGCCTTTACCACCTGCTCCCGCCGGGGCAGCTCACAGCCGATCAGGTCGCCCTTCCCTGGGGAGAGGAAGTAGAGGTCAGCAAGCCCTGAGAGCTTCAGCCATGAGGAGAGAAGAGGGGGCTGCAGGTTGCTGAGATTCCCTTCAGAGCTGGGCTGGGCCTCTGTAGCTGAAGCCTTGAAGCCAGCAGAGAGAGGAGCAAAGAGGCCTGGGACATGGCCTGACGCCTGCAGCCTGTCTCACTGGCTCCCACATGGGCTTGGGGTAAAGAGCTCTGTGACCCAGGCCCTCAAACACATTCAGGATCAAAACCACTGTGCCAGAAAACCTGAATTATAGCCCTGAGAGAGACTGAACATCAGTTCTAGTGTTTCACAGCTGGCTATGTTGATTAGAATCCCCTGCAAAAGTCAGAACAAACACCCAGGCCCTATCTCTACCTACAGCGTCACAGTATCTATGGGAGACCCCACAGTCTGATTGTTTTTAAGTCCCACAGGTGATTCAGATGCAGCTTGTCCAGGAATCAGTGTTTGGAACCAGCAAATTAGAGCCCTGTGTGGCATAGGGAAAATGCCAGGCAGCCAGGCTTACCTTCCTGAGCCCTAGCTGCCTCTGCTCTACAAGAGATGCTGCATTTAACTGAGTCTAGGGAATATTCTTGATCTCACCAGAAGGGGTCAATGGAGGTTTTCCCACAGGCAGGTTAAGACTGCCACCTGGCTGACAGTAATTATTAAATGGCATCAATTAGAGCCTGCGGTGTAATCTCAGAGATGTTAGATTGGGTAGGGTGGGTGAGATGTGTGTCTTAGAATCAATGAAATAGGGTGTGTCTGTCCAGGGACATGTTGAGGCTAAATTAGAGTTAATGTAGATAAAGTGCCTCACACAAAGACGACCAAAAAGAAATCATTTTCTTCCTTTCCCTCCCAGATAGAACCCCCTATAAATCATTCCTGCCAGGCACAATGACTCCCAGCACTTTGGGAGGCCATGGCAGGAGGATCGCTTGAGCTCAGGAGTTTGAGACCAGCCTGGGCAACATGGCAAAACCCTGTCTCAAACAACAACAACAACAGCAGCAAAAATTAAGCTCGGTGTGGTGGTGTGCACCTGCAATCTCAGCTATTCTGGAGACTGAGGTGGATGGATCACTTGAGCCCAGTAGGTCGAGGCTGCAGTGAGCCGAGATCACACCACTGCACTCCAGCCTGGGCGACAGTGAGACCTGGTCTCAAAAAAAAAAATTCATTTCCAACAGGGATAGGCACGCAGTCCGGGCTTGGGCAGAGCACTCACTACCCTCAAGGCAGCTCAACCACCGCCAGGCAGTTCAGACTGTTAGAAAGTGTTTCAAAAAGGATGGCCCTGCTATGGACTACCTCACACTGCCAGCAGCACACACTGAGCTCACGTCTCCTCTACATGTTCCTGGACTTTTGCTCCAACTTAAGTATAGAATGCACCCCAACTTAAGTATAGTTTAACACTTGATTTTCTTGGTTTCAGGCCATCCTTCTGGGTCGTTTTGAGTGCTGTTTGGATCTCAATGTGATCATCTGGGGAATGTGCTCTCTTTTCATTGGCGTCATCTGAAATAGAATAAGCACGTGCTTCTTGTCTTCATCTAAGAGGTGGGAGAAAATGAGAAACAGGACAGGACCGAGGGCAGAGTCTCAGGACCAGAGACTGCCCACCAGGTGCAGCTCATCAAACTACTTCCTTCCTCACAACGGACTTTGCGTATGCTTAGCTTCCAGCAGTTCATCAACAGAGGCAAGCGCCAGAACCCAGAGCTGCCTGAAGCAGACAGGATGCACTTGGATGTTCGAGTAAAAAGGTAGGTGAGGAGAGGGTAGGTATGAAGGCAAAGCAGAGAACCCGACCATGATTGGGGTCGGGGAACCAGGCATTCACCAGGGCATCTAGAGCCTCCAAGTCAACAGGGAAGTAGTTCACCCAAAACATATAGAAGGTGACAGGATGGATCAACGGTGGCATAAGTCCTGGTGCTAGGGACATTGTAGAGGCAAAGGCCCAGGGCACAGGCTGTAGCCATTCTTGTGGCACTGAATACTGCACACTGAACATGGCTATTCTGAGACGTGGTGCCTGGCACCAGCAAAGGCATGCTCTGAGAGGACCTGTGCCAGCTCCCAGCCACACAACTCCCTCGGCTCCAGGCTGGAAACCATCTGTTTCGTAATCCACTCGTCAATCCTGCTTTGGGTTCACCAGTCTACAGTGGTGAAAATCTGTCCTTGTGCCCTTCGGAATCTCTCCAAGGATTGCCAGCTACACTTAACTGGCATAACTCCATTTTCTCATGCTGGCATAAACCGCATGTAGGCACCAAAGCTGGACTCATGAAAGATGTAAAACAAAGGGTGTGAACAGCCTGTCCCCACTCTTGGGGTCTAAGACCCCGATGGCATTTTTTTCCTCTTGTTTCCAGCTGGAAGGTCATCCTCTTCAAGGGAGCAAGGATGGACACACAGTAGCTGCGTCTGGTGACACCGCCCCACCTTCCTGGCCCTTTCCTGCTTCTCATCTTGATTGTGGATTGCCAGATGAATGAGAAACCTCAGCCCCAGGGCTTCAGCAGTCCCCACAGTGAATCTACACGTGCCTTGGCTGCCTGAGGATTCGATGTCGTCAGCAGTGGTCAGGTCACCACCTCCCCACATGTACAAGTCCTTGACTACCCACACCGGTCACATGTTCCCCGCCCTCTAGGGTCACGGTGATAGTCTCTTGCAGCCATAGAGCTCTGCTCCTCTTTAGTGGCTTTTCTTTTTTTTTTTTTTTTTTTTTTTTGAGACAGAGTCTCGCTTATCGCCCAGGCTGGAGTGCAGTGGTGCAATCTTGGCTCACTGCAGTCTCCATCTCCTGGGTTTAAGCAATTCTTCTGCCTCAGCCTCCCAAGTAGCCTGGATTACAGGTGTCCACCACCACACCCGGCTAATTTTTGTATTTTTAGTAGATACAGGATTTCACCACGTTGGCCAGGCTGGTCTTGAACTCCTGACCTCAAGTGATCTGCCTGCCTCGGCCTGCCAAAGTGCTGGAATTATAGGCTTGAGCTACCGCGCCCGGTCCTTTAGTGGCTTTTCACAGACACAGCCCCATGTTTCCCTGAGAGTTAGAATGTGCTCCCAACTCTCCAAATCCTAGAGTGCAGGTCCAACCCTCCTAACGATGGCTTCCTCCCTGCCAGTCCCAATTCCCCCCAGAGCACCTGGGAGCCCTGTGGAAGAAGCATGAGACTTGGCGCCAGGTGGATGGGGCTCCAGCCCCGGCTGGCCGATTCCTAGCTGTTCATTAACCTCTCTGACCTTGGTCTCCTGCTATGCAAAATAGGAATAATGGGTTTTGTGAGGTTAGAGTGAGACAAAGCAGTAAGGAGCTGGGACAGGGCTAGTCACGCTGTGAGCCCCCTGTTATCAGCACTACTATTGTGTCCATTCCACACCTGCAATTTCTTCATCTGCGTCTAGGGAACTGATTTCCTTTTTCACCTCCTTCTTTTCCCAGGAAGGGAAGTATATACACTGTAGATACCATTTCATCAGAATGAGTCTCCCTGACTGTTTGGAGACTGAGCTCTGTCACCCATCTGGGCTCTGGGCCTGCTCTGTGATCTGCCTCAGGAAAGTCACATCTCACTGTTCCTGGGGGACCACAAAGACAGCTTTTGTTCCTCCCCTTTTTAGCCCTGCCTGACACTCTCCCCAGCACTTCCATCCCTAGCTTCTGATTTTCCTCCTGAAGGAAGGGCAGCTCCCCTCTGTCCCCCATAGACTGGCTCCTTTCAAAGGCTGGCCCTCCACTCGCTCGGCCCCAGGGACACCTGCGAGATCGTGTCCACCTACTTACGCTGCCACCTTGCAGTCACTGGGGCTTCTCTGAGCTTTGACCAGGACTCCATAACTACTCCTGACTCCACCCTGGCTGTTTCTCTCTCAGTGGCCTTGTGGAGGTCCCCTCTCCAGGTTTTCCACAGATCAGGGCCATGGTCTCACACACACGTGCCCCCACGCCCTCTCTCCCACCCTCACAAACCTAGGATGGCGAGCACGGTGCCACCCTTGAGCACCTCCATGGAGCCAGAGCAGACAAAGTAGAGGGCCTGCAGGGCATCGCCTTGGTGGATGAGGTACTCGCCCGGCGTGCAGAAGGCGGGCCGCAGGGCCAGAGACAGTGCCCGCAGGCAGCCGCGGCTGGCCGCCTCAAACAGTGGCAGCTGCAGGACCTCCTTGTGCAGGTGCATGGCGATGTCTGCGCGCAGCTCGTCAGGGAGGCTCTGCAGCAGCTGCAGGTGAGCAGGTGCGGGGGTGGGGGGGTTGGGAGTGGCAGAAGAGGAGGTGGCCTCCAGCCAGCCCCTCTCCACCCTGGCAGGCCTCAGGAACAGGGGAGGCATGGGAGGGACCTGAGGCCTCTCTCACAACTCCAAGCTCCACACAGGGTGGCAGCGAGGGGGCTTCCTCCACCTCCCTCTCAATCACTTTAGCGCCCAGAGCAGCCCAGCTTCCCACCTCAGTGAGTACCAAGCCCCCAGACCTAACTGCGGTTCAGAGGGCCCTCCAAGCCTTCTTAGCTGCCCTCTGTCCCATGCCGCTGTCCCCTCAAGAGAGAAGGGAGGCACAGGGGCCAAAATTCTGCATTCATCCTCCCCCACTCCTGATAATTCTAGGCTATTGCAAACCCCCTGAGGGAGCAAAGGCTAGCAGGCCCAGCCCCGGAGGCCGCACCTCGGTGGTGTCGATGCCATTGTTCACCGCCCAGGTGGCCTGGAAGTACTCCAGCATGCGCTGCTTGAGGGGCTTGGGGATACGGTGGATGCGGATGTAGTCGCGCAGGTCGCGCGTGCGGCTGTGGTACAGAAAGCGGCGGGCGTACATGCGCTGGATGATGGCCGTCACGTTCCCAAACACCACCGCGTGCATCAGGGCTGGGGGAGGGTGACGAGAGGGGGTCACCTAGGGGACCTGGCCCGGCCTGACACCACGCTGGGCTCATCTGTCCTCGGCCCGCACGCTCCTAGGCAAGGCCTGAAGGCCGCTGTGCGGGCGAAGTCTCCCCCACCCCCGGCCTCGGGTTCCGCGGCCACCTAAAGCGGAAGAGCCCCCGGCCTCAGGCCCTCCGGGGAGTGGGACGGCGCCGCCTGCGGGCAGAAGTCTGGGAGTGGCCCCGGGAAGACGCGCGCGGCCGGGCTCACCGCCGATGAGCATGGTGCAGATGGAGAAGATCTTCTCGGTGTCCGTGTTGGCGGACACGTTGCCGAAGCCCACGCTGGTGAGGCTGCTGAGTGCGAAGTAGAGGGAGGTGATGTAGGCGCTGCGCAGCGACGGGCCGCCCAGCAGCTCCAGCCCCGTCCCGTTGGCCTCGCTGCTGCTGCTGCAGTTGTCACTCTGGCCGGAGCTGTTCCCTCCAGCTGGCCTCCGGCCCACCAGGTAGTAGGGAGTCTCCAGTCGGCGGGCCAGCTCCTGCAGCCAGCCTGAGGGGGGAACAGCAGGGCCTGAGCAGGCAGGAAGACTGTGGGCGAGGATGCCGGGCCCTGGGGGTGGGGACACGCAGACACAGACCCAGCCCCATGGCTTCCCGCCGCTTTGCCCCTTCACTGCCAGCCTAGCACACCCCTCTCCACCCCCTCAACCCTCAGAAGAGTCTGCCATTTCCCCAGCCAGCTCCTATTGGCACTGAGGATGACACAAGGGAAATCACACCCCTTCCCCCATGGCTGGCACCCATCCCAGGTAACGGGCCCAGTCGGAGGGCCTGGCTGGCGTGGGCAAAAGGACTGGGGTGCTCACTGCATTCAACCACAGCCTCAACCCCAAAAGATGGATGGTGAGGCCACCTCCGCCCTCACCTCCACCTGTCCAACGGGACTCCTCTTCCTGCATTTCTCTGAGCCCATCAACTCCAGAAGGCCCTCCCTCCCCTCCCCATTCAGTCTCATCCATCCCCACAGCCACACAAACCACTCAGCCTCACACACAGGTGCCAAGCACGCCTGCATGGACATGCACACACACTGTTAAGGCTATGTGTGTGCCCCACACAGTCAAGAAGACAAGGACACATGTATGCCCCTTACAGGCGCCTCAACACAGCCACTCACTGAAAAGGCTGTGCACACTTGGGAGAGGGACAAAGGTACACTGGTACCTACACACTGTCACTCAGGCAGAGGGTGAAGACACACTTTCGTGGACAAGAGCACACAGGCGAATACATTCACACAGGTGCGCGCGCACACACACACACACACACACACACACACACACACACACGTAGTCACAGGCTAGACCGGGCCACGGAGCAGAGGCTGGATTGCCCCTCAGCCCGAAGTTCTCCACCTGGCCTTGGCATGGAGTAGGGTTGTGCGCTGAGGTCTCTCCCAAGGCTGTGTGCTGGGAGTCACTCTTGAGCCTAGCTGGAGGGTTGCAGGAGCTCTAGGGTGTTGGATGGGGGATCCCAAGATCCACAGAGGTCCTGGCAGAGCTGGGGGCCATGGGGTGCAAGGGAGAGAGGGCGGATTGGCTGATCTAGAATGGTGAGGCAGAGGGTATGTGTGGCTGTGGCTTGGGGTCACAGGATGCAGTTGGACCCCACCTCTCCACTTGTGCCCTGCTCCTCCCACCTCAGCACAGACCCCCTACTCCAGACTCTCCCCAACACTTCAGGCATATGGGTCCTGTGGCCCGCACACACTTGTCATCCACCCACTCATTCATTCAGCAACCTCACACACTGTGTGCCAGGAGCTGGGGGCCCCACAGGAGCTCCCTGAGGGCTCCAGTTCAGAAGGGCAGGTGACATAGGGCCAGAACTACATCTCAGAGGTGCCACACGGCAGGAAGGGAGGGGGGCTCGAACCAAGTGCCATGGGCTAGGGCTAGAAGGCTTCTGGAAGAAGGGACATTTGTGCTTGGTTTCAAAGGGTAGTAGGGTTTTGATACAAAGAAACTGAGGGGGTCATTCCTGGTGGAGGGACAGGCACGAGCCAAACCTGGAGACTGATATTTTAAGACAAGTACAGGCAAGTAGCTGAGTTTGGCTAGAATGTGGGGTTAACACTGAGGGCATTACATTCCAGGCTAAGGAATTTAGGAGGATGTACTAAGACCTGCACCAAGGTGGGGGCTCACCTTCCCATTATCTGAGATGTGCCATAAGAATGCAGTGGAGTACATGGTTGGGTGCAGTGGCTCATGCATGTAATCCCAGCACTTTGGGAGGTCGAGGTGGGCAGATCACAAGGTCAGGAGTTCGAGACCAGCGTGACCAACATGGTGAAACCCCATCTCTACTAAAAATATAAAAATTAGCCAGGCATGGTGGCGCATGCCTGTAATCCCAGCTACTCGGGAGACTGAGGCAGAAGAATTGCTTGAACACAGGAGGCGGAGGTTGCAGTGAGCCGAGATTGCGCCGTTGCACTCCAGCCTGGGTGACAGAGTGAGACTGTCTCCAGAAAAAATAAAATAAAATTGGAGTACGTAAAACTCTTCACAGTCACTGTTTAGTTGGCCTCTGAGGGTGAAGCTACCCAAAGCCAAATGCCCAGGATAGGGAAGGTGGGGAGAAGCAGCAGGACACAGGGGAGGGTGGCAGGGAGGCCTCTGATCTTTCAGTCTTGGCCATGGGGCATCAGCAACCCCTGAAGCTGGGGCCAGGATTGTGCCTCCAGGTGGGCGGGGTCAGGCCAGCAGGAGCTGTCCCGGAGGCTGGGGGCTCGCACACCAAGGAGTGCTCTGAGTTCTCTCCCTCAATACTCAGCACAGTCTTGTGAAAATCCAGCCCACCTCCACTGGGCTAGTGGGAACCTGGGGAAGGAACTCTGTCCACATCATGGGCAGTGGAAAAGGAAACCCAGGCAAGGAAGCTTGGAGAAGGAGCTGCCCACCAGACTGAACTGGGCCAGCTGCCCACCCCCCCACCTCAGCCTCACCTCCCCCTGCAAGGAACTCTCCTGCCAGGGCTGGACTTGGAGAGGTCTGGGTTTGGTGCCAACCCAGTTAGGGGGCAGATTCCCTGGAGAAAGAGGAGATGATGATGTGAAGAACTTGTAAAGTCTCTAAATGTAGACTAGTACCGGCTCAAATGGAACGAAACCACCCTGGAACTCAGGGGTCAAGGGTGAAAGAATATAATGTGTATCTGCAAGGGTCGATCCACCCTTGCCCATCCTGTGGAGCTCAGAGATTCTTGGGAGCTGAAGGTCTTCTTAATGTCAGATCAGCAACCCCTGTGAGGTGGTTGGAAGAGAGGAGTCTCGTGGACACAAGACCAAGGGTGTCTGGGTCCCATTTCAGGGGGCGGGAGTGGACCTAGGGATTTGGTGTCTCAGCCCACTTTGGGGGTGGTGGAGACAGGCTTTGTTTCACCATTGTCCATCTTGTGGCCGTCTGACCCCAGAGCAGCTGACACCACAGGCTTCCTCTGGGAATAGCAGGCACCAAGGAGGTGTCACTGCCCGGAGTGTCCTGGTTTCCACCTACTCAGCAGTGAGAGCACTTGGGGAAAATTTCAAATGGGTCCTCTGTGACACACACAGGCCTCCTGTGAGCTTGCAGAGGGAGAGAGGATTCACAGGAGCCTTGTAGTTCCCAGGAAACTGATCAGACCGGGTTTCTAAGGCTGATCTGGACACCTGGTGACTCTGCCAAGGAGCAGACAGTCATACGAGGCCACCTGCCGGGTGTGGTGGCTCACACCTGTAATCCCAGCACTTTGGGAGGCCGAGGCAGGTGGATCACAAGGTCAGGAGATCGAGACCATCCTGGCTAACATGGTAAAACCCTGTCTCTACTAAAAATACAAAAAATTAGCCGGCGTGCTGGCGGATGCCTGTAGTCCCAGCTACCTGGGAGGCTGAGGCAGGAGAATGGCGTGAACCCAGGAGGCGGAGCTTGCAGTGAGCCTAGATCACGCCACTGTACTCCAGCCTGAGTGACAGCTCAAAAAAAAAAAAAAAAAAAAGCCACCTGCATCTGGAAACCCGGCTAAATGTCAGTTACCTGGAAGCTGACAAAGGGCTGGAGGGCTGGGGAGGAAGAGGTCAGGTTTGATTTTGGACCTGAGGCGCATCGAGAGTTAAAAACAGCTGGAATGGAATGGTTTGGCTAGAGAAAGGGTGGAAGTTGAGATGCTCACTCGGTGTCAGTGGAATAGCCGAGGGAAAGCAAGGTGAAGGGGGAGAGCTGTGAGGAAAGGTCTGGAGACCCTGGAACTTGGAGGAGCTGGGAGGAGGCCAGCTGAGGGCTGCATCACCCACAGCTGAGAGGAACTATGGTTGGCAGGGTCAGGTGATACAGGGACTTCAAGGAGGATGAGGGTTTGGTCCCAGAAGGTCACTGTGACCTTCCAGGTGACATTTTGGGTGCAGAGGTGGGGGTGGAAGCCCTCCCAGCAGGAGTTAAGATGTGAGTGGGTGGTGAGCAGAGAGGAGCTGTGGAAGGAGAGGAGGTGACATGAAGGAGAGTGAAGATGCTGGGGACGCAGAAAGCCTGCTTTTTAGGCCAGGGGAGAGCAGGATGCAGCGGGGAGAAATGTGGACTAGAGATGACAGAAGAAATGTGGACTGGAGGTGACAAGAGAAAGGCAGGGGCCTTGGAAGCCAAGGTGGTGGGGACAAGCTTCAGAGAGGATGCGGGGGGAGGGGTGGGGAGTGCCGGGTGTCAGAGAAACCCTGGAGGGCAGTGGCTCCCTGCTTGGCCTTCCCAACGGGGCAGGGGTTTAAGGAATGTGACCAACATTTGGCCACAGGAGGCCTGGATGGGCGACTGGGACTCCTTGGGCTTTCTCCACAAGGCCCAGCTGCTGGAGAACAGGCCCGTCACGTGGTGGTGGCTGTCACACTCACACCTGCACACCCTCTTCTCTGATTTGCACACGTGCAGACTTGCACAGGTAGGGACACCACACATCTGCACCCACGCTGGCACTCACACTCCTCTGACACAACTCCCTCCCCACCACATGCAGAGGGAGCCTCCAGTACCAATCTCAGGCAGCTCGGATTCGCTGCTCTCGATCTCCCGCTGGCCAATGTAAAACCAGACGCAGGCGACCCAGTGCGCGAGCAGGGCGAACACGGCCATGAGCAGTGTCAGCACCACGGCGCTGTACTGCGAGTACCGGTCCAGCCGCGGAAGCAGGCGCAGCAGGCGCAGCAGGCGCACCGTCTTCAGCAGATGGGCCCCGAAGTACTGAGATGCGGGGAGGGAGGGAGGGAGGGAGGGAGGTCAGCGGGCCGGCCCTGCCTGTCCCCTGGCCAAGCCCACCCACCCAGCCAGCCCAGCCACACTGACCACGTTGACCTTGAAGGCATGTAGCAGGTCAAAGGGCAGCGCTGCGATGACATCCAGCAGGAACCAGGTGGTGACGTAGTGGAGGCAAATGGACTTTGGGGCAAACACCACCTGGCCCGACTTGGACACGAATGTGGTACGGAAATTCAGCACAATGTCTGTGGGGAATCCGGGTGGGAGTCAGCACTGGGGCTGGGGGGGCAGCCACTCTTGCCTGGACACCTGCTCACTTTCTCAGTAGTTGACACTGTCCCCGGCCCTTCCCATACATCGTCTTAGTTCTCACAGTAACTGTAACAGGTAGACATCATTTTGCCTATTTTACAAAGGGGGAATCTATTTTATGGAGGCTCAGAGAGGCTTTGACCAGCTCAAGGTCATATAACTTCTAAGTGGCAGATGTTTGGAACCTAGGTCTGATTTCAAAGCTCACAGGTTACAAATGAGAGAGAGCGAGGGGGGCACTGTAGCACCCTGGAAGCCACGTGGACTATCCCCAGCAAAGCCCCAGGGCGCCAGCAAAGGGTGGGGCGGAAGGGGCAGAGTGCACGCACCAAGGATGAAGAGGACCTCCACGGCCAGGTCACAGACGCTGGGCGGGCCGCGGGCGGCACTGGGCTCCCGTGCTGTGCTCACACACACGCTGTAGGGCACAGTGACAGCCACATAGAGTGTGGCGAGCAGGATGAAGCCATCCCAGGTGGCTCTCAGTGCCCCACAGTGCAACAGGATGAAGGGCGACTTCCGGATGGCGGCTACTTTGTACTCAGGCAAGTTTGGTTTCTCCCCAAACACCCCCTGAGTGAGGCAGGGCAGGTCCAGGCAGAGAGGAAAGAATATTGGCACAGGCTGAGTTTGGATAGAGTCTGGGACCCGCATCCACCTCCTTTCTATCCCTGCATTATCGAAGCAGCATCTGCTTCGAGATGGCATTAGCATCTCCATTTTATAGATCAGAAAACTGAAGATCAGGAAAGTTAAGTGACTTAGCTTTGGCCACACAGCTGCTTAGGGGAGGAGCCAGGATTGAACCAAGGCCCATCTGCCTCCCAGGCCAGGACTTTCTTCTGATGGATCAGGCATGTGATCTTCCCTCCTTCAGTCCCAACCCCCAAAGTGCTGGCAAGGCCTGGGTGGCCCCTAGGACATTCTCTCTGTGGTAGATCAGGTTCCCCTTCCCCATCTTCTGCGTCTGCCCCTCCCCTCTCCCACACATCCCAGGGCTGAGCCCACCTTATTGAGCTTGTGCTTGCCCTTGGGCTGCTTCTGCAGGTGCCCGGACAGGTGGTAGAGCACGGCCCGGCTCCGCCGCCGGTTGGCATTGAAGCCTTTGGATCGTGCCCGGCCATATCGGCGCCGGCCACCACCTGCGAAAGAAGAGGGGCCCATGAAGATGATGGGTGTGTGCCCACACACCCTAGCTCCGGGTCAGGTGTAGGACACAGTTGCTGGCCCATGGACTGGTCTGGCTCATTGACCACTTAGAATGTTTAGAGTTGGGGGCTCAGGTATTCCTCACTTCCTGGGTTCACTTGCCCAGCCCAGCAATGGGCAGTCCTAGGAGTGTTTACAGACACTACCTCTGGGGTCTGCTTCCAGGAAGAGGAGGTTTGGACCAGAGGATCTCTACGGGGAAAGGCCTGGGACAGGAAGCGAGGAGGTACCTCACAGGGCCAGGGTGGAGAACTAGCAGGAGGCCGTCAGCAGAGGTGTGGGAACTTACAGCAGGAGCCCAGGAGCTAGTGCAGGGACCAGAGGGTGACAATGAAGGCTGACATCATGGAGAGGCAGACCCAGCACTGGGAGTACGCGAGTGGGAGTGGAGAGTACCCCCAGCATCCCCAAATGGCAAAGAGGCCTTGACAGCTTTGTAACCTGCCCAAAGGCCTGCCCCAGCCTTGGAGGACACAAGAGGGGAAAGACTCGAAGAACTTAAAAGCAGGCTTTGCCCAGAGCTCCACCCCCAGTCAGGTTTGCTGTAGGAAAGAGGAACCTGGTGGGTCTGTGCTCAACCTTATTAACTGGTCAGAAAGTACCTGCTTCACAGGTACAATTGGGTTTGTTTGCTTTCAGTTTCTTAATAAAGTTGACTTAAAAACTCCAACTTTGTCTCAATCTGTCTATTTGGAAAAAATATTCCCATACCGAGGAATGTGGAGATGAGAGCAGCACAGGCCTCTCAGGCAGCCTGAGTGGGAGTGAAATGAATGCAGGTGCATGGGGGACCCCCGTACTCAGACTGGGTGCCAAGGCCCCGCCCGGGCCTGCGGCACCCAATACCCCGACCACAGCACCTACATGCACCTACCTGTCTCCTTCCATCTGTCGGGGCCCCCTCGGTTCTTGGTTTCGCTGATGTCCTTGTGAGAGACTAGGAAGAGAGCCACCTCCCCTTTCTCATTCTTTATGGGTATCACATCCAGGAGACACCAGAACGGGAGCCCTGGGCACAAAAACAAACTCAGCCCACCTCCTATTCTCAGCACTGCCTGAGGTGACAGAGGCCCTGGCTCCACTGACATCCCGGGCAAGACACAGGCAGGATCTAGCGGTTTCCTGGGGGAAGGGCTGGCAGTCCAGTTTCACTGAAGGCAGGGCTTGATGGAATTGGGGGAAGGAAGCAAGGGAGAGCAAACATGACGGTCAGACCTGTCGTGTGGTAGATCTGCCCTGCCGAAATGCGGATGTTTTTCTGTTGGATGCGGGAAACCCGAGGTTGGAACTGAATGCAGGCTGAGGCTAGGGTGAGGCAGGTAGAGATGGGGAGCCGGGGCAAGAGGTGGGATGGAGCAAGAGGGGTTGGATGGGGGGATGGGAAGATGGGATGACATGGGGAGATGGAGAAGATGGCAACAGAAAGGAGGAGGGACAGTGGATGGGGCTGGTGCCAGGCTGGGTGAGACTGCAAAGGTGAGGCAGGCTGGCCAGGTGGCCCCTCACCGCTCTTCCGGTACAGGATCAGCTCAGCCTTGAACTCCTTGTGCTCGTCCAGGGCCTTGCGGATCTGTTGGCGGACGAGCTCACTGGTGTCTGGCCCATAAAGGAAGGAGCAGGCACAGCCCCGCTGCATGACCTCAGCCCGGGAGAAGCCCGTGAGGTCACAGAAGCCATCAGAGCAGTAGACCACGGGGAAGAGCCCCGCCACCTGGGCGTTGCCCAGCACGAAGTTACTGTCTGCAAGAGAGCACTTCTCAGAGGAGGCGTGGGGTGAAGGGGCAGGAGGCCTACCACCCCTCCTTTCTCAAATGCCTGCAACCAAAGAGTGGGTTTTCCAAACCCCAGGAATCCTGCGTGTGTTAAGGCAGGGCTGTTTATGAATAGCAATCAGTGTGTGTCACCTGTTTGTCAGTGCCCTGCAGCAGGTGTGAGTACATTCAAGGATCAGCACATGTGAACTGAGGTCGGTGAATGAAGCGCTGTGCGGGCACTGTGCCTTCTGGAGGGTGTCCTGAGCAATGTGGGGTAAGGGCTGGGATTGGGGAATCCCTAATGAGGACTGCCCTGCCAGCTCTGGGCCAGCCTCAGCCCCACCTCTACTTCTGCCAGGCTCACCCACTAGCCAGGTACCCAGGTTGGCTGTCTGGCTTCTCCCACTGAGACACACCTAGACTGGAGGCAACCCCAGACCACCATACATCCTGCTGTCTGTGTTTTAGCCCTAGCTGCCTGACCTGGCTCAGGAATTAGTGAATGTGATCAAGAATGGGGGTGTAAGAATGGTGACTGAGCACGGGAGCCAGGAGCCAGGAATGTATTGGGGAGTGGGGGGCACTGAATCAGCAGGCTGCAGGAGCCAAGCACACTGGCAAAGCAGATGGAGGAGCCCGGAGTGGGGAGAGCGCAGGGCTGGGCTCCCACCCCCTATCAGGAACCGGAGACCAAGGAGGACCTAGGCAGAGAGCTGGGAAGCCCCACGGGGGATGTGAGGGAGAGGAGGAGGGAGGGGCTTTCATCACTTCCCCTGTGCTCAGAGCCCCCAGAACCGGGGATCCAGAGCTCGGGGCGCCTTCTCCAAACTTCCCCAGTCCTGATGGGAGTCCCCAAACCATCTTCTTGGGGCTAGATGGCCTCCCCAAGTCTAGGGGGTTCAGGCTATGAGACACGGGGCTTGGACACACGGTGCTCTCCCGAGTGCCGCCTACTCTTATCTCCGTTTGCAAATCTCTTTTCTAAATCTGTGTTTTGAGCCCTCTCAGCTGTCCCTGAGCACTGTTCACCCGCCTCGCCTTACCCCACCAGTCCGAGGGTAGTTGCTGCGACAGCGCCAGACGCAGGGGTGGGATGGGTCAGACTGACTAGGTTCGGGTTCGAGACCCGGCTAACAGAGAGCATCCCAGGACCCACACCCAGGGACTTCTGGCCCTGTTGCCTCGCCTGAAGCAGTGTTGACCCCGAACCTTCGAACCTTCGGGGAAACAGCGCCTAGCAGGAGACGATGGCCCCAGCCTCAAGAGGGGCGGGTAGGGAGGAGAGGGTGAGAATAGGCTGGCGCCAAGCTGGGCTGCTGGGGGTTCGGGGAAGGCGGGAGCCCTGGCGAGGGTCCGGCGGCCCGGGTGCAAGTGGGCGAGGGTCGGACTCACGCGTGCCGTCGAAGCGCGTAGCGATGGTGTCCAGGAAGGTGTTCTGCGGCGCCAGGAGGCCCCGCATGGCCGGCATCTTAGGCGCCCGCGGCTGCCCGCCCCATCCCTCCGGGGTGCGGGGACTCCGCGCCGGGGGAGGGCGCCCAGCTCGGCCGCCCCCCGCCGGGCCCCGCGCTCCCTAGCGCAGCCGTCGGGGGGCAATGCGCAGACCGGGATCCGGGGTCGCGCCGGACGCTGGCGCGCGAGGGGGCGTCCGCGCCGTCGGGGCCCGGAGCATGGCGCGCGGCCCCTCGCGCCCTCGCCGCCCACAAATCCCGGGCTCCAGGCCCCGCGGCCGCCGCGCTCTCAGCACCTCCCGCCGCGGCAGCGGCTCGCGTGTCGGCTGCGGGTGGGCTTCCGCTCGGCTTCGCTCGGCGCCGGCTCTCGGCAGCTCCCTCCGTCTGTCGGGGAGAAGCTGCAGCCTCCCTCCCTCCCTCCCGCGCCCGCCGCCTGCACCGGGGTAACCATGGAGACGGGGCACACCCAGCCAGGGCCGCCTCCTTAAAGGGACAGGCCTCCCGCGGAGGGCTCCCCTCCCTTCGGGACCTCGGCGGGGGCGGGGAGGTGGCGGCCGCCCTGATCCCACCCCGCGGGCCTCCCCGCCCGTACCTCGGAGAACCACTGGCGAGCGGCCGGCCCCCTTTGGCTCACTCGGCCTCAGCCGCAGAGGGGAGGCGTCTTTCTCTGCAGCCCGGGGGCTCTCCGAGAGCCTCCTAGCAGCCTCTCCTCCCCCGGCGGAATGGGAGGGGGGCTCGGGGCGTGGGGGGCAGGGGACGCATGCTGTGGAAGATGCTCTCCCCGAGGAAAATGCAGTGGGCAAGGGGACAGGGCGACAGGCGCAGGTGAAGGCCCTGCGGCCAGCGGAGGCCGGCGCTCTAGAGGGGCTCCAGCCGCACCCGGGAAATCTAAAAGCAGATGGGGCGGGGGTTCTGCGCGCACAGCTGCCCGGCCCTCGAGACTTTCTCATCCTCAACTTGACGCTCTGGAAAATGGATCCAGCTGCTCCTATGAGGTGTCTCCGCAAGCAGGAGCTGCCTGGAAACCAGAGGGTGGGTAGCCCTAGGAGTAAGGGTCAGACGTCCTCCGTGTGACCCCGTGGGCGGAAAGGGTGTGTGGTGGGGAGGGGAGCGCCAGACCCCTTGTCCTGCCCCTCCATTTCCCTCTGGCATTTGTCACCTCTTGCCTCTCCTAAGCGCGCTAGAGGGTCAGGTGGTAAATACAGGGGACCGGCAGGGGTCAGACACTGCGAAAAAACTTCCGAACCTTGTGCGTGCGGGTCCTGGCACCAGGAGAGCGAGGAAGGCCGAGCCCCGCGCCTCACGCAGCTCGTCCTGGAGAGCTCCGCGCGGCGCCGCGCGGGGTGCTGCCCTGGGGCGGCTGCAGGGAGCCCCTTCCCGGCGGGGCGGAGCCGGGCCCGGGGCGGCCGTCTTTTCTTGGCCTCCCGCGCTGCGACGGTCCCCCGGACTTGCCTGCCAGCGCCGCTCCTCCTCCCTCCCACGATTTGCCAGCGAGCGCGGCTGCCGCCCGCGCCCAGAGGAGCCGCCGGGGCCAAAACAGCAATTTGTTCCCTAACGAGCGAAGCGGTAGGCTCAGCACCCCCATCCCTCGAGACGCACTCACAGTCACCAGCATCAGAAAGATGCTACCCCTCATCAGCGACGAGAGCCAAAGCCCCAGGCACCTGTATCTAAATGAGCTGGCGCTTTGGGAAGGGAGGACGCGCTCCTCCTTCTCCGGTCCTGTGAAGCCTGGAATCTGGTCCCCAGGACGAGGAGTGACCCTGAGGAGTGACCCTAAGGAGTCGGGAGATCCTACTCCCATCTCATCCCCAGCCTTGGCTGGATCCTGGCTGTAAAGTAATCCCCTCCCCCAGCCGTTCAAGGCTTCCTCTCCAGGCGGCGGTCCAGCTGTCTACTAAAAAGAAGGACATTTTAGGAGTCAGTTCACTTTGAGACAGGATAAGGCCACAATTGAAATCACCCACCCACTTGGGAACCAGGTCTGCCACTTGCTGTCCCTGTGATTAAATTTTTTTTTTAATTTTGGTCTGTGTGAATTTTTTTTTTTTTTTTTTTTTTTTTGTGACGGAGTCTCCCTCTGTCGCCCAGGCTGGAGTGCATTGGAGCTATCTCTGCTCACTGCAACCTATGCCGACCAAGTTCAAGCAATTATCCTGCCTCAGCCTCCCAAGTAGTTGGGACCACAGGCATGCGCCACCACGCCCCGCTAATGTTTGTATTTTTAGTAGAGATTGGGTTTCACCATGTTGGCCAGGCTCATCTCGAACTCTTGACTTCAGGTGATCTGCCCGCCTCAGCCTCTCAAAGTGCTGGGATTACAGGCGAGAGCCACCACACCTGGCCTGTCTGTGTGATTTTTAAAGGCAAGTTATTAACCCTTCTCTGACTCAGTTCTCTCATCTGTAAAATGCGGATGCTAATAATAACATCAGAGGGTCGTAATGAGGATTCAATGAGTGAGTATGTGTAGAGGATCTAGAACAGTGTGTGACACCTGCAACATGTAAATGTTTGTTGTCTGATTTTGAGTCTCCTAGGAGCCCTGTGAAACAGCCAGGGTGGGGGCTCCTTATGCTCCATTTCACAAAGGAGGAACCAGAGCTGAGAGAGAGGGAGAGAGGAAGAAGAAGAAAGAAGAAAGAAGAAGAAGGAGGAGAAGGAGAAGAAGGAGAAGAGAGAAAGGAGGAAGGAGAAAGGAGGAAGGAAGAAGAAGGAAGAAGTTAAGAAGAAGAAGAGGTGGAGGAGGAGGAGGAGGGGAGGGAGAGGGAGAAGAGGAGGAGGGGGAGGAGGAGGGAGAGAGAGACTTGCTCAAGGTAACAGAGTTGATAAATGACACAGCCAGGGTTAGAACCCTGACAGTCTCCCAGCCCTAGGTCGTTGGGTCTACCTCTCTCTAGCCTAACTGTGTGGGCACTCAGAGGACTGGTCATCTGGGCTTGTGTAGCATGTCTGGGTGGCCTTACACTTATCCCTGTAAGGCCTAAGTGTTTAGACTTTCAGGCTTCCAGCTCACCTGCTGGGGCTGGTTTTGGGCATTAAGCCAAACCAGACACCTTGGGTTAGGGTGATCAGGGTGAGATGGAATGTGTGGGGTGCCCCTGAGGATTACAGCAGCTTACACTTATTGAGCATTAACTTTGTGCCAGGCACTGTGCAAAGTGCTTTACTTGGATCGTCCCATTAATCTTCATAATAACGCTATGAGCTAGTTATTAGCTATAACTGCCAATTCACGGATGAAAAACTTGGGGCAGCGAGGTCAAGTCCCTAGTCTGAGGTGCACTGCCTCCTCCAGCAGCTCCAGGCACAATGCCCATGTCACCCTTTGCTGCCCTGGTTCCCACTTCCAGGAGAAGAAAATACACTAATATTTATGGAATGTTATTACCATTCTTATTGCAGAGTGAAAAGTCAAAGGCCTGTTTGGGCCTTTAAACCCCTTCCCCCATTGCCCCTCAAAGAACTCATGTGAATGCGTACTGGGAGGGGGTACCGCCACTGACCCTTTCCTTTATGTGGCCTGTTTTAGATGAGCGTGATCAGGCACAGGATCTCAGCCCACTATCCTCTCTCTTCACCTTTACCCAGTCCCTCAGATCTTCCTGCCAGACCTGGCTTTTGTTTGTATGGATTCCCCCAGCTCTTAGTCACAATTCCCTATCTTTTTTTTCTATTCTTTTTTAATTTTTATGTTTTTTCTTTTATTCCTTTTTTTTGAACGGAGTCTTGCTCTGTCACCCAGGCTGGAGTGCAATGGCATGATCTCGGCTCACTGCAACATCTGCATCCTGGGTTCAAATGATTCTCCTGCCTCAGCCTCCCGAGTAGCTGTGATTACAGGTGCCTGCCACCATGCCCAGCTAGTTTTTGTATTTTTAGTAGAGACGAGGTTTCACCTGGGTTGCCAGGCTGGTCTTGAACTCCTGACCTCAGGTGATCCACCTGCCTCGGCCTCCCAAAATGCTGGGATTACAGGCATGAGCCACCTTGCTTGGTCCTCTTTTATTCTTTTAATTCCCTATCTTTTCCTTCCATCTTTCCTCCAGCCCCCAACCCACATGCACAAAGGGCAGGGACCCACATTTAGGAGAGAGTAAGACGGGCATTGGGGAGTTGAAAATTGAGCAGGGCCCTGGGAGATGGGCACCATAGTCCTCCTCACTGTAACTCCTTTTCCTCTCCCCTTCCGCCAGCTCTTGACGCATTTGGCCGTGGTGGGGAGTCACAGGGAGGGGAATGTTGAGGAGGATCCCTGTTCAGAGATGCTCAAAGCCTCTGTCAACAAGAAACTCGGGAGGCTGCATTTTGGAGCTGCCGTGGGAGGCCTGTGGGAGTATTAGCTACAAAAAGGAATATGGAGAGACAGTAGGGAAGCGCAAAGCAAGGAAAAAACCGCTCAAGACACAAAGGATGGAAAAAGTCCCCCTACCCCGCAACCACAAAGCGCAGGCGGAGTCAGACACTGTGCTCAGGGAGTGGGAATAGGCGGCTGTCGAGGAACAGAGCCCAGGGGCCCCTCCCCTCTCCCCGTCTCTTCCCACTCTCTCCACCTTCCTCTCTGGAGGTCCCCAGGCCTGAGCCTGGCTCTCAGCCAGCAAGGCCAGGCTCTGCTTCTAAGGTGTGTTGTATGGTGGGAAAATCTTGGGCTTTCAAGTCAGACTAGTTGGGGTTCCAATCTAGCTCTGCCACTGGCCAGCTGGGAGACCCAGGGTGTGCAGAGGTACTTTATCTTGCAGAGCATCGGGTCTTTTGATTTGTGAAATGAACCTTAGCCAGCTGTTATTTTTAAAAAGCCCTGGCCTGGCCGGGCACAGTGGTTCACGCCTATAATCCCAACACTTTGGGAGGCCGAGGTGGGCGGATCACTTGAGATCAGGTGTTCAAGGCCAGCCTGGCCAACATGGTGAAACCCCATCTCTACTAAAAATACAAAAATTAACAGGGCATGGTGGTACACGCCTGTAATCCCAGCTACTCCGGAGGCTGAGGCAGGAGAGTTGCTTGAACCCAGGAGGTGGAGGTTGCAGTAAACTGAGATCGTGCTACTACACTCCAGCCTGGGCGACAGAGCCAGACTCTGTCTCAACAACAACAACAACAACAACAACAACAACAACAACAACAACCACCACAACCAATCTCTGGCCCTCGGTGCTGGGACCAGGGAAATGAGCTCAGGATGAAGCCTGAGGGTTCCCCCTCCCCACCAAAATAAAACATTTTGGAATTCTTTGAGGCCTCTAGTATTTGGCCACACCTTGGCTGTCTCATTCTAGGAGATTCCTTTTCTTTTAGTGGAAGACCCTGGCTAGAGTAGAGTGGGAACAGACCACAATCAACTTTTTTTTTTTTTTTTTTGAGATGGAGTCTTGCTCTTGTGGCCCAGGCTGGAGTTGAATGGTGTGATCTCGGCTCATTGCAACCTCCGCCTCCCAGGTTCAAGTGAGTCTCCTGTCTCAACCTCCTGAGTAGCTGGGATTACAGGCATGTGCCACCACGCCCAGCTAATTTTTTTATTTTTAGTAGAGACGGGGTTTCACCATGTTGGCCCGGCTGGCCTTGAACTCCCGACCTCAGGTGATCCGCCTGCCTCGGCCTCCCAAAGTGCTGGGATTACAGGTGTGAGCCACTGCGCCCGGCCCACAATCAACTTTCAAACAAGGGAAACCTGGGAGGCACAGAGTTGTGTTTACAGATAAAGAAACTGGCCCATATTGCTTGGCTAGTAAGAAAAAGAATCAGGTCTGAACCAAGATTTGACTAGGATGACGGCAATTCAGGACTATGCCATGCAGTGCGGCCACTTTGTCTTCTCCTTTGGTAAACAGCCTATGAAAAGGGAACGGCATGGTTATTTCTGACAGATGGTCAGTGACCTGTGGTGAATGCCCATTGTGAACAACACCTGGACTCCACGCCAGGTGAGACACTGCAGTTAACTGCAGGACCCGAAGGGAAGGTGGCCAACATAGCCCTGCCGGAGTTGGCGAGGGAGTATGTGCCCAGCCTCCTGAGAAATCTCATCCTCTCAATCCGTGTGTTCTAGCAGCACCAGAAAACAGGTGTGTCTGAAATCGAGTTACAGAGAAAGCCTAACTCGGTTAAATTGAAGAGACATAAAAAGGAGACCTGACTTTTCCCTAAGGAATTGGAGTGGGTGGTATTTGTTCCTGCTGTTTTGACAGCAGTGAAGGGACAGGCAGGAGAATAGTTGTGCTGCTGGGTGAGTTTCTTAACCCAGAAGCATCTTTTTTGGATAGTTTCCTCCTTGGAACTGAGTATCAAGGTAGGTAATAAAACTCCCTCATCACCTGTATGGAAATAATGTTCCCTGACTTTCCCCTGGGAAACCCTGGCCCCAGCTTCACCTGTGTGCTGCTGCAATGGTTACTGTGTTAGCCGAGGTCAGCTCCATCAGCATCTGCCTGCCACACCCACGTAGCTCTGAAACTGGGGTAGGGGTGCATTTTCTGATAGGTATGGCAGACAGACAAGAGGGGCACAGGGCTCACCATGCTGGAGGGGCATGCACTCAGGAAGAAAATTTACAGAAGGAATAGGATAGCTGGATTTTTAGTATTTTTGTGATTAATAAGGTCTGTCTGGCTGGATATAGGGGAAGTCTTCTTTCATATACTTTTCAACAAAGCAGGACAGACAGAAAAGGAAAGGGGCTATGGGGAGTGAACATTCAACTTGTCATGGGTTAGCCTAGACACGCAGGGCACTGTTTTGTAGCACCTGGCTAGATGTCTCATAAAGTCGTTACCATTGTCCCACTTCACAGTTCAGAAAGAGGTTCAAAGCTGTTATCTGTCCAAGGGCAGTCGGTCACACAGCTACCAAGCTGTGAAGCCAGAATTAAAATCCAAGTTGAATCTTTATACTCTACCACACTGCCTGGCCAACAGGCAGGGCTCCCAAGGGTTTAAGGACGAGCTCTACTTCCTTTACCTGCAAAGCAGTTGAAGAATGAGCTAGGGCTGGGCCTGGTGGCTCATGCCTGTAATCCTAGCACTTTGGGAGGCTGAGGCAGGCAAATCACCTGAGGTCAGGAGTTTGAGACTAGCCTGGCCAACATGGTGAAACCCCGTCTCTACCAAAAATACAAAAATTAGCTGAGTGTGGTGGCAGGCACCTGTAATCCCAGCTACTCAGGAGGCTGAGGCAAGAGAATTGCTTCAACCAGGGCGGCAGAGGTTGCAGTGAACTGAGATGGCCCCACTGCACTCCAGCCTGGGTGACAGAGTGAGACCCTGTGTCAAAAAATATAGATTAAAAAAAAAAAGAAGAAGAATGAGCTAGAATAGTTTCTGGCTCAGAACTCAGCAGAGTGCCTAGCACACAGTAGGTACCTCAATGTATGATGGAGAGAAAATGTGCCCAAGTGGCTACAACAACCAGAAACTTGATTTTATAGTATGTTGTTCTGGCTACCAGCATTGTGAGCCGGTACTTTGAACTCGTTGGTTAAACTAGTGATAAAATAGTTTCTTGTATCAGTTGGCAGCCTCCCAGCATGTATACCTGTTTCTTCCAAGAAATGTGCTGCCATAAGGATACAATCCTCACCAAATGGGACCAGAAGGTGGGATGAACCCTACAAATCAGGGAAGACAGAACCTCATTTTCTTGGGTCAGATGGTAGAATTTTCAGGGGCAACAAGACATTATTCTACTGACCTTCTCCAAGAGAACGGGTTAGTACAAAGATGAGTGACATGCATCCCGAATTTTCCGGGTCACTCCTAACTTCAACTAGTTTATCCTATTCCCTCCCATACATACATTCATACTCACAAGACTGTACCCTGGTTTGGGATTCTGAAATATAATGGAATGTCACTATCTCCATACACCACTGCACAACTGCCTGATCATATGCTGGTATAGTTCTGGCTCAAGCATGGGACCCAGCCCTTTCGGCTGTGCTCCCTCCACCTCGAAGACAGCATGGCACTTTCAAGCAACACTATTTCCTTGTATTATTTATTGGTATTCTCAGTTGCATCAACTGGTTTATCAGCCATGTGAAGTCAGGGATTGTTTCTCTCCTTAGCTTCTGGCTCAGCAACTGTACAAAGCATTGCCAAACACTGGTAGAAAATGTAAACCTGGTGGCTGGGTGTAGTGGCTCACACCTGTAATCCCAGCACTTTGGCAGGCCAAGGTGGGAGGACTGCTTGAGGCTAAGAGTTCGAGACCAGCCTAGGCAACAAAGCAAGACCATATCTCTACAAAAAATAAAAATAAAAAATTAGACAGTTGTGGTGGCATGCACCTGTAGTCCCAGCTACTTGGAAGGCTGAGGCAGGAGGATCCCTTGAGCCCAGGAGTTTGAGGCTGCAGTGAGCTATGATCCCACCACCGCAGTCCAGCCTGGGTGACAGAGAGTCCATATCTCTAAATAAATAAGTTGCATGTGTGAATCCGTGCAACTTTATCAAAATAATACTTTATCAATAACTATATGACCTAGTAATTCCACTCCTAGGAATTTATCCTACAGGGATATTCTCTCAAGTGAGGAATGATATATGCATTATGGAATGCTCATTGCAGCAATACTTGTAATAGCAGAAAACTGAAAACCATCATTAGGGACTGGTTAAACTAATAATAACAAACTTATACAATGGAATACTATGCAGCCACAGAACAGAGGTCTATACCTCGTAGACCTCCATCCACGTCAGTAAGTAGAAATATACTTGATTTTTCTTAAAACAAAACAAAAAAATGAGTTACAAAAAGTGAGGACAAGTGAAAAAAGCAACTTGTATAAGGGTATGCACAGTATGAATCCCATTTATGCAAAAGAAAGAAAAGGTACTTCTATGTTTGGGTTTAGAAAGTTTCTGGAAAGACATGTAAGAAACCAGCGATTTCTTCGGGGGAGTGGGACAAGGTAGAGAAAACTTTTAAATTTCTACTATGTACCCTTTTTTGTGTTTGTTTTTGTTTTGAGACCGAGTCTCACTGTGTTGTCCAGGCTGGAGTGCAGTGGCGCGATCTCAGCTCACTGCAACCTCCGCCTCCCGGGTTCAAGAGATTCTCCTGCCTCAGCCTCCCAAGTAGCTGGGATTACAGGCACCCGCCACCATGCCCGGCTAATTTTTTTTGTATTTTTAGTGGAGACGGGGTTTCACCATGTTGTCCAAGCTGGTCTGAAAACTCCTGACCTCAGGTGATCTGCCAGCTTCGGCCTCCCAAAGTGCTGGGATTACAGGCGTGAGCCACCGCACCCTGTCCCCCGCCTTTTTTTTTGTGAGACGGAGTCTCGCTCTGTCGCCCAGGCTGGAGTGCAGTGGCAAGATCTCGGCTCACTGCAAGCTCCGCCTCCCGGGTTCACGCCATTCTCCTGCCTCAGCCTCCCGAGTAGCTAGGACTACAGGCGCCCGCCACCACGCCCGGCTAATTTTTTCTATTTTTTAGTAGAGACGGGGTTTCACTGTGTTAGCCATGATGGTCTCGTCTCGATTTCCTGACCTTGTGATCTGCCCGCCTGGGCTCCCAAAGTACTGGTATTACAGGCGTGAGCCACCGCGCCCAGCCCGGTCCCTTTTTTTTAAAAAAAAAAAAAAAAAAAAAAAAAAAAAAGCTGGTCTGCACTTTTGTTTAAAAGCACATTTTTTTTAAATCGCCATAAATTAGGGGCATAGGAAATATATGATGTTCATAATGAAGCCATGCTAATTTAAATTTTGCCTCTCAAGTGTCATGTAACTGGCAGAGCTAAACAACTTAAAGTTGCAGTCCTATCTCTTAAGTTGGGCAGGGTGAGACATTTGTCTGAAAGAGGAAGTGGAAAGAGAAGGACAAACAATGGTTAGGTAAGGCCTCTTGGTGCACCAGTGGTAACTGCCCAGGGGATGTATCTTCCTTCTTTTGGGAAGCCTAGAACCACTATGGGCAATGAGGAATGGGCTACACAATTCAAACTTAGGATAAACCTAACTTCTCATTGAAGAAGAGTCAAATTGGCAAATTTAGGAGAAGATCCACAGCATGAGATCCTAAATGAATTATAGTTTACACATATTATTTAAAAAACTACAGAATATACATAGTACTATGATCTTTTTTTTCTTGAGACAGTTTCGTTTTTTTTTTTTTTTTTTGAGAGTCTCTCTCTGTCGCCAGGCTAGAGTGCAGTGGTGCGATCTCAGCTCACTGCAACCTCCGACTCCTGGTTCAAGTGATTCTCCTGCCTCAGCCTCCTGAGTAGCTGGGATTACAGGCACCAGCCACCATGCCCAGCTAATTTTTGTATTTTTAGTAGAGACGGGGTTTCACCATGTTGGCCAAGATGGTCTCGATCTCCTGACCTCATGATTTGCCCGCCTCAGCCTCCCAAAGTGCTGGGATTACAGGCAAGAGCCACCGCGCCTAGCTGAGACAGAATTTTGCTCTTGTTGCCCAGGCTGGTGTGCAATGGCGTGATCTCGGCTCACCACAACCTCCGCCTTCGAGGTTCACGTGATTCTCGTGCCTCAGCCTCCTGAGTAGTTGGGATTACAGGCATGCACCACCACACCCAGCTGATTTTGCATTTTTAGTAGAGATGGGGTTTCTCCATGTTGGTCAGACTGGTCTTGAACTCCCGACCTCAGGTGATCCACCCACCTCAGCCTCCCAAAGTGCTGGGATTACAGGCGTGAGCCACCGCACCCAGCCCAGTATGATCTTTGTATAAAAAAAATTAAAAACCCATATACTCATGTGTATATGCACATACATGGTTTAAAAACAGTCTAACCAGGAGTGATTGTGCACAACTGTAGTCCAGCTACTCAGGAGGCTGAGGCAGGAGGATTGCTTAAGCCCAAGAGTCCCTTCTAATCATGTCCGTAAATAGCTACTGCACTCCAGCCTGGGCAACACAGTGAGACCCCATTTCTAAAAAGAAAAAAGGTGTAGAAGGATATATGCCAAATTAACAGTCATTACCCCTGAGAAGTGGAAAGATGGATAACTTTTTTTCCTTTTATATTTCTGTACTGATATTTTAAATACTACTTTCGTAATAAAAACTTTTTTAATTCATAATTTTCAAACTTTTTGTGGTCATGAAAAATTTTCAAATATTTTTCTATAAGGAGATTTTAATTTCAACTTCAAGGCATTTTTGATAAACATGCCTTGTCCCATCTGTCTGGGTGGTTAAGTACGGTCTTGCCTGGATACAGGGACAGACCTCATAATCCTTCAAGGTCACTTCAATCTCTGGATTTCTGATAAAGTACAGGTAAGCAATTAATCAGAAATGCAGGGCTTTTTCCTGACACCCAGCAGGCTGTTGGTGTCGTTGGACAAATTCCCCAAAATGAGGTGCTCTTGGAAAATACCCAGAACTCCTTGACTACTGTTTTCTTTACTGACAGACAGACAGACACACACACTCTCTCTGAATGTGTTCAACCAACCTGAACCCTGGCAGCTCAGCTTCACTCAGCCAAGGAGGCAAGGGAAGCCCTGAGGCAGCTACGTTCTGCACGGCTGCCACTTACAGTCTGGGCTTCAGACTTGGGAGAACACATGCCAGAGAAAGAAAAGCTCTGCTGTGATTAAATCACAGATGCTGGGGGTGAGTGTGGGGTGGAAGGGTCTGGCACCCATGCCACCTGCTACACGCAGGAGCTCAATTATACGGTTACGTTCAATACTCAGTCAAGGGACAGGGAGTTGGGGAGAGCAGTGCCATTATAAACTTTGGTTACCTGGGAGAGCCTGGAGAGCTGTGGTTTTCTTAAAGTGGTTAAGTTCTCCTTTGGAAAGTCACCATTCCCTATCCTATGATCCTTTCTCACTAGGAACAACTGCATTTGCTCTTCCTGGCTTTCATATTTTAATTTGGTTCTGAAGCTACGCAGTGGTGGCAGACAAATGACTTGGGAATCAGATACCCTCATTTAATCCTGGAACAAGCTGTCTGAGTGACTTCTACCCCCATGAGGCCCAAAGAAAAACATAATGAAATGAAACCACTTGCTGCTATGAAACAAAAGTGGGCATATTTATGCAGTTGTTTTTATTTATTCAACTGTAAAGACTGCAGCAATTTTTTTGATGAGTAATGCCTTAGATTAACACTAATTATATTGCTATAAATTTGGTTCAGGATCAGAATAGGGTTCAGGAAAGGGAGAGAACAAAAAAAAAAGTCTCCAAACATTAAAACAGAAAAATGCTTTTTTTTTTTTTTTTGAGACTGAGTCTTGCTCTGTCTCCCAGGCTGGAGTGCAGTGGCACAATCTCAGCTCACTGCAGCCTCCGCCTCCTGGGTTCAAGCGATTCTCCTGCCTCAGCCTCCTGAGTAGCTGAGATTACAGGCACACGCCACCATGCTCAGCTAATTTTTGTATTTTTAGTACAGACAGGGTTTCACCATGTTGGCCAGGCTGGTCTTGAACTCCTGACCTAGTGATCCACCCGCCTCAGCCTCCCAAAGTGCTGGGATTACAGGCATGAGCCACAACGCCCAACCTTTTTTTTTTTAAACTTTAATTAAATGCTACTTTCTCATAGACTTCCCTAGACTGGTTTGCAATCTAAGGTAATAGGAAACAAGGCATTGGGCATTTTGAAGAAACTGCAGGTTAAGCTATGGTGCCAAGCAGAAGACTAAACACTGATTTGAGTGTCAAATCTCCAGCACATTCTGGGATAGAGGCAGGTTCTCAAATGTTTCCTAGTGTTCTTTCCTTTTCACTAATTAAATTTTCCCTTCTCTGGCGAATCCAGTGCAGTATACAACCCCCTGATTGCCTCTCTTGGTCAAATAGTTGTTAGAAGGGAACCTGTCAGGCACCTGTGGCTTCGGCTTAGATTGGAAAGGTGACAGACTAGCTCTGATTCACCTCCTCCTGAGACAGCCTGGACAGTGGAGGGATCAACTGGAAGGCCGAAACCTGGTAACAGCTGCCTCTGATTCCTGGTGGAAATGACCAACCAGATTCAATCCATATCACTGGGAAAGATCAAGGAAAAAAAATAGCTTCCCCTCCAAAAATGGTAAAGAGGAAATAAGGAGACAAGAAACCAAAAATACTTAGAATGGCACAAAAAGTGATACGCATAAACTTCTTTTTGTTATTACATCTAACTGTAAGTTTCCTAAAGTCCAGTTATCAAGTTGAATTGTGTGGATAGAGGAGAGAGGCCAACTGGATTTTCTCTCAAGAGTTCACGGCTTCAGTCTGAGAGGTCCTGGGTTTGCGCTGGGGGAGCCCCTTTTTGAATGAAGGCGTGGGAGGGCTGGGCTCCATGCTGACTCCAGTTCCATTGGTCCCTGCAGAGTGAGTCTGGCCTCTTTCAATGGTGTTTCCTGGTGCCTGAGATGGAGCACTCTGATACCTGGAACCAGATGAATACCACGAGCTGTTTCTGTAACGACCCATACTGTCATGCCGCCCTTGGTTCATGGGGTCATTGGACTTTTGGCCTTGTGGCCTATAGCCCTGTCCTCCTCGTCTGTTCCCTGGCAATACCTAAAGATGAAAGAATACAATGTTCAAGGTGCTCTAGCATTATGGTACCCCATTCGTTCACTTTACAGGAGTATTCTGAAAGCAGAATTGTGGTATCCCATGCTTGGGACTCAGTTATCTCTCAAGACTCAAAGAATTCTCTCAGCCAATCCAACCTAGCCACTACTTCAGAACTAATCCATCTTTCCCTGCTCTTCATGCCCAGGCTCTTCTCCACTGAAGAATTTACTTTTCTTTAGCTGGATGCAAGAAGAAAGATAAGGAAGAAAGAACATTCTCTGGGTTGTTACAAGCCCTCGATTGGACAAGTATATTATATTATGTCTGAACTCTGCAGATAAAAGGCCATTGGTAAAGATAATACACATTTGGAATAATAAAGTAAACATCACTATGGCCTGCTTTGCTAAATGTCATGAACTACAGATTAAAGTATGCTGCTGTGGCATTCAGCACATCTTTCGCATTATAATCCGGAAAGCTTACGGTATGGGATTTTATTTTTGTCCTCCAATTCCAAACATCATACCAGTTCTGAAGAATTACTGACAGTACTGCCTTGGATTGCTCTTGTGTTTATTCTTCAAACAGGAGAAGAACCTATGGATTACTCCTCAGCTTTCTAGTGTTTTCCCCCCATCCCCACCAGTTCACTCTCTCTTTCCCTGTAAATTCCACATTGTGCTTCTAGGGAGCTGCTGCTTTCAGATGCACACTGGTAAAA
Organism: Homo sapiens; assembly: GCF_000001405.40. Lineage (NCBI taxonomy): Eukaryota > Metazoa > Chordata > Mammalia > Primates > Hominidae > Homo > Homo sapiens. Next base: position 49,525,219 of record NC_000012.12, on the reverse strand, counting down.
CTGCCACTTGTGGTGCCTGTCTACCTTGAGATGGGTGCACGACTCCCAGTGTGACTAATTACCAGGCAATACTATCTACAACAGCAGGGATCACTGCCAACACAAGAAAGTCAGCAGTTCTTGGCAACAGGAAATCTAAACTGGCTGGCAGTTTGGAACATACGTATCTAATGCTTTCTCAGGAACTAACTTGGGTTGGAGGGATTCAAAACAGGCATGGAATGGGAATAGAGAGGAAGATAATATACTGAGCTAACAGCATTTAAGCTTTGACAATCTGGAGGGTTTTCTTCCTAACATGCTCAGTGTAGAAGCTAGGTTACCTCCCGAAGTGGCTGGTAGGGCTGGCCACTGGAGTTTGCTATGGCTGCAGGAGTCTCTCCCGGTGCAAAGTTTTTCTTGTTAGCACTTGTAAGGCTGGGAGGAGAGGCACAGGTGGAAGAGGAAGCAGCAGAGGCATCACTTGGGCTACTCAAGGACACAGATGTAACTGAGCTACATCGGGATCTGGTCGAATAGCTGTTCTTTGGATGAGACACTGAAACAGAAATATGAGGAATATATGATCATATGATAGAACAGCACAATGGATAAGGTTTCTACTTTCTCAATTTCACAATGAGCAATTTAAGATAAAGAACTGTCTATTCGAATAAAGAAAAACCTATAAAACTGGTAACAGGAAGAAAAATCTCCCTTCTGCCCTCTTCCTCCACTTCCTCCAAAGCCCCACTGCTTTGTAAAGGAATTCTTAGACAAGAGAACAGTTAAAATCAAAGTTACCCATTCCCCACCAACTAATGACTTCTTGGGATTGGATCTAGTACTACCTAAACTCCTGACTATGGCTCTAGCAGCTGACTAAGCCTGGGAACAATAGTACAGACCATATGTTCAGTTTCCTATGCAAGAAACATTCTAAGGAACAGCCTTTGCAAAGAAAGAAAAAGGTACATAAATAAAATCTTTACTAAATTCTTTTTAAAGAATTTTGAATGATACAAGGTATAAATAATCAAGATCAGTTAAATATGAATAGAACTAATCTTTATAACAAACATGTATATTGCCAAATTTCTTTCTGCAAAATTAATCCCAAATTCAAAGTACCTATCTAACTGAAAAAAATATTAATATTTTCAGTTCAAATTGTGTTAGAATTCCAGTGGTTTAAAACTACTCTCTAGATTTTTTTCTTGGCTTTAAGCTGGATTAATGATGAGTTTATAATTGCTGCCATAGGTGAAATATTTCACTTTTTTTTTTTTGATCCGGAGTCTCACTCTGTCACCCAGGCTGGAGTGCAGTGGCACAATCTCAGCTCACTGCAAACTCCGCCTCCTGAGTTCACGCCATTCTCCTGCCTCAGCCTCCCGATTAGCTGGGACTACAGGCACCCACCACCACTCCTGGCTAATTTTTTGTATTTTTTAGTAGAGATGGGGTTTCACCATGTTAGCCAGGATGGTCTCAATCTCCTGACCTCATGATTCACCTGCCTCAGCCTCCCAAAGTGCTGGGATTACAGGCATGAGCCACCGCGCCTGGCAATATTTCACTTTTATACTAGACAGAAAGAACAGAGAGGCTGAGTTCAGGGTTTGACAAACAGGTCACTAGAAACTCTCATCTCACAGGCACTCCCCTATCCTTTAATGCTTTATTTAAGGATCTATTATGTGCCAGACAAGACAAGTATTATTTTCTCCTATTTATTAATTTTTTTAGAGACACAGTCTTGCTCTGGTGCCCAGGTTGGAGTGCAGTGGCAATCATAGCTCACTGGAACCTCAAACTCCTGGCTCAAGCTATCTTCCCCCTCTCACCCACCCCCACCCCACCTCCTGAGTAGCTAGGACTACAAGCATGTGCCACCACACCTGGCTAATTTTTTCTTTTGAATTTTTTGAAGAGATGGAACCTCGCTATGTTGCCCAGGCTGGTCTTGAACTCCTGGGCTAAAGTGATCCTCTGGCCTCAGCCTTTCCAGTTGTTGGGATTATAGATGTGAGCCTCGGCGCGTGGCCTGTTATCTCCACTCTGGAGAGGAGTAAAATGAGGTTACTGTAGGGGCAGGGATTCAAACTTGATCTGACTGTAGGGCCCCATGCTCTTTATACCACATATCATGCACCTCTCAATATGGCATGAAAAAACAGTCTTTCACATTTAGGGAGCTGGCAAATACTTGTCCTCAGAGTTCAAAGTATCTGCACCCATGGACTTCATAAGCATCCTAGAGTTAGTTTTCATATAAACAAGCAAACAAGAGGCACTAATGAGGAATCAGTGGTGAAGACAATCAGCACGTCAGTCTCTAATTAATAATCACCACCTGTAGTGCCCAGACCCTCTCACCATCTCACCTTGTCCAAATGAATCAATGCTCTTCTTTAGGGTCTCTACATCACAGGTGAACCGGGCTACTCGTCCCAGATCCTCATCATATTTACGTTCACTAACAAAGTGCTGGAGAAAGGACAAAGAAAGGCCTCCAGGTTAGACAAACAACATCCATGGAATCTATAACTTGCTATACAGATTAAACAATCATTTTCAATTGTCTTTTTATTGCTTCAAAGTTTATTAAATGGCCATCACATGACCAACGCCAGGTGATCGAATAAATTCATTCATTTTCTCAAGAGCCCACAGATAAGTTTGTAAGTTTATGAAATGCTACATGATGGCTAAAGCCCATTAGATATAATCAAGAGAAACTACAGAGAAAGAAAAAAGGAGGAAGAATTTATAGTAGAGGGCCATCTTTCTACTGTTGGCTATTCTCCATGTCTTTCCATTTTATATAGAAACAGAGGCAGCAAAAATCTTTACAAGGTACTACAATGATACCATTTAGATAGATGGTTTGGTGTTAATAGGAACTTCCTTAGGAAACCTACTTCATCTCTTTATAATAAAGTAGGATTTCTTAGTCCTTGAAATAGGAACAATTTCTTGAGATGGAAAATCATTCATGTGAAAAGTCAACTTTGCAAATGAGAAGTTTATGCTGCAAGTAATTTAATCCTTTTAAGCAGACTGAGCTGAGAAGTAACCAACCCCTTGAGTCAAAAACTAACCATGCTATAAAAATCATGGGACTAGAAACATGTCAGGAATAAAGTGCTTCTGGGGGTCTATTTCATTAAACAATGTCTAAGGTAGACTGGAATCATTTTTTTTTTTTTCAGATGAAAAGGAGATAAAAAAGAGAAGTGAAAGGCCTAGATATAATTTGGAAGAACTGAACCCCTCAGAGCACTCCTCTTAACTGGGGGTGGGCTAATACCACTCTGCATCAGAATTCTCGGGAAGCAACCAGAAGCACTGAAAGGGAAAGGAGAGAGAAAAATGACCTTCCGGCCTTGAATTCCTAAAGTTTCAGAGTATGTTGTGGCTTAGGAAAGCACACGAACCTCTTGTTACAAAGCCTTCAGACATGTAATATCAGTCTGAGATTAATTCTGAAACAAATTCTAGGGTTTGTTGAGTCAAAGACATAATAGGAATGACGGAAATAAAATGATCTGGAAATAAGACATTTAAATTGCACAGCACCCACTTCAGTACACTGAAAAAGTGGAGAGAAACAGATCCTTAGTCAGCCTGCAGAAATATTTCTAGCAGCTTTTCAGCCACGTGGGAAGAGGAACAGATGAAGCCTGTGAGAGCCAGCATTCTCATCTAATTGCAAAGGGGTTTCCGGCTTCTCCCCGAGAGTTGAATGAGACTGACTGGCATCAATGTGAGGAGGCCTTTCTATAAAATTTAATCATATAGTTTTAGTTAAACAGAAAACAGTAACTGAACATTTGCATGGTTTGGCTAGTTCACCCCAATAGAATTAAAGGGGAGGCAGTGAGAGAACAACACCACTCCACAGGTCTAACACTGGGTCAGACGATAGTAAGGATCCCTGTAAGGTCCTGGATGATCTTCCACCTCTGTTTTTATTTTAGAGAGACTGTTGTACAGCCTCTGCAGCAAGTGTTCTCTCAGTGTGACAATAAATCTTATGTGTTCAGAAAGAGAAGAGGTAAAGGGCACAGGTGTGGAGAAGGCCAACTCCCTTTGTTACAGCTTGCAGTTTATAAGCAATTATTTAGAATGCCAATGACCACAACCATCCGTGAATATCCCAATTTCCCTCAGGTTCACATGCTTAGTCTCAGAAACACTGTTCTTTATATAAGAATTTGGCCAGGCGTGGTGGCTCATGCCTGTAATCCCAGCACTTTGGGAGGCCAAGATGAGTGCATCACTTGGGGTCAGGGGTTCGAGACCAGCCTGGCCAACATGGTGAAACCCTGTCTCTACTAAAAATACAAAAATTAGCAGGGCGTGGTGACACATGCCTGTAATTCCAGCTATTTGGGAGGCTGAGGCACGAGAATCGCTTGAACCCAGGAGGTAAAGGTTGCAGTGAGTGGCGACAGCGCCACTGCACTCCAGCCTGGATGACAGAGCGAGACTCAAAAAAAAAAAAAAATTAAAAAGGTATAAATGTTGAACCCAAGTAATTGTTATAAATAGATTATAACAAACATCTCAAAGATAATTTTTCTCTATAAAATCAGAATTGGTCAACCAACTATTTACAGAAGACCAAGTACATGCCAAGGTGCTGTGCTAGGCACTTGGAGAGACAGGAGCTCCTGCCTGCCACTGTGAAGTTCACTATCTAGTGGGGAAGACAAAGTAACCAATGCACATAAAGTCATAACTACGCTCTGAAACCACAGAATGAGGAGATATGATGGGGAAGTCAGGAAGGATGAGGAGGTCAAGGGTGGTAACTGGGCCGGGCGCGGTGGCTCACACCTGTAATCCCAGCACTTTGAGAGGCCGAGGCGGGTAGATCACCTGAGGTCAGGAGTTCAAGACCAGCCTGGCCAACATCATGAAACCCCATCTCTACTAAAAGGATAAAAATTAGCCGCTGGGCGTGGTGGCTCATGCCCGTAATCCTAGCACTTTGGGAGGCTGAGGCAGGCAGATCACCTGAGGTTGAGAGTTTGAGACCAGCCTGACCAACATGGAGAAACCCCATCTCTACTAAAAATAAAAAAATTAGCTGGGCATGGTGGCGCATGCCTATAATCCTAGCTACTTGGGAGGCTGAGGCAGGAGAAGCGCTTGAACCGGGGAGGCGGAGGTTGCGGTGAGCTGAGATTGCGCTATTGCACTCCAGCCTGGGCAACAAGAGCGAAACTCCGAATCAAAAAAAAAAAAAAATTAGCCAGGCGTGGTGGCAGGCGCCTGTAATCCCAGCTACTCGGGAGGCTGGAGCAGGAGAATTGCTTGCACCTAGGAGGTGGAGGATGCAGTGAACCGAGATGGCACGCCATTGCACTCCAGCCTGGGTGACAGAGCGAGACTTTGTCTCAAAAAAAAAAAAAAAATAGTGGTAACTGTAGTTGGAGGCAGGGAGAAGAGCATTTGGACAGATGGAAAAGCAGGTGTGTCTGTGGAGTGTAGAAGCCTCCAGCCTCTGCTTGAGGGCAGAGGACCGGGGGGATGGTATGAACTGAGGGTAATGGCAGAGCAAGACTGCACAGTCCTTCAGACCGGATTAAGGATTATAGTATTCATCCTAAAAGCAACAGAAAGTTTGAAGCAGACTGCTGTAGTGTGGGGAACATACATGGAGGGTGGGGCGGGTGGGGCAGAGACAGAATGGATGAACAGAACCAGTTAAGAGGCTCTTACAGAAGTCCAGGCAAGAGATGGTGGTAACCTGATCATAATGGTGGTGGTGGAGATGAAGAGATAAGGTCAGATCTGAGATTTAGTCAAATGGATGGAGTGTGCTGACAGATTTAAGGTGGGAAATGGAGAAATTTCCTAAGGTTTCCAGCTGGGACAACTGGGTAGATGATAATACCACTTACAGAGAAAGGGACTTGGAAGAGGGCCAGGTTTGGGAAAGGAAGATCATGAGTTTAATATATTAGATATGGCCATGAATTATGAAAATTTCTTACTTTAGCCCCTGAGGATAAGAAGAAAGGCAGAAAGCAGAAAGAAGTTTTACCTTGATATCAGCTCTGAGCTCAACCAATTGCTGCTCTGACATTTGAACAGCCACATGAGTCATCTTCTTTAGAAGTTCAGCCTTCTTTTGTCGGCTGAGCAAAATTTCCACTGTAGAGGAAAAGTGAGTGTGAACCTTATGTTGCTGCTAAATAGGATAAAGAAGAACTAGAAATATAAGCCTTGCAGTAGGTATTTGGTCAGCCAAAGGCTTAGCTGCCTATCCACCCAGAAAATGAAAATATCAAAAGTCTGGTCTCTACCTTCCATTGGGTCTCTGAAGGCAGTTAAGTGGTAAATATTTTTTATAAATCACAAACACTCATAAATCATTGTTATTTCTCCTTCCAGTCAAAAAAATTTTATCAAGATGCATATAAATTAAAAAGGAAATATGTACACATAATAAAAAATATTCATCTAGAGTAAGTTGGGTATAAAATGAAAAGAGCATCTCTCTTATTTCTGATTTTGTGGTCTCCTCTCCAGGGGAAACGACTGTTCACCATTTCTTACGTACACATCCAAATATTGTGTATGTACATACAACATGCATACATATGTAGCTCTCTTTTTTCCCTTCTCACAAATGGAAGTATATCATACACATGGTCTTTCTTTTACCTTAGCTATTTTTACTTAATATATCTTTAAATTTATTCCCTATTAATACATCTGGATCACCTTCATTCTGTTTAACAGCCACCCAGTATGTGGATATACCACAATTATTTACCGAGTTCCCTAGTGATGGGTATTTAGATTGTTACACCCTTTTAAGAACCACCTTCTCTGGCATGCTTTCTGATATATAACTTGGATATGGTCATGGCAGAGAACATACAATAAAAATCTCCCAGAGAGACAGGGGCTACAGTGGAAACAAAACCAAAGAAATCCTCCCAGGAAGCAGATAAACCACCCAACGAATGTTCTCTACTACCAGGGAAGGGACTCTGCTATTCCTTCCCATCCAGCAAGATTTGATCATTGCTTTTCCAAGTGGGAATTTTTACTATAATTATCCTTTTCTTTCTCCAACTATGTAATATGGGAGAAGGGGGCATTTAGCCTTTCTTTTAATTTATGAGACCCCATCCTTGGAAGATCTGAAATCACTCTGAAGACCTGGCCTTTCAGCTGAATATTAACTAACTAGATGAGACTTTGGAGGTATTGCTATTGAGGAGGTGGTGAACATATTCTCATTTTGGAAAAAAGAGGGATACTGGGTAGTGGAGGACTGTAGCAAAGACCATTAGCTGATGGAACACAGTCTTTCCAACTACATTCAGGAACATTCAGGGCTATCAGAAATCCAATGTTGTTGGGTACCAACATAATTGGGTAAAAAAAAAATCTATATTTTCTGGCTTTGCTACAGATGAAACGGCCATGTGATATAGTTTCCCCATTGAGATATAAGCAGAACTCAAAGGGCAGGCTTTACAGGAAAGCGTTTTAAGGGAGTCTTAGCATGTAACGTTTTACTCCTTCTCGACTGGAGCCTAGGGAGTTGTCTTTTGACCATAAGCATACTCTCAGAATGGCTGGGCAGAAGAACAGAAGATCCTGGGTCCCTAATGTCATCTGGGAAATGTCCTGCCAGCCCTGGGTTGCTTACCTCTGTACTTTTCATTTTCTGAGAAAAAAGGACACTCACATTTATTTAGGCCACTCTGTTCCATGTAGTCAAACTCAATCCCTAACTGATATACATAGAATCCTGTAACACACTGAGGAATTAGCCAAATTCACGTCAGAAAAAAACAGAAGTTTTAAAGAGTTACACCAGGTATTACAGAGAGCTGGATGTATTTAGCAAGTTTACTCAGCCCAACTGCCACAGAGATGCACACATGGGCTGCCTAGACCCAAGTCACACTAATCAATCAGGGCCCACTTTCTCAGGAGTCAGGAGCATGCCTACAAAAGTTTCTTAACGCCAAAGCCCAACAGTTACAAATGATCTATTGGTTTAGGTCCCAAGATAAAACCTATTTGCCATTTGTATCAACTTCAGTTTCTCTCAGCTCTAGCATTCAGTGATTCTATGACAAAATTATAGCTCTCAAAATGGCAAAAATGAGGTGAATAAAAAGCTTTCTACACGTAACAGATAACTCATAGGACCTAATTATACAACACTGGAAAAGATTGAAATACTACAAACCTATCAGTTACTTAATAAAATTATAATATGTAAAAAACAAAAAGCAACTCTTGATAGCACTGGTAAATGAGTAATTACTCTTGATAGCATTGGTAAATGAGTAATATCATTGAGAACCAGGATTTTCAGGGAGAAAAGAGCTAAAGATATAAAACTGATGAAGTTAAGTAAAACTTTGAGCTCTGAATTTGATAAAATAAGATTGGCCACAAATTGATAATTGGTTGAAGCTGAGTGATGGGAATTTGTTACATTAGCCTCGCTATCTGAAATTTTCTTTTCTTTTCTTTTTTTTTTTTTAGTTTTGAGATGGAGTCTTGCTCTGTCGCTAGGCTGGAGTGCAGTGGCGCAATCTCGGCTCACTGCAACCTCTGCCCCCTGGGTTCAAGTGATTCTCCTGCCTCAGCCTCCCGAGTAGCTGGGACTACAGGCGCATGCCACCATGCCCAGCTAATTTTTGTATTTTTAGTAGAGACAGGGTTTCACCATGTTGGCCAGGATGGTCTTGATCTCTTGACCTCGTGATCAGCCCGCCTCGGCCTCCCAGAGTGCTGGGATTACAGGCGTGACCCACTGCACCCGGCCAAAATTTTCTATTAATATAAAAGATGTATTAATATTCTTAAAAGCACCTTCTTTTTTTTTAATTTCAAGACAGGGTCTTGCTCTATCGCCCAGGCTGGAGTACAGTGGTGCAATCACAGCTCACTGCAGCCTCGACCTCCTGGGCTCAAGTGATCCTTCCACCTCAGCCTCTCAACTAACTAGGACTACATGTAGCACATGACCCCATGCCTGATTTATATATATATATATATATATATATATATATATATATATATATTTTTTTTTTTTTTTTTTTTTTTTTTTTTGAGATGGAGTCTTGCTCTGTTGCCAGGCTGGAGTGCAGTGGCGCAATCTCGGCTCACTGCAACCTCTGCCCCCTGGGTTCAAGTGATTCTCCTGCCTCAGCCTCCCGAGTAGCTGGGACTACAGGCGTGTGCCACCATGCCCAGCTAATTTTTGTATTTTTAGTAGAGACGGGGTTTTATCATGTTGGCCAGGATGGCCTCGATCTCCTGACCTCGTGATCTGCCCGCCTCAGCCTCCCAAAGTGCTGGAATTACAGGCATGAGCCACTGCGCCCAGCCTTATTTCTTATTTTTTGTAGAGACGAGGTTTCACTATGTTGCCTAGGCTGGTCTCAAACTCCTGGGCTCAGGTGATCCGCCCAAAGTGCTGGGATTATATGCGTGAGCCACCACGCCTGGCCTAAAAGGACCTTCTTCTCAAAACTAAGAAATATGTCTTCTTAGTGGTTTTAGTTTATCTGCATTTCCATTTTCAAAAAGAGAATATACAGATAAAATAATGGACTGAAATGTCAAATTTAGAAACTCAAAATATATTGCTCAATGTAATGAAATCTCACCTCTGAAAAACAGTGGAAGGCATCTCTGCTACATTCTCAAATTTTCAAGTTAAAATGGACCAAAGCTGAAGTCATTTCAGTGCTTCAAAGCTGCATCCTCTGGCCCGTGACCACACACACAAGTGATTTAACTGTGAGTCATGATCTCGACCTAGCCCAGCATTTCTATTCTTACCAGTTTGGGGGTGGGTTAAAATAAACAACTTTCCTAATAATTAATCTGGCGTTCAATGCAGGAAGATAAAACCTGCCACCGAAATGCCTCAAATCAATGCCATTGTACAAGTTGCAGTTGGTATTCCCTTGTCTTCGTGTAGCTGTGTATGTTTAACCTAACACTTAACAGAAATGATCAAAAAATAGGTATCTGTTTTTTCTGTACAAAACCCCACAAATCACCAAAGTTAGACTTCATTCCTCCAGAATCTATTTTAGTAAGCTTTCAAGAAACCTGGTATCTTGAACCCTCAATTCTCTAACTTTTCCCCTACCCATTGATAACAGACACTGAGTGAAGACTGTTCTATAAACTGAGAAAACAAAGAAAGTTCTGAGATAGGTAATGATAGGAGTATACACATACAATCGTAGGCAACCTAATGAAGTCTTCTCTGATTATGCTAAAGGTTTTTTTCCAAGTAGAAAAAATCCCAGTGGAATTGCTTAAACACTAGAGGAAGAAACAAAATAAAATAAAAACCTGGTGGCAGATACCGTGATGCAGTCTCTTATACACTGAACTCTGCATTCAAAATATTAAGATTTGGAAATATTTTTAAAACAGGCTCTTTAAAGTTATTTCACCTGAAAGGATTCATATGCCAGTACAGTGCAACTGCTTAAGATTATTTAAATATATAAACTCTTATTATGGTATTTATATGGAACTTTTGTTATAAGGGTTGGGAAGTAGGTACCTACTATTTATGAAGGTAATAGCTTTAATTAAAGATCAATCATCTTACTTGCTTCAGCTTTCACTTTGTCCATTTCAGCAAGCAACGCCACTTCTCGATCCATTAAACTAGGAAAAGATGACAAAGGAATAAAAAGTTTGATCAGAAACTCAAATACAAAATTAGCACATTATTAATAGTAAAGAAAGACCAGTGAGTTTGTTTGCTAAAAGCATACTAAAAAATAATATTGTATGGATCACATACAAATTCTGATGTCTTACTCTCAACAAAGAATATTTTAAGATTTTCCCATAAATAAAATAAATAGACCCAATTCCCTTTTATATTGCAATATTGGTACATTGCAGCAGTACACCAATTGTAGACGTCTAAGAGTTGAGAACCAGCAGATGGCAGTAGCAAGCTACAAAACACATTTTTTAGTAAGCTGTGCTAAAGCAAAAGTCCGTGTGGAAATTACTTACTTAACCATGTATGTACTCACATACTTTTTTTTTTTTTTTTGAGACGGAGTCTCGCTGTCTCCTAGGCTGGAGTGCAGTGGCGCGATCTTGGCTCACTGCAAGCTCCGCCTTCCGGGTTCACGCCATTCTCCTGCCTCAGCCTCCCGAGTAGCTTGGACTACAGGCGCCCGCCACCACGCTCGTCTATTTTTTTTGTATTTTTAGTAGAGATGGGGTTTCACCGTGTCAGCCAGAATGGTCTCGATCTCCTGACCTCGTGATCCGCCCGCCTCGGCCTCCCAAAGTGCTGGGATTACAGGTGTGAGCCACCGCGCCCGGCCTGTACTCATACTTTTTATATTTATATTTTGGTCTATAAAATTTGATGGCCTTGCATCTAATTAATTTTTACCAAGCAATATCCCCACTAGGGCATAGTAAATTTATCCATGATTAGGACTTGTATGTCTTCAACAGCTGACCATGGTTGCACCAAGTCCACTTACATTTTAGTACTTAGAATGCAAAGTAGTCAAAAGATAGACATATAGTGTGCTAGTTTCTGAGAAACACATAATAGTAACTAGGAAGGATGGAATTACAGATTTCTGGTAGGCTTTTTACAGAAAAAGAACATTAAATAGGCAATTAGAATTTTTTCCACTGCAAATATAAATGGTTTATAGGCACATAAAGCTTTTCCATGTTGTTATAAAAGAGCCCACAGCCTTCAATGTATAAGGAGACAGTAGTACCCTAGTATTCAACCTCTGGATGAAAATAATTTTCCTTACCATATCGGTTTTGCTTTGTGGTGGCAAAAAGAAAAAAAAATCTAGAATGTTAATACTTGCACAAACATGCAATGTTCCAACTTTCTTCAAATTTGGAGTTCATTCTGATTTCTCCTTTTGAAGGGGAATATAACTACAGGGTAAATAAAAGTTCCACTCTTGTTTCTGGTTGTAATCACACTCAAACACACACACACACACACACACACACTCTTTCTCTCTCGCTCTAATTCAATTTAGCTCAATACATAGTTATGTTAGCACAAAGTAGTTAATGTGGAGACTATAGTGTGAGACATACAAAAATGTCTAAGGCAGGGTCATTTCCTCAAGGAGCAAATCTTTTATAGGGAAGTGCCAGAGAACATAGGTTTGATAATCGTTACGCATGATGTTAATAAACAGACTTGTAACTAAACAAATTTGGTTGACATATTAATCCAAAAGCATCAAACTGGAGAGAAGATACAATTATTGTGGGGTAGCAATACTTTGCTAAGAAAGCATTTCCCAAACCTTGGCAATATTTTGCTCCAAGAACTCTAGCAGCATTGGAATACCTAAAAGACAAAACAAAAGCACAACTGAGACAGGAGCTGCCAGGCCTACAGTTTGACATTACCTCTCTTATGTTGCCAAATCACCTTAAGATGCAGACGCTGTGTCCATCAGATGACAAATCCTTTTTCTCTGACAAAGCTTGTAAAATATTTATTAAAAGACTACAGCAAACAAGTAAGCCTTTTGCAGCTTACAATCTATTATGAGAAGTAGAATGTCAGATGACACTTTTAGCAAGGTCTGCATCAACACAATCAGGCTTTTTTGTGGAAATTTGTGCTAGTACATTCTGATAGCATTTTTTTTTCCCTGTGAGAATCACTAGTGTTCATTTAAATAAACTTTGTTTTTGATTAACTCGGTGATCACAAGAAATTCATAGGACTGTGCATGGACAACCATATAACCCCTCCATTAAAAAAAAACTAGCTTATAATATATCCAGCTACCATGTACCCACAAAAATTAAAATTAAAATACATATATTAGCTTATGTTTTCATGCCAAAAAACAATGAAAAGCAGTAAGAACTTCTGTTTCTTTTTGTTTGTTGTTTGTCATGTTGCCATCTATTGATAACATCTAGTGAAAAGTCCTATGATGTCAGCCCAGGGTTAAACAAGAGAATCTACTAGTTAACTGATGCTGATATATTTCTCAGAGAAAAGGTTGATCAGCACTTATAATTCTCCATTAAAATTTTTACATCTTTAAAATACAAAAATGAATGTCAAAATTTAATAGTAAATTTCTTATTAAAAGCACATCAAAAAAGTAAATTATATAATGGCATTATAGTTGTATAGAAGAATGACCTATTTTTAGGTTATTTATGCTAAAGCATTTAGGGGTGACATGTCATCTACATCTGCAAATTCCAAATGGTTCCACCAAAATATTATACACACACACAGCAAATACACTGTCATTATACCATCCTTTCAACTTTTCTATATATCTGAAAGTTTTAATAATAAAAAGTTAGTGAAATGTTGGCATCACAAAATAAATGGAGAAGGTGGGACAAGTTCAAAGTGGAAAGTAGGTTAGGTGTAAGGATAACAACATAGGCATTTTTTACAATTAAAAACAATAATCTATTGTAACACAACTTTTAACACAGAAACTTAAGCTAAAGTTTTCCATCTGTTTCTGAGCTAAACAATGGTTCCAGTATGTATGTGTGGCCAAGAGGTTCAAAAGTACCTGTGGTGTGAGGTAATGGTTTTTAGATGCCAGAAAGGCAAGCAATGAGTCCTCCCAGAGAGTGATGAAAGGCTCATTCAGACTCTCTATTACCTTGCTCACTCCAATACCTCAGGGTACTAAGCTTCTCTCAAGGCTTTCTTGAATGGAAATATGCCATAATAAGCACCAAGCATCTGGCAGACTAGATTCTAAAACTGCTAATGAAATTCAGCTAAATATTGCTGGGAACCTGTTTGGAACAACACTAGTTCTTATTAAGCCTGGGCCTTATTCAGTGTTGAGAATTTCCATATCCTTTCTTCAATCATGAAAGATAGATTTGGATGACTGCTTCCTGCTACTAAAGAAAAAGACTGGTAACTAAATGTTCTATATTTCCTTCCTTCCTTTTCAGGACTTCCTTACCATGTTCACATTTGCTCGACTTATTCTATAAGATGTGTTTTTTTTTTTTCTTTTTTTTGAGATGGAGTCTCGCTCTGGAGTACAATAGCATGATGTTGGCTCATGGCAATCTCTGCCTCCTGGGTTCAAGTGATTCTCCTGCCTCAGCCTCCCAAGTAGCTGGGACTATGGGCACGTGGCACCACGCCCAGCTAATTTTTCTATTTTTAGCAGAGATGGGGTTTTGGTATGTTGCCAGGCTGGTCTCAAACTCCTGGCTTCAAGTGATCTGCCTGCCTGGGATTACAGGCATGAGCCACTGCACCCACCCAATTTATCCTAAAGCTTTTGCATAATTTAGTTGCTCAGAATAGCTGTTACTGAAGCATCCCCATTGATATCTCTAACACAAATTGTGTCTATCATTTGAAGCAAGTCCTCTAATTAATATACAGATATCTAACATGCAGTTAGAGATTCTAGCTCTTGCCTTCAATAATTCATTGGTACCAAAAAATTGTTAATTATTTGTTTATAACTGTTGCATTGGAAAAATAATATTAAAATGGAAACACAACTCTTGACAATTCCACAGGTCAATTATTTCAAGGGATAATAGTCAAAACCATTCAATAATACTGTCAGAAAACATTTGTACACAATTTTATTTGCTCAAAACTTAGAATCTTTTTTTTTTTTTTTTTTGAGACAGGGTCTCACTGTCGCCCAGGCTGGAGTACAGTGGCACCATCAAGACTCACTGCCAACCTCCGCCTCCTGGGCTCAAGCAATCCTCCCGCCTCAGCCCTCTAAGTAGCTGGGACTACAGGCACGAGCTACCATGCCCAGCTAATTTTTTACATTTTTTGTAGAGATGGGGGTTTCACCATGTTGCCCAGGCTGGTCTCAAACTCCTGAGCTCAAGCGATCCATCCACATCAGCCTCCCAAAGTACTAGGATTACAGGCATGAACCGCTGTACCTGGACGATTTTTTTTTTTTTTTAAGACAGGGTCTTGCTCTGTCACCCAGGCTGGAATGCAGTGGTGTAATCATAGCTCACTGCATCCTTGACCTCCTGGGCTCAAGCAATCCTCCTGCTCAGCTTCCTGAGTAGCTAGGATTAAAGGTGTGTGCTACCACACTTGGCTAATTTAAAAAAAAAAAAAAATTATAGAGGCGGGGGTCTCACTATGTTGTCCAGGCTGGTCTTGAGCTCCTGGTTTCAACTGATTCTCTCGCCTTGGCCTCCCAAAGTGCTGGGATTATAGGTATGAGCCACCATAAATGGCCTTAAAACCTATTCATTCTAATTCCACTAACCAACCAAGCAAAAATTCAAGCAAAGCCAATGCAGACGCCTTTTTTTCTTTGAAGACGGTTTCCTCTTTCCATATAAAATAACCAAAAAAGAGAATTGCCAATAGTTTTTTTCCTTCCCTTTTTTTTTTTTTTTTGAGACTTGCTCTGTTGCCCAGGCTGGAGTGCAGTGACGTGATCTTGGCTCACTGCAACGTCTACCTCCAGGGTTCAAGCGATTCTCGTGCCTCAGCCTCCCGAGTAGCTGGGATTACAGGTGTGCACCACTCATGCCTGGCTAATTTTTGTATTTTCAGTAGAGACAGGTTTCACCATGTTGCCAAGGCTGGTCTTGAACTCCTGACCTCAAGCAATCCACCCACCTCAGCCTCCCCAAAAGGTCAGGTGCAGTGGCTCACGCCTATAATCACAGCACTCTGGGAGGCCGAGGCCGGAGGATCACTTGAGGCCAGGAGTTCAAGATGATGCCTGGCCAATATGATGAAACCCTGTCTCTACTAGAAGTACAAAAATGTGGCGTGCGCCTGTAATCCCAATTGCATGGGAGACTCAGGCAGGAGAATCGCTTGAACCCAGGAGGCAGGGGTTGCAGTGAGCCGAGATCATGCCACTGCACTCCAGCCTTGGTGACAGAGCGAGACTCTGTCTCAAAAAAAAAAAAAAAAAAAAAAAAAGAAGTTAGAACGTGAACATAAGCCACGGTTCTCATGTGACAGGCTTTCAATGGAGTAACCTTTCTTTCCTTTTCCAATAGTCAAAAGCACCTCAGTTATAAGCTAATCCAGGAGATCATGTGACTCAATGATGATATTTTATAATCTGTTTAAGGAAAAAGAACCAGTAACAATCTGTATTGCTAAGGAGTATGTTGTTCAAGTTTTTTTGAGACAGAGTCTCACTCTGTTGCCCAGGCCAGAGTGCAGTGGCATGATCTCGGCTCACTGCAACCTTTGCGTCCCCGGTTCAAGCAATTTTCCTGTCTCAGCCTCCCAAGTAGTGGGGACTACAGGTGCACGCCACCACGCCTGGCTAATTTTTGTATTTTTAGGAGAAATGGGGTTTCACCTTGTTGGTCAGGCTGGTTTCAAACTCCTGACCTCAGATGATCCACCCGCCTTGGCCTCCCAAAGTGCTGAGATTACAGGCGTGAGCTACTGCACCTGGCCTCAAGTTTTTAGTTGGCTACAGAAAAAAAAAAAAAAGGCTGAGCCAGGGCCAGGCACTGTGGCTCATGCCTGCTATCCCAGCACTTGGGGAAGTCGAGGCAGGAGGATCACTTGAGCCCAGGAGGTCAAGACCAGACTGGGTAACAAAGTGGGATCTTGTCTCTCCAAAAACATAAAAATTAAAATAAAACAAAATAAAAATGGCTGGGGTGTTAAGCCCCCTTAGTGAGTGGCTGACCAGATCCTCATTTGAAACTGTGATTTTGGCTGGGCATGGTGGCTCATGCCTGTAATCCCAGTACTTTGGGAGGCCAAGGCAGGCGGATCAGGCGGATCACCTGAGGTCAGGAGTTTGCGACCAGCCTGGCCAACATGGTGAAACTCTGTCTCTACTAAAAATACAAAAATTAGCCGGGTGTAGTGGCACACGCCTGTAATCCCAGCTACTCGGGAGGGTGAGGCAGGAGAATCGCTTGAACCCGGGAGGCAGAGGTAGCAGTGAACCGATATTGCGCCACTACATTCTGGCCTGGGAGACAGAACGAGACTCAGTCTAAAAAAAAAAAGAAACTGGAATTATGACACCAATGTCTAAAAGCTCCAGAAACCAAAAAAGATGAAAACGTGTGGTGTAGGAAGGTAAACACTGCAGAATAAAACAAACAGGAATACCTGGTAAGACAGAAAACAAAAGAATGGTGTAGTGGAAAAGTATCTTTGGGTAAAATATTTTTGTGCCCATCTTTCTCACCTATAACATGAACGTAATACCACAAGTGATAATGTTATATAGATTAGAAGCACTGTACATAAAAGTTTCTGACATACAATAAAAGCTTAGTAATTGAGCTCAGTAAATAGCGGCAGCAATTATTATTTTAATTCTTGTATTCATCTTGATTTCTCAGTTTCAGCAGAATATCTCTTTAGTAAAATGCAATCGTATTAACCGGTAAATCATTATACATTCCAGATTCATTGTACAGAAATTATTAAATAAACATGTACGCACACTAACACAGTGTAGGCAGTTATGAAGTGATGAATCAAACTAATTTTAAGTGAAAAGATCACATTGAAATTACACTCTCACTGCGATTACAACTATTCAAGAATATGTATGAATATACATAAGGAACACAAGGGAACGCAGGAAATAAAAATTACTTATGTGTTAAGGTGGTAGAATTTTGAGTTTTACTTATATCTAATAAAACGATTATAATTATGGGCAATATAGTAAAAGTAAGAGGGAATAATGAAATCTTTAAAAAAAGGAAAAACAAAATTCAGATCCCTCCATCAAATGCTCTCATTATACCTCAGCCTCTGACTTCATCCCTCGCTACTTTCACTATTGCCCCATAGCAACAGCTAGACTGTGTGTGGTCCCTACGTGTCCCTTCTATGCCTCTGCTCATATCTCTGAAATGCAGTGGTCCACCCCAACCTTTCCGCCAGTGTAAATACCATGCTTTTTACATAGCTTGATAATGATTCATTTCCCCAAAGAAATATTTTCTAATTAACCCCACCCCACAGTGGCCCTGCCTTTAATCTTAAAACCTTTCCCGCTACTCTGATCTGACCTGAAGAATCCCAGAATCACAAGGCACTACAAGTTGTGACTTAAGAATAATAGTGATTTAGGACCTTCTGAATCACAAAATCAAAAGAACATTGAATATTCAGATGGAGTATTCTTATAGTTTTACTTTATTGAACTTAGAAAATACTTTCATAGGCTCAGCCTAAATCCTGGTGCTTCTCATCCTAACCTGTTTCATAATGACTAAGTTCCTTAGTCCCTAAATTCTCCTACATTGGGGTTTCTCTGTTACATAGCCTTTAAGCTGAAGAGGAAACAATACAGATGCTCCTCGGCTTACAATGGGGTTATGTCCCAATAAACCCACTGTAAATCGAAATTTTTTTTTTTTTTTTTAAAGAGACAGGGTCTTGCTCTGTCACCCAGCGTGGGAGTACAGTGGCAAGATCATGGCCCACTGCAGCCTCCACTTCCTGGGTTCAAGCGATCCTCTTGAGTAGCTGGACTATGGGCACGTGTCATTGCGCCCAGTTAATTTTGTTACTTTCTGTAAAGACGGGATCTCATTATGTTGCCTAGGCTGGTCTTGAACTCCTGGACTCAAGTAATCCTCCTGCCTTGGCCTCTGATATGGTTTGGCTGTGTCCCCACCCAAATCTCACCTTCAACTGTAATAATCGCCAAGTGTCAAGGGTGGGGCCAGGTGAAGATAACTGAATCATAGGGGTGGTTCCCCCATACTGTTTTTGTGGTAGTAGGTCTCAAAAGAGCTGATGGTTTTATAAATGAGAGTTCCCTTGCACAAGCTCTCTTGGCTGCCACCATGTAAGATGTGACTTTGCTCCTCCTTTGCCTTCAGCTATGATTGTGAGGCCTTCCCAGCCACGTAGAAGTGTGAGTCAATTAAACTCTTTCCTTGATAAATTACCCAGTCTTGAGTATGTCTTTATTAGCAGTGTGAGAACAGACGAATACAGCCTCCCGAAGTGCTGGGATTACAGGCATGTGCAAATTGAAAATATCTTAAGTTGATAATGCATTTAATATACCTAACCTATTGAACATCAAAGCTTAGCCTAGCCTACCTTAAACATGCTCAGAACATTTATATTAGCCTGCAGTTGGGCAAAGTCATCTAACACAACACCTATTTTATAATGAAGTGTTGAATATCTGATGTAATTTATTAAACACTACACTAAAAGTGAAAAACAAAATGGTTGTATGGGTATACAAAGTATGCTTTCTACTGAATGTGTATCACTTTCATACCATCATAAAGTTGGAAAATTATTAAGTTGAACCATCATAAGTAGGGAACTGTCTGTAATATGACATGTACCAACAGTCTCTAGCCTTGCCAAGCTTTAGTGGGGAAGTGAGCCATCAATGAGGTATGAGATGAAAATCATAGGTTAATAAGTCTGAATATATACATTCAAATATTGGATCTGCAACTTAGGCAAATTGCTTAACCTAAGACATACATTTATTTTCAGTAAAACAGAATTAACAATACCTACTTTGTGGAAAAGAAATCAGGATTAAAAAAATCCAATAATATAACTGAACATGTTCAGTAAAATATTCTTCATATGTTATTACTGGTTGAGCATTCCTAATCCAAAATGCTTCAAAAGCTGTACTTTTTTGAGCACTGACATGACACTGAAAGAAAATACTCATTGGAGCAGTTTGGATTTTGAATTTTTAGATTAGGGATGCTCAACTAGTTTCTGCAGACATTCCAAAATCTGAAAAAAATAAAAATAAAAAACCTAAAACATTTCTAGTCCTAAGCATTTCAGATAAGGGATACTCAACCTGTAATTATTTTCACAGATGGTTAGAGTTAAATTTTAAATAAAAAAATATCAAGAACCATGGTGTCAAGTACTAGTAGAAACAAGATATCAACAAACTAAGCTTCAAAAACCAAAGAATGATTTAGAACTACAGTGCTATGTACATTTTTGATAATACATATTACATTAGCACATTCCTTTATTTCTACACATTTTAGATATTTTTGGAGATAATATTTTGCAGGTAGTTTGGTTCATAAAATGATTCCTAAGTTTTCAGCATCTATATGTGGCCTTTAAATGTAAGGACTTAAAAGCCTTCGGTAAGACTAAGCTTGATTTAACGTTAAAAAAAAAAGCTCTGAGCTGGGCGAGGTGGCTCACACCTGTAATCCCAGCACTCTGGGAGGCTGAAGCAGGAGGACCGCTTGAGCCCAGGAGTTCAAAACCAGCCTGGGCAATGTGGCAAAACCCCATCTCTACAAAAGATAGAAAAATTAGCTGGGCATGGTTGCACCCGCCTTGTAGTCCCAGCTACTCAAGAGGCTGAGGTGGGAGGATCCCTTGAGCCTGGGAGGCTGTAGTGAGACACGATGGCGCTACTACACTCCAGTATGGTCAACAGAGACCCTGTCTTAAAAAAAAAAAAAAAAAAAAGAAAGAAAGAAAGAAAAGAAACAGGAAAAAAAAAAACGCGCCAATAAAAGGACATAGAGGAATCAGGAAAAATTTCAAAACCTTAACCATAAACTTACATGACTTTCTGTGATATATAATCTCAAATTTCTTGATAATCTTTTTCTCTTACCCATTTCTCCTTTTAAAAAATACCTTTTGACTTTCATAAAATGGAAACTTTTTATTTAAAAGAGAAGCTGAGTGTGTATCCTGTTGGCATTTTTCATCAACACATTATAGGACAATCTTCCAAAGGAGTTTATATATTCTAGCTTCATGTTCCACTCCATATCCTGCCTCCTTAATATCCTTAAACTTAAGTCAACTAACAGCTCCAACAATGAAAGGCAGACAAATATTACTAATTAACAAGAAAAGTAAACTTGGGTCTAGAGATGATTATTGCTAAGTCACCAATAAGAAGAAATTTTAAGTTTTATACATTAGAATGCTTCTGAGTTTACCTTTCTATAGGTGTGTCAGTTTTTGTTCGGCATCAAAGTGAAAGGAGTTATCTGTATAATTTCCCTAGTGCCTTGTCAGGGGTAATGTACTTTTACTGGGGCAAATCTGTTAGAACTCTTTGCCTTTTTTTTATGCTATAACCAACACAGAAATGTCTTTCTAAGTGACATTAACTCCAAGCTCTGGTTTGGTGCCAAATGGAGTTAGCTCACTTGCCAATTATGTCTTGAAGTAGCGGCTACAAGGAACATTGAAATAAGGTGGTTTATAAACTCAATCAACCAGAGCAAAGGGCTTTATACTAGCAGGAAAGGGCAGGTAATCTCTTTCCTCAAGTTAAATTGACCTGGTTGTTACGTCAGCTAATCAATCCTAAATACACAGTTCCCAGGTAGGAAACCATTTCATTTGTCATTTATTGAAGGAGGCTCCTCCTGGCTGGGTTCCAGTCAGCAGGAATTCACAAATCTCTCTCCCGGAACTGCGTTTCCTGCTGGTTCAAGCTTGTTCCGAATGGAATCAGATCCTGTGACTAAGTAATCAGTAAGCTGAACAATCATGGAGACCAGAGGCTTATCAAAGCAAAGTTGTGATGACCTACTACACTTAGCTCTTTCTTTTTTCTTTTTTTTTTTTGAGATGGAGTCTTGCTCTGTCGCCCAGGATGGAGTGCAGTGGCGCGATCTTGGCTCACTGCAAGCTCCTCCTCCCGGGATCACGCCATTCTCCTGCCTCAGCCTCCTGAGTAGCTGGGACTACAGGCGCCCGCCACCACGCCCGGCTAACTTTTTGTATTTTTAGTAGAGACGGGGTTTCACCTTGTTAGCCAGGATGGTCTCCATCTCCTGACCTCGTGATCCACCCGCCTCGGCCTCCCAAAGCGCTGGGATTACAGGCATGAGCCACCGCGCCCAGCTCTTTTTTCTTTGTTTTTTGAGATGGAGTCTCGCCCTATCGCCCAGGCTGGAGTGCAATGGCGCGATCTCAGCTCACTGCAACCTCCACCTCCTGGGTTCAAGCAATTCTCCTGCTTCAGCCTCCCTAGTAGCTGGGATTACAGGTGCACGCCACCACGCCCGGCTAATTTTTGAATGTTTAGTAGAGATGGGGTTTCACCATGTTGGCCAAGCTGGTCTTGAACTCTTGACCTTGTGATCTGCCCGCCTTGGCCTCCCAAAGTGCTGGGATTCAGGCATGAGCCACTGTGCCCAGCCAGCTCTTTATTTTCTAAACAAGCCAACAATATCTTATATGACAAGAATGCAGTGCAAAGGGCATGGTGCTTCCTCCTAGAGGTTCAGAAAGGGGAAAAATCAGTTACCTAAAATAATTTCCAGAAGTTAGACCTTAATTTAAGGAAAGTTTGGAGAAATGGTGGGATTTAGATAAATACAGAGGAATAGGAGAACATTTTCAGGCTGGGAAAGTGGCATTAACTAGTAGATGGAAGAGGAAATGTGAATGTTAAGTTTTGAGACAATGAGTAATCTGGCAGGAGCAAAAATATGTGTCAAGAAAAACAGAAGACAGCCAGGCGCAGTGGCTTATGGCTGTAATCCCAGCACTTTGGGAGGCCTAGATGAGAGGATTGCTTGGGCCCAGGAATTGGAGACCAGCCTGGGCAATATGGTGAAACCTCATCTCTACAAAAAATTAAAAAATTAGCCAGGTGTGGTGGCACATGCTTGTAGTCCCAGCTAGGGGACTAGGGAGGCTGAGGGTGGGAGGATGGCTTGAGCCCAGGAGGTGGAGGTTGCAGTGAGCCATGACCGTGCCACCGCACTCCAGCCTGGGTGACAGAGCCAGACCCTGTCTCAAACAAACAAAGAAAAACAGAAGACATGACATTAAATTCCTAGCCATAAAACCTGAAAAGTAAAACTTAGAGTTCAGGACAAGGCATGGGTAGACTAAGATGAATTATCTAGCCCCAAAGTAAGTTTTGGTTCTGATGATTTAACTTTTTGGAGGCATTATTTCATTTTGATTAACTACTCCTCTGCAATTCCAGAGACCAGGAGGACTGAGGGGACCTACACTCTCCTCTATCTCTTATATGTTGTGGCAAAAGTGACTAGACTAAATTTGTGAACAGAGACACAGTTAGGTATAACCTGAGGGAACAGTCTACAGGCAGCAAGAAAGCATGTATGGTTTGTTCTTTTCATGAACACTTCCTGTCATATTTCAGATCTAGACAGTTACTAAAAATAAGTATAATGAACAAGTTCTAAGTCTCAAAACATCACCCTAGCTGCTTGTCTTCCTGTCATTTTAATATGGTCCTTAAGTCTTTTCTAGTTTCAAAAAATCCCTTATAAAATACCTCCCACAAAGGAGCTAGAATTTAAACATCTGTTAACACCAGCTGGGCACGGTGGCTCACTCCTGTAATCCCAGCACTTTGGGAGGCAGAGATGGGCAGATCACCTGAGGTCAGGAGTTCGAGACCGGCCTGGCCAACATGGTGAAACCCCATCTCTACTAAAAACACACAAAAAATTAGCCAGGCATGGTGGCACATGTCTGTAGTCCCAGCTACTCCGGGAGGCTGAGGCAGGAGAATGGCTGCAACCTGGGAGGCGGAGGTTGCAGTGAGCCAAGATTGGGCCACTCCACTCCAGCCTAGGCGACAGAGACTCCGTCTCAAAAAACAAACAAAACAAAACAAAAAAACAAATATCCGTTAACACCTTAATATCTAACAGTTAAAACAGCTTCAGTGTTCCAGGAAACATTAGAATATTGCTATGGTTTGAATGTGATCCCCAAAGCTCGTGTGTTGGAAACTTAATCCTCAGTGCTACAGTGGTGAGAGGTGGGACCTTTAAGAGATGATTAGGTCATGAGGGGAGAGTCCCACAAATGAATTAATTTTGTTATTGAGAGAGTGGGTTCATTAGAAAATTGAGTTTGGCCCTCTCTGGCTCTCCCATGCATGCTCCCTTGCCCTTCTGCCATCTGCCATGGAATGACACAGCAAGGTCCTTGCCAAGATGTGGGCCCCTTGACCTTAAACTTCTCAGACTCCAAAACTGTAAAAAATAAATCTCTATTCACTATAAATTACCCAGCTTCAGGCAGATCACTTGAGCCCAGTAGTTCAAGACTGGCCTGGGCAACATAGTGAGACCACATTTCTACAAAATATTTAAAAATTAAAAAATGAGCCAGGTGTGGTGGTACATGCCTGTAGTACCAGCTACTTGGGAGGCTGAGGTGGGAGGATTGCTGGAGCCCAGGAGGCTGAGGCTACAGTGAGATGTGATCGTGCCATAGCATTCCAGCCTGGGTGACAGACAGAGTAAGACCCTGTCTCAAAAAACAACAATAATAATAATAATTAATAAAAGGGCACTTTATTGGAGTGGCATAAATTAAAAAGGATGGAAGAAGGTAGGAAAGCAAAGACAGATTTTTTCTACTTTATAATTTTGTTCAAAAACATACATCATGTCATTTGTTATAGGATCTTAGTTTAAAAGGAGACTTTTTTTTTTCTTTTCTTTTTTTGAGACAGAGTTTCGCTCTGTCGCCCAGCCTGGAGTGCAGTGGCGAGATCTTGGCTCACTGCAAGCTCCGCCTCCCGGGTTCACGCCATTCTCCTGCCTCAGCCTCCCGAGTAGCTAGGACTACAGGCGCGCGCCACCACACCCAGCTAATTTTTTGTATTTTTAGTAGAGACGGGTTTTCACCGTGTTAGCCAGGATGGTCTTGATCTCCTGACCTCAAGATCCGCCCACCTCGGCCTCCCAAAGTACTGGGATTACAGGCTTGAGCCACCGCACCGGCCTAAAAGGAGACTTTAAAGTATATGATCTACTCTATAATTATGTGTCCCTTTCCAAACAATATTAAACTCCAGCTCATTTCTAGAGCATTGTGAGTTATCTGTACCATTCTCACACTGTGACCAAGAGAAATAGAACAAAGCAGAAAGCTAAATATACCATAGGATTTATAAGTCTCTCCTACTATGTAGTTAGTCATGAATGAATGAACTTGGGGAATGGCTGACCATCTTTATATTTATATATGATCATTTTTATGCTACTGATATCAAATGCAGCTTAAATTACCAGCTCTCCAATTCAGCAAAGGCTTGTTTCATTTTCTTAATGGAGGCATCCATCTCTTCTTTAACTACAACTCGATACCGTGCAAGAGACACTGTGCAGCGCTGGAGGTCTTTTACAGATTTTTCAATATTGGAACCTTGGGGAAAAAAACCGAAATATTAAAAAAAAAAAAAGAATAATTATATAGGTAACTTGAAAGTCGGATCTGAACACCAAAGCCAAATGTCATGTAGACTAAGAATCTTTCCTAAATAACCACCTTCCCCAATGAGAAAAACATGTTTTTATAGATTTTTGGAAAAAAAAGGATCCTGGTCAAGATGGAATAATAATAATTGGATTTATTCTTCTATCTTAAACAACTAAAAACATACAAAGACAAAATATATGAAACAATGGTTTTCAGACAATGTGTAACAGGTAGTACTTTTCCCGAGACAACAGAAACAAATGAAGTGAGGCCTATGATTGCCCCAACTTGCTGCCTCAATAGTTTCTAGGCTACAATGCAGGGAGGAGAAATCCTCAACAGCCTGGTGGACCCCCTGAATTGAAGGGACAAAGTTGGGAATTTGGAAAGGCCAAGATGGCTGAAATTCTGGGGCAGAGTATTGGTGAGGAAAGAGCTACACACATGAGAGAGCTGCACGGAGATCCACAGAGGATTCTGAGTGTGGACCAGTGCATGAGTATAAAGAAACTACCCAAGACTGGAAAGACAACAGGCAAAAAAAAAACAAAACAAAACCAAAGAACCACCAAAAAACAAAACAAAACAAAACAAAACAAAACAAAACAAAACAAAACAAAACAACCAGGCAGAACAATCCCCAGAGCTCACCAGGCCAGGGACAGTTTGTGCTCACACCAGCCAGAGTGGAAAAACCTCACAATATATGGCAGGCAGAGTAGTTGGAAGGATACTGCCTCAGCAACAGGGCAAAATTATTTCTAGACTAAAGGCTGCTCTAGTCCCACCTAAAAAAGCTTAAAAGAAACAGAAAAATATGACCTATAAGTAAGAGAAAAAATCAATCACAGAGGCAGATGCGGAAATGACACAGATGATAGAATTGAGTAGAAAAGGACATCAAACAGCTATTATAATTAGATACTATAGGGCCAGGTGTGGTGGCTCACGCCTGTAATCCCAGCACTTTGGGAGGCCAAGATGGGTGGATCACCTGAGGCCAGGAGTTCAAGACCAGCCTGGCCAGCATGGTGAAACCCTGTCTCTACTAAAAATACAAAATTAGCTGGGTGTGGTGGCACGCACCTGTAATCCCAGCTACTCGGGAGGCTGAGGCAGGAGAATCACTGGGAGGCGGAGGTTTCAGTGAGCTGAAATCACACCATTGCACTCCAGCCTGGGTGACAAGAGTGAAACTCCATCTCAAAAAAAAAAAAAAAAAAAATAGATACCATATGTTCAAGAAGGTAGAGGAAAGCATAAGCGTGGTAAGAAGAGATATGGAAGATATCTTAAAAGACCCCAGTTGAACTTCTAGAGACAAATAAAACAATGCCAGAGACATATACTGCATAGAATTAACAGCAGAATAGAAACTGTTAACAAAAGATGAATACAGTTGAAGACAGCAGTTTTACAAACTATCCAAAATGAAATGAAACACACAGAGAAAAAAGACTTTAAAAAAGGTACCAAATTTTCAAAATTCCTTAAGTTACAGGATTTAATAGAATATAATTCACCATGTGGACATTACAAAATTAAAATGTTCTGTCTGTATAGTACACTTCAAAGCACTGTATATATGAGGAAGCCAGCTTTGTAGAAAAGGATGGACTGCATTTACCTACTCAACACATTTTAACCAATTTCCAAGAGTTCTATTTACCTTTCTATATTCACCAATCCCCAAATTACATATATAATTGATTGCTGGAAACATGGATCTAAAAAGTTTGTAACTATGCCAAGATATGCATTTCCAATTTTTTTATTTAAATTCTTCCTCATCTCAACTTGATTTTATTTTTTAGAATCCACCTAAAAGCTTTCAAGCCTTGTGCGCATATATATATATATATATATATATTTTTTTTTTTTTTGGCTTGATTGGATAGTCTCAAACCTGCTGATCTGCAACAGGCTGAGGGCTACCAGAACAATGAAAAAGGGGAGCTTACCTAATTAAAATTTGGCTCATGTGTAATAAATAATTCCATAAAGAGCTACTGATTACAAGTGTCCTTTATATTTCTATGTTTCATTTGTTTAGTGGAGTGGACCACCATGCTTAGATGTATGAAACTCAGATATAGGAAACACAGGGTATTATCTCTGTCTGCTGAATTACTGGCTGTTTGTTTAAATGATTATTGTAGTTTTCTTTTTTTTTTAAGCAAAGAGCTATCACCAGTCAACGCCACATACTTAAGAGAAAATGACCTTACTTTTTCTAAGCTAGAGTCTGTCAGAGGACTCTAGCTCAGTAAGAGCATGAAGTTATGAAGAGGAGTGAAAATATTTCTTTAAAATGTCAATGTTGGCTGGGCGCAGTGGCTCACGCCTGTAATTCCAGCACTTTGGGAGGCCGAGACAGGCGGATCACGAGGTCAGGAGATCGAGACCATCCTGGCTAACACGGCGAAACCCCATCTCTACTAAAAATACAAAAAAATAGCCGGGCATGGTGGCACTCGCCTGTAGTCCCAGCTACTTGGTAGGCTGAGGCAGGAGAATGGCATGAACCCGGGAGGCGGAGCTTGCAGTGAGCCAAGACTGCGCCACTGCACTCCAGCCTGGGGGACAAAGTGAGACTCAGTCTCGGGGGAAAAAAAAAAAAAAAGTCAATGTCAGAGAAGGTAGAGCTTTTACTTGTTGGGTCAACCAGAAGATAAAAATGAAAGAAATAGCACCAAAACGTTGCAATAAAGCAAATAAAGAAACAGGTTAATGTTAGCAGGTAAATCATTCTGGCAGTAGAGTTTGACTTTAATTCACAAAACGTGCCGTCGTAAGTAGATTGTACAGCATTTAAACTACTTTCAGACTCCAACTGTGTACACAAAGGTTAGGGGAAGGGCTGAGTAGTCAGTCACTGTCTGGAAAATGGAAAAATATTAACTGATGCCCTTCTGAAACCTTATTTATGGCAACAGAGATAATTTGCCCTCTTTAGCCAAAAACACAGATTTTTCATTTTCTCTCACAGGTGGGCCTCTGACTTACTTAGCTTTTTACTGGTGGCGAGGGGAACATCTTCCATCCCCATATTTGAAAACTGAGTTTCTGTGGTAGGTCTTGAGAGAGATTTGGCAGCATTCCTGGGTTGTTGAGAATTGTGAATAGAGTGCATAGTCAAAGACTTGGTCTCAAAATCAGAGACACCATTCTGCAGCATGGATCCTGTCCAAGAAAGAGGACTGTACTTTAGAGCACAATTTAGGAGTAAACCAGTCATTCTTAAGTACACAAAGAAAACAGGTAAAAATGTTTGAGGCAAAACCATGCCTCTTAAAAGACTGTAAACAAAATCAACTGAAACAATAGAACAAAGATCAGAATCAGCTGGGTATGGCTATCGGCAGCTTCGGGCTTAGTCTTAAGTGGCGTCCGGAATGAAGAGAAGAGTCTGTGGCAACACATCTTTAGATAGGGAGCTCAATCCCTGTGGCTCTGTGGCTTCTTTGTAGCTTGGTAGTTTCTATGTAAGTCTGGCACAAGGAATCAAAGAAAGTCAGTATCACCAACTTCTGCAAGCCTCCATGTTAAGAAAAAAAGAGTTTTAAACTCTCTCGAGGAAAGAAGAATTTAAAAAGCTTTAGGGGCCAGGCATAGTGGCTCACGCCAGTAATCCCAGGTATTCAGGAAGCTGAGGCAGAAGGATCACTTGAGCACAGGAGTTTAAGACCAGCTTGGGCAACAGAGAGAGACCAGGTCTCTCAAAACAAACAAACAAACAAACAAACAACAACGCTCTAGGGGATAGAAGTGTAATAAGTTAGGAAGAGTTAGGAAATGAGAGGAAAGCTAGTTCAGAAAAAAATGGAAACCACTGGCTATTGTTGGTTTGAGTCAGTGCAATGTTTTTCTCTAAGTCTTTTTTTGTGTATGTGTGTATACTAATCAATAAAAGAACACCTAAACAGCACAGCATAAATCTTATATTGGCATTACACTTCTAAAGCCAGGAGCAGCAGGGCAGGGGAACTGGATTAACAAGTAATGTTTTAAAAGAGAAATTTCCAGTATCTTACCCTCAAAAAAATGGTTAACAAAGAAAGGTACAAGATATGTGAATTTACAACTAACACTAATCTTAATTCTTCACTAGAAAACAAATGTGAGACTATAAAAACCAACAGCCTAGTTCTCACAAAAGCTGAAATTATCATTATTATATTTCTCACTATGTTGGGTCTTAAAATAATAATATCAACATCATCATCTTCCTGAATAACTCCACAATTTTTAAAAAACAACTTAAAGTCACCTTCTGTAGTCTCTAAATACTGAGGTATTTCTCTGCTATTAACCCATTTATGCCGGAGGCTGCAATTTTTTTAATTTTTGCATGAGTGGAAAAATTAGATCTTGGCGATGACCTTGAGCAGTAGGATATGAATAACTCCCACATGCTCAGCGTTCCAATAATGGAACACTAGGGTTCAAGTTAGATGATTTCCACAAAACTGATTTAGACAAGAGTTAAAATATAATGGAACAAGAATTGTATTTTTTCAGCCAGGCGCGGTGGGCAACGCCTGTAATCCCAGCACTTTGGGTGGCTGAGGCGGGTGGATCATGAGGTCAGGAGATCAAGACTATCCTGGCTAACACGGTGAAACCCCATCTCTACTAAAAAAAAATACAAAAGATTAGCCAGGCGTGGTGGCGGGTGCCTGTAGTACCAGCTACTCAGGAGGCTGAGGCATGAGAATGGCGTGAACCCAGGAGGTGGAGCTTGCAGTGAGCTGAAATCACGCCACTGCACTTCAGCCTGGGCGACACAGCGAGATTCCATCTCAAAAAAAAAGAATTGTATTTTTTTCTAGGCCTTTGATAATTATAAAATGTGACTCAGACAAAAAGTAACAAAAACTAAAAAGTAAAAAGACTAATCAGCAAGCACTGGATAAAAAAAGACTAACTAGATTTAATTGATCACTTTCTCAACGAGGAGAACCCTGTTTTTCAACTGAATGCAACTTTTTCAAAATCTGTTAATAAACTCACCTGTTCTATCCAGCGTATCTAGCATGGCAGACTCGGGATCCTCCAATTCTCTGGCATCTATTGAAAGTGTCTCCAAACCTTCACTGAGTGAGTCCACAGACTCAGTGTCATTGATGGCACCATTGACATGGTAGCCATTCATACCACCTTTCTCTGAGGAAGGCGCAGACTGTTCCTCTTGAATGGAAACTGATTTACTGGAATCTGGGATGCCGTTACTTGGTTCTGCGGCAGGTTTCGGTTTGTTTTTCTTCTTTTTGTTCTAAAGTTATTAAAAATTTGAAAAAGAAAAGAAAAGAAAGAAAAGATTCCCCCACAACCTAGAGAGGTAACTCTAGCTACCCAAAGGTAACCAATGTTACCAATTTCTTGTATGTTCTTTCAGAAATTTAATATTTTCACATATGCTGAACTATTGCCTAAAATAAAATTTTACTATGTGAAATCCTATACTTTAGATAAACTCAAACACATAAATATAAAACATTTCTTCATGACAAAACCCACCTTCAACAAAATCAAAAGATAAATTACAAAATGTGAAAAAAATATGTGCAGCTTATAGTCAAAGAGCTAAATATATACAGAGTTCTCAGAAAAAGCAAAATAATCCCATAGAAAAAAATAGTATAAGCTATAAGCATATAGAATGATATGCAACCTCAGTCTAATAAGAGATATATAAATTAAAACTGCACTGCAATTATCATTTTTCATTTATTAGATTAGCAAAGGTCAAAAAGTATGTTAACACTGTAGAATTGATAAAGGTTGAGGGTATAGAGAAACAGCCATTTTCATGTATTACTTCTGGGAGTTCAAAGTGGTACTCTCCATGACAATCTAGTAATGCTTATCAAAATTACAAATGCACATACTCTTTGACTAGCAATCCTACTTCTAGGAATTTATTCAAGATGAGAATAACACATATGCAAAGTGATTTCTATATATACACAAGGTTATTCATTGCAGTATCACTATTAACAGCACAGGATTAGAAACAACCCAAATGTTGATCAATAGGCGACTGCTTAAATAAATTGTGGCACGTCTAAACAGCAGGATGACTATGTATCCATAAAAACAAGAAAGCTCTTTATATATTGAGACATGGAATAAGCTCCAAGATATATTACATGAAAAAAGGAAGCAGGCAAAGAGGAGAATGGTCTTATTTACTTATATATGCATAAAATATCTTGAAAGATATATAAGAAATTGAAAATACTGTTTGCCTTGGGGGTGGAGAACCAAATGGCTGGGGAACAGGGATGGGATAAAGATGTTTCAGTGTATTGGGTGGGTGCAGTGGCTCATGCCTGTAATCCCAACACTTTGGGAGGCCAAGGTAGGTGGATCACCTGAGGTCAGGAGTTTGAGACCAACCTGGCCAATACGACGAAACCCCATCTCTAATAAAAAATACAAAAATCAGCCAGATGTGATGGCACATGCCTGTAATCCCACCTACTCGGGAGGCTGAGGCAGGAGAATCACTTAAACCTGGGAGGTGGAGGGTGCAGTGAGCTGAGCTTGCACCACTGCACTCCAGCCTGGGCAACAGAGTGACACTCCATCTCAAATTAAAAAAAAAAAAAAAAAGATGTTTCAGTGTATTAACTCTTGTACTTTTGAATTTTGAGCCATGTGAGTATATTGCATAGGCAAATAGTAAAGTTAAAATAAACAAACAAAAGTCCTTTACCTTTTGTTTTGTCAAACTCGTAGCTCCACTGGCAACACCTAATTCTATTCCTAAGGCTAGGCTGATAATAACTGAATCAATTTTTCCCCAAGTCCTTTCTGTGACCCTCTCCAGCAGAAACATGATTGAACTCTAGATAAACTTTTTGCCTTAACAGCTCTCATCTTTCTTTCTTTCTTTTTTTTTTTTTTTTTTAAAGACGGAGTTTCGCTCTTGTTGCCCAGGCTGGAGTGCAATGGTGCAATCTCGGCTCACTGCAACCTCCACCTCCCAGGTTCAAGCAATTCTCCTGACTTGGCCTCCCGAGTAGCTGGGATTACAGGCATGTGCCACCACACCCAGCTAATTTTTTTGTATTTTTAGTAGAGATAGGGTTTCACCATGTTGGCCAGGCTGGTCTCAATCCCCTGACCTCCAGTGATCCACCTGCCTCGACCTCCCAAAATGCTGGAATTACAGGCATGAACCACCGTGCCCGGCCTCATCTTTCTTTTTCTTACTTTCCCCCATGTGAACTGGCTAAGTTTTCATATCATTGGGTCATGTATATCATAACTATCCCACTCAGAGTCACATCCTATTGGACTAATCCCAACAGTTAAGTGGACTGGACTGGATTTGTGCATTTGGGACTGCTAAACTGAAGTCATATTTCTTTCTCCAAATTTTAAGGAATGTCTGTGTCTCTAACACACATCCTCTTCCAGGTCCATGCACATCTTATATCACTAGTAACTTATAATCCTGGGCTAATAAATTAAGAAACTGGTGTTAGCTGGGTGCAGTGGCTCATGCCTGTAATTCCAGCACTTTGGGAGGCCAAGGTGCGCAGATCACTTGGGGTCAGGCGTTCGACACCAGCCTAGCCAACATGGTGAAACCCTGTCTCTACTAAAAAATACAAATATTAGCCAGGCGCAGTGGCACGCACCTGTAGTCCCGCCCTACGTAGGAGGCTGAGGCATGAGAATTACTTGAACCCAGGAGGCGGAGGCTGCAGTGAGCCGAGATCGCGCCACGGCACTCCAGCCTGGGCGACAGAGCAAAACTCCATCTCAAAAAGAAAAAAAAAAAAGAAAAAAGAAAAAAAAGAAACTGGTGTTTTCCAGGACACTCACAGTTATCTATGTAACAGGTTGAAAGCAGCAGGAAGAAGTTAAACAAATATTCAAAACTACAGGTATGAAGAGCTTCAGAAGAATCTGTGTAGTATTAGGTAACCCTTGGAAAAAATTCTCAAGCGTCACTGAGGCCAAGCCTGGTTTTTGTTCAAGACCTGACAGGACTCCTAAAAAGTGATGTAAGAGTCATGATGAAAGCATTTCAGAACTCCAGCACTGACTTAATAAAGAAAAGAACACCCCAAACAGATTTCACAGAGATACTTGATTAAAATCCATACTTCAAGCATTTCCTAAAGGGGTTACCTTTACAGTGCAGAGCTGTGGGAAGAATTTTGAGACCAGCTGGTATCCTTTGGGAAAAGCATCTGATTTTAAGTAAATAAGGAGAAAGGAACGAGAACTAATATGTTAGGCGTTGTATTATGTATTTGTATTTATTAGAACTATTTTTCTATTTTAGAGATGAGCAAACTAAGGCACAAATGTTAAGCAATATCAGTCACAATGCCAGTAGATAGTGGAACAGGGTAGGAATCCAGTTCTGACTGATCCCATAGCCTGAGTGCTTTCTACCTCTCAAAGTGGAACATCAGACCCCTCTGCAAGGCACCTAATAGCCTTTTTTTTGAGATCAGGTTTCATCATGTTGCCCAGACTTGAACTCCTGGGCGCAAGTGATCCTCCCACCTCAGCCTCCCAAAGTGCTGGGATTACAGGCATGAGTCACCGTGCCTGGCCAGCACCTAACAGCTTTATGTCAAAGCTCATTAATATCAGGACTACAACCCAGTTGCCCGACCAAAAATCTGAACTGTTTTAACTGATTTATGGTATGAATATGGTTGAAAACCACTCAATTAGATCGCTTTCTCTTGCTTTCCTTGATTTGCTGTCTTTTTCACCCGTCTAATAACTGCACCATGGCAAAGTCATTCTGTTTCCTGCCTTAAATCACACGGAGAGGACTGTGTGGTACTCTGTGAGACACAGCTATGTTTCAAGGTCGAAGAATTTTTTTTTTTTTTTTGAGATGGAGTCTCACTCTGTCACCCAGGCTGGAATGCAGTGGCCCAATCTCGGCTCACTGCAACCTCTGCCTCTTGGGTTCAAGTTATTCTCCTGCCTCACCCTCCTGAGTAACTGGGATTACAGGCACGTGCCACCACACCTGGCTAATTTTTTCTATTTTTTAGTAGAGACGGGACTTCACCATGTTGGCCGGGCTAGTCTTGAACCACTGACCTCAAGTGATCCACCTGCCTTGGCCTCCTAAAGTGCTGGGATTACAGGTGTGAGCCCCTGCACCTGGCCAAAGATGTTTTTTAACCAGGTAAACAGAAGATATGTATGTGAACCTTTTCTTTCAAATATTTTTGCAGAGCCTAAATTTTTAAAAATAATATACACATCATCATGCTTTTAAATGTAATTCATTTTACCTTTTTCTTGCCTGTTACTGTCCATTCTTTGAGTACTTCACTGGCACTACCTGTAAGAGAAACCAATTACAGATTTTGTCTCCTACCACACACACAGTAGTCAAGCAGGAGTCAGTGTCCTCCCATTTTGTAATTGCTGGAGAATTTACAAAGCTCCTAACAGAAAAGTTAAAGTTAAGGATCAGGTCTAAAGTAATGTAATGAGATAATCATGCCATGCTTCCCTTTTGGAATACCTGCCTACTTAGACCCCTCCTCTCCGAGTAATTTCCTCAGTAAGTTCTTCTAAGAAGAGACTAATGTAGCTGGGCCATTTTGAAGATTCTCTTATCCATACATCTTAGACCAAATACAAAGGGGATGGCACACTGGTTTTAGCCAAGTGTGCCATCCTTTCCCCTCCAGTTACACACCCACCTTGGCTATGTTGTTTTGGAGACAGCTGCACATTACCCTAGACCAAAACACTAACATTATTTTTTAAAAAGATGAAGATAAAGAAAAACTTTACAACATTCAAACTTGTGCATCCTATGTTGGCAGATTCAGGAAAATAAAAACAGGGAGACCTAACCTCATGTTGCTATTCAAAGACGCAATAGCTTCAGATAGTTTTTCTCCAACAGGTTACATGGAAGGAAGGTTCATAAAACACTTCTCAATGTTATAAATCTGAAGGGTTGACTAAGCCTGCCATTCTTCTACGTATTAGATAAGGAAATTCAAACCCACACATTTGAGTCACTTGCCACAGCCAAACTAACGATATTAGAATCCGGAAGACAATACTGAGTCCTTGAATTTGCCATCTGTTGGTGAGCCACTGAATCACTGCTTTGTTATTAAGAGTCTCTTAAATTCTTATTCAACCCAAGTCCAATCAAGTCCCTTATACCACTGGCCACATGATTTCCTCTTAAATACCATTAGAGAACATTTAGCGTGAAACAATGGAGTTTTCTCAGCTTATCTCTTATTATAGACACCACATAGCTTATTTCAGCTGAAAGAGGTATCGTCAAATGTCATGGTATGTTATGTTTTCATGGGGTCTGCTCTATCATCTATGAATCACTGGATTGCTGAATGTTATAAAAGTCTGAAGCAAATTCTATTTGAGCAAATATAAATTTATTTTTAAAATTAAGTCAGGAT
Organism: Homo sapiens; assembly: GCF_000001405.40. Taxonomy (NCBI): domain Eukaryota; kingdom Metazoa; phylum Chordata; class Mammalia; order Primates; family Hominidae; genus Homo; species Homo sapiens. The sequence continues at coordinate 49,489,576 of NC_000012.12, read as the reverse complement.
TACCTTCCATGAATGCTTGTACTGTTTTGTCCACACAGTTATCAAAGTGCTGCAAAACCAGGATAATTTCATTGTTGCTCTTATTAGGAACTATTGCACGTACCGCATTTATCTGGAAAAGATGACAGGGTCATTTAATTCTAACATTAGTAGGTCACTAGGCAGCTGAGGCCTATACAGAGAATAATGAAAAGAGTGATATTTCATTTTTAACAATATGTATCACTCTTTAGTGTCAGTGACAGTACATACAAGCATCTCACTGGGAATGATTAATAGATGAGTGATAACAGCATGTGAAAAATTAATTTCAAAACTTAGAAATGCAGAACATTGCTAGAAATAGAAGTTATATGCTAGATTTCATATAAAGAAAAGGTGGTTTAATTTCGGTATCAGGTATTAATGTGGCATCAATATTCCCTCATTTTTAGCATACTGTAAAGAAAGGTGGAAAGGTAAATGAACTAGCAACAATAACAACTTAGATTTTTATGTAAGATTTTTTGAAACATATTTTACCTTGTATCATTTAACTGTAAAATAAAGATAATTTATACAAACAATTTAAATTATAAACTATGTTAGGCATATAAAACATAATGACACCCATTGCATGCCACTGAGTTTATTAAAACAAAATAAATATAATTGAAGCCCCCATGAACACCTAATAAGTCCTATTTCCCTTCTTCGTCTCGCTAGAGATTTCTACCCTGAACTTGGTATTATTTCCATACGTGCTTTTGCATTTTTATGATATGTGCATATATCCATAGGTAATATACACTATTATTTTGCACTACATAAATACATAAATATTATATCATATATATTTATCTTCAATTTGTTTTTTTCACATAGCATTATTGTTTTAGATTTTTTCTATGTTGATAAATGCATCTCTTATTTATTTATTTTGAGACAGTCTCGCTCTGTCACCCAGGCTGGAGTGCAGAGGTGTGATCTCGGCTCACTGCAACCTCCACCTCCCAGGTTCAAGCGATTCTCGTGCCCCAGCCTCCTGAGTAGTCAGGATTACAGGCATGTGCCACCACGTCCAGCTAATTTTTGTATTTTAGTAGAGATGGGGTTTTGCTATGTTGGCCAGGCTGGTCTTGAACTCTTGGCCTCAAGTGATCTGCCTGCCTCCACCTCCCAAAGTGCTGGGATTACAGGCTTTGAGCTACCGCACCTGGCCTGTATTTCATATTTTTTGAGACTAAAAATATATGGCTGGGCATGGTGGCTAGCACCTGTAATCCCAGCACTTTAGGAGGCTGAGGCAGGCGGATCACGAGGTCAGGAGTTCGAGACCAGCCTGACCAACATGGAAAAACGCCGTCTCTACTGAAAATACAAAAATTAGTTGGGCACAGTGACGCATGCCTGTAATCCCAGATACTCAGGAGGCTGAGGTAGGAGAATCACTTGAACCCGGGAGGTGGAGGTTGCAGTGAGTCGAGATCGCGCCATTGCATGGCAGCCTGGGCAGCAAGAGCGAAACTCCGTCTCAAAAAAAAAAATACAGGATGAAAAATAATATACATCATTTTAAATGTATAGCTGAACATAAGAAGTAAGGGAAATCCCTAGAGGGAACTAAAACCCAGAATAGTGAGCTTGAACTATTAATAGGTAACTGTGGCATGTTTTGCCAGTCTCAATAACACATGGGTTTTACCACATAGTGCCATTAAGCCCAGTAATGCCAGCACTTTTGGGAGGCTGAGGTGGGAGGATCCTTTGATCTCAGGAGTTTGAGATCAGCCTAGGCAACATAGTGAGACCTTGTCTCTACAAAAAATAAAATTAGCCGGATGTGGTGGCACATGCCTGTGGTCCCAGCTACTCAGGAGGGTGAGGCGGGAGGACTGCTTGAGCCTGGGAGGTTGAGGCTGCAGTGAGCTGAGATCACAACACTGCATTCCAGCCTGGGTGACAGCAAGACTGTCTCAAACAAAACCAAAAAACCCAAACAAAAAGATTGGAACTGAGATCTTATGTAAGCTTGCCGTTTTAAAAATATTGCACCTTCAGGGAAAGGGTGAACTAGAATAAATCTTCCCACTGACCGTTTTTTTATTTTTTGGAGGCGGAGTCTCACTCTGTCAAGGTTGGAGTATAGTGGTGAGATCTTGGCTCACTGCAACCTCTGCCTCCCAGGTTCAAGCAATTCTGTCACAGTCTCCCAGGTAGCTGGGATTAGAGACGTGCACCACCATGCCTGGCTAATTTTTGTATTTTTAGTACAGATAGGGTTTCACCATGTTGGACAGGATGGTCTCGAACTCCTGACCTCACTCAAGTGATCTGCCTGCCTCGGCCTCCCAAAGTGCTGGGATTACAAGCATGAGCCATCGCGCCTGGCCCCACTGACTTTTGAACACAATATTCTTACTGTGTGGGTTTAGAGAGATACATTTAAAGGGTAAAAGAATTGCAAATCTTAAATTTTATTCAATGGTTTTATCATTAGTAACATAGTAGTAATATTATACTGTAGGGTTCTTATTATTTTATGAGTATTATAAAAATAAAACAAATCAGTGAATAATGTTTTTAGGAACTAAAAATTTGGTTAAGAGAGAAGAAATACATGTTTAAAATAAGATGAGAAAAGATCTTTTAATAGTATATTTGAATTGAAGATGTCAATGTGAACTCATTTTTTAACAAAAAAAATCTCCTAGTTTCATCCACGAAAAAGTCTAAAAACAATGACTCCTCAATAGCAATAAGCACACCTAGCTCCTAGATACTGGTTTCTCTCTCTTTTTTTTCTTTTTTTTTTTTTTGACGGAGTCTCGCTCTGTCGCCTAAGCTGGAGTGCAGTGGCACAATCTCGGCTCACTGCAAGCTCTGCCTCCCAGGTTCACGCCACTCTCCTGCCTCAGCCTCCAGCCTGGGCAACAGAGGGAGACTCTGTTTCAAAAAATAAAAAAACCATACAAGTGAGAAGGTATACAGTCTGTAATTCAACGAAGGTTAATACATTTTTGAGATGAGCAACTTAGTATGTATCAATCACAGCAATGATCCCTAAAAAATGGAAGTTTAGGTAAAAATTACAGACTCTGCTGGATGCGGTGGCTCATGCCTGTAATCCCAGCACTTTGGGAGGCCGAGGTGGGTGGATCACGCAGGAGATTGAGACCATCCTGGCTAACATGGTGACACCCTCTCTACTAAAAATATAAAAACTTAGCCAGGCATGGTGGCACGCACCTGTATCCCCAGCTACACGGGAGGTTGAGGCAGGAGAATCACTTGAACCCGGGAGGCGGAGGTGTGCAGTGAGCTGAGATCACGCCACTGCACTCCAGCCTGGACGACAGAGTGAAATTCCATCTCACAACAACAGAAAACAAAACAACAACAACAACAACAAAAGGCACCAAACTTACAGACTCTACGATAAAGGTAAGATTCTGATAACTTAAAATACAAGTATTTATAGTACTCAACCACTGTACAGGACTCCATAGTCAACAATTTTTTTTTAAATAAGACAGAGAGGCCAGGTGCAGTGGCTCACGCCTATAATCCCAGCACTTTGGGAGGCCAAGGCAGGCAGATCGCCTGAGGTCAGGAGTTTGAGACCAGCCTGGCCAACATGACAAAACCTGTCTCTACTAAAAATATAAAAATTAGCCAGGCATGGTGGCAGATGCCTGTAATTCCAGCTACTCAGGAGGCTGGGGGATGAGAATCACTTGAACCCAGGAGGTGGAGGCTAAAGGGAGCCGAGACTGCGTCACTGCACTCCAGCCTGGGTGACAGAGTAAGACTCTGTCTCAAAAAAAAAAAAAAAAAAAAGAGAGCCCATAAAGCTTTTATGTTTTTCTCAGTACAGCTCGTTGACGGTTTCATTACTAAAACCACTTGGTTTTCTTCCAAAAGAATGCTCCTTAGATCTACTTCTGGCCAGGTGTGGTGACTATCCTAGCACTCTGGGAGGCTGAGGCGGGTGGATCACTTGAGGCCAGGAGTTTGCGATCACCCTGGCCAACAGGGAGAAACCCTGTCTCCACTACAAATACAAAAATTAGCTGGGCGTGATGATGCACGCCTGTAATCCCAGCTACTCAGGAGGCTGAGGCACAAGAATCACTTGAACCCAGGAGGCAGAGATTGCAGTGAGCTGAGATCGTGCCACTGCACTCCAACCTGGGTGACAGAGTGAGACTCTGTCTCGAAAAAACCCACAAAAGACCTATTTCGGCCGGGCATGGTGGCTCACGCTTGTAATCCCAGCACTTTGGGAGGCCCAGGTGGGCAGATTACGAGGTCAGGAGATCGAGGCCACGGCGAAACCCTGTCTCTACTAAAAATACAAAAAATTAGCCGGGCATGGTGGTGGGCGCCTGTAGTCCCAGCTACTTGGAGAGGCTGAGGCAGGAGAATGGCGCGAACCCGGAAGGCAGAGCTTGCAGTGAGCCCAGATCGGCCACTGCACTCCAGCCTGGGTGACAGTGCGAGACTCCGTCTCAAAAAAAAAAAAAAAAAGACCTATTTCTTGTCTTGGCTCTGAAGGCTCCTGGACTTAAGAATGCTCTTCAAGTACTTGGGAAGATCCTATTCGATTGTTCCTTAAGGAATGTTGCCAAGTGAGATACACTCAGCCACATAAATATTAATCAACTAATTAATACTGAATATCTTCAAAAGAATTTAGAATGAATATACATGGAGATAGGCAAAGAAAATGTTTGCATTTAATAGGTTCTGTTAATAGGTTCTGCGCAATCAGAACCTATTTATGGCCGTCACTCTCTGATATATAGTGGCATTGTTTTATTCTTAAAATTTCAGTCTCATAATGAGTTTGTGGTAGCCACTAGTCGTATTAGTACCTAAATTTTCCTATGACATTTAAGTTTACTATCCATAGTGACTAGTCTTACCTTCTCTTTCATGTTCTCAAAAGCTCCTCCCTGGGCCAGTACGGTATTGGACTGCAAATCAAAAATGAATCCTGATGAATCTGAAAGAATAAGGGAAAAATATATTCAACATGATCCAAATATAATCCATCCCTAAGACAGAAGGGCCAAGACTGGCTGCTTTCGTCCCATAAAACAATTAACAGCAACTTAGTTGCTATTTGGCAAATTCTGTTACATAGATAACATATAACTGCCTTTTGAATTAAACTTATAATACAGAAATTTAATTTTAATAAAAACTGTCACAGCTTGAGGTAAACACTAAATACATCAACCATATTAGACTGTCCTGTAATCCTTGATATCGTTGTTAATTATCCCACCTTAAGGCCTTCTAAAAATGTCACAAGTAAATAGCTCCCCATGGTAAAATTTAACACTAAAGAATCTGAAAATGTGAGTGGGATGGGAGCTTCTGTAGCATTAACAACACACAGTTATTTCCTCTTCTAGCCAGAACCATACATGTTATGTTTGTAGACTATAAACCCGTGAATACATTCATGTGTGTGTCCCTAATATAATGCTTGATGACGCAAGGCATCCAAGTTGTAGGTTATGGAAAAACAGTTCAATATGATTGATTACAAAAAAAGATTCTGGTTTCTCTGTACTTACAAAGAAAAAGGCTATGTGCAAATTTAATCAGTTTCTTTACCCCTATGTGATCAATAAATTACTTCAGCTTTAACACTCAATAGCTTTGTTTTAACCCAATAAGATAAAATCTCAGGAAATGGTTAGAGTGCTTTTCAAATTCTGATGTGCATACTTACCACCTAGGGAATCTTATGCTAAAATGTAGGTTGTGATTCAGCAGTCTGGCCTGTGGCAGATTTTTACTCCCAGGTGATAACAATATTACTGATCTCTGCACTGTACTTGGAAGTAGCTTAGGAGTTAGAATTTCAACAAGGCAAGTAAAAGGAAAAATGTTAAGAAAAGGGGTACAAAAAAACCACGGTAATACTCTAGTACACTTTCCAAATTATTTTGCTGTTATTACAGATATGTTTCAATTAAAGATTCTTTCATGGCTTAATCTTGAACCTTGAATTAATTTAGATTTAACTTTTGTTAATACCGGCCATTTCTAGACTGCTACTCAAATGAAAAATCGGGTAACACTTATACAAACAGTATTTAAGCTTCAGTTTTCTAGATGACTATATAATATGGTTAACTCCCAATTATCTTTATTAATTGAAAAGAGACACAGTCTACAAAAACGAAGATCTTATAGAACCAAAGCACTATTTAGAACCTTCTCAGAATTCCTATAGATCAGCCAAATGATATAACTCGAATGTTTTAATGTATCCTCCCCCAAAGAGGTATTAATGAGCAGTGGGAATGATATGAAGGACATCAATAATCCACTTATTAGTGAATCAAACCACCAATCTCTTTTAGGGAAAAGAGGGAACACAAAACAGCATTTTGGGTTCTATTACTAGCCTCTTATCTAGCTCTGTTTTTTTTTTTTTTTTCCTTTAACAACATACTAGATGACACAAACTGCAAGAAAAACAAAGGAAAGGCTGGGTGTGGTGGTTCACGCCTATAATCCGAACATTTTGGGAGGCCAAGGCAGGTGGATCGCTTGAGCCCAGAAGTTCAAGAGCAGCCTGGGCAATATGGTGAAACCCTGCCTCTATAAAAAGGAGAAAAATTAGCTGGGCATGGTGGCACTTGCCTGTAGCCCCAGCTAATTGGGAGGGTGAGGCGGGAAGACAGCTGGAGTCTGGCAGGTTGAGGCTGCAATGAGTCGTGAATGCACCACTGCATTCCAGCTGGGTGACAGAGAGAGATCCTGTCTCAAAAAACAAACAAAAAACAAAGGGTAGTTCTGCAAACACTCAATTATTGGCCAAAATAAATTAGTATAATTAGGGTTTATCTGGAATACTGTTAGGATAATGATTAAAAATATATAAAGCAGCTATTTCAGTCAAGATCCCAAAGAGGAAGCGAATGGCATACTCAAATTGGGCAATCTTAATAGAGTTTAATAATAGGAGTATTTTCAAAGGTGTTAGCAAAGAGTAGGGAAACCACCCAAGATAGGGCTGTACCTCTTGTTACTGTTTTTGCTGGCTTTTAAGCAATGTGCACTGCTACTTGAGACTTGAGTGTGAGGAGGAAGCAGTTACAGGAGCCAAAGACAGAAAGGGCCCTTTTATTTTTGTTTCATCTGGTATAGAAAGCGCCATCAGACAGTTGCTGTGACCTTTGGCCAAAGGACACACTCAGCCCACAGCTACCCCTCAGAGAAAGATTAGAGGAATAAAAGTCCCCTACCTTACTCTCCTCCCTTCCTCGGAATCTCCTGCCAATGCTGCCCAGTGGCCAAACTTAAGTAAGCCAGAGGGCATGGGAGGCACTGAGATGGTCTACATAGGTCAGGAGGGCACAAATGACAATTTTGCATTTATATTCTATGACATGAGGTCACCAAAAAGATAAAGCAATAATCTAACATCTTAATTTGTCTACTCACTAGCTGATACTGCCTTTTTAAACTTAAACCAACACCTCAAGTAGATTCAAAACCTTACTTTAATCAACTGGCACCTAAATGTCTCTTAGTATTATACAGAAAGTAATTTTTAATTCCCATCAATACTTAGTGATTTTTAAACTTATTTTTTCATGAAAAGAAAGCTTAAGATTTACCTAATTCTATTGGTAAGAAATAAGGCAGGATTTCATCTTTTTATTAATATTTAGCTGTGATAAGAGAGCATGTATTCTATCAGAAACACATTTTTAAGGAAAAAGTGCTGCTAAATATTCTCTAATCCTGGGTGTTCAGGTAAAAAAAAAATTCTCAGGCAAGATTCATAAAGAATATGAGGATGCCTAGGCCAGATGCAGTGGCTCACACCTGTAATCCCAGCACTTTGGGAGGCTGAGGCGGGCGGATCACTTGAGGTAAGGAGTTCGAGATCAGCAAACATGGTGAAACCCCGTCTCTACTAAAAATACAAAAATTAGCCAGGCATGGTGGCAGGCACCTGTAATTCCAGCTACTGGGGAGGCTGAAGCAGGAGAATTGCTTGAACCCGGGAGGCAGAGGTTGCAGTGAGCTGAGAATGAGCCACTGCACTCCAGCCTGGGCGACAGAGCAAGACTCCATCTCCAAAAAAAAAAAAAAAAAAAAAAAAAATGAGGAAGCCTTGAGCTTGTTGAGCTTTCTTATTTATTTCACTCTATCAGGAACCATTTCAGAAGTTTTTTTGGAATTATTTCTTTCTTTTTTTTCTGGAGACGGAGTCTCGCTCTGTTGCCCAGGCGGGGAGTACAGTGCTGTGATCTTGGCTCACTACAACCTCCGCTTCCCGGGTTCAAGCCATTCTTCTGCCTCAGCATTCCCAGTAGCTGGGATTACAGGCACGCGCTACCACGCCTGGCTAATTTTTGTATTTTTAGTAGAGACAGGGTTTCACCATGTTGGTCAGGCTGGTTGGAATTATTTCAAATAGCACACATTCAGGTATATTTGAGAAAAAGTATGTTATTTACAGTACAAATGACATATTTGTAAATACTACAGGTTTTGTTATTATTGTTTTTGCTGGCTTCAAAAATTAGGTAAAAGTTGTTTTTAGGCACTGAGAATGACATAGAAATAGCTGAGCCTGATTATTCCATGTATTAAATCAACCTTGAACAGGTGTCTTGACAAGCTTTAAAACACAGTCTCATTCTGCTGTTAATTTATAATTTAACCTGAAGATCATACTGTACTAAGTGTTTTAGAATTAATTTTGTTTAAAGTTCTGATTATATTTATACCCAGGGTGCATATTTATTTATTAAAAAAAAAAAACAGAAAACAACAAGTGTGGCAAGAATGTGGAAAAACTGGAATTCTGGGGCACTGCTAGTGGAAATGTAAAATGGTACAGCCCCAATAAAAACCACATGTTGGTTCCTTAAAAGATAAAACATAGAACTACCACATGATGCAGCAATTCTGCTTCTTGGTATACACACAAAAGAAATGTCACCAAGGTCTCTAAGAGGTGTTTTGTACATCCATGTACTGCTGTAGGCGTTGAGATACACTAGGATACAACGGTGAACAAGAAACGTTTCCTGCCCTCTTAGAGTTTTACTGTCTAGTGCAAGAGACTGATTAAAAAAAAAGAATAATCATCTCAATATAACAACAATGCATTAATTTATCTAACTGTACAATACTAAATACATATGCTAGACCTCCACAATAACATTATTATGGAGTGAAAATTATTAAAAGCTCTACCACCTTGGGTGCTATCTAAAGAGGTATGGCAGAGCTAATATGAACACACAGTAAGGCTCTTAGAGGTACTGAAGTGAATTTGATACAATTATCCATGAGCAGATTATCTCCATCATGGAAAAGCCTATGCCCAAATTCTAGGCTGCTCACCATAGAGACAAGTGTAGAGGGGGTGGAACCCAGGTATGGAGTAAGTCTAAGGATTCTCATGGGGGTTACTGAATTTGTATCTGAATTCAACAACCAAAAACTTAACAGTTTTGGATTGCTTGTATCTTTCTTTTGTTAACATAATGGCAAATTATTCCCTCTGACAAGCAAGGAGAAAAATGGAATTATAATCCCTCCCAGAATATCCTCTCTTAATCTCATAGTGATGAGAAAATCAGTCACGGTACTACTCCTTGCCCAAAGTCACACAGTAAATCCTACTGTAGAATCAAAAAGGCAGTCCAGGTTTTATGCTTTACATTAGTGCTGTGTAACTCACCAAATATACTAGTTCTCAAGTTGCCATTATTTTAACAGTACCTTGATATATAGCCTTTCTTCTAAGGATCTCAGATTCTTGCTATAATCTACTGATATTCCTTACACATACATAAAGTAAGTTGAGTACTAACATTATTCACATCATACTGGCTGCAGCAGGGAGGCACCACCAGGCCAGCAGGGATACACACTCAGTGGAGCCTGAAAGTGGGTGGCAGGGGGAGCAGGAGCCCTACCCCTTCTGAGTTGGGGCAGGAACTCCCCAGGTGCCACTGCCAAAACTGTGGCTGTAGACTCAGGCCTCCCGCTCCATGAAGCAGGCAGGAGCCCCCCATCTCCCAGCTGTAGCTGTCCAAACCATAGCTGCACACTCAGGCATCCGTGTACTCTTGAGGCCACAGGAAGGCCTCCCTGCCCTCACAGGCTAGGAAGTGCCTGCTCCTGCTTGTCTGGCTTCTCCCTGTTGTCGGCACCTGCTCCAGTCTCAGCAAAGTTGGCTGAGCCAGGGTGCTATGAATGGCAGCAGGAGGCAGGCAGATTCTTGGGCAGAAGGGGGTGGGTCCCTGGTTAGGCCCCACTGTCAGGCCAGGGAGGACCTTCTGAAGGCTGGGGGCCAGGCTGCTAGTCCAGCATACTCGGGTAGTGACTTGTGGTGCCTTTTCCAGGCCCGCCCATGGCCACCCACGGACCAACTGGCACGCACTTTCTCCCCTCTAAGGTCGACAAAAGCCCCAGGCTCAGCCAGAGCTGGGCAGGGGATGGAGAGAGGACAGGGACAACCTGCTGCAGAGAGGAGCCACCTTCTCTGCTGAGAGCTGCAGAGACAATGGGACGACCTGCTGGCAAACCATCCTCTACAGGGCCTCCTCTCTGCTGAGAGCTGAATACTCTGTAGGAGACGACCTGCCTACAGAGAGGAGGTACCCACTGCGGGTCTCCGCTGAGCTGTTGTAACACTCAATAAAGCTCCTCTTTCATCTTGTTCACCTTCCACTTCTTTGTATATGTCATTCTTCCTGGATGCAGGACAAGAACTCAGGCAAAGGCATCACTGGCCACAGAGGTTTCTGGCCAGAAAAGTGACACTCCAAAGATCCGTAACAATTTCACCATGGCCAAAGAAAGACCAGAAGAGGTAAGATCCAGTTAAATATAGGTAAAGCCCAGAAGTCTAGATAACCTGACAAGTATGATTATTACTTAACATATTTTCTCTAATGGTATCAACTTTCTCCTAAAAAGTAAACTCAAGAGCAGAGCCTATGTAAGTGCCAATTCTTACAGAAATGGTATCTCATGAACAATTAAACAACCTGAAGTTCTCCTTCAGACTGAACACAGCCAATATTGGACCATAAAAGAAAGTGACCAATTGCTTGGAATTGCTTTGTCTCATGCCAACTTTGAGAATAATCCACATGTAAGTCACCAATAAAATTACAAGTGGAGTTCAGTTTCTTCATGTGCACTAATGGCAAATGTGGGGACTGGGGTTATATTGTACAAATATAAGTGCAAAGAAAAGGAAGTTATTGTCACAAGAATTAGTACTTAAGGCCTATTCAGAACTTCACAACTAAAGATTCTGGCTGGCTGCAGTGGCTCACACCTGTAATCCCAGCACTTTGGGAGGCCAAGATAGGAGTATCGCCTGAGGCCAGGAGCTTGAGACCTGCCTGGGCAACACAGCTAGTCCCCATTTCTATAAAAAATTTAAAAAGTAGCTGGGCATGCTGGCATGCATGCATCTGTAGTCCTAACTAGTTGGGAGGCTGAGGCAAGAGGATTGCTTGAGCCCAGGAGTCTGAGGTTGCAGGGAGCTATGAGCATGCCACTACACTCCAGCCTGGGCAACAGAGCAAGACCCTGTCTCAAAAATTAAAAAAAAAAAAAAAAAAAAAAAGACAAAACCACAAAAACCAAAAACTAAAGATGCCACTAACTTTAATTTCCTGGGTGGTAAATCTTCATCTACCAACTTACCACTTATTGGAGGAAATACGACTGTTTTGGTAGGAAATAAAATATTTATGAAAAAGAGAATGTGTAAATAATAGGGAATCAAGTTTGGAAGGGGACCAAATCAGAGCACATCAGGGAAATTTAGAAAAATATGTCCAAATGCCATTTTGTAGGACTTCTAGTCTGCTTTAATTAATATTACTATAGTGTGCTATTGTAGCCTTTTGAAATGCTAACACTTTTATATATATTTAATTCTTCAAAACTTATTTAAGAGTAACGCCATCTTTGTTGCCAATGGTCAAACTACACGTATCCTCTCCGGAGGTTGTAAGCATACCGACTGACGGTTCATCAATCAGTCTTCTATCAGATGACTACTGCAACTCACAGGTTCAGAAAAAATCCACACTTGTCCAATTACCAGTCAATCTGCTTCAATGCAAGAAAACAGCCTTTCATATTCCTGTTATTTCAGCTTTCATTTGCCTATAGTCTCAACAGCTGATGAAATTTTTTCCTTACTTTGCTCCTTTGAGTGCCATTTCAACTATATTCTGAAGGATGCTGTGCCTCTTCTTATGAGACAAAGCACTTAAATCAAGAAGTTTCCAAACTTCTAGAATGAGTTCTGAATTTTCCAGGTAGAGCTTGATGGAAACATCAGGGTTTTTACGGGAAGGAGGTAGACAAACAATTAAATCCTACCTTACTTTCCCTCATAGATTTCCTGAGTTTTCAGTAGGTGCAATAGAATAAGCTTTTAATTGTTAAATTCCAAGAATTTTTTTTTTTTTTTTTAAGAGGAGTTTCACTCTTGTTGCCCAGGCCGGAGTGTAATGGCGATCTTGGCTCACTGCAACCTCCGCCTCCCAGGTTCAAACGATTCTCCTGTCTCACCCTCCCAAGTAGCTGGGATTATAGGCATGTGCCACCATGGCTGGCTAATTTTGTATTTTTAGTAGAAACAAGGTTTCTCCATGTTGGTCAGGCTGGTTTCAAACTCCTGACCTCAGGCGATCCGCCCGCCTCGGCCTCCCAAAGTGCTGGGATTACAGGCGTGAGCCACCGCGCCCAGCCAAGTTCCAAGAACTATTGAGGGTCTCATTGTTTAAAAGGTTTGTTCTGGTAATAATCCCGTCAATTCCTCCAAGTCAGTCCACCTTTCACAAACCTTCTTAGTGCAACAGGAAAAGTTCCCTTGTCCCCCTCACAGGGCATGCAGTGGGGGTGTGGCTCGCTTCTTCAGTGCCCTGCTGCTCAAACCTCTAGGGGAGCATACGGACAGGCAGTGTCTAGGGGTGAATGTTTACAGCTGAAGCCCCAGTGGGTGTGTGTTACAGGATGCTCTTTCGGTTTAGCAACCTACCATCCATAGGCAGCTTGTGTTGTGTCAATTAGACCCCTGTCTTATCACAGGGACAGAGGGATTTCTGTATCCTGGGGTTTCTTGCCTTGTACCAGAAGAATCAGATTACACATGGGCTTGAAGAATGAGTGCAAGGTTTTATTGAGTGGAAGTAGCTCTCGGCAGATGGGGGAGCCAGAAGGGAGACGGTTTTTCCCTGGAGTCGGGCCACTAGGCGGACCAGGCTCTCCTCCTACTGCCCCAGCCAAACTCCATGTCATTCTGCCGGTTGGTGACCTGCTGGCGTGCGGGTGACTGTCGTTGCATTCCTCTCTACCTCCAGCCGCCTGTGTGTTCCTCCCCTGACGTGCTCCTCTCCACGTCCAGCCACCTGTGTGTCTTCCTGCTGGGGTCTCTGGGTTTTTATAGGCACAGGATGGGGGCGTGGCAGGCCAGGGTGGTCTTGGGAAATGCAACATTTGGCCAGGAAAACAAAAATGCCTATCCTCACCTAGGTCTTAGGCCCAGGATGGAGCCCTAGCCAGGGACCATGCCCTTCCACCCTTCCATATCATTTAAAGGGACCACAGCCCTTCCCTTCCCAGCACTTCCCTTCCCGACTTCCCTATCATTAGTACTATACTCTAGAGAACAGCCAGGAGGCAATGATATTGACTTTAATGCCCCCTCTTCTGTCTCCAGGACATCTCTCATTAGCCTGGAATTTGTTTTCCTACATACGAAATGAAATGCAGTTTTAAAAAAAATTCCTTCCTATTCCTCTCTGTCTTTCAGATTCTTAAGAAGTCTACCAGGCTGGGCACAGTGGCTCATGCCTGTAATCCCAGCACTTTGGGAGGCCAAGGCGGGTGGATTGCCTGAGTTCAGGAGTTAGAGACTAGTCTAGCCAACATGGTGAAACCCTCTCTACTAAAAATATTTTAAAAACTAGCCAGGTGTGGTGACGTGCACCTGTAATCCCAGCTACTCGGGAGGCTGAGGCAGGGGAACTGCTTGAACCAGGGAGGCGGAGCTTGCAGTGAGCCGAGACCACGCCACTGTACTCCAGCCTGGGCTACAGAGCAAGACTCCGTCTCAAAACAACAACAACAACAACAACAACAACAAGAATTCTACCAGTACACCAGTAAAGAAATTCAATTGTAATTTTTTTGTAGCAACAAGAATACTCAAAGAAATTCAATTCTGTAAGTCAGAAAATTAAAGTATCTTAAATACTTTGTTATAATTCATACAACTTAAGCATATATCCCTAAATATTATGGTTTAGTTTTACCTTTATCTATAAAGGAATAACCCTGTATGCATTTTATTTTTGGCGTGCATTTGGATTTTTGCTTAACATCATATTGTCAGACTCATCTTATGTTCTTGCAAGTAAAGGCAGCTTATTCATTTTCATATGGTTTGGCTCTGCGTCCCCACCCAAATGTCATCTTGTAGCTCCCATAATTCCCATGTGTTGTGGGACAGACCCGGTGGGAGATGACTGAATCATGGGTGCAGGTCTTTCCTGTGCTGCTCTTGTGACAGTGAATAGGTCTTATGAGATCTGATGGTTTTAAAAACGGGAGTTTCTCTGCCTGTTGCAAATAGAGATACACATTAAGATGTGACTTGCTCCTCCTTGCCTTCCGCCAAGATTGTGAGGCCTCCCCAGTCACGTGGAACTGTAAATCCAATAAACCTCTTTCTTTTGTAAATCGCCCAGTTTCGGATATGTCTTTATCAGCAGCAAAAAAACAGACTAATACAATCACTGAATAATATTTCATTGTATGATTATGCCATTATTTATTTATCTATTCTGCCAGTGATAGACAACCAGGTATTAAACTTCCAGTTAACTAAGATCAGTACAGAATAGCTAGTAAGAATCTGGACAGTGAGGAATGGGAAATGATTTCTTATTTTAAATCTGTGTTTCATTTCATACATAATAGCACTAATTCCAGTTTAGATCTGAGAGAAGTTGTTTGTTGTTATAAAAGACTTTGTTTTGGATATTCCTTTTAGAACTGTAAAAGAGTGAATGCTTTCCCTCTCCACCCATCTACCTTGCTTCAAAGTACAGAAATGAATAGGTCAATCCTAATTGCATGCTTCTGTCTCCAACTAAACCATGACCTTTCTCATAACACTACAGCACTGCAAAATCTGTCACTCTTCACTCATTAACCTTCATATCAATGAGAATTAAACCTGTCAGATTCTTTTTTCTTAAACCGACTTAGAAGTCAATAATCAACTTCAATTATAAATATTCCTGTCTCCAACTAATTGTTAAAATTATCACAAGGCAGCTTTAAGTGTTAAACTTGTGAAGATAAGAGACACTCTATGTAAGTAACACACTTGTTTAATTAAGCCTGTTCTGGCCAAATGAAATGTCCTTTTAAAAAAAGTTATGGTGATATATAACACAGGTACGATGCAAACACATAAAGGATTCTGGTCTGATAATTTATCACAAAGCAAATACCCAAGTACTACTACCCAGGTGAATAAGTAAAACACTGCTAGTACTTAGAAGTCTTCCTCACACCCCCTCTCAATCCTCTCCCACTCACCAAAGGTAATCGCTCTCTGGACTTCCACTTCCTTTCTTTATCAGCAGCAGGAAAACGGACTAATACAATCACTGAATTCATACCACTTAAGCATACATCCCTAAATATTATGGTTTAGTTTTATCATTATCTGTAAAAGGAATAACCCTGTATGCATTTTATTTTTGGTGTGCATTTGGATTTTTGCTCAACATCATGTTGTAAGACTCATGTTAGCTTCTTACAAGTAAAGGCAGTTTATTCGTTTTCATTGCTGAATAATATTTCACGGTATGATTATGCCATTACTTACTTATCCTGCTAGTGATGGGCAACTGGGTTGCTTCCAGTTTTGGGACAATACAAACAATGCTGTTTTCAATATTCTTGTACAAGTGTTACGGTGTACCTAGGAATGCACTTCTGTTGAATATATACAAAAATAGAACTAAATATGATATGTGTAGCTTCAACTTCAGTACATACTGTCAAACAGTTTTTCAAAGACACTGTACCAATTTAGATTCTCACTAGTAGTGTTTGAGATTTTTTTTTGTGTGTATGTGTGTGTGAGACAGTCTTGCTCTGTTGCTCAGGCTGGAGTACAGTGGGTGTGATCTCAGCTCACTGCAACCTCCACCTCTTGGGCTCAAGTGATTCTACTGTCTCAGCCTCCCGAGTAGCTGGGATTACAGGCATATGTTACCACGTCCAGCTAATTTTTTTATTTTTAGTAGAGATGGGTTTTTTGCCATGATGGCTAGACTGGTTTCAAACTCCTGAACTCAGGTGATTTGCCTGTCTCGGCCTCCCAAAGTGCTGGGATTATAGGCATGAGCCACCATGCCCAGCCAAGTTTCTATTGTTCCCCATACACTCTTTGCTTTCATTATTCTGTTTTTTGTTGTGGTTGTTGTTGTCTTTTTTTTTTTTTTTTGAGACAGGGTCTCACTCTATTGCCCAGGCTGCGTGCAGTGACATAATCATGGCTCACTGCAGCCTCGACTACCCGGGCTCAAGCAATCCTCCAGCCTAAGCCTCCTGAGTAGCTGAGATTACAGTGGGATTACAGGCATGCGCCACCACGTCTGGCTAATTTTTTACTTTTTGTAGAGACGGGGTTTAGCCATGTTGCCCAGGCTGGTCTCGAACTCCAGAGCTCAAGGGATCCGACCACCTCAGCCTCCCAAAGTGCTGGGATTAAAGCCATGAGACACCACGCCTGGCCCTGTTATTCTTTTCAATTTTAGTGATTCTGGTATGAGATCAGTATTACAGTTATTTCATTAGGGTTTCAATTTGCATTTCACTTGCTTCTAAAGAGACTGAATAATATAATAATATAATATAATATTTTATATATATATATATATAAAATATATAAAATAAGCCATTTGGATATTCTCTTTCCTGACATGCCTATTCTTGCCCAGTTTCTGGGAAGGGGAGTTGTCTTTTTCTTATTGATTTGTTGTATTTCTCTATCTGTTAAATATAATCCAAGTTTCTTCTCCCATTCTGTAACTTGCCTTTTCATTCTCTTAATTGTGCCTTTTAATGAACAGATGTTCTTAATTCTATATGTAATAATGTACTGACATCAATTCTTTTCAATTTTGGTTAGTATATTTTATGTTTTATTTTTAAAGTCTTTCCTTAAGATAGTGGGAGAAAGTTGCTTCAAAATAAACCCATTGGAGGTGGGTGGAAAGACAGACAAAAAAAAATAGCCATATGTAGCTAATTATTGAACCTGAGTTATAGGTATATAGGAGTTCCTCATACTCCTCTATTTTTATAATTTTAAACTTTTCAATAATAAATTTTTGTTTTGGGGGGCGCTTTTGAGACAAAGAGTCTTGCTCTGTCACCCACGCTGGAGTGCACTGGCGCAACCTTGGCTCACTATAGACTCAACCTCCTGGGCTTATGTGATCCTCCCACCTCAGCCTCCCAAGAAGCAGGACTAAAGACACGCCCCACCATGCCCTGGGTAATTTTTTAAATTTTTTTGTAGAGACAGGGTCTCACTGTGTTGCCCAGGCTGGTTTCAAACTCCTGGGCTCAAATGACCCTCCCAAAGTACTGGGAATCCAGGTACGAGCCACTGCACCCAGCTTAATCTCACTTAAATATGTGTTACCTAGAGTAGTCAAATTCACAAAGACAGTAGGTAGAATGGTGGTTGCCAACAACTGGGAGGGAATGGTAAGTTACTGTTTAATGGGTATAGAGTTTCAGTTTTACAATATGAAAACAGTTCTGGACATGAATGACAGTAATGGTTGTACAACAATGGGAGTGTACTAATGCCACTGAGCTATACACTTAAAAATGGTTAAAACACAAATTTTGGCCAGGCACAGTGGCTTGCACCTGTAATCCAAGCACTTTGGGAGGCCAAGCCAGGAAGATCACTTGAAACCTAAAACTTGATACCTGCTTAGGCAACACAGTGAGATCCTGTCTCTATAAAAATTTTTTAAAAAATTAGCAAGGTGCTTTCCTGTGGTCTCAGCTACTCAAGAGGCTAAGGCAGGATGATCGCTTGAGCTCAAATGTTTGAGGCTGCAGTGAGCTGACTGTGCCACTGCATTTCAGCCTGGTTGATGGAGCAAGGCTCTGTCTCAAAAGATAATAATAAAAAATAAATAAAAAGGGAACAATGGGTCTAACAGGTGAGAACTACTGAGTTACAGGAATTATAAATGGTCTCAAGTTGAAAAAGGCTAAACAGACCACCATAACAGCAGCTGGCATTAATGAGTGCTTCATTCTGCTAGACACTGTGAAGGAGCTCTACATGAATCATCTCAGTTAATCCTCTTGATATCCCTACATACAAGTCTTCTGCAATCTTGCCATTTTACAGGAAAGGAAGAGGAGACCTAGAGCAGTAAAGAGATTTCCTAGCTTGCTAGGACAGCCTAACTAGCTAGTGACAGAGATGGAATTTAAAAATTGAGTTTGTTTGGTTCTAACAGTCAGTGTTTTATACTATTACTCATGTTCACATTGCCTTTCTTATTTACCTTCAAAGTTTTTAAAAAAGAGGATGTCACACAATTGTTCTTTATTCCCTTGAAGCTACAAAGGAAGTCTGAGCTTAAATTAAGGCAGAAACAAATATGCTGAATATAAGTTTAAAGTTTTGATGGGTAAGCAACAAAACACTGGAACAAGGCTAACAGGCTAATGATATTTCACAAGTCTCTTCTGATTGCTCCTCAAGAAGATCATACACAACTAACTGTACTAGGTGGTTGGGACACACTCAAAAAAAGGTAACTGAAGGAGATGATCTTATGGCATGATTATCACTAGGCAGAATTTAAGAAGTCTTGCTAACAGATAAGAACCAGAAGGTACATGAGAAGCAAATGCAGTTGATTTACCAGCTGGTGAACTGCTCCTAAGTTATATTTTTCTTTCTCTGATCTCTATTATTGTTTTAATTTGTACCAAAACCACAAATATAATTTACAATTTAGTTTGGAATTTAACTTTTAGAGAAAATAATAGACTTAAAATGGTATATAAATAATGTAAATACTTCAGGTGGAAGTGAACAAAAGGCTCAAAACATTTCTAGCACTATCAATAAAACCAGTCTATTTCACATAGAAAAAAATTACTCCTAAAAATGAGAAATGGGGTCAGGAGTGGTGGCTCATGCCTGTAATTCCAGCACTTTGGGAGGCCAAGGCAGGAGGATCTCCTGAGGTCAGGAGTTCAAGACCAGCCTGGCCAACATGATGAAAACCCGTCTCTACTAAAAATACAAAAATTAGCTGGGCGTGGTGGTGGACGTCTGTAATCCCAGCTACTAGGGAGGCTGAGACAGGAGAATCACTTGAACCTGGGAGGTGGAGGTTGCAGTGAGCCAAGACTGTGCCATTACACCACTCCAGCCTGGGCAACAAAAGCAAAACTCCATCTCAAAAAAAAAAGGAGAAACAACTTGGTAGCCAGAATAAAATCTTGTCTTTGAGTTGTCAAAAAAGTACAGTTCAACCTTTTTGAATGAGATGAATGAAAAATCAAACATTTTTCAGGGAGAGAGTGTTGAGTTGCATGTTTTTTCCTTCTTTTTTTTTTGAGACAGAATCTCACTCTGTTGCCCAAGCTGGGGTGCAGTGGCGTGACCTTGGCTTACTATAACCTCTGCCTCCTGGGTTCAAGCAATTCTCCTGCCTCAGTCTCCCAAGCAGCTGGGATTACAGGCGTGCAGCACCACGCTCAGCTAATTTGTATTTTAACAGAGATGGGGTTTCACCATGTTGGCCAGGCTGGTCTTGAACTCCTGACCTCAAGTGATCTGCCCGCCTCAGCCTCCTAAAGTGCTGGAATTACAGATGTGAGCCACTGTGCCTGGCCCATATTTCTCAGCTGTGAAAAGTTTTATTTTACTTTGTTTTTTCTTTTTTTTTTTTTTTTTTTTTTAGAGACCCAGCCCATAGTGCAGTGACAGGATCACAGCTCACCGTGGCCTCAAACTCCCAGGCTTGAGTGATTCCCCTGCCTCAACCTCCCAAATATCTGGGACTACAGGCACACACCACCATGCCTGGCTTTTTTTTTTTTTTTTTTTTTTTTGAGACAGAGTCTCACTCTGTTGCCCAGGATGGAATGCAGTGGCGCAATTTCGGCTCACTGCAACCTCCGCCTCCTGGGTTCAAGTGATTCTCCTGCCTCAGCCTCTCAAGGAGCTGGGATTATAGGCGCCTGCCACCACGCCCAGCTAATTTTTGGTAGAGACTGGGTTTCACCATGTTGGCCAGGCTGGTCTCGAAGTCCTGACCTCAAGTGATCTGCCTGCCTCGGCCTTCCAAAGTGCTGGGATGGCAGGCGTGAACCACTGTGCCTGGCCATTAATTTATTTTATTTTTTTGTAGAGATGGGGTCTCACTGTGTTACTCAGGCTAGTTTCAAACTCCTGATCTCAAGTGATACATACTCCTGCCTCAGCCTCCCAGAGGTGCTGAGATTACAGGTGTAAGCCACTGTACCCAGCCTTATTTTACTTTGTAAAGATTTTTATTAAGTACTCCTTTATGTAAATCAAATGGTTACAGAACTTATAAAAGAAGAAAGAAGTGGACTTATGGTTACTTTCAAACACATCTATTAAAAATAATTATACCACATTACCACAGTTCTCAAAAGTTCTATAGCTCAGCAAAATTACGTAGCAAGAAAAAAAATTCTAGGCCCAGTGTGGCGGTTCACACCTGTAATCCCAGCACGTTGGGAGGTCGAGGCAGGTGGATCATGTGAGCCAAGGAGTTCGAGGCCAGCCTGGGTAACATGGTGAAACCACATCTCTACAAAAAATACAAAAATTAGCCAGGCATGATGACACGTATCTGTAGTCCCAGCTACTTGAGGGGGTGAGATGGGAGAATGGCCTGAGCCCCAGAGGCAGAGGTTGCAGTGTGCACAGATCACACCACTGCACTCCAGCCTTGGTGACGGAGGGAGACTCTGTCTCAAAAAAACAAAAACAAAAACAAAAACAAAAAAAAAGGCCGGGCACAGTGGTTCACGCCTGTAATCCCAGCACTTTGGGAGGTCGAGGCAGGCAGATAGCCTGAGGTCAGGAGTTTGAGACCAGCCTGGCCAACATGGTGAAACCCCGTCTCTACTAAAAATACAAAAATTAGCTGGGCATGGTGGTGGGCACCTGTAATCCCAGCTACTCAGGAGGCTGAGGCAGGAGAACTGCTTGAACCTGGGAGGTGGAGGTTGCAGTGAGCCAAGATCGTGCCACTGCACTCCAGCCTGGCAACAAAGCAAGACTCCATTTCAAAAAAAAAAAGAAAAAAAAAAACAAGAAAGAAAAGAAAAGAGTGAAAGAAAAAGAAGAAAGAAAGAGAAAAAGAAGAGAAGGAAAAGGAGAAGAGAAGAGAGAAAAGAAAAGAGAAAAAGAAAAGAAAGGAAAAGAAGAAAAGAAGGTCAGGTGTGGTGGCTCATGCCTGTAATCCCAGAACTTTGGGAGGCCGAGGCGGGTGGATCACGAGGTCAGGAGATCGAGACCATCCTGGCTAATACCGTGAAACCCCGTCTCTACTAAAAATACAAAAAATTAGCCGGGCGTGGTGGCAGGTGCCTGTAGTCCCAGCTACTCAGGAGGCTCAGGCAGGAGACCCAGCTACTCAGGAGGCTGAGGCAGGAGAATGGCATAGACCCAGGAGGCAGAGCTAGCAGTGAGCCAAGATCGCGCCACTGCACTGCACTCTAGCCTGGGCGACAGAGCGAGACTCCGTCTCAAAAAAAAAGAAAAAAAGAGTCTAGTGTACCATCCCCAGAGAGAGAGATGCAAAAAGATGTTTTAAATGTTCAAGATGATTCTGATATATAGTCAGATACAGGAGAAAAATATCATCTGACAAAATCAGGACTCCCAAAATATAAAACAAGTTATAATGGCTTGATCTCATCCTTCCCTAATCTCTAGAGTCTGTCTTCAGAGGAAATTAGGAACAATGTAAAGTGCATTAGCAATCTGTGGGAATCACAAACAAGCCCACTTCCAACCTTGAATTACTCCCCAAGTCTGCTTTCTTCTAACCAGTGCTAGACTCAGAGATCAGTCAGGAAAATATAAAGAGTTATACATATCTGGGACAGGCGCAGTGGCTCACGCCTATAATCCCAGCACTTTGGAAGGCCAAGGTGGGCGGATCACGAGGTCAGGATATCGAGACCATCCTGGCTAACACGGTGAAACCCCGTCTCTACTAAAAATACAAAAAAAAAAAAAAAAAAAATTAGCCAGGCATGGTGGTGTGGGCCTGTAGTCCCAGCTATCGGGAGGTTGAGGCAGGGGAAATCTCCTGAACCTGGGAGGCAGAGGCTGCAGTCAGCCGAGATTGTGCTGCTGCACTCCAGCCTGGATGACAGTGAGACTCCATCAAAAAAAAAAAAAAAAAAAAAAAAAACAAAGAACAAATTATTTAACAATAAACTTAAGAAAAATGCAAGAGTTGTACATTTAAATCTGTAAACCATTGCTGAGAGAAATTAAGATCTAAATAAATGCAGAGATATAGTAGTAAGTTCATGGACTGAAAGCTTCCATGTTGTTAAGATGATAATTCTACATGAACTGGCCTACTGATACAGTGCACTCTCTATCAGATTCCAAGCAGATATTCTTGTAAGAACTGACAATCTGATTCTAAATTTTGTATGTAAATGTAAAGAAACCAAAATAGCCCAAAAAATTCTGTGGGGAAAATCATTGGAGGATGTATCTTCCTTACTTATTAAACTATATTTACTATAAAGCCATACTAATCAATACAGTGTACTAGCATAAAGACAGACATATACATCAATGTAACAGAACAGAGTCCAGAAATAAATCTTCACATGGTCTACTGATTTTCAACAAAGGTGTCAGGGCAATTCAATGGAGGAAAGGATAGCCTCGTCAACAAAACGTGCTGTAACAACTGGATATCCATATGCAAAAAAGTAAACTTAGACTCTTATACCTCATATAAAAACTAACTCAGCCAGGCGGGGTGGCTCACACCTGTAATCCCAGCACTTTGGGAGGCTGAGGCATGAGGCAGGTGGATCACGAGGTCAGGAGTTTAAGATCAGCCTGGCCAAGATGGTGAAACCCTGTCTCTACTAAAAATACAAAAATTAGCCGGGCGTGGTGGTGGGCGCCTGTAATCCCAGCTACTCAGGAGGCTGAAGCAGAGAACTGCTTGAACCTGGGAGGCGGAGGTTGTAGTGAGCTGAGATTGCTCCACTGTACTCCAGCCTGGGTGACAGAGAGAGACTCCGTTTCAAAAAAACCCAAAAACCCAAAAAAACTAACTCAAACAGGATCACAGACTTTAAAATATATGAGATAAAACTATAAAACTTCTGGGAAAAAGTCTTTCTGACTTTGAGTTAGGCAGAGAATTCTCAGACACGATACCAAAACCCAATCCGTGATAGAAAAAAAAAAAAAAAGATAAATTGGGCTTCATCAAAATTTAAAACTTCTACTTTTTAAAAGACACCATTAAGAATTTTTTTTTGAGATGGAGTCTCACACTGTCACCCAGGCTGGAGTGCAATGGCGTGATCCTGGCTCACTGCAACCTCCGCCTCCCGGGTTCAAGTGATTCTCCTGCCTCAGCCTCCCAAGTAGCTGGGATTACACGCACCCGCCACCACACCCAGCTAATTTTTGTATTTTTAGTAGAGACAGGGTTTCGCCAGGTTGGCCAGGCTGGTCTTGAACTCCTGACCTCAGGTGATCCACCTGCCTTGGCCTCCCAAAGTGCTGGGATTATAGCTGTGAGCCACCGCGCCCGGCCCATTAAGAAAAGTAGAAGACAAGCCATGGAATGGGAGAATATACTTACAAATCATGTACCTGATAAAGAACTTGTATTCAGAATATACAAAGAACTCTTAGAATTCGATAATAAGACTCCAAAACTTTTAAATGGATCAAGAATTTGAACAGACATTTCACCAAAAAAAATATAAATGGCTAATAATCACATGAAAAGATGGTCAACATCATTAGTCATTAGGGAAGTACAAATCAAAACCACAATGAGATACCATTACACATCTATTAAGATAGCTATAATAATAAAAAAAAAAGACTGACCATACCGAGTGTTGGTGAGGATATGGAAAATATGAAATCCTGATACACTGCTGGTGGGATTGTAAAACTGTGTATCGCCACCTTGGAAAACAGTCTGGAAGTTTCTTACAAAGTTAAAGAAGTCCACTCCTAAGTACCTCCACAAGAGAAATGCAAACACATGTCCACATAAAGACTTGTAAGCAAATGTACATAATTGACAATCATTCATAACAGCACAAACTACAATCCAAAATGAATAGCAACTGTTAAATGGATAAATGTGTTATAACAAGACTACTTAGTAGTAAAAAGGAGCAAACTACTGACACATTCAACAATATGGAGGAACCTTAAAAACATTACACTAAGTGAAAAGAAGCCAGACATAATATCTATATTGTACTAATATGTGTATATGAAATTTCTAGAAAATGCAAAAATAAAGTGACAGAAGATCAATGTTTGCCTGTGGCTGGGGTAGGGAGCAGGAATTGATCACAAACAAGAGAATATTGGGGGATAAGGAAAAGAGGGTTTTGTTTCTGTTTTTTTAAGAGACATGGTCCCGCTCTGTCACCCAGGCTAGAGTGTAGTGATCATAGCTCACTGTAGCCTCAAATTCCTGGGCTCAAGTAATCCTCCCACCTCAGCCTCCCAAATAGCTGGGACTGTAACAGGCATGTGTCAGTATAATTGGCTAATTTTTTTATTTTTTGTAGAAACAGAGTCCTTTTTTTTTTTTTTTTTTTTAAGATGGAGTTTTGCTCTTGTTGCCCAGGCTGGAGTGCAATGGCACGATCTCGGCTCATCGCAACCTCCACCTCCCGGGTTCAAGCGATTCTCCTGCCTCAGCCTCCTGAGTAGCTGGGATTACAGGCATGCACCACCACACCCAGCTAATTTTTTTTTTTTTTTTTTTAAGCAGAGACAGGGTTTCTCCATGTTGGTTAGGCTAGTCTCGAACTCCCAACCTCAGATGATCTGCCCACCTTGTCCTCCCAAAGTGCTGGGATTACAGGCGTGAGCCACCACACCTGGCTAAGACAGAGTCTTACTATGTTGTCCAGGCTGATTTTGAACTCCTGGCTTCAAGCCATTCTCCTGCCTCAGCCTCCCTAAGTGCTGAGATTATAGGCTTTAGCTACCACACCCAGTCGGAAAGTGTTTT
This sequence comes from Homo sapiens, assembly GCF_000001405.40. NCBI lineage: Eukaryota > Metazoa > Chordata > Mammalia > Primates > Hominidae > Homo > Homo sapiens. Next base: position 49,464,209 of record NC_000012.12, on the reverse strand, counting down.
AAAACAAGATTTTGGTGATGGTGCACAACTCCATAAATTTACTAAAAATAATCAAATTATACACTTGGGCAAATTTTAAGGTATTTAAATTATACCTCAATAAAACTGTGTTTAAAAGGGCTTAGATGTTGCCACACTGTCAAATCACTATCAAAGAGTTCCTAAACACTCTTCATTTCTATATACTTCTCCAGTTCACAGACAGGAATAGGGTCTACAGCCCACACTCTAAGAAGCACAGCTCTGACTTCTGCTAGATATTGGCTAATAGGCTTGGAGTAATCAATAGTTTTAACTGAAACTGACTTAATTTAATTTAAGCTGTTCAAGTTTAACTCCACTAAGTATTTCATTAAATAAGGAATTTACAAGTATTACTGACAAAAGGAAAATATGAAAACATGGTCTATTGCTGAATAAAAACATAACTCATTACAAAATGAGAGCCTGTAAATGAAATACCACTAAGAACAATGACTACCATAGACCCTTCTTTTTAATGTAGTATAACCAAGTTGATAAAGTCAGTGTATTTACAGATTAGACTACTAAAACCCAAAGCAATGACACTTTAAACGTATAAATGAATAAATGAAATGTTGTAATATTTTATATGTCATGGGACCAAATATCAGACATGCAAATGAATTACATGCATAGATTTGTTTCAGAGAAAGTCCCAACAACACATAAGCTTTACTTTGTTTCCAACTAAGTGTAAATCTAGGCTAAGTTCAACCAAAACTGGTAAGCACTTAGTGTCTATGTTGTAGTCTATTTTTTTTTTTTTTTTTTTTGAGACAGAGTCTCTCTCTGTTGCCCAGGCTGGAGTGCAGTGGCATGATCTCTGCTCACTGCAAGCTCCGCCTCCTGGGTTCACACCATTCTCCTGCCTCAGCCTCCTGAGTAGCTGGGACTACAGGCACCCGCCACCACGCCCGGCTAATTTTTTTTTTTTTTGTATTTTTAGTAGAGACGGGGTTTCACTGTGTTAGCCAGCATGGTCTCAATCTCCTGACCTTGTGACCCACCCACCTCGGCCTCCCAAAGTGCTGGGATTATAGGCGTGAGCCACCAGACCCGGCCTATGTTGTAGTCTAAAATTTAAATTCTTTTATAGTTAATATTTAAATTCATTTTATAGTAATTAGAAAAAAGCAACTGATGGGGACAGGAGGCAGAGAAATTCTAGGCAGAAAAGGGTGGGTCACCGGTTAAAACGCCACCCTCAAGCCAAAATGCCTGAAACCTTGGCCCAATGTGAGAACTTATATCTCTGTTTTCCTGTTTGTTGCCTTTTCCTAAACCACCCATGGCCCCACCCTGCCCCATTCTGTGCCTATAAAGACCCCAGACTCAGCTGGCAGAGAGGAGAACTAGCTGGACGTCAGGATGTCGGAGAGAAGTGGGTTGACTTTAGAGGGACAGCTTGATGGTGTAACTTTGGAGAAAAAACTAGCTGGAGACAGCTGGACTTCAGGGAAAGATTATCTACCCGCACCCCACCAACCCCTTTTCAGCTCCCCTTCCTGCTAAAAGCCACTTTCATCAGCAATAAAATCTCCCGCATTTACCATCCTTCAATTCATTCGTGTGACCTCATTTTTCCTGGACACCAGACAAGAGCTCAGGAGCCACGAGTGCAGATACAAAAGGCTGTCACACTGGCCCTTTGCCCTTGCTGGCAGAGGGCAGCCACCCCACACACGGGGGGAAAGGGCCCACTGAGCTGTTAACACTTAAGCCGTCCACAAATGGCAGAGCCAGAAGAGCACTGTAACATGCCCTCTGGAGCTTCGGGGGTCACAGGCACCCCACAGCCTGGATGCTGCCACGGGGCCCACACAGAGTTCACCCCTGCTGGTACTGAAGCAGCCAGCCGGTTCCAGCACTCATGCCCTCCAGTTCCTTCCTTGTTCACTCGCGCTCTCCTTCCTGTGAGGAGTTGAGAGAGGCAGGCTGAGTAAAGGAGAGACTCCTGCAAAGGGGCCAGGGAAATATCCTGCTTCACAATGATACTTTTTTTCTACAGCTCTGGCAAAACACAGACATGAAATAAAGACTCTCTAGTTTTAAAAAGGTCAAAGTAATTTGCTGAAGTTAACTTTTTTTTTGGAAAAATTAAATGCTCAACTTTTCCAGAACCCTATTTTTACTATAGTATTTCTCATTTGCAGGGTGAAAACAGATGCTCAATGTTTCAAGCATAACTGGGAAAAAACAAACTGAATTATAACAACTAAGAAAAAACAAACTTGGGTTATTAAAAAAAACTTTTCCGTTGGTAAATTTCATTCCACAGAACAGTTCAGCTTTAGTAATCTAAGCATTCCTTAGAGCTCAGATTCTTCCTATAGATTTACTACACAATGAAGCTACAACTACAAATCTGGTTTATTTACTTTCTTATAAGGTTTTTGAATTATCAAGTCAAAATTAGGTTTAAAAGAATTTTCTTCATATTTAACATGTGAGACCTGGATCTATGAATAGCTTTGCTTTGAATTAAAGAACATTAACTTTGAACTGGAAATTAAATTGAATGAGGGGAAAACGCCAAGATATCTATGATCATTCTTTTAATCAATATATTCCAATTATGTACAATAGTTCTAGTGCTGTTGTTCACTTTGTCCCTTGAAATTTTTGCAGCTATTCTAGAAAAGTAGAAAAAGGTTTTACAAAGTCTTTGTTGTCCTTCCCTCCATTATAACTACCCTTCTATTTCCTGACTCTTTGCACCTTGTATTTCACTTTAGATAAGAAGCTAGAAGAACATTCCCGGAAGGAAAGCTAAAGAAGGAAACAAAACCCAGAAACATTTACTCTTGCTCCACTGCCTTTCTCTAGAAAAATGCCAACTCAAACAACATAGAATATCCTGCAGCAAGCTAGCCCTCTTAACACATCTCCCTAACATATGTTCAGTATTCAAAAATGCATCTTCAAGATTGTTAAGCATATTACAATTTGCTAAGTTTGTGTGAGTAGAAAAGCTATTGTTATATGAATTAATTCCCAGACTAGTAATACACAAAGCGATAATCTAATATCCATAAATACTTGTAAAACCATTCAAAACACATTAGAAGGACAGTTTTTAAATATACAGCTATAAATGGGGATCATTATAACTATGCTTTTAACAATTTATGCCCACATGTAATCTTACCCTTCTGGTTCTGTTTCCTGGACATTGTCGTTTCTTCGATCTCAAAAAATATACAAGAAAAGTATCCTTTTGCCTTGTCTGGGTTTTGAGTGTAGGTATCTCTGATTTAAAAGTGGGCAACGGAAGTGTGCAGTTGGAAGCAAAAAATACGAAATCCTGCTGTTCGAAATTCTGCTCACTAGCTGTTAATCTCCTTTCCTTTTCTTGTATCAACTTCTTGTCAGGAAGTATCATTGCAGACATTCATGTCTCCTTTTCCAGGGAGATTCTGGAGGGAAAAACACAAACACACATATACTATTACAGTAATGACTATCTGTACAAAATTTCTGAGATATCCACAAGGTTTCTTTTGTATTTCTGTATACAAAACTAGTTTTTAAGTACTATAGAAACAATGTAGCTGCTGAAAAGCAGAATTTTTCTTAAGAAAAGTTAATCTTAGAATCAGATTATCCTCTTAGTTTAGAAAGTATGTTCTCTTAGTCTTATTTTTTGTATCCATCTGAAATATCCCCATCTCTGCTTTGCAAACTAAAATGTTACACCTCTTACCACTCCCTAAGATCTTTCTTTTTTTTTGAGATGAAGTCTTGCTCTGTCACCAGGCTAGAGTGCAGTGGCATGATCTTGGCTCCTCATTGCAACCTCTGCCTCCCGGGTTCAAGTGATTCTCCTGCCTCAGCCTCCCGAGTAGCTGGGACTACAGGCGTGCACCACCACGCCCAGCTAATTTTTGTATTTTTAGTAGAGATGGGGTTTCACCATGTTGACCAGGATAGTCTCTATCTCTTTACCTCGTGATCCGCCTGCTTTGGCCTCCCAAAGTGCTGGGATTACAGGCATGAGCCATTTGATCTTCCCATCCAAATCAAGGGTCTATTCTCTTCCTCTAGAATTTCTTTTTTTGTTTGTTTGTTTGTTTTTTTGAGGCGGAGTTTCGCTCTTGTTGCCCAGGCTGAAGTGCAATGGTGTAATCTCAGCTCACTGCAAACTCCGCCTCCCAGGTTCAAGCGATTCTCCTGCCTCGGCCTCCCAAGTAGCTGGGATTACAGGCGCCTGCCACCACACCTGGCTAATTTTTTTTTTTTTTTTTTCAGTAGAGACAGGGTTTCACCATATTGGCCAGGCTAGTCTCTTGACCAGGCTGGTCTCGAACTCCTGACCTCGTGATCCGCCTGCCTCGGCCTCCCAAAGTGCTGGGATTACAGGTGTGAGCCTAGAATTTCTTATATCTAACCTCTCCTCAGGTTTCCCAGCTCAAATATAGCTATAAAAAATATGGGGGGGGGGGGGGACGTGAAATGAGAAACACACTCACTGTACAAACCCAAAGAATGGACTTAGAGGCACGAAGAACAGCAAACGTGAGACTTTTTAATAACGGTCTAGCCAGGTGCAGTGGCTCACGCCTGTAATCCCAGCACTTTGGAAGGCCAAGGCAGGCAGATCACCTGAGGTTGGGAGTTCAAGACCAGCCGGACCAACATGGAGAAACCCCGTCTCTACCAAAAATACAAAATTAGCTGGGCATAGTGGTGCATGCCTGTAATCTCAGCTACTCAGGAGGCTGAGGCAGGAGAATCACTTGAATCCAGGAGGCGGAGGTTGCCGTGAGCCAAGATCGCACCATTGCACTCCAGCCTGGGCAACAAGAGTGAAACCCCATCTCAAAAAATAAATAAATAATAAAATAAATAATAATAATAATAATGGTCTTGCAAGATCAGGTGTCTGGTGGGCAGGCACACCGGGACAGTCACAACAGGTAATTTATCTTCTAGCACACAAGTCCCTCCACCAGTTCCTCACTGGTTGAGTACTATGGGGTTACAATCTTCCTGGACATTGCCGAAGTTTTATTATCCCCCTTATAAGGTTATACCCCATCTCCTTCTCTGCTTAAATTTTGATTTCCCAATTACGAAACTTTCTTCCCTTTTATGGGCTGACCCCTCCTCTACATTCTATTCGCTTATTGTGACCTAGGTGCATGAGCTGTGCAGTTTGCTACATTTGCAGGCCAGCTGCCAGTACTTAGATTTATCATGCCTTGAAAACAAACCATTTAAAATGTTTTATCACATGAAAGGAGGGAAGTGCAAAGGAATTTTAACATGGAAAACTGAAACATCAAAATGAGATTAGTCCATATTGCAGGAAGCTCCTTTAAATTACAAAGATACAAATGCTGTTTTTCTATATTACTAAACATTTTAAAGATACATGCCCAAGATTTCTGGGTAAAGAAAGCATAAGTTCCTGCCAGCAGAGATGTGCTAACAATTAAAAAAAAAAAAAAAAACGAGATGGAATTTGCAACCTCCACCTCCCAGGTTCAACATTTCTTCCGCCTCAGGCTCCCGTGTAGCTGGAATTGTAGGCATGCACCACCATGCCCAGCTAATTTTTGTATTTTCAGTAGAGAGAGGGGTTCACCATGTTGGCCAGGCTGGTCTTGAACTCCTGACCTCAAGTAATCTGCCCGCCTTGGCCTCCCAAAGTGCTGAGATTACAGGCGTGAGCCACTGCTCCTGGCCAATATTTTTTTTTTCTTTTCCTTTTTCTGGAGACAGAGTCATGCTCTTGTTGCCTAGACTGGAGTGCAATGGCGCGATCTTGGCTCGCTGCAACCTTTGCCTCCTGGGTTCAAACGATTAACCTGTCTCAGCCTCCCAACGAGCTGGGACTACAGGCACCTGCCACCACACCCGACTAATTTTTGTATTTTTAGTAGAGACAGGGTTTCACCATGTTGGCCAGGCTGGTCCTGAACTCCTGACCTCCAGTGATCAGTCTGCCTCCGCCTCCTGAAGTGTGGGATTACAGGCATGAGCCACCATGCCTGGCTGAAAAATAATTTTTTTAAGCATTATAAGGATTATGGAACTCATACCTGGGCACCTGACTGGAAAAACATTTACAAAATGCAATGCAAGAAGGAAAGGAGAGTACACTTATATTAAATAATTTCCAATTTGAAAAGAGGAGACTGAAGAGTCAAGTAGGTAATTCTGCGAAAGTTTTAAAAAATATTCCATCAAGATTAAGAACCTCTACAAACCACAGTGGGACCTCAGGAAAAGCAGGGTGAGTATTTGAAACTTACCATCTTCCAGAACACTGAGCCAAGCTGTGAGAACCAGCCAAAGCCTATGGAAATATACAGAATATACCCCTGGATAGGGCACACTTAATAAGATTTTAGAAAAAAGAACAGAACTCAGATCTGCCAAAAACAACTGAACCCTTCAGTGGCAAGCTTCTCAACAGCACATGTCCTCAGGTTAAAGAAAACAGGATGAGGCCGGGCATGGTGGCTCACACCTGTAATCCCAGCACTTTGGGAGGCTGAAGCAGGTGGATTACCTGAGGTCAGGAGTTCTAGACCAGTCTGACCGGCATGGTGAAACCCCATCTCTACTAAAAATACAGAATTAGCTGGGCATGGTGGTGCATGCCTGTAATCCCAGCTACTCGGGAGGCTGAGGAAGGAGAATTGCTTGAACCCGGGAGGCGGAGGTTGCAGTGAGCTGAGATCACGCCACTGCATTCCAGCCTGGGCAACAAGAGCAAAACTCTGTGTCAAAAAAAAAAAAGAGGATGAAAGCAACAATCAACAACTAACCATAGTGGATGAGCAGGGGTGGGTCAGATAGGTCCCAAAGAAGTTTAGAAACATATCAAGGTTATTTCATCTATACTCTGTAGCTGCAAACAGAGCTATCCACATATAACATGAAGAAGATAAATAAAAATGACATAGCAGCTATCAAACCTACTATAAAAAAAGAGAAATACAATGAGAGAAGAAATTTCCATGCAACAGATGAAGAACCCAACCTGGAAAACAATATAAACCCTCAAACCAAAAGCAGATTCCTCCTTGAATACTTATTTGAATATTTCAAATAAGAATTTGAATTCAAGTTGAATTCAAAAAAAGCTATAAAATAAATGATAAAAATAGAAGGAAAGTAAATCAGATTGCAAAGTTAAAGAAAAACTGGAAAAAAATTATGGATCCAATAAGAAGTCAGAAATAGCAAGAAACAGAATAGACACAGATGAAAATAGAATGAATGCAATGAAGCAAACCTTTCAGAAGAAAAAACAGAGAAAACAATTATAATAGAAGATAACATTAGGGAACAAAAAATGATCCAATCTAAGAATAACTGGAATCAATACAAGGACTTAAAAATTATAGGACTCAATATAGGGAACAGAAAAATCATTTGCAGACAATAAACAGGAAATTTCCCTTTAAATAAAGACCTGAATCTGTTCATTCCCCACCACCTCCAATCCATCAGAAGAATCCCATGTGTTCTACCTTTAAAATACATCCAGAGCTGGACCACTTCTCACCACATCCACTGCTACTACCCTTGTCTAAATCACGAGAATCTCTCATCCTGAGTCTTCTACTCTGCCACTCTCGCTGCTATTTCACTATGGCTGCTATTAAAATTATAAGACAGATTATGTCCCACTTCTGCTGCTGAAAGCTCTCTGGCAGCTCCCCATTTCATTCAAAATAAAAGCCAGTCCTTACAGTGGCCTAAGTAGTCTTGTCTGTTCTGATGTCCTTCCTTTACCTTTACTCCACTGGAGCCACACTGGCCTCTTTATCATCCCTTTTACACTCTAGATATGCTCTCATCTTAGAGCTCTGAAGGTGTTCCCTCTGCCAGGAATGTTATTTCCCACAGTTATCTACATGGAATACTTCCTCAATCTCCTTCAGGTCTTTTTTCAAATGTTATCTTCTCTGTGGTTATTCACAAGAAACCTACTGAACCTATGGTAAGAACAGTGGCAGTCTATGGCTGCTCCCATCACATACCCCCAAGGTGACTGGGAAAGGTAGTTCTACCAAGGCAGGGAAAGCCATGAAAACCAGCAGCTTCACTGACAGAGGGGGCTGACTTGTGAAGCAAAGCACAGAAAAACCCCATACCCACAGGCAGGCAGTAACAGTTCGCTTTCTTGGTGGCAAACAAGCAAGACCAAGGGCTCAGCTAGCCTGAGGTTGCTGTCATGGTTGGTGCAAGCAAAAGAACAGGAGATTAGATAGAAATTTAAAAGGGAAATCCAGAAACAAGACTAAGGGACCTGGGCACCATGGCTCATGCCTGTAGTCCCAGCACTTTGGGAGGCCAAGGTGCGGGGACTGCTTTAGCCCAGGAGTTTGAGACCAGCTGGGCCAACATAGCAAGACTGTGTCTCTACAAAAAATACAAAAATTAGCTGGGCATGGTGGCATGTGCCTGTACTCCCAGCTACTTAGGCGGGTGAGGTGGGAGGATGGCTTGAGCCCAGGAGGTCGAGGCTGCAATGAGCCATGACTGTGCCACTGCACGCCAGCCTAAGCAACGGAATGAGACCCTGTCTCAAACAAACAAACATAACCTGGCAACAGAGTAAGATCCTACCTTGACAAAAAATAAAATTTAAAAATTAGCCAGGGATGGTAGCACACACCTGTAGTCCCAGCTACTCGGAAGGCTAAGGTGGGGGCACTGCTTGAGCCCGGGAAGCTGAGGCTGCAGAGGGCCATGACTGTGCCACTGAACTCTAGCCTCAGCAACAGAGCAAGATCCTGTGTCAGAAAACAGAGACTATAGGAGACCTTGGTAAATGTTCCACACATTCATGATGCAGATATTGGAGAAGGTCCAAACTATCCACACACCTCTGGCTGACCATAAGCGTACACATAGCAGCAGCAAAGACTCAAAAAGGCCCAGTGGAAATTAAAAATTATGAGCTTTGAAGGCAGTTCCCAACACACAAAGATCTACAGACAGAGGGTGCAAGCTTTACTGGCTCATGGTGTTTTAATACAACCTTTAACCAATCGCTAACTGACCAGAAGGATAATAGATACAGATGTAACTTCAGCAAGCCAGACTTTAAAATTTTTTTTAATTAAAAAAACAAAACCAAAAACGGTAAAAACTGAGCAGACCCTTTAGTTTATGAAATCGTATCAACGCTACAAAGGCAAGGGTAAAGGCTGTGTGCACTTTTGAAACTTTATGTGCAATTGATGGTGGTGCTGAGATATGAAAGGCTAGCATGAACGTGAAGAGGTAAGAGCACATGACAAAACTTGGTGGTGCAGAATGGACTGTTTTTTTTTTTTTTTTTTAAAGACAGAGCCTCACTCTGTCACCCAAGCTGGAGTGCAGCAGTGCGACCCTGGCTCACTGCAACTTCCACCTCCCAGGCTCAGATGATCCTCCCACCTCAGCCTCCTGAGTCACGGCTACAGGCGCATACCACCATGCCTGGCTAATTTTTTTATCTTTTGTAGAGACAGGGTTTCACCATGTTGCCCAGTCTGGTCTCTAACTCCTAGGCCGAAGCAATCCTCCTGCCTCAGCCTCCCAAAGTGCTGGGATGACAGGCATGAGCCACCACGCCTGATCCATAATGGATATTTTTAAACTTGGTGATATGTGTCTCTCAATCCTGAAGCTTTGGTGAGAGGGTATGCAGACAGCAATAACAGCAAATGATGTATGAATGTTTTTTGCATTCAAAGAACATCTACATCTGTTGAAAGACTTTAAGTGAGTTTTGTTCTTAGATAGCCCACATTAGTTGAATGTATTAAATGAACCAATACTTGCATTTCCCCTACCTCTTTGTCCACTGCTGTAAATGCTGTATGATGTGTGTTCTCTTCTGTTGCTGACATGCAAGTGTGGTCATATGAACTGAAGCGGATGGCTTGAGAATATAGACAGGCTTGTGGTGTACTTTGCAGGAGTACTTGGAAGCAGAGTTCACTAGTGACCTCAGCTGTCACAAAGAAGGGTGGAAGTTCGAATGTCTGGTTAGCTACTTATAAAAATGCTATTCGCGGCCAGGTGCAGTGGCTCGTGCCTGTAATCCCAGCACTTTGGGAGGCCGAAGCGGGCGGATGACGAGGTCATGAGATCAAGGCCATCCTGGCTAACACAGTGAAAGCCTGTCTCTACTAAAAATACAAAAAAGTTAGTTGGGCATGGTGGCGGGAGCCTGTAGTCCCAGCTACTCGGGAGGCTGAGGCAGGAGAATGGTGTGAACCTGGGAGGTGGAGCTTGCAGTGAGCTGAAATCATGCCACTGCACTCCAGCCTGGGTGACAGAGCAAGACTCCGTCTCAAAAAAAAAAAAAAAAAAAAAAAAGAATGCTATTTGCTGCAATTCTGTGTCCCGTGCTTGGATTTTGTCTTTTTTAGAGCCAGGGTCTTCCTCCGTTGCCCAGGGAGTGGCACGATCATAGCTCACTGCAACCTCAAACTCCTGGGCTCAAGCGATTCTTCTGTCTTAGCCTGCTAGGTGGCTGCAACTACAGGCACATACCACCACACCCAGCTAACTTCTTTTATTTTTTGCAGAGACAGGGTCTCACTATGTTGCCCAGGCTGGTCTTAAACCCTTGGCTTCAAGCAATCCTCCTGCCCTGACTTCACAAAGTGTTAGGATTACAGGCCTGAAGCACTGAGCCCAGCCCAAATTGATTTTAAATAATAATTTAAAAAATATGTATAAAAACTGAGCAGAGACATCAGCAACCAGCAGCCACATACCACAGTGAGAAAAAGATTCCACAGATTTAGTCCAGGAAAGTTACTTAAAAAATAAAAACAATAAAGCAACGAAAACCCTCAGAAGGAGGAAAAATCCAGAAATCAAAGTTGCTACAATATAGTAGCTAAAATGTCCAGTTTCAACAAAAAGTTATGAGATATTCAAAAATGCAGCAAAGTGTGACCCAAAGGCATGTGAAAAAACAACCACATGGAGTTGGAAATGCCCCCGAGTAGGCCCAAATGCTACACTTCGCAAACAGACTCCAAATTTCTTTTTTTTTTTTTTTTTGAGACGGAGTCTCGCTCTGTGCAGCCCAGGTGGGAGTGCAGTGGCGCAATCTTGGCTCACTGCAAGCTCCGCCTCCCGGGTTCATGCCATTCTCCTGCCTCAGCCTCCCGAGTAGCTGGGACTACAGGCGCCCGCCATCACGTCCGGCTAATTTTTTTTGTATTTTTAGTAGAGACGGGGTTTCACCGTGTTAGCCAGGATGGTCTCGATCTCCTGACCTCGTGATCCGCCCGCCTCGGCCTCCCAAAGTGCTGGGATTACAAGCGTGAGCCACTGCGCCCGGCCTCCAAATTTCTTTAAAGGACTAAAAAAAATAGTAGAACAATGCCTCAAACAAAAAGAAAATCTTAACGAAGAGATAGAAATTATTTTTAAAGAGAACCACGGTTAAAAAAAAATAAAAAATAAAGAGAACCATGATATAAACAGGGCACAAATAAATTTGGAAAATAAAAAAAGACAACCAAATCAAAATTCTGAAGATGAATACTAGAGTGGAAGAAAAAAATCAGAAAACTTGAAGAAAGGACAAGAGAAATTATCTAACTTGAAGAAATGGGAGAAAAAACAATGAAGAAATACAAGCCAGGTGCAGTGGCTCATGCCTATAACTCCAGCATTTTGGGAGGCCAGGTTGGAGTATCGCTTGAGGCCAGGAGTATAAGACCAGCCTAAGCAACACAGTGAGACGCTGTCTCTATAAGAAATTAAAAATCGGCCAGGTGTGGTGGCGCATGCCTGTAGCCCCAGCTACTTGGGAGGCTAAGGTAGGAGGATGGCTTGAGCTCAGAAGGTCAAGGTTGCAATCAGCCATGAGTCTGAGCAGCAAGGCAAGACCCTATCTCTTAAACATTAACAAACAAAAAGTAAAAATTTTTTAAAAAGTAAAACAGTCTCAGAAATGTGTGGAACAATGTCAAGTATACCACTATACACAAATTAGAAGCCCCAGAAGAAGTGATGTGAAAGAGGACAAAAATGGTGACCAAAAACAATTTGCAACTTGATTTTTTTTAAATGTATCTACAGAGTCAGGAAGCTCAATGAATTATAGCTGCAATACACACAAAGAGATCCACATCTAGACATATCATAGTGAAACTGATTAAAGCCAAAACCAGAAGATCTTGAAAGCAGCAAGAACAAAAATGAAAACAATACTTCATCATGTACAGGGAAGCAACATTAACAGCTGACTTCTCATCAGAAGCAAAAGAAGCCAGAAGGCAAGAAATGACATTCAAAGTGCTAAAAGAAAAAACCAGCAACCAAGAATTTGATATCTAGCAAAGCTATCTTTCAAAAATGAAGGTGAAATAAAGACATTTCAAAGACTTACAGAGAATCCATTGCTTGCAAACCTGACTTACAAGAAATTCCAAAGGAAGTCTCTCAAGTTGAAAGGCAAAATGACATCAGATGGTAACCCGACTGTACCCAAAGAAAGAGCACTAGGAAAAGCAAATATGTAGGTACATATAACGTATGTATTTTTGGCCAGGTGCAATGGCTCACGCCTGTAATCCCAACAGTTTGGGAGGCCAAGGCCAGCCTGGGCAACACAGCAAGACCCTGTTTCTACTGAAAATAATTTAACTAAAGTATGTATTTTTTAACTTCCTTCTCTTAAATTTTTAAAAAGAATTCAACTAATTATTACTGTTTTATGTAATACAAGATTAATAACAATACTGAATTATTAGGTTTATAGCAAATATAGATATAATAAACATGAAAACAATTGCATAAAAGGAGAAAGAAGCTATATTACAGAATTAAATTAGCATTAATTTAGTTAAATTGGGCTATAAGATGCTTATTATAATGACCAGACAAGTACTAAGAAAACAACTGAAAAATAGTAAAAACAAAAGACAAAAGCAATAAAATAATCATACGCTTAAAAAAACTATTAAACACAAAATAAGGCAATAAAAGAGGTACAAACAAACAGAAAAAGCCAAAAGATACACAAAAAAACAAATACCTGGCCGGGCATGGTGGCTCACACCTGTAACCCCAGCACTTTGGGAGGCTGAGGCAGGTGGATCACCTGAGGTCAGGAGTTAGAGACCAGCCTAGCCAACATGGTAAAATCCCATCTCTACTAAAAATACAAAAAATATTAGCTGGGCACAGTGGTGGGCGCCTGTAATCCCAGTTACTCGGGAGGCTGAGGCAGGAGAATCACTTGAGTCCAGGAGGCAGAGGTTCCAGCGAGCCGAGATCGTGTAACTGCACTCTAGCCTGAGCAACAGAGTGAGACATCATCTCAAGAAAAAAAAAACAAAAAACAAAACAAAACAAAACAAAAAATAGGCTGACACAGTAGCTTGCGCCTGTAATTCCAGCACTTCGGGAGGCCAAGGCAGGTGGATCACCTGAGGTCAGGAGTTTGAGACCAGCCTGATCAACATGGAGAAACCCTATCTCTACTAAAAATACAAAAATTAGCTGGGCATGGTGACGCATGCCTGTAATGCCAGCTACTCAGGAGGCTGAGGCAGGAGAATCGCTTGAACCTGGGAGGCAGAGGTTGCAGTGAGCCAAGATCACGCCATTGCGCTCCAGCCTGGGCAACAAGAGTGAAACTCCGTCTCAAAAAAAGACTCCACTCGGCCAGGCGCGGTGGCTCACGCCTGTAATCCCAGCACTTTGGGAGGCCGAGGCGGGCGGATCATGAGGTCAGGAGATCAAGACCATCCTGGCTAACACAGTGAAACCCCGTCTCTACTAAAAAATACAAAAAATTAACCAGGCATGGTGTCGGGCGCCTGTGGTCCCAGCTGTGGCTGAGGCAGGAGAATGGCGTGAACCCAGGAGGTGGAGCTTGCAGTGAGCCGATATGGTGCCACTGCACGCCAGCCTGGGCAAAAGAGCGAGACTCCATCTCAAAAAAATAAATAAATAAAATTTAAAAAAAAAAGACTCCACTCAAAAGACAGAAATTGTTAGAGTGGCTGGAAAAACAAGATCCAACTGTATGCCATCTACAAAAAACACACCATAGATTCAAACACAGAGAGATTGAAAGTAAAAGAATGAAAAAAGATATATCATGCAAACCAATAAAAAAAGGGCTTAGTATCAGATAAAATGGTATTATTAGAGACAGAGAGAAATCATATTATAAGAGAGTCATGACATCAGAAACAGAATTATAAATATATATCCACCAAACAATAAGACCTAAAATACATGCAGCAAAAATTGACAGAAAGAATAAAGAGTTCAACAAATGATAAAGACTTAAGTATCCCACTCTCAATAACTGATTGATATGGTTTGGCTGTGTCCCCACCCAAATCTCACCTTGAATTGTAATAATCCCCATGTGTCAAGGGTGGGGACAGGTGGAGATAACTGAATCATGGGGCAGTTTCCCCAATACTGTTCTCACGGTAGTGAATAAGTCTCAAGAGATCTGATGGTTTTATAAATGGGAGTTCCCCTGCACAAACTTTCTTGCCTGCTTCCATGTAAGACATGACTTTGCTCCTCTTTCACCTTCCATTATGATTGTGAGGCCTCCCCAGCCATGTGGAACTGTGAGTCAAACCTCTTTCCTTTATAAATTACCCAGTCTCAGATATGTCTTTATTTGCAGCGTGGGAACAGACTAATACATTGATTAAAAACCCAGACTGGGCCAGGCACGGTGGCTCACGCCTGTAATCCCAGCACTTTGGGAGGCTGAGGCAGGCGGATCATCAGGTCAGGAGTTCGAGATCAGCCTAACCAACATGGTGAAACCCCGTTTCTACTAAAAATACAAAAATTAGCTGGGTGTGGTGGCACGTGCCTGTAACCCCAGCTACTCAGGAGGCTGAGGCAGGAAAATCGCTTGAACCCGTGAGGCGGAGGTTGCAGTGAGCTGAGATGGTGCCACTGCACTCCAGCTTGGGCGACAGAGCGAGACTCTGCCTCAGAAAACAAACAAACAAACAAACAAAAAAAACAGACAGAAAATCAGTAATACTCCTCCATCCAACAAGAAAAGAATATTATATTCTCTTCAAACACAGCCAGAACATCCTCAAGGACAGACTATATACTAGGCCAAGGATCAGCAGACTATGGCCCAAGGGCCAAAGTCAGCTCTACTGCCTGTTTTTGTAAATAAAGTTTTATGCTAACATAAGCATGTCCATTGATTTATGTATTGTATTTGGAGGCTTCAGCACCAAAACGGCAGAAATGAATAGTTGTAACACAGACCATATGGCACATAAAGCCAAAATATTTATTATATGGCCCTTTATAGAGAAAGCTTGTTAAATTTTATAATAGATCATAAGAAATTCCCAATTTTTTAATGATTGAAATCATACAAAGTAGGTTCTCCAACAACAACAGAATTCAATAAAAATGAAGAGCAGAGAGAAATATGGGAAATCGCTAAACATTTCAAAATTAAAGAACATGCTTTTTTTTTTTTTTTTTTTTTTGAGACAGGGTCTCACTGTCACCCAGGGTGGAGTGCGGCAGCACAATCATGTTTCACTGATCCTCTCACCTAAGCCTCCCAAGTAGTTGCGACTACAGGTGGGCACCACCACACCCAAATAATTTTTGTATTTTTTGTAGAGATGGGGTTTCACCATGTTGCCCAGGCTGGTCACAAATAAACAACATAGTTTTAAACAACTCATGGGTCAAAGAAAAAAAATTCACAAAGGAAATTAGAAAATATTTTGAACTGAAAGAAAATAAAAACATAATAGCCAGGCGTGGTGGCTCACGCCTGTAATCCCAGCACTTTGGGAGGCCAAGGCGGGCAGATCATGAGGTCAGGAGATCGAGACCATCCTGACTAACACGGTGAAACCCCGTTTCTACTAAAAATACAAAAAAAATTAGCCGGGCATGGTGGCGGGTGCCTGTAGTCCCAGCTACTCGGGAGGCTGAGGCAGGAGAATGGTGTGAACCCAGGAGGCAGAGCTTGCAGTGAGCCGAGATCACGCCACTGCACTCCAGCCTGGGTGGAACAGTGAGACTCGGTCTAAAAAAAAAAAAAAAAGAAAGAAAATAAAAATATAACACATCAAAATTTATGGGGTATAGCTAAATTGGTACTTAAAACATCTATAGCAGAAAAGAAGAAAGGTCTTCAATCTATAGCTTGAGTTTCCAATTTAAGAAATTAGAAAAAGAAAAGCCAACTAAATCCCAAGCAAGCAGAAGGTAGGAAATACTACAGATTAGACCACAATCAATCAAAGAGTATATGGAAAAACACTAGAGAAAAGCAATAAAACCAAAAGTTGGTTCTTTTTACCTACAGATAGGTTGACCAGAATAAAAAAGACACAATTTACCAAAATCAGGAATAAAACAAAGAACATCATTACAGACCCTACAAAAATTCAAGGGATTATGAAGAAATGCTATGAGCAACTTTATGTCCACAAATTTGACAACTCTGATGAAATGAACAAATTCCTAGAAAAACTTACATTACTAAGATTGACTTAAAAAGGGTAGGATATCAAGAAATTGAATTAATAATCTAAAATCCTTCCCACACACACACAAAAAAGCACAAGGCCAGATTGTGTCTTATCAAATATTTAAAGAAGAAATAATAGAATTCTCCACAAACTGTTTTAGAAAATAGAAGAACAGGCCGGGCACAGTGGCTCACGCCTGTAATCCCAGCACTTTGGGAGGCCGAGGTGGGGGGATCACGAGGTCAAGAGATTGAGACCATCCTGGCTCACATGGTGAAACCCCATCTCTACTAAAAACGCAAAAATTAGCCAGGCATGGTGGTGCGCACCTGTAGTCCCAGCTACTTGGGAGGCTGAGGCAAGAGAATCGCTTGAACCCAGGAGGCGGAGGTTGCAGTGAGCCGAGATTGCACCACTGCACTCCAACCTGGGGACAAAGCGAGACTCTGTCTCAAAAAAAGAAAAAGAAAATAGAAGAACAGTCTGGGTGCAGTGGTTCATGCCTGTAATCCCAGCACTCTGGGAGGCCAAGGCGGGTGGATCACCTGAAATCAGGAGTTCAAGACCAGCCTGGCCAATATGGCAAAACCCTGTCTCTACTAAAAATACAAAAACTTAGCCGGGCATGGTGGCAGGCACTTGTAATCCTAGCTACTTGGGAGGCTGAAGCAGGAGAACTGCTTGAACCCAGGAGGCGGAGGTTGCAGTGAGCCGAGATCGTGCCATTGCACCCCAGCCTGGGCGACAGAGTAAGACTGTGTCTCAAAAAAAAAAAAAAGAAAAGAAAAGAAAATAGAAGAACATTCTCTAATTAATTCTATGAGGCCTGTGTAGCAGGCAGAATTCTAAAGATATCTCCCCAAGATTCCTGTCCCCTAATTATTCAATCAAACATAATCTATGTACTGCTACGAAGGGACTTTGCAGATGTAATTAATGTCACAGACCTTAAAATAAGGAGATTAGTCTGGATTATCTGGATGGGCCCAATCTAATCGCATGAGCCCTTAAGACGGGAGAAATTTCTCTGGCTAGAGCTAAGAAAGATGCATCACAGAGATGTGGCAAAGGGGAAAGACAGATTTGAAGCAAGAGGAACCTAACCTGCTGTAACTGGCTTTGAAGGGGGCCAGGAGGCTAGGAAATGCAGACAGCCTCTAGAAGCTGAGAAGAATCCCAGGCCAACAGCCAGGAAGGAACTGGGAACCTCAGTCCTACAGCCACATGGAACTGCATTCTGCCAACAGCCTGAGTGAGCCTGAAAATGAATGCTTCACTAGAGCTTCCTGAAAGGAACAAAGCCTTGCCTTGGTTTCAACCTTGTAGAGAACCATCTGAGCCACATTGTGCCCAACATCTGACCTACAGAAACTGAGATGAGACATGCATGTTGCTTTAAGTCATTAAGTTTGTGGTAATTTGTTACAGCAGCAATGGAAAACTAAAAAAATCCATGTTTCCCTGATACTGCAACCAGACAAAGACATCACTAGAAAACTACAGATCAGGCTGGGTGTGGTGGCTCACACCTGCAATCCCAGCACTTTGGGAGGTCAAGGCGGGCAGATCACCTGAGCTCAGGAGTTCGAGACCACCTTGGGCAACATGGTGAAACCCCATCTCTACTAAAAATACAAAAATTATCTGGGTGTGGTGGCGCGTGCCTGTAGTCCCACCTACTCAGGAGGCTGAGGCAAAAAATCACTTGAGCCCAGGAGGCAGAGGTTGCAGTGGGCTGAGATTGCATCAATGCACTCCAGCTTGGGCTACAGAGTGCGACTCTGTCTCAAAAAAACAAAAACAAAAACAAACCAAAAAAACACTACAGATCAACATTCCTCATAAATATAGGAGAAATACATCATTAACAAAATATTAGCAAGCCAGGCCAGGCACGATGGCTCACGCCTGTCTATAATCCTAGCACTTTGGGAGGCCGAGGCAGGCAGATCACTTGAGCTCAGGAGTCTTGACCAGCCTGGGCAACACTGTGAAACTCCATTTCTACAAAAAACATTTTTAAAAATTAGCCAGGTGTGGTGACACACACCTGCAGTCCCAGCTACTTGGGAGGCTGAGGGAGTAGGATCACTTGAACCTGGGAGGTTGAGGCTGCAGTGACCCAAGATCGCGCCACTACACTCCAGCCTGGGTGACAAAGTGAGACGCTGTCTCAAAAAGAGAAAAGATAAAGAAAAGAAAATAAATATATATATATATATGCAAGCCAAATTCAGCAACATAGAAAACAATTGTAATACCATGACCAAGTGGGACTTATTCCAGGAATGGAAGATTGGCTTAACATGCAAAAACCAATTAATGTAACACACAGTATCAATCAAATAAATGATAAAAGTCACATGATCATCTCAGTAGGTACAGAAAAAGCATTTTCACGCACCCATACCCATTCATGGTTTTTAAAAAAGGGGAAATGTTCTCACCTTTATAAAGGCCATCTATGAAAAACCTACAACTAATATCATACTCCATAATAAAACACAAAATATTTTCTTCCTTAGATAAGAAAAAACAAGAATGCACACCTCATCACTTGTTTTCAACAACATACTGAAAGATCTTGTCAGTGCAATAAGGATGAAAGAAAAGAAAAGAAAGTAAAGGCATCACAATTGGAAAGGAAGAAGTAACATGTTTTTATTCAAAGATAATATGACCCATATACAGAAAATCCTAAGGAATCCAAACACATATACACACACACCAAAAATACTGCTAAGGACTAAAACATTAGTTCAGCAAGGTCTAATAATTAAACCAATATACAAAAAGTAATGGTATCTGGCTGGGTGCAGTGGCTGACACCTGTAATCCCTGCACTTTGGGAGGCTGAGGCCGGTGGATCACCAGAGATCAGGAGTTCAAGACTGGCCTGGCCAACATGGTGAAACCCCATCTCTACTAAAAATACAAAAACTAGCTGGGCGTGGTGGCGAGCACCTGTAATCCCAGCTACTCAGCAGGCTGAGACAGGAGAATCGCTTGAACCTGGGAGGCAGAGGTTGCAGTGAGCCGAGATCACACCATTGCACTCCAGCCTGGACAACTAGAGCGAAACTCCATCTCAAAAAAATAGAAAGCAAGTAATGGTATATCTATATACTAGCAATAAACAATCCAAAAATAAAATTAACAAAAAATTACATTCACAATAGCATCACGAATTAAGGCTGGGTGTAATGGCTCACACCTATAATCCAAGCACTTTGGGAGGCTGAGGCAAGAGGACTGCTTTAGCCCAGGAGTTCAAGACCACCCTGGGGAAAAAAGCGAGACCCCATTTCTACAAAAAAAAATTTAAATTAGCTGGGCACAATGACGTGCAACTACAGTCCCAGCTACTCACAGGAGGCAGGCTGAAGCAGGAAGATCACTTGAGCCCAGGAGTTTGAGGCTGCAGTGAGCTATGATCATGCCACTGCACCAGCCTGGGTGACAGAGGAAGACCCTGTCTCTTAAAAAAAAAAAAACAACAACAAAACTTAAATACTTAGGAATAAAAATAACAGATGTACAAATCTCATACTCTGAAAATTAGAAAACATAGTTGAGAGAAAGAAATTAAAGATCTAAATGAATAGAGACACATTCCATATTCATGAACTGGAACATTCATATTCTCCCAATTTAATTTATAAGCGTAATACAGTCCCTATTAAAATTTCAGCAAGCATTTTTGTAGAAACTGACAAGCTGATCATAAAATTTATATGGAAATTCAAAGAAACCAGAATTGCCAAAACAATTTTGAAAATTTTGGAGGACTTCCACTACCTGATTTCAAAACTTACTATAAAGCTACAGTCATGAAGACAGTGTGGTACTGTCATAAGAATAGGCACACATATCAATGGGCACAAAATTGAGAATCCAAAAATAAACCTTCATATCTATGGACAACTGATTTTCAACAAAGGCACTAGAGATATTCAATAGGGAAAAGAGAGTCTTTTCAACAAATAGTATTGGGACAACTGGACTTCCAAATACATAAAAATGAACTCAGACTTTTACCTCATACTATATATAAAAATTAACTCAAAATGGATCACAGACCCAAATGGCTAAAACTGTAAAACCCTAGAAAAAACATAAGAGGAAGGTCATGATTTTTTTTTAGTGAGAGTTCTTCAAAAGCACAAACCATACAATCTATAAAAGAAAAAAAAAAGCTAGAATTCAAATTTAAGACTTTTCATACTTCAAAAAACAACATGCACCTTATGGTATCAGCAATAAGAACAGGCATATAGATCAATAGAATAGAAGTGAAAGTATAGACAAGAATCCTCACATTTATGGTCAATTTATTTTCAACAAAGGTGACAAGAAAATTCAACAGGGAAAGAATAATCTTTTCAACAAATGGTGCTGGGATAACTGAATATCCACATACAAAAGAATATACACTACCACATAAAAAATTAGCTCAAAATGCAAAAGCAATGAAAGTAGAGTCTCAGAGATATCTGCACACCTATGTTCACTGCAGCATTATTCACAATAGCCAAGAGGTGGAGCACCTAAATGTCTATCAGCAGACAAATGGTTAAACAAAATAAAGTATATACATACAATGGAATATTATTCGGCCTTAAAGAGGAAGGAAATTCTGACACATGCTACAAGGATGAACCTTAAGGACAGATGCTAATAGAATAAGCCAGTCACAAAAGGACAAATGTTGTAAGGATTCCACTTATGTGAGATACCTAAGCTAGTCAAATTCATAGAGACAGGAAGCAGAATGGTAGTTGCTGGGGGCTGGAGGGAAAGGAGAGAGTGAGGATGTTTAATGAATAAAGAGTTTTAGTTTTGCAAAATGAAGAGTTCTGGACATGAATGGTGATAATGGTGAATGTAATTTTTTTTTTTTTTTTTTTTTTTTTTTTTTTTTTTTAAGGAGACATGGTCTCTCTCTGTTGCCCAGACTGGAGGGCAGTGGCACAATCATAGCTCACTGCCACCTCAAACTCCTGGACTCAAGCAATCCTCCCACCTCAGCCTAATCAACACAGTGAGATTCCATCTCTATCCACAAGGTTGTCACCTAAACTTGCTCCTGCAAAGGGGGAAACGAAGCCAAAAAAGACAGCAGGAAAGGATAAATCTTCAGACAAAAAAGCACAAACAAAAAGCAAAACTGGTAGCAAAGGGAAAACAGGACAAAGTAGCTAACCAAGAAACTAAGATTTACCTGCAGAAAATGGAGAAACGACAAACGAGGAGGGTTCAGCCTCCAACGCAGCAAGAGAGAAAGAAGCCTAGTTTGATTAATATCAAATACCCTGTCTTATCCGTGGTCCTAGTCTCCCTTCTTGCACAATCCAGAGAAATATTTTTATCAACTATTTTTTAAATGTGTTTTATAGTAGCTCTAGAAACATTTTAGAAGGAGGGAATCCCACATTGTAGGAGGGACTCCCACATTGTCCCATTTATTAAGTGTAAGTGATTTTTTGTAAGAGGTACAATTATTTGCTTGTTATTTTTTGGTACAACAGAAGATAATGTGGGATACTGAATTATGGAAAGCTTTGACTATCTTGGGTGTCAGCTGGGCAGGTAGTTTTTATATCCTATAATACAAAAGCAATGGCAATACTCAATGGCAATGTGGAGTCAGAGTTGTGCATTCAATTCTTGAACATTTTAAATTATTTCCATTACCATGTTGTTTTTTCGTAGAATTGTTTCCTGAAGAAAACCACTCCTGGTCATGGCTCTCCCTGTCAGAATTGTGTGCGCTCTGTAACATCTTTGGTCATGGTAGCTCTGTTTTCCTAGTAATTTTGTTAATGTGCTGTGAAAGGTGAAAAATTTGCATATGTTGTGTATATGATATTAAGTTGTGAATTGGTAAGACTTACCTAACGGCTTATCAACATCTGAAGATACTGGAACTTGATATCCTCTTAAGGAAAATTTGCCTCCAAATTTTAAGTCACTGCAAATAACTGTTTAAAACAGAATTGTAACACATGGCTTTTTAGATTTTCGGTACATACGTTAAGAATTGTGTACAACTGAATGTCTGTGTACTGATCTTCAGTACAACCAATAAAATCTCAACTATGAAAGAAAAAAGGTAATTGGATTTTGAAAGGAAATTGGTAAAGAGATTCACTAGAGTTGTGAAAGAAAGTCAGATTGATGTTAAGTGGACTAATAAAGAAGTAGAAGAAAAGAACATATCTACTTCTCTTTCTAAAAGAGGGGGAAGACAGCCCACTTAAGGAGAAAATAGGAAGCTATTTTTAGGATTGAAGGAACATGTTTTTAGGAAAGAGGGCAGAAACCAACAAGGAGAAATAAAGATTGAAGATCTGAACGAGAAGAGATACTTGATGGATTATGGTACTTGAGAATACAACTGCAATTTGATAAATAGCAGATTTAAAAAACAGAACAATTAACTTAGGAAAGAGGTACTATTACTTAGAAATAAGTACTAATCCAAGCCAGAGTTGAAGAGGGCTTGAGTGAGGAATGTAGCAGTAAGAAGGAAATAGAAAGGTATAAGATACACTGTAGCCCAATTAGAAAACGATGATCATTTATTACACTATTTAAAGAAATTAATATCTATAATGCACTTAGAATAGTGCTTGTACATAGCAAACACCATCTAAGCAGTTGTTAAATAAATTTTTTGAAAAACAAAATGTATTTGAGAAGGAGGAAACTTTTAAGTGGAGAAACCTGGCAAAAACCACCTTAACCAAGTGACCAAAGTTATTAGCACTATTAATAAGGCAAATGAACATCATGTGGCTCCTGAAATACTTAACTGAGAAAGACACATCATTTACAATAGTATTCCTGCCAAAACTGCATAATCTGAATCTAATCATAAGGAAACACCAAACAAATTGAAGGACAATCTGCCAACAACTGGCCTGTATTTATTAAAAAATATTGGCCAGGCACAGTGGCTCATGCCTGTAATCCCAGCACTCTGGGAGGCCGAGGCAGGCAAATCACAAGGTCAAGAGATCGAGACCATCCTGGCTAACATGGTGAAACCCCGTCTCTACTAAAAACACAAAAATTAGCTGGCCGTGGTGGTGTGCGCCTGTCGTCCCAGCTACTCGGGAGGCTGAGGCAGAAGAATCGCTTGAACTCGGGAGGTGGAAGTTGCAGTGAGCCAAGATCGCACCACTGCACTGCAGCCTGGTGATGGAGTGAGCTCCATCTCAAAAAAAAAAAAAAAATTAATGCCATGAAATTCAACGAAAAATTGAAGAACTGCTTCAGATTAGAGACTGAAGACATGATAACTAAATATAATGCATGGTCCTGGATTAGATCTTAAGAGCGGGAGAAAAGAGGCTGCTGTAAGGGACATGAATGGGACAACTGGCTAGATGGAAATAAGGAGCTGTACATCAGGAAATACACTATTATATCAACATTTCAGTTCCTGGACTTTGACTCTTCAGGTTTATGTTAGAGAATGACTTTGTGATTAGGAAATACATGCTGCAATATTTAGGGATAGAGGAACATGAAGTCTACAGCCTACTCTCTCAAATGGCTCAGAAAACAACAATAACATGAATATGGAGAGAAATAATGATAAAGCAAACGTGACAAGATGTTAACATTTGGTGCTAAAGAAAGCATATCAGAGAGTTCTTTGTATTATTCTCGTAACTTTTCAGTAAGTTTGAAATTATGTCCAAAAGTTAAAAACCTATTGCTGCATAAACATATTCTAAATTTAACTTGGGGTATCAGGAACTTAACTTATCCTGATGAAACTTCTACAACATAAGTGGAAACTCCTCTTTGCTCTCGTAGCAAAGAAATGAAAATGGAATCTCAGGAAACTAATGTCAGCGTAAAGACATAGGAAAGGGCAAAGACGCCAGGTGTTCCTGGCAGTAGTAAGAAAAAGAAACAAATAATGCACATTCCCAGCATCAGTGGATACCTGAACAGAAGGGATGACTGCTAAGGTGGGAAGGAATTTCAACTGAATGTCTCCAAACCTGAACTCCTGATTTTATTCATCACCCAAAGCATACACTTTCCCAAGTCTTCACCTTCTCAGTATGTGGTACTAACCACTCACCCAACTGCTCAAGCCAAAAGCCCTGTAATTATCCTTGACTCCTCTATTTTCCTCAGATACCACAACCAAACGATCAGCAAGTTCTAACTATTCTCCAAATCCAACTGCTTCTCGCCATTCCACTGTTACCACTCTAGTCCAAGCCATCGTGATTTTTACAGCTTGTGCTATTATCATAGCTTCCTGAGTTCCCTGCTTCTCTTGTTAATGTAGTCTATTTTTCACACAGAAGCCAGTTTTTTAAGAAAAAACAACTCAGATCATGTCACTCCTCTACTCAAAACCCTTCAGTGCTCCCCATGACCAGCAAGCCCTACCTGACCTGGCCCCTGGAACTGGTAACTTCCTCCCCCAGCATCACCCCTTGCTCAATGCACTTCAGCTAATACCTGCCATGCCTCAAGCAAGCCAAGCACCTACCACTTCAAGGCCTTTGAACTTGCCATTCTGTCTGCCTGGAATGCTCTTCTCCTAGATTCACATGAATCGTTCTCTCTCTTTGTTCAAATGTCATCTCCTCAGAGATTCCTTCTCTAATCATCCTACATACAGCAGCCCCTGCCACTCCTATTCCTTTACCCTGTGTTTTTCTACATTTTTTTCTACAACTGTTACTATCTAGCATTATATTCTGTATTTATTTATTGTCTATCTCCCTCAATAGGATGTAAACTTGAGGACAAGAACTTGGACTCCATGAGGACAGAGCCTTTGATTATCTTGATAATTCTTGTATCCCTAGGCCTAGAACTATACCGGGCACATAGCAGATAGACAGTAAATTAGCTGGCTGACTGAATGAATGAATGAATGAATGAAGAGTACTCCTGATCATGAGGGTTATATAACAAGGTAATAAATAATTCATTAAGCCATACACTTAAATGTGTGCATTTTGCTGTATATGTTATACTTAAAATTTGAGGAGAGACTTAACATTATTGCTCATCGGCAAGATGCAAAATAAAAATTAAACACACACAGGAAAGGCTAAAATTTTTTAAAAATAGACAATACCAAGTTTGGTCAGGATGTGGACCAACTAGATTCTCAAATATTGCTCATGGGAACGTAGAATGGAAAAATAACTTTGGAAAACTATCTGGAATTTGCTAATAAATTTAAATATATGCCCATCTTATGACCCAGCAACTTCACTCCTAGACATACACCCAAAAGAAATAAGTACATATGGCTACAAATAAGAATATTAACAGCAGCTTTATTCATAATAGCCCAATCTGGTAACAAGAAGATGAATAGACTAATTGTGGTATATTGATATAATTAAAAACTACTAATAAAAAAGAAACACTGAAAAAAGAAACACTGCTACATACAACATAGCTATATCTCATAGGCATTGTTAAACAAAGAAGTCAGACCCAAAGAGTACATACTATAGGATTCTGTTTATATCAAGTACAAGAACAGGCAAAAATAATATCAGTGATAGAAGTTAGAATATTGGTTACCTCTGGAGGGACAGTGTTCCTCTGAGAAAAGACATCAGGGAACTGTCTTGGTGGGGAAATGTTCTACATCTTGATCTGGGTGGTAATTACATGGGTACAACATATGTAAAAATTCACTGATTACCCTTAAGATTTGTACATTTTACTGCATAAAAAACAACTTGAAAGCTTTTTAATTTTTTTATGTAAAATCTAGGGAAAAAACTTCAAAGCATATTCTTGACTAGTCATTTGTACATAAGAAACCATTCAGCTCCCTCTCCCTCCTCTCCCTCTCCCTCTCCCTCTCCCCACGGTCTCCCTCTCCCTCTTTTTCCACGGTCTCCCCCTGATGCCGAGCCAAAGCTGGACTGTACTGCTGCCATCTCGGCTCACTGCAACCTCCCTGCCTGATTCTCCTGCCTCAGCCTGCCCAGTGCCTGCGATTGCAGGCGCGCGCCGCCATGCCTGACTGGTTTTCGTATTTTTTTGGTGGAGACGGGGTTTCGCTGTGTTGGCCGGGCTGGTCTCCAGCTCCTAACCGCGAGTGATCCGCCAGCCTTGGCCTCCCGAGGTGCCGGGATGGCAGACGGAGTCGCGTTCACTCAGTGCTCAATGGTGCCCAGGCTGGAGTGCAGTGGCGTGATCTCGGCTCGCTACAACCTCCACCTCCCAGCTGCCTGCCTTGGCCCCCCAAAGTGCTGAGATTGCAGCCTCTGCCCGGCCACCACCCCGTCTGGGAAGTGAGGAGCGTCTCTGCCTGGCCGCCCATCGTCTGGGATGTGAGGAGCCTCTCTGCCTGGCTGCCCAGTCTGGAAAGTGAGGAGCGTCTCTGCCCGGCCGCCATCCCATCTAGGAAGTGAGGAGCGTCTCTGCCAGGCCGCCCATCGTCTGAGATGTGGGGAGCGCCTCTGCCCTGCCGCCCCGTCTGGGATGTGAGGAGCGTCTCTGCCCGGCCGCCCCGTCTGAGAAGTGAGGAGACCCTCTGCCTGGCAACCGCCCCGTCTGAGAAGTGAGGAGCCCCTCCACCCGGCAGCCACACCGTCTGAAAAGTGAGGAGCCCCTCCGCCCGGCAGCCACTCCGTCTGGGAAGTGAGGAGCGTCTCCACCCGGCAGCCACCCCGTCTGGGAGGGAGGTGGGGGTCAGCCCCCCGCCCGGCCAGCCGCCCCAGTCCGGAATGGAGGTGGGGGGGTTAGCCCCCTGCCCGGCCAGCCGCCCCATCCGGGAGGGAGGTGGGGGGGTCATCCCCCCGCCCGGCCAGCCGCCCCGTCCGGGAGGGAGGTGGGGGGGTCAGCCCCCCGCCCGGACAGCCGCCCCGTCCAGGAGGTGAGGGGCGCCTCTGCCCGGCCGCCCCTACTGGGAAGTGAGGAGCCCCTCTGCCCGGCCAGCCGCCCTGTCCGGGAAGGATGTGGGGGGGTCAGCCCCCCGCCCGGCCAGCCGCCCCATCCGGGAGGTGAGGGGCGCCTCTGCCCGGCCGCCCCTACTGGGAAGAGAGGAGCCCCTCTGCCCGGCCAGCCGCCCCGTCCGGGAGGGAGGTGGGGGGGTCAGCCCCCGGCCCGGCCAGCCACCCCGTCCGGGAGGGAGGTGGGGAGGTCAGCCCCCCGCCCGGCCAGGAGGCGGGGGGGTCAGCCCCCCGCCCGGCCAGCCGCCCCGTCCGGGAGGTAAGGGGCGCCTCTGCCTGGCCGCCCCTACTGGGAAGTGAGGAGCCCCTCTGCCCGGCCAGCCGCCCCCTCCGGGAGGGAGGTGGGGGGGTCAGCCCCCAACCCGGCCAGCTGCCCCATCCGGGAGATGAGGGGCGCCTCTGCCCGGCCGCCCCTACTGCGAAGTGAGGAGCCCCTCTGCCCGGCCAGCCGCCCCATCCGGGAGGGAGGTGGGGAGGTCAGCCCCCCGCCCGGCCAGCCGCCCCGTCCGGGAGGTGAGGGGCGCCTCTGCCCGGCCGCCCCTACTGGGAAGTGAGGAGCCCCTCTGCCCGGCCACCACCCCGTCTGGGAGGTGTACTCAACAGCTCATTGAGAACGGGCCATGATGACAATGGCGGTTTTGTGGAATAGAAAGGGGGTAAAGGTGGGGAAAAGATTGAGAAATCGGATGGTTGCCATGTCTGTGTAGAAAGAGGTAGACATGGGAGACTTTTCATTTTGTTCTGTACTAAGAAAAATTCTTCTGCCTTGGGATCCTGTTGATCTGTGACCTTACCCCCAACCCTGTGCTCTCTGAAACATGTGCTGTGTCCACTCAGGGTTGAATGGATTAAGGGTGGTGCAAGATGTGCTTTGTTAAACAAATGCTTGAAGGCAGCATGCTCGTTAAGAGTCATCACCACTCCCTAATCTCAAGTACCCAGGGACACAAACACTGCGGAAGGCCGCAGGGTCCTCTGCCTAGGAAAACCAGAGACCTTTGTTCACTTATCTGCTGACCTTCCCTCCGCTATTGTCCTGTGACCCTGCCAAATCCCCCTCTGCGAGAAACACCCAAGAATGATCAATTAAAAAAAAAAAAAAAAAAAAAAAAAAGAAACCATTCAGTAGCCGGGCACGGTGGCTCACACCTGTTATCCTAGCACTTTGGGAGGCTGAGGCGGGCGGATCACTTGAGCTCAGGAGTTCCAGACCAGCCTGGCCATCATGGCAAAACCCCGTCCCTACTAAAAATACAAAAATTAGCCAGGCGCACTGGCGTGTGCATGTAGTCCCAGCTACTCAGGAGGAGGCTGAGGCAGGAAGATTGCTTGAGGCCAGGAGACAAACTGCAGTAAGCCAAGATCATACCATGGCACTCTGGCCCGGGCGACAAAGCTAGACCTTATCTTTAAAAAAAAAAAAGGCCAGGCACAGTGGCTCACGCCTGTAATCCCAGCACTTTGGAAGGCTGAGGCAGGCGGATCATGAGGTCAGGAGATCGAGACCATCCTGGCTAAAACAGTGAAACCCCGCCTCTACTAAAAATACAAAAAATTAGCCGGGTATGGTGGCAGGCGCCTGTAGTCCCAGCTACTTGGGAGGCTGAGGCAGGAGAATGGCGTGAACCCGGGAGGAGGAGCTTGCAGTGAGCTGAGATTGCGCCACTGCACTCCAACCTGGGCGACAGACAGAGCAAGACTCCATCTCAAAAAAAAAAAAAAAAAAAAAAGCCATTCAGTTAAGCATTTTCCCAAATGGGAACAAATGTATGTAATACTATATTATATTAATTAAATACCATATTGTATTAAATTAAAACCTGAAATGTGGGGATACTAGTAAATAATAACGGCTGGATGTATTAAAAGAAAATAAAAATTATTAAATCTGGGTTTTTATATAAATTTGTTACTGCTTACTAAATGATAAAACAAGATTTGAAACTGTCAGTCTGGGATTAGTACCCACTGAGCTAGGGCTTAAAGCTAAGAAAACCAATGAACCAGATTCCATATTCAAGTTAGCCTTGCTCTAAAGAAGTATATGGTCACAGACCACATCCCTAGTACTATGACTCCTGAACCAGAGGGTACAGCTCAATGACTCTCAAGGTATAGAAATGAGAGAACAGACATGTAGTTCTCAACTTATCACTCTTATTGTTCTTTATACTTATTTTTCATTTCAAATCACAACAGAAGAGGGCCTAAAGTTTTTATATTTATCGGAATGGGAACATGTATTAAAAGGAGATGAGCAAGAGAGACAAAAAGCAGAATAGAGGTTACCAAGGGCTGGCGGGGAGGAGGAGTTATTGTTTAATGGATACAAAGTTTTTGTTGGGGTGATGATAAGTTTTGGGTTAGACAGTGGTGATGACTACACAACACTGTGAATGTATTTAATACCAGTAATTTGGCATCAACATACAAATGGTTAAAACGATAAATATTATGTTATGTATATATTTAAACTTCAGTAATAGATCCCAAATAGCCAAACCAATCTTGAAAAAGAAAAACAAGGAGTTGGAGGCCTCACATTTCTTGATTTCAAAACATATTACAAAGCTATAGTGATCAAAACAGTGTAGTACTGGCATAAAGACATACATTTAGACTAACGGAATAGAATAGAGAGCCCAGAAATAAATCCTCACATATATGGTCAAAAGATCTTCAACAAAGGGGCCAAGAACATTAGATGAGAAAAGGACAGTCTCTTCAACAAATGACGTTGGGAAAACTGGATATCTACATGCAAAAGAATGAAGCTGGACCGTTACCTTACACCATACACAAAAATTAACTCAAAAAGAAATAAGGAACCAAATGTAAGACCTAAAACTATGAAACTCCTAGAAGAAAACAAGGGGAAAGCTTCATGAGGCAGGATTTGGCAATTTCTTAGATATGACAGCAAAAGTGCACGCAAAAAAGCAGTAATAGACAAATGGGATTACATTAAACTTAAAACTTCTAAGCAATCAATGAAGTAAAAAGGCAACCAATGAAATGGCAGAAAATACTTGCAAGTCATATATCTATTATAAAGGGTTAATATCCAGAATTTATGAAGAACTCCTGCAAATCCACAACAACAACAACAACAACAAAAACCCAACTGTACAATAGGCAAAGGAGTTAAACAGGCATTTCTCCAGAGAAGATAAATAAATGGTCACCAAACACGTGAAAAGATGCTCAATCACTCATTATTAGAGAAATGCAAATCAAAACCACAATGATCAGGAGCTCATGTGCTCTTAAAAAAGCAAAACAAAACCAGGGTCAGGTTGAAATGGCTTACGCCTGTAATCCCAGCACTTTGGGAGGCCGAGGTCGGCAGATCACTTGAGGTCAGGAGTTCGAGACCAGCCTGGCCAACATGGTGAAACCCTGTCTCTACTAAAAATACAAAAATTAGCCAGGCATGGTGGTGCACACCTGTAGTCCCAGCTACTCGGGAGCCTGAAGCAGGAGAATCGCTTGAACCTGGGAGGCGGAGGTTGCAGTGAGCTGAGATCACGCAACTGCACTCCAGCCTGTGTGACAGAGAGACTCCGTCTCAAACAAAACAAAACAAAACAAGACACAATGAGTTAACACCTTGAACCCACTAGGATGGCTGCTACCCAAAATAAAACAAAGTAAAAACAAAAACAGAAAATAAAATAAGTATTAGTAAAGATGTGGAAAAATTGGAACCCTTGTGTACTGCTGGCAAGAATGTAAAATGGTAATGGCCACTATGGAAAACAGTATAAAGGTTCCCAAAAAATTAAAATTAGAACTACCACATGATCCAGGACTCCCAACTCTGGATACGTATTCAAAACATCTCAAAGCTGAATATCAAAGAGATATTTGTGTACTCATGTTCATGGTAGCATTATTCAGAAAAGAGGTGAAAGCAACCGGTGTCTATCAAAGGATGAATAGATAAAATGTGGTATATACATACAAGAGAATATTATTCAGCCTTTAAAAAAAAGGAAATCCTGTCACATGCTACAACATGGAGGAACCTTGAGGACAATGCACTAATTGAAACAAGCCAGTTGCAAAAAGACAAAAACTGTATGATTCCACTTATATGAGGTAAAGTAGTCAAACTCATAGAAACAGAAAGTAGAATGGTGGGCCAGGGGCTGGGTTGTTATTTAATGGGTATGGAATTTCAGTTTTGCAAAGATAAAAAAACTTTGGGCGATCTGTTATACAACAATGTGAATATACTTAACGCTCCTGAACTTTCATTTACATATGTATATATATTTTGAGACGGAGTCTCACTCTGTCGCCCAGGCTGGAGTGCAGTGGTGCTATCTTGGCTCACTGAAACCTCCGCCTCCTGGGTTCAAGTGACTCTTCTGCCTCAGCGTCCCCAGTAGCTGGGACTACAGGCGCCTGCCACCACACCCAGCTAATTTTTGTATTTTTAGTAGAGACAGGGTTTCACTATGTTGGCCAGGCTGGTCTCGAACTCCTGAACCCATGATCCACCTGCCTCACCCTCCCCAAGTGCTGGGATTACAGGCATAAGCCAGCACGCCCAGCCACCTGTGTGTTTTATCATCATTTTTGCAAAAATCCAAAATGATGACAAAACACACAGGTACTGAGGTGTGGACAAACAGGCCCCTCACATCTAAGTGAGAATGTAAATTTATACAGTATCTTTGGAAGACAACTAAGCAGTAGCTGTCAAAATTAAAAATGTATATATTATTTGACCCAGGAAGACAATTTGTTTTTTTTGACAAGGTCTTGTTTTGTTGCCCAGGCTCACTGTACCCTCAACCTCCCAGGTTCAAACGATCCTCCCGAGTAGCTGGGACTACAGGTGCACACTACCACACCTAGCTAATTCTTGTATTTTTTGTAAACACAGGGTTTCATATGTTGCTCATGCTGGTCTCAAACTGCTGAGCTCAAGTGATCCTCCTGCCTCGGCCTCCCAAAGTGCTGGGATTACAAACATGAGCTATCACACCCACCCTAGCAAGACAATTTCTAGGAATTTACCTTGCAAGGCTGTTTGCAAATGTATAAACCTATGTATTC
Source organism: Homo sapiens (assembly GCF_000001405.40). Lineage (NCBI taxonomy): Eukaryota > Metazoa > Chordata > Mammalia > Primates > Hominidae > Homo > Homo sapiens. The sequence continues at coordinate 49,431,685 of NC_000012.12, read as the reverse complement.
AAGGTTATCCAATGCAACATTATTTATAAGAGCAAAATATTCAAACTAATTGTCAATTAATAGGACACTGGTTTAATTAATTGTAATCTGTCCACATAATGAGAATACTGTGCAAATGTTTTTGAGAAAAGTTCTTTGGGCCCGGTGCGGTGGCTCATGCCTGAATTCCCAGCACTTTGGGAAGCCGAGGCGGGCAGATCACAAGGTTGGGAGTTCAAGACCAGCCTGACCAACACGGTGAAACCCCGTCTCTACTAAAAAAGCAAAAGATTAGCTGGGCGTGGTGGCGCGTGCCTGTAGTCCCAGCTACTCAGGAGGCCAGGGCAGGAGAATCACTTGAACCCAGAAGACGGAGGTTGCAGTGAGCCAAGATCGCGCCACTGCACTCCAGCCTGGGCGACAGAGCGAGGCTCCACCTTAAAAAGAAAAAAAAAAAGTTCTTTATATATTTATTAAGTGAATATGATGGAGAAAGTAATGTATTTGCACTGGTTTGCACATATATAAAAACTGTATACCTGGAAGGATAGACAAAAAACTAGTAGCAGTGATGATCTCTTGAAGAATGGAAACTGAAAAGATAGGAAACTAGGGTAAGAAAGACTTTTCAGTCTACCTTTTTATATTTTGACATTGGAATAATATAAACATCTTATCTGTTCAAAAAAATTAATAGCGCACCCTTTTTAAAAAGACCCCAGCTGGGCACAGTGGCTCATGCCTGTAATCCCACTGAGGCGGGTGGATCATTTGAGGTCAGGAGTTCGAGATTAGCCCGGCCAACATGGTGAAACTCCATCACTACTAAAAATACAAAAATTAGCCAGGTGTGGTGGCACATGCCTGTAGTCCCAGCTACTCAGGAGCTGAGGCAGGAGAATTGCTTGAACCCAGGAGGTGGAGGCTAAAATGAGCCCATATGGTGCCACTGCACTCCAGCCTGGGTGACAGAGAGAGATTCTATTTCAAAAAAGTAAAAATAAATAAGACCCTTACCCAGTAAATTAAATCAAAGCTGAAAGCCTTCATTTGAATCTAAATAATATAATTCTAACTCAGAAACCCAATCAACAGGTTCATGAAATGTGTCAAGAAGATAAATGCTAACCTACTACACCTGCAGATAATGATGGAAAACAAGAAAATGAGAGGTTGCAAATAAAAACATTCTTCTCATCTTTAAAGGGTTTTAATTATAAGAAAGTCACCAGGAATTCTCATTCCATAATATAATCAGTTTACCAATAAATATCATTTTCATCAGCTTTATAAAGAAATATGAAATGCCAGGCATGGTGGGTCACGCCTGTAATCCCGGCACTTTGGGAGGCCGAGGTCGGCGGATCATTTCAGGTCAGGGGTTCGAGACCAGCCTGGCCAACATAGTGAAACACCATCTCTACTAAAAAATAATACAAAAATTAGCCAGGCACGGTGGCGTGCTGTAATCCCAGCTACTCGGGAGGCTGAGGCAGGAGAACTGCTTGAACCTGGGAGGCAGACCTTGCAGTGCGCCAAGATCACACCACTGCACTCCAGGCTGGGGGACAGAGTGAGACTTTGTCTCAAAAAAAAAAAAAAAAAAACAAGAAATATGAAAAAGATGGCCGGGCATGGTGGCTCATGCCTGTAATCCCAGCACTTTGGGAGGCTGAGGCAGGCAGATCACTTGAGGTCAGGAGTTCAAGACCAGCCTGGCCAACATGGTGAAACCCTGTCTCTACTAAAAATACAAAAATTAGCTGGGCGTGATGGCGCGTCCCTGTAATCCCAGCTACCTGGGAGGCTGAGGCAGGAGAATCACTTGAACCCAGGAGGCGGAGGTTGCAGTGAGCTGAGATCATGCCACTGAACTCCAGCCTGGGTGACAGAGTGAGACTCTCAAAAAAAAAAAAAAAAGAAGAAGAAGAAGAGAAAGACCTAAATTCTAGGCCAGGCACAGTGGCTCATGCTTGTAATCCCAGCACTTTGGGAGGCGAAGGCTGGTGGATCACTTGAGGTCAGGAGTTCAAGACCAGCCTGGCCAACATGGTGAAACCCCGTCTCTACTAAAAAAATAAAAATACAAAAATTAGCTGGGTACGTGGTGGCACATGCTTGTAACCCTAGCTGCTCAGGAGGCTGAGGCAGGAGAATCGCTTGAACCCCAGAGGCAGAGGTTGCAGTGAGCCGAGATCACACCACTGCATTCCAGCCTGAGTAACAGAGTGAGACTCAAAAAAGGAACTAAAAAGGGGATTTCCTCAGGTCAAAATGGTGAATATGAAACCTTTCTCTAAGTCCGCTTTCTCAACAATTGGCACCACTGGCACCAATTTTCTACTTTAATCTAAAAACTCTCCCATAATTGTAAGACTTGATCACCATAAATTTTATTTTGAAAAAATGTTTTCATTTTGAAAAACCAATTAATTTTTTTAATAAAAAAAAGAAACCTCAAATTGGAACAACATAGAATTTCTGGAAATTTAAAAGACATTCTAAGTGGGAAATCAGAAGCCACATGATACCACAACTCCTCTTTACTACTATTAAAAGACAAAAGGTCCTCCAAATTGCTTAACATTAGTCATCAGCAGCAGCTGTAGATGTGGGAGTAGAGGGAGCTCAAAAGGAGCAGAGCTGGAATACATGTTTGTCTCCTCCTATTTTACTGCTAGCTCAGTAGTTAGAGCTGTCTGCGCCCTCCTCCTCGCACAGGTGGCTCTAACCCAAACCCAACTGAGCTAAATTATCCTCAGCTGTATTACTCTTCATAACGGATTTAAACAATACTGATAATTTTATTACCACCCCCTTACACACACATATAAAACTCCGGTCCTCAGCAAGCAGCTCAAGGGATTGGAGGCAGCTATTAGGCAAAAACAAAACCAGGCAATTAGGAGCAACTATATTCACTGATTCTAACCCATAAAGGGAGATTCCAAGCATATAGAAAAAGCAATTTCTAAAAACCTTGTTAACTTAAAAAATAATTAACTGATCAACTGTTATTTAACATAAACCTACTATGTGCCAATACTGATGATAAAAAATTATGAAAGATGGAATATTATTCAGACTTTAATAGTAAGAAAATTCTGACAGGTGCTATAACATGGATGAACCTTGAGGATATTATGCTAAGTGAAATAAGCCAGTCACAAAGAAACAAATACTATATCATTCCATTTATATGAGGCACCTAGACTAGTCAAATTTTACCAAAAGTAGACTGGTAGCAGCCAGAGGCTAGGGGGAAGAGGGAATGAGAGTTACTGATTAATGGGTACAGTTTCAGTTTGGGAAAATGAGAAAAGTTGTGGAGATGGATGCACAAGAATGTGAGTGTATTAATACCACTTCAAAATGGTTAAAATGGTAAACGTCATGTTATGTGCATTCTACTGAATTTTTGTTTTTTTTTTTTGTTTGTTTGTTTGTTTTTTGAGACGGGGTCTCGCTCCTTAGCCCAGGCTGGAGTGCAGTGGCGCTATCTCGACTCACTGCAAGCTCCGCCTCCTGGGTTCACGCCATTCTCCTGCCTCAGCCTCCCAAGTAGCTGGGACTACAGGCGCCTGCCATGGCGCCCGGCTAATTTTCTGTATTTTTAGTAGAGACGGGGTTTCACCGTGTTAGCCAGGATGGTCTCGATCTCCTGACCTCGTGATCCGCCCACCTCGGCCTCCCAAAGTGCTGGGATTACAGGCATGAGCCACCGCGCCCGGCCTGAAATTTTTTTAATTAATGCAATAAGAAAAAAAAAATGAAAGAAAAAGTTGATTTCTTGACCCAGCAAGAAGACTCTAGAAATACTGATCAAGGGGTAAAAATGCAAAGAATACCAATATCATGAAGGTTTTTAAAGAGCTAGTATAGATCTTACAGACATTAAAATTATAAGTCAAAAATATAGATGACCTTATGCCAATACATTTGAAAATTTAGGTAATAAATTTCTTGAAAAACAAGTTACCAAACAGACTCACACACAAAAAAGGAAAATTGACATAGTCCTGTAACTCTAAAAGAAATTGAGGTCATAATTTAAAATTCTCTCATAACAGAAAGGGTTTCATTTCTTATTTATTTCTGGTAGGAATGTAAACTGGTACAACTTCTTTAGAATACAGCATTATTTTGTAAAGTAGTACACTTGTCAATCCTATGATCCAGAAATTCAAGTACAAGAGAAATTCTTGCTCATGGTACATTAGAAAACACGTAGTATTCATAACAGTTAAGAAAATGGAAACAACCCAAATGCCATTAACAAGAGAATAAACTGTGATGTATTCACTAAATGTCTGTACTGCTGCAAAAATGTGTCAACTATATGCAATGATATGGATTAATCTTAGCAATATAATGTTAAGTAGAAAATTCCAGATTACATACAACATAAGATTCTTTTTTAATAAAAAATACAACTAATGCTAAAACAATATATTATTTAGACACACATATATATTTGATAACTATTTTTTGAAAAGTTTACTTTGGGAGGCTGAGGCAGGCAGATTGCTTGAGCCCAGGAATGAGACCAGCCTCACCTTTTAAAAAACTTTATTGTTTGCCATAGGAGGATGTGAAGTAACTGATTCTTACATATTGCTAGTGGGAGTATAAAAATCTGTTTAGCAAAATCTACTAAAACTGAACATAAGCACACCCTATGACCCAGCAGTCCACTCCTAAGTAATACCCAACACAAATGCATTTATAATGTGTACTAAAAGACATGTACAAGAATGTTTACAGCAGCATTATCTGTAAGTCCAAAAACCAGAAACAAACCTAAACATCAATCAACTACAGAATGGATAAATTGTAACACATTCACAGAATAGAATATGATACAGGCTGGGCACGGTGGCTCACGCCTGTAATCCCAGCACTTTGGGAGGCCGAGGCGGGAGGATCACGAGGTCAGGAGATCGAGACCATCCTGGCTAACACAGTGAAACCCCGTCTGTACTAAAAATACAAAAAATTAGCTGGGCGAGGTGGCGGGCGCCTGTAGTCCCAGCTACTCGGGAGGCTGAGGCAGGAGAATGGCGTGTACCCGGGAGGCGGAGCTTGCAGTGAGCCAAGATGGCGCCACTGCACTCCAGCCTGGGTGACAGCGAGACTCTGTCTCAAAAAAAAGAATATGATACAGCAATGAAAAAGGAGCTACTGATGATACAACAAGGATGAATTTCAAAAGCAATGCTAAGCAAAGAATGTCAGGTGCAAAATAGTGCATGCTGCATGTTTCCATTTATATGAACCTCATAATCGAACAAATCTCATCTATTGTGACATAAGTCAGAATACTGGTCTTGTGATATAAATCAGAATACTGGTCAGGGAGAGAATCTGGGTCAGAGCACAGGAGGGCTTCTAGGATCCTGATCTGAATAGTGGTTATATGGCTGTGTTCAATGTAAAAATTCATTACGTTGTACCCTTAAGGATTTTGCATTTTGTGTGTATTACACATCAAAAAAAAAAAAGTTTACCAAAAACAAAGAAAAAAACTAAAGATGTCCTTTTACCTCTTACCTTCACAGTTTAACTGATGCTATCCATTACCCTTAGCATGAATTGACTAACACCCCTAAATGAACACTGGTAGGCTAAAAGGCAACACTGGCGTACACGCAGGCTTTTCTCTTCCCACTATGCAATACTTACTAAGAGTCTAATCTATTTGTTGTTCTCAAACCTACTTAATGCCAGTTGTGCTCATAATTACAATTACATAATTGTCATGAAATATTAATACTGGCTGGGCATGGTGGCTGACACCTGTAATCCCAGCACTTTGGGAGGCCAAGGCAGGCAGATCGCTTGAGGTCAGGAGTTCGAGACCAGCCTGGCCAACGTGGTGAAACCCCCGTCTCTACTAAAAATACAAAAAAATTAGCTGGGTATGGTGGCATGCGCCTGTAATCCCAGCTACTTGGGAGGCTGAGGCAGGAGAATTGCTTGAACCTGGGAGGCAGAGGATGCAGTGAGCTGAGATCGTGCCACTGCACTCCAGCCTGGGCAACAGAGAAGACTCCGTCTCAAAAAAGACAGAAATATTAACACTTACATGGCCGGACGTGGTGGCTCATGCCTGTAATCCCAGCACTTTGGGAGGCCAAGGTAGATGGATCGCTTGATCCCAGGAGTTCGAGACGAGCCTGGGCAACATAGCAATACCCCATCTCTATAAAAAATGTAAAAATTAGCCAGGCACGATGGCACACGCCTGTAGTCCCAGCTACTCGGGAGGCTAAGGTAGGAGGATCACCTGAGCTGTGATAGCACCACTGCACTTCAGCCTCTGCAACAGAGTGAGACCCTGTCTACAAAAAAGAAAAGAAAAACAAAAGTAAATACATCAATAAACTATAAGAAAAATTATTTCTTTAAAAACTAAACAGAAGGCTCTAGAAGACTGAACCAATACAAATTATTTTTAAAACTGTCCTCAATTTAAGTGTGGGTGAGACACATATACAAGTTGGGAGGGAAATTAAAAATCTAAAAAAAGGGTTTGTACTCATTGCTTCAAGTCTCTAAGAGTTCTCACTCTGCTTAAAAAAACCGTAAATAGAAGTTGCAAGAATGTATCACAGGGTGTAATTAATGCCAAAAATATGAAGAATTCTAATCAGCAAACTCATACTAAATACATCAAAGATTGGTGAATAAATGTACATTTGTTTTAAGCTAAAATAAAATACTATGGGCCAGGTGTGGTGGCTCACTCCTGTTATCCCAGCACTTTGGGAGGCCAAGCGGGAGTGGATCATCCGAGGTCAGGAGTTCCAGACCATCCTGGCCAACACGGCGAAACCCCATCTCTACTAAAAGTACAAAAATTAGCTGGGCGTGGTGGTGGGTGCCTGTAATCCCAGCTACTTGGGAGGCTGAGGCAGGAGAATCACTTGAATCTGGTGGGGGGCGGAGGTTGCAGTGAGCCAAGATCTCGCCACTTCACTCCAGGCTGGGCAAAAGAGCAAAACTCCATCTCAAACAAACAAAACAAATAAAAAATACTATGGTACGTATGTATCATTTTTTATTTCCTGCTTTAATCAACTTTCCCAATTAACAGTAAACACTATATAAGATATAATAGTAACAGATAAGAGAACTATAATCACAGAAACTTTGCCCTAATAACTTTTGGCAAACTAATACAATCTACTAGACAGATAAAACAAAAATACTAACTGTCAACAAGTCTACCTATTATAATGACAAAAGATAAATCAAACTGACCAAAGCTGAGACTGTTGTGCTTAAAAGCATATGCCTCTGGGGCCACATTAGCTATTCTCATTAATCAAAAGGGCACCATGGTTCCCTATGCAGGTATGTTCTGGTTAATATCACAGATGTCTCAGAAGAAGATGGCTGCTGAACGGACTACATGGGGCTGAGGAACAAAGGTCTGAGTATCACTGAAGTAGAAAAATAATGGTCTGAGTTTGTTTTTTTTGTTTGTTTGTTTGTTTGTTTTGAGACAGAGTCCCGTTCTGTTGCCCAGGCTGGAGTGCAGTGGCAGGATCTCAGCTCACTGCAACCTCCACCTCTCGGGTTCAAGTGATTCTCCTGCCTCAGCCTCCCGAGCAGCTGGGATTACAGGCGCATACCACCATGCCTGGCTAATTTTTGTATTTTTAGTAGAAATGGAGTTTCGCCATGTTGGCCAGGCTGGTCTCAAACTCCTAACCTCAAGTGATTTGCCCGCCTTGGCCTCCCAAAGTGCTGAGATTACAGGAGTGAGCCACTGCGCCTGGTCTGAGTTCTCTTAATAGAAAAAACAAGAGATTTTTACTAATAAATTTGCCCTCAGAGTTAAACTTTTCTCCGTAACATAATATTTAAAATGCCTTCCCTGACTCTGATATAAATCATAGGTTTCTCAGAAAAAAACAATAAAATTCATGTTACACAACAACATCCATTTAGGTGAATTTGGGTACGACAGTTACTTACAGGGTTTCTTTAAATCCATTGATTGAAAGCATCAGAGGACTCTCAGTGATAGAACTTTAAACTTTCTCATTTCATTCATTATTCAACTAATATTCATTGAATGCTTATAATTTTCTAAGCTTTGTGAGAGTTTGGGTGGGAGGATGATGCTCTTTCAGTTTCATGGAAGAATTATGGTATATCAGAATGCAAGGAGGCTTCAATATGAGAGCAGGTTGTGGAAAAGTGGGGACCAAGCCACTTAACTATTCAACTGTTTGACAATAAAGGGATTTTAAAAAATAGAGTATTAGGCCAGGCGCGGTGGCTCACGCCCGTAATCCTAGCACTGTGGGAGATCAAGGCAGGAGGATCACTTGAGGTCAGGAGTTCGAGACCAGCCTGGCCAACATGGGGAAACCCTGTCTCTACTAAAACTACAAAAATTATCTGGTGTGGTGGTGCGTGCCTGTAGTCCTGGCTACTCGGGAGGCTGAGGCAGGAGAATCGCTTGAACCCATGAGGCAGACACTGCAGTGAGCCGAGATCGCACCACTGCACTCCAGCCTGGGCAACAGAGACTTCATCTCAAAAAAAAAAAACAAAAACAGTATTAACCAGAGTGCTAGCAAGGCAAAGCAAAAGGGGTTTTCCCCCAAATAGGGAAGACTTTTTTCTTTGAAAAGGGATGAGGACATAAAACATAAAACAGAGAAAGGTAATACTTATTGGAGTAGAAAATAAGGGAGGAGCAACATACAAAGGTAATCAAAGACCAAATTAATCTTACATTCACATAGTCACAGTCAATTAAAAAAATTTTTTTTTTTTTTTAAATAGGGTCTGGTTCTGTTTCCCAGGCTGGAGTGCTGTGGCACGGTCTTGGCTCACTGTAACCTCCATCTCCTGGGCTCAAACGATTCTCCTACCTAAGCCTCCTGAGTAGCTGGGAATACAAGCACACGCCACCACATGCAGCTAGTTTTTGTATCTTTTGTAGAGATGGGGTTTCACAATGTTGCCTTGCGCAGGCTGATCTCGAACTCCGGAGCTCAAGTTCAAGCGGTCTGCCCATCTTGGCCTCCCAAAGTGCTGGGATTACAGGCGTGAGCCACCATGCCAACCCTAATCTTTATTGAATGCTTACTATAGGCCAGGAACTATACTAATAATGCAATTTTATATGCATTATCAAAAATCTTCACAAAAACTCTGTTAGGTAAAAGAAACATACTTCTGAAACAAACAAAAAGACAAAAATAACTAGAGGGAAGATTAAGGAGGTCATACCAAATGACTGCAACTTTTTAGTTATGGAAACAGAAGGAAAAAAAAGCAGGAAGGCTTGAGGGCTTGAGAGGAACAGATAAGAAACTAACATTTACTGCCTACTATGTGCCAGCCACTGTAACATCCATTACATACATGTCATGTAATTCTGTGAAGTACTTATCATTCATTTAACTGAAGAACTTGAGGTTTGCGAGTTTCCCAAGAACAAAGAGCTGGTAAGTGGTGAGGTGGTGATTCAAACCTAGCTCCATGAAACTACAAATTATATTTCTTTCTGCTATATCAACATCAGGAATGTGCTAGAGAATAAATATGAGATGAATAAAAAGATCATAAAGCAGCAAAGGCCCAGTTAAAATCACACAGCATGAAATTAGAGCAGATAATGCCAACTCTGTGCCCTCTGCTCCCTGAGTTCAGCCACCCAGGTAAAAAGCATTTAACATTAGGAAGTTGCCTGAATTGCAACGAATTTATATGTACATTTAAGGACTAATATAGGGCAGAAGAGTTTTACCTCCCTTCAAATTATCATTATTGTTCTTTACAAAAATGAATACCTACAAAATATTAGGCACTGGATAGCTTACAGGACTTGCTACCCAAATATTTGAAGCTACAGTTTAGGTAGCGTACATAGTCCAAATTCAACACTAATCTGAGGAAGTATCTAATGTCAATCAAAATATCAGAAAATATCCACCTAAGAGTAACTTTTCTTTGTTTTCAAAACTGACTTTATTTAAATGAATAGGCCCTAAAACTAACAGACACTGGATTATTGTCAAAAATGATAACACAGATCTGTTTACTTCACCTTTTTATGATGTAGGGGAAAACCTTTTAGACTTTAAAATGGACCAGAATTAGGCATCTTCGATGGAAACTAGGCATTGCATAATGTGTACCCTTCCTAGTTATCTGATTCTGTGGGATTTGTATCCCTCATGGTCTTTGAGCTATTTTACAACTGTAAATTGTAGATAAGTGGTAGCAGTGCAAAGGTTGTTTTTTTTTTTTTTTTTTTTTTTTTTTGAGACAAAGTCTTGCTCTGTTGCCCAGGCTGGAGTGAGTGGTGTCATCTCCACTCACCACAACCTCTGCCTCCCAGGTTCAAGAGATTCTCCTGCCTCAGCCTCCCATGTAGCTGGGATTACAGGCGCACGCCACCATGCCCAGCTAATTTTTGTATTTTTAGTAGAGACGGGCTTTTGCTATGTTGGCCAGGCTGGTCTTGAACTCCTGACCTCATGATCCGCCCGCCTCGGCCTCCCAAAGTGCTGGGATTATAGGCGTTAGCCACCGCACCCGGCCAATGCAAAGAATTTTTACGTATACACGTGCAAATAAATTCTATCAGTGTAAGGGGCAACAATTTTTCCTGGTGGAAAAAGCCAGTTTTGGATTGGTCTGTAAATTAATTTCAAGCATTCTTTTTTCCTTTTGAATCAGGGTCTCATTCTGTGGCCCAGGCTTGTGTGCAGTGGTACAATTACAGCTTGCTGCAGCCTTTAATTCCTGAGTTCAAGTAATCCTCCCATCTCAGCCTCCGGAGTAGATGGGACTACAAGAATGCACCTGGCTAATTTTGTTTCTAATTATTATTTCTTTGTAGAGACAGAGTTTCACTAGGCTGATCCTGAACCCCTGGCCTCAAGTGATCATTTCACTTCGGCCTCCCAAGTGTTAGGATTATGGGTGTGAGCCACCACGCCTACCAAATGTTAAGCATTCTTGATCCTATGTATGTGTGGTACTTTGAATTGTCCTTTGAACCATTTTAACTTCTTACTGGTTCTTTAATTAATATATTAAATAACATCTTTTACATGTGTTCATTTTATTTATTTATTTTTATTTTTATTTTTTGAGATGGGGTCTTGCCCCGTCACCCAGGCTGGAGTGCAGTGGCTCACTGCAACCTCCACCTCCCAGGTTCAAGCGATTCTCCTGCCTCAGCCTCCCAAGTAGCTGAGACTACAGGTGCATGCCACCATGCCTGGCTAATTTTTGTATTTTTAGGAGAAATGGGGTTTCCCCATGTTGGCCAGGCTGGTCTCAAACTCCTCACCTCAGGTGGTCTGCTGGCCGCGGCCTCCCAAATTGCTGGGATTACAGGCGTGAGCCACTGTACCCAGGCCTCACTTTATACTTGTATGAAAATCAAGATTTTTGCCTGTTTTTTAATCCCTTAACAATAAATATAACATGTGGTAGATAACCTGGAAAATAAAAAAATTTTAATGCAAAAGCTCAAAGCTCAAGGGAAAGAAACATCCTTTTCTACCCATCTACGTGTTTAAGGAAGACCAAACAAAACTTGTGCCTTGTCTCTTCTCAGTTCCAAAATTTTAGGACTCTAAGAAGCATAGCCATTGTTGAAGTTGGTCATTCATCAAAGAGCCCACAACTCACAAAAGAATTGTTTGAAATGGTATTTCCAGCTGCTTTTCCTTGATGCATAGTGTAAATAAAGGACTGTCTCAAGAACAGAAGCTTCATCATTTCAGAAATGCTTTGAATCTTTTCTCTGAACTACTTTTGTTAATTGCACCAATAAAACAGTATGTTTTCATAATGAACTAAAAATCTACATTTGACAAATGCCTTTTCTGATCCAAAATACTCATGCCAGTCCACATCTGTACAATCATAAGAATGTTAAATATATATGCTGCTTTCAAAATAATAGCTGTCTTCTACTAGTATATGTCATATGAAAGGATAGAATAAGCAAATATTTTTTAACAAACTCACTGGATTCTAATATTCACACAAAGTTTAAAGAAGCCCAAACCAGAAATCAATGTACAAACTAAACATTAAATCAACAACATATTTTAAATTCATTAATACAGAAAGGAAAGGGTATATCAATGCTCAGATCTTCTGGCTAAGCCCCAAATTTAAAAATATCTCTAATACCACTAGTCTCTATGGAATTACTGGTTTCACAAAGCAGCTTTTTTCCTCACATAGGATCAAACTAATCCACTGGCAGTCTCTGGAAAGAAGCAGTAAAATCAAGTTGTACCAAAAATCTTTATACTTAGCATTCATTCAAAGCCTTCCAAACCACTCCCAGGCTTGTAACATGTCAGAAAAATATTGCTTTAGCAAGTAATTATTTTGCCCAAAAATGAACAGAGCAATTTAGATTGGAAATAATTTGCTATCCATGTCATTCATAAATCCATGCTACTATATTGTAAGTCTTAAAATGAATGCATAATGCATGCAGCATATCATGCATTAAATATTCTAAAAGATAAGTTTTCATTTAGCTGAAATTAGTTAAGTAATACTAGGAGACTTAAAAGCATAAAAAGTTAACTCTTTCTTCTCCCCACCCCTACTCCCTCCAAACCACTCAGGAACCTTGGGAGGGGAACAGGAGTATGTGTCAGGTGGAGGGGAAAAGAATGCAGGTAAAACAAACAAGACAAATGAAAAGGTATAGAATGTTAATCCCAAAACTTCTGCCAAATTACAACTGAAGTTAAGGAACTGTAGTGAAGTCTTCTGATTTACACTAGTTCAAGATCTGAAAGTACCTATTGTCTGCCTTCCTATAATGTAACTCATTTCAAAACTTTGTTTTCTGATTCTTCTCATGGTTCTTATAGCACTACAAATTAGCATGTGTTTGCAGGAATTCTACCAAAGCTTTGTAAAAGTATTTTTCAAATACCAAGTAGAAGTAATTTAGTCGGCTGGCCACAGTGGCTCACATCTGTAATCCCAACGCTTTGGGAGGCTGAGGTAGATGGATCACTTGAGGCCAGGAGTTTAAGACCAGCCTGGGCAACATAGTGAGACCTGTCTCTACAAAAAATAAAAATAAAAAATTAGTCCAGGTGTGGTGGCTCATGCCTGCAATCCCAGCACTTTTGGCAGGCTGAGGGAGGCGGATAACCTGAGGTCAGGAGTTTGAGACCAGCCTGCCCAACATGGCGAAACCCCGTCTCTACTAAAAATACAAACATTAGCTGGGCGTGGTGGCAGGCACCTGTAATCCCAGCTACTAGGGAGGCTAAGACCGGAGAATCCCTTGAACCTGGGAGGTGGCGATTGCAGTCAGCCGAGATCACGCCATTGCACTCCAGCCTGGGTGACAAGAGCAGAACTCTGTCTCAAAAAAATAAAATTAAATTAAATTAAAATTAAAAATTAGCCAGGCATGGTGGCACACACCTGTAGTCCTAGCTACTCAGGAGGCTGAGGCAGGAGGATCCCTTGAGTGCAGGAAGTTGAGGCTGCAGTGAGCCATGATTGCACCACTGCACTCTGGCCTATGCAACAGAGTGAGACCCTGCCTCAAAAAAAAAAAAAAAAAAAAAAAACTGAGTCATTTAAAATGAAAGCTACACAGTGAAACCCCACCTCTACAAAAAAAACATAAAAATTAGCCCGGCATGGTGGCATGCGCCTGTAGTCTCAGCTACTCAGGAGGCTGAAGTGGGAGGATGGCATAAGCCGGGAGGTGGAGGTTGCAGTGAGCCAAAATCATACCACTGCACTACTGCCTGGGCAACAGAACAAGACATGGTCTCTAAATACATAAACACATACATGCTAATACACTTTTTCCCTCTACCCCAAATTCAACAATGTACAGATCTGGATACCAAGAAAAATAAAACAGGTTAATGATTACATTTAGGCATTTCTTCTTCCCAGAAGTGTTGTAATATGGCAGACAGCTATTTCTGCAACAACTTTCTATTTGCTAGGCTATTGTCTTCTTTTAGGTCATCAGAGAAGATGGGTTGAATCTCTCAAGATGTACAAACCCAGAAAGATAAAGAAACAGCAAAACGGGAAGAAGAAAACAAAATGGAAACAACACAAAACACAATAGCCTCTACAAACACATATCATAAATCACCTTTTCTGAATATTTTACCTCCAGAGCCAGATCACCACATAAGGTGAGCAAAGCCTTATCAGATGGGGTCAGGCAGTAGAGTAGTTCTACAGACAGTGCCCTAATGCTGTTCAAAGACTCTTCTAACCTGCTTTACAGTCTCTACATTCTAAATTATCTCCATCACCTAACCGCTTTTCAAAATTTCCCTTAGGAGTATCCCTACAAGAATTAAGAAAGCTAGCTAAACTAATTCAACTGAAAGTGTGAATGACAAACAGGCACATATATTCTTTAACCCTTGCAAAGATGTTACTTATGGATTCAAGCTAATCCCTAAATGGTAAAAATTTTAATACAGAGATTTTAATTTCTTTTTGTTTCCTCTTTTGAGAGAGAAGCATCATTAAGCCTACTCTGATACAAAAGGAAAAGAGAGGAAATCAAATGTCAGTCCAAAGTTCCCAGGTCCTGTCCCTACTGAAGAAAAGAGGTTTTTATTACTGGGAAGTCTTCTTCCACAGCTCTTGACAAACCAGTTCTTGAACATTTAAAAGAAGAGAGGCCATCTTTCATCTCCCTGCCTAGTGAAAAAGGGAAGAGAAAAGCCTGACACGTTGTCTAGCTTCCAAAACTTGTTGATAGGTATATATGTGGGGTGTCTGGTGTTTTAAAATACGTTTGCAAATTCTTTCATCCTTCTCCCATCAAAAGGTAGAGTCTCATTCTTCTCCCCATGAAGGGAATGCAACAGAAGGGGCACTGAGCAACCTCAGAAGCTAGGTCATAAAGGTGATAAAGGCCAGGCACAGTGGCTCACGCCTGTAATCCCAACACTTTGGGAAGCTGAGGTGGGCAAATCATTTGAGGTCAGGGGTTCGTGACCAGCCTGGCCAACATGGTGAAACCCCACCTCTACTAAAAATTCAAAAAAATTAGTCGGGCGTGGTCATGGGTGCCTGTAATCCCAGTGGGAGGCTGAGGCAGGAGAATTGCTTGAACCCAGGAGGCGGAGGTTACAGTGAGCTGAGATCAAGCCACTGCACTCCAGCCTGGGCGACTGAACGAGACTCCATCTCAAAATAAAATAAAATAAAATAAAATAAAATAAAAAGGTGATAAAACTTCTGCCAGGTGCTCTCTCAGGCAACTTCAAAGTCCAAGTCACCATATAAGATACCCAGTAAGCCTCACAGGGTTAGAGAGATGTCTGGAAACACCAGCTGTTAAGGCTTCCCAGCCCAGCCACCTCATATGAATGAGGATCCCTCTGAGATAATGACTCCAGGCCCAGCTACCATCTATCTCCAACTGCATAAGAGACGCTGGTGAGGAAGGCTTCTAAGTGATTCCAACCCCAGCTATGACCTGACTGCACCTTCAAGAGAAACCCTAAAAAAGATCTGCCTAGCCAAGCCCAAACATCAGAACCATAAAAGATAAAACGGAGTTTTGTTTTACACTGCTAAATTTGGGATGTGTGTTACACAGCAATAGATAACCAAAACAGATTTTGGTACAGGGAGTAGATTTTTTTGTTCTGCCATTAAAAAAAAAAAAAAAAGTAAAATGTTTGGTCTTAACACTGAGCAGCAAAGGAAAGCAAAAAGGGCCTTGAGAGTGTAAGCCAAGGCCTGCAGGGTCTTGAGAAAAATGTTAACAAAGGCCTCAAGGAGGCTGTCGTAAAGACTTAAAACAGAGATGAGCAAACTACAGTCTGTAGGTGAAATTCAACCTGCTGCCTGTTTTTGTAAATAAAGTTTTATTGGAACACAGCCATACCTATTAGTTTACATATTGTATAAGTATGCCAGAGATCATATGGCCCAAAAAGCCTAAAATATTTACTATCTGGCCCTTTACAGAAAAAGGTTGCAGGCCCCTGGCTTAAAAGTAAATGCAAAAAGCGTTACCGGAAGCTGAAGAATTTTATTGGGTAACCACAGAAAAACTTTAGCAAAGCTGTCATCTGCAGTAATGTGGAAAACAGAAAATATAATTAATGAACTGACAGACTAGATAAGGAGATTTCCAGGTAGAATATCAAGTATCAACTGGTTTCTTTTAGCTGTGTATAAGAAAGTACAGATAGAGAGAGATAAGCTCCAGAAGAAATTATACAATTTCCAAGCAGTATATAGAATATAAGGAGCAATGAGTTGCTAGGTCCAAAAATTAAACTGTTTCTTATTCCCAGCCTTCCCATATAGCAAACATTTCTCAAATTAAGAAATGTCCCAGACCAGGCACAGTGACTCATGCCTGTAATCCCAGCACTTTGGGAGGCCGAGGTGGGTGGATCACCTGAGGTCAGGAGTTTGAGACCAGCCTGACCAATATGGTGAAACCCCATCTCTGCTAAAAATACAAAATTAGCCTGTAATCCCAGCACTTTGGGAGGCTGAGGGGGGCAGATCAGGTGGTCAGGAGTTCGAGACCAGCCTGCCCAATATGGTGAAACCCCATCTCTACTAAAAAAATACAAAAATTAGCTGGGCGTGGTGGCACGTGCCTCTACTCGGGAGGCTAAGGCAGGAGAATCACTTGAATGCGGGAGGCAGAGGTTGCAGTGAGCCGAGATCCCGCCACTGCACTCCAGCCTGGGCAACATGAGTTAAACTCTGTCTCAAAAAAAAAAAAAAAAGAAAAGAAAAAGAAAAAAAGAAAAAGAAAGAAATGCTCCCTGGGCTAGGCACAGTGGCTCATGCCTAAAATCCCAGCACTTTGTGGGGCCAAGGTAGGAGGATCGCTTGAGGCCAGGAGTTCAAGACCAGCCTGGGCAACATAGTGAGACTCTGTCTCTACCAAAAATTTAAAAATTAGCCAGGCATGTGCCTGCCTATAGTCCTGGCTACTCAGGAGGCTGAGGTGGGAGGGTCACAAGCTAAGGAGTTCAAGGCTGCAGTGAGCTATGATCACACCACCGCACTCCAGCCTTTGAGACAGAGCAAGAACCTGTCTCAAAAAAATAAAAAAATAAAAAAGCCTTCTGGGCAAAGATCAAATCCAAAGCAGACCAGGGTAAATTGGCATGAAGATTAAAACTTTATTTAGACCAAGAGTCAGCAAACATTTTCTGCAAAGGACCAGATAAATATTTTAGGCTGAGGGCCATATACAGTCTCTGTTGAACTTTTTTTTTTAACCCTTTGAAAATATAAAAACAAGTCTTAGTTCGATGGCCTTTGCCTACTCCTAGTTCAGATGTCAAAGACATTTAAGGTGGTACCTCATAGATTGTTTCAAACAAAAGGCCTTCTAAGAATTCTAAAGGTGTTGTCCCACAAAAGCCATATAGGAAACCTAAGCTCTACATGTTCTATCAATGTGCAAGTGTGGCTTTTATCTAATACATTAAAACTCCCTTCCCATAAGAGTCACAGAAAATCTACTAAGTTTTAAAGAGAATTTTATGTTCAGAAACACTGTCATCTTGGACTAAAAGGGACAGAGACCATACAAAATGAAAAGAGGCTTCTGGACACCCAAACTTCTATAGGCAGGAAAGAAGCCAAGAAAAGTACTCTATTGCAACACAGTACATTTTATGGAAAAGGAAGAATTCAAAAGGCAGACCAAGAGCTATGGAGGATCATTCCTAGGCAGTAGGGCTGATCCCTCCAATAATGTTACAGAACTGGTAATACATGCCTGCTTGGATTTCAGAATTGCTGTGGACCCATGACTGTGTTCCTCCCATTTTTCTGTATTTCTGAACAGGAGTGAATACAGTGGTTATCTTCTGCCTGTCCAGTGTTGCATACTGGGTAGGCTGGGAATGGGGGGAGATGCCCTGTCTGTTTAGTTCACAGGTCTTCAGAGTGAAAGCAATGGTAGTCAAAGAGCTACACCCAAGGAACCATATCTGAGTAGCCTTATTTATACCTGGATCTGATTTAGAAAGCAAGATCCTGGACCTCAAACCTGAGACTAATGCTGAAATGTATTAGGCGAGATTCTGGGGGCCTTAAGAAGGGGTGAGTGTATTCTGTAAGTGGGAGGAATGAAAATAATTTGTGACCAGAGAGCAGACTGAAGTACCCTTGGAATATGACGTGCTGGCAAGATAGGGTGGCTCACACCTATAATCCCAGTACTTTGAGAGGCTGAGGCAGGAGGATCACTTGAAC
The DNA here is from genome assembly GCF_000001405.40 of Homo sapiens. Taxonomy (NCBI): domain Eukaryota; kingdom Metazoa; phylum Chordata; class Mammalia; order Primates; family Hominidae; genus Homo; species Homo sapiens. The sequence continues at coordinate 49,413,454 of NC_000012.12, read as the reverse complement.
CCAGGAGTTCCAGGACAGCCTGAGCTACACAGCAAGACCCTGTCTCTACGGGGAAAAAAAAAATTAAAATTAAAATTAAAAAGTTACAGTAGTCTGGCTACCATAAAGTCCCTATGCTGGAGTGACTACACGAAAATAGAGAGAGATGTCCAAGGCGCCGTAGCTGTTCCATCCCCTGCCTATTTGAACTTCCCTGCTCCTGTCAGATATGTAAGTACAGAAGGAAGCCATCAACATATCTCTAGGCTCAGTCACCATCTGACTACAACTACATGACAGAACTTGAGCAAGAACCACTTAGCTGAGCCCAGTCAACCCCCAAAACCATGAGGGTTTTATGCACTAAGTTTGGAGTTGTTTTGTTCCTTACTAAGGAACAAAACAACTGTTTAACAACGTGTCTGGAGACCCCAGCCTGAGACTCGGGAAGTTCAAACTTAGCCTGCCTTTCTATATTACCAATCAATTAACATCAAATACTAGCTTTATGCTTACTCAGTTCCTTCTTCTTTCCCCAGCTGAAATGTTTAATTTGACCATGGCAAAAGATATTTTTATAATTGTTTTAACATTTATCCAATTACAATGTGACAAAATCATTAGAAGTTTCAAGATTTATGCCAATCTAACTTTAAATATTATTTGAATCTAACTTTAAATATTATTATCTAACTTCAAACACTATTTGAATTTTTTTTTTTTTAGAATGAGCGTCTCACTCTGTTGCCCAGGCTGTAGTAGTACAGTGTGTTGTGATCATGGCTCACTGAAGTCTCAAACTCCTGGCTTCAAGCGATCCTCCTACCTCAGCCTCCCAAAGTGCTGGGATTACAGGAATGAGCCACCATGCCCAGCCTGAAACGACTTCTAATTATTTACACACACACATAATCAATGGTTTACTGCCTACTAACATTTATTTTACAATTATTTTTTAAATTATTAAGTAATTTAACCGGGCACAGTAGCTCACGCCTGTAATCCCAGCACTTTGGGAGGCCAAGGCAGGCCGATCACCCGAGGTCAGGAGTCAGGAGTTTAAGACCAGCCTGGCCAACATGGTGAAACCCTGCCTCTACCAAAAACACAAAAATTAGCTGGGCATGGTGGCGCATACCTATAATCCCAGCTACTCGGGAGGCTGAGGCAGGAAAATCGCTTGAACCCAGGAGGCAGAGGTTGCAGTGAGCCAAGACGGCGCCACTGCATTCCAGCCTAGGCGACAGAGAGAGAATCCATCTCAAAAATAAAATAAAATAAATTATTAGGTAATTTGAGACTGATGGTCATGCTATCTCCTCTGCAATATAACACTAATTTATAGTGTTTTAAAATGCAGTTGTATCTGCAGAACTAAAATAATCATCACTAACATATAATAACCACTATTTCTAAGGCCTCGTCATCTTTAAATCCTGTAAGTTTGGAAAAAATAAACCTTTTGCATTTGAAGATATACAATTCGATGTGTTTTAGATCACTGGCAGGGAATTTAATGTTCTAGCTCTCTTAGAAGAAAAAAATGGAATTTGATTTTCACATATTATAAACATGGTTAAGCCCAACTTCTGTAGAGAAACTAAAACAGCTGAGCCAAGAACTAATTGGCCCCAGCAGAATGGCAGAAGGTACTGTGAAAGAAGAATAGCAAGGAGGCCTGAGGTCAAGGTAACTTACCTCTGAAAGAAAAATTACTTTCTCCATTGTGTGAGCACTTCCAACTAGACACATCCTAAATTATTTAGCAGCGGTTTAATTAACCTTTTTTCACTTTTTCCTAGACTGTCAAATGCTTGATTTTTTAAGCAAGTACCAAGAGGAAAAAATCAAATATAATCCTAATTAGTTTGAGAAGAAATTTTAAAGAATAAAGTATGTATTCTGCTTTAGATATGATTCTTTGAATATTGAGTCATGCAGATACCCAAGTCTACTCTATGAAGAAAACTATTTTAATAAACTTTTCTTTTTTGGGGGGGACCAAAAATATTTATTTACTCATGGTAGATTATGGCACATAATGCTTCATTTCACATTTCAATCAAGTCTCTTCACATAGTCTCAGTAAAACATGCATATTCATCAAGATAAGCTAGTATTTGAGTTATGGAGGCTTGGAAGTCCAAGTTGAGGGGGCACATCCGGTGGGAGCCTTCTTGCTGGTGTGTTCTCTTTGATGTGTCCTGAGATGACCAAGGGCATTACATGGCAAGAGGACTGAGTATGCTAACAACAATAAACTTTTCTATTACTACATTAGATGGGAAACTAAAAGGAAAGAGAAGGTCAACATGCAAACATCTATTTAACCCATAATGTGGCTGATTTTAAATATCAGTATGGGCTCTGGCTCCTGATAGCAGAGTCATCCCATCCAAGGGGAGAGAAAAGGTTTTCGCTTGCCCACAGGGCAAAAGTTTAGGCCCTATACAAATTTTGAAATAAGTAAATGTCACCTCCCACAGAGAACCCACAACTACCTAATTCCTCCTTCCTCATTCAAAACTTCTTCTATAAAACTAAAAGTGTCAGGAACACACTAAAACTCACTGAACTCAGTCACATTAAAGAATAGATATTTGATAGCACCTAACCCTCCCATGAGAGAAAAGATTATAAACTAAATATAATATAGTGGAGAAAATGCTGGTTTCCAAAAAAAAAAAAAATTCCTTTTAAGCTCTACATCAAAGAGATATGGGTGTTTTGCTTACCACTATATTCCCCAGCATCTAACAGAGGAATAAACGTATCAGTGAGCACTCAAAACTTTGCATAAATGAATAGATGGTCTGCTTTTATCTCTTATGTAAGAAACTTGCACTCTAGTTACAGTCTATCAGTAACTAGCTATGTAACTTTGGACAAGTTTCTTGATTTCTCAAGCTTTAGTTTCCATTATACAACACAAAATGAGGTCAGGTAGAAGTTGGGGAGAAAAATTAGATAGTAAGTATGATGTGGGCAAGGATCCTCTCTGTCTTACTCATTCTGCATCCCAGTGCCTAACAAAGTGGCTAGGGTATATTCAACTTTTTTTCAGATACATGGTGTGCAGCCATCAAACATGTATAGAACAGGCTGGGCACGGTGGCTCACACCTGTAATACCAGTGCTTTGGGAGGCCGAGGTGGGCGGATCACTTGAGGTCAGGAGTTCGAGACCAGCATGGCCAACATGGTGAAACCCCGTCTCTACTAAAAATACAAAAATTAGCCAGGCATGGTGGCACACACCTATAATCCCAGCTACTCAGGAGGCTGAGGCAGGAGAATTGCTAGAGCCCGGGAGGCAGAGGCTGCAGTGAGCCAAGACTGCACCATTGCACTCCAGCCTGGGCGACAGAGCGAGACTCCATCTCAAAAACAACAACAACAAAAAAAAACATGTATTGAACAAAACTTCTTCCAGCCCTGATTCTACAATTCTTCACCATTTGCTTAAATGATATTTGTTTTCTACACACACAGTATATACTCCAACAAGAAGATTTAAGATTCCTTCTCTACACTCAACTCAGCTATCAGTAAAGGTCTTTTAAAATTAAGATACAGCTGGGCCTGGTGGGTCATGCCTGTAATCCTACCACTTTAGGAGGCCAAGGCAGGTGGATCACTAGATGTCAGGAGTTCAAGAGCAGCCTGGCCAACAGGGTGAAACCCCATGTCTACTAAAAATACAAAAATTAGCCGGGTGTCATGGAGCATGCCTGTAATCCCAACTACTCGGGAGGCTGAGGCAGGAGAATTGCTTGAACCTGAGAGGCGGAGATTGCAGTTAGCTGACATTGCGCCACAGCACTCCTGCCTGGGCGACACAGGGAAGACTCCATCTGAAAAAAAAAAAAAAAAAAAAAAAAAAATTGCTGGGCACAGTGGCTCACGCCTGTAATTCCAGCACTTTGGGAGGCCGAGGCAGTCAGGAGATTGAGACCATCCTGGCTAACACAGTGAAACCCCATCTCTACTAAAAATACAAAAAATTAGCCGGGCATGGTGGTGGGCACCTGTAGTCCCAACTACTCGGGAGGCTGAAGCAGGAGAATGGCGTGAACCCGGGAGGCGGAGCTTGCAGTGAGCCGAGATCGTGACACTGCACTCCAGCCTGGGTGACAGAGCGAGACTCTGTCTCAAAAAAACAAAACAAAAAACAACAACAAAAAAAACTTCTAAAATATTCTCCACCTCTCCACTTTGCATGATGGTGATACTATTTATCCTCTAAATGCAGCTTTTAAAAAGATAAGATTTGGATAGACAGGATGCCAGAAGCAGCACCATTTCCCAGATTCTTCACAGCTGGTTTTTTGCAGTTTGATTCTATGATGCTGCCTGAAACACCATTAGAAGTACCTGGAATATCAGGTTAATTCATTTGTAATCCAAAAATGTATTCAAATGTCAAATGTACTATTATTATTCCATCTGTCCAACTTTAGCATAATTGACTGAAAGCTGTATGCATTCATTTAGGTTCATGATTTTCACAGGATGCAACCAACAACTACCATTTATTCATTATTTAGGACACTTTCTGTAGCATTATTACAGAAAATAACATGTAAAAGAATCTTGTGCCTTTAGAATACTATCATCTCTTGGCCAGGCGCGGTGGCTCAAACCTGTAATCCCAGAACTCTGGGAAGCCGAGGTGGGTGGATCACCTGAGGTCAGGAGTTCGAGACCAGCCTGGCCAACATGGCGATACCCCGTCTCTACTAAAAATACAAAAATTAGCTGGGCCTGGTGTTGCGTGCCTGTAGTCTTGGCTACTCGGGAGGCTGAGGCAGGAGAATCACTTGAAGCCAGGAGGCGGAGACTGCAGTGAGCCAAGATTGCACCACTGCACTCCAGCCTGGGCGGCAGAGCAAGACTCTGTCTCAAAAAAAAAAAAAAAAAAAAAGGCCAGGCACAGTGGCTCAAGCCTGTAATCTCAGCACTTTGGGAGGCCAAGGCAGGCGAATCACTTGAGGTCAGGATTTCAAGACCAGCCTGGCCAACATGGCAAAACCCTGTCTCTACTAAAAATACAAAAATTAGCCGGGCATGGTGGTAGGTGCTTGTAATCCCAGCTACTCGGGAGACTGAGGCAGGAGAATCGCTGGAGCCCAGGAGACGGAGGTTGCAGTGAGCCGAGATTGTGCCATTGCACTTCAGCCTGGGTGACAAGAGTGAGAGTCTGTCTCAAAAAAAAAAAAAAAAAGAAGAATACTATCATCTCCAAATTAGGTGTGGCCTTCGAAAAGCGGGCGTATCTCTGCTATCAGGTAGTAATGGCTAATACATTCAAGAACCTCAGCTTGAACAAAGTATTATGGCTGACATATTCCCAAATTATCCTTGATTTTAAAGTCTAATAACTAATAACTTTTTAGATATTAACTCATATAGCATTTTACAGTCTGTAACCTACCATTTAACACTGACATTGTTTTCATTCAATCAGTCGTCTGCTTTGTGTCAAACACTGTGCTAGCCAAGGAGTCCACAAACTCTGTCAAGGGCCACACAACAAACATTTTAGGCTTTGCTGGACATACGGTCTGTCACAATACTCAGCTCTGCTGTTGGCGGTGCAAAAGCTGCACTGACAATATGTTAATGAATGAGCATGGCTGTGTCCTAATTAAACTTTATTTACAAAAAGAGGCAGTAGGTCATTTTTGGCTTGGCAACCCCTGTCTTAGCCTATGGGGAGATAGCAATAAAACATTTTTTAAATTAAAATTTGAATAAATAAAATACACACAGAGCCTATCAGATCCAGATAAGTGCTACAGAGAAAATGAAGCAGGGTAAAGGCGATAGAGAGCCAGGGCCTCACCAATATGGTGACATTTCAGCCTGACCCCTGAAATAAGGAAGAGGAAAAGCCATGCTACCTGCATAGGAAAAGCATTCTAGGAGAGGTAACAGCAAGCACAAATGTTCTGAAGAAGAAACAACCTGGCATCTTAGAAAAACAGCAAGGATGCCGCTGTGGCTAAAGGAACGTGAGCAGTGGAGAGTCATAGGAAATCAGGCCAGAGGAGTAAACTGAAGCCAGACTTTGTACAACCTTTTAGTCCACTGTCACAACTTTAGCTTTTACTCTAAAATGGAAAACCACTGGAAGATCTTGAGCAAAGGAGTGACAACCTCATTTGACTTAATTTTAAGAGGATCATTCTGGAGGTCTGCTGAGAAAAGACTACACAAAGACAAGGACAGAAAGAGAGAACTCAATCAGAAGACTAATGCAACAATCCAGGAAAGAGAGGACAGCAGTTTGAATCTGAGTGGTAGCAGTAGAGAGGGTGGTCAGATTCAGTATGTATTCTCAAAGTAAAACAAGATGAAATGTGATATGTAGAGAGAGGCATCAAGGATGATTCCAAGGTTTTTGTCCCAAGTAAATGGAAGGATAGTCTATTTACTGAAATGGGGATGACCATGAAAGAGGCGTGGAGACACATATGAAGTGTGAGATGCCTATTATATCCACTATTACACATGCACATAGAGATGTTAAGTGGCCAGTGGGATACACAAGTTTGGTGTTAATATTATTTTACATTATGATTGTTCCCAGTATATGTTTGCTCTCTCCAACTGTGTTATAAAATCCTTAAGAATAAGAACGCCTCACTTTCACTTCATTCACAGGTGATAGTATCAAGACGAATTCTTACTTTTTTTTTTTAACCAAATCTGCCTTGATCTTGGAACTCTTATTTTATACACAATTTTAATAGGGTTATAGTTCTAGTTCCTGAATCCACCAAAAGATAGAAGTAGCAAATTTAAAATAGGGGGAAAAAAGCAGCTATCACTGACCGCTGACAAAGGAGTAAACAGAAAAGAAAGCATAAAAAGCTGACAAAAACTAGGCTGGGTGTGGTGGCTCACACCTGTAATCCCAGCACTTTGGAAGGCCAAGGTGGGAGGATTGCTTGAAGCCAGGAGTTCAAAATCAGAGTAGGCACCATAGTGAGACTCCATCTCTACAAAAAGTAAAAAAAAAATTAGTCAGGTATGGTGGTGCACATCTGCAGTCCCAGCTACTGGGGAGGCTGAAGTGGGAGGATCACTTGAGCTTGGGAGGTCAAGGCTACAGTAAGCTGTGATTGCACTGCTGCACTCCAGCCTAGGTAACAGAGCAAGAGACCCTGTCTTTAAAAAAAAAAAAAAAGTTTACAAAAACTAGAAAGATCTAGCATTCCAAGATTATTTATTATTTACTATAGGTATTATACAAACAACTGTACATATATGTCAGTATCCTCCCGAATTCAAGCTATCCTCCTGCCTCAGCCTCCCAAGTAGCTGGGATTACCAGCATGCACCACCATGACTAGCTAATTTTTGTATTTTTAGTATAGACAGGGTTTCACCATGTTGGCCAGGCTGGTCTTGAACTCCTGACCTCAAGTGATCCACCCGCCTCGGCCTCCCAAACCAAAGGCATTGTTCTGACAGAACAAAATTTTTCCAAATATCTTTAGTTACATTTAATGTAATTTTCAAATGTCATGTTTTAAAGTATTGTTATTTAAAATGGAAGAAACTGTATGCAAAAGAGTAAATGTCAATTATCTGAAAAATTTATATATGTGTTATCCTCACAGGTTTGTTAGAAGGCAGATGAAATTATATACACGAAAGTCGTCTAATAAACATTTATTTGGACTCGCCCTGTACTAAAAATGGTAGACATTTACGAAAAAGTAAGTTATCATTCAAGCTCAAGTCCCTCCTTTTTTTGAGACAGTCTCGCTCTGTCGCCCAGGCTGGAGTTAAGTGGTGTGATCTCGGCTCACTGCAACCTCGGCTAACTGCAACCTCTACCTCCCGGGTTCAAGTGATTCTCCTGCCTCAGCCTCCCAAGTAGCTGGGATTACAGGCATGGGTCACCACGCCCAGCTAATTTTTGTATTTTTAGTAAAGACGGGGTTTTGCCACATTGGCCAGGCTGTGTTTTAAACTCCTGACCTCAGGTGATCCACCCAACTGAGCCTCCCAAAGTGCTGCAAATTCAGGCGTGAGCCACGGTGCCCAGCCCAAGCTCAAGTCTCTTTTTGAGAGATGGACATATGAACAATTAATTATAACACAATGTGATCAGTAAAATGAATACAGATGTTGAATTCAGACATCTGGGTTTAAATTTTGACACTGTGTCAAAATTTAAGTGTGTAATTTTAGGCATGTTACCAACATCTCTGGAAATTATTAAAAAGATTATATATAAATATGTAAAGCATCTAGCAGGGTAGACTGCACATAGAAAATGAATGGTAGCTAATTATAATCCTCATACACACATGGTACAATGAAATAATAATAATGGGTTAAACCAGGTGCCACACTTTTTCTGTAAAGAGCAAGATACCAAATATTTTAGGCTTTGCAAGCCATACAGTCTGTATTGCAACCACTCAAATCTGCTGCTGCAGTGTGAAAGCAGCCATAGACAATACAAAAAAAAAAAAATGAGCATGGTTGTGTTCCAACACAAGTTTTTTTCAGGGACACTGATATTTGAATTTAATATAATTTTCATGTGTCACAAAATATTCTCCTTTTTATTCTTTCAACCACTTAAAAGTATAAGAACCATTCTTAGCTTGCAGGCCATACAACAGCAGGCAGCAGGCCAGATCTGACCTGTCCGTGAACAGTAGTTTACCAACCCCTGGTACATAGGAATGTTGGGGATGAAGACAGTGATCAGAACAGATGACTCTGTTCTCTGTTCCCCTGGGTAAAACAAGGTTTGGCAGTTGGAGGGGCAAAGACAGCATACCTGTGGCTGCTCGACACATAACTATTCTCCCCTATTCTCTTTGGCTAATTTCTGCTCATCTTTCAAGTCTCTATTTAAATATGACTACTCTAAGCAGGGCACAGTGGCTCACGCCTATAATCCCAGCACTTTGGGAGGCCAAGGAAGGAGGATCACCTGAGGCCAGGAGCTGGAGATCAGCTTTGGCAACATAGCAAGACCCAGTCTTTACAAAAAATTAGCTGGGCATAGTGGCATGCACCTGTGGTCCCAGCTACTTGGGAGACTGAGGCGGAAGGATCGCTTCGGCCCAGGAGTTCAAGGCTGCAGTGAGCTAAGATCACACAACCACACCCCAGTCTAGGCAACAGAGCAAGATCTTATCTCTAAAAAAAAAAAAAATGAAAAAAAAAAAAAGTCTGTAACTCTAGAACCTGTACTCTTTCCCTCCCTACCCCACCTAAGACTAATCTGATCCTTTCACTAGAGGCTTCCAAAGGACCCTGACAATTTCTATCATAGCATTCACCACGTTAAATTGTAATTTCTGGTTTAATTGTCTTCCCTGCAAGATTGTAAATCCATGCAAGCAGGAACTTGTCTCTTGCTCAACATGATATCTCTAGCATCTAGCCCAGTGCCTGGCACACAGCAGGTGCTAGTAAATATCCACTGGAACGAATGAATCTAGCAAAAGTCAAGTCTCACATCCAGCAACAGCTGTTTCTGGAACCTGTCAGGACACAAATCCTTAGGCAGGTTCCCTACTTCCAAATAGTACTTTACTCTCCCTTCCCAGAACACAGGTCAAACTTCCCTCTTCTACTCTTTTTCTTTGGCCAGATTTAAGGAATCTAAAGCTAATTCTCTTTGAAACTTCTTCTGTCCCTTCCCTTTCCAACCCTTGAGCTGAGGCCCCAAATTCCTTACTATAATCTTGCTGTCATTTCCCCAGCACCCAGTTTCCAGGATATTTAAGAATAGGGTACTAGGGGCAGGAAACAGGGAATAGAAAATCAATAAGCCATAACAGAGAATTCCAGTTTTGTTTGTGTGTGTGTGTGTGTGTGTGTGTGTGTGTGTGTGTGTGTGTGTGTAGACAGTGGCATGATCTCGGCTCACTGCAACCTCCACCTCCTGGATTCAAGCGATTCTCATGCCTCAGCCTCCCGAGTAGTTGAGTCTACAAGCACCCGCCACCACACCCAGCTAACTTTTGTATTTTTAGTAGAGACGGGATTTCACCATGTTGTCCAGGCTGGTCTCGAACTCCTGACCTCAGGTGATCCACCCACCTCGGCCTCCCAAAGTGCTGGGATTACAGGCATGAGCCACCACGCCCAGCAAGAATTCCAGTTTTTGAATCGCTGAAATAACAGCTTTTTACTTTTGACCACTTTGGCCCCAGGAGTAAATAAGAAGTAACAGAGCTCCAGCTCCTCCGCCTTTCCCTACACCTGCACTGCCAGAAGTAAAGGGAACGTCCACTCTGCAGCTTCTTCACTACCTCTGTCCTTCATGTGCTTACACTACAATTTGCCTTGAGACATCAGGACTAATGTCATCATGATGTGTCCCTCTTTACGTTACTCACCACGAAAATCCCAGGACTCTCAGGTCATTCTGAATCCTCAAACTCTCACCCCCTTTCTCCACTCCTCCTCAATTCCTGAAATCTTTGCATCATATCCCCTGGAACACATCAGCTAAATCCCCTATATCTTAAACCTCTTGTCTGAATGGTCCCTTCACTCTTTTGCTCCAAACGAAATCTAATTGCTCTGAAGCCACTGTTCTCTCTATAGTCCTATCCGTAGTGTTTTCTCTCTCACACTCTTATACCAGAGGGCCTAGAGGTTAGAAGAGGTAAAGTTATTTATCTTGTACCTAGTTTGTTTCCAGATAATTCCCCCTTCCTTCCTGAAAAAAGCCTCCTGTCAAACCATACCACCACTACCCCCTTCTTCTTTACATTCATCTGATATGCCTAGGTCACTTCTCAAGCCTTAAGCCTTGAAGACTTTAGTTCCTGGTTCACTGGGCTATCATTCCAGGCGATTTCAATGTTCATATAGATGACTGTTCTGATGCTCGCACCTCTCAGTTCCTTGACCACCTCTCATACGACAATCTCGTCCTTTACCCTACATTCCACTCACTCCCACAGTCAATACCCTAGACCTTGTCGTTACAATAATTATAGTCCCCCAACAATCTCAACTTCAGCTGCACTCTACTCTCCAATCACCATTCTGTATCTTTTCAGATTGCTCCATCTAGCACCCTAACTCTAAAAATCCTTTGACCCCACCAGGATTTATAAGCCATTGATCCCATTCCCCTCTTACATCCTCATTTTCCTCCTCAGCTTCAAGTTCAAGGTCCATCATTATAATCATTCCCTTGCATACACCTCAAGTCTCTTGACTTCCACTCTCATTTCATCATACCTGCCTGGCAAAACACCAACCCTGATTAAATACAACCCCTGTTAAGAAAAACAAAAACATTTAGGACATTCGGGAGGCAACTGGAAATTAGAAAACTAACAGCTGGGCATGGTGGTGCATGCCTATACTCCCAGCTACTTGGGAGGCTGAGGAAGAAGGATCAACTGAGCCCAAGAGGTCAAGGCTGCGATGAGCCGTGTTTGCACCACTGCACTCCAGCCTGGGCGACAGAGCGAGACCCTGTCAGACAATCAATCAACCAATCAATCAATCAATAAAACAAAAACTAGGCCAGGCAGGTGGATCATTTGAGGTCAGGAGTTCAAGACCAGCCTGGCCAACATGGCGAAACCCTGTCTCTACTAAAAATACAAAAATTAGTTGGGCAGTGTGCTACATGGCTGTAATCCCAGCTACTCAGGAGGCTGAGGCAGAAGAATCGCTTGAGTCTGGGAGGCGGAGGTTGCAGTGAGCTGAGATCGTGCCACTGCACTCCAGTCGGGGCGACAGAGTGAGACCCTGTCTCAAAAATAAATTAAATTTTAAAATAAAACAAAAACTAAAAAAGAAAAGAAAAAGAAACTGACAGGATATTTGATATCAAGGAATTGTTAAATCTTTTAGTATGGTAATGGTACTTTTTGGTAAGAGTTCATATCTTTTAGAGAAACATGAAATATTTAAGCACAAAATATGATGTTTGGGATTGCTTCAAAATAATATGGAAAAGTAGAAATGGTTGAGGGTACAAATAAAACAAGATTAGCAGTGAGTAAATATTTGTTGAAACTGGGTGATGAGTACATGAGGGCTCTATTTACTTTTGTATGTTTAAAATTTTCCTGAATAACATGTTTAAAAAAAATGCAGCTGTCCATCTACTCTATGCCTGCACCATGCAGCTAAATGTGGCTTTAAAAAGGAAAAAAAGAGCCAGATGCAGTGGCTCATGCCTGTAATCCCAGCACTTTGGGAGGCAGAGGCAGAAGGATCATATGAGCCCAGGAGTTTGAGACCAGCCTGGTCAACATAGGGAGACCTTGTCTCTACAAAAAATTTTAAAATTAGCCAGGCATGGTGGTACTTGGCTATAGTTCCAGCTACTTGGGAGGGTGAGACAGGAGGACAGCTTATCCCAGGAGGTTGAGACCAGCCTGGGCAACATAGTAAGACTTTGTCTCTACAAAAAAAAATCAAAAAAATTAGTCAGGCGTTGTGGCACATGCCTGTGGTCCCAGCTACTTGGGAGGCTGAGGTGGGAGAATCACTTGAGCCTGGGAGGTTGAAGGATGCAGTGAGCTATGCACCACGGCACTCAAGCCTGGCTGACGGAGTAAGATCCTGTCTCAAAATTAAAATGAAATAATAAAAATAAAACATTCATACTAAACAGTTCTCACATAAAATTCACAACAGCTAACTTCAAATGGTCTCTTAGCTCAGCATGACAATCAAAACTTTTGCCTCATCCATTCATTCTCCCACTCCTCTATTTGGTACATTTTATGCCATTTTCTCTTTCCTCAAGCTATCAATGAACATTTCCTCGTCCATGCTTACTCCTAGTTGCTGCCCTTCCACTTCCTCAGTGAAAGAGAAGGCAATCACTACCACCATTTGCCCTGTCCTCTCTCCTGTTATGCACTGTAGATGAACTGACTGCTCCTATCTACAGCCAACTCCTCCACTTGAACACCAGACTCCAAACCCTATTGCCTAGTCATTCCCCTTTCTCCCTCCTGCATCAGCAATATTTCCCTCTCTACTGGTGCATCCTCATCAGCACTGTAGAAACATACTCTCAGTTATCTCACTGAAAAAGATAAGCCATAACCCCAGTTTCCTCACCAGCTACTTATCCATTTCTCTGCTCTCCTTCACAGCAACACTCCAAGAAGCTGTAACTGTCTCCAATTCCTTTCCTCCCATTCAAAATCACCCCAAGAGGCTTTTGCTTCCTGATTACCCTACCAAAGCCTCTCCCATCAAGATCAGCAAGAAATTCCAAATTACTAAATCTGATGGTCAATTTTTAGTCATCTTACTTAGATATCTGCAACATCTAGTATACCATGTATATTCTTACTTTGTCAAAACATTCCCCTCCCCAGAATATAAACTCAAGGAAGACAGAGAGGTCTGTTTTGTTCACAGCTGTAACTCTAACAGTGCCTGGTACATGGTACCATATTTTTTTCTTTTTTTTGAGACGGAGTCTCGCTCTGTCGCCCAGGCTGGAGTGCAGTGGCGTGATCGCTGCTCACTGCAAGCTCCGCCTCCCGGGTTCACGCCATTCTCCTGCCTCAGCCTCCCGAGTAGCTGGGACTAAGGCACCTGCCACCACGCCTGGCTAATTTTTTGTATTTTTAGTAGAGATGGGGTTTCAACACATTAGCCAGGATGGTCCTGATCTCCTGACCTCGTGATCCGCCTGCCTTGGCCTCCCAAAGTGCTGGGATTACAGGCATGAGCCACCGCGCCTGGCCATTTTTTTCATATTTTAACATCTCTGAAAACCAGGCACAATTAATGACATCTTATAATTGCTATTTGTTTCTTTCAAGCACCTGGGGCACTACCAATCCGAAACAACTTTTAATTAGAATCTCTGTTTAAATTTTGTTGTACCACATAGGGAGTGTGAATTCAGACCTAGAACCAGTTTAAATTCCCATGAAAGTTTTTAGCCCTCCTACACACCATCAAAGTTGAGACACAAGATGCCTTGCTATGCCTTTCTGTATGGTGGGTTTACTTCTCATTTCCATTCTCATGTAGTTTCCCAGCTTTATGCGTGGCCCCTAATAGACTATCCATCTTGGGCTTATTTCTCTTTTCTAGTAGTACATCAAGTAATGGTGTATCTTACAACTGATGAAATCAGAAATAGCAATACAAGTATGTTATTACAGAAATGGAGATAAAAATATTAACTAAAAAAGCTAAAAGTGCTTCTGAGAAAAGGGAAATAAAGGAAGGAGTGCTGCTTTCTTAAAACAAGCTTTACAAAACTATTTGATTCTATAAACCATATTCACACATAACTTTGATGAAAATGAACCCTGAAAACCAAAGGAAAAAAAAAAGAATTATATGCTCTTTGAGAAAAAAATTAGAAAAAAAGACACGAAAACGTATGTGGACATGGGGGAAATGCAGGGGTCAGAAGGTGAGAAGCCCTTGAGTCTGGCAAAGGCAAAATAAAGAGGAAGGACAAAAACAAAAGGAAGAAAAATCTAGGGCAGCTTTGCAAGTACTGGAGACAAAGCATGCTAAAACAGCCTAAGAGAGAAAAAGTCAAAATTGTCAGGCTGTTTTCATTGAAATTGTAGGAAATAGTACAGAAATAGACCTTTTCAAACAAGCTCCCTATTACCTAATGTACATCTCCACCTGGATATCCCACAGGAAACTCAAATTGAACATGTTCCTAGTAAAAGAGCTGTTTAACTCAAATCATTTTCTGGAAAACATGGGGGTTGGTGGGATTTCTGTATTTACATATAAAGGATTAAGTGTGTGAGGGGAAAAAAAGAATATCCGTAATCCAAGTAAATATACCATCAATTAAATTTTCCAGATTTCTCATGTTTGAAAATTTAACACATCTCAACTAAGTTCATCCATTCCCAAGCCTGTCCTTCTTCCCATAGTGCCTATGTGGGTGGCACTACTTGGTCTCCCAAACAAGAAACCCAGGAAGTGATATGCGTTCTTCCCTTTATTCTCCCATCTTCATCCAATACAATCCCGCCTAACCTATTTCTAAATTCTCTTGAATTTATCTTCTCCATTCCACCTTCCTTCTATTAGGACTTCAATCTTCCCTGGAGTACACCAATATTCTGTAACGTTCCAACCAGCCTCCACATAACTGCTGAGGGGATCCTTCTACATTGAACATAAGCCTGTTCGTGTCATTCTCCTGTTTAAAACCCCCTTATATAAAGTTCAAGTTCAAGCTTCTTAGCATTGCAAATAAAATTTTTTATGAACTGGCCCTAGTCTGGCCCCCATCCTCATTTAAAACTACTTATTCATTCATTCATTCAGTCAGCCATCAAATTTTTCTTTTCTTTTCTTTTTTTTTTTTTTTTTTTTTTTTTGAGACAGGGTCTCCCTCTGTCTCCCAGGCTGGAGTGCAGTGGCTTGATCTCACTGCAATCTGCACCTCCTGGGCCCAAGCAATCCTCACACCTCAGCCTCCTGAGTAGCTGAGACCACAGGCTCACACCACTCATTTTTGTATTTTTTTGTAGAGATGGGGTTTTGCCATGATGCCCAGGCTGGTCTCAAATTCCTGAGCTCAAATGATCTGCCCACCTCGGCCTCCCACAGTGCTGGGATTACAGATGTGGGCCACCATGCTCGGCCAATGGATCCTTTTTTTTTTTTTTTTTTTTTTTTTAAAGAGCTAAGAGTCTCACTCTGTCACCCAGGCTGGAATGCAATGACACCATCATAGCTCACTGCAGCCTCAAACTCCTGGGCTCAAGTGATCTTCCCACCTCAGCCTTCCACGTAGTTAACACTACAGGCATGCACTACCATATCCAGCTAGCTTTTTTTTATTTTTTGTAGAGATAGGGTCTTGTTATGTTACCCAGGTTGGTCTCAAACTCCTGGCCTTAAGCGATCCTCCCATCTTAGCCTGCCAAAGCTGTGGGATTACAGGAGTGAGCCACAGCACTCAGCCAGCCAGTAAATATTTATTGAGCACTTATAATATGCCAGATTCTATACTAGGCACTGGGGAATATACTAGTGAGCAAAACAAAATTGTCCTGCACTTTCCTAGCTTACAGTCTAATGGAGGAAACCGCTCAAATACATGCACCCACTCAGCAAACATCTTTTTAATATCTACTTGTATAAGCACTCTTCTCAGGACAGGAAATACAGTGATGAGCAAGACAAAGTCCCTACCCTCAGACAGTTTACATTCTAATAAAAAACTATGATACATGCCATGAAAATAAAGCTTAGGATGCTATGATATCCACAGGGAGAAGGAAACCTGAAACAAACTGAGGAGTCAGCAAAGACTTCTCTCAGGAAGTGATAACTGAGGTCAGAGCCCAAAGATGAGAAGGTAATGATAAGAGAAGAGGTGGTGGCAGTGAAGAACATTCCAGACAGAGGGAATAGCAAGTACAAAGGCCCTGTAGCGAGTGGGAACACAAGGCATTAGGGAAATAAATGGCCAGGTAGCATGGGTAGGAATGGTGCCAGATGAAGCTAAAAACACAGGCACTAAAATGTAAATATATTAATGATCACTGTGTTGGGAATGGATTATTAGGGGTACAAGAGTGGAATCAGAGGAGCTCATTTAAAAGGCTATTACAGAGCTGAAGTCCAGAGCTGAAGACAAATGATACACATGAATACCTGAATCGCTAGGAGTTACAAAAGAGTTTAGGCCACAGGCCATGTACTCAGCCCAAAACAAGATGGAACTGAGCATAAATTAAGAAACAAAAAGGACTGCTCCATCCATGAAATGCGAAGTAGAAACAGCTCTCTAGCTAGGAGAAGAGAAAGCCTTGCATTTGGGACTAGGAATGGAAAAAGTTACCTGGAAGAAACTGGATCCTAGTCCTGCACCATTCACAGATGTGAGATCTAAATTCATACTACACATGTGGTAGAGGGACCCCAAGCTGACACTTTATCATAAATAAGATTCAGAACTAAAGAATGAAATAGTACCATAGTAGAAGCAAAGGAGAAACTATGCAGTAGGGAAGCTTCCACAATCTGAGGTACATAGGACTCAAGTTCAGGGTTAAAGAAAATACACACACATACACAGACAGAGAAACAAACCTCCCACGAGGAAATCAGCAATCAAAGACAGCACCCCAAGAATAAGAACACGATGAAGACAAGGAGATGCTAAAACCCTTGTACACTGTTGGTGGGAATGTAAAACAGTGCAGCTGCTATGGAAAACATATGACATGATCCACTAATCTCACTTCTGGATATTTATCCAAAAGAACTGAAATCAGGATCTTGAGGGGTATTTTCATTCCTACGTTCATTGTAGCATTATTCACAATGGCCAAGATGTGGAAACAACCTAAATGTACATCAACGGATGAATTAGTGAGAAAATATAGTATACACATACAATGGAATATTAAGTTTTAAAAAAGGAAATCCTGCCACATGTGACAACATGGATGAACCCTGAAACACTATGCTAAGTGAAAGCCAGTCACAGGACAAATAATGCATGATACCACTTATATGAGGTATATAAAATACTCAAACACACAGATGCATCAAGTAGCATGGTGGTTGCCAGGGGCTGGGAAGAGGGGGAAACAAAGAGTTGCTATTCAGTGGGTATAAAGTTTCAGTTACACAAGCTAATTAAGTTCTACAGGTCTGCTGTAAAACACTGTCCCTATAGTTAATATTACAGTATTGTACAACAAAAGATTTGTCAGGAGGGTAGATTTCATGTTAAGTGTTCTTACTACCAAAAAGAAGTAATATAACAATCTGGGTCGGGCACAGTGGCTCATGCCTGTAATCCCAGCACTTTGGGAGGCTGAGGCGGGTGGATCACCTGCGGTCAGGAGTTCAAGACCAGCCTAATCAACATGGTGAAACCCCATCTCTAATAAAAATACAAAAAAATTAGTGGGCATGGTGATGGGCGCCTGTAATCCCAGCTACTCGGGAGGCTGAGGCGGGAGAATCACTTGAATCATGGAGGAGGAGGTTGCAGTGAGCCAAGATCATGACACTGCATTCCATCCTGGGCAACAGAGTGAGATTCTGTCTCAAAAAAAAAAAAAAAATCTGAAAAACAAGGTAGTATTGTCTCTAAGATAGGAACAACACAAAGATATTTACTTTCACTGCTTCTCTTCAACATTGTATTGGAGGTCCCAGCCAGTGCAATCAGGCAAGAAAAAGAAATAAAAGAAGACTGGGCACAGTGGCTCACACCTATAATCCCAGCACTTTGGAAGGCCAAGACAGGAGGTCACTTGAGGCCAGGAGTTTGAGACTAGCCTGGGGAACATAGCAAGACTCCATCTCTATAAATAAAAAAATACTTTAAATTAAAAAAATTTTAAATTAAAAATTAAAAGGAATCCAGATTAAAAAGAAAAAAGAAAAAGAAATAAAATTGTCTTTTTTTATCCCCCGAGACAGAGTCTCGCTCTATTGCCCAGGCTGGAGTGCGGTGGTGGGATCTCGGCTCACTGCAACCTCCGCCTCCTGGGTTCAAGGGATTCTCCTGCCTCAGTCTCCTGAGTAGCTGGGATTACAGGCCTCTGCCACCAAGCCCAGCTAAATTTTTTTTTTGTATTTTTAGTAGAGACAGGGTTATGTTGGCCAGGCTGGTTTCGAACTCCTGACCTCAGGTGATCCACCTGCCTCGGCCTCCCAAAGTGCTGGGATTACAGGCGTGAGGCACCACGCCCGGCCTTAAAATTGTCTTTATTCATAGATGACATGATCATCTGTGAAAAAACTATCTGATAAAATCTAAAAAATAATAATAAATGAGTTTAGCAACGTTGCAGGATACAAGGTCAATACAGAAAAATCTATTATATTTCTATATACTAGCAACAAGCAATCACTAATTAAAACTATAAATACAAAGCATTAAATATAAAATTTGTAAAGATAAATCTGAAAAAAAAAAGATGTGAAAGATCTGAACACTGAAAACTACACATCATGGAGAGATATTAAAGACCTAAATAAAAGGAGTTATATATCTATCTGGTCATAGGTTAGAAGATTCAATGTTGTCAGCATGCCAATTCTCCCCAAACTGATTCAATAGATTTAATGCAATCTCAATCAAAATCCCAGCAGACTTTTTTTGCAGAATCCAGCAAACTAGTTCTGTTTTTTTTTTTTTTTTTTGGAGACAAGGTCTTGCTCTGTTCCCCAGACTGGAGTGCAGTGACTCGATCTCAGCTCACTGCAACCTCTGCCTCCTAAACTCAAGGGATCCCTCCCACCTCAGCCTCCCAAGTAGCCGCGACTGCAGGTGTGCACCATGAAGCCCGGCTAATTTTTGTATTTTTGGTAGAGACAGGGTTTCGCCATGTTGCCCAGGTGACATGGGCTCAAGCAATTTTCCCACTATGGCCTCCCAAAGTGGTGGGATTACAGGTGTGGGCCACCACTCCCAGCCCAGCAAACTAGTTCTAAAATCCATATGAAAATGCAAAAGTCCTGGAATAGTAAAAACGACTTTGAAAAAGAAGTTGTAGGGCTGGCCAGGAGCAGTGGCTCACGCATGTAATCTGAGGCAGTAAAATCACTTGAGGCAGGAAGATCACTTGAGTCCAGGAGTTCAACACCACCAGCCTGGGCAACATAGGGAGAACCTGTCTCTATAAAAATAAACATAAAAATAGCAGGACATGGTGGCCTGCTATTGAAAGGAAACAAATAGATGAGCCTCGGTTTTCTTGTGCTATAAAACAGAAAAGCTATCAAAGACTACTGGGGTCACATCAAAAGGACAAAGGAGCCAAATTAAATGGGTTCCCACTGAACTAAGATGACACAATATGAACATCAATAAGAATAATGTCTACGGTGCCTGAAACATATTAAATACATAAATATCCATTAATTTATAATCACACTCTAAAACAAACAAAACACATTAGTCATTTTTGGAGGTTAGTGGGGCACTAAGTCATTTCATTATTCTAAATACGAACAAAGAGAAATAATTCTGCCCTTCCTGTACAAACCATATTTCAAAGTAATAAAAAAGTCAATGAAGGAAAAAGTCTTCTTTATAGAAAAATTCTACCTAATAAATACAGAATAATAATAAAATTAGAAAAAAATCCCTATTTTGTATGCCTTAATGTAAGAATGGATCTAGTCAACAATCAATGGCTGCTAAAATCACTGAATGAAAGGCTGATGGAGAACTTTTAGAAAAGGATGGATAATGTTGACAATACTCATGAAAAGTAGTGAGTGGGAAGAACAGAGGAAACTAAGAATGGAAAAAATTTTAATAATCACTGAAGCTAGATGAGTCTACAGGGGAGTTAATTATATTATTCTTTCCATTTTTATTGTTGAAAATGTCCACAATTAAAAAAAAATACGACTCCAATTGGCATAATTAAGGTGAGACAAAGCACTGGTGAGTACACAGATGTTTCTATATTACTATTTTTTTTGGATGGAGTTTCACAGTTTTGCCCAGGCTGGAGTGAAGTGGCATGATCTCTGCTCACTACAACCTCCGCCCCCTGGGTTCAAGCAATTCTCCTGCCTCAGCCTCCCAAGTAGCTGGGATTATGGGCGCCTGCCACCACGCCTGGCTAATTTTTGTATTTTTAGTAGAGACAGGGTTTCACCATGTTGGCCAGGCTGGTCTCAAACTCCTGACCTCAGGTGATCCACCCAACTCAGCTTCCCAAAGTGCTGGGATTACAGGCGTGAGCCATCGCGCCCGGCCTACTTCTATTTTTATCTGTGGATTTGAAATATTTCTTTTTGTTTGTTTGTTTTTTGAGATGGAGTCTCACTCTGTTGCCTAGGCGCTGGAGTGCAGTGGTGAGATCTCGGCTCACCGCAACCTCTGCCTCCCGGGTTCAAACAATTCTCCTGCCTCAGCTTCCTGAGTAGCTGGGACTACAGGCACCTGCCACCACGCCTGACCAATTTTTGTATTTTTTGTAAAGACAGGGTTTCGCCATGTTGGCCAGGCTAGTCTCGAACTCCTGACCTCAGGTGATTCACCCGCCTCCCAAACTGCTGGGACTACAGGTGTGAGCCACCAACCCTGGCCTGAAATATTTCACAGTAAGCATGGTTTAAGGTGGAACTAAACTACCAAAAAATTAAACAAGATTGAAGCATACAGAAGGAATATAACTTAAAGCATTATTTTTTTAATCACTCATCTTTAATAATAAAATAGGTTCCCATGCAGTACATACCTCAGACATAAAGTTAAGGTTCTGTTTAACAACAACCAAAAAAAAAAAATAGGATGGAAAAGTGTCACTAAATAACAATCAAACCTTAAATTCATATCCAAGCAAAAAGACCAAGAATAAGTTAACCCAACTTGTTTACAAAACTAATTATCTGTCAAGTAATCTTTTACAGTAGAGCTGCCTCAATGAACTGCCTCAGACTTAATCTCAATTGTGTAGCTTATTTCCTTTCTTTCTTACCAGGGATAAAAAGTATCTGAATGAATGTGTCGTTAAATTAAGGGATACTTTCCCAAAAACAATAAAAAAGTTTAAAAATAAAAACTGTCATTTATTTATAAAATATCAAATAAGGCCTCTGACTGAGAAAAGAAATCCATGTAATGTTTGGGCCATTAGCCCTTTTCTATTCAATCAGTCTCATCCACCCCACTCAGCCCAAACTTAAGATAGAAAAATTCTGAAGTGTAAAGTGGTTTTGAATTTCACCAGTATATGAAATTATACATAAAAATTACCATATAAAGTAATATTTATTTAAAAAATTATATACTCAAAGTAGAATTTTCTATTTGTCTTTAATATGCCTTCAATATAAATGAGTATAATATATTTCATCATGTTTGACACTCTTCTTTTATCCCTTTTTACTACAATCACAACATTAGAAAATTTAGGTTTCAACTGATGTTAAAGCACATTTCCATAACTGGTGGCTTTTTTAAAATATACATACTACATACTTGACTTTTTTTTAAAATATACATATTTTTTGAGACGCAGTCTTGCCCTGTTGCCCAGGCTGGAGTGTAATGGCACGATCTCAGCTCACTGCAACCTCCGCCTCCCGGGTTCAAGCGATTCTCCTGCCTCAGCCTCCCGAGTAGCTGGGATTACAGGCACACGCCTCCACGACCAGCTAATTTTTGTATTTTTAGTAGGGACGGGGTTTCACCATGTTGGCCAGGCTGGTCTCAAACTCCTGACCTCGTGATCCACCAGCCTCGGCCTCCCAAAGTGCTGGGATTACAGGCGTGAGCCACCGCGCCCGGCATATTTGACATTTTAAAAGACAACAGAAAACAAATACTTCTAAATCCACAGATTACCCCACCTCTACCCCCGCTTTCAGCTGAAAGGTTTTAAGAAAAATCTTACAGGTTATGAGGACCAGATGGAGTTTAAAAACAGATCCAGAATTTTTTTTTGAAATTTTAATTTAAAAGAGTTCTATGAGCCAGAGGAATTCCCAATTCACTTTGAAATTACCATACCTATTTTGCCATATCAAACACTTCAATTCTGTTAATTAAATGAACTACATAGTATCCTTAAAAATCAGCCAGAGAAGAGAAAAACAAATCTCATCTTCATTACTGACTTCGAACCAAAACTTATTCTTTCAAAGGAGAAGTTTAACCTACTAAAATGTCTATTATAAGATTTTCTTTCTTAGAAAGTAGTATTCCTTCTTTTTCATTCCTGAAATGGTATTTCTTATACTTAAACAAGTTATGGACAATTGTTAGCTAAGTATCAGTTATGGTAAATTGCTAAAATTACCTTTTTTGTTTATGGTACATATAACACATTCCTATAGCCTTTAAAACTGAATTTTCTTTCACAAAAATTTAAATAAATGTGAAAGTAGGTAATCACTAAAGCTGAAGTCTCATGGTACATAAACTTTGTGTTAACTTTAACGCCAAATAAGGATGAAATTTAGCATGCAAATCTTCCATTCACAAAACAGTGGCAAAACTTTATATTTTTAAATTGATATAATTTTATGAATTCTCACATATTTATTGGGAATATTCAAGTTTACCTAATTAATCACCCAGAAAGCCAGCAGCACTGCCAAAAGTTCTATATTTAGTAGTCACTGTGAAAACCTTTCATTTCTTTACCAGTTGGCAATGGCTCAGTTTCTATTTTCCAATTATGTTTTGGAAAAAGGTCTATGACCATTAACTATGCGTTTTTGTTGCTATCTCATAGCCAGTACACTGTACATATTTAAAGAGAAAAAAATAATGGATTGAATTTTCTGTTCATTCATTCATTCACTTATTTGACCACTGGGAGCCATGTAAGAAGCTCACAGACTCAGAAGCTCTTCAGCTCTTCCTCAGACTCAAGTCACTGTTGGTCACTAATGCTGACAAAGAAGTACTTTCCGACACATCTTCTTTCCTTAGGTTCAAAAGTGATTCTCGAGTTATTTATAGGATCTCTCTAACGCCTTTGTTTTCTTGTTCAAGTTGAAATATTAGTTCTTGTTCCTTGCAATCCTGTTGCTTGTCAATTTCAATGGCTTTCTTCATTACTGCTGCCATATTTCATTTATCTGGTCAACATGTGCCTGTATCCTTGGAGTGCTGCTTTTGTTAACTTCATTATTTTTCCCGGATCATCTTTTTTGCTAGCCATTAGCAATCTAACCATTTGTTCTCGATACTTGCTCATCGTAAGTTCCAAGGCCGACTGATGTTCTTCCAGGGATGTACGCAATTCTTTTCTTTCTTGTTGCAATTCTCTGATTTGTCTGTTTTCTTGCTGGATTCCCATAACTAACGTGGACCGTGGCCGATGTTCTTGCGACTTCATTAAGCTCTTGAATTTCTTTCTGATACTGCTTCGTGGCTTCTACTCGCTTATTGAGAGCTGTGGTTTGCTCAATCAGAGTTTCTGCTGCATCGTCGTGATCTCTTAATCTTTCAACAAGAGTTTTAGCATCAGCAAGTGCCTTCTCAATTGTGCAACTCATTTCTAAAGATATATCCTGCTCTTAGTCCCTCGCAGCCGTCAGCTGTGGCGATGAGGACTCAAAGCCTCTACCAACCGGGACCTATGCACCCAAGGGAAGAGACTCCGCGCCCCTAATCTGCCTCCTCAGTTAGCAGACGCTGAACCAGACGGAGGCAGCGGAGGTGTGGCCGTGAAGCCAGTAGCGTTTAGCCCCACCACCGGCGGGGGAGACACCTCTGCTAACCGCCTCCGCCAGGGGCGCCAAAAGGACTCCAGCCTTGCGAGATTTCCTTCCTCGCGTTACGGTGGGGCAGGGCCGAACACTTGAAGCTTTGCGTGAGAAGGCTGGGCGGGGTCCTTCCAACTTAAAGCATTCTGAGGTTCCTGAATTATTCAGGAAGTCAAAGATATTAATCTTGGACTTCAGTAAGTATGCATGTTAAAAATTTAACAGTTAACTACTAAACAGAGAAATAGAATGTTCAACTTAAAAATCAGAAGAAAAAAGGACTCCATATATACAACAGAATGCAAATAAGAAGTGTGGTCACCATGGCTCACACTTGTAATCCCAGCACTTTCGTAGGCCAATGTGAGAGGACTGCTTGAGACCAGGAGTTCAAGACCAGCCTGGCCAACATAGTGAGATCCCATCTCTACAAAAAAATTAAAATTAGCTGGGCATGGGGACTTGTGCCTACAGTACCAGCTACTTATGAGGCTGAAGAGGGAGGATCACTTGAGCCTGGGAGGTTGAGGCTGAAGTGAGCTAGGATTATGCCACTGCACTCCAGCCTGGGCAAGAGAGTGTGACCTTGTCTCTTAAAAAAAAAAAAAAGGAAAAAAAAATGTGGTTCAAGGCTAGGCATGGTGGCTCATGCCTGTAATCCCAACACTTTGGGAGGCTGAGACAGGTGGATTACTTGAGGCCAGAAGTTCAAGACCAGCCTGAGTAACATGGTAAAACCCCATATATATAAAAAAATAAAAAAAATTAGTCCAGCATGGTGGCACATGCCTGTAGTCCCAATTGCTCATAAGGCTGAGGCAGGAGGATATATTGAGCCCATGAGTTTGAGGCTGCAGTAAGCCATGATTGCACCACTGCACTCCAGCCAGGGTGACAGAGAGAGACCCTGTCAGGGGAAAAAAAATTATTTTTTAAAAAAAAAAGTAGGGTTCAAAAAACAAGTATAAATGAAAACAGCAGAAATAAGTGTAAACTATCAGTAATCACATTAAATATGAAAAGATTACATTTATCAAGACAATCAGATTTTTGAAATACAACTATGTACAGCTTACGAAGAAACACTTAAAGCAAAGTAAGCCAGAGGGCTGACAATTTAAAAGATGGTTTAAAAAAATGTGCTACACAAATATTAATCAAAAAATCTTATTGGTATTCATTCATTAATATTAGTAACAGAGACAAAAAGACTTAAAGTGAAAAAGCCAGGCATAGTGGTGCACGCCTGTAGTTCCAGCTACCCAACAGGCTGAGGCAGGAGGATTGCTTGAGCCCACAAGTTTGAAGCCAGGCTGGGCTATAATATAGCAAGACCCTGCCTCAAAAAAAATAAATACTTAAAGCAAAAGGCATTAATATGTGATCATAAAGAGAGAGCCCACAGGATTCATCAAAAGAGAACCCCTTACACCTGCAGTAAGATACTCCTCTCCATTATGAACAGATGTGTCAGCAGGGGATCTAGGTAAGAACGCCCCTGCTCCCTCCCCACACTCCCACCCTCACCTCCAGTGCCTGCCTGCTCTCCACCAGGCCTAATCTCTTCAGGTTCTTTATCTCTGCTTATGCTGTCCATCAAAGAAGCCCCAGACTCCCACATCTCTCATCTCCCATCTCCCACATTCTTTTTTTTTTTTTTTTTTTTTGAGACAGAGTCTAGTTCTGTTGCCCAGGCTGGAGTGTGCAGTGGCGTGATCTCAGCTCACTGCAACCTCAACCTCCCAGCTTCAAGAGATTCTCCTGCCTCATCCTCCCGAGTAGTTGGGATTACAGGAGTGCATCACCGCGCCTGGCCAATTTTTGTATTTTTAGTAGAGATGGGTTTTCACCAAGTTGGTCGGGCTGGTCCCAAACTCCTAACCCCAGGCGATCCACCCACCTCAGCCTCCCAAAATGCTGGGATTACAGGCATGAGCCACCACGCCTGGCCTCATCTCCCACATTCTAATCCCCACACTGTTCTGCATATCTCTAGTTCCGTCTCCATGTGTCATCCACCTCTCCAAACTTTGAAGCGCTTTCCCTACATTTTCAGCATCTTCTTTGAATATTCCCTTCAACTTCTTGCTCTAATTAAAAGCCGGTTCTCCTCTGGGGCCACACTGGCCTCTGGGGCCCTAAAGTGGTGTAAGTTACCTTCCCCATACCTCTCATACCACTGGACCTGGGGGTGAGTAAGTGTCCTCTTTGCTCCTCACAGATGTTTCCAAATCAGTCTCCCTCCTTATTCCCTAAAAAAACACAAAACCTTACATCGAATATCCTATAAAAATTCTATTACCCAATACCTGGCTTACTGTGACCTTCTACACTACTATCTTAACTCTCAGTGATTTCACAAAGATGATCTTTCCATACCGTATCTCTCTGAATTCCTTGTCTCAGTTCTTTAAATTTCTCACTTCCACTGATCTTGTCCTTTACCCACTCATCCCATGATCATGCTTTCACAATATCAATTAGCTCCCACTGTCCAACAATAACCCACTATCTTCATGGTTCAGTCTCTCACATACCCAAACTCCAGCAGCTTCTGATCCCACCAGGACCTTCCATCCATTGCTTCTCCCATCTTTTCACTATCTCTTAGCCACTTCATGTCCTCCCCTCCTTACCCGGTTAGAATTCCACAGTATATTATACCACTCCCTTGCATACACAGGTACCCTCTATCCCTTGCCCTTCTCCTGCTTTGTTTGGCTATCTTGGCAAAACCCCTCCCTGGTTAAATTCACTCCAAACATACACCCCTGCAGCTGAATATGGCTGGAGGAAATAAACCATACTGACCAATCTCACTTTAAATTTATAACCACAGAGGCCGGGCACAGTAGCTCACGCCTGTAATCCCAGCACTTTGGGAGGCCAAGGCGGGCAGATCACCTGAGAGGTCAGGAGTTTGAGACCAGCCTGGCCAACAAGGTGAAACCCCGTCTCTACTAAAAATACAAAAATTAGTTGGGCATGGTGGCGCACGCCTGTAATCCCAGCTACTGGGAGGCTGAGGCAGGAGAACGGCTTGAACCAAGGAGGCGGAGGTTGCAGTGAGCCGAGATGGCACCACTGCACTCCAGCCTGGGTGACAGAGCGAGATTCTGTCTCAAATAAATAACCACAAGCTGGGCACAGTGGCTCACACCTGTAATCCCAGCACTTTGGGGGCCGAGGCAGGCGGATCACTTGCGGTCAGGAGTTTGAGACCAGCCTGGCCAACATGGTGAAACCCCGACTCTACTAAAAAAAAAATACGAAAATCAGCCAGGCATGATGGCATGCACCTGTAATCCCAGTTACTTGGGAGGCTGAGGCACAAGAATCACTTGAACCTGGGAGGCAGAGGTTGCAGTAAGATCGCACCACTGCACTCCAGCCCGGGAGACAGAGCAAGACTCTGTCTCAAAAAAAAAAAACAAAAAACAAACAAACAAACAAACAAACAAACAAAAAACAAAAAAAACCCCACAAAATTGTAACTGCAAACCTCAAGGGGCTCTCAATGCTCCCTGGCAATCACACAATATTTCCCTGCTGCAGCCATTCTCCCATTCTCCTAAACAATTTCACACCTTTTCCTCTTTACACAAACCTCCATCACCCTCCTCATCCTCACTCTCAGCTAAGCACTTTATTTCCTAATTCACTGAGAATATTAAAACAATCGTAAGAAAATTTTCACAAACTCCCACTGCCAATTCAATCCACCTACTTGATGGGTGGGCTTCAGATATATTTTGAAGATTAAATCAATAGGAATTGGAGACATATTTGATGTGAATTATAAGGAAGAAAAGGAAATCAAAGACAATTTTTAGATCTTTCCTCAAATATTAGTTTCTCAACAAGGCCTTCCCTCACTACATCTGAATCTGTCTCTGTCTCTATCTCTGTCTCTGCCACACACACACACACACACACACACACACACACTTATATACTTACATGCTCACACAGTCTCCCCCTCCTTTGGGAGGGTGTTTTTTTCATGGTTTTTGTTTTTTTTTTTTGAAATACCATTTATTACCCCGTGAAATACTAAACATTTCACTCCTTCGCTTAATATCTGCCCTCTCCACTAGAATATAAGCTGCATTCAGGCAAGAATTTTCATGCTTAGTTTACTCCTATGTACCTGGCTCATAGTAGGCACTAAGTAAAACTTTATTAAAGAAATGAATGGACTGGGTGCAGTGGGTCACACCTGTAATCCTAGCACTTTGAGAGGCTGAGGCGGGCAAATCACCTGAGGTTGGGAGTTCCAGACCAGCCTGACCGACATGGAGAAACCCCGTCTCTACTAAAAATACAAAATTAGCTGGGCATGGTGGCGCACACCTGTAATCCCAGCTACTCGGGAGGATGAGGCAGGATAATTGCTTGAACCCGGGAAGCGAAGGTTGCGGTGAGCCAAGGTCGCGCCATTGCACTCCAGCCTGGGCAACATGAGTGAAATGCCGTCTTAAAAAAAAAAAAATGAAAGATTTTTGGCATGAGCAAACGTATGGATGATCGTATTTACACAGAAAAAGAATAGGTGTAGGGTGAGAAGAATCATGGTCTCTGTAGGAGGGAGCTTATAATCTAGTGAGAAAAAGACACTAGATTGTATTTGAAACATACATTTACAACACATTAGGGTTCTATGATTTGTTAACTGATGAAAGCAAAATTGCAGTATGTTGTATGATCTCACTGTTATCAAAAAACATTTATGCATGCTTTTATATATACATACACACTTGCACACATGTAGGCACATACAAACACATACATACATGTTTCTACATCTATACAGAAAATGTTCTGGTAGGAAAAATACCAATCTGTTAGTCTGTGGGGTAAGAACAGTACCATGTATGGGGAATGGGACTAAAGAGACAGTAGGGAGACTTTCACTTTTCAACTTATACATGTTGTACAATAAGCATATTACATTTGAAATTTTAAAAAGAGAGAAGAAAAAGCATCATCTGCCTAAAAGGAAAAGAAATCATATTTAACAAAGGATTAATATCCAGAATGTAGCCAGGCACAGTGGCTCATGCCGTAATCCCAGCACTTTGGGAGGCCGAGGCAAGAAGATTACTTGAGGCAGGAATTCAAGACTAACCTGGGCAATATACAGCAAGAGCCCATCTCTGAGATTTTTTAAGACATTAGTGGAAAAACTGGAGGAATCCAAATCAAGTCTATAATAGTGTACCAGTGTTAATTTCTTAGTTTTAATAAATGCCCTATGGTTATGAAAGATGTTAACATTAGGGGAAGCTGAGAGAAGGGAATATGGGAGCTCTTTGTACTATCTTTACTCTTCTGTAAATCTAAAATTATGTCAAAGTACATTGTTTTTAAAAAGTAAAGCAATTTAGTAGTATTCACCAAAATGTTTAGAAGAGCACAACCTTTCACCTAGCAATTCACTTCTAGCAACCTAGAGATTCACACATGCCCGACAAGAACCATATAAAAAAGTGGTTCATTAAAACACTGTTAGAAACACCTAGATATATCCATTAATTGGGAAATGGTTAAATAAAATGGTATATACATTTTATGCAATAAACACCATGCAGGAAGAATAAAGTGGGTCGGGCAAGATGGCTCATGTCTATAAGCGCAACACTTTAAGAGGCTGAGGTGGGAGGATCACCTGAGTCCAGGAGTTCAAGACCAGCCTGGGCAATACAGTGAGACCTCGACTTTACAAAAAAATTTAAATATTAGCAAGCATGGCCTGTAGTCCTAGCTACTTGGGAGGCTGAGATGGGAGGATCACTTGAGCCTGTGTGGCTGAGGTTGCAATAAGATGAGATGATGTCACTGCGCTCCAGCCAGGGTGGCAGAGCAAAACCGTGTCTCAAAAAATAAATAAAAATAAAGAGGATCTGACATAAAAAAATTTCCAAGACACATATATTAAAAAGAAAAAGTTAAAGAATATACAAAATATCATTAAAAAAATACATACAATCCAGGCATGGTGTCTCACACCTGTAATCCCAGCACTTTGAGAGGCCGAGGCAGGCGGATCACCTGAGGTCAGGAATTCGAGACCAGCCTGGCAAACATGGTGAAACCCCCTTTCTACTAAAAATACAAAACATTAGCCAGGCATGGTGGTGTGCGCCTGTAATCCCAGCTAGCCGGGAGGCTGAGGCAGGAGAATCGCTTGAACCCGGGAGGCGGAGGCTGCATTGAGCCAAAATTGTGCCACTGCACTCCAGCCTGGGTGACAGAGCAAGACTCTGTTTTAAAATAATAATAATAATAATAAAATTTAAAAGGCCGGGCGCAGTGGCTCATGCCTGTAATCCCAGCAGTTTGAAAGGCCAAGGTGGGTGGATAACCTGAGGTCAGGAGTTCGTGACCAGCCTGGCCAACATGGTGAAACTCCATCTCTACTAAAAATACAAAAATTAGCCGGGCATGGTGGCGTGCACCTGTAATCCTAGCTACTCAGGAGGCTGAGCCAGGAGAATCACTTGAACCAGGGAGACACAGGTTGTAGTGAGCAGAGATAGCGCCATTGCACTCCAGCCTGGGCAACAAGAGCGAAACTCTGTCTCAAACAAACAAACAAACAAAATACAAAAATATACACTTTTAAATAGGCATATAAGTGTAAGCAGAACAATCTGAAGGCACAGACAAGGCTTATAACAGAGGTTACTTCTGGAGAGAGGAATGTTAATTAGGACAGTGTTATTTGGAAAGGGCTAGTGTTAGGGATCAAAGTAAAGGGGACCTTTTGCTTCACACACTCTACATTTTTGTAATGCTTGAATTTTTTCATTACTCATAAATTACCCTGAAGTAAAAGATAAGATGAATAAGCACTTCATACGGTATAAAAATTCTTGTATCAGCACAAAATATCTTTGGAAGGATAAAAAAGAGAAAGTGCTATCCATGGGGAAG
This sequence comes from Homo sapiens, assembly GCF_000001405.40. Classification (NCBI taxonomy): domain Eukaryota; kingdom Metazoa; phylum Chordata; class Mammalia; order Primates; family Hominidae; genus Homo; species Homo sapiens. Next base: position 49,382,369 of record NC_000012.12, on the reverse strand, counting down.
AAAACTGGGAGACTGTCTTCACCATTTATTTCTGTACTGTCCAATTTTGTTTACTGCATGCATGCACTGCTTTAAAAATTTTTAAGTGCATTTTTAAAACTACACTAGGATAAGTGCTATTGTGAAAGTATGTAACAGATGTAACAGATTTTAATGGCTAAAAGCAGCATTTGAATCCACCCGAAAGACTTCAGTGAGGTTTGAGGAGTCACCAACTGACTTGGACGGCATTGCAGGCAGAGTTCACAAAATAGGTATAGGCACAGAGGCATCGCAAGAGACAGGAGAGTTCAGGACAAAGCTGTGGAGCACAGGGAGAGAGGGCCTTCAGAAGATATCTGAATCACCAGTTCCTGAATGCATACAGTTTCCATTGCTTATTCAAAGAAAATAACCAAATTTAGACTTACATATGGCTGTTTGTTCTGCTTAAAAGCTACTGTCTCACTCCAAATCACGATATAATGAAACGGCATATCTACCTATAAACCTGGTAGAATATATTCATCAGTTCAAGATGGTTCAGTCCCAACTGGAGGATAAAATTCTAAATTACTTTGGATCACCTATTCTCATCTATCTTCTTTTGAACACCCCATAAAACCAAGATGCAATAAGCATAAAACAATGATAATACATCAATCACATACTATTAAATATAAAAAGTAGGCTTCTCTGACCCAGGTTTCAAAAAATTCTCATTGTGGCATTTATAGCAAATGTCGCATAACAGGGCAGAATGAAGAAAGATGATCTAAATCTCAGCTAAAACTAGAGGCACTATTGCCATTAATTCTTAGGAATTAATTAAACATTGATAATATACTGATTTCTGCCAAAGATAAACTGATTTTATGTATACACGTTTCTAATTTCTTGATTTGGGAGCATCAATTAAAAGCAAAGTATCAACACTGACAGAGTCAAATCTTTATTGGCCTTAAATACAGGTTTTGTTACATCTCCACTCCTACTTGGAAAAACTAGGCAATTTCCTTCCAATTCAGGCCACATGTGGCAAAAATAATTACAACTATAGTATTAGCTAATAGTTATTGAGTGCATGCTACATGTACTCATGGAGTGTTTTACAGCAATTAAAATTCAATGGTTATAACTCAACAAAAAGACAAGCCAATTTGAAATTGGGCAAAGGACTTAATAGACATTTCTCCAAGAAGATATACGAATGGCCAACAAGCACATGAAAAGATGTTCAACATCACTAGTCATTAGAGAAATGCAAATAAAAAGCACGAGATACCACTTCACATCTACTAGGATAGCTAAAATTAAAAACAACAACAACAACAACAACAACAAATGTTGACAAGGATGTGAAGAAATCAGACTCCTCATACGTTGCTGGTAGGAATGTAAAATGGTACAGCCGCTATGGAAAACTGTATGGTGGTTTGTCCAAAAGTTAAATATAGTATTATTATATGTACACTATGACACCAGCTTTTGAGGAAAAAAAAAAAAAAAGAATTACTATATGACCCAGCAATTCCACTTTTAGGTATAGACACAAAAGAACTCAAAACAGGTATTCAAACAAATACTATACATGAATGTTCACAGTAACCTTCTTCACAGTAGGCAAAGGTGGAAAAGACACAACTAACCATAAATAGATAAATATATATATATATTTTTTTTTTGAGGCAGAGTCTTGCTCTGTCTCCCAGGCTGGAGGGCAGTGGTGCCATCTCGGCTCACTGCAACCTCTGCCTCCCGAGTTCAAGTGATTCTCCTGTCTCAGCCTCTCAAGTAGCTGGGATTACAGGCGCACGCCACCACACCTGGCTAATTTTTGTATTTTTAATAGAGGCGGGGTTTTGCCATGTTGGCCAGGCTGATCTCAAACTCCTGACCTCAGGTGATCCGCCCACCTCGGCCTCCCAAAGTGCTGAGATTACAGGTGTGAGTCACCGTGCATGGCCAATAAACAGATTTTTTCAAATGACCTGGAAGGCATTGAAGGCAGAGTTGTATATCTGAACAACGGACTAGTATTTAGCCATAAAGAGGAATGAGGTTCTCGGTCAGGCATGGTGGTTTTCGCCTGTAATCCCAGCCCTTTGGGAGGCTGATGTGGGAGGTTCACTTGAGTTTGAGGCTGCAGAGAGCTGTAATCACACCACTACACTCCAGCCTGGTCAACAGAGTGAGATTTTGTCTCAAAAAAAAAAAAAAAAAGAGAGAGAGGAATGAGGTTGATACATGAGACCAGTGGTTAAGTCTCAACATTATGCTATGTCAGAAAAGCCAGACACAAAAGGTCATATATTGTGTGATTCCATTTATTTGAAATATACAGAATAGGTACATCCACATAGACAGAAGGCAAATCAGTGGTTGCCAGAGATGAGAGGAGGAAATAAAGAGTAAATATTTAATGAATACAGGGTCTCCTTTGGGGGTGATGAAAAAGTTCTGAAATAGGCCAGGCACAGTGGCTCATGCCTGTAATCCCAGCACTTTGGGAGGCCAAGGCGGGCAGATCACCTGAGGTCAGGAGTTTGAGACCAGCCTGATCAATATGGTGAAACCCCATCTCTACTAAAAATACAAAAATTAGTCAGGTGTGGTGGCGTGTGCCTGTAGTCTCAGCTACTCGGGAGGCTCAGACAGGAGAATCACTTGAACCCAGGAGGCAGAGGTTGCAGTGAGCGGAGATCATGCCACTGCACTCCAGCCTGGGCAACAGAGCAAGACTCCGTCCAAAAAAAAAAAAAAAAAATTGAACTAGATAGAGGTGATGGTTGTAGGACATAAAACGGTTAATTTTTGTTTTCTTTTTTTTTTTTTTTTTTGAGACGGATTCTCGCTCTGTCACCCATGCTGGAGTGCAGTGGCGTGATCGCGGCTCATTGCAACCTCTGCCTCCCGGGTTCACGCCATTCTCCTGCCTCAACCTCCTGAGTAGCTGGGACTACAGGCACCCGCTACCATGCCCGGCTAATTATTTTTTTGTATTTTTAGTAGAGACGGGGTTTCACCATGTTAGCCAGGATGGTCTCGATCTCCTGACCTCGTGATCCACCCACCTCAGCCTCCCAGAGTGCTAGGATTACAGGCGTGAGCCACTATGCCCGGCCAGTTAATTTTATGTTATATGAATTTCAACTCAAAAATAAAATCTGGGGCCAGGCGCAGTGGCTCACACCTGTAATCCCAGCACTTTGGGAGGCCGAGGTGGGTGGATCATGAGGTCAGGAGTTCAAGACCAGCCTGACCAACATGGAGAAACCCTGTCTCTACTAAAAATATTTTTAAAAATTAGCAGGGCATGGTGGCACATGCCTGTAATCCCAGCTACTGAGGAGGCTGAGGCAGAAGAATCACTTGAACCCGGGAGGCAGAGGTTGAAGTGAGCCGAGATCGCACCACTGCGATCCAGCCTGGTCGACAGAGGGAGACTCCATCTCAAAAATAAAATAAAATAAAATAAAAATAATAAAATAAAATCTGATGGGCACAGAGGCTCATGCCTATAATCCCAGCACTTTGGGAGGCTGAGGCCAGAGGATAGCTGAGCCTAGGAGTTCAAGACCAGCCTATGCAACATAGCAAGATCCTGTCTCTACAAAAAATTTTTACATTAGCCAGGCATGATGGCATCCACCTGTAGTCCCAGCTACTTGGGAGACAGAGGCAAGGGGATTGCCTGACCCCAGCAGGTCGAGGCTGCAGTAAGCCATGATCATGCCACTGCACTGTAGCCTAGGCGACAGGGCTAGACCCTGTCTCAAAAAAAAAATAAAATTGGCCGGGCGTGGTGGCTCATGCCTGTAATCCCAGCACTTTGGGAGGCCAAGGCGGGCAGATCATGAGGTCAGGAGATAGAGATCATCCTGACTAAAACGGTGAAACCCGTCTCTACTAAAAAATACAAAAAATTAGCCGGGCGTGGAGGCATGCGCCTGTAGTCCCAGCTACTCAGGAGGCTGAGGCAGGACAATCGCTTGATCCCGGGAGGCGGAGGTTGCAGTGAGCCGAGTTCGAGCCACTGCACTCCAGCCTGGGTGACAGAGTGAGACTCCGTCTCAAAAGAAGAATAAAATAAAATAAAATAAAATAAAATAAAATAAAATAAAATAAACATTAACTCAAAATAAATATCCCAGCACTTTGGGAGGCCGAGGCGGGCAGATCATCAGGTCAGGAGTTTGAGACCAGCCTGGCCAACATGGTGAAACCCCATCTCTACTAAAAATACAAAAATTAGCCAGGCATGGTGGCGAGCACCTATAATCCCAACTACTCAGGAGGCTGAGGCAGGGGAATCGCTTGAACCCTGGAGCTGGAGGTGGCAGTGAGCCAAGATCGTGCCATTGTGCTCCAGCCTGGGTGTCAAGAGCAAGATTCTGTCTCAAAAAATAAATAAATAAAATAAAACAAAATGCAACAATCATGACAACTCTATAGTAGGATTACTACTGCATCCATTTTACAGATACAGAAACATAGGCTCAGAGAAATTAAATGACTTGACCAAGGGAGTAGGTAGGGGAGTAGATTCAAAGCCAGATTTGTGTACTCAATGGCTTGTGCTTTTAACTAACATCTCATACAGCTTCCCTATTTTAATAAGTTAAAAGAAAAATATTGGAAATATTATACATAGAAATAACTATACTATCAATATTGGCCTGATCATATTATATATAGAAATATTATAACTATACTATCAATACTGGCCTGATCATAACTAACGCCATTCAGTAGATACACATTTCAGGCATCAGAAACTTCAGCTACCAAAAAGGTTAATAATATACTTGGGGCTATTTCACAATGGAAATAATTAGCCCGTACAGTGTGAAAGGATGATGTGTTCTCAGCTTTACTGCCCAATGAAAAATGTAATCATATAAAAATTGAATATAATCCTACTTAATGTTGCTGAAATGTTAAGATTTCAGGTAACAAGTAATCAGGATGAAAGTATCAAATATCCTTCCTTTTTTCAGAAGCTTTTTCATCAGGCTAGAGACCGAACACACATTTAGTAGTCGTTGTTACGCATTGTTCCCTGTGCTCCCAAATTACAATAATATCATATAATAATATCCTATAGTCTAATTTATAGGATCATCATAACATTATGGACTGGTAGGCTAATGACAAATGCCAAATATCAACTTTTAAAATTCCTAGATACAATACAACCTTTGAGTAATAACAGAGGTGAAAAACATTAACCAACTAAGCTTTGTTTAAAGCATTATCAACTTAAGAAATTAGACATTTCAACAAACCTAGTGTATTCAGTGTGTATATTCTAGATGAACAAAAAAAAGAAGAAAGAAAACCTCCTGTGTGCTGATAAGATTAACGAAACACTGGGCTGGGTGAGGTGGCTCATGCCTGTAATCCCAGCACTTTGGGAAACCAAGGCAGGCGGATCACAAGGTCAGGAGTTCAAGACCAAACTGGCCAAGATGGTGAAACCTGTCTCTACTGAAAATACAAAAATTAGCCAGGCACAGTGGCAGGAGCCTGTAATCCCAGCTACTCAGGAGGCTGAGGCAGGAGAATTGCTTGAATCCGGACAGCAGAGGTTGCAGTGGAGCTGAGATCGCACCACTGCACTCCAGCCTGGGCGACAGAGTGAGACTCCGTCTCAAAAAAAAAAAAAAAAAAAAAAAAAATCAACAAAACACCGGCCAGGTACAATGGTTCACACCTGTAATCTCAGCACTTTGAGAGGCCAAAGCCAATGGACTGCTTGAGGCCAGGAATTCAAGACCAGCCTAGGAAACATAGCAAGACCCTGTCTCTATAAAAAATTTAAAAATTAGCAGGGCATGGTGGTACGAGCCTGTACTCCCAGCTACTAGGGAGACTGAGGTGGGAGGATCACTTGAGCCCAGGATCTGGAGGCTGCAATGAGCCATGATCACATCACTGCACTCCAACTTGAGCGACGAAGCAAGACTCTGACTTAAAAAAAATCAGGGGCGGGCGTGATAGCTCAGGCCTGTAATCCCAGCACTTTGGGAGGCCGAGGCAGGCGGATCACCTGAGGTCAGGAGTTCAAGACCAGCCTGGTCAACATGGTGAAACCCCGTCTCTACTAAAAATACAAAAAATTAGCTGGGCGTGGTGGCGGGCACTTGTAATCCCAGCTACTCGGGAGGCTGAGGCAGGAGAATCACTTGAACCTGGGAGGCGGAGGTTGCAGTGAGCCAAGATTGCACCACTGCACTCCAGCATGGGCGACAGAGTGAAACTCCATCTTAAAAAAAAAAAAAAAAAAAAAAAAAAATCAGGCCAGGTGCAGTGGTTCATGCCTGTAATCCAAGCATTTTGGGAGGCCAAGACAGAAGGATCATTTGAGGCCAGGTGTTTGAGACCAGCCTGGACCCTGTCTCTATTTAAAAATTAGCAGTACCAGATGGTGAGCACCTGCATTCCCAGCTACTTGGGAGGCTGAGGCAGGAGGATCACTTAAGCCCTGGGAGGTGGAGGTTGCAGTAAGCCAAGATTGTGCCACTGCACTCCAGCCTAGGAGACAGAGCAAGACCCTGTCTCAAAAAAAAAGAAGTTTAAGCTACATGGCTGGCTTCATCTGCAGTGTTATGTCCCACCTACCATTCAGCTACAATACATTAACTTCCCGTCATTACATTAGTTACAGATGAGTTTCACTGTTTTCATCACATGTCACAAAGCTTCTTATGAAGGCATGCTATACAAAGGGCTCCTGCAGGACATGCAGGTAGATTACAAGAGCAATTTACTATAAAAATGTAACTAGATATCCAAACAAGGTAAGCAGAAGAGTCACTTCTGCCACACACTAATGTACATTTTGAATCATTTTTAACAGTAGGCCAGGAAGAGCCAGCAGTGGGCTAACCACACTGACATGCTATGATCAGAGACCAAGTGGATAATGTAAGGAAAAGTACTGCTCAACTACAGAGGGTAGCCTTAAAACAAAAGCAAGTTATTTAAAATAGGAAAGACTGCAGCTTTTACAAATTGGTCTTTTCAGTCCTATCCAGGTCAGTAAGAAGTAATATCATTGGCAGCATCTTCAAGTACAAAAGATATTTACTTATCTATCCTGGCTCATTCACAATCATATAATGGCCTCATCACAAACATCCTTCTCCTCCGTCCTAATACCCTTTAGCAAATTCTAAAGACCACTACCACCACACACACACACACACACACACACACACACACACACACACACACACACACACACTCCACAACTTGCAATCATACATCTTGTTAATTAAGTAATGTAAAAATCATCCTTCTTACCAGCAATCCAAGGTTGTTATTTATTATAGGATTTGGACTGCTAAGAATCCCTGTGTAACCCTTGGAGATCCCCCAAAACCTCCAATCAACCTATGCCTTTTTTTTTTTTTTTTTTTTTTTTTTTGAGACAGATCCTCGCTGTTTCCCAGGCTGGAATGCAGTGGCACAATCTCGGCCCACTGCAACCTCCGCCTGCCAGGTTCAAGTGATTCTCCTGCCTCAGCCTCCTGAGTAACTGGGATTACAGGCATGCACCAACACACCCGGCTAATTTTTGTATTTTTAGTAGAGATGAGGTTTCGCCATGTTGGCCAGACCGCTCTTGAACTCCTGACCTCAAGTGATCTGCCCGCCTCGGCCTCCCAAAGTGCTGGGATTACAGGCGTGAGCCACCGCACCCAGCCTTCAACTTATGTCTTAACCACAAATTAGTCATAGGACAATGGCTGCAGAAGTTACCTTTAAGTAACATCTATATCCTCAGACCCTGCAGAATGTTTCAAGGGCCTGCAACTACTGAAGAATCTGTATAGAAGATGGTATATATTTCAGGAACCCATTCCTATAGGCTGCCATGGTAGATGTGAACATGGGAGAGTAAATGCTGGCTTCTGGCCTATCCTTAATATCCAGTGGCTAAAGATAATAAAGTGAGCTGGGCACTGTGGCTCACACCTGTAATCCCAGCACTTCGGAAGGCCAAGGGCAGGAGGATCGCTTGAACCCAGAAGTTCAAGACCAGCCTGGGCAACAAAGCAAGACCCTGTCTCTACAAAAAATTTTAAAACTAGCTGACTGCCATGGTGTGTGCCTGCAGTCCTAGCTACTGAGGCTGAGGTGACAGAATCACCTGAGTTCAAGGAGTTCAAGGACGCAGTGAACTATGATGGCACCACTGCACTCCAGCCTGGGTGACAGAGCAAAACCCTGTTTCCAAAAAAAATAAAAATTAAAAAATAATAACATATTTATAAACTTCAATTTTTTTTTTTTATTGTTTAGAGACAGGGTCTCTGTTGTTTAGGTTGGAGTGCAGTGACATGATCATAGCTCACTACAATCTCAAACTCTTGGGCTCAAGCAATCCTTTTGCCTCATCCTCCCCAGAAAAGCTATGACTACAGGCGCCAACCACTATGACCAGCTAATTTATTTATTTATTTAGAGTTGGAATCTCGCAGTGTCGCCCAGGCTGGAGTGCAGTGGCATGATCTTGGCTCACTGCAACCTCTGCTTCCTGGGTTCAAGCAATTCTTCTGCCTCCCGAGTAGCTGCGACTACAGGTGTATGCCACCACGCTCAGCCAATTTTTGTATTTTTATTAGAGACAGGGTTTCACCATATTGACCAGGCAGGTCTAGAACTCCTGACCTGATGATCCGCCCACCTTGGCCTCCCAAAGTGCTGGGATTACAGGCTTGAGCCACCATGCCCAGCTCTAATTTTTTAATTGTTTGCAGAGACAGGGTCTCGCTGTTGCCCAAGCTGGTCTCAAACTCCTGGTCTGAAGCAATCCTCCCACCTTGGACTCTCAAAGTGCTAGGACTGAGGTCAAAGTGGCCTCCCACCATGCCCAGCCCCCAACAAACATCAAATCTTTAGAAATATTTCAGATTCAATTCAACTGAATGGCAATTGGACTGGGTTTCAGACAGACCACCTACAAAGTAAGTGTGGGCTCACAAAGTCTCCTATAAGGCCCCCAGAAAATGGCATATGAGCCTGAAGTAACTATGTCACCCAATAATATCATGAAGCAAGATGCAGGGATAATTAACTTCCATGTAACATTTAGAAAATGCAATGTGAGGCTGGGCACTGTGGCTCAAGCATGTAATCCCAGCACTTTGGGAGGCCGAGGCGGGTGGATCACCTGAGGTTGGGAATTCAAGTCCAGCCTGACCAACATGAAGAAACCCCCTCTCTACTAAAAATACAAAAAATTAGCTGGGCGTGGTGGCACTTGCCTGTAATCCCAGCTACTCAGGAGGCTGACGAAGGAGAATCGCTTGAACCCGAGAGGTGGAGGTTGTGGTGAGCTGAGATCACGCCATTGCACTCCAGCCTGGGCGACAAAAGCAAAACTCCATCACACACACACACACACACACACACACACACACACACACACACACACACACAAAACAGAAAATCAAATGAGAGGCTAGGCTCATCCTAAGAGACAGTTCACTGCAGCCATTTCAACCTATTATATTTGGTATTATGTTACAGCTTGCATACTGTACAAGGAGGGAGAGAAAATGGAGCCAAATGACTTCAACCAATCTTACTTTCTATTCTATGTATTCCAGGTATCCGCTCGAAATATTTAAAGCATACAGCAGACACGAAATTTTTTTTTTAATGAATGCAGGAAGATACAGAAGGTAAGCAGTAAGCAGCATCTCATACATGTAAAACATGTTTAAATGAAAAAAGTACCCTAAATTTCAATCAAAGGCAGCAAAGTATACTAAAAATGTTGACGCATTTTACATAACATATAGAGCATTCTTAAGACGATCATTCATATTTGCACATAACTGGAAAGAACTGTATATAACAAATGGTTCCTTCCACATTGGATACATGAAAACTGGGTAAAACATTTCCTTTTGAATCATTTCCACCCTAAGTGTCCTGCTAGCAATACAGAAAAAGTCAATAGAGAAAGCACCATCAAGTGCTACCTTCAGGTAGCATATGACAAAATCACCGCTTAAAAGTAACCAAGCCTCAGCAGGCCACAGTGGTTCACGCATGTAATCTCAGCACTTTGAGAGGCTGAGGCGGGTGGATCACTTGAGGCCAGGAGTTTGAGATTACACTGGCCAAAATGGCGAAACTTCATCTCTACTAAAAAGACAAAAATTAGCCAGGTGTGGTGGTGCATGCCTGTAGTCTCAGCTACTTGGAGGCTGAGGCAGGAAAATCGCTTAAACCCAGGAGGCAGAGGTTGCAGTGAACTGAGATCGTGCCACTGCACTCCAGCCTGGGCGACAGAACAAGACTGTCTCCAAAAAAACAAATAAAAAATAAAAGTAACCAAGCCTACTCAAAAAACTAAACATAGAATTACCATAGGATCCAGCAATTCTACTTCTGTGTAAATAGAAAAAAAAAAAAAAAACCTGAAAGGAGGGCGATATAGTTTGGATCTGTGTCACCACCAAATCTCCTGTCAAATTGTAATCCCCAGTGTTGAAGGTGGGGCCTGGTGGGAGGTGACTGGAATATTGGGGTGGTTTCTCATGAATGGGTTAGTACCAGTCCCCTGGGGTTGTTCTCACAAGATCTAGTTGTTTAAACGTGTGTAGCACTTCCCCCCACCTCTCTCTCTTCCTCCTGCTCCAGCCACCTAGACATGCCTGCTTTCCCTTTGCCTCCTGCCATGATCATAAGCTTCCTGAGGCCTCCCCAGAAGCTGCTATGCTTCCTGTACAGCCTGCAGAACCATGAGCCAATTCAACCTCTTTTCTTTATAAATTACCCAGTCTCAGGTATTTCTTTACAGCAATATGAGAATGGATCAATACAGAGGGACTCGAACAAGTATTTGTACACCAAAATTCACAGCACCATTATTCACAACAGCCAAAAGGTGGAAGGAACCCAAATGTCCATTGAGAATGAATGGATAAACAAAATGTGATGTGTACATACAATGGAATATTATTCAGGCTTAAAAAGGAATAAGATTCTGACATATGCTACAACATGGATGAATTGTGAAGATATGCTAAGTGGTACACACCAGACACAAAAAAGTAAATATTGTATGATTCCACTTACATATGAGGTAACCAGGGTAGTCACATTCATAGAGACAGAAAGTAGAATATTGGTAGCCAGCAGCTGGGTAGAGAAAGAGAAACAAGGAATTATTGTTTAATAGATATAGAGCTTCAGTCTGGGAAAATAAAAAAATTCCCAAGATGGATGGTGGTGATGGTTGCACAGCAATGTGAATGTACTTAATGCCACTGATCCATACACTTAAAAATGGTTAAAACGCTAAATTTTTTGTTATGTATAGTTTACCACAATAATTTTTTTTAAGTAAACAAAAAGGCCAGGTGAGGTGGCTCATGCTATAATCCCAACACTTTGGGAGGCCAAGGCGGGTGGATTGCTTGAGCCCAAGAGTTGGGGACCAGCCTGGGCAACACAGCGAAACCCTGACTCTACAAAAAAATACAAAAGTTAACTGGGCGTGGTCAAACAGTGAGCCATGATTGTACCACTGCACTCCAGCCTGGGCGACAGAGTGAGATCCTTTCTGGGCAGGTGGGAGGAGGTTGGGGGGGAGTAAACAAACTAGCCAATACCAGCTACTCTGGAAGCTGAGGCGGGAAGATCTTTTAAGCCCTGGAGTTTGAGGCCAGACTGGGCAACATAGCGAGATCCTGTCTCTAAAACATAAATAAATAACCAAGAACAACTGTCAAACATATTGAGAAAAGTGGAAGAGTCTGTAACAGGCAAGCTTCACTGTCATCCTCCAGAGTCTAGATGACTTCGTTGAAAGTGAAGATCCCAGAAAAGAAGGGATGGACATGCTATTTTCATGTTGCTGCAGATATACACTAAGCAACTGAGGAAGCTGAATTATATTCTACAGGTCATTTGGTAATATAATGAATGGACTGTACTTCCTAACAATTACATCCAAAAAATACAAGCTTTTCCTTCCAGTTTCCAATGAAAGCAGCAAGACTGAAATAATCAGTTACACACATGAGAAGCCAGGTATATCTGAAAGAGTGACTTTTAGTTCCCAGTTTTAATATGGTGACCCTACAATGGGAAACTGAAAGCAGCAATTTTTAGAATAGTATACACAAATTTTCTTCACTGCCATTATAAAGTGACTTTGTGTAAGTTACTTTTAGCCCTTCTGAGCCTCATCTGAAAAATAAGGATAATACTTACAACTAACAGATAAGGTAATAATGTACACTGAGTTCAGCGCCTGGAATACATAAATGCTCAACAAACGAAAATTCCCTCCTGTCTTAGCCTGATCGGCCTCCAGGGGCTATGCTCATGTTTTGGCCATAACCTGTGGCTCCTCCCTCAGGCCCCAGCTGTTTCCCTCAGTTCTAGTTGTTTCACTCCTGGTTTCTAAAAGGATCCTATCTATATTTAGAGGTAATGCTAGTACCAATTGTGGGCTCAAGGGCACCTGAGTACTGAGCAGTTTTCAATTGTTTTCCAGAGTTAATTGGTTTGGCTCCACAACTGGCTGTCTTGACTTCTACAAGTAAGAGTGCCACGTATGCACAGTACCTCAGCAGTATAAGACTAAACAGAAAACTAAGTGTGGTCGCAGGACAAATCCTAAGCAAAAAGATGTTTTTAGCCCTATTTATCAGGATCCCAGACCTTTGTTAAATCACAGGAGCAGTAAACCTTCAATGAACTCCACAGAGTAGGCTACAGCCTACTAACTTAATCTTCATCTAAATCACAGTTATCAGACCCAAGTTTCAACCAGTTCATGCTGCTTTACTATAACCAAGATGAGGGTGAAGCAGAAAGAGCAAACAGGTAGTGAAGATTTTAAAAAAGGCATCCGATACAGCTAGGTCTGAATAAAGCTTTGTTATTTACTAGCTCTGTGACCTTAGTAAATTATTTAACCTCTTAATTTACAAAATATGAAATAATTGTGAGGATTGAATGAGATAATACATACAAAAAAATCTTAGCACCTTGGCTAGCCCACTGAAAGAGGTCAATTAAAAAAGAGGCACATTAGGCTGCGGTGGCTCACGCCTGTAATCCCAACACTTTGGGAGGCCAAGTCAGATGGATCAAGAGGTCAAGAGTTCGAGACCAGCCTGGCCAAGATGGTGAAACCCCCGTCTCTACTAAAAATACAAAAATTAGCCAGGCGTGCTGGCGGGCACCTGTAATTCCAGCTACTTGGGAGGCTGGGGTCGCTTGAACCCGGGAGATGGAGGTTGCAGTGAGCCGAGATCACGCCACTGCACTCTAGCCTGGGCAACAGAGCAAGACTCCATCTCAAAAAAAAAAAAAAAAAAAAAAAGAGGCACATTGTCACTAATGAGAACACTGCACTCATTTCTTGCTTTGTTCAATTTTCATAACATCTAAGAAAAGTAACAATTTAAATCATTATTTTTGGACCTTTGTAAAGTAACCTAAATGCTACCATCCAAGACCTAGCTGAGAAATACAAACTGATTAATGTCCATAAATCTTAGATGAGTCAGCAAAACTTAATGCCCAACAAATAAAAGGCTTAACATGGACTACTTAGGAGCACACAATGGTCATTACAATTTCAAAATCGGCAATTTTCTATCTAGTACAATCACAAATTTGGTCTGGAAATCCAAATATTAAGGAAATGCAAACATCATAATCAATATTCCCAAATCACCTTAATTGAAACTGGAAGGTATGAGGCAGCCTATTTGAAGTTAACATCAAGAAATAATTTAAGGCAGAACCCCAACTCTCTCCCACAAACACAAAACCAGTAGCAGATGGCACAAGAACATTTCTCAGTGAGAAATTGCAATTCTAACAAAGTACAGGTAACTTAATTTTATCCATCACCTTTTGGTCAAACTGAAAACAAACAACCAAGCTTTTGGTTCTCTCCAAAACACTGAAATCTGCATTATCACTGACCTAACTTAAAGCAAGATATTTTTGGTGATCTGTCCTCTCCTGCTTCATTAACCGTAGGTAAATTAGGAACAGTAGCCTGCTAAACAGAGGGGAAGTAAATATCACAGGCATGTTTTATCAATAAAATGGACAAGCGATAATCAAATTATTTAAAGAACGGCTTGTACTCCTTAACAGAGGGACAAGCTTGAGAAAGATCCACTTTCTAAAAGAACCTAATCATTCTGGATGAATTATGAGAAAAATATCACTGTAGTCCAAAACTGACTGAATCTACCTTTCTGCTTTAATCCAAGTCCTAACCACATCTATTTTATGTCTCTGCGTCTGTTCGCCTGATTTTCCATTTCGTCTCCCCCTTCAATTCCAAGAACGCCCTTCTCTCCCTTATTTTCAAATCTCATTATTGCCCCCGAATGCTAAGGACCTCGCACAGCCACGGAGGTGACCTTACGCATCCCTACTGCATTCCTAATTCATTGTACTTCTCATCCCAAATGATCCTATTCTTTCGTTCTATCTCGCTCGTTGTTTCTTAAAATCCAATACCCCACACACGCTCACGCCAGAGTCCCCCCCACACTCCATTGTTTCCCCGGCCTATCCGTCTGGAAACTCCCCAACTCCGACGCGGGTGTTTCACCCGCCCCACAGACCCCAGGAACCTTCCACCCTCTGGGCACTTCGGGCCTCTAAGGGCTCACATCCCCCTCCTTCCCGTCCCCCCGCCCCCAACTACCCCCTCCCTCTTTTTCCTCCCTCAACCCGCTCCCCGCACCTCGGCGCCCTCTGAGCCCCCGCCAACCCCGCCACCCAGCACCCTTAGCCTCACCTAGCCCAGGCCCCCGCAATCGCCTCGTCGCCCCAGCTCCGGGCTCCGCGTCCCGGACGCTCCCGGGTCTGAGAAGAGGAAAGGAGATCCTCCACCTCCCCTTCTAGAGCCACCGCCGCCGTCGCCGCCGCGCTCCTCCCCCAGCTCTCTCAGAGCCGGACGCCGCCCCGCCCCCACCGCCGCCTCCCCACTTCTCTCCTGGGCCGGACTGCAGGATGCTGCCGGAGATCCAGCAGATCACCCCGACCCTCGCCCAGGCAGCGGCTCGCCCCGCCCCGGAGCCCTCTCGGGCGCGTGCGCGCCAGCCAGCCAGCCAGAGCTCAGGGCGCGTACTCGCGCCGGCGCGAATCCGGCGCGCCAAGCTCGAGGCTGTGGCAGCCAACGGGTGCGCGAGCGCGGCTCGAGCGGCGAGACGGCCCGCGCACCGGAGACCGAGAAGATCGGGGAGAGGCGCGGGGCGGCGAGAGGCGGGCTCCGACCAGTCGGGTTACCGCTCTTCTCGGGGCCCGGTCCCTCGCGTCTCGCACCGTCCGCAGGCTCGCGCGCCACCGGAGACTGGGAATTACCGGGGAAAGGAAGAGACTCGGGGAGAGGGTTGGGGACAAAGTAGATGGAAGGGGAAAACGGGTGGGACGCGAGCTCGCGTCCGCGTGCAGCACAGCTCGTACCCGGCGGCATCGGTTAGGGACCCGGCGCGCGCCGGGAACGGAGGGCCCGAGCTGAACTGACGGAAAGAGCCGAAACTCCCCCGGAGGTGGCCGAACGCGGGCGCCGCTAGGGGAGTCGAGCGCGGGGCTTTTGCTCAATGTCCGGGTTGGGAAGCTTTTTCTCTGGCCGCCGGGTACAGCGCCGCTCACTCTTCCGTACCGAGGACTTCACACCGCTTTCCCCTTCGCCTCCTTCCCGACCCAAGTTTTGTTCCAAAAGGCAATTTCAGAGTCGCCAACGACGGGAAACGCTGGGGCCTCCGGACCGCGCGGTCGCTCTGCCTCCTGAGAGAGCGCAGAGGCCGGTGGGGGCGCGGGAAGAATGACCTCGGGATCGTCAGTCGGGTTTCTGATCTACCCAGCTGTCAGCATAGCCCCTCTACGCGGCGGTGGTCGGTCCCGCCGCCCTTCGAATCTTTTCTGTTAAATACTCTCTTCGACGCCAGACTCCCAACCTCCCTGGTGCTGGAACTAACTAGTATTTGTGCACCCTTTCTGCATGCATAAAGCACTTACCTCAGTGTCGACTGGTCAGGGGTCTATTAAGAGGGGCCAGAGGGATTTAGACAGTCAGCATTGAAAATATTTATTAGAATCTGGGGCCGGGCGCGGTGGCTCACGTCTGTAATCCCAGCACTTCTGAGAGGCCGAGGCGGGCGGATGACTTGAGGTCAGGAGTTCGAGACCAGCCTGGCTAACATAGTGAAACCCCGTCTCTACAAAAAATACAAAAATTAGCCGGATGTGGTGGCACACGCCTGTAATCTCAGCTACTCGGGAGGCTGAGGCAGGAGAATAACCTGAACCCAGGAGTCGGAGGTTGCAGTGAGCCGGGATTGCACCACTGCACTCCACCCTCCATCTCAAAAAATATATATATATATTAGAATTTGTCCTCATCTTACCTTTTGAGGCCAAGCAAAGGGGCTCTGAAAAGGCACCAACAAGCTGGAGAGTGTGTGTCAGTGTATAGCTAGACACCACAGGCACATGTCATTTTGGTTTCCACGTATGTTATTGCAATCACAGTACATGTAACTGAGTAGTATAGTAGAGCTTTGCCAAGCCATCTGATCCTTGTGGTTTTTAACGTTGCTTGAGGTAAGGGCTCAAAAATCGCCTGGAGTCCAATGACCTGTGGTTAGTAATGTCTCATCTACTCCAACCATATGATTTACTGATCTAGATAAGCAGAAGACGAAGTCATCCAGCTAGGTACGGCACTGGACTATATGTTCCTTACTATTCAATCTTCATTCAAAAATTCAAATAGAAGCAAATTATCCAAATGTCTGCTTTCTTTTCATTCACTAAATTGGCACCTACTCAATGATGGTGGGTATTGTTCTAGGTATTCGAACATTTACAAAGAAGAATAAAAAAAATCATTACCCCAAGGAGAGTATCCAGTTCCAAAGGAGGATAAAGTTATTAAATAGGCCAGTTGCAGCAGCTTATGCCTGTAATCCCAACACTTTGAGAGGCCAAGGTGGGAGGATTGCTTGAGCCCAGGAGTTTGAGACCAGCCTGAGCAACATAACAAGGTCCCCCATCTCTACAAAAAACAAATATAAGTTATTAAATGACTATAATAACATAGTGTTGAAGCAGAAAAGTACAAAGTGGTTTAGGAACAGAAAGGAATGAGTGACTAATTCTTGCACAATTCCCCTTCCTTCCCATACAGAGTAGGAACAGGAGGATATGACCCTGGTAAATGGAGAACTTCATCATGAGGTGTGGGATGCGAGCCTTGAGTCCTATTCCACAAAGACTGGTTTCACTCACCAAAAGTCACTCAGTTCAGGAAATGCCTTCATTATAGGGCCTGTTGGTGCTGCAAAGCCAATACAAGTTTTTTGGCTGGAAAATAAAGTCCCCATTCTTGGCCAGGTTCGGTGGCTCATGCCTGTAATCCCAAAACTTTGAGAGGCTGAGGTGGATCACTTGAGCCCAGGGGTTTGAGATTAGCCTGGGCAACATAGGGAGACCCTGTCTCTACAAAAAATAAATTAGCTGGCTGAGGTGGCTGTGCTTGTTGTCCCAGCTGCCCAGGAGGCTGAGGTAGGAGGATTCCTTGAGCCCAGGAGGTCAAGGCTGCAGTGAGCTGTGATCACGCCACTGCACTCCAGCCTGGGCAACAGAATGAGACCTTATCAAATAAAAAAAGTTCCCATTCTTAATAACGTAGTCTGTTGTGGGGAAGACATGATGCCTCTCCCAAGAGATTCCCTGATCTAATAGGAGAGACTTTTTTGTTTGTTTTGGAGACAGGGTCTCCCTCTGTTGCCCAGGCTTGAGTATAGTGGCACAATCATAGCTCACTGTAACCTTGAATTCCTGGGCTCAAGGGATCCTCCCCGTCGGCCTCCCGAGTAGCTAGGACTATGGCGCCGGCCTCCACGCCCAGCTAATTTTTAAATTTTTTGTACAGATGGGTGTCTCAACACATTGCCCAGGCTGGTCTTGAACTCCTGGGCTCAAATGACCCTCCCTCCTGGGCTTCCCAAAGCACTGGGATTACAGGCCTGAGCCACCACACCCGGCTAGGAGACACTTTGTATATGTGGATAGCCTTCTCCAAGAGAAGGGAGGTAGATTAAGGAGCACCCTAGGGTATGAGAGCTGTTAAAACATCACTGGAAATCTAACAAGATGGAGAATATTGCATTTAACAAGTCTCCTCCAAGGGAAAGTTTGGGGTGTGGTTGGAAGGCACATTTTGCTAAGCCCCTGGGGTGGTAGTAAACATGACCTCCTCACAAGGATTTTACTCAAAAAATATCTCTCCTCCAAGGAGAGCAGGTTGCTTTAGCATATGTCTTGCTGAGTGGGGTTTGCAAAAGGGGTACTGCAACTCATGGCCCACCTTTGCCCTTTCTCCATGCAGCACTCAACCTCTCTAAAGGGACATTGAACAAATGTTTCAAAAATATTTTTTGACCTGGGTTACAAATATTAATTTTGTTGTTGTTGTTTTTGAGACGGAGTTTTGCTCTCGTCGCCCACGCTGGAGTCCGATGACCCAATCTCAGCCCACTGCAACGTCTGCCTCCCGGGTGCAAGCAATCGTCCTCTCTCAACATCCCGAGTAGCTGGGATTACAGGCGCCTGCCACCAAGCCCAGCTAATTTTTGTATTTTTAGTAGAGATGGGGTTTATACCATGTTGGCCAGGCTGGTCTCGCACTCCTGACCTTAGATGATCCAACCGCCTTAGCCTCCCAAAGTGCTGAGATTACAGGCTTGACCAGGCCTGGCCTATTTTTGTTCTTTATAATGCACATACATTTTCTACTGTGTATGTTTATTTATGTATTTTTTTGAGACGGAGTTTCACTCTTGTTGCCCAGGCTGGAGTTCAATGGCATGATCTCAGCTCACCGCAACCTCCACCTCCTGGGTTCGAGCGATTCTCCTGCCTCAGCCTCCTGAGCAGCTAGGATTACAGGCATGTGCCACCCCGCCCGGCTAATTTTGTATTTTCGGTAGAGACAGGGTTTCTCCATGTTGGTCAGGCTGGTCTCGAACTCCTGACCTCAGGTGATCCACCTGTCTCAGCCTCCCAAAGTGCTGGGATTACAGGCATGAGCCACCGCGCCCGGCATACTGTGTATGTTTTACTTCACAATAAAACATTTATCGTCACCTGCCTTGAAATAATTGCAAATTGTTCAAAGTGCATGTATAAATTATTTTGGAGGAAAATAAATGCTGCAATAAATGCAAAATATAATATTTGTGACCTACGCTGAAGAAAACACAAAAATAACCAAATTTCTGAAATGTTTAGCATAGATGTTAAGGGTTAAAAAAGAAAAAGATCATTTTCAAATGAGATCCATTAGCCTCTGTTCAGCCTTACGAAATTAATTTATCCCATGTTACTTAATGATCAAGTGCCAGAACTAGAATTAGAGAGAAATCATGACATAAGCTTCACCTTGGCAGATATATTCTGCAGGTATTAACCTGACCTAATTTGATATGTTTTCAAATGGATCCTTGACTTGATATTTTGTATCTTAAATAATTGATTGCCAGATTCCATGTTTTTATTAGGAAGAAAAAGAGGCCAACTAGAGCCTGAGAGGCACAAAAATTTAACTTATTATCTTGGAGACTTGATAACCAATGACTGTAATTAAGAAACATAATGTTTTAAAGTTTCCATTGACTGAAGCTGCAAGTGACAACAGGCACAAAAACCAGTAGAGAACAGCTCATAAGATTGTACTTTTCCTTTTGCCTATACTAACCCTAGTACCTAAGAATATTCATGTTAGCAGTCCAAAGTGTGCCTCAGAAAATTCGTTTCATGGGATACTAAATAGATGTTATCTGAGAAAACTATTCCATGTCCAATTAAGTTTGGGAAGCACAGGTTAAAATCAAGTTAAACTGGTGTATTTACTTCCCAGAATATTTAATATGATACCATGCTTTGTTCATATTGAAGCGAGCAGGCTATGTAGTGTGCAGCTTTCCCCAAGGAAGCTCTTCCCACTCCCATCCCCACCCCCAAGACTTTTTTGCAGAATTAATGTGTCTTTGAACATCCATTGTATAAAGTTCAATTAAAATGGTTTAATTAGGTCAGATTTCCCATTTTACAGATAACAAAACTGAGGCCCAAAAACAAGGCTAACATACCCAAATTTTCACTTGTGTATCAGATATTTAAAGCTGGGAAAGGCCTTAAACTATCAAAGGTTGAAGTGTTACATCACAAAATTATTGGCAATGCTGGACCCAAAACTCAGATCTGAAAAATTCAGTTCAATGTGAGCCTTGCAGGTTCATTAAGACTTGACTTTGATATTAAGTGAATTTGTCCTATGTGTAAGATAGTAACTAATATTGCTGTACTCTAAGTTCTTTTATTAAGTTTTTAAATTATCTTTCATTTATAGATTCTGTCACCACTTTAAAAAAATAGTATGCTTCACTTCTGTCAAATGTTTTATACTTCATAAAGCACTCTGTACACATTGTCTCATTTGATTGTCTGAACATTGTGTGGTGCAGGCATCATTGTCCTCATGTAACAAATGAGGAAACTGAAGCTCAAAATTTTTCAATAATTTACCTAGGTTGCACATTTAATAAATGTCCTGCTATTTACATTAGGAGAAGACACAGTCACTTGCCCTCAAGCAGCTTTGGTATAGTTAAGAAGAGAAGACTTGCAAACATGAGACAGAGAACAATTTATATGGCAACATGCAAGAAACTTATTGATAGAACAGTACAAACTAGATGGGAATACAGAAGGAATTCAAAGGGCAAAGATTACTAGAGGTGGAATTAATCAGCAAAGGCATCATTTAGGGATAAACCTTAAGCTAGGTCATAAAAGAAGTGTAAAGATTTGTATTAGCAAGGCTAGGCATGGTGGTTAATGCCTGTAATCCCAGCACTTTGGGAGGCTGAGGCCGGTGGCTCACCTGAGGTCAGGAGTTCGAGACCAGCCTGGCCAATATGATGAAATCCTGTCTCTACAAAAAATACAAATATATTAGCCTGGCGTGGTGGCGGGCGCCTATAATCCCAGCTACTCGTGAGGCTGAGGCACAAGAATCACTTGAACCCAGGAGGCGGAGGTTGCAATGAGCCAAGATCACACCACTGCACTCCAGCCTGGGCAAGAGCGAAACTCCATCTCAAAAAAAAAAAAAAAAAAAGATTTAGCAGAGAGGAAAAATAATTATAGGAAAGAAGAAGAACATCAACCAAAGGCAGAAATATCAAAACAAACACATTGATGGAGAAGAATTAGAGCCTGAAGGGAGATGGGTCTGAAATGATCAGTCATCTTGGCTGTGCAAGAAAAGTCAACTGCTAAGACGAAGTAAGTTTGCAGGCACTGAATATCAAATTTACTGAATATTAAACGTACACTCTCTCCTGTGGTTCATGGGAGGGAAAGGGAGGAAAAAGCAAGAGAAACCACGTCTAAAGTGGGTAAGGATATGGAAGGAGGGGTGGGGGAGTAAAACAAGCCTCAGTGGCCCTCAGATCTGTGACTGGGAAACACCTGAACCAAAGACGTTTTATGTCCCACAACCCCTTCCCATTCTTTTCTTTTTTTTTTGAGACAGAGTCTCGCACTGTCACCCAGGCTGGAGTGCAGTGGCGCGATCTCAGCTCACGGCAACCTCCACCTCCCGGGTTCAAGCGATTCTCCTGCCTCAGCCTCCCAAGTAGCTGGGACTACAGGTGCGCCACCATGCCCAGCTAATTTTTTTGAAGTTTTAGTAGAGACGGGGTTTCACATGTTGGCCAGGATGGTCTCAATCTCTTGACCTCGTGATCCACCTGCCTTGGCCTCCCAAAGTGCTGGGATTACAGGCGTTAGTCACCGGCGCCAAGCCCCATTCCTTTTTTTTTTTTTAAGAGACAGGGTTCTCACTCTGTTGCCCAGGTTGGAGTGCAGTGATGGGATCATTGCTCACTGCAGCCTCCAGCTCCCAGGCTCAACTGGTCCTCCCATTGCAGCCTTCCCAGTGGCTTGGACTACAGGTGTGAGCCACCAGGCCTGGCTAATTTTTTTTTTTTTATAGAGATGGGGTCTCCCCATGTTGCCCAGGCCGGTCTCAAACTCAAGCAATCTTCCCCACTGGGTTCAAGTGATCCTCCTGCCTTAGCCTCTCAAAAGTGCTAGGATTATAGGCATCAGCCACTATGCCTGGCCTTTTTTTTCCCCACTCTTGAGACAGATTAATAAATTTCTTATTTATTTATTTGAGGCAGGGGCTTGCTCTGTTGCCTAGGTTGGAGTACAGTGGCAGAATCATAACTCACTGTAGCCTCAAACTCCCGGGCTCAAGTGATCCCCCCGCCTCCGCCCATCATCACACCCAGCTCCCGTTCCTTTTCTGGTACTAATTCACCTGAAATGTGCCTGAGCCATTGATTCTAGGAAAAATGCCCTTTTAGGTGTTGCTTGCAAAGCCAGGCTCACATGCTGACTCAGTCACTGCCCAGCAGATGTTCCCCACAACATTTCTCAACCCAGAATTGGGACTGAGGTCTGGCACAGAATGGGTTAAAAGATTCCCTTCTGGGCTGGGAGTGGTGGCCTGTAATCCCAACACTTTGGGAGGGCAAGGCGAGCAGATCACCTGAGGTTGGGAGTTCGAGACCAGCCTGACCAAAATGGAGAAACCCCCGTCTCTACTAAAAATACAAAATTAGCTGGGTGTGGTGGTACATGCCTGTAATCCCAGCTACTCAGGAGGCTGAGGCAGGAGAATCGCTTGAACCCGGGAGGTGGAGATTGTGGTGAGCTGACATGGTGCCATTGCACTCCAGCCTGGGCAACAAGAGCGAAACTCCGTCTCAAAAAAAAAAAAAAAAGATTCCCTTCCAAGTTTCCCATACAGGGCACTGTTTTACTGCTTTGTTCTGTTGAAACTTGTCAGTAACGTTTAAACCCAGAAAGTCCAAGATCCTTGCTTAGAGTCATAATAGTTTGCAAATAACCAGATGGACTATGGAAAGGGTGAATGAGAGGTGGGGAAAAAGAAGAATAAGAAAGAAAAGAGAGAACAAATTATTGAAATGAAGTATCTTTAGCTGGAACCCTACATAAATTTTTTACTTTTATTGCTCAAAACTCATCTTAGCAAAAACAAAACAAAACAAAACAAAACAGTTGAACAACTTTTAATCCCTTGAGGCGACTAACAGAAATACTGCAGGGAACATGAAGCAAAAGAAAAACATTTTAAATCACCTTCTCAGGGTGGGAACTTCAAAAGCCAAAGCACTGGCATGAGATGTGCGTTCAAAGTTCTAACATGAAATAGACAGCTCTAGATTCCCCTAGGAGATTAAATGACAACTGAAAAGCATGCTTCAGTTGGAGCTTGCTTTGAATAACACCCCAAATCCAACTTCACAGTTGCTTGCTCCTTCTCAGCAAAAGGAGAGGACTGAACTCTGGTAATGAACCTGCTATGGAGGTGCCACTACCACATTTTTTTTTAAGTGAAGGGGACAGCCGAGGGACATATTTTACCATGACAGCCTTGTAGCGCCATCTGCAGTTCCTAGCTAAGACTACAACAAACCACACGTCTCCAGGCTTGTTAGGACCACCCCACTGTTCAAGAGAAAAGAAAACTAAGACATAGAGTACTAAAGTCAGTGAGTCCTCAAAAGCCTCCTGGGTCCTAGAGTAGATGCAAACATAGCTCTAAGACACAGTGCCTAGGAAAAGATCTAAGGGCCTCAGTTGACTATAAACTCAATGAGTCACACTTACATAGCAACCAAAAAAAGCTAGTAAATTTTTAGGCTGCTGGATTTAAAGGATGATATATTGTTCAGACCTTGAGAACGTAACAGCCCCACAGTACCCCGTTCTGTCTGAACACGTCTCAGAATTGCATTTAGTTCTGGGCACCACAATTTAAGAGCAATATTGACAAGAGCTATAAAAAATGTTCATACCCTTTGACCCAGTAATCCCACCCATGGGAATTTATTCTAAGGAAATAATTCAAGAGAAGAGATGAATTAGAGCCATGAAGATATCGATGCCACATTATTTACAACAACATTATATAAATGTTTATCAAAAAGGGAATATTATACAGCTTTAAGATATAATGGTGTGTTATTAAAAAATAAAATGTAATGATAATGCATGCTTCAACATATTTGAATCATTTTTTCTTTTCTTTTCTTTTTTTTTTTTTTGAGAGTCTCGTTCTGTCACCCAGGCTGGAGTGCGGTGGCACAATCTCAGCTCACTGCAACCTCCTCCGCCTCCCAGGTTCAGACGATACTCCTGCCTCAGCCTCCTGAGTAGCTGGGACTACAGATGCATGCCACCACACCCAGCTAATTTTTGTATTTTTAGTAGAGACAGGGTTTCACCATGTTGGTCAGGCTGCTCTCAAACTCCTGACCTCGTGATCCGCCCACCTCAGCCACCCAAAGTGCTGGGATTACAGGCGTGAGCCACCACACCCAGCCCATATTTGAATCTTGGAAACATTATGTTCAATGAAAGAAGCCAGACACACACAAAGGACAACATATTGTGTGATGCCATTTAAATAAAATGTCCAGGATAGGCAAATCTAGAGACAGAAAGCAGATCAGTGATTGCAGAGGCTAGGAAGAGGAGGAAACAGAGAGTGATTGCTGATGAGTATGGAGTTTCTTTTTGGGGTGGTAAAACATTCTGGAATTAAATAGAGGTGATAATTATACAACTTTGTGAATCTATCAGAAACCACTGAATTGTACACTTTTAAAGGGTGAAGTTTATGCTATATGAATTATATCTCAATTAAATATATATAATAACAAAGTCTTTATAGTAATATTTTAAAAGCTTATTGAATCACAAGCATTTTTTTATTTTACTGTAAAAACATCATCTTTATCAGGGAGGGGGGAAAGTACAAAATTATGTCCCTGATATGATTCAACCATGTAAAATGATGTACATTTATGAACGACGACTAGAAGTGAACATGAATAACTGAAAACAAACAGTGTGATGCAAGTGAATTTTTGGAGGGTGAGATGGTCATTATATTGTTCTTCGAGCAATTAAATATTTTATTTTCTTCCCAAAACAATGTCCACAAGGGGGCAGACAGAAGATGACAAATAAAACCATTTAATAAAAACCTCAGCTGAAAAGCTAATAACTCCAGAATGCAGGTTGAAAGCAAGCTTAAAGGTCATCTAGGCTGGGGTCAGTAGCTCATGCCTGTAATCCCAACACTTTGGGAGGCCAAGGTGAGAGGATTGCTTGAGCCCAGGAGGTAAAGGCTGCAGTGAGCTATGACCGTGCCACTGCACACCAGCCTGTGCAACAAAGTAGATTTCGTCTCAAAAAAAAAAAAATCATCTAAGTCATCTAAGTCCATCTCCCTCACCTGACAAGAAAGAAACAGAGGCCCTAATGGAAAGGTGGCTCACCCAAAGTCACCAGTATGGTCAATGCAAGAGGTAGAAGTAGAGACCCATCTCTTCACCTCTTCATCCCTCCTCACTCGGACTACAGTGCCTCCTCCTTAAACAAAGTGATGGTAAATGTGGCAAATGAAAGACTTAGAGAGATAGGAGATGAAGGGCAGAATCTCATCAAGAAATGGTTTTTGGTTTTTTATGTTCTTTGTAGCAAGAGATGGCAGGTCCAGAAAGACATTACAAGGAAGCAAATTTAGGAACAATTTAGGGAACAATTAAGGATGTCTAAAAGGTGAGACAGGTAGAAGATTTCCAATTCAAGCAAAACCCGAAATGGTCATCTCTAAGGCAAGCTTTTCCCAAGATTCTGTACTGTATAGTTGCTTGGGATACAGGCCTTCTCAGTTCCCTTCCAACTCTTCAAAGTATCTATGAATTTTTGTTTTGTGCAAATGGGAGAATATGAAATCACTGGATTTCATTAAATCAACTAAGGTAGAAAATAAAGAAGACTCACTTGTTAATGTCTTAGATTTCCTATTATTTTACTAAATGTCCTTTTTTTAAGACCGTATTTTGGGTTTTGTTTTAATTTCATTTACTTATTTGTTTTTATTTTGTTTATTTATTTATTTATTTCAGACTGTGTCTCACTCTGTTGCCCAGGCTGGAGTACAGGGGCGCAATCACAACTCACTCATGATTGACCTTCTGGGCAGCCACATTTTCTTTTTTCTTTTTTTTTTCTTTTTATTTTTTGAGACGGAGTCTCACTCTGTTGCCCAGGCTGGAGTGCAGAGGCGCCATCTCGGCTCACTGTAACCTCCGCCCCCCTGGGTTCAAGCGATTCTCCCCACTCAGCCTCCAGAGTAGTTGGGACTACAGGCGTGTGCCACCATGCCCGGCTCATTTTTGTATTTTTTGTGTTTTTTATTTTTTGAAGTGGAGTCTCACTCTGTCGCCCAGGCTGGTGTGCAATGGCGCAGTCTCAGCTCACTGCAACCTCCACCTCCTGGGTTCAAGTGATTCTCCTGCCTCAGCCTCCTGAGTAGCTAGGATTACAGGCATGTGCCACCACGCCTGGCTAATTTTTTGTATTTTTAGTAGAGAAAGGGTTTCACCATATTGGCCAGGCTGGTCTCAAACTCCTGACCTCAGGTGATCCACCAACCTCAGCCTCCCAGAGTGCTGAGATTACAGGTGTGAGTCACCACGCCTGGCCACAGCAACCCTTTTAAAGTAGATACTTGGCTCATACCTGTAATCCCCGCACTTTCGTAGGCCAAACGGGAGGGTGGGTTGAAACTAGAAGTTAGAGACCAGGTTGGGCAACATGGCAAGACCCCATCTCTACCAAAAAAAAAAAAAAAAAGAAAAAAAGCCAGGTATGGTGATGCCTGTCTGTAGTCCCAGCTACTTGGGAGGTTGAGGCAGGAGGATCACTTGGGCCCAGGAGTTCCAGGCTACAGTGAGCTGTGATCACCCCACTAAACTCCAGCCTGGGCAACAGAGCAAGACCCTGTCTCAATAAATAAATAAATGAAAAAACAATTTTTTTTTTGAGACAGAGTCTCGCCCTACCACTCAGGCTGGAGTGCAGTGGTGCGATCTCAGCTCACTACCTCATCTCTGCCTCCCGGGTTCAAGTGATTCTCCTGCCTCAGCCTCCTGAGTACTTGGGATTACAGGCATGCCCCGCTGTACCTGGCTAATTTTTGTATTTTTAGTAGAGATGGGTTTTCACCATGTTGGCCAAGCTGGTCTCAAACTCCTGACCTCAGGTGATCCGCCTGCCTTGGCCTCCCAAAATGGTGGGATTACAAGCGTGAGCCACCGCGTCCAGCCAAAAAATTTTTTTGAATAAAGTAGATACTATTATCTCAATTTTAAAGGAAACTAAGATTCTAAGAGGCTGAAGAAATAAAAAATACGACAACTAGAAAATAACGTAACATGATTCAAATCCTACTGTTGTTCTTCTGACTCTAAAACTCATGCTCAAGGATGAAAGACAACTCATAGGCGAGGGAAAAATATCTACAACACATATTACGAGGGTTAAGGTTTCTAACATGCAAGGATTCCACCAAACTAGATTTGAAAGCGACAAATAGGAACACAACTTTAGAATAAATGGAGAATATGATGAAGCAATTCACTGAAGAGAAAATCCAAATGCCCAATAAAGATTTGAAGAGATGCTGAACTTCATTAGGAGTCAGGGAAATGCAAATTAAAGTAATTAGATACTATTTCTCACGATCATCTTGACAAAAGTTTAAAAGAGTGGTAACATTCCAGGCCAGTTACAAAGAAAATGCCAGTTTCTTGCACTTGGTGAAAGTCTAAACCATTAAAACGTTTTTCAGAAGAAATCTGATACAATATCAACCAAATACATTTGTTTGAGGCAGGTTCTTGCTGTGTTGTCCAGGATAGAGTGCAGTGATACCATCACAGCTCACTGTAGCCTCAACCTCCCAGGATCAAGCAATCTTTCCACCTCAGCCTCCCAACTAGCTGGGACTACTGGCACATGCCACCACACCTAGCTAATTTTGTGTTTGTTTGTTTTGTTTTTTTAGTAGAGATGAGGTCTCACTAGGTTGCTCAAGCTGGTCTTGAACTCCTGAGCTCAAGCTATCCTCCCACCTCAACCTCCCAAAGTGCTGGGATGCCAGGCCTGAGCCACCATGCGTGGCCCAATATGATATCAATCAAAATTGTAAAAAACATGTTCTCTCTTAGACCGTACTTATCACTTATTGGGATATAGCTTCAACAAAAAACAAAAAGCATCAGTACATATATTCAAAGATATTTATTGTAGCCTTGCTTATGCTGGAAAAATAAGAACTGCTTATCAGTAGTTCCCATTTGAGTAAATTAAAATATATCCATATTTTGTAAAAAAAAAAAACTCCATAATACAATTTGAGAACAGTGGCCAGGTGTGGTGGCTCATGCCTGTAATTCCGGCACTTTGGGAGGCCAAGGCAGGCAGATCATGAGGTCAAGAGATCGAGACCATCCTGGCCAACATGGTGAAACCCCATCTCTGCTAAAAATACAAAAATTAGCCGGGCGTGGTGGCAGGTGCCTGTAATCCCAGCTACTCGAGAGGCTAAGGCAGGAGAATTGCTTGAACCCAGGAGGCAGAGGTTGCAGTGAGCCAAGATCCAGCCTGGGTGACAGAGCAAGACTCTATCTCCAAAAAAAAAAAAAGAGAGAGAGAGAGAATAGAGAGAATAGTCATCAACATAATTCCACTTTATTTATTTATTTATTTTTATATTTTTGAGACAGGCTGTCACTGTGTCACTCAGGCTGGAGTGTAGTGGTACGATCTCAGCTCACTGCAGCCTCCACCTTTTGGGTTCAAGTGATCCTCCCAATCTCAGCCTCCTTAGCTGGGACTACAGGCGCACCCCACAACACCTGGCTCATTTTTGTACTTTTTGTAGAGATGGAGTTTTGCCATGTTGCCCAGGCTGGTGTTGAACTCCTGGGCTCAAGCAATCTTCCTGCCTTGGCTTGCCAAAGTGCTAGGATTATAGGCAAGAGGCACCATGCCTGGTCATAATTCCACTTTAAAAATGATATATATTACTCAGATTTAACATCCAGAAAGAAGAAAAAAATGGAAAGAATGCACACACACAAAGAGAGCAAGAAAGCTGCAGTAAAGGCACATAATTTAAAATCATGTTCCTGGTCTCCAATCTTCCTCTGCAAAGTGAGACACCCTGGGCCCTTTCTTTCACACCTGGCTAGTTACCTAGAATTGAATAAGGCCCCCTTGAGATGCTCTAGCCGCTGGTTCCCTAGGGTTTCCCAAAGTCCCCAAAGGGACATATGACATATAAAATAATGAATCTTTCTGAGTCCCCATAAAACAATGTTATCTGTCCCTCCTCCAATGTGCCAATACACTATTTACAGCTCTTATGACATTTAGTTCAAAACACTGAACAAGGGCTTTGATATCTGTGTACCTGTGTCATTATCTCCCATCAGATTGTATGCTTCTAGGAGTAGGGTATGTAGCCCAGAATCAGACCTCAAATACTGGGAAGACCTGAGAAGTCAGCCAGTCCAATCACCTATGTAAAGTCTGAGAGCTCTCCAAAAATTCTCCTCTAAGCAGAGGAGGAAGAACTACCCCCCACTCCACAGTAGCTTGTTCCCTTTTGGAGAAAGTGTAGCTGCTAGAAAGTTCTCCCATAAATGGAATGAAAATATTTTTCTCAAATTTTGAAATTTAATCCTAGTCTCACCCCATCTACAGAAAAGATCAAATCTCTCTTATCACAGGACAGCTTGTGAATACTAGAACCTTCATATTTTTCCTTCAATCTCCTAACATAGTGCTTTATACATTTATTTATTTATTTATTTACTTACTTATTTATTTATTTAATTTTTGAGACAGAATCTAGCTCTGCCGCCCAGGCTGGAGTACAGTGCAGTGGCTCAATCTCAGTTGACTGCAACCTCCACCTCCCAGGCTCAAGTGATTTTCCTGCCTCAGCCTCCCGACTAGCTGGGGCTACAGGCATGTGCCACCATGGCTGGCTAAGTTTTGTATTTTTAGTAGAGATGGGGTTTCACCATGTTGGTTGGCCAGGCTGGTCTTGAACTCCTGACCTAAGGTGATCCTCCCACCTCAGCTTCCCAAAGTGTTGGGATTACAGGCGTAAGCCACTATGCCCTGCTGCTTTACACATTTAAAAAAATAGTTAAATAATCTTTCTCCATCACACATCAATATATCATGGGTGGGATAAGGTGGTGTGTTCTCTAAAAGATATATTTTTTCTAATTAATTTTTTATTGATATATAATAGTTGTCCATACTCTAAAAGATATTTGATTGTTTTATAATATGCCTTTCACTCTCTGGTTTTAAGAAAAATTGTCAAGAATGCAATAGCCAAGAATTCAGAAATTCAGAATATAAACACATCCTTCTACCACAACCTTTTCTCACCCCATTGTTTTCTCATGTCCCCTGCAAGCAGTTTTTCTTTCTTTTTTTTTTTTTTGAGACGGAGTTTCACTCTTGTTGCCCAGGCTGGAGTGCAGTGGCGTGATCTCGGCTCACTGCAACCTCCGCCTCTCAGGTTCAGGTGATTCTCCTGCCTCAGCCTCCCAAGTAGCTGGGACTACAGGTGCCTGCCACCACTCCTGGCTAATTTTTTGTATTTTTAGTAGAGACGAAGTTTCACTATATTGGCCAGGCTGCTGGTCTCGAACTCCTGACCTCGTGATCTGCCCGCCTCGGCCTCCCAAAGTGCTGGGATTACAGGCATGAGCCACCACGCCCAGCCCCTGCAAGCAGTTTCTTTAACTCTGTTGGGATGCCATTCGTGGGCAAAGCTAGATTTGGGACAAGTTGCCCAGCTCTGCTAGGAAGAGTCAGTCCTCAGGGGGAAGTTTCTTTTCACCTCCGGGATCCCCAGGGCTTCCTGGGTTGACTCAGGACTTCATACGCAGCCTGGATCTCCAGGAAGTGCCTCTGTGCCTCCTCTGTCTGGTCCAGGTTGTGGTCTGGGTGCCAGACCTTCACTAGCTCCTGGTAACTCCGATGTATTTCTTCATTTGTTGCCCCTTCTGAGAGGCCCAAAACCTTATGGAAACAGAAGATGACAAATTAGAATCCCCCAAGTTGTCAGGGTACCTGGGCCTCTCCTTGCACCTTTGCTAAATCAGGCTATCATATCTCTAGAATTGGCTTCTACTTGCCCGTGGGAAAGGTCCAGCAGCTCAGGTTAGAATTCCAGCCTTATAGAGTAATAATAAAAGAAAAAAATTATTTTAGAAAAAAGAATTCCAGCCTTTTGAAACATAGACAAGCTCTAGATCTCATGGCAAGAGCCATTAACCACAACTGCCCATTTTCCAACCTGGAACTTCATATCCCTGGCAAGATCTCTTCCCCACAAAAGACATAAATGTATATATGTCCACCAAAGACATGTACAAGAAAGCTCATAGCAGCTTTATTTATAATAGCCCCAAACCATAAACAACCCAAATGTTCATTAACAATAGAGTGAATAAATTAACTGTGGTATAATCATACAATGGGATACTACACAACAGTGAAAACAAACAATTTACAATTGCAAGTAACAGGAGGAATAATGGTCGGGCGTGGTGGCTCCTGCTTGTAATTCTAGCACTTTGGGAGGCCGAGGCGGGTGGAGCACCTGAGGTCGGGAGTTCGAGACCAGCCTGACCAACATGGAGAAACCCCGTCTCTACTAAAAATACAAAATTAATTTGGCGTGGTGACGCATGCCTGTAATCCCAGCTACTCGGGAGGCTGAGGCAGGAGAATCACTTGAACCTGGGAGGCAGAGGTTGCAGTGAGCTGAGATCGCGCCATTGCACTCCAGCCTAGGCAACAAGAGTGAAACTCCATCTCAAAAAAAAAAAAAAAAAAAAAGAATCAAGAGGAATACATCTCATAAACATGATGTTGAATGAAAGATGAAAGATGCCAAATACAAAAGAACACATACGGGATGGTTCCACTTATTTGGAGCTCAAGAATGAGCAAACCTGGCTGGGCACGGTGGCTCACGCCTGTAATCCCAGCACTTTGGGAGGCAAAGGTGGGTGGATCACCTGAGGTCAGGAGTTGGAAACCAGCCTGGCCAACATGGCGAAACCCTGTCTCTATGAAAAATACAAAAATTAGCCGGGCGTGGTGGCACACGTCTGTAGTCCCAGCTACTCGGGAGGCTGAGGCAGGAGAATCGCTTCAACCCAGGAGGCAGAGGTTGCAGTGAGCTGAGATTGTGCCACTGCACTCCAGCCTGGGCAACACAGCGAGACTCCATCTCAAAAAAAAAAAAAGAAGAAGAAGAATGAGCAAAACTAATGTATGGTGACGAAAGTCTGAATAGAAATGACCTCTGAAGGTGGGAGTATAGGCTGAGAAGGGGAATAAAAGAAACTTCTTAGTGCTGGAAATGTTCCATCCCTTGATCTGAGTCAGGTATACATAAAATTAGTGCAATTTATATATGTTGTACCTCAATAAAAAGTAAATAATATACACATATATTTTTCCTACTCACAGCATCTGTAACCTTTGCCCATTGTACACAGATATCCAAAGAAGCCAGAATATCCTTCCAGCACCTGGCCAACAGACAAAAGTACAGTACTTCCACATGAGGGCCACCAGAGCCACCGGACAGGACTGAGGGAAGAAAGCCTTACCTGGTAAGCCAGCTGACGCTTCTCATCCTGAAAACTGTGAACAAACTCATAGAGCTTCGCCCACTCCTGAAAGCAGCTGCTGTTGAAGCCAGTCTCCCCCATCAGTAGCCTCCAGATCCGGTAAGGCAGAAGGAGGACAAACTCCATGAGGCGGCCAAGAAGGGGGAAGAAGCTGAACCAATTCAAGAAGGAGCCAAAGGTTTCTGCCACATAGCTGAGGGTGGCAGCTGTGTTGCAGAGGGCACTGTATGCCAGTGGGCCTGTGAAAGCAAGGTAAGCCAAGCCCAGACGATAGAGCCGCACACTGAGCGGCTCTGATGCCACCAAAGCTTTGTAGCGGCGATGCCTCTGAGCTGTAATGCTGGCGGCCACGCTAATGGGCAGTATGGCTATGGGGCGGCCATAGAAGATAGGTGAAGTGAGAAATGCTGACCCCAGAGTGTTCTTAAAGTCTGAGGTCTGGTTGCCAACAGCAGCCACCAGCAAGACCCCTAAGCCAACTGCCAGTGGGAGGGCCACAATATAGAAGTTGACCATGGAAGAAAGGCTAATCAGTGCCACAAGGCCAAAATAGATGCCAACTATCACCTGGGCAGCAAAGCGAATGGGACTCAGAGGGGGTGTCACCCCTCTGGGGCTCTGCCTCTGTCCCTGGGCTCTGTTGGCCTGAGCTACAAAGCTTGGGAGCTTCCAGAACTCCCAGAGCCAGCCCAGCCCACCTCCCCCCAGGGTCAGCATCCAGAGCAGGGCGTGGCTGTCCCTTCCCAGGTACAGGTGGTGGAGCCCAGCAGGGCCCCCCACAGCCCAGAGGGCATAGGTCACCAGGAGCCCCTTGGCCATCCTCTAGGGCAAAGGTCTCAGAACAAGTCCGGTTACTCGCAGCACAGAAGTCTCGGGGTCCTCTGTGAGACTCATGGCTGTCATGGCCCCAGAGTTATCCTTAGACCCTAAGAGATGGGAAAAAGTAGAGTCATAAGATGATGTCCAGGCTCCAACACAGCAACCATTTCTCTTTCCAATAAAAGTTGAGTACAGATCTGCCTGAGTCCCCAGTGCTATTTATCTCATATCCCTTGTCCTAGCACCTCAGTCCCATTCTTTACAACCACAGTGACTCCAGATTTAGAGGAGAAAGCTGTTTAAATTTCAGACTTCCCCTGAGACCCATGACCCCAAATGACTCATGGGGGGATGTGTGGAGGGGCAGGGCTGCATTGGATGCTTTTCCAAAGTTCCCACACATTTTGAAAGCCTCTGCCTTACCCCTGACTTAACTCCAACTGTGGCTGCCCTCCCACACCTGGCCCAGGCTTTAGCCACTCTCCTGCCTTCCTAACTCTCCAGGCCATGAGATTTTCCCACAGGTCAAACTTGAAAGGGGTCCTGAATTCCCTTTATTAAAATATTCTGGAAAACTTCGTTTGACCTAGACCTTGGCACCCCACAATTCAACCACCTCTTTCGGAGGCCGGCTTGGAAAGCCACTCCACAGCAGCTGGACAAATCCTCACAATATCAAACTGGACGCCAAGCGTGCCTGCCAGTGTCCCCTCTATCTGGAGCGACCACCAGCCAGCACCCGCTACTTCCAAATCAAGTGGCCATACCTGGGTGCCCCGCTCCCAGACCGAGTCAGACCAGTCATTTCCTTTGACCACAGAGTGAAAATGGCCCGTCTCGCCCTGCTCCCACTTCCATCCAAATGGACTTTGTCTTTTGTGTCTGTTGTGTCACGGAAGTCCGGCTTCCCCAGGCCAGGCTCCTCCCCAGGGCCCTCCCCGGCCCCCTGGGGATCACATTCCCGCCTGGGACTCCTCCCGCCCGCCCTCGCGGGGAAACTCGGTGCAAGGCTCTGCAGACGCCTGCAGCTCCGGTGGGCTCAGTGCCCAGCCCGGGCCCAGCTCCTCCCACACCACCGCACCATGGCCGCCAGGTGGCGCTGCCGCCGATGGAAGGGGGGGTCCGGGCGGTCCCCAGACACCTTGTGCGGGTACCGAGGCACAGCAGCACAGGACTGCCCCTATGGAGGGGCTGCCTGGCAGGAGCAAGGGACGCTCCTATCTGTAGTGCTAAAAAAAAGGATAAACTCCTGTAAATGCAAGAATACGTCCTTGATTACCTCCTCCCACCCCCACAAATTGAAAGGTGACTCCTCCCTCACCTCAAGCTGCACGCTCCTCTCTTCACGCTCCGTTGACCTTCAAGACTGGATGGTTCCACCTCCAATTCCCTTAAGGCAGAGACATCCACGGACAGGCTGCAGTGAGGGACATCCAACCCAAGCTGTCCTCAACCCCCCACAGGGCTTGCTTGCCTCACCGGCCCACCTCCGAGCCTTCCAGTTAGGGGCTCTGCTTCTGCACCTGAGCCTGAGACCTGAGGAGCCTCCCAATCCAGGGCTGCTCTGTCCCGCGGGCTATGAACCAGAGGGAGAAACGGGAGCAGAGGGTTGGAGGGCAGGAGGCTCGACCAGGAGGGCGAGGCCGCAGCCCGAGGCTCGTGGTAGTCTGCCTTCCTGCGCCTCTGCGCTGCAACGGAGCTGCAATGCAAGACGCCTTCATTTCAATGTCCCGGGCTCCAATCCCGGGTTCTACTCCGTGAACTTGGCTAAGTCATGCAGCTTCTTGGGCCTCAATTTCCTTCTCTGGCAATCTCGTGGATCTCCGAGGTCCCCCAGTCTGGACTTGCGGGGGCTTCGGGGGACGGTCGGCCTCGCGGGTGTCACCTCCCGGCAGTAGGCAGAGCGCTTCCCTCCAAACGCCCTCAGCCCTCATCTCGGCCTGGAGAGGAAATGCTGCTCTCTATATGACCTCTTAGGGCTCACTGAGGGGCCTAGGCTGGGAGGGGCCCCAAAGCGACGCCTCAGACTGCTGGGGGGCGGGGGCGGACAGGAGCGCTGAATAATGAATGAGACTTAATTGGGCCCGCACTGCGCGACGGCGCGCTAAGCTTTGCAAACAGCGTGGGCGGCGGCGGCCGCCGCTGGACAAACAAACTATCTCCCGGCTCAGGTGGTGGGGCGGGGGCGGCAGCCATACAAGGGAGAGGGAAGGGGCTGGCCGCCGGGGCACCCGGGGCCGCAGCGCGCCCCCAGGTTTACTTCCCGAGGAACCCAGAAATGCGGGGCTGCGCTGGCGGCCCAGAGAGTGGGGGTCGGGAAGGGGCTCAGGGTTCGATCTCAGGAAGGGAGGAGTGGGGAGGGAGAGAAGCGGATTGTGCGGGGAGAGCCAGGGGCCCAAGGGCAATGTAAGCGCGAGGAAAAGCTGAAGAAACGAGTGGAGGGCAGAGGAGAGGGGAGAAGTGAGCGAGGAAAAAGCGCACCGGGGGAGGGGCGACGGGGTCGGGGGAGCGGGAGAAGAGCTGTTACCGGGAGGAAAGGGAAGAGCGATGGAGGAACAAGCGAAGGAAGGCGCAAGGGGCCGGGAGAAGAGGAATTGAAGAGTCAAGGAGAGGGATGGGAGGTGACCGGAATAAGAACGAGGGGGCGGCAGGGCGGGGGGAGGCGCCCCTGCCTCCGCCTCGCCCTGCAGCGCTCCCGGCCTAGCGCTCTCTCCAGCCGCCCGCACTCACTTTGTCACAATTACGGGGCCGTCACTCCGCCCGGATTGTTTTCCCCAAATTGTTGTTCTATAAACTGGTGCAGAGTGGGAGGTGGGGGGATCTGACAAACTGCAGCGAGAGGAAAGGGTCTGAGCTGTGGTGCGGGGCGCGGTGGTGCATTTACCCGCAAACTGGCCCCGCGTGGGCGGAGGAATCCAAAAAACCCACGCAGGAATTCTGGTTGCTGCCCCAGCTTCGTCGCTGACCCCGCTTTTAACTTTTTGGCTATTCTCAGCATCGGCTGCCTCGGTTTCCCCAGCAGAGCGTGACAAGGATCGGAGGCTGGGGTGGTGGAGGCGCTTGTAGGTGGGGTCCAAACCGTCCTGCCTGTCCCATTCTGTCTTGTTCTTTACTACCCGGGTCTCCCCGGCGGGGGATGGGTGGTCTATCCCAGCCCAGCGGTCCTCAGAGCGACCTCGAGTGCCTTCTTCCCCCGTGAGTGAGGCTTCTGCCCTCACCCGGTCTGGGCCATCTCCTACCCCGCCTGTGCCCTCCGACCCTCTGCCCTGCGCCGCTCGGTGTCCCAGCCTTTCAATTCGGCAAACATACGTTGCGCGCCCACTGAGTGCCAGCGCTGAGCCAGCCTCACCCCGCCGCCTCTCCCCCCCGCCACCCGCCCCTTCCCGGCCGGCCCGGCCTGTCGGCTCCGTGACAGCAGCCGCCGAAGCCCCGGCCCCGCGGGAGCGGCCAGAGAGGAGCCGCCGCATGGCTGGCTCCGACACTGGCCTCCCCGGCGGCTCCAGGGGCAACGAAGGGTGGCGGCCGCTGAAGCGAGACTGGAGCCTGCTGGGGGAGTTGGCAGGGCTGAGCGGGGGAGGGGGAGGCCCTGGGCGGGCTTCTCTCTGGTTCTCTAAGGCCTGTCGTTCTCATTCCGTCGCCCTCCGGTACCGCCCGGGTCCCGACCCCTCCTGGCTTCGCGAGCCTGGGACGTGGTAGGCTCCCCACGCCCCCTCCCCCAGCCCAGGTGATTTACACGCGGGCTCCGCGAAGCGGCCGCTTCCCAATCAGGAATATCGACCCCGGGCGGGGCCCCCGGGCCGCATCGATCCCTCTAAGGCTCGGGATTTAAAAATGTCAAATTTGCCTTTTCCAGGCGGGCGGAGGGGGCGGGGGCCAGGCGGAGGGAGGTTGGGAGGAGGGAGGGACAGCAGGGCATCGACCAGGCGTCTGTGCTCAGAATGTGAAGTGACCCGCGCGTGCCCGAGCCCTGACACGGTGTGACCATCCTTGGGTTAGCAATCACCTCTGGATGGGGGCAGGAAGAAAGCCCTCCTCCTTCTCCTACTCCAGTGTCCGTGGGGTATTCTGCTGGGCTGGTGTATTCTTAGAGAGAAGAGCCCCAAGAGGAACAAAGAGAGAGCCCCCCAAAATGTAGGAAGACAAATTTGGAAGATTCCTAAATGTGGAAATATGCAGACACAAAGGAGGGTACAAAGCCTGGGCGCCGTGACTCACACCTGTAATCCCAGTACTTTGGGATGCTGAGGTGGGTGGATCACCTGACATCAGGAGTTCAAGACCAGCCTGGTCAACATGGTAAACCCTGTCTCTACTAAAAATTAAAAAAAAAAAAAAAAAAAAGCCGGGTGGAGCCTGTAGTCCCAGGTGTTCAGGAGGCTGAGGCAGAAGAATCTCTTGAATCCAGGAGACGGAGATTGCAGTGAGCCAAGATCGAGCCACTGCACTCCAGCCTGGGAGACAGAGTGAGACCCCGAAAAAAAAAAAGAAGAGGACGTTTACAGAGATAAATATACAGAAGCTCCAGGAGATACCCTAGCCCCAAGGAACAACAAGACAAAGGGAAGGGGTCTTGCTGAACAAAACAGGGGGCCAGAGATCCAGAGTCAGCCCAGCTCTCTGCTCTGTAAACCCAGGAGGTTCAGGGCTGGGAGGAGGCCAGGTTCAACTTCTTGGTGTTTTTGAGAATGAGGATTGAGAGTGGAGACCAAGCCAAACTGAAGAGAGTTATTATGGAGAGGAATTAGAGTGCAGTTAGCATTATCCTCCCAAGGCATAAACTAGTAATTAACTTGGACTTGAGACCCAAAAGGTTAGGGTCTCCGAGGCTGCTAGTACAGGCTCCAAAGAGATAGGCTGCCTTGGAGGTCTGAAGGTCAGCCTCTCTCTTCCTGAGCATCACACAGGCATCTGCTCAACATCTACCAACTCCTCTCTGGCCACCACCAGCCTAGGTAGGCCACATGGGTTGGAGATCACATCTCACATTTGGAGACCTTGTGTATGTGTATGTGTAGGGGTATGGGCTAGACAACTCTGGCAGTAATCACTTTGTTCCCCAGGGCACAGCAACTAGGTGTCCAAACTTTGGCCAAAAAAAAAAAAAAAAAAAAAAAAAAAAAAAAAAAAAAAAAAAATCCACTACTTTCAAAACCCTTGGGGTAGGGATGTTAGTGGTGAAGGTGCTGGAAGGGAGCAGCTGTCCTGACCAGCACTCTCACAGTTAACATCTAGCACCACCCCCACCCCCCACCCCAGCAGCACACCTCAGCTGTCACCGTGCGCACTGCCATTTCCTCCATAACTGGAGACAGAGCTGACAGCCAGCTGGGGGGTAGTGGGGAGACGGACACACAGGGAGGGGTGGTGGCTCATCCTCAGAGGGAATCTCACACCTCCACTGACAAAATCATACTGACACATACCTGGTACTGACACACACAGTCACTGACCTCCCACGTGCGATCCACATTCATCAATCCCTGTCATACACGCCATCTCTGAGTGCACAGTCACGCACAATCTCTCAGAGGTCAGGCCGAATCGCCTAGTCTTGAGACCTGCCTAATACCCTTCCTTGACATCTCAGACCTTAAATCACCTAACCCCAGAAGAGGGCTTAGGTCCCCGCCCTTGCTTCCCAGCCAGGGCCAGCTCCAACAACTGGGAGGCCGAGCTCAAGGAAGTCAAGTCCCAGGGTCAAGGCGAAGGACCGGGAGCAGATGGAGCAGTGGGACTGTTAAACGCTTGCCTTAGTCCCCTCCTGCTACTGGCCTCTTTCCCGGCACGTCCACTCGCAGCCCGCCCGGCCCGCCACCCGCCTGTCAGTCGAGTAATGAATGCGCGCTCGGGGCCACGGGCCCCCCTGGAGTCGTTCATCACTGCCAGCACCGCCCACCCCTCTGCCTCCCGCCGGGAGGGCTAAGCGGCCGGGGCTGTAAGAGCCCCTCACCCCGCATCTTGACCACTAATTGTCAGATTGAGATGTTGATTTGTCAGCTGGGAGCTAGCGCCAAAGAATCTGCAGTAAAACCTGGACTCCTTGAACTCCCTCTCGGCTCCCCTCGGGTTCGCCAGGACTTGGAGCCTTTTTTGAGCGGATGCGGATTGGTTGGATTTCACTGAACGGAGCGGGCATAGAAGCGCAGTGTCATTCAAAGCCGGCAGGAGGCGCGCCAGGCTAGAAACCCTTGGTTTCCCTAGGAGGGGTCGCCCTGGGCCTGGTTCCATCTGTACCTGCCGGACCTCTAAGGCTTGGTTCCCAGCTTCCCAGCAGGGGGCGCCCTGGACCCCGGGCCTCCGGTCTCCGCAGCTTTTGTTCCCTCTTCCCCACTGGGAGGCCCCAAGCCGCTAGCCCCAGTTTCCCTTCGGGGAGTGCCCGGGGCCATAATCCCCCACCCTTCGGCCAATGCCTCAGGCCACAGTCCTCCACTGCCCCGCAGGAGGCGCTCCTGCCGCAGGTCCGCCCTCGCCCTGTCCTGGGCGCCTAGGCTGCAGCCGCACCCCGCCCTCTCCCGGGCCGGGCCCAGGAGCTCCCTGGGCGGCCGGCTGAGTGACGGGCGGCCGGTGATTATGCGGAAGGGGGAGCGGGGTGCGCCGCGGGCGGCAGCGCTGACCCTTCACATTTCCGATCCGCTGGGACCCTCATCCATCCGAAGCTGCTCTTTGTCTGGCCGCCTAATTGCCGGCGGACAGGATGGATGGCGGGACCGACAGCCGCGGAATCCCTAATAAAGGCCGCGGCCGCCGGGGAGGGAGTGCAGGAGGGAGGGGGAGCAAGAGGGAAGGGATGGAAGAAGATGGGAGGAAGCACCGGGCAGCGGTCTCTGGCTCCGAGGCGCTGCGCGCGGCGCTCACTGAAGTCCAGCCCGCCTGGGGTGCTAGTTCGGGGTCCAGGTCCGGGTGCGGTGGGTTGGGGCTCGTTAAGTGTCCTGCTCGTCAGAGAAAAGCTGGGGACCCCAAGCAGAAAGAGCATCCTAGGGCCTTCCTCGCTTAGCCGAGCCCTCGAGACTTGGAGCTTAGCACTACCTCCTGGTCTCGGGGCTCTCATCAGTATGCGCCCCTACCTCAACTTCCCGCACCCCACCCGCCTCCTTTCACCTGTGGGTCTCCCAGACCCGGAGTCAATATCCCAGAGGAGAAATGAGGGGTCTGACAGCTCTCTGTGCAGCCGATCCCCACATTTCATTAACTGGAGGCTGGAGCTGGCAAGCGGTGGAGGCAGAGGGGGGCACAAAGGGAGGTGGAGGAGTCAAAGGCTAGGAGCAGCACCTGGCCAGGGGTGGAGGGCTGCCGAAGTAAGTCAGCAACAGCTCTGACCTGGCAGACACCTTGGAAGCAGTCTTTACCCACTCTCTGAGAAGCCAGGAGCTTGTCTTCAGCCCTGTGGACCCTGGTGCGATACTTTGAACTTAAGGTTGCACTGAGTTTTGGTGCCAGAGGCACTGGCTGATGAGTGGGAGCCCTGGGCCTGGCCGTGATGGCAGAGGCAGGAGGGTAGTCTCTGCAAGGAGGCAAACCATGAGCAGGTTCTTGGGCTGGGACGGTTTTCCCAGCTGCAGTCGGAGAACAGCCGGCTTCAGGCTTCCCTTTTGTCCCTTAAGCAAATTTTCCTTGACTCGCTTCGTTTTCCTTTGCCTTCCTTTTTCTCTGCCCTCTCTTCCTCCATCTGGACGGTTGTTCTCTGAAACTAACTTTGGCCATCCTTTAGCCAACAGTTGAGCACCTGTTGGGCATCATGCTTAACAGTGTCAGGGTGGGGGTTGGGGGATACACGGAGCCAAGACCCAACCCTTTTGGCCTCACATACAAAAGGCTCCCGGAAGCCATTCAAATCTCACTGCCCACTCCTGGCCTGCCTCTCTCACTCTTCCACTGCCTTGGGTGCCATTTGTCTCCTCTAGGGAACTGAGAAGGAAGCCAGGAGGTCATAACTCTAATTCCAGGACTATCCCTTACAGGGTGATAATGGACAAGCCATTTCCCCTTTCTGGGCCCCAGTTTTTTTATCTTTAAAATGGGGACAATAGATCTAACTCTAAAGGGTGCTGTGAGGATGCAACGAGAAGTTGCATGTTAAAGCCCTAAAATACAATAAGGACTCAATAATGTTGTTTCCCTTTCCATGCCGTCCCCTGTCCTCTCACGTGGATTCCCTTGTCTTCATACTAGAGGACTGCTACCAGGCAACCCAGGCTGCTTCCAGATCCATGTGATCTTCAATGTGGGAGTTGAAAGCCAGAGTGTGGGAATGAGTAGGGAGAACCACACTGTGACGGGCCCTGAAGGGGAGGAAGGAGAGAGTGCAAGGAAAAAAAAAAAAGTGTTTCCTTAGATCTTGATAAAATGTCAGGCAGCGAGGAGGTTTCTCTTCTCTTACTGATGAGGAAACTGAGGCACGTTCAAGTGATGCAGGCATATCATGCTGCTGGAGCCTTCCCTCCCAAGGGCCCTCTATTGCTCACCTCTTCACCCCCTTTCTTCCCTTGAGGGGGTCTGGGTCAGTGACAGTAAGTGTGAGAGAAGGAACAAAAAGAGAGAACTTTCAAGGAGCCAGGACCTTTCCACTAGACTTCATAAAATTTTAACATGAAAACTTCCACAGAGTAGAAGGCACATATCACATGCAAATCATATGCTAATCACATGCTAATCCAAAGTCTGGTCCTCAGAACTCTGACACACACCTAGCTATAGCCCTGGGGGGGATTCTGGGGATCCCCCTGGGTTCCAGGACAGGTGAGGGAGGCATTCCATTTAGGGTCAGTTTATGGAGTTAAAATTCATTTTAGGATTGAAGAGGAGTCGAGTATATAAATAGGGGTTAGGGTCAAGGCTAATGCAGAGTCAAGGACAGACTGGTCTGTCTGAAGGCTGCATTAACCTTTAAGTGGGGGAGCCTAGGAAACTGTTAAAGGCTTCCTCTCCTCTCCGCTCCCCCTGCCAACTCTGCCCCCCACTTCCACTGCCCCTTCTTTGTCCTGCAGCACACCCTTCTCTACCTACTTCCCATTCCCAACCATACCACC
Source organism: Homo sapiens (assembly GCF_000001405.40). Lineage (NCBI taxonomy): Eukaryota > Metazoa > Chordata > Mammalia > Primates > Hominidae > Homo > Homo sapiens. The sequence continues at coordinate 49,339,846 of NC_000012.12, read as the reverse complement.
TCCCTGGGGCTTCCCAGTTTGGCTGCCAGAGGAGTTCTGGGAAAATTGTCCCAGACCCTGGCCTGGGCCCCAGCATTGCCTCGAGCCCAGACACTTGGCTTCTGGCCCAAGGTGCACAGGCTGGCCTTGGCCCCACCCAGGTCCCTTCTTGGCAGAATGTGGCAGCTGCAGGGGAAGCAATAAGGACCTGGTGAGCTGGCAGCTTCATTCCAGAGTGTGGGAAAAGAGCAACAGAACATGAATAAATTCATGGAGCTGGCCCCTCAGCTCCCCGTGAGCCAAGCCGGCTCCCCCGACCACACAGATCCGCTGCTGCCTGCAGCCCTGCTGGTCACCACATCTCACAGCCTGGGCTGGGGATGGGAGGAGAGGGGAAGCTCTAGAGAGAAGAGGACTGGGACCTGAAAGGGGCTGAGGTGAGGGACTTAAAAAGGGGACCTTGGTGAGTAGAATGAGTGGAGTGAGGAGTGTGGCTGGGCAGAGGGGGTCTCTGGTGAGTGGAGGGAGGGAAAAGGGAGGGAGAGGAGTCAGGACCTGGGGTGGATGGGGCCTGAGGATCAGGCAGGGGAGGCTGGTGTGAGCCTGGGCCTGCTCTCTGATCCATCCATCATCCAGCCTGGGGGAGCAGATCCGGAATTAGACATGCAGAGGGCTGACACGGCCCTCAGCCCCCCGAGGAAGACAAATGGCGACAAAGACCTTGAATAAAATTTGTATTTATGGTTGGAGGAGGAGGCCCCTCCCCCACTGACTGCCAATCCTTTCTCTCCCACTCCTTGCAGACATGTAGGGGCCTCCCCCAACCCCCAACACAGGCCCAGCCTTAGGAACCTCTCTCTCCCAGCATCATTATGAGGCGGGGGTCGGGGGTGCAAGGAAGGAGTACAGAAAACAAGAGAGGAGGAAATCACTCTCCATCCAATAATCATGCCCTGGTGTGCCCTGTGCCCTCCATCTTACACAATGTTCTCCCATACATGATAGTCCTGGCTTATCCTGGTCTCTAAGAGGCCTTTGCAGCTGCTCACCTCCAGGGTCTCCAAATGCCCCCACTTTTTACCAGTCCTAGAACCTGTTTTCCTAGCCTCTGGGGTCCCTGTGAGCAAGACATTTTCCCCAGAAGGCCCAGGCCCTAAGAGAGGATGCAGCCAGTAGCTTTTTCTCTGGACTCTGATCTAGCAATGCCTGTGTCTAGCAATGTCTTGGCCGCTCGGAAAGACAGATACAGTCCCCTCTTACAGGAGGGTGCCTAGCACCTAATCTGCATTTTACTTACATTAATTTGCATGGCCAACTTCAACCCCCACCCAAATACCCATTATGTGGGATCCAACTTCTCTGGGTTTCATCTAACAACAAACTCTTGAAGAAGGAGGAAGGGGCAGAGACTCCTGGGACTGGATAAGTCTGGGACCAGGGCAGGGGTGGCATTGGGCTGAGCTGGGCAGGGCAAATGAGAAGACAGCTGTCTTCTGACTTCCTCTCTGTCCAGTAGAGTCCTTCATTCTCAGTCCCAAGGTAGGAAAAATGGCATTTGTGGGCTCCAAATTGAGGGACTAGGAGGAAGACAAATACAAATACCTCCCTTCAAACAGCCCTCACATATACATACACAAAGACAACACACAATCCACAATCGCACTCACCCAGGGACACACAGGGCCAGGATCCCATGGCCACCTCCACACTTTGGAGCACACTGTCACAATGCACAGGCCCAGAGCCTAGCACTGCTGGCAGAGCCGCCCTGCCCCCGCATCTTCCCCACAGTTGATATGTCACATTGGAGTCCAAACACGGACCTGGGTGTCTCTCTGCAGCGCGCCATTTACATTTCTCTCTCGATCTGTCAACCTGTCCCGGCTCTGTCTCTCTTCCTCTGTCTCTGTCTCTCCCTCTCCCCCTCTGGGGCTGTCAGTCCGTCTCTTTTCGAAGCTTTGTCTCTGTCTCTGCATCTCTATCTAGCTTTCCTTCTCTTTGATTTCTGTCGCTCCTTCTCTGCTTTCTTGTCGGTTTCTTGCTTGCTCCCCCGGGCTGATCTGTTCTCTTATTTTCTCTCTCTCTCTCTCTCTCTCTCTCTCTCCACACAAACACACACACACACACACACACACACACACACACACACACTCCGCTCCGCGCCCCAATACTGAGGGGTGGGGGTAGGGTTGGCTAGAGATTTGCCTTTTCCAGTTCAGGCCAACTAGTATCAGTTGAATCCTTTACCATGTTATTCGGTCACGGGCGCTGAGGTGCGTGGGGTGGTGAATTTCTATCTTTTCTAGCCCTTCTTATTTTGTTTTCTGTTTGTTTGTGAGGTCCCTCCCCCTCATTTTAGCTCGGGAATCTACCCCTGTCTTCTCTGCGTGTTTGTATCTTGACCCCTCTTTATCCCATCGCTGTTTTGGGTTTCCTCTGGCCTCTGAGAATGCCAAACTCCGGGTAAAGGGTAAAAGTAAAGATACAGCGGGGGCCGCGAAACCCTGAAGAACCCGCTCAGAGCCGGGAAGGAACCTAGGGGCAGTGGGGGAGTGGAGGGGAGGCGGGGAGGACGTGGGTGGGGGCCGCTGCCTGCCCCGCCCCCGCACTTCCCACTCTGGGCACCAGGGGTCGCTCCGCCTCTGGCCGCTTATAGTGGCTCCCGCCGCGCGGCGCCTCATACCACCCGCGCCCGGGAGGGAGGGGAGGAAGGTTAGGGAGGCGGAGAGGGACCGCGCCCGCAGGAGAGAGGCGCGGGCCAGGGCTCTAGCAGGGACTGGGGCCGCGGCAGGGGTAGCAAGGTGAGTCGGTGCTTGCCAAGAGGCAGAGCGCAAAACCTACTAGGAGATCGCGCCCGGTGAGCAGCACCCGCAGCTCAGAGCCCGGGACGTCCGGAGCGCGGGGAGCAGTCCCCTCTCCATCAGGGAGTGGTCTATCTGGGCAGTCTGGGACCCAGGCACCGCGCCATCCCTGAGAGAGCAGCAGTCTGGAGAGCAGGCATCTCAGATCCCTAAGAAACCAGCCGTCCGAGAAGCCGCGGATCTCAGGTGCCCAGGATCGTTAGGACTGAACGGGAGGGTACTAGAGGACCACTGGCTCTGGACCGTCGGGAGCTGCCCCTGACGTAACCCACGAGGGGCCTCCCCTTGACGGACGGCTTGGGGAGCGGCACCGCCGCGGCTGGAGCCCGCAGAGGCAGGGTAAGGGGAGCGGGGGGCAGCCGTCGGGGGAGTGCAGACCCAGGCCCAAGGCGGGTCACCGCCTCCTGGCCCGCGGAGAGCCCCGGCCCCGGCAGCCATTGCGCCCAAGAGTGAGGAAGATTTGCTGGCCCTGGCAGCGTCGCGGCTGAGCCGCCGCAAGAGGGTGGCGGGCGCGGCCGTCGGAGTGGCCATGGTGCTGCTGCTGCTGGTGGCCATCCCGCTGCTGGTGCACAGCTCCCGCGGGCCAGCGCACTACGAGATGCTGGGTCGCTGCCGCATGGTGTGCGACCCGCATGGGCCCCGTGGCCCTGGTCCCGACGGCGCGCCTGCTTCCGTGCCCCCCTTCCCGCCAGGCGCCAAGGGAGAGGTGGGCCGGCGCGGGAAAGCAGGCCTGCGGGGGCCCCCTGGACCACCAGGTCCAAGAGGGCCCCCAGGAGAACCCGGCAGGCCAGGCCCCCCGGGCCCTCCCGGTCCAGGTCCGGGCGGGGTGGCGCCCGCTGCCGGCTACGTGCCTCGCATTGCTTTCTACGCGGGCCTGCGGCGGCCCCACGAGGGTTACGAGGTGCTGCGCTTCGACGACGTGGTGACCAACGTGGGCAACGCCTACGAGGCAGCCAGCGGCAAGTTTACTTGCCCCATGCCAGGCGTCTACTTCTTCGCTTACCACGTGCTCATGCGCGGCGGCGACGGCACCAGCATGTGGGCCGACCTCATGAAGAACGGACAGGTGAGATGCCCCTCTCCCCAACCCAGCTCAGACTGGTCGCTCTCTAGATCTCCCTGCACTCATCCCACAACCTGAGATTATTCCCCGAAACAGCGTCACTGAATCCAGGAACGCGAGGCTGCCAAGAACGATAGATGACTTCATTTACCCACAGAGGAAATTGGGGGCCAGAGAAGGAAAACCTTCTGCCTAGGGCCTCACGGAGTGTAGGAATGGTGTTAGAATTAGAACTCAGGACTTAAACCTGAGTGTCTCTGCAGCTGTGACCTCACATTGCAACTATGGGCAACACCAGATGTCTTTGGTGTCTCGCCCTGCCAACTCGCTTCTTTTCTCGTCCTGTCTTGGGCTATCCTTTCTTCTGCGGCAGCCCCCCTGGCCTTTGGGTCTCTCAGCCTTGCATTGGACCAGCTAACTGGAGTCTAGGCTCCTTCGAATTAGAATGGAATCCATGTCTCAGGCAATAGGAAGTCAGCAGCTGTTCTCATGTTGAGGGCATTCGGGTTGGATGTTTGAGGAAAAGGTATAAAAGGAAGAAAACATTTGCCTGCTCACTTCACCTGCCGATCAGCTGTTCTGTTGCTCACCCCAGGGCTGGGGGCCTAGAACGGCCTTGCCCTCAGCAGAGTCTGTGGCTTGGCAGCTCAAGGGCCAGCCAGGTGGCTGGAATGAATGGATTTGGGGGAGGAAAGAGGCAAGGGACAGGTAGAATAGCCTTGGGCCCTGGCCTGGTCTTGTAGGCCCCACACCCTCCCTAGCAATCTCTCAGTATCCAGGTTCCACAGTTCCCTGCCCTTGTGGGCAGTTGGAGTCACTGTTGCCTCTGTTTTCGGGGAATAGCCCCAAGGACTAAGCTCTAGCACCAAAATTTCACACATAGTGGGAACTAGAGGCCGCAGGTGTGGGGTAGGTGGGAGAAGGTGCCAGAGCTGCACAGGCTGCAGAGGGAGGTTGGGGCTGAGTGGTGACCTCTGGATGTCCAGCATGAAGGGGGTGGTGGCGACCCAGGAGCTTCAGGCCTGCAGGAGCCTGGTACCGCGGCAGCATCTACCTGCCCCGAGACCTGCTTTGGGATCTCATCCCAGCCGGGCTGCCCCAGGAACCCGGGGAAAGGGAGTGAGTGTGCGTCCTCATGGAGTGAAAGAATATGTATGTGTGTCAGGGAGTGTGTGTGAGTGCGGAGTGCGATGTGAGAGTAGAGCGGTGTCTATCTGTATATGACATCGAGTAGGTGTGCTTGGTCCATGCAGGGTATCTGGGAGGAGGTGGAGGGGGCCAGTGTGTAACTAATTCGTGCGGGTTTCAGAGGGGGAGGGGACTGCGCAGCTCCCACTCTGTATTCTTCAGTGCGGGCGCTGCGGCCCTGGGGACGGTAAATAGTGATTAGAATAATGATGAATAATTAATGAGTTAATAACCAGCCCCTGTGGGACTCTCTAGAAGAGGGGGGCTGAAGGCCCGAAGCGACCGCCATGAGCCCGGAGGGGAGGAAGTGCTCCCTGTTCTGGCAGAAGACGACCCCCCACGCCTGGGCACCAGTGGGTGCTTGGTCGGGAAATCCGCGCCCACAGGCGAGAGCGCAACAGTGCACCTTATCATGGCCCGCACCCTATGCACACGCACAGGCACACCTATGCCCCACCACTGGGGAAGCCAACCCTCCATGAGGACTGACAGGAGGTCCCAGCCGGTTCAGAATTTTAGAAATTATCCTATAGGCAAAATTTTATTTTATTTTATTTATTTTTTGAGACAGTTTCGCTCTTGTTGCCGAGGCTGGAGTGCAATGGCGCTATCTCGGCTCACGGCAACCTCTGCCTCCTGGGTTCAAGCGATTCTCCGACCTCGGCCTCCCGGGTAGCTGGGATTACAGGCATGTACCACCACGCCCAGCTAATTTTGTATTTTTAGTAGAGACGGGGTTTCTCCATGTTAGTCAGGCCGGTCTCGAACTCCCGATCTCAGATGATCTGCCGGCCTCGGCCTCCCAAAGTGCTGGGATTACAGGTATGAGCCACCGCGCCTGGCCGACAAATTTTATTTTTAAAATGAGAATAGTAATTTGAAAATGCATTAAAAATAATTTAAGAATGGAAACCACTGAGCCAGGCGCGGTGGCTCACGCCTGTAATCTCAGCACTTTGAGAGGCTGAGGTGGGTGGATCACCTGAGATCAGGAGTTCGAGACCAGCCTGGCCAACACAGTGAAACCCCGTCCCTACTAAAAATAGAAAAAATTAGCTGGGCGTGGTAGTAGGCGTCTGTAATCCCAGCTACTAGGGAGGCTGAGGCAGGAGAATCGCTTGAACCCGGGAGGTTGCAGTAAGCCGAGATCGTGCCATTGCACTCTAGCCTGGGCAAAAAGAATGAAACTCCATCTCAAAAAAAAAAAAAAAAGCAAACCACTCTTCTGAACACACTTCACATGTAGTAATTCACTTAATCTTAACACCCTATGAGGTGGGTTCTATTATTGTCCCTCACTTTATAAATCAACTCGAGGTCCAGAAAAGGCGTGGTATTTGCTCCGCGTCACACAGCTAGTGAATGGCAGAGCTGGAGCAACTCCGTGATGTCCTACCCTCCTCCCTGGTCCTCCCCAGCCCCTGCGGCGGCTGCCCGGCCGCCTTCGCACGCCCAGCCGCCCCGACCCCTCTCGTCACCCCAGCTCCACACAGAGCATGAGCAGGTTCTTCTCCCTCGATAGGTCCGGGCCAGCGCCATTGCTCAGGACGCGGACCAGAACTACGACTACGCCAGCAACAGCGTCATTCTGCACCTGGACGTGGGCGACGAGGTCTTCATCAAGCTGGACGGCGGGAAAGTGCACGGCGGCAACACCAACAAGTACAGCACCTTCTCCGGCTTCATCATCTACCCCGACTGAGCCGGCCCCGCCCCGTGCCCCCGCTCGCCCCTTCTCTCCCGTCCTCACCCACCTCCTGCCCGCCCCACCCGAGGCGCCACCCCACCCTTTGAGAGCCTGGCGGTGGGGTGGACCCTTCCGTTCCCGGAGGCGGCCTAAATGGGCGAACTCTTGGTGCTCAAGGGTATAAGTGGCCGGGAAGAGGAGGAGACCCGGCCAGAGGAGCAGAGCGACTTCCGGAGGGATCACCCGCACCCAAGTGCGCGCTGGACCCCATAGGGGCAGAGGTCGTGGCTTTCTCTTTTGTACAGAGATGGGGAGCAGTTTTAATAGCGGGACTCAGAGGCCCAGAAAGCCGGAGGGAAGCCCCCGCAGCTTGCGAGGGAAATAACAGAAACAGGAGGAGCCCATTTAGGCAAGAGAAGACATTAAAACAGGGTAGTGCAGGTTCTCCGTCACAACTTTCTCTCGCCACCCTCTCGTCCCCTCGTCTCCACTTTCAGGCTCAGGCTCCAGCCTTGGCAGCCTTCCTGTGAACTGGAGGAACCAGTGAATTCTTTCCTGGCATTTAAAACGCATTCTGTACAGTCCCCATTCCCCCCTATCCGGACTAGGCCCTGGGGCTACAGCTGCTGCTGCCTCTTCTAATAAAGTGAGGTTGGGGGATTGTGTGTGGCTGCTTAACTTGGTGCATAGACTGGGGGGAAAGTGGCGGACCCTTTCCCTCATTCCTCTAAAGAGCTCCTACCGTGCTGTCAGTCCCTGCCAGAGGCAAAGTTTTAGTTAATTCCAGGCAAGGCCTGCCTCTGGCAGAAAAGGGGTGTGTGTGTGCTTCTACTCTGCTATGGGGAGGAAGAAGGATGGTCTGTTTCAGGAGAGCTTTGGGGCCTCACGCTGTAGGTGGAGGGAGACACCAGCCTAATAAGGGAAGAGTCCAAAGGTCTGGGTCTGGTGCTTCTGCTTTTCTGCCCAATGCACGCAGAGAGTTCTAGAAGAGGAGCTCTAGGGGGTGAAGGAGTCGTCTAGGGCTCCTGCAAGCTAAGTGAGACTGATCTCAAAAAGCAAGGGGAACAGGGGTTCCAATTGCCCGCCAACATATTTACAGAGCTTGCGAGGGAGTGGGCTTGGCAGGAGTGGGAGGCTCAGAGCTTGCAAGGGGGTGGGCTAGGCAGGAGTGGGTTTCCTCCTTCCCTTTCAGGATTCAGGACGGCTTCTGGATGGGAGCCTGGGGGATCCCAAGAGCCCAGGGCTGGCCTCTGAGCTGGAGGACACTGCCATCCTGTGGGCAGTGGGAGAGTGACAGCAGTAGCTGGCCTGTTTGGACACTTAGCTAGACACGTGGATACTTTAGAAACTTTATTGAGGACAAAAGTGGGCGGCTCCCAGTCCCATGGGCAGACCGACAATAAATAAGGGCTAAAAGGAAGAAGTACGGCAGGGCAGGAGTGGTTGTCTCATCATGGAGAGCCCTGGGGGGCAGCAGAACCAACTGGAATGAAACACTGGAGACAGAGAAGACCTTGTCACAGCTCAGCCAACCTTGCACTGTAGCCAAGCCTTCCTGCTGACCTCTCTGTGAAGAAGCCCAGGTGGCCCCCTGTCCCTGTTCCCCACCTCCCATCAGGCTCACTGTGCAGCCACAGCTGGGCTGTGGGTTGGAGTCTCACCAGGGCATCCTGCCATTCGAGTAATGTAGCCACAGGGTTGGTGCAGACCCGGGTGGGGCCTGAGGGAGGGGCTCGGCTGGTGTAAAAGGCACACTCATCGTCCAGACGAGCCTCGTGGAAGCAGTGGATGGCGGTTAAACACGATTTGAGGCGCTCCCTCAGGGCTAGGGTTCGAGGGGCCAGATTGCTGAGGCCTGAGGGGCATGGAAAATTTAGAGGGAGGTCTGGGGTCCTATACTTCCACCATGTACTGTCCTCTCCTCCTCCCCCACCAACGGCCAAGCCAATTAGGAGCACAGGGCTGGAAGTGCAGCCCCTCCCCTCTTCCTGAGGGAGAGCCAGGCTGGGCCAGGGTGGAAGGTGTGGAAGCATGAGATTGCCTGGGGTAGGGGCAGGGCAGGTGTGCAGCTCACAGTGAGGTGAGGACCTCTTGTGTTCACACTCCTTCCCAGCCAACTCCTTACCTGCCTGGCCTGCTGGGGGTCTCAAAGACTGGAGTGAGCAGATAGGGGGGCTGGCACAAAGCGGGTGTTGGGAAGAGAAGATCAGGCTGGTGGTTGCTGGAGCCCACTGACTGCAGCAGGGTGGTAGACTGGACTCTAGACTTCTATGTTCCAGGGTGCAGGGCTCTGATGCCCCCAGCTCTACCCTAGGGCAGGGCCCTGGGGGTCCAGACTGCCCCTGGGTGCTGGGCTGAAGGGGCCCGGGTTCTGCTGGAGGGCAGGGCTCAGGTACCTCAAGCTGTTCCTGGCGAGAGGACTCCGGTATCTCAGGCTCAATCCTACAGTAGGACTCTAGGGGCCTGGGTTCTGCTGGAGGGCAGGGCTCAGGTACCTCAAGCTGTTCCTGGCGAGAGGACTCCGGTATCTCAGGCTCACTCCTACAGCAGGACTCTAGGGGCCTGGGTTCTGCTGGAGGGTAGGGCTCTGGTACTTCAAGCTGTTCCTGGAGGGAGGGCTCTGGTATCTCAGGCTCACTCCTACAGAAGGCCTCTGGGGGCCCAGGCTCTGCCGGAGGGCAGGGCTGTGGTTCCCCGCACTCCTCTGGAAGACAGGGCTTTGGCAGCCCTGAGTGTTTTAACAGTCCAGGAAGGTGGGAAGTCCCAGAGTTATGCTCTGTGGCATTCAGAGTTCTAGAAATCTCAGTCAGCAGGGGCTGAAGTTCAACCATATCCAGAGAAGAGCCTCCATTAAGAGGGACACACTGGCCCCCTACCAGCCCCTCTACTTCCTGTCTCAACAGCTGTTGCAGGATACCGATGCGCTGTGGTGGGAGAGAGCACCCCAGTGTGACATCAAGATGTGCGTTCAGTAGTCTACCCACACTGTCCTATTCCTGATCCCCCATCTCTTTTCCCTCTTCCTCAGCCCAGTCACTGTTCAATAGACATCAAAGCTGTTGGCCACACAGACTCACTTGAATCTTCACCTCCTGGAGGCTGGGGGTTCTGTTAGAGTGGGGTCCAGAAGGAGTGGCCACCGGTGGTTTCCCAGAACCCTCCAGTGACCTTATACAACTCTCCTGGTCAAACAACCGGACGGCAACCTGCTCCTGTCACCAAGGAACAAGGCACACAAGCAAGCCAGGCTGGGGCAGGAGAAAGACCAGCCTGAGTCCCACCCTCATGAGGAATGGATTGAAGCCCCTAACTGAGAGGCCCTAGATGTACATTAGGAGGGGCAGCAGAGAAGCAGTGAGAGTTAGGCAGCTTTTCCAGAGAGCACTTTCTAATTTTTAAAATTTTAGTGGAGACAGGGTCTCACTATGTTGCCCAGGCTGGTCTCAAAGATCTGAGCTCAAGCAATCCTCCTACCTCAGCCTCCCAAAGTGCTGGGATTACAGGTGTGAGCCACCATGCCTGGCCCAGAAAGCACGTGTGCCTCAAACTCCTGGGCCTCCAGGCTGGCAGCACAGGGCAAGGGATCTCAGTAGGGGGAAGCTTCTGATACTTACCCAGGGCAGGGCAGGATCTTCAGAGCAGGACTGAGGGGAGACACCACGCAGCCACTGGGCCTGGCACAGAAGTGAGATGTCAGCAAGGGCTGACACCCACAGATGGCACTCAGCCTCCCCTTGCTTCTGTCTTCTCTCTCCTGTACCCATCCATCTCCTTTCTCCCCTAGCTGTGACTTATGCCAGCCACCTCTCCATGCCCTCTCTTACCTGCTGAACTCTGGGGGTTGATGGCATGGGTGTGAACCGGGTTTTAGGTTGAACGGTGAGACGCCGCAACACTGAATATGAGGTCTGGGGAGAGATGTGGGTGGCTGAGCAGGGACAAAACCCAGACATAGCAAGGATCTCCGGCCAGACTGTTCTGCCCCTGCCCAGCCCCCAGTTGTTGACACAAACCAGAGTTGGAGGGCCTGGGGAGGGTACACGCTGAGCCCGTCCAAAGGGTGATGGACATGGCACCACATGGCCAGGCAAGGGCTGGGCCACAGGGGCAGGGGAGGGCATCAGGTGGGAGTCATGGCTGTCCTGTGAAGAAGAAAAAGGTGGAAGAGTGATCCCCGCCCCCTTTGTCTTCCTATTTTTTTTTTTGATACGGAGTCTCGCTCTGTCACCCAGGATGGAGTCCAGTGGCGCGATCTTGGCTCACTGCAAGCTCCGCATCCCGGGTTCACACCATTCTCCTGCCTCAGCCTCCCGAGTAGCTGGGACTACAGGTGCCCGCCACCATGCCCGGCTAATTTTTTGTATATTTAGTAGAGATGGGGTTTCACCATGTTAGCCAGGATGGTCTCGATCTCCTGACCTCGTGATCTGCCCGCCTCGGCCTCCCAAAGTGCTGGGATTACAGGAGTAAGCCACCACGCCTGGCTGTCTTCCTATATCGTGTTCTCACTACAGCAGCCAGTGTGATTCTTTTAAGACCTAAGTCAAGCCGGGCATGGTGGCTCAGGCCTGTAATCCCAGCACTTCGGGAAGCCGAGGAGGGTGGAGCACCTGAGGTCAGGAGTTTGAGACCAGCTTGACCAACATGGAGAAATCCTGTCTCTACTAAAAATACAAAATTAGCCAGGCGTGGTGGTGCATGCCTGTATTCCCAGCTACTCGGAGGCTGAGGCAGGAGAATCACTTGAACCCAGGAGGCAGAGGTTGCAATGAGCGGAGATCGTGCCATTGCACTCCAGCCTGGGCAACAAGAGTGAAACTCCATCTCAAAAAAAAAAAAAAAAAAAAAAAAAAAGACCTAAGTCAAATCATGTCACTTTCTTGATCAACCCCTCTCCCCATGGCTTTCCACTCATTCCAAGACAAGCCAAAGACTTACACTGGTGTACAATTCCTTACCCAATCTGATCGTGTTATCGCTAAAACCCTATCTCCTACTGTTCTTCTTACTCTGCTTCAATCTCACTGGCCTCTCCTTTTTGCTGATCCTCAAACACACCAGGCACATTCCCTCCCCAGGGCCTTTACCTCTTCAGTTCTCTTGGCCTGGAATGTTCCTTCCCCCAGATATCAACATATCTCACTCCTCCTCCAACCCCTGGTCTTCACTTAAACATCATCTTCTCAGTAAGAGTTCCCTGACAAATCTATTTTAAATTGCAATACCAACTCCCCTGCTCCCAATTCTCCTTTAGTGCCTTATTATTATTATTATTATTATTTTAGAGAGAACTTACCATCATCTGAGACACTATTTATTTTATACCTGTGTTTATTTCTTGTCTCCCCCTTCTAGAATATGAACTTGTTTACTGCTATATGTCCAGAGCCTAGAACAGAGCCTGGCACTCAGTAGGCTGGTGCTACTCAGTAAATATTTGTGGAGCCAAGGGATGAATGCTTTTGGCTGACAAGTGTCAGATCTGTCTCACCCTTAGCACTGATCTGATGGTGATACAAATATGACCTCTCACCCTAGGCCCCAGACATCTGATAAAGAGAGGTCAGTCTCACATTGGAGAGGGACTGGGTGCATCTGGGGTAAACCTACCCAGTAACATCCTGAGGCCCAGGACTTCCTGGCTCTACCTACAATTCTCAGTGTTGGCTGCTGCAGCAAAATTCTTCCAAGCAACTCCTGCACCTCCCACCCACCATCCCAGGAGAGTCGCATCTCACCCTGGTATGTGACATTTCTCGGTTTTCTCTTAATGGTACTCGCTGGGCCAGACCAAGAGAGGCCACACCTCCTTCATCTGAGTGAGTGACAACCTCGCGTTCTCCTTTAGGAAGAGAGAAAGCTAGGAAGAAACAGGACATTTGTTGTAGACTCTAGAACACCCACCAAAGTTTGGCACAGTGTTCTGCAACTTCTGAAGAGGGTATATTAGTTTAATAGGCCCCATTGCACTATTAGGGACAGGAACCCATCCAGCAGCCCCTCAACACCCAACACTATCTCAGTAAACACTTATTAATCTGAACGTCTGAGTAGGCTGGGGATGTGGTGATGGCACTTAGGGGCTGGGGATAAACAGTGAGTGGAAGATAAATCTTGCAGGAAGTGGCAGAGAGAGGGCCGAAATGGAGACCATCTCCTTAGACAAAAGTGCAACTGTGCCAATCGCTGGCCTATCTAGAAGGTCTCTTCTCCTTCTCCTTCTGACCTAGCCTCCCGGCCTCCCACTTCCTCATGCTCCCTCCCAGCCTGCTGAGTTTTCTCTGGTCTTGTTCCCTGCTTCAGGCAGCCCAACTGCCCCTGTTCTCTCCCCACGCCAGAAACACTTACCAGGCTGGACTGGGGTCTCCAGGAGCAATCCTGAGGCCTGGCTCACTGAAGTCCTGATGACAATAAGGACATTAGCCAGCAGTCACTGAATACCAAGTATGAGCTGGACATGTGCTAAGTGCTTTACAAACATCATCTCATTTCATTCTCATGACAACTAATGATGGTACAAATGTTATTCTCACTTGACAAAGAAACCAAAGCTCAGAGAGGTGAAGGCAAGCTTGCACAAATAGTAAGTGTTAAGAGTTAGGATATAAACCCAAATCCCACTTATTGCCACAGTCTATACTCTAGCCACTAAACAAAAGAGATAGCACATTTCTGTCCTCCCTGTCCCCCCATGACTTGAGTAAACTGATGTCACACTGAGGCCTGGCTGTGAAAGCCTGAACCCTATCCCAAGGGCTCATCCCGGGTAATCACAGGTTTCTTGCTTCCCCTCCTGAGTTGGTGGGGAGTCCTAAAGCTCCTGGAAGGCCCCAACTCTGGGGGACTCCTGTATCAGACACTGGTTCATTCTTTTCCAGATGACCTTCTCCCACACCCTCTCCTTTCTCACCGGCTGCTGCCAGCTGTCTCCCTTCTTAGCTCCTGGAAACTGGGGCGAGTGGAAGGGTGAAAGGAAGGTCCTGAAGGTGAAATCTGATCCACAGGAGCAAGAGATGAAAACGGAATCAGAGGTGGACCCCAAACCCTCAGGCCTCACCACCAACCCCATCTCCCCCAGTAGGATCCCTTGCCTCATCATGAGGTACCTCTTCTCCCAGAGCCCAGCTTTGTCCCTGGAAGGAGCTCCCAGAAGCACCGACTATCAGCCCCTCAAGGGCACTCACCAGAGCCTGTAGCCTCTGGGGGCACAATGTCCGGCCTCGAGGTCCTGGTCCCTCCAGCCTAGAGAAGCAGGAAGCCCTGGCAGGGTCCAGTCGGTGGGTGGGGGTTCTGGGGGCCAAATATGCAGAGGCCCGAACACCCTGGGACACCAACAGAGGCTGTCAGCACTGCTCAGGATGCCCCCCTCAGTGCCCCCTAGCCTGGTCTCCTCACATCCTGTTTCATTACCTGGACCCTCTGGGTGGTGCCTCCCTGACTTCCTCGAACCAGTACTCTTTTAGCCAGACTAGGCTGGCGCCCCAGGTGACAGCTCTTCACACCCTCACCTGACAGGATGGTGGCCAGGGCTGCAGGGTCAGCCACAAACTCTATGGTCCCTGGAGCCTCTGCAAGGAAAGAGGAGAAGGAAAAGGAAGGGGGAAGGCTGAGGGGGATAGGGCCCCTAGCATAGGAACTTTGAGGTACAAGGTGAGCAAGAGACTCATTCAATTGAATTTGGCTTATTTTTTTTTTTTTTTTTAAGAAATAGATGGCTGGGTGCAGTGGCTCATGCCTGTAATCCCAGCACTTTGGGAGGCCGAGGCGGGTGGATCACCTGTGGTCAGGAGTTTGAGACCAACCCGGCCAACATAGCAAAACCCTGTCTCCACTAAAAAAATACAAAAATTGGCTGGGTGCGGTAGCTCACTCCTGTAATCCCAGCACTTTGGGAGGCTGAGGCAGGTGGATCACCTGAGGTCAGGAGTTTGAGACCAGCCTGGCCAACATGGTAAAACCCCATCTCTACAAAAAACAAAAACAAAAAAAAATTAGCTGGACCTGGTGGCGCGCGCCTGTAGTACCAGCTACTCAGGAGGCTGAGGCTGGAGAATCACTTGAACCTGGGAGGTGGAGGTTGCAATGAGCCAAGATCGTGCCACTGCACTCCAGCTTAGTGACAGAGTGAGACTCTGTCTCAAAAAAAAAAAAAAAAAAAAGAAAGAAAACAAAAATTAGCTGGGTGTGGTGGCAGGTGCTGGTAATCCCAGGTACTCGGGGTGAGGCATGAGAATCGCTTGAACCTGGGAGGTGGATGTTGCAGTGAGCCGAGATCATGCCACTGTACTCTAGCCTGAGGGATAGAGTAAGACTCTGTCTCCACAAAAAAAAAAGAAAAGAAAAAAAAAAAGAGAAAAAGAGATGGGGTCTCACTATGTTGCCTAGGCTGGTCTCAAACTCCTGAGCTCAAATGATCCTCCTGCCTCGGAGGAGTGTTGGAATTACAGGCGTGAGCCACCACACCTGGTCACCAAATGTTCATAGAATGTTACATAAGACACTATTCTAAGCACTGGGGTCCCATAAGAATAAGACAAAGCCCCTATCCTCAAGAGGCTATCATCAAACTATAGACAGGTAACAGACTCAAGCCAAGGTATATACATGTTATAAAAGAAGTGCTGCAAAGTATTAGGAGAACACAGAGCAACTGATTGTGACATGGGGAACTGGAAAAGGCTTCAGAAGAAGTGATATTTATTATTTATTTATTTATTTATTTTTTAAAGAGATGGGATCTCCCTCTGTCATCCAGGCTGGTCTCCAACTCCTGGCCTCCAGTGATCCTCCTGCTTCAGCCTCCTGAGTAGCTGTGATTACAGGTACAAGCCATGGCACCTGGCGAGATGACATTTTGCTGGAGGAAAGGGAGATCTTCTAAGAGCAAAGAGCTTTCCAGGAGCTGGGACCAGGACTATCACAGTAAGTAGGAGACAGCAGGAGTGAGTGCAAAACCCCAAAACCCCACTTTTACCCTTCCTAGTCCCCTACTCAGCCATGGAGGCCGTGTTACCATGGCTCCAACAGGTACCTGTCTGGGCAGGGGGCCCAGGCCCCACATTTTGACCCCTAGGGCTAGGCCTGAGCTCTTCCAAGGGGTTCCGAGGCTGACTGATCCCCACCAATCTTTGTGATGTCTCTGCCTGGTGCCTGGCTTTCGGCCTGGGGCCTGCTGAATCAACGAGGGGGCGTTGAATATTGAGCGGTGGTTTCTGCACCCATCTCTAGGGGAGGGAGCGGGG
Source organism: Homo sapiens (assembly GCF_000001405.40). Lineage (NCBI taxonomy): Eukaryota > Metazoa > Chordata > Mammalia > Primates > Hominidae > Homo > Homo sapiens. Next base: position 49,323,826 of record NC_000012.12, on the reverse strand, counting down.
ACAAAAAGGTGAGGTTTAGTGTTGGGGTGCATTACTGGTGTGACTACTGTCTTCCCCCATTAGGCCCCTCTTACCCTTGGATCTTGGTTCTCCTGGTCCACGGCGCACGATGTAACAGTGGGGAAAGGCGTGCGTTTCTGAGAGCGTACCGGAATCTTGCTAGGGGTAGGAGATACACCCCGGAGGAGGGGATCCTTCGTGGCTTGCCGGGTGGTCATGATGGCTACAATTGAGACGGGGAAGAAGGCAGGCAGAATCTAAGATCAAAGATCAACCAGTTCTCGGGGCACCTGTCCTGCCATCCCTGATACCTCCGCCCTAATCCACGCGCCCACAAGCCCCCGGCGCCTGCAAGACCGCTCTTATGGGTGCTATCTCCAGACACCCCGAGCCTACTCTTTCGCCCTCGGGCCCCAAACTGCCCTCCTCCCTATGAACCCAGCAGCCTTCGTTCCCTTCAAGACCCCCGTGCCTTACCTTACCGAGGCCCCTCAGGGCCTACCCAGCTTCCTCCGCTTTTCTCCTGACCCTCTCGGGTGCTGCTGGAGCTACTTTCTCAGTTTGTAAAATACGCCAAGCTCTTGATTGGCCCGGTCGCGCTCCCGCGGAGGCCCGCGTAGCCAGACTCAGCCGTCCAATCCGCGGGCATCGCAGGAGGGGCCAAAAGAAGGACCAATTGTCGAACCGCTTTCTGGCGAGGAAAAAAACTGACTCGGATCAATCAGCCAATCCGAGAGTGGAGCGCCGCTGGGAGGCGGGGAAAGAGGAAGGATGGGGCCGTTCCGAGGCCGGGGAAGGCGTAGCCACGGGAGCTCTCGCGAGGCCTCAGGACCGGCTAGGGGCCGGCCATTGGCAGGACCGGGCGAGGTCGCGGTACTGAGGGTACAGTTGATCGTTCCGATTGCTGCCAACGGTGTTGAAGGCTGGCCCGAGCCCCCGACCCGGCTTGACCATAGCACGGCGCCAAGCTTTGGGGACGCCATTCCAGATGCCCATAGAAAATATCTGCGTCCGGGCGCGGTGGCAGGCGCCTGTAATCCCAACACTTTGGGACGCCGAGGCGGGAGGATCTCTTGAGCTGAGTTTGAGACCAGCCTGGGCAACATAGCGAGACCACTCCCACCCGTTTCTCTACAAAATAATAAAATAATAATAATAATCCCTGTGCAGTGGTGCGCGCTTGTAGTCCCAGCCGCTCTGGAGGCTGAGGCAGGAGGATCGTGTTGAGCCCAGGAGGTTGAGGCTGTAGTGAGCTGTGGTCGCGCCACTGCACTCCAGCCTGGGCAACAGAGACCCTGTCTTAAAAAAAATAAAGAGGGAAAGAGAGAACATCTGTACGTTGTCTCCGGGATAAGGAACTGCCTTCAAACGGGCGGAGAGGGCTGGAGGGAATCGAACTGAGCCTAACAATATGTGTGCTCCTTGGAGCCTCACAATCCAGTGAGGTGTCTGATGAGGTGTCTTTCATTTTACGGGTAGGTAACAAGACTCATTGTTTTTGAACTCAGTTACCACAGCACCAGAATTGAATGGCTACTCACAGCTGGGGATTTCCTTGCCTCCAGGTTGCCTTTTGCAGATCTAGAGGTCTGGGGAGAGGGGGCTCACCTGCTGGTTATTGGTGGGCAAGGCTGTGAGACTGAGAGATCCTAGAATATCCTGCTTAAGATGGAAGGGGTAACCCCTAACGGGGGACAGGAAATGAACAACACTTAACAGAACTCTGGTGGATTTTCCCCACCAATCACAGAAGTTATTCTTACACAAGCCAGAAACCGAGGAGTTACTCCTTAACTCCTCCCACTCCCTTTACATATCCCATCTCTCATTCACTCTCACTAGTTTTACTATTTATGCATTTTTGGGACAGGGTCTCACTCTGTCGCCCAGGCTGGAGTGCAGTGGTGCGATCTCAGCTCACCGCAGCCTCGGCCTCCTGAGGTGGGAACCTCAGCCTCTCAAGTAGCTGGGACTACAGGTGCCTGCCACCAGCTAATTTTTGTGTTTTTTTGTAGAGACAAGATCTGGCTACGTTGTCTAGCCTGGGGTTACAGGCGTCTTTCCCAGCACTTTGGATGGCCCAGGTGGATCGCTTGAGGCCAGGAGTTCCAGACCAGCCTAGACAGTGTAGCAAGATCCTGTTTCTATAAAAAAAAATTTAAAGATACGTAAGGTATCTTTACTAATTGTATGCATCTTTAAAATTCATCTACTTTCAGGCTGTGCGCGGTGGCTCACGCCTGTAATCCCAGCACTCTGGGAGGCCAAGGCAGGGGGATCACCTGAGGTTGGGAGTTCAAGACCAGGCTGACCAACATGGAGAAAACCGTCTCTACTAAAAACACAAAAATTAGCCGGACTTGGTGGCTCATGCCTGTAATCCCAGCTACTCAGGAGGCTGAGGCAGGAGAATCGCTTGAACCCAGGAGGCGGAGGTTGAGGTGAGCCGAGATCGCACCACTGCAACTCCAACCTGGGCAACAAGAGCGAAACTCCGTCTCAAAAAAAAACCAAACAAACAACAACAAAAAGATCATCTACTTTCGGCTGGGTTTATGACTGTAATCCCAGCACTTTGGGAGGCCGAGGTGGGCGGATCACCTGAGGTCAAGAGTTTGAGACCATCCTGACCAACATTGTGAAACCCCGTCTCTACTGAAAATACAAAAATTAGCTGGGCATGGTGGCTGATGCCTGTAATCCCAGCTACTTGGGAGGTTGAGGCAGGAAAATCACTTGAACCCAGGAGGCAGAGGCTGCAGTGAGCCAAGATTGTGCCACTGCATTCTCCAGCCTGGGTGACAAGAGTGAAACTCTGTCTCAAAAAAGAAAAAAAATTTCTTACTTTCTCTTTCTTTCTTTTTTCTTTTTCTTTCTTTCTTTCTTTTTTCTTTCTCTCTTTTTCTTTCTTTCTCTTTTTTTTTCTCTCTCTCTTTCTCTCTCTCTCTCTCACTCTCTCTTTTTCTTTCTTTCTTTTTTTTTGAGACAGAGTCTTGCTCTATCCCCCAGGCTGGAGTGCAGTGGCCTGATCTCAGCTCACTGCAGCCTCCACCTCCCGGGTTCAAGCGATTCTCCTGCCTCAGCCTCCTTAGTAGCTGGGATTACAGGCACCAGCCACCATGCCCAGCTAATTTTTGTATTTTAGTAGAGACGGGGTTTCACAATGCTGGTCAGGATGGTCTCGAACTCCTGACCTCAAGTGATCCACTTGCCTCGGCCTCCGAAAGTGTTGGGATTACAGGCGTGAGCCACCGCACCCGGCCCATCTACTTTCTTGTTCTTTGTTAGCACCACCCTAATCCACCTCAGTCTCACCTAGGCAATTGCAAGAGTGTCTTAGTTGGTCTCCCATCCCCTATTCTCTCTTTCTCTTCACACTCTTCCATTCTCCATATAGCAGCTAGAGTAATCTTTCCAAAATGCACATCAAGTCAGGCTACCACTATCCCTTGACCTCTCCCCACTGAAACCCTCCATCTTCTACCACTCTTCCCCTTCTATTAATATCTCCAACTTCATGGCTTCTTTCAATTCCTCAAGTTTGTCCTGATTGCTCTATATGGTCCCTGTTTCTGGAATGTCCTTTTCACTTCCACTTGGCCTATTTATGCCTCCAAATTGATTCCCATTGTTATTTCCTCAGGCCTTCCTTGCACCCCTCTACCTACCACCCACCCCAATCTAGTAAAGACCTCTTGGCTATGTGCTCGCAAAAAGTAATGTTTGTTTCCTCAGAGCATGTATGTTAGTTGGTAATTATATATTAATCAGTGTGAACATAATATGTTTACTAAACCCAGTTTCCTCCAATAGACCTCCAAGGAGATGATGAAGGTGACCCTCTATTTTTGGCCTACCATCATATCTTTAGTACCTTGCATTATCCTTCGTAAAAGTGCTCAATCCTTGTTGAATGAGTCAATAGATAGATGAATATATGATTGAATGCATCAACAAGGAAGACCTCCAAGAAGAAATAATGTTTGAACTTCCTCTTTAAAAAAATTTTTAAGGTCAGGCGTGGTGGCTCATGCCTGTAATCCCAGCACTTTGGGACACCAAGGCAGGCGGATCACTTGAGGTCAGGAGTCTAAGACCAGCCTGGCCAATATGGCAAAACCCGGTCTCTACTAAAAATATAATTAGCTGGGCGTGGTGATGCATGCCTGTAATCCCAGCTACTCAGGAGCCTGAGGCACGAGAATCACTTGAACCCAGAAGGGAGGGTTGCAGTGAGCAGAGATCATGCCACTGCACTCTAGGCTGGGAGAAAGAGTGAGTGAGACTTTGTCTCAAAAAAATATATATTTTTAATATACACTTTTTTGTATAGAGATGGGGTCTTGCTATGTTGCCTAGGCTGGTCTCAAACTCCTGGGCTCAAGCCATCCTCCTGCCTCAGCTTCCCACAGTGCTGAGATTACAGATGTCAGCCACTGTGCCAGCCTGCTTTTACTTTTTTTGATTAACTCTGTTTTCAGGATTCATCCTTATTACTACATATAATCTAATTCATTGCTTATACCTGCTACATAGGATTCCATGGTAGGCATCCATTATACTTTACTTACCCATTCCTGACTTCTACACACAATGCCAGACAGTTATCTCTTTCATAGTCCCCTGTGAACCAGTTCAAGAATTTCTCTGGAACATATTCCTCGGAGTGGAATTTCTGTGGTAAGGTATATGCATGCTCAATTTTACTAAGTAGCACCAGATTATTTTTCAGAAAATCTGTAGCTGTAAACCGGGCATGGCACACACTTGTAGTCCCAGCTTCTTAGAAGGCTGAGGTAGGAGGATTGCCTGAGCTCAGGAGTTTGAAGCCAGCTTTGATAACAGTGAGACACTCTAAAAAAAACCCTGAAAAACAAAACCAAGCAAGAAAACCCAGGTCTGTAGCTGTTTACAGTCTCAACATCATTACTGAAAGTTCTTATTACCTCATACCCTTTCCAACACGTAATATTATACAACTCTCTAATATTTGCAATTCTAATAGGTATATTAAGTGTACTCTCAGTTATTTAAAATTACATTTCTCTGATTACTAGTGAGTTTGAGTGTTACTTCATATTCTTTTTTTTTTTTCTTGAGATGGAGTCTCACTCTGTTACCAAGGCTGGAGTGCAGTGGCACGATCTTGGCTCACTGCAACGTCAGCCTCCCAAGTTCAAGCGATCCTCCTGCCTCAGCCCCCCTAGTAGCTGGGATTACAGGCACCCACAACCATCCCTGGCTAATTTTTGTATTTTTCATAGAGACAGGGTTTCGCCATGTTGGCCAGGCTGGTTTCCAACTCCTGACCTCAGGTGATCCACCCACCTTGGCCTCCCAAAGTGCTGGGATTACAGGTGTGAGCCACTGCGCCTGGCTATTTCATATTCTTGTTAGCCAATAAAGCTTCCTTCTCTCTGAAATGCCTATTCATATCCTTTGTGCTTTTTTTATTTTGGATTCCTGTCTTTACTTTTGTTCCTTCATAAGATTACACTATATTATGAATATTAATCCCACATTCACTTTTTTAAAAATTATTTTATTTTATTTTATTTATTATTACTTTTTGAGATGGAGTCTTGCTCTGTCACCCATACTGGAGTACAGGGGCCTGATGTCGGCTCACTGAAACCTCTACCTCCTGGGTTCAAGTGATTCTCCTGCATCAGCCTCCCAAGTAGCTGGGATTACAGACACGCACCACCACGCCTGGCTAATTTTCTTTTCTTCTTCTTCTTTTTTTTTTTTTGAGACTGAGTCTTGCTCTGTCACCAGGCTGGAGTGCAGTGGCGCAATCTCGGCTCACTGCAACCCCTGCCTCCTGGGTTCAAGGGATTCTCCTGCCTCAGCCTCCCGAGTAGCCGGGATTACACGTGCCTGCCACCATGCCCAGCTAATTTTTGTATTTGTAGTAGAGATGGGGTTTCACCATGTTGGCCAGGATGGTCTCGATCTCCTGACCTCGTGATCCGCCTGGCTCAGCCTCCCAAAGTGCTGGGATTAGAGGTGTGAGCCACCACGCCCGACCTCTTTTTTTTTTTTTTTTTTTTCAGGAAGAGTTTTGCTCTGTCTCCCAGGCTAGAGTTCAGTGGCCCGATCTCAGCTCACTGAAACCTCTGCCTCCTGGGTTCAGCGATTCTCCTGCCTCAGCCTCCCGAGTGGCTGAGATTACAGGTGCTCGCCACCATGCTTGGCTAATTTTTGTATTTTTAGTAGAGATGGGGTTTCACCATGTTGGCCAGGCTGGTCTCAAACTCCTGACCTCAGGTGACTGCCCACCTCAGTCTCCCAAAGTGCTGGGATTACAGGCATGAGCCATGGTGCCTGGCCACGCCTGGCTAATTTTTATATTTTTTAGTAGAGGGGGGTTTTGCCATGTTGACCAGGCTGGTTTAGAACTCCTGACCTCAGATGATCTGCCTGCTTCGGCCTCCTAAAGTGCTGGTATTACAGGAGTGAGCCACTGCACCCAGCCCCATATCCACTTTATTTATTTATTTATTATTATTATTTATTTATTTATTTATTTTTTGAGACAGAGTCGTGCTCTGTCGCCAGGCTGGAGTGCAGTGGCGCGATGTCGGTTCACTGCAGCTTCCACCTCCCGGGTTCAAGCAATTCTCCTGCCTCAGCCTTCCGAGTAGCTGGGACTACAGGTGTGCGCCACCATGCCCAGCTAATTTTTTGTATTTTAGTAGAGATGGGGTTTCACCATGTTGGTTAGGCTGGTCTTGAACTCCCAACCTCAGATGATCCGCCCGCCTTGGCCTCCCAAAGTGTTGGGATTACAGGCGTAAGCCACCGCGCCCAACCTATTATTATTATTATTATTGAGTCTTGGTCTGTCGCCCAGGCTGAAGTGCAGTGGCTCGATCTCGGCTCACTGTGAGTTCAAGTGATTCTCCTGCCTCAGCTTCCTAAGTCTCTGGGTCTACAGGTGTGCACCACCAGGCCCAGATAATTTTTGTATTTTTAGTAGAGACGGGGTTTCACCATGATGGCCAAGTGGTCTTGAACTTCTAACCTCAGGTGATGTGCCCACCTTAGCCTCCCAAAATGCTGGGATTACAGGCGTGAGCCACCACATCTGGCTCCCCATATCCACTTTAAACATTGCAAATATTTTCTTATAATTGATTTTCTATCCAATGAACTCTTTTCTTATTTTTCTATTGATTCTTCTAGGTTTTCTACAGAGATAATTATGTCCTCTGTAAACAAAACAGTTTTACATATTCCCCTTCAATCTTTATACCTCGTTAGATTTTTTGTTATTCTTGTTTTGTTTGTTTGTTTTTTTTTTTTTTTTTTTTTGAGACGGAGTCTTGCTCTGTCGCCCAGGCTGGAGTGCAGTGGCACAATCTCGGCTTACTGCAACCTCCGCCTCCCGGGTTCACGCCATTCTCCTGCCTCAGCCTCCCAAGTAGCTGGGACTACAGGCGCCCGCCACCACGCCTGGCTAATTTTTTGTATTTTTAGTAGAGACAGGGTTTCACCACATTAGCCAGGATGGTCTCGATCTCCTGACCTTGTGATCTGCCAACCTCAGCCTCCCAAAGTGCTGGGATTACAGGCGTGAACCTCCGCACCCGGCTGATTTTTTTTTTTTTTAGATGGTGTTTTGCTCTTGTTGCCCAGGCTGGAGTGCAATGACATGATCTCCTCCACCTCCTGGGTTCAAGTGATTCTCCTGCCTTAGCCTCCCAAGTAGCTGGAATTACAGGCATGTGCTACTATGCCCGGCTATTTTTGTATTTTTAGTAGAGATGGGGTTTCACTATGTTAGTCAGGCTGATCTCTAACTCCTGACCTCAGGTGATCCACCCACCTCGGCCTCCCAAAGTGCTGGGATTACAGGCATGAGTCACCGTGCCCGGCCCTGATTCTGTTGATTTCTTTTTCTTACACCATCATAGAAAATTTCCAATATTATATTAACAGCAACAGTGCTGGAGCAACCTTGACTTGTGGGAAACCATCTGAAGCTTCTCCAAAGAGTAACTTTTTTCCCTGTTTTTGTGAAACAATTTTAAACTTACAGAACATGTGCAAGGATATACATAACATTTTTTCTCAACCATTTGAGAGCAAATTGACAATATATTGCCTCAAATATTTCAGTGTGCATTTATTTTTATTTATTTATTTATTTATTTATTGAGAGGGAGTCTCTCTCTGTTGCCCAGGCTGGAGTACAGTGGCATGATTTAGGCTCACCCCAAACTCTGCCTCCTGGGTTCAAGTGATTCTCCTGCCTCAGCCTCTTGAGTAGCTGAGATTGTAGGCCCCTGCCACCATGCCCAGCTAATTTTTGTATTTTTAGTAGAGACAGGGGTTTCACCATGTTGGCCAGGCTGATCTCGAACTCCTGACCTCAGGTGATCCGCCTGCCTCAGCCTCCCAAAGTGTTGGGATTACAGGCATGAGCCACTGTGCCCAGCCCAACCTTGATACATTCTGACCACCTAACCCTCAGGCCCTGTGATGGTTAATTTTAGGCATCAACTTGACTGGATTGAGAGATGCCTTGATGGCTGGTGAAACATTGTTCGTGTGTGTGTCCTGTGTCCGTGTGTCTGTAAGGGTGTTGCAGTGGAGATTGGCTGTGAGTCCTTGGACTGAGAGAGGAAGACCTGCCTTCAGTGTGGGTGGGTATCATCCAACCGCCTGGGGTGGATTTGGACAAACAGGAAGAAGTGGGGGAATTCTCAAACTCTCCCTTCCAGAGCAATCTGCTTTTTCTCCTCCTATTCTTGGACAACAGACTCCAGGTTCTTCAGCTTTTGGACTTTGGGACTTGCACCAGTGGCCTATCAGGGGTTTTCAGGCCTTTGGCCTCTGACTAGGGGGTTGTACTGTTGGCTTCCCTGGCTCTGAAGCTTCTGGAGTTGGACTGAGCCATGTTACCAGATTCTCTGGTTCCCCAGCCTACAAAGAGCCTATCATGGGATTCTGCCTCTGTGATCATGTGGCCAATTCCCTAATAAATCCCCTCTCATATATCCAATTGGTTATGTCTCTCTGAAGAACCTTAATACTGACCCAATTCAAGTTTCGCCAGTTTTCCCAGTGATGTCCTTTATAGAAGAAGGATCCAGTCCAGATTCATGTGTTGCATTTAGTTGTCATATCTTTTTTTTTTTTTTTTTTTGAGATGGAGTCTCTCTGTGTCGCCAGGACGGAGTGCAGTGGTGCAATCTCGGCCCACTGCAACCTCTGCCTCCCCGGTTCAAGCGATTCTCCTGCCTCAGCCTCCCAAGTAGCTGGGATTACAGGCGCCTGCCACCACACCCAGCTAATTTTTGTGTTTGTAGTAGAGATGGGGTTTCACCATGTTGGCCAGGATGGTCTTGATCTCCTGACCTCCTGATGCACCTGCCTCGGCCTCCCAAAGTGCTGGGATTACAGGTGTGAGCCACCTTGCCTGGCCAGTTGTCATATCTCTTTAGTCTCCTTCAATCTCAAAGAGTTCTTCATTTTTGACTTTCATGACATCACATTTTTGAGGATTACAGGCCAGTTACTTTGTAGAATTTCTCTCTGTTTGGGTTTGCCTGATGTTTTCTTATGATTAGACTCATGCTATAATCTTTGGCAGGACTGTCACAGAAGTTATGCTGTTTTCTTCCTACTGCATCCTATCAGGTGGCTCCCATTTCAGTGTGTCCTTTTACTTTAATTATTTGATTCAAGTGGTAGCCAGGTGTGGTGGCTCATGACTGTAATCCCAGCACTTTGGGAGGCTGAGGCAGGAGGATCATTTGAGTCCAAGAGTTGGAGACCAGCCTGGGCAACATGGTGAAACCCTATCTTTACAAAAATTAAAAAAAAAAATTAACTGGGCATCCAGGCGCAGTGGCTTACGCCTGTAATCCCCGCACTTTGGGAGGCCGAGGTGGGTGGATCACCTGAGGTCAGGAGTTTGAGACCAGCCTGGCCAACCTGGTGAAACCCCGTCTCTACTAAAAATACAAAAATTAGCTGGGCGTGGTGGTGGGCACCTGTAATCCCAGCTACTTGGGAAGCTGAGGCAGGAGAATCATTTGAACCCATGGGGCGGAGGTTGCAGTGAGCTGAGATCGCGCCATTGCACTCCACTCTGGGTGACAGAGCAAGACTCCACCTCTAAATAAAATAAATAAATAAATAAATAAATAAAAATCAGCTGGGCATACTGGCGTGCACCTGTAGTCCCAGCTACTTGGGAGGCTGAGGCAAGAGGATCACGTGAGCTGAGAGTTTGAGGCTGTAGTGAGCCAGGATCTGGTCACTGCACTCCAGCCTGGGAGACAGAGAGAGACCCTGTCTCAAAAAAAAAAAAAAAAAAAGTGGTATCTGTCAAGTTTCTCCACCGTAAATTACTCTTCACTTTTGTAATTAAGAAGTATTTTGTGGGGGGCAGGGGGGATACTTTGAGGTTATGTAAATATTCCATTCCTCATCAATCTTTTTCTTTTTCTTTTCTTTTCTTTTTTTTTTTTTTTTTTTTGAGACGGAGTTTTGCCCTTGTTGCCCAGGCTGGAGTGCAATGGCGCGATCTCACCTCACCACAACGTCTGCCTCCCGGGTTCAAGTGATTCTCCTGCTTCAGCCTCCCTGAGTAGCTGGGATTACAGGCATGTGCCACCACGCCTGGCTAATTTTGTATTTTTAGTAGAGATGGGGTTTCTCCATGTTGGTCAAGCTGGCCTCAAACTCCCAACCTTAGGTGATCCACCGGCCTTGGCCTCCCAAAGTGCTGGGATTACAGGCATGAGCCACCGCACCTGGCATCTTTTGCTTTTTAAAATTATATCAGTATGAACTCGTAAATTCCTATTCAATGGACCACTATCCAGTTACTAATACTGTTTTTTTTTTGACACGTTTTCTCTGATTTAGCCAGTGGGAGTCCTTTCAAGTTGCCTACTGTATCCTTTTAACATAACCTCATCACTTTTTTTTTTTTTTTTTGAGACGGAGTCTTGCTTGTCACCCAGGCTGGAGTGCAGTGGCATGATCTCGGGTCACTGCAACCTCTGCCTCCTAGGTTCAAGCCATTCTCCTGCCTCAGCCTCCCCAGTAGCTGGGATTACAGGCGCACACCACCACACTCAGCTAATTTTTGTATTTTTAGTACAGACAGGGTTTCACCATGTTGGCCAGGCTGGTCTTGAACTCCTGATCTCGTGATCCGCCTGCCTCGGCCTCCCAAAGTGCTGGGATTACAGGCCCGGCCACTTCATCACTTTTAAGCATTCTTGCACTCTGGCATAGCAACATGTTTCAGAACCTATTTTTACTTTCCCTGCATCAGCTCTGGAATCAGTCATTTCTCCAAGGAGCTCTGGTTCCTTTTTTTTTTTTTTTTTTTTTGAGACAGGCTCTCTGTTGCCCAGGCTGGAGTGCAGTGGCACAATATTGGCTCACTGCAACTTTCACCTCCCAGGCTCAAACGATCCTCCCACCTCAGCCTCCCAAGTGACTGGGACCACAGATGCATGCCACCATGTCCAGCTAATTTTTTTGTAGAGACAGGGTTTCACCATGTTGCCCAAGCTGGTCTCAGCCTCCTGGGCTCAAGTGACCCTCCTGCCTCAGCCTCCCAAAGTGCTGGGATTACAGGTGTGAGCCACTGCACCCAGCCTGGTTCCTTTTAATGGAGATTGTTATTTAGAAACCAAAATCTGGCTGGGTGTGGTGGCTCATGCCTGTAATCCCAGCACTTTGAGAAGCTGAGGCGGGCAAATCACAAGGTCAGGAGTTCGAGACCAGCCTGATCAACATGGTAAAACCCCGTCTGTACTAAAAATACAAAAATTAGCTGGATGTGGTGGTACGCACCTGTAATCCCAGCTACTCAGGAGGCTGAGGCAGGAGAATTGCTTGAATCCAAGAGGTGGAGGTTGCAGTGAGCCAAGATCGCGCCACTGCACTCTAGCCTGGGCGACAGTGCGAGACTCTGTTTCAAAAAACAAAACAAACAAACCAAAAAACCAAAATCTGGACAGTAGCTCTGCTCGTTGCTATTAGGGTATTACTGCTCCCAGTCCCTCTCAGTGGACAGAGCTGGGAGATATATTCTACCTGTAATTGTATTTTCTTGTAGTTTCCTTGTCTGGCTTTGATATCAGGGTAATGCTGGCCTTATAAGATGAGTTTGCCCACTGCTCAATGAAATAAAAGAGGATACAAACAAATGGAAGAACATTCCATGCTCATGGGTAGGAAGAATCAATATTGTGAAAATGGCCATACTGCCCAAGGTAATTTATAGATCCAGTGTCATCTCCATCAAGCTACCAATGACTTTCTTCACTGAATTGGAAAAAACTACTTTAAAGTTCATATGGAACCAAAAAAGAGCCCTCATTGCCAAGTCAATCCTAAGCCAAAAGAACAAAGCTGGAGGCATCACGCTACCTGACTTCAAACTATACTACAAGGCTACAGTAACCAAAAGAGCATGGTACTGGTACCAAAACAGAGATATAGACCAATGGAACAGAACAGAGCCCTCAGAAATAATGCCACATATCTACAACTATCTGATCTTTGACAAACCTGACAAAAACAAGAAATGGGGAAAGGATTCCCTATTTAATAAATGGTGCTGGGAAAACTGGCTAGCCATATGTAGAAAGCTGAAACTGGATCCCTTCCTTACACCTTATACAAAAATTAATTCAAGATGGATTAAAGACTTAAATGTTAGACCTAAAACCATAAAAACCCTAGAAGAAAACCTAGGCAATACCATTCAGGACATAGGCATGGGCAAGGACTTCATGTCTAAAACATCAAAAGCAATGGCAACAAAAGCAAAAATTGACAAATGGGATCTAATTAAACTAAAGAGCTTCTGCACAGCAAAAGAAACTACCATCAGAGTGAACAGGCAACCTACAAAATGGGAGAAAATGTTTGCAATCTACTCATCTGACAAAGGGCAAATATCCAGAATCTACAATGAAGTCAAACAAATTTACAAGAAAAAAACAACCCCATCAAAAAGTGGGCAAAGGATATGAACAGACACTTCTCAAAAATAGACATTTATGCAGCCAAAAGACACATGAAAAAATGCTCATCGTCACTGGCCATCAGAGAAATGCAAATCAAAACCACAATGAGATACCATCTCACACCAGTTAGAATGGCGATCATTAAAAAGTCAGGAAACAACAGGTGCTGGAGAGGATGTGGAGAAATAGGAACACTTTTACACTGTTGGTGGGACTGTAAACTAGTTCAACCATTGTGTAAGTCAGTGTGGCGATTCCTCAGGGATCTAGAACTAGAAATACCATTTGACCCACCCATCCCATTACTGGGTATATACACAAGGGATTATAAATCATGCTGCTATAAAGACACATGTACACATATGTTTATTGCGGCACTATTCACAATAGCAAAGACTTGGAACCAACCCAAATGTCCAACAATGATAGACTGGATTAAGAAAATGTGGCACATATACACCATGGAATACTATGTGGCCATAAAAAATGATGATTTCATGTCCTTTGTAGGGACATGGATGAAGCTGGAAACCATCATTCTCAGCAAATTATCGCAAGGACAGAAAACCAAACACCGTATGTTCTCACTCATAGGTGGGAATTGAACAATGAGAACACATGGGCACAGGAAGGGGAACATCACACACCGGGGCCTGTTGAAGGGTGGGGGGAGGGGGGAGGGACAGCATTAGGAGATATACCTAAGATTAAATGATGAGTTAATGGGTGCAGCACACCAACATGGCACATGTATATATATGTAACTAACCTGCACATTGTGCATATGTGCCCTAAAACTTAAAGAATAAAAAAAAAAAAAAAAGAAAAGATGAGTTTGGAAGTGTTCCTGTCTCTTCAGGTTTTTGAAAGAGTTTGAGAAGGATTGGTGTTAATTTTTCTTTTGGAGGGGCAGGGGTCCTTGTTACATTACCAAGACTGGTCTCAAATTCCTGGGCTCAAGCAATACTCCCACCTCAGCCTAGCTGGGATCACAGCCAGGTGCCACCGCACCCGGCTCCTTTTCTTTTCTTTTTTCTTTTTTGTTTGAGACAGAGTCTCGCTCTGTCACCTGGCTGGAGTGCAGTGGCATGATCTCAACTCACTGCAACCTCCGCCTCCCAGGTTCAAGCAATTCTATAGCCTCAGCCTTCTCAGTAGCTGGGACTACAGGCATGCGTCGCCACACCCAGTTAATTTTTGTTTTGTTTTGTTTTGTTTTGTTTGTAGAGACAGAGTTCCACCATGTTGCCTAGGCTGGTCTCAGACTCCTGAGCTCAAAGTGATCTGCCCGTCTCGGCCTCCTGAAGTGTTGAGATTACAAGTGTGAGCCACTGTGCCTGGCCCCGGCTCCTTTTTTTCAACTGTTTGGTAGAATTCACCAGTGAAGCCATCAGGTCCTGGTATTTTCTTTGCTGGGAGGTTTTAAATTATTGATTCAATCTGCTTGCTCATCATTGGTCTGTTCAGATTTTCTATTTCTTCATGATTCTGTCTTGGTAGGCTGTATGTTTTTAGAAATTTACCTATTTCTTCTAGGTTATTCAATTTGCTGGCATATAATTGTTCATAGTAGTCTCTTATGATCTTTTGTATTTCTGTGGTATCAGTTGTAATGCCTTCTCTTTCATTTATAATTTTATTTATTTTTGTCTTCTTTTTTTTGTCTTCTTTTTTTCTTAGTCCAGCTAAAGGTTTGTCAATTTTGTTTATCCTTTCAAAAGACAAACTCTTGGTTTTATTGATCTTTTTTATGTTTTCCTAATCTCTTTTTTATTTATTTCTGCCAGATTATTATTTCCTCCTGTTGCCTAACTTTGGGCTTACCTTGTTCTTCTTTTTCTAGTTGTTTGAGGTTATTTGAATTTTTTCTTTTTTCCTTAATGTAGGCACTTATTGCTATAAATATCCTTCTTAGAACTGCTTTTGCTACATTCCTTAAATTTTTGGTATGTTGTGTTTCTATTTTCCCATTTTCATTTGCCTCGTTTTTTAAATTTTTTATTTATTTATTTATTTTGAGATGGAGCCTCTTTCTGTCACCCAGGCTGGAGTGCAGTGGCACAATCTCGGCTCACTGCAACCTCTGCCTCCTGGGTTCAAGCAATTCTTGTGCCTCGGCCTCCTGACTAGCTAGGATTACAGGTGCCTGCCACCATACCCAGCTGATTTTTGTATTTTTAGTAGAGACAGGATTTTGCCATGTTGGCCAGGCTAGTCTGAAACTCCTGACATCTAGTGATCTGCCCACCTCAGCCTCCAAAAGTGGCCTCAAGTTATTTTTATTTCTCTTTTCACTTCTTCTTTGACCCATTGGTTGTTCAGGAGTATGTTGTTTAATTTCCACACAAGTGTGATTTTTTCATTTTTTCTCCTATTGTTGATTTCTAGTTTTATCCACTATGATCAAAAAAGATACTTGATGTGGTTTCTGTCTTCTTAAATTTGTCAAGACTTGTTTTGTGGCCTAATGTATAATCTGTCCTGGAGACTTCTGTGTACACTTGAGAAGAATGTGTATTTGTTGCTGTTGGATGGAATATTCTGTATATGTCTGTTAGGTTCATTTTGGCTATAGTGTTGTTCAAGTCTGCCATTTCCTTATTGATTTTCTGTCTGGATGATCTATCTATTGTTGAAAGTGGGATATTGAAGTCCCCTACTATTGTTATGTTGCTGTCTATTTCCCCCTTCAGTTCAGTTAATATTTGCTTTATATGTTTGCTATATATAGTTATTCTGATATTGGGTGCATATATATTTACAATTGTTATATCCTGTTGATGAACTGACCCCTTTATCATAATAATAGAGGTCTGAAAACAATAAAAAGATAATGAAAAAGATTTAAGAAAATACAAATAGATTAGAAGAATTAATATTGTTAAAATGTTCATACTACTCTAAATGATCTACAAATTCAAGCAAACCCTATCAAAATTCCAGTGGCAGTTTTCACAGAATAGAAAAAAAACAATCAAAAAATTCATATGGAGCTACAAAGGACCCCAACTAACCAAAGCAACTTTGAGCAAAAAGAAGAAACTTCATGACATTAGTCTGGGTAATGATTTTTTTTTTTCTTTTTGGAAATGAACCTAAAAGCACAGGCAACAAAAGCAAAAATAGACAAATGGGATTGCGTCAAACTAAAAGACTTCTTCACAGCAAAGGAAACAATCAACAGAGTGAAGAAACAACCTATGAAAAGAGAGAAAATATTTTCAAACCATATATCTGAGAAGGGGTTAATATCCAGAATATGTAAGGTATTCAAACAACTCAATAGTAAAAACAAAAACAAGACCTGACTTATTTAAATGGGCAAAGGACCTCAGTAGAGATTTCCCAAAGGAAGACATAAAAATGAGCAACAGATATATTAATTTTTATTTTATTTTATTTTATTTTATTTTATTTTGAGACAGATCTCGCTACATGGCCCAGGCTGGAGTGCAGTGGCGCAATCTTGGCTCACTGCAGCCTCAACCTCCCGGGCTCGAGTGATCCTCCCACCTCTGCCTTGCAAGTAGCTGGGACTGCAGGTGTGCACTGCCACACTTGGCTTTTTTTTCTTTCTGTATGTTTTGTAGAGATGGGGTTTCATCATGTTGGCCAGGCTGGTCTCAAACTCCCGACCATGTGATCTGCACACCTAGGCCTCCCAAAGTGCTGGGATTACAGGCATGAGCCACTACATCCAGCTAACATATATATATTTTAAAAAATCAACATTACTAATCATCACAGAAATGCAAACCAAAACCACAATGAGATATCACTTCACACCTGCTAGAGTGGCTATTATCAAAAAGACAAAAGATGTGTGGCAGGATGTAGAGAAAAGGAGACTCTTGTACATTGTTGGTAGGAGTGTAAATTGGTACAACTATTATGGAAAACAGTATGGGGATTCCTCAAAAAATTAAAATTAGAACTACCATACGATTCAGCAATCCCACTACTGTATATATACCCAAAGGAAAGAAAATCAGGATCTCTGGCCAGACGCAGTGGCTCATGCCTGTAATCCCAGAACTTTGGGAGGCCGAGATAGGCAGATCACCTGAAGTCAGGAGTTTGAGACCAGTCTGGCAAACATGGTGAAATCCCATCTCTACTGAAAATACAAAAATTAGCTGGGTATGATGGTGCGCGCCTGTAACCCCAGCTACTTGGGAGGCTGAGGCAGGGAGAATCGCTTGAACCTGGGAGGTGGAGGTTGCAGTGAGCCGAGATCATGCCACCGCACTCCAGCCTGGGCAACAGAGAGAGACTCCATCTCAAAAAAAAAAAAAATGTCCAGTTTGCCTTACATAGACTGTTAGCAGAAGTATGAATGCTAACAACTCTGACAGGGAGGGCTCAGAAGGAACTGAGGAGCATAGGAGAGAATCCCTGTATTATCTTAGAGAATCTCTAAGTCATCATGTTGGTAGAAATGTGAATGTTAGTGCTGACATTAAGGGCTTAGAAGGAAATGAGGAACATGTTTTTAGAAAATGGAGGAAAGGGGATTTTTTATATAGTGGTAGGAAGCTCAGCAGAATTGTGTCATAATTATGTGGAAAGCATAATTTGTAAGGATGAACTTGGATATTTAGCTGTGTTGTAAAGTGTTGAAGGTGGACTGCTTTCTTTTTGCTGCTTATAGTAAAATGTGAGAGGAGAGATAAACTGAAGGAAGAACTGTTGAGCAGAAAGGAAGCAGGACTTGGTATTTGGGAAATTCTCAGCCTACCCATATTGGTAAATATGCTCAAATTAGGCCATTCACTGTCAGGAAACGTGCTCCGAAGAGAAATCCAAGAGTGTACCTTGGCAATCTTCTGCTAGTGCCTCGGAAGGATCAAAGATCAGATCAGTCAGCCACACAATGGGCCCGTTGGAGGGTTTTGGCATGTGACTAGTGAGTCTCCTCAGTCATCTAAGCGGAAGAGAAATGAGATTATTCGAAAAGATTTGTGGCAGAGTCTCTTGTATAATGGGGTGAATCCCTGATACATACATAGGAAACCCATTCTTGAGAATGTCATGCAACAGAAACACTGCCAGCTTGTACTGAAAGGAACAGAGAGAGGACAAAATTAGAGAAGGCTGGGCCGGGCGCGGTGGCTCACGCCTGTAATCCCAGCACTTTGGGAGGCTGAGGCGGGTGGATCACGAGGTCAGGAGATTGAGACCATCCTGGCTAACACGGTGAAACCCCGTCTCTACTAAAAATACAAAAAATTAGCCGGGCATGGTGGTAGGCACCTGTAGTCCCAGCTACTCGGGAGGCTGAGGCAGGAGAATGACATGAACCTGGGAGGCGGAACTTGCAGTCAGCCTAGATCGTGCCACTGCACTCCAGCTTGGGTGACAGAGTGAGACTCCATCTCAAAAAATAAATAAATAAATAAATAAAAAGAAAAGAAAAAGAAAAAAAGAGGGTACTCTGGTCTTCACTTCCTCATCTCTCATTCACTCCTCTTTTTTCTTCTGACCCAATTCTGCCTTGAATCTGCTCTCACTTAGGTCTCTAGCATCTTCCTTGTTGATAAATCCTAAATTTTCCTATTGTTTTGTAACTTGGGCTCCCAGCATCATTTGGCCCAGTGCTCCCTCCTTAAAGCTTTCTCTGGCCTTGAGAAGTCAAGGCCACACTTTCCTGGTGTTCCTCCTCCATCTCAGCCTGTTAATTCTCCATATTCTCTTTAAGATTCTACCCAAGGTTCTTTTCTTTTCTCGCTATATGCACTGTTCTTGGGTGATTTCTTTTTTCTTTTCTTTTTTTTGAGACGGAGTTTTGCTCTTGTTGTCCAGGCTGGAGTGCAGTGGTGTGATCTCAGCTCACTGCAACCTCAGCCTCCCAGGTTCAAGTGATTCTCCTGCCTCAGCCTCCTGAGTAGCTGGTATTACCGGTGTGCGCCACCATGCCCAGCTAATTTTTTGTATTTTTGGTAGAGATGGGGTTTCATCATGTTGGCCAGGCTAGTCTCAAACTCCCGACCTCAGGTGATCCACCCGCCTCGGCCTCCCAAAGTGCTGGGATTACAGGCATGAAGCACCGCGCCCGGCCAGGTGATTTCATTTTTTCCCGTGTGTGACACCTGAGAGGTCCCATGCCCTTGTCTTTGGCTCAATCTCTCTTCCTTGTACCCAGTACAAATCACAGGCCATGAACTGATGTAAAAGTTTTCAAACTGAAACTTTTGCTCACTTAAACACCTAAATATTTGAAACCCCAAAGCTTTTGTCTGCTTTTCCACAGTGATATTTCTCCTTTGAGGTAATAGGTGCCACTGAATGGAAGAGAGCAAAGGCATGGGGTATAAAGAATGTGTGTGTATGTGTGTCCTATGCAGAGGGTGGTGGTGAAAGCCTGAGCAACATCTGGTGTGACCTCATGGATTCCTGACTTCCATTCCATACCAGATAATGAGCCCAAGCCAGTCAGCAGCTGTCCCCTGGCAACTGTTACTAGTTCAGGAGTAGACACGACAAAGACATTAGCTAAACAGCCTAATGGGAAAGATTTCTATCTCATACCTGGCATCACCCAGTAGCTGCTGACAGCCATTGTGGAATCATGAGGACCATCCCAAGGGCAAAGTACCCCTCCAAGGAGGAAGCTGAGCCGAGCCATGGACAGGGCCTGGGTCCTTGGTGACATCATTGAGCTTCTGAATCAACCAACCTCAGAGCCTGCCCCCTACCTCTGGCTCTCTGTTATGTGAGATATTTCCTTTTCATTTTTCTATGTATTTATTTTTTTATTTATTTATGAAACAGGATCTCATTCTGTTGCCCAGATTGGAGTGCAGTTGTATGATCATAGCTCCCTGCAGCCTCCATCTCTCAGGTTCAAGCGATCCTCCCACTTCAGTATCTGGAGTAGCTGGGACTATAGGTGCATGCCACTAATTTTTGTATTTTTTGTATAGACAGGATTGCCCTATGTCGTCCATGCTGGTCTGGAACTCCTGGGCTCAAGAGATCCTCTCACCTTGGCCTCCCAAAGTGCTGAGATTACAGGTATGAGCCACCACACTCGGCCTTATTTTTCTTATAGAGGTCATCTGTTACTTGTAATAAAAATCATTCTAGCCAGGCGCAGTGGCTCACGCCCGTAATCCCAGCACTTTGGAAGGCTGAGGCGGGCGGATCACGGGTCAGGAGATCGAGACCATCCTGGCTAACATAGTGAAACCCCGTCTCTACTAAAAATACAAAAAATTAGCCGGGCGTGGTGGCAGATGCCTGTAGTCCCAGCTACTCCGGAGGCTGAGGCAGGAGAATGGCGTGAACCTGGGAGGTGGAGCTTGCAGTGAGTGGAGATCACGCCACTGCACTCCACCCTGGGTGACAGAGCGAGACTCTGTCTCAAAAAATAAATAAATAAATAAATAAATAGCATTCTAATAGATTCAGTATCTCAAAATATCCAACCACATCTGAACTCCAGACCTGTGACGCCAGCTGCCTGGCACCCCTTCATCCCTTCCTCTTGGATGTTCCAGAGCATCTCATGCTCAGTGAGTCTAAAACTGACTTTGTTGTCTTGGGCTCCCACTTTCCCCATTTCACTTCAGTCTTCCTTTTTTTTTTAGAGCTAGAGTCTCATGATGTCGTCCAGGCTGGTATCGAACTCGGCTTCAAGCAGTCCTCTCACCTCAGCCTCTCGAGTAGCTGGAATTACAGTTGAGAGCCACTGCATCCAGCTTTGCTCTTTCTTTGAAAGGTACCATCATCTAGCTGCCTGGTTGTTCAAGCAAAAACGCTGGTCATTGTTACTATTCCTTTTCTGCACACTGCCAATCAATCCTAGAAACTGCAGATTCCACCCCCCAGTATTTCTCAAACCCACCTCCGGTGACAATACCCATCATCATCTCTTGTATTTTTCACTGAAAAAGCCTCTGACCTGATCTCCCATCTCCTTCCAATTCTTTCTGCATATTTCAGCAAGAGTGATCTTCCTAAAATGCAGATCTGAATCACCCTCCTTATTAAAACTTTTAAGTTTCTTTCCCTTTTTCTTAGGATAAATTCAGGGCCAGATGTGATGGTTCACACCTGTAATCCCAACACTTTGGGAGGCTGAGGTGGGAGGATTGCTTGAGGCCAGAAATTTGAGACCAGCATGGGCAACATAGCAAGATCCTGTATCTACAAAAAAAAAAAATTAAAAAATTAACTGGGTATGGTGGCATGCGCCTGTAGTCCCAGCTACTGGGGAGGCTGATGCAGGAGGATCACTTCAGCCCAGGAGCTGGAAGCTGAAGTGAGTTATGATAGTGCCACTGCACTTCAGCCTAGTGTCAGAGACCCTGTCTTTAAAAAAAAAAAAAAAAAAAATCCAGGTGTGGTGGCTTATGCCTGTAATCCCAGCGCTTTGAGAAGCCAAGGTGGGTGGATCACCTGAGGTCAGGAAAAATTAGCTGGGTGTGGTGGCACGTGCCTGTAGTCCCAGCTACTTGGGAGGCTGAGGGAGGAGAATCGCTTGAACCTGGGAGGTGAGATCTCGCCACTGCACTCCGGCCTGGGCGACATAGCGAGACTCTGCCTCAAATAAATAAATAAATGAAAATATAAATAAATAAATTAATTAAAAAACAAAAACCTGACTGCTTTAACATGGCTTATCAAGCCCTCTGTGACTGGGCCCTTGTTCATCTTTCCAGCATCAGCGCTGTTACTTCCATTCTAGCTTTTACTCCATCATTATGAAACTGCTTTTAGTTTCCAAATTTGCTGTCTTACCTCCTGGCTGATTTCTATACCTAGAAAGTCCTTCTCTCCTTGCTTCACCAGACTAAGTCCCGCTCATTCTTCAGTGCTCAGTGTGATGTCACGTCCTGTGGGAAGCCACGCCTCCTGCCTAAGCCTGGCTTAGGTGCTTATCTTCATATCAACACCACTATCTGCTTAGTATCCCAGACAGCACTCCTCAGGAGGTTGAAATTGTCTGCTTATGTTGCCTGTCTCCCCCACCCCAAACTGTAAATTCCTTGAGATCAGGGACTCTGACTTATTCATTGCACCTAGCACCATAGCTGAGTGAAGAAGATCATCTTAAATTCAGATGTGAATTTTGACTTGAAGGCAAGGGTAGGACGGAATGGAGGAATGGAGTTGGAAGTTGGAAGACAGCATGGGTGTTTCTTTTTTTTCTTTTTTTCTTTTTGTGGAGACAGGGTCTTACTTTATCACCCAGGCTGAAGTGCAGTGGCACTTTTCTTGGCTCACTGCAACCACGACCTGGGCTCCAGTGATCCTCCTACCTCAGCCTCCCAAGTAGCTGGGACCACAGGCTCATGCCACCATGCCCGGCTAATATTTTAATTTTTGTAGAAATGGGGTCTCTCTGTGTTGCTGAGGCTGGTCTCGAACTCCTGGCCTCAAACCATCCTCCCACCTTGGCCACCCAAAGTGCTGGGATTACAGGCATGAGTCTCCACACCTGGTCAGGAAATAGACATTTTCAAGCAGAGGCAGGGATGGTGATGGCATAATCTGATTTACTAAGGGTATTGAATAGATTTGGGCAGGTGGCAGAGCAGGCCAGGGGAAGGAAACCATTGATAATGTAGATAATGTGACCCACGCAAGATATGATGCTGGCCTGGACTAAGATGTTGGTAATGGGGATGGAGAGAACCAGACAGACTTGAAAGAGAGTTAAGAAGTAGACTTCATACCAGGCACAGTGGCTCATGCCTGTAATCCCAGCATTTTGGGAGGCTGAGGTGGGAGGATCACTTGCGCCCAGGAGTTTGAGACCAGCCTAAGCAACATAGGGAGGCCTTATCGCTACAAAAAATGGAAAAATTTGCTATGAGTGGTGGCAAGTTTCTGTGGTCCCAGCTACTCAAGAGGCTGAGGTGGGAGGATCACTTGAACCCAGGAGGTCAAGGTTGCAGTGAGCTATGATGGTGCCACTGCACTCCAGCCTGGGTGGCAGAGTGAGACCGTCTCAAAAAAAAAAAAAAAGCCTGACATGATGTCTTGTGCCTGTAATCCTAGCATTACTTTGGGCAGCTGAGGCAGGAGGATCATTTGAGCCCAGGAGTTCAATACCAGCCTGGGTGACATAGCAAGACCCCATCTCATGAAGCAAATTTAAAAATTATTTTTTGGGCTGGGCGAGGTGGCTCACTCCTGTATTCCCAGCATTTTGGGAGGCCGAGGTGAGCAGATCATGAGGTCAGGAGATGGAGACCATCCTGGCTAACACGGCGAAACCCCGTCTCTACTAAAAATACAAAAAAATTAGCTGGGTGTGGTGGCAGGCGCCTGTAGTCCCAGCTACTTGGGAGGCTGAGGCAGGAGAATGACATGAACCCAGGAGGCGGAGCTTGCAGTGAGCCGAGATTGCCCCACTGCACTCCAGCCTGGGTGACAGAGCAAGACTCCATCTCAAAAAAAAAAAAAAAAAAAATTATTTTTGGCCGGGTGCAGTGGCTCACGCCTGTAATCCCAGCACTTTGGGAGGCCGAGGTGGGTGAATCACCTGAGGTCAGGGGTTCGAGACCAGCCTGACCAACATGGTGAAACCCTGTCTCTAC
The DNA here is from genome assembly GCF_000001405.40 of Homo sapiens. Classification (NCBI taxonomy): domain Eukaryota; kingdom Metazoa; phylum Chordata; class Mammalia; order Primates; family Hominidae; genus Homo; species Homo sapiens. The sequence continues at coordinate 49,300,272 of NC_000012.12, read as the reverse complement.
TAAAAAAACTTTACAAAATTAGCTGGGCATGGTGGTGCACACCTGTAATCTCAGGTATTTGGGAGGCTGAGGCAGGAGAATTGCTTGAACCCGGGAGATGGAGTTTGCAGTGAGTGGAGACTGAGCCACTGCACTCCAGCCTGGGCAACAAGAGCAAAACTCCATCTCAATAAATAAATAAATAAATAAATAAATAAATAAATGTGTGTGTGTATATATATATATATTTTTTTTTTGAGATGGAGTCTCGCTCTGTTGCCCAGGCTGGAGTGCAGTGGCACGGTCTCGGCTTGCTGCAACCTCTGCCTCCTGGGTTCAAGTGATTCTTCTGCCTCAGCCTCCCAAGTAGCTGAGACTACAGGCGCGTGCCACTACGCCTGGCTATTTTTTTTTTTTTTTTGAGACGGAGTCTCGCTCTGTTGCCCAGGCTGGAGTACAGTGGTATGATCTCAGCTCATTGCAAGCTCCGCCTCCTGGGTTCACACCATTCTTCTGCCTCAGCCTCCGGAGTAGCTGGGACTACAGGTGCCCGCCACCATGCCTGGCTAATTTTTTGTATTTTTTTTTAGTAGAAACGGGGTTTCACCATGTTAGCCAGGATGGTCTCGATCTCCTGACCTCGTGATCCGCCCGCCTTGGCCTCCCAAAGTGCTGGGATTACAGGCATGAGCCACCGTGCCTGGCCACCGGGCTTCTTCTTCTTCTTCTTCTTCTTCTTCTTCTTCTTCTTATTATTATTATTTGAGACAGAGTTTCGCTCTGTTGCCCAGGCTGGAGTGCAGTGGTGCGATCTCGGCTCACTACAACCTCCGCCTCCCAGGTTCAAGCGATTCTCCTGCCTCAGCCTCCCAAGTGGCTGGGATTACAGGCACCCGCCATCACACCCAGCTAATTTTTTTATTTTTAGTAGAGACAGGGTTTCACCATGTTGGCCAGGCTCTTCTTGAACTCCTGACCTCAAGTGATCCACCCGCCTTGGCCTCCCAAAGTGCTGGGATTACAGGTGTGAGCCACCACGCCCGGCCATTTTTTTGTAGTTTTAGTAGAGACAAGGTTTCACCATGTTAGCCAGGATGGTCTTGATCTCCTGACCTCATGATCCACCTGCCTCGGCCTCTCAAAGTGCTGGGATTACAGGCGTGAGCCACCGCGCCCAGCCTATTAAAATTTTTTAAATAACAAAAGAAGTAGACTTCACAGAATTTGGGGTCAGGTGAAGAAAAGAAGGGTGCATAAGCTGAGGTGAATTCTAACTTGGGCACTAGGTGTCTTAGTGGTGCCTTCTTCTGGGGCAAGGAATCCAGAGGAAGAGCATGATTGCAGAGGGAGGTGAGGAGCTCTGTTTGGGACAGGTTGAGTTTGAGTGGCCTGTGAGGCACCCAGCAGGTGGCTGGGCATTCCAGGCTGCAGGTGAGGGACAAAAGCTGAAAAGGAATGGACAGAGGTAGAAAACCTAGAAGGGTATATTGATGCCAAGAGAGTGACAGCCAGAAAAGAAATGACTCGAGACAAAGGGAGAACACCGCCGAGGCTCCTCCCCTCAGGTACCGCACACACACTTCCACAGAAACAAATGCACTGGAGAGTTTTCTCTTGACAGCATTTTATTTGGTTCAAATGTGAAACTCAGACCCTGGCTCACCCACTTCTCATCGTGGCTGGAGTAGATTTGTCCTGAGGGGGGATCATTGGCTTCTTATCGGGACATGAAAAGGGAAGCACATAGGTCACATCAAGTGTCAGGGCAGGGAGAGGCCCAGCGACTGCTGGCCGGGTAGGGCTTGGCCATAAGCCAGGAAAGGGATGCCTGGTACCACCTTTTAGACACATGCAGAGGGAGAGGAGACAATTCAGGAGTGGTCTTAGGGTTTGGGCTTTGAGCAGGCCTAGGGCAGAGTCAAGGCTCCGGACCAAGGGGTTCAGTAACTGTGGGCAGAAGACTTGTCCAGCTCACTGCGCTGCTCCTTCTGGGACTCTGTCACCACCTGCTGGGGACAGGGCATATGATGGGCACAAGCCATTCAGCGCCACCCTCCATCCTACTCCTTTGGATCATAGAGCCCCACTCCCTGGGGTAACCAGCAGAGGCTCCTGGTTATCTATCCACGTTCTCTGTCTCCTTCTCTGTCTCTCCCCAAGAATTACCCACCCTAAGTAAGATTAGCGACAGCCAGGCTGGGGCTCAGAAATAATATGGGAAATGGTGGGGTCCTGGCATTAGGGGACCTGCCTCACCTCCCCATTCCGGGTCTCAATGGTCTTGATCAGAACCGTCTTCCGGCTGTGGCTGTCCTGGGGAGGCTCCACCTCAGGCACTGAAGAAAGCAGGATAAAGGGTTCAAGGGGGAAGGCGTGGGAATCTCTCCTCTTAGGCTCCCACTGCTATCCCTGAGGGCAGGGGAGGGGCGGGTTTGAGGAGTAGGGGTGGGTACAGGCCAGGACCCAGAAGTTCCGTGGGGAGAAGAGATCCCTGAGGTGAGCCAGAGCAAGAGCCCGAGGAGGGCAGAAGTGGACAAGGAGAGGTACAGGCTGTAAGCCAGACTCACCAGTCGTCTTTATATTTAAGGAGGCAAAAGAATGGACGGGCACGGAGATCCTAGAGGCGAAGCAAGTTGTCAGCGCCCCTGCCCAGGCCCCGCCCTGCCCGGCCCAGTCCCGACCCCGCCCTGCCCCGCCCCAGCAGCTCCACCCTCACCGGCTCTCCTCGCCCTCCAGCAGCTTGCGGTAGGTGGCGATCTCGATGTCCAGGGCCATCTTGACGTTGAGGAGCTCCTGGTACTCCCTCAGGTGCCGCGCCATCTCCTCTTTTAGCTGTCGCAGCTCCTCCTCGAGCCGCGCAGCGCCCGCCTGGTAGCCCCCCGCCTCCAGGGCGAACTGCTCCTCCAGCTCTCTCAACTGCCTGAGCAGCGCCTCGTTCTGGGGTAGGAGAGTGGAAGGGGCCAGTTGCAGAACATTTCATCGTCCGCTCCCCGGGCCCGAGCGCGCAGCTTCGTACTCACCGTGCCGCGCAGCCCGTCCACCTCGCACGTTAGACTCTGGATCTGGCGTCGGGACTCGTTCATCTCCTGCTTGGCCTGGCGCAGGGCCTCGTGGTTCCGGTTGGCAGCGTCGGACAGGTCCGCGTACTGAGAAGTGGGGGTAACCCAGGCTTTAGTCGGCTGGGACGCGCGACACCACCCCAGCGTCCCGCCTCGCAGGCCCTCCCGGCTCTTGCACCTTGGACTTGTACCACTCCTCCGCCTCCTGCAGGTTCTTCGCGGCGATGCTCTCGTACTGCGCGCGGATGTCCCTCAGCGCTGCCGTCAGCTCGGGCTTCACCGTGGCTTCCACCTCCACCTGCTGCACCTGCTGGCTCTCCACACTCACCTGCAGGTCTCGCAGCTCCTACGGCCGGGAGCAGGCAGAGGATGGACAGCGGCGCAAATTCCACGCGGGCCACGCAGTTCGTGCACAGAAAAGAGAAGAAACGCTTGAACGAACAGAAGTGGGCGCCAGGGAGGGCAGGGCGTACAGCCCTGCGCCCCCGCGGGCGCGAGACCAGAGGCCAGGTTTCGGAGGTACAGCCCCGCTGCCCGCCGCCAGGTGGCGCAAGGGTGGGAGTCTAACCACCTGTAGACTAGGGTGGAGGGGCTGCGTCTACCCAGCATCGTCCTGATCCCCAGGGCGATGCCTCCGCTCCACCCGCCAGCTCCAGCGAGACCACCCCACAACCTCAGAAACCGCCCCTGATACCGGGCCCACTTACCTCCTCGTGCAGCTTCTTGAGGAACTCAATCTCATCCATCAGAGACTCAATCTTGCGCTCTAGTTCCAGGCGGGACAGAGTGGCATCGTCCACGTCCTTCGAGGGGTGGCAGTGGAGGTTCAAGATAAGTTAGGGGCTGCGCAGACCAAGGAAGGACCAGGCCTTCCCTGTCTGCCTCAGGAGGCATCTGGGTTACCCCCTTCTCCCCGCGCCCACCGATGCCACCTCTGGATACTGAGATCGGGGGTAGCGGTGGGGAGGCTGAACTCGGAGAGGGGCTCGGACTCACCTTGCGGAAGAGCACGAGGTTGTGCTCCGCGTCCTCCCGCTTGCGCGTCTCCTCCTCCAACCTGACGGGAAGAGCGTGCAGAGGCTGAACTGCGGGGTCGCCGCCCAGCTCGCACCCCAGACCGCACGCCCCCCAGGATCCGGTTAGAGGCTGTTCTGCTGCCCAGGACTCTAAATGGAGGGCTGAGGCTGTCTAATGGAATTGCCCCGCATTGTCTCTAACGGACTGGGAGCTGAAAAGGGGGTTTCCTCATTACTCAGGGGAGGCACAGATACCCACTTCTCCCACCTCCCCAAACACTCAGAGCAAAGGGGTAGCGGGGGGCACTTGGAGCCCGTGGGCAGGGATGCTGCCCGCACACACCTGGGTTGGTAAGGGGAGCCACACCCTTGGGCTGCTGATGGAGAGGGGAAGCGAGGGGAGGCAAGAGCAGCCGCCTCGACGGCCGCTTCGACCTCGCCTCGACGGCAGCGGCCCAGCCCTGCCCCCTGACCTCTGCTTGAGCGCCGCCAGGTCCTCCGCCAGCCCGTCGCGCTCCACCTGCACCCGGTCACGCTCGCGGCCCAACAGCTCCAGCTCTCGCCGCAGCTCGCGCAGCTCCTGCTGGCACAGCTGGTCGGCGCGCGCCGGCTCCTGGCCCCGGGCTTGGCTCAGCTCCCCGCGCAGGGCCGCGTTCTGCTGCTCCAGAAAGCGTACCTTCTCGATGAAGTTGGCGAAGCGGTCGTTGAGCTCCTGCAGCTCCTGCTTCTCGTTGCTGCGCGTGGCCAGGAACTCCTGGTTGAGGGCCTCGGCCATGGAGAAGTCGAGGCGCTCCGAGGGCAGGCGCAGGAGGGCGCCCGCTCCCGCTCGGGGGCTACGGAAGCTGCCCAGGCGCACCGAGGAGCTCGGGGACGCGGAGCCCAGCAGGCGGCTGCTGGAGAAGCGGGAGCTGGACGAGTAGGAGAAGGCCCCGGGGGATAGTGAGGGCGGTGGACCGAAGGTACGGCGGTATGAGGTGGAGCTGAAGCCGGCCCGGAGGCCCGACGGGTGGTGGCTCATTGCGGCCAAGGATGGGCAGTCACCGTTCGCAGAGCTAGGCCGGGGGCTGGGAAGGAGCCGCAGACCGCTGCGAGGCGGCTTTATAGCCCTGCGGTCTCAGGGGGGGCACGGGCAGCTCCTCCCACTGGCCTGATGGCCCGCTGGAGGGGGGTTGTATGGGGAGGGGGATGCCCCACCCCTGCGGAACAGCAGGAGCGCCTTCCCCTCCCTTCCCTGGTTGCAGGCCTCTACCCACTTGATTGCCCCCTGTTGCCGCTGGGGTGGGGGTCACTTCCTCCCAACAAGCACCCAAAGCTAGAACCTAGGGTAGGAAGGCCTGACTTGAACTAGAGTCCCTGAAAATTGCGAGGTAGAAGGACCTGAAGTTAAAGGGCAGGCTTCTGGCACAGGAGTAGGGAGGAGGCCAGCTGGAGGGAGAGTTGACCTGGCTTAGGCCCCATAGCTAGTGCCTTGACTTGCCCCCTGAAGGCCAGGCTCTATTTTCACCTGCTGTCAGCTACCCCTCCTTCACCACACCCAGAGAGGAATAGGAGACAGGGGCGCAGAGGCAGATCGGGCTGGGGAAGAGCTACTCTCCCTAATCCCCAGGGCCCTGTGAAGGGCTGGTGCCTGGCGCCAGCTCTGCTGCTAATGGGCTGACCAGCCCCCCTCCCCCTCCCCTGAAGACGGCCCAGCAGAGGTTGTCTGCTGATGTTTCAGCCTTAAAGACACAGCCCCCAAACCTAGACCTACCCCGCAACAAGCCCCAATGAGGTGGGTACATCATAGGGGGCTGAGGGTGGCTGGACCCAGCTCTGGATCCCACTCGGGAGGGTCTGCCCCATGCCACGGGCTGGGCTAAGTGGGCCTTTTGTATTCTGTCTTGGTTTACTGGATTCTCCCTCCCCCCAACCCCACACCAATTGCTGCTCAGTCATGGGCTTTACAGGAACCAGAGTGATTCCTGAGGTAGGAAGGGGAGGGGGCTGAGGGGCAACAGCGGCTGCCAAGGCTGAGAGATGGATGGACTGGCAGGAGCTGGTTTCCAGTATTGATGAGTTGCAGGTACCAGGGATGGGTGGGGCTGGATGGGGAAGAGATGGGGAAAGAGAAAGTGCCCATCCCCAGCAGTCTGAAAGAGAGAAGGCCCCAGAACAGGTCCACAAACCTGCGCACGCAAACAGATGCATACACACAGCTTTGTATATCTATGCGCACACACACTACATACACACACATACACACACAATCACACATCCCACCACACCCTCCCCTACTCCAGAGTTAGCGAGAAGGCTGATATCTGGCCTTTGTATGTCAAACAGCTTCCAGAATGCAAGCACAACCTGCCCAGGAGTGGACAGAGGCAGCTCGGATGGTCTGCAGGAGCCGGGTTGCTGAGGTCTGCTGGGTTTGCCAGGAACCATAGGGCTGGGGCTGCTGCTGCTGCTGGGGACTCCAGCGCTGTCCTGTGAGACAGGTCTGCCTCAGATGGGACCTGAGGACAAGAGAGTGCATCTGGGGAAGCAGGTTTCAGGTTCCTGCCTGGATATCTGGCTGGGGGTAAGGAGGGCGGCTCCCTGGCTGGCCAGCTCCTCAGTATTGCAGGGCAGCAGCCCCCTCCCCCCTTTGTGCGTCCTGTGAGATGGGCCAGGGCCAACGCCCTGCTCACGTCCCTACCGCCTTCGTCTCCTTTCCAGGCCCCTCCTTCCTTCCGGGCCATTAGTCTCTCCCTGCACAGCTGCCAGTTCCTTCTCCTTGATGGGTCTGGTTTGGTTGCCAGGGGAGTGGGAAGCGGGAGGAAGGGAGAGATGGGACAGGACGAATAAATGACAGCTTGGCCTCCCCTAACTCCTGGGAATTGGGAGGGGTAGGGTCCCACCCGGGATAGGGCCGGGAGGCTTGGTGGGTGTGAGGAGGGGCTAGGGAAGCCTTGGTGCTTCCTGCCGCAGTCCTGGGCACTGAGCCCCAGCTGCTGTTGGCCTGGAGCCCCATCTATCCCGGATTTGGCCCCACCCTCCAGGAGCAGGGAGCCAGCTCTGCATCAGGAGAGGCGGGCAAGGCCTGGGGAGGACCAGCTCAGGCCCTGTCTACAGGGCACTAGTGGGGGACCCAAGCCTCTGAGAGTAGAGGCTGCTGGGGCTGCAGCTGGGCCTGGGGAGTTCCAGATGGAGTTCCCGTCCTCACCCTGCTTAAGGGCTCCGCTGGCCACCTACATGCCTCGGAGGAGAAGGGACAGAGGGCTGCCACAGCAGGGCTCTGGAGCTGTGGATCAGGCCTGGGTGGGGAACTGCCAGGCAGAAGAGGCTCCTCCCCTAAAGCAGAAGGAGCAGGCCAGCAACTCCAGGCGGAGCAAAGGTAGGCAAAGAGTCTGGGTTAAGAGCCGGGCTCTGGCATCCAGCTGCCACACTTCCCATCTGATCCACCACTCTGTTGTAGAATTTAGGCTCGTCACTACGTCCCTTCATGTCCCTCAAGAAAAGGGAGATAACTAACTGTAGCTTCTACCTCATAGTGTTGTTGGGAGGACTAAAGGAATAAATAAATACATGTGAAGTGCTTAGGACACACATCTTAAAGCCTGAAAATGGAAGCTGGTTTTATTATTGCTATTATTATTAACCTCCAGAGTGATAATGTCAGCCCCAAGAGCAGTGAGAGTCTGGGCTTCTTTTGGACTGTGCCCCTGGTTGCTGAAAGTAGTGCTTGGACCCAAGGCGGAAGAAGCCAAGTCCTCCCTGGCCTCATCCTCCCCTGGTGGACCGGGACTCTGGGCAGATGGTGCAGGTTCATTCATGGCTGCTCACCTTAATTAGCTGTGTGCTTTGGGTTTTCTGAGTGACTTAACCTCTGTTCACCCCATTTTCTTTCTTTCTTTCTTTCTCTCTTTCTTTCTTTTTTCTTCCTTTTTTTTTTTTTGAGACATAGTCTCGCTCTGTCGCCCAGGCTGGAGTGCAGTGGCACGATCTCAGCTCACTGCAAGCTCCGCCTCCCGGGTTCACGCCATTCTCCTGCCTCAGCCTCCTGAGTAGCTGGGATGACTGGCGCCTGCTACCACGCCCGGCTAATTTTTTCATATTTTTGGTAGAGACGGTGCTTCACCATGTTAGCTAGGATGGTCTCGATCTCCTGACCGTGATCCACCTGTCTCGGCCTCCCAAAGTGCTGGGATTACAGGCATAAGCCACCGCGCCTGGCCACCCCATTTTCTTTATCCACAAATGGGAATGATAATAACAGTACTTACCTCATGGTGTTGGGAGGATTAAACGAGTTACCCTCTGTAAAGCACTTGTGCTTGGCACCTAGTACATGCTGTAGAAGTATTTGCCAGTATTCTCATCGCTCCTCCTCCTCCTGCCTCCCTTGGCTGCTCTGATGAAGGCTGGAAGAGAAACAACTATTGCATGTGTTCAGGGGTTTGCAGGGAAGGTGAGTAACGAAGTTTAGGTTACTGGCAAGAGTGCTATTTTTAAATTAAATTAAATTAAATTTTTTTTGAGAGAGAGTCTTGCTCTGTTGCCCAGGCTGGAGTGCAGTGGCATGATCTCAGCTCACTGCAACCTCCACCTCCTGGGATCAAGCGATTCTCCTGCCTCAGCCTCCCGAGTAGCTGGGATTACAGGTACCTGCCACCATGCCTGGCTAATTTTTGTACTTTAGTAGAGACGGGGTTTCATTATGTAGGTCAAGCTGGTCTCGAACTCCTGATCTCAAATGGTCCGCCTGCCTCGGCCTCCCAAAGAGCTGGGATTACAGGCGTGAGCCACCACGCCTGGCCAAGAGTGCTATTAAATGTCAGGCCACGGGCTCAAAGCTGGATTAGGAGGGCATGTAGGCAAGAGAGAGTGGGAGATTGGGAGAGTAAAGAGATCCATGGCTGGCCAAAGAACAGTCATAGAACAAAGACATGCCAGTGGAGCACAGTGGTTTACGCCTGTAATCCCAGCACTTTGGGAGGCTGAGGCGGGCGGATCACAAGGTCAGGAGATCAAGACCATCCTGGCTAACATGGTGAAACCCTGTCTCTACTAAAAATACAAAAAATTAGCCGGGCGTGGTGGCGGGCACCTGTAGTCCCAGCTACTGGAGAGGCTGAGGCAGGAGAATGGTGTGAACCCAGGAGGTGGAGCTTGCAGTGAGCGGAGATCGCGCCACTGCACTCCAGCCTGGGTGACAGAGCGAGACTCCATCTCAAAAAACAAACAAACAAATTAGCCGGGCGTGGTAGCATACGCCGGTAATCCCAGCTACTTGGGAGGCTGAGGAAGGAGAATCTATTGAACCCGGGAGGCAGAGGTTGCAGTGAGCCAAGATCGCGCCACTTCACTCCAGCCTGGGCGACAGAGTGAGACTCTGTCTCAAAAAAAAAAAAAAAAAAAAAAAAAAAAGACATGCTAAGCTCCTCCCAGCCTTACCCTCTGCTTCAGCACATCCCTAATACTTGCATCTGTCAGCTGGGGTCTCTGCCTCTCCGGGTCTAGGATTGACACAAACCTCCACTCCAGGCCAGGCGAAGTGGCTCGCACCTGTAATCCCAGCACTTTGGGAGGCCAAAGCAGGCAGATCGCTTGATCCTAGAAGTTCAAGACCAGTCCTGGGCAACATGGAGAAACCCCATCTCTACAAAACACACAAAAATTAGCCAGGCATGGTGGCATACACCTGTAGTCCCAGCTACTTGGAAGGCTGAGGTGGGAGGCTCACCTGAGCCCAGGAGGTCAAGGCTGCTGTGAACTGTGACTACACCACTGTACTCCAGCCCCAGTGACTGAGATCCTATCTCAAAATAAATAAATAAATAACCAGCCAGGCGCTGTGGCTCACGCCTGTAATCCCAGCACGTTGGGAGGCCGAGGCGGGCAGATCATGAGGTCAGATCGAGACCATCCTGGCTAACACGGTGAAACCCCGTCTCTACTAAAAATACAAAAAAGTAAACCGGCATGGTGGCGAGCGCCTGTAGTCCCAGCTACTCAGGAGGCTGAGGCAGGAGAATGGCGTGAACCCGGGAGGCGGAGCTTGCAGTGAGCCGAGATTGCGCCACTGCACTCCAGCCTGGACGACAGAGCAAGACTCCGTCTCAAAAATAAAAATTAAAAAATTTAACAAAACAAAATAAAAATTAAAAAACTAAACCTCCACTCCACATCCTAGGTGAAGTCCAGGGTCCTCTCCAGGATTCCTTTGTCTTCCCAGCTTTATTTTATTTTTATGTATTTATTTATTTTATTATTATTATTATTAATTATTATTATTATTGTTACTACTATTATTTTTTGAGACGGAGTCTCGCTTTGTCACCGGGCTGCAGTACAGTGGTGCGATCTTGCCTCACTGCAAACTTCGCCTCCGGGGTTCAAGCGATTCTCCTGCCTCAGCCTCCCAAGTAGCTGGGACTACATCCTGGGCACGCCACCACACCCAGCTAATTTTTGTATTTTTAGTAGAGATGGGTTTCACCATGTTGGCCAGGATGGTCTCCATCTCTTGGCCTCGTGATCTGTCCGCCTTGGCCTCCCAAAGTGCTGGGATTACAGGCATGAACCACAGCCCCCGGCCTATTTTATTTTTATTTTTTGAGAAGGATCTCACTCTGTCACCCAGGTTGGAATGCAGTGGTGCAGTCTCAGCTCACTACAACTTCCGCCTCCCAGGCTCAAACGATCCTCCTGCCTCAGTCCTTGAGTAGCTGGGGTTGCAGGAGCGCACCACCACGCCTGGCTAATTTTTTTCTACTTTTGGTAGAGAGGGGGTTTCACCATGTTGCCCAGGCTGATCTCAGACTACTGAGCTCAGGCAATCCACCCACCTCGGCCTCCCAAAGTGCTGGGATTACAATCGTGAGCCACCATGCCTGGCCCCCCAGCTTTATTTTTGAGTCCCTAGCTCCAAGTCCTCGCTGCTCCTGAATTGCCTGACTTTATAGTTGCTCTTGCGATGTCCCAGATGTGGAACTCAGCACTGTTCCTTGGTCCCTGTGGTCCTATTTCCCCATCACTTAGGTAAGACCTGAGGCTCAGAGGGACCAAGTTGCATGTCTGAGCTTGTACAGTGAGCTAGTGGTGGTTTCCTCTGGAAGGGCGCGTCCTGGTTGATCAGGCCCTGAGTGGCCCTGCTGGTGTTCTTCACTCTATGCCTGCAGGACCCAAGGTGAGCCTCAGCCGGAAGGGATCCAGCACCACACTTTTGAAGGTAGACTCTCCCAGCCCAGTTTGGCTGCAGGGTCCCCACTGACAGAGTGGCTTTACCAGAGTGGAACTCTTTCCCATTATCTCCACCTGGGGCTCCACTGCTTCCAGTTAGGGAGCACTGTGGGCATCCCTGCCAGCTCATCCCTTCTCTCACTGTATCACATAGTGATACAGTGCTAGGTCTAACACATTTATTTAATCACTCCTAATCCTCACAGTAACCCTATGACATAGGTACTATTACTATTCCCACTTCATAGTTGAAGAAACTGAGGCACAGCGAGGTTAAGTAACTTTCCTAAGGTCACACAGCTAGTAACTGGTAATCTGTTTATATGTCTGCCTCTGACTTTCCGCTCCCTGACAATATGATCTTTGAGGGCAACGATAAGATCGTACTGATCTTTTTGTCCGTGGTGTCTGCGGCGGGACCTAGGTCAATTGAATGCGTGTGAGGCACCCAAAAAATCTCTTTGTTGGTGGCCCCTAAAATAAAGCGAGGTATGTTGCTGCCACCTTCTGGTCAGAAGTCAGAATGACGTGCTGACGTGTTCAGTCTGCATCTATGTTGAGTTCAAGACTCAAGGATCCTGGAACACTGGAATTTGGGGAATACTTCAAAACTTATTGTGATTTCTTTTTTTGTTTGTTTGTTTGTTTACAGATGACATTTATCCAAGGGAGTGTAAAATAGAGTCAGAGAAGCACTGGTATGAGGAGTTTGGAGCCCTCATTCCATTCATTCCCTGAGTTCTAGGAGCCTCCTCTGTTCCTCCAGAAGCCAAAAGACAGGGCAGGAAGACAAAATCTTTCCGCAACTCCTCACCATTCTCTGTTGTGCCCACAATCTCCGGTTCCACCCTCACTGTAAAATCACGTCTCCATCCGCCTGCTTGATCTTTCAGCCAGCCGCTCCTCAGCTGGAGAATGGGAAATAATGGGCTGTGCCAGCAAGCCACACTCCAAGGGCAGAGTGCTCAGTGAACCTGTTCAAAGTGTGGCCTGGGCAGCTGCCTGAGGGTCACCCGGGCCATGAAAAGGCAGGCCCCTGGGTCCTACCCACATCTTCTGAATCTTTAGAAGGGCATTGACAAATGCTCTACTGATTTTTAAGTATTCCTGGATTAAGATATTTTTTCTTTAAATTGTCCATCTTTTACTCTATTTTATCTTGAAAAAAATCAAACCCAGGACAAAGTTGAAAGAATGCTGCTATGAACACCAATATATCCTTCCCTTGGATTTACCAGTTGTCAATGTTTTGCCACAATTCCTCTGGAAGTGTTAGACATCATTATATTTAATCTCTGAATACATTAGCATGTAACTCCAAAGAACAAGGACATTTTCCTACATAACCACAGTAGGATTAGCCCACTGAAGACATTTAACATCGATTTGCCTTTATTTGTGTAAAAAAATTTTGTAACTAACAAAAAAGAAATTTAACACTGATATAACAGTATTATCTAATACACAGCCCATATTCAAATTCCCTCAATTGCCCCAATAACATTCTTTATAGCTATTTCCATGCAATCTAGGACTTGAAAATCATGAATTGTATTCAGTCATCACCCGAGCAGAAGGGTAAGGCTGGGGATGAGCTTGGCATGTTTGAAGAATTGCAGAAAGTTCAGTGAGGCTGGCGCGAGGCAGATGAGGGAAGAGAGCGGGAAAGGTGAGGTTAGAGGCATGGCAAGGAGTCAAAGATCACGAGGCTTTTAAAATCAGAGTAAAGAGTTTATTTTAAATGCAATGAAAAGCCATTAGAGGGTTTGAAGCAGGGAATGACTTAATCTGATTTATAATTTTTGTTTTGTTTTGTTTTGTTTTTGAAATGGAGTCTCGCTCTGTCGCCAGGCTGGAGTGCAGTCGTGCGATCTTGGCTCACTGCAACCTCTGCCTCCCAGGTTCAGGTGATTCTCCTGCCTCAGCCTCCCGAGTAGCTGGGACTACAGGAGCGTGCCACCACACACAGCTAATTTTTTTGTATTTTTAGTAGAGGTGGGGTTTCACCATGTTGGCCAGAATGGGCTCGATCTCCTGACCTAGTGATCTGCCCGCCTCGGCCTCCCAAAGTGCTGGAATTACAGGCATGAGCCACCTTGCTCCGCCCTGATTTAGGATTTTAAAAGGTCAATCTGAAGACAATTTCAGAGTTGGGACATTCTATAAGACAACTAGTCCTAGACTCTTTAAAAAGTTAAGGTCAAGGCCAGGCACGGTGTCTCACACCTGTAATCCCAGCACTTTAGGAGGCCTAGGTGGGCGGATCACCTGAGGTCGGGAGTTGGAGACCAGCCTGATCAACATGGCGAAACCCTGTCTCTACTAAAAATACAAGAAAAAAAAAGTTAATGCCAAAATAATAATAATAATAATAATAATAATAAGTTTATATCATTTTTTGTTGGTGTTTTTTGGAGCTTTCATAACAAATTACCACAAACTTGGTGGCTTAGAACAACAAAAATGTATTCTCTCACAGTTCTGAAGTCCAGAAGTCCAAAATCAAGGTGTTGGTGGGGCTGTAGTCCCGAAGGCTGGAGCAGAGAGGAACCCTTCCTTGCCTCTTCCAGCTTGTGGTGCTCCAGGCATTCCTTGGCTTGTGACCACATCCCTCCAGTCTCTCCCTCTGTCTTCGCATGGCCGTCTCCTCCTTTGTGTCCATGTCTCCTCTTCCTCTTACAAAGACCCTCATCTTTGGATTTGGGGCCCACCCAAGTAATCCAGGATGATCTCACCTTAAGATCATTGTTTACCCCTGTAAAGACGCTTTTCCCAAATAAGGTCACATTAACATGTCCTAGGACATAGACATATGTTTTGGGAAGCCACCATTCAGTCCACTACAGTGGGAGATCATTTTGACAACAAGAGACTAAGAGATGAAACAATCAAATGTATGTACAAAGCTAGATTGGACCCTAAATTTTTTTTAAAGAGGTTATTGGAGAATTTGGGGTATTATATGCTATGAAATGATTATTCTTCTTTTAGGTGTGAAGATCGGAGTGTGGTTGTGTAATGGAATGTCTGCCTGCTAAAGTATTTAGGAGTGGAGTGTCATGATATCCTCAACCTTCTTTCTAGTGGGTTAGCAAAGAAAAGGTATATGTTCTAGAGAAAGAAAGAAATGGCAATTTTTAAAAATTTTTTCTTCTATTAATTTTTTTCCTTTTTTAAAAAAATAGTTTGTCTTCATCTTACTTGTTATTTTTTCTATTTATTTATTTATTTAAAATATTTATTTATTTAAAATAGATACTGGGTCTCACTGTGTTGCCCAGGCTGGTCTCAAACCCCTGGGCTCAAACAGTCCTCCTGCCTCAGCCTCCCAAAGCGCTGGGATTACAGGCATTAACCACTGTGCCCGGCTGAAATATGGCAAATATCAGCTGGGCACAGTGGCTCACGCCTGTAATCCCAGCACTTTGGGAGGCCAAGGTGGGCAGATCACCTGAGGTCAAGAGTTTGAGACCAGCCTGGCCAACATGGGGAAACCCCGTCTCTACTAAAAATGCAAAAATTAGCTGGGTGTGGTGGCAGGTGCCTGTAGTTCCAGCTACTTGGGAGGCTAAGGCAGGAGACTCGCTTGAACCCAGGAGGCGGAGGTTGCAGCGAGCTGACATTACGTCACTGCACTCTGGCCTGGGTGACAAGACCGAAACTCCATTAAAAAAAAAAAAGGCAAATATTAGTGACTGCCTAATCTAGGTGGAGGGTGTATGAATATTTATCAGACTATTATTTTTTTCTTTTCTTTTTCTTTTTCTTTTTTTTTTTTTTGAGACAGGGTCTCACTCTGTCACCCAGGCTGGAGTGCGGTGGTGTAGTCTCAGCCCACTGCAACCTCCGTCTCCCATGCTGAAGCTATCCTCCCGCCTCAGCCTTCCTAGTAGCTGGGACTACAGTTGCATGCCACCATCCCCAGCTAATTTTTGCATTTTTTGTAGAGATGGGGTTGCACCATGTTGCCCAAGCTGGTCTCGAACTCCTGGGCTCAGGCAATCTGCCTGGAATGGCAGGGGCTTGAATGGCTGAACTCCAGGGGGTGTGATGAAGGACAAGTTATTGGGAGTGAGGCCAGCAGGACTAGGGAGAAAGAGGTTTTTGAGGAAGGTGTGAGAACCCTAGTAGGGTTTATAGAAGGTGGGAAAGCTGGGCAGAGGTGTTTACACTTGAGATGTCTCATGTTGCAAGGAAAGTGCAGCTAACCAAAAACCAGGAAGGATATGGTCCCAGGTCTGGGCCAGTCACTGGGCCTTGCTTTCCTCACTGGTAAAATATGATCGCGCCACTGCTCTCCAGCCTGGGCGACAGAGTGAGACTCTGTCTTAAAAGTAAAAATAAAATGAAATAGGCATTTATTAAAGAGAGGGGTGGGTCTCAGACCACTGCCCCCAGTAGTTCTTTTTGTTTTTTGTTGTTATTGTTGTTTTGCTTTTTTTAACTGCCCCCTGTGGAGCAAGGCTACCCCGTAGGCAGTGTGCCCAGAGTAGCCTTTGTTTGTGTTTTTAATTTATTTTTTATTTTGTAACTGCTCTTTGTGGAGCGGGGAAGGAGTCCTAAGCTCTTCCTTCTCAGGGGGATGCTCCAAGATCCTCTGGGTGGGAATGAACAGTAATCCCTTTACTGAGGAAGGAAAGGGCAGGGGGAAATGGGGACAACTCATCTCAGGACCGTGCTGGAGGTGGAACATGCCTGCAATCTTCTCCTCAGGTGAAGGGAGGATTTTTAGAGTAGATCACAGTCGGGGTGTCCAAGGAGGGCAGCGATCCTCCTCACCGCCGCCAACTCTCAGTTCTGGGACTGTCCAAGAGGAGGCGCAGCCCTGATGCGGGCCCATCTGTTATTCCCCTCCCTCCTCCACACAACCTCTGAGCTCCTCAGCCTGGAACCCTGGAAGATGATGAGAAGGAGGAAAACTGGGATCACCAGGCACAGCCCCTCACCCCCAACCCCCTGTTTCTTGCTGAAGATGCTGAGAGGGGAGCAGTACTTGCAATTCTGTGAGCCGGGGAGAGATCTCACCCTGGCACATGGTTATGCTCTTTTCCCCAGGCAGTGGCTGGAGCACATGTGTGTGCCTGACATGCGACAGGGCAGGGGCCCGTGCCCATCAGGCCAGTCGTCGGAGGCTCTTCTTCAGTCATGACACTCTGCCATCCGTCTCACCCTACCTCTTGCAGGGAGAGGTTGGGTGACAGCTGAACAGAAAAATTCACAGGGTCTGAAGCCCTACAAACTGCCCCGCCTGCCCTCTGCTTGCAGGCTATGTGGGTGTTGGTTTGACAGCTGCCGCCAGGACTGAGCTTCTGGAGCCAGTGGCTGTCACACCCACAGTGACCTGATGGGCAATCTCTTGGCCAGCCAGCCGCCCCGTCCGGGAGGGAGGTGGGGGGGTCAGCCCCCCGCCGGGCCAGCCGCCCCATCCGGGAGGTGAGGGGCGCCTCTGCCCGGCCGCCCCTACTGGGAAGTGAGGAGCCCCTCTGCCCGGCCACCACCCCGTCTGGGAGGTGTGCCCAGCGGCTCATTGAGAACGGGCCATGATGACAGTGGCGGTTTTGTGGAATAGAAAGGGGGGAAAGGTGGGGAAAAGATTGAGAAATCGGATGGTTGCCGTGTCTGTGTAGAAAGAAGTAGACATGGGAGACTTTTCATTTTGTTCTGTACTAAGAAAAATTCTTCTGCCTTGGGATCCTGTTGATATGTGACCTTACCCCCAACCCTGTGCTCTCTGAAACATGTGCTGTGTCCACTCAGAGTTAAATGGATTAAGGGCGGTGCAAGATGTGCTTTGTTAAACAGATGCTTGAAGGCAGCATGCTCGTTAAGAGTCATCACCACTCCCTAATCTCAAGTACCCAGGGACACAAACACTGCGGAAGGCCGCAGGGTCCTCTGCCTAGGAAAACCAGAGACCTTTGTTCACTTGTTTATCTGCTGACCTTCCCTCCACTATTGTCCTATGACCCTGCCAAATCCCCCTCTGCGAGAAACACCCAAGAATGATCAATAAAAAAAAAAAAAAAAAAAGAAATTCTCTTGGCCAGTCACAGCGACTCATGCCTGTAAACCCAGCATTTTGTGAGGTCAAGGCAGGAGGATTGCCTGAGCCTGGGAGTTCAGGACAAGCCTGGGCAACATAGGAAGACCCTGTCTCTACAAAAAATTTAAAATTAGCTGGGCATGGTGGTGCAAACCTGTAGTCCCAGCTACCTGGGAGGCTGAGGTGGGAGAATTGCTTGAGCCCAGGAGGTTGAGGCTGCAGTGAGCTATGATTATGCCACCGCACTCCCGCCTGAGTGACCAAGTGAGCTCCTATCTCAGAAAACAAAAACAACAAAAGAAGAACATTCTCTCACTCTCTAGTTGGATTCTTTCTATAGTACACGGCTATCTGTGCTGGCCCCTGGCTGGAGGGGAGGGCAGTGGCAGAGGAGATGGAGACAGGAAACGGGAGAACTGAATGGGAGAGAGAGGGAAGGGGGAAATGGAGGGGGAAGAGAGGAGGGGAGAGGAGAAGGGAAATGGAGGTGAGGGGTGGTGGAAAGAGGGGAGGAGGGAGGAAGAATAGAGGAAAACAATGGGCCAGAAATGGGAACTTGGGTTTTTTCCTCTCACAGGCCCCAGAGCCTCCACACGGGGAGCAACCAGTCAGCTAACCCCATTCACATCCCAGAGCCCTCAGAGTCTGGTCTGGGTCTCATCCGCGTCACCCTGCACCACTCCTTGTCTACAAGATCCTTGGTCTGAAATAGCATGGGAGGCTCTGGAAGCTGTGGCATTGCCCTAGGGTCAGGCTCATTTTGATAGGTACCTAGGAGGGGGGCATTCCTTCAGGTTGGGGCCTTCTTGCTCTTCTCTACCCCCTCACATCAGGCCACAGGCCCCACTCATAGCTGCAAGTAAAAAGGAAGAAGATGAGGCCGAGCACGGTGGCTCATGCCTGTAATCCCAGCACTTTGAGAGGCCGAGGTGGGCGGATTGACTGAGGTTGGGAGTTTGAGATCAGCCTCACCAACATGGAGAAACCCCATCTCTAATAAAAAATACAAAATTAGCTGGGCATGGTGGCAGGCGCCTGTAATCCCACCTACTTGGGAGGCTGAGGCAGGAGAATCGCTTGAACCCGGGAGGCAGAGGTTGCGGTGAGCTGAGATTGCACCACTGCACTCTAACCTGGGCAACAAGAGCGAAACTCTGTCTCAAAAAAAAAAAAAAGGAAGAATATGGCACACTGTTTGGACTTGCAGATGTTCTATCCTTTTTTTTTCCCCCTTGGGACAGGGTCTTGCTCTGTCACCTAGGCTGCAGTGCAGTGGCATGAACACGGCTCACTGTAGCCTTGATCTCCCAGGCTCAATCAATCCTCCTACCTCATCATCCCGAATAGCTGGGACTATAGGTCCGTGCCACAGCACCAGGGTAATTTTTACATTTTGTGTAGAGACAGGGTCTCACTATGTTGCCAGGCTGGTCTCGAATTCCTAGCCTTAAGCAATCCTTCCTCCTCAGCCTCACAAAGTGTTGGTATTACAGCAGAAGCCACCATGCCTGGTGTCTGTGTTCCTTTTATTTATGGTTTGAGTTTGGCCAAGGCACCTGGGAAGACTGGAAGGAAAAAGCAGATCCATTTGGTGGACTAGGAACTGCAGGTGGAAGAAGGCAACATATGAGGAAAGAAAGAGGGGACAGGATCTTCACTCGCCCAAGGCAAGGTTTGCACTGGCAAAGGGGTTCTGCAAATTCAAAAGGGCCTTAATATTTTTTGGCCTGAATGAAAGCAGGGCCTTCATATTTTTATTATTAATAATTTTACCACAAATTTCTGGCCAAGCACAGTGGCTCATACCTGTAATCCCAGCGCTTTGGGAGTCTGAGGAATGTGAATTTCTTGAGTCCAGGAGTTTGAGACCAGCCTAGGCAACACGGTGAAACCCCATTTCTTTTTTTTTTTTTTTTTTTGAGACAGAGTCTTGCTCTGTAGCCCAGGCTGGAGTGCAATGGTGCAATCTCCACTCATTGCAACCTCCACCTCCTGGGTTCAAGTGATTCTCCTGCCTCAGCCACCTGAGTAGCTGGGATTACAGGCGTGTGCCACCACACCTGGTAGAGATGGGGCTTCACCATATTGGCCAGGCTGGTCTCAAACTCCTGACCTCAAGTGATCTGCCCACCTTGGCCTCCCAAATTGCTGGGATTACAGGCGTGAGCCACCGTGCCCTGCCAAAACCCTGTTTCTATTACAAAAGAAGAAGGAGGAAGAGAAGGAGGAAGAGGAGGAGGAGGAGGAGGAAGAAGAGGGGAGGAGGAAGAAGAAAATACAGAAAAAAATTCTTTTTTTTTTTTTGGAGACAGGGTCTTGCTCTGTCGCCCAGACTGGAGTGCAATGGTGCGGTCACAGCTCACTGCCTCCTGGGCTCAGCTCAAACCCTTTCACCTCAGCCCCCGGAGTAGCTGGGACCACAGGCACACACCACTATGCCCAGCTTCTTCTACTTTATTTTATTTTATTTTTGTAGAGACAGGGTTTTGCTATGCTGCCCAGGCTGGTCTCGAACTCCTGACCTCAAGTGGTCTACCCATCTCAGCCTCTGAAAGTGCTGGGATCACAGACATGAGCCACCACGCCCGGCAGAAAATAAGGAAAAAAAAATCTATTAACAATTACATAAGGCTTTAATGTTAGTTAGAATGCTTTTGGCAGGAAAAAATAGAAGACCCAAATCAAAATGTCCTAAACAATAAGGGGACTAAAAATCTTGTAAAAACTTCGGAGGCAGAGCAAGGTTTGGTGTCAAGGTTGGTTAATTCAGGGGCTCAACACTCTATCGGGGCCCATGCTCTTTTCAGCTTTCTGTGTTGCCTTGCTATTGAGCGGTAGCTTTTGTCCTCGTGTTTGTCCCATTCTGGTCACAAGACGGCTGCAGCAACCTCAAGCACCAGGCACAAGCACAAGCACAAGCACAATGTGCTCACGCAGTAATGCCCAGGGCTGCAAGAGGAAAATCCTTTCCCTGAGTTCTTTTTTAAGAGCAAGGAAATTTTTGCAAGAATATCTTCCTTCCAACCCCCAACCGGCAGACATTACCTCACCTCTCATTTCCATAATTACATCACATGCTGGTTCCTTAACCAGGCCCTGGCGAAACAACTGGAATTACCTTGATTGGCTTAGGGGAAGGTTCACCCTGGTAGTGAAGCCCAGCCCCTCCAATGCACATGGGTGTCCCACACCAGGACAGAGCTGCGTTGTGTTGGCAGGTGGAACAAGCTGGGAATGGCTTTGAAGTAGCTATGCAACAGTGGCTACTGCCTGTGACAGCCTCTTCTGTGACATGTGGCATATGCTGCCTCGAATTGGGATTATGCATGTGTGGTCTGTCTCTACAATCTGAGAAGCAAAAAGCTAAATATATTTCCTATAGTACCCAGCACAGTGACTTGCACCAAACAGGTGTTGCAAAAATAATGAACGAATAAAACTTGAAAGTTGAAAATGAAGCCCAGTGCGGTGTGCTGTTGTCTCAGCTACACAGGAGGCTGAAGTGGGAGGAGTGTTTGAGCCCAGGAGTTCAAGGCCAGCCTGGGCAACATAGTAAGACTCAGTCTCTAAAAAAATAAACTTAGCAAGTATCAGGCTTAATTTAAAAAAAAGAAAGAAAGAAAGAAAGAAAGAAGAACGGCCAGGTGCGGTGGCTCACGCCTGTAATCCCAGCACTTTGGGAGGCCAAGGCAGGCGGATCACAAGGTCAAGAGTTCGAGACCAGCCTGGCCAACATGGTGAACCCTCAGCTCTACTAAGAATACAAAAATTAGCCAGGAGTGGTGGCGGGTACCTGTAATCCCAGCTACTCAGGAGGCTGAGGCAGGAGAACTGCTTGAACCCGAGAGGCGGAGCTTGCAGTGAGCTGAGATGGCACCACTGCACTCCAGCCTGGGTGACAGAGCAAGACTCTGTATTGGAAAAAAAAAAAGAAAGAAAGAAAAACAAACAAAAAACTGGAGATGATTGCCAGAATAGTATAATTGGATTACCTTTGCCAAGGGCATTTCAGTATTTGTTTACTCTTGGACTAGACATCTCTTGGAAGCCAAATGAGATATTTGATAAAAATAGAGAAGTGTGGCCGGGCGCGGTGGCTCACGCCTGTAATCCCAGCACTTTAGGAGGCCGAGGCGGGCGGATCACGAGGTCAGGAGATCGAGACCATCCCGGCTAAAACGGTGAAACCCCGTCTCTACTAAAAATACAAAAAATTAGCCGGGCGTAGTGGCGGGCGCCTGTAGTCCCAGCTACTTGGGAGGCTGAGGCAGGAGAATGGCGTGAACCTGGGAGGCGGAGCTTGCAGTGAGCCGAGATCCCGCCACTGCACTCCAGCCTGGGCGACAGAGAGAGACTCCGTCTCAAAAAAAAAAAAAAAAAAAAAAAAAAAATAGAGAAGTGTGCAGAGAGGGTGAAGGGAGAGAGAGTGGGGTTGAATTTATACCCACCCTCTTCCATGAGTTAAACTAATTTCTGTAGACAAAATCTTTGTGTAATTAGGAAATCTTTATATTCTGTAAAACCTTTATAGTCTGTTCCAATTAAAAAAAAAAAAGGCCAGGCGCGGTGGCTCACGCCTGTAATC
The DNA here is from genome assembly GCF_000001405.40 of Homo sapiens. NCBI lineage: Eukaryota > Metazoa > Chordata > Mammalia > Primates > Hominidae > Homo > Homo sapiens. Next base: position 49,278,387 of record NC_000012.12, on the reverse strand, counting down.
CCAACACTTTGGGAGGCCAAGGCGGGCGGATCACAAGGTCAGGAGATGGCCAACATGATGAAACCCTGTCTCTACCAAAACTACAAAAATTAGCTGGGCGTGGTAGTACATGCCTGTAGTCCCAGCTACTTGGGAGCCTGAGGCAGGAGAATCACTTCAACCCGGGAGGCGGAGGTTGCAGTGAGCTGAGATCACACCACTGCACTCCAGCCTGGCGACAGAGACAGACTGTCTCAAAAATAATAAATAAATAAATAAATAAGAGAGAGAGAGAAAAAAAAGTCCAGTAGGGAGACGACTGTTTAAAAGCATTTTTTGTATTATGACTAAAGCAGACATGTCTCTAGTTCTGGAAGGTTCATTGATTCTGACTATTGCTCTCCTGCTGTAGACTCGGAGGGAGTGTAGAGGAGGAAAGAACTGTTTTCCCAAAACCTGCTTGGGGCTGACAATGACAAATTCAGGGGCACTAGGTTCTTGGCATGAAAGGGGCAGTGACAGGCTAATGAGATGTCAGCAAAGGGGACCTATTTCACGGGGCGAGGGCCCACTCCTGCTCCACAGCCCCCACACCCAAGGGTCTATTTTCTCTTCAGCTTCTGCTGCCTTGTGTCTCCTAGATAGTCGCCCTGGCATTGGGCTCCTGGAGCCATCTGCCTGGGTCATCTCTGCCAGCTTCACCTTGCCGCCTCAGCTGACGGGCACTGACCACTCTGGCCCTGGAGCATAGAGGAGCGAGGCTCCAGGTGTACACTGTCCTGCCTGTGCCTCAGCTGGTGTCCCTGTTGGCAGGAGACCAGGCAGGTGGCAGCAGCCATCCTGCAAGGGCACTGTATCTCCCCGTGACCTGAGAACTGAGTTCAGAGGGAGGCCTGGACAAAAATGCCCCCTCACTAGGGAAGCTACAGCCTGGACATGGGGACCAGCTGGCTTTGCTATTTAAGGTCAATGGGCTGCCACCTGGGCCCAGGAACGGGGCTCTTGGGAGGTTTTCTGACAATCACTGGCATAATGAGATCTCTCTGTGACTACAGCTCCATCCAGTGCTCATGTGAGGGCTGGCCCTTGTTGACCTCATGCCCCAAGGGTCCTGGGAGGTGGCACTATCCCCCCAGGACTGGAAAGGCTGCCAGGTGCAGAGCCGATTTCCTCTGGAGCTCCTCGATGGCTGGACGACAGAGTGGAGTCAGCCTAGGCTTTAGAGCCAGAGCTCTGCGGTAAAATTTCAGTTCTGCCACTCATTCTGTAGCCTTAGGCTAGATATTCAATCTCTGTGAGCTATGGAAGTGGGTATAATAACATCACCTCCCAGGGTACTGTGGAAACTGTGAAGGCACCTTTTCCTCCCACCCTGACAGCGCCTCCCCTGACCTCCTTCAGCCTCACCCAGGACTGCCACACCACCTTCCAGCAGAGGCCTGAAGACTGATTTGTAATTGCATAACCCACTTGGCCATCCTCTGGCCTGACAGATTCCTGCTGGAGAAGAGTCACTTGCCAGCTGCTTCCCAAACACAGAATGACAGGTGGACAGGCAGGCCCTTAGCCCCTCAAAGTCATTATCCCCCTTCTCATCCCTGCCCAAAACACCTCTGCCCAGACATGCTAACCTCTCAGTGGTCAGCGGCCTCTGTGGGGGGAAGCAGGTTGCTCCTCTGGCCAGGTTAGGTGAGGGCAGACTAAGCCCTCTGTCCACACAGCCGGACCTGGGGCTGCCGCCAGCCTCAGGAGCCCGAATCCTCTTAGGCTGTGTGCATTTATTCCCATCAAGCTTCAGCGGCCTCAGCATCAGCATCAGTCGCAGCTCTGGGTCCAGACTTTCCATTCGTGCTCAAGGGCAGATCAGATGATTGTCAGCCACAAAGCAGTGACCTAGACCTTGGGGTATATTTGTTCTTGCTGCAGGCTAACTTCTATTCACTCTCCCTCCAACGCAGGAGGGGGAAATCATCTTTACAAGGACAAATGCCCCCCCAACCACTGGCACTTTGCTCTTCCAATTCCCCAGGCTTTATTCTACTGGAATATTTCTTCTCAGCTAAACTTTTCTCTCACCTTCTTTCACCCCAGACCTCTGTGGCTGCTTAAAGCTTTCCAACCTTTTTCACATCTTGGCACATGTAGAAAATAATTCATCTGTAAGGTGTACAGAGGTAAATGGAGGGGGCTACTCCTGGCCAGGGTGACTGGCCCCAGGGAGGATGGGTGAGTCAGGCTCTCCAGTTTCCACCATGTCATTCTAAAAGCCGAAGGGATCCTATATGGGCACCCTGAATCCTATTCTCAGGGCACCCTGCTTGGGAAATGCTGGTGTCATGGGGTGTCACACTCGCCTAAGCTTTGTGATTTATCTGCTCCTTTTCATACACGGGTGTCCCATTCCCATTTCCTCCAGTGCTTGCACTATGGCAATCAGCAGATCTCCTGGCCTGGGAAGGTCTCAAAATCCCCTCTGGCAGGCTAGCCAGCGTCTTCAAGGTTCACCTTCATTTCAGGCATCCCACCCCGCTCCCCTGCCCAGGCTGCAGGAAGAACCTGGCTCATCTGAGAAGTAGCAGTGGCTGAATTTGTGCTGGGGTCTTACCTTGCCCCGAAGGACATAAAACTATGGTTGCTCTCGACAAATGCTATATAAAACCATCCAGAGCACATAGTTGAGGCATCTCAGGCTGCAAAAGCATGCTGTGCTATGCACGCAGGTATAATATATACATTTAAAAAAATTTGAGACATAAAAAAAAATTTAAGGGAAAAAAATTTTTTGTCCCTTAGGCTGGAGGGCAGTGGCACGATCTCAGCTCACTGCTACCTCCACCTCCCAGGCTCAAGCAATCCTCCCACTTCAGCCTCTCAAGCAGCTGGGACCACAGACGTGCACCACCATGCCCAGCTAATTGTTTGTATTTTTAGTAGAGATGGGGTTTCACCATATTGCCCAGGCTGGTCTTGAACTCCTAAGCTCAAGTGATCCACCTGCTTCAGCCTCCCAAAGTGCCGGGATTACAGGCGTGAGCCATGGTACCCGGCCAAAAAAATGCTCAAAATAGACAGGGTCTCACCCTCTTGCCCAGGCACTGGTCTCAGACTCTTGGGTTTAAGCAATCCTCTCACCTTGGCCTCCCAGAGTGCTGGGACTGCAGCTGTGAACCCCAGCGCTGGCCTTAAACATGCACATCTTTCAGATGCAATTCTCAGAGCAAAGGGGCTAAAGTGAGCAATGGGTAAGGGATACAAAACACCTTTGGGAAAGAGATGGTAACTGGGTACACATCAGAATAAAGTAAGTCACGGAGGAGAGGTGAGTATGCCTGCAACTCTGCCCCCAGGGCCCATCTGCTACCACTCATTAGGCATTCCCACTCAGGCAAGCACCCAAGCACCAAAACTGATTCCTCCCTTCTGCATGAAGCTTCACCTTTTGGTCATTGTCCTTTCCCATTGCTTAGTTCAACTGAGTACCAGGCACCAAGCTCTCCAGCTACGTATAACACTCATGCCCCTTCACCCGTCTGCCCCCAAGAACCACGGTCCTCCAACAGGTGCTTGGAAAAAAGTCCAAATCAGAGAACTCACCCCTCTCCAATCTTTCCTACACATACATATTACTCCTACTTCAAATAATCTCCATGACATACAATTGGGTCAAATGCCAATACCAGAAAAACCGGTGACTGTTATTTTGTCTGACATTTCCACTTTCTCTAAACAATAACCCCTTTAGTACGAACCATCTTTGCCACTGTAGGTCTTAGCTAAGTATGGAATAAATCAGGATTCCAAGCCCTTCTCGTGTGACTAATACTTTATTAAAGACTGACAGCAATAGTTCTGGCAGTGTGGCTGGGCACTTGAATTTTGGCTCCAGCAGTTACTGTTATCTAACCCTTTGCTACTGTACATGTGGTCACATCAGACCAACAGCATCATTTGGGAGGTTATTAAAAAACGTATCTAGGGGCCAGGTGTAGTGGCTCACTCCTGTAATCCCAGCACTTTGGGAGGCTGAGGCAGGATTGCCTGAGCCCAGGAGTTCAAGGCCAGCCTAAGCAACATGGCAAAACCCCATCTCTACCAAAAAAAAAAAAAAAAAAAAAAAAAAAAATTACAAGAATCAGCCAGGCATGGTGGAACACACCTGTAGTCCTGGCTACTTGGGAGGCTGAGGTGGGAGGATGGCTTAGCCCAGGTCAAGGTGGGGGTGAGCTATGATGGTGCCATTGCACTGCAGCCTGGGAAAGAGACCATCTCAAAGAAAAAAAATTTAAGACGTGTCTGAAGCCTCACCTCAAGCCTATAGAATTAGAACCTGCATTTTGTTTTTAAATTTGAGAGTCAGGGGTCTCCGTCACCCAGGCTGGAATGCAGTGGTGCAATCATGGCTCACTACCTCAACCTCCTTGGGCTCAGGTGGTCCTCCCACCTATAGGCAGGTGCCATCACAGCATGCAAATTTTTGTTTTGGTAGAGATGGGTTTTCACCATGTTGCCCAGGCTGGTCTCGAATTCCTGGGCTCGTGATCCACCCAACTTGGCCTCCCGAAGTGCATGAGCCACCAGGTTGACCCCAAACCTGCATTTTAATATCTACAGGTGATTCACATCCATTTTAGTTAGAGAAGCACTGGCTCAATCTGAACCCGTTTCCTCACTTACAAAATGATTCTATAACCACTTAATTCAGGCCCAAATTAAACAGATAAACCAAGAAGCTGGGCAGTGGCTCATGCCTATAATCAAAACTTTGAGAGGTTGAGGCAGGAGGATCACTTGAAGCCAGTTGAAGACCACCCTGGGCAGCATAGCAAGGCCCCATCTCTACAAGAAATAAAAATAGCTGGGCATGGTGGTGTGCACCTGCAGTCCCCAGCTACTTAGGAGGCTGAAGCAGGAGAATCACATGAGTCCAGGAGCTCGAGGCTGCAATGAGCTATGTATTATCATGCCACTGCACTCCAGCCTGGGTGACAGAGCAAGACCCTCGACTCAGGTGGTTTCATCTACCAGCCTCATACATCCAACTTTAACTGGATCAAGTATTTAAGTCAGCTCGACATTTAAAATGGAAACTTCAATTTTATTAACAATTTACGGCAATAGACATTTACAGAACAAAAATAAGACAGTTCCAAGACAAAGGAGTGTAAAAGTACAGCACACAGGTTAATACTCTTCACCCTCATCCTCTCCGTCAGCACTATCTGCTCCAACCTCCTCATAATCCTTCTCAAGGGCAGCCATGTCCTCACGGGCCTCTGAAAACTCGCCTTCCTCCATCCCCTCACCCACGTACCAGTGAACAAAGGCACGCTTGGCATACATCAGGTCAAACTTGTGGTCCAGGCGAGCCCAGGCCTCGGCAACAGCTGTGGTATTGCTCAGCATGCACACAGCTCTCTGTACCTTGGCCAGGTCTCCGCCAGGCACCACAGTGGGAGGCTGGTAATTAATGCCAACCTTGAAGCCAGTGGGGCACCAATCCACAAACTGGATGGTACGCTTGGTTTTGATGGTGGCAATGGCAGCATTGACATCTTTGGGAACCACGTCACCACGGTATAACAGGCAGCAAGCCATGTATTTACCATGGCGAGGGTCACATTTCACCATCTGGTTGGCTGGCTCAAAGCAAGCATTGGTGATCTCTGCTACAGTAAGCTGTTCGTGGTAGGCTTTCTCAGCAGAGATGACAGGGGCATATGTGGCCAGAGGGAAGTGGATGCGGGGGTAGGGCACCAGGTTGGTCTGGAATTCTGTCAGGTCAACATTCAGGGCTCCATCAAATCTCAGGGAAGCAGTGATGGAGGACACAATCTGGCTAATAAGGCGGTTAAGGTTAGTGTAGGTTGGGCGCTCGATATCGAGGTTTCTACGACAGATGTCATAGATGGCCTCATTGTCTACCATGAAGGCACAATCAGAGTGCTCCAGGGTGGTGTGGGTGGTGAGGATGGAGTTGTAGGGCTCAACTACAGCTGTGGAAACCTGGGGCGCCGGGTAAATGGAGAACTCCAGCTTGGACTTCTTGCCATAATCAACTGAGAGACGTTCCATGAGCAGCGAGGTGAACCCAGAACCAGTTCCCCCACCAAAGCTGTGGAAAACCAAGAAGCCCTGAAGACCGGTGCACTGGTCAGCCTGCAAAATAAAAAAGTTTCATTTTAGTGTTGCGAAAGTTTCATTTAGTGTTCACATTTGGTGAAACCTACAGAGGACTTCTATAAATCTATGGCTACTCCAATTGCAATTTTAAAACTCTTCTGGGCCAGGCGCAGTGGCTCACGCCTGTAATCAACACTTTGGGGGTCCAAGGTGGGAGGACCATTTGCATTTGAGCCCAGGGGTTCAAGACTGATGATCAGGCCACTGCACTCCAGCCTGGATGACAGAGCAGACCCTGTCTCCAAAAAAAAAAAAAAGCTTTTAAGTGCTAAGTGATTCAGAACAACTTTTCACAATCAAGTCCTTGAGCAGAAAAACCTTTGCTAAGACTATTTTAAGATGAACTATTGCCTTAGGCAGAGGAATCACAAGGCCTGGGCTTGCATACAGGGCTCAAGTTTTGGTAACTGGGAAGGCAGCCTCTGGTTCTCTTGCTGTGGCCACAGAACAGGGCAGTTTCTTAGTTGGAGAGGTCCTAAGGGGCAGGCCCAGGACCACCAGCCTGGTACAGTGGATGTCTTGTAAAGATTTGGCAGCTGCTTTCTGAGGTGGAACAACAGAATAGCCAAAGTTCTAACACCCTGGTACTGGAGTCAGGCTGTGTCAGGATCCGGCTGTACCAGTTCCTTACTGTATGACCACATTCATTTCTCAGTTCTTCCACTGATTAAGTGAGAATAGTAATCACCTTAGGTTGAGAATTAAGTAAGTACTCAGCATAGTGCTTGGCACAGTAAGCACAGTATTGGCCCAGTAAGCCAATATATGACACTAGGTACCAAGAAGCCCATTTATTTTGGGTAAAGTGACACAACCACAATTCCATGAGACCTCAGGTTGTTGGGGATTTCCTCCACCTAACTGGGCTATTTTGGTTAGCAAACTGCTACTTTACGAAGGAATGATTTTGACCTTCCAAATAAAGTATTCTGTTGTAAACTCTTGCTTCTCCAAGTGATGGGCCTCAGATTTGTGAACATTCTCTACTCAGCTCCCTTATAGCCTGTGGGTCCATCAACTACATGAGATCAATGCACAGGGCAGACTCTCGCCTACCAATTACACCAGTTAAGCCTCCTGTGAGCACAGTAATGACAAGGACAAATGCAATTGTTTTGGTAGGCAATAAACCTCACGTTCCAGAACCCTAAATAGCTACTAGGTTTATTTGTCCTAAAGGCAGGTCCCTGATTTTCCAAGTCAGTGCTTATAACTAAAGCTTAGGGTTTTTTTTGTTTGTTTGTTTTTTTGAGATGGAGTCTCACTCTGTCGCCCAGGCTGGAGTGCAGTGGCACGATCTCGGCTCACTGCAAGCTCCGCCTCCCGTGTTCACGCCATTCTCCTGCCTCAGCCTCCCTAGTAGCTAGGACTACAGGCGCCCACCACCACGCCCGGCTAATTTTTTTGTATTTTTAGTAGAGAGGGTTTCACCATGTTAGCCAGGATGGTCTCGATCTCCTGACCTCATGATCCGCCCACCTTGGCCTCCCAGTGCTGGGATTACAGATGTCAGCCACCGTGCCCAGCCTAAAGCTTAGTTTTTAAGCATCGGAAACATCAGTCCAGTTTTGCTGGGAAGACTACGTAAACATCTGAGAAAGTATGAAGCCATGAATGATGAGGCTATTCTATTTTAGAATGGAGCAGTCATGGCTGGGCTTAATACAATGTGATTTTCTTGACAAGTTACTCTGCCCAGACCATCATGCTTGATCTCTGGTTAATTACTTACAAGCTGCCCACATGCCTAAGGAGCAAAGAGTCATCTGATTGCCAGGCTCTTAATTAAAGTGATCCAAACAGCACACTTCATAAGGAAGCTCCCGACTCCACTTTCAGCAGTACTGGAAGTTTCCAGTATTGGCTGTTTCTTGTCAGTGTGACACTGGCTTCTTGTTCTCTGAACTTTCTGTATTGACATGAAGGAACCATCCCAGATTTTTAAAAAATGACTCTGATCAATTAGTTACATGTAGAAGTCAGCTACCTACTCACTCAGTATGACTAAGATGACCTCAAAAGGGGTGTCTCAGCTTGAAGCAAAATAGGCTAAAGAGCACTTACTTCTACCCCATAGTTGTCCCATAAATCCAAGATCATCTGGTTCAGAAATCCAATTAATTTAGTGAACAGATACATTTTAGTTGCAATGCAAATAGTCTCATTTTAGTTGCAAAGAATGATTTCTGTAGTTTGGTCTCAGAACTGCAAAAGAAACTCTCATCCCACTTTATTTAAAGTACTATACTTACCAGCTTGCGAATTCGGTCCAACACGAGGTCAATGATCTCCTTGCCAATGGTGTAGTGCCCTCGGGCATAGTTATTGGCAGCATCTTCCTTGCCTGTGATGAGTTGCTCAGGGTGGAAGAGCTGGCGGTAAGTGCCAGTGCGAACTTCATCTGGAGAACATGATGGGGGAGGAGGAGGAGGGACAAGGAGCGGGGAGGGAGAGTGGGTGAGTGACCAGCGGAGCCCCCCCAGGACAGACCTCCTGTCCCAGCACCCTGGGATCTCACTTGGGTTACTGAGGTCAACTCACCAATGACTGTGGGTTCCAAGTCTACAAACACTGCCCGGGGCACATGCTTGCCAGCACCCGTTTCACTGAAGAAGGTGTTGAAGGAATCATCTCCTCCCCCAATGGTCTTGTCACTTGGCATCTGGCCATCGGGCTGGATGCCGTGTTCCAGGCAGTAGAGCTCCCAGCAGGCATTGCCAATCTGGACACCAGCCTGGCCAACGTGGATGGAGATGCACTCACGCTGTGGGAGGAAGAAAGGAAAATGTCAGGGTATAATACATCAGATGGGACATTTAGGAATGATTCACACCTAATGACTGATTAACCTTCAAGACAGATAACTGGCTGGGCGCAGTGACTCACACCTGTAATCCCAGTACTTTGGGAGGCTGAGGCAGGTGGATCACCTGAGGTCAGGAGTTTGAGATCTGCTTGGCCAACATGGCAAAACTGCATCTCTACTAAAAATACAAAAAAAATTAGCCAGGCATGATGGCGCACACCTGTAGTCCCAGCTACTTGGGAGGCTGAGGGAGGAGAATCACTTGAACTCAGGAGGTGGAGGTTGCAGTGAGCTGAGATCACACCACTGCCCTCCAGCCTGAGTGACAAGATATTCCATCTCAAACAAAAAAAGATAACCATCTTTCAGCAGGCCACTCCTGCTCAGGGACTATAATTTCAAAAGCAAAAATCTTTGAAGACCTAATTCAGCAAAAGTGCCTTGGAAAACCAAAGATGTGTTCATGAACTACTCGGCAAGACCAGACAGTTGCTTTGTAGCCACAGTAGATATGATTCCTTAAACTAAGGCAAAATTCCCCTTTCCAGCTCTGATTCATTCTCTGAATGATTGTGTAACTACTGAGCTCATTCTGGTCCCGCTTTAATCCTATTCTTTAGGAGACAAAAGCTTCTCTCTCCCTCCTTTAAAACCAGCTTAAACCAGCAAACTATAGCCATGACTCATGAAGAAAATGCTGGATAAGCAGCAGTTAGCTGTATTTTAAAAACTGTGGTCAGAGGCAGCTTTTTAACCAAGTGGAAGAATCTAATCTATAGGAAGAACGTTTTTCCTTCACCGTCAAAACATCTCCGGAAGAGGGAAGACCATAATAATAAAGGCTAGAAATGTTACCAAGACTTTACTGATAGGTTAAGAAATTAGTTGTTTCTGGCTCACACCTGTAATCCCAGCACTTTGGGAGGCCAAGGTGAGCAGATCACTTGAGGTCAGGAGTTTGAAATCAGCCTGGCCAACATGGTGAAACTGTCTCTATTAAAAATACAAAAAAAAAAAAAATTATGGTAGAGCACAGTGGCTCATGCCTGTAATCCCAGGACTTTGGGAGACCGAGGTGGGTGGATCATCTGAGGTCAGGAGTTCAAGAACAGCCTGGCCAATATGCTGAAACCCCATCTCTACTAAAAATACAAGAATTAGCCAGGCATGGTGGTGCGCGCCTGTAGTCCCAGCTACTCGGAAGACTGAGGCATGAGAATCACTTGAACCCAAACCCAGGAGGTGGCGGTTGCAGAGATCTCGCCACTGCACTCCAGCCTGGGCAACAGAGGCAAGACTCTGTGTCTGTGTCTGTGTGTGTGTGTCTCTCTCTCATAGATATATATTTATGAGGTGGACCAAGTTAATTTAGAAAGGCCAGAGGGGCCAAAGCAGAATATGGTTAGAAATTACCAAACCCACACCTGCTAAGTAAAATAAGGGAATAAACATAGAATCTGTACACACAGACTTAACAGGAAAACAAAAAGGGTGTTTGGCATTTCATCATAAGTCAGATTAGCCACTTTGGAGACTGGCAGAGCACTAAGTTCTCAAAGGACCTGGTCTCATAAGCCAAGAGATAATAAAAACCCTAATTACTCACAACCTTTGACCTCCTTCCCACCTACACTCCCCATGAAACAATCAAGGTCTCTTAACCACATCAGCAAGCTCAGTATCACCTGGGTCTACTCACCCAGCTCCAGGGGTGTGGGAGAACAGGAGTAGTTTGTTCTAATTAGCCCATGACTATTTACCATTGCATCATGTTTACCTTTTTGAGAAAAAGTCTCGCTCTGTCGCCCAGGCTGGAGTGCAGTGGAAACTCCGCCTTCCAGGTTCAAGCGATTTTCCTGCCTCAGCCTCCCAAGTAGCTGGGATTACAGGTGCCCACCACCATGCCTGCCTTATTTTCGTATTTTTAGTAGAGATGGGGTTTCACCATGTTGGCCAGGCTGGTCTTGAACTCCTGACCTCGGGTGATCTACTCACCTCGGCCTCCCAAAGTGCTGGGATTATAGGCGGGAGCCACCACGCCCGGCATCATGTTTACCTTTAACTGGACTTTGGAAACGCCCAAGCCCCAAAAAGCTGGAGATAACCAGATACCTGATCATGATGGCCCCCAGGCCCAAGGAGATAAAGTATCTGAGAAGATCCACTCATTCTAACAAATGCTTCTTCTGTTTAAATGCCGTTTCTATTTTGCGCCCGCAATTTTTCTTTCATTGCTCAGTCTAAACTGCCTTCTTGAAGCTTAGCAGGCAGTCAGCGGCCACTGACTTACCCTCCACTCTCCCCTGGCCACGTGGGAGAAAGTGAGGCACAGGTGGAGTCAATTGGTCTAGTGTTAACTGGATAAGCAGCTCTTACCTCTCGTTAAAAAACAAGAAAATTTAACCAGTGTTCACCTAAACCAGTCCGCTGCCGCTCTCCTGCTTTTTAAAGGGTCTCACTACTTTGTGAATCCCACTTTTACCAGTATCTTTTTGGTACTGCTTGAAAAGAAGCAATAAGTTGTTACAGTGCGACATATACATGTATTTACATTTGATTTTTATATTTAAATTCATGTACGTATTTTTGAGATAAGGTCTCGCTGGAGTGCAGTGGTGCGATCTGGGCTCACTGCAGCTTCCACCTCCCGGGATCAAAAGATCCTCCCACCCCTGCCTCCCGAGAAGCTGGGACTACAGGCACGCACCACGACGCCCAGATAATTTTTGTATTTTTAGTATAGACGGAGTTTCACCGTGTTGCCCAGGCTGGTCTCGACCTCCTGAGCTCAAGCGGTCCTCCCGCCTCGGACTCCCAAAGTGCTGGGATTACAACCATAAGCCATCGCGCCCGGCCTAAGATAGTTGTTTTCAATACTTCTGGAAGCTTTATAGAAAACACTCAAGTTACGTATAATTTCACGTTTCTTGAAAACTGAACTAAGAACACGTGGTACTAGTTTACTCTGGGGTTTGCGGGTTTTTTTTTGTTTTTGGACGGAGTCTTGCTCTGTCGCCCAGGCTGGAGTGCAGTGGCGCGATCTCGGCTCACTGCAAGCTCCGCCTCCCGGGTTCACGCCATTCTCCTGCCTCAGCCTCCCGAGTAGCTGAGACTACAAGCGCCTGCCACCACGCCCAGCTAATTTTTTTTTTTTTTTTTTTAGTAGAGACGGGGTTTCACCGTGTTAGCCAGGATGGTCTCGATTTCCTGATCTCGTGATCCACCAGCCTCAGCCTCCCAAAGTGCTGGGATTACAGGCGTGAGCCACCGCGCCGGGCCGGGTTTGCGTTTTTTTGAGACAGTTTCGCTCTGTCGTCCAGACTGGAGTGCAGTAGCGCGATCTCGGCTCAGGGAAACCTACGCCTCCTGGGTTCAAGCGATTTTCCTGCCTCAGCCTCCCGAGTAGCTGGGATTACCGGCGCGCGCCACCACGCCCAGCGTTTTTTTTTGTTTTTTTTTTTTTTTAAAGTAGAGACGGGGTTTCACCATGTTCGCCAGGTTTGTCTCGAACAAGTGCTGGGATTACAGGCGTGAGCCACTGCGCCGGGCCAACTCTGGTTTTATAAGAAAATATCCTTTTGTGGACGTGTTTTTAAACCCGGCTTAAGTAGAAAGCTTCAGCTATAAACCTACCACTAGATTAACACCAGAAATGCAGGATTAGGCAACGTGAAAGTTAATTATTCCCTTCCAAGGAGGTGCCTGCCTCCATTCTCAAGTGGACTGGCGCAGTTGGAAGCTCTCCCCAGGGCAGGGCCACAGGTGACTCAGCAGCGAGTCACTGGGCGCTGGAGAGGGGGAGCCAGGAAGTGCTGCACCGTCGGTGCGGGAGCGCACGAGGGCCTCCGGGGCCCAGTTTGTAAGGCAGTAGGAAGGAGAGGTCGCTTGAGAAAACGTGGGGAGGGATTTTTAGTTTAAGTTCTTGGAGGCCAATGAGCAGGCTCCCTGACCTTCCTCCCTAGGGCAGTAGCGGGCCCTGCGGGGAAAGCCCTCACTAGGATCAAGAGGGCTTTCCATTTCCACTGATGGCCGCACCCGGGCCAGGTTTTCCGGCCCGAACTGGTGTCTGCCAAGTGAACTCGACCTTCCAGCCCGGCCGCCACAAGCCAGGTTAACCGGAGGGGCCCGGGGTAGTCTGGAGCTGTCCTGGGCGCGGCCCGAGGTGCAGGCAGTAGTTTCCGGGCCCGCCGTCCCCTGGGACGCGCACTCTTCCCCAGCCCCGAGGGAACCCCACTCACCATGACTAGAACTTGAAGGGGTCTGCGGCGGTGAAGGAGGCGAAGGGACGGCAACAAGGATCTCCCACTAACAGACTACCAAGGAGTCCGGGGGAGAAGTAGTGAAAGGGTGGCCGGCCCCGAAGGGCCTTATATACCCGGTCCCCGGCCACGTGTCGGGAGGGCGGGCCCCAGACCCCGCCCCGTGCCGCTGCGGCCCCACCTTCGAGCCCTGGCCTGCGCCCGGCCGCACCCGCGGAGTGGGGGCGCGCGGCGCTGATTGGCGGATTCAAAAGTTCAAACCAAACTCGTCGGAAGGAGCCAGGAGCAGGAAGAGGAGGAAGGGGAGGAAGGGGAGGAAGGGGAGGAAGGGGAGGAAGGGGAGGAAGGGGAGGAAGGGGAGGAAGGGCAGGAAGGGCTCTGGGGCTGGAGAATGGGCCGGGACAGGGACAGAGGTGTCCACTGGGAGGAGGGAGCAGGCCGGACGTCTGCCCCGTCCCCGGTGGGTGCGGGGGCGTCAGGTGGGCAAAACCCCAGCGAGGGGAAGCTCCAGGTAAGAGGGCGACCGCGCCCAGGAGGGAAGCCCTTACTGCACCGCCCCGGCCTCGCCCCCGGTCCCCGCGGCTGCGCTCCCTACGCCGCCGGGGAGGCGCCGACGCCGGGACCAGGCTGCGGGTTCCGCCTCGGAGTCCTGGCTGCCGGGCACCCCGGCTGGGCCCGCGGGCGCCCGCTCCCCTCGCCGCTGAGGGCTGTCCAGAGAGAGGGCTTGCTCCCCACTCTAGGTCTGAATCACCACGAACGCGCCTTAAACTCTATTCCCACCTTTTTGGTTGCTTTTCCTTACGTCCTCTTTAAATGAGCCTTTGGCTTCTAACAGTCTCCTCCCGATAGGCGCAAAAGCAGTTTTTTCAGTTCATTAGGATAATGAATAGCTTACATTTTTTGATTGCTAACTATGCAGAGTAGTTGGCTTTTTTTTTTTTTTTGAGACGGAGTCTCGTTCTGTCACCCAGGCTGGAGTGCAGTGGCGCGATCTCAGCTCACTGCAACCTCTGCCTCCCGGGTTCAAGCGATTCTCCTGCCTCAGCCTCCTGAGTAGCCGAGACTACAGGCGCGTGCCACCACACCTGGCTAAATTTTTGTATTTTTAGTAGAGACGGGGTTTCACAGTGTTAGCTAGGATGGTCTCGATCTCTTGACCTCGTGATCCGCCCGCCTCGGCCTCCCAAAGTGCTGGGAATACAGGCGTGAGCCACCGCGCCTGGCCGAGTAGTTGGCTTTTCATATCACATGATCACATTTCATCCATATGACAAACTCTATGAATTATTATCCCTAGTTTACAGATGAGGAAAGTAGAGCTCCGAGGAATTAAACCCTTCAACACTAACTTGTACTGCGTCATACTAAATGTGCCTCTCTGACCATCTCTGCCAAGGTTTCTCAGAAGCGCCTTTTATTTCTGTTGTTTTTGTTTCTCTGCAACTCTATCATGTTATCTTAGCTCATGAATTCCTTGACCATCTCTGGGAGATACAGAGTTTATGGAAATATTGAGGGAACAAAAGTGAATTTTCTGGCCGGGCACGGTGGCTCATGCCTGTAAGTCCAGCACTTTGGGAGGCCGAGGCAGGCAGGTCACTTGAGGTCAGGAGTTCAAGATATACTTCAACTCACACATACAAAATGGCCCTTGTGGAACATATGTGTAGAGATTTTAGTCTTAGTAGAGCTTTTCAACTTTTTCATTCATTCCCCAGATATATTTAGCACAGTATCCGAGATGCTTAGGGAATATGTTTGTGAGCAAAACTGATGGCTCTGCCTCATGGAGAGGGAATAGGGAAGATAGGGAAGTGGGAGTGGGATAGGGAAGAAAAACAACCAACAGGCCTGGCGCAGTGGCTCAAGTCTGTAATTCTGGCACTTTGGGAGGCGGGCGGATCACTTGAGGTCAAAAGTTTGAGACCAGCCTGGCTAACACGGTGAAACCCCATGTCTACCAAAAAATGTGAAAATTAGTCGAGCATGGTGGTGCACACCTGTAATCCCAACTACTCGGGAGGCTGAGGCAGAATTACTTGAACCTGGGAGGTGGAGGTTGCAGTGAGCAGAGATCGTGCCACTGTACTCCAGCCTGAGTGACAGAGACTCTGTCTCAGAAAAAAAAAAAAAAAAAAAAGAGTAATTCTCTTGTACTTTAAATTAATTTTAAGCATTGGGATCCATATTTAGATTTGCTGCCCTCTGCTGGAATTTTTTGGGGAAAAATTTCCTGGGTAGACAGTTAAACATTTAACCTTTATGTTAACAGATCTTTATGAGTCTAAAAATTACAGTGTAAGGAGAGGCAGAAACTGGACTTACTTTTCAGTTGACAGTTTCCAGAATTCACCAAAAATATGCTAAATTATTATTATTATTTTGACATGGAGTCTCGCTCTGTTGCCCAGGCTGGAGTGCAATGGCATGATGTCAGCTCACTGCAACCTCCACCTCCCAGGTTCAAGCAATTCTCCTGTCTCAGCCTCCCAAGTAGCTGGGGTTACAGGCATGTGCCACCATGCCCAGCTAATTTTTGTATTTTTAGTAGAGATGGGGTTTCACCATGTTGGTCAGACTGGTTTCAAACTCCTGACCTCAGGTGATCCACCAGGCTCAGCCTCCCAAAATGCTGCGATTACAGGCATGAGCCAGTTTGCCCAGACTATGCTAAATTATTAATAGGGTGACAGAAGACACGGTTCAGTGATCAGCCTTTTTTTTTTTTTTTGCTATAAAACTTTTTTTTTTTTTTTTTTTTTTTACACAGGGTCTCACTCTGTCACCCTGGATGGAGTGCAGTGGTGCAGCCTCGACTTTTTGGGCTCAAGCAATCCTCTTGCCTCAGCCTCCCAAGTACCTGGGACTACAGGTGTGTGCTACCATGCCTGGCTAATCTTTTTTTTTTTTTTGTAAAGATGAAGTCCCACTATATTTCCCAGGCTGGTTTTGAACTCCTAGGCTCAAGCAATCCTCCTGCCTTGGCCTCCCAAAGTGCTGGAATCACAGGTGTGAGCCACCACGCCTGGCTAATATATAACTTTGGATGGACATTTCCCCTCCTCAGGGTCCAGGTTTTGAATGTGCAATATGAGGAGATTGGACAGGATCCTCTGTAAGGCCCTTACAGCCCTAACATTCTGTGATGTGTGACTCAAAGTTTGTGGGGTTCATGTGAGCTCTACAAATATGAGCAAAGGAGAAAACATGCTTCCTCAGTCAACATCTTGACTGAAGAATCACCAGAACATTAGATAAATAATTACAGATGGGGCTTTCGTTGTAATCTTACAATGCTTTAGGGAAATAAGCGTTGCATACCTACTGCAGCTTTCTTGGGCTTTAAATGACCATATAGCATGTTCACAAAACATCACAAAACATTAGTAAAGAGAAAAGAATTCAGATAAAACTGAACCTTATTTTTTTTCAGCCTAACTCCTGTTTTCTTTGCTGAGATACTAGTAATGCTGAAGTATTTGTTTGTGTTCAGTTACAAATTACATGATACAATTAATGATGTAGGAATATTTTGTGCTTATGTAGAAATTTATAACAAAATGTTTTCTACTGCAATAGTGCCTTGGTAGAGTTTTTATAAATGAGTTTTTACAAAGGTATTTATTATGGAACTGTGGAAAATAAAGTCCTGAGACTTGAAATAATTTACCCCAAACCACAAGAGATAGGAGTCAGATTAAATACCTACAATGACAGTTGTCTCTTTTATTCTAGGTTCTTCCTCAGCCTGTTATTGGCTCTAGTTAACAGGGAAAGGGAAGTCCTAGAAAAGTCATTTATTGAATTTGTAGTCCTATGGTAAGGTTACTAATGTAACAAGAAAAAAAATTTACCCTACTTTTAACAACCCCAAAGGACAGCTAGGACTCTGCAGTTGAACAACCTTCTTTACAATAAGCATTTTTTTTTTTTTGAGACGGTGTCTCGCTGTGTTGCCCAGGCTGGAGTGCAATGGCGCTATCTTGGCTCAGCGCCACTGAGCCCCAGGCTGGTCTCAAACTCCTGACCTCAGGTGATCTGCCTGCCTCGGCCTCCCAAAGAGCTGGGATTACAGGCATGAGCCCCTGCGCCCAGCCTACAATAAGCATTTTTTAAGATTTATGCATTTCAGCCAGGTGAGGTGGCTCATTTCTGTAATCTCAACACTTTGGGAGGCCAGGGTGGGCAGATTGCTTAAGTCCAGGAGTTCGAGACCAGCCTGGGGCAACATGGCGAAACCCTGTCTCTATGAAAATTAAAAAAAAAATTAGCTGGACATGGTGGTGTGTGCCTGTCGGCCAGCTACTCGGAAGGCTTTAGTGGGAGGATCACTTGAGCCTGGGAGGCTGAGGCTGCAGTACGCCAAGATCATGCAACTGCACTCCAGCCTGGGGGGAAAACAGACCCTGTTCCACCCAAAAGAAATAAAATTATGTATTTCAAGGCAGTTTGTTTTTTCTCCTTTTTTATGCCTTGTATGTACAGAATAGCAGGACATTACTTTCTAGGTAACATGTTATTTTATTTTATGGGAAAAACAGTCCTTGGATCCTTTAACTTTTATTTATTTCTCTTTTATCCCACAAATGTTTGCAGTCTTTAAAAGTTCCTACAAATTCTTTAGAAGTTCTCTTCCTCCCTGATTTGAGCTGTGTTTTGGACGACTTCCCCTTTGGCAGGGCTTAGTATGTGAAATGCTAGCTCCATTCTGGGAGATTACCATAGAAGATTGACTTTCATCTCTGAAATTACACATTTTCTTTCCACTGAGATTTGGCTTGTTCTGATCTGCTTTATATTTCCTAAAAATACAGTGCTGTGGCATCACTTCCTCGGTGACTAACTGAAACAACTGAACCGGTTCCTTTGACCTGTATTCCCACCCTGTATCCCTACACCCAAGACTTCTTACTCAAGCTCTTGCTAATCTTTTCTGGAATTAACTACCATTCCCTTGCCCCCTTCCCCCATTCCTTTAGGATACACAGATAAAATTCTCTTGGAGGAAAAGTAAAAGGAACTACTCATATTCTTCAATTGTCTACAGTATTACTCTAATAAAAGGACTATATCATAGAGCCTGGAAAACTTTTCTATTTATAGTAACATTTATTTAATAAATTTATTCATGTACTGAAAAAGCACTCAGGCAGCCCAAAGTAGAAGGCCCCTGAAGGTTTTCTTTCCCTGCGACTAACTTCTTGCAACCAAGCAAAACAATGGGGAATTTGCTTAGGGACTGTGAATCTCAGGATAATCTTTTCCTTTTTACTTTTCTGCATCTCCACCTGCCTCCTCCTGCTCCCAGGACACACAGCCAGCCATTATCAAGTACACTAAGTAATGTTTTTTCGTACATAATTAAAGCATGGAATCTGAATACTAGAGAGAATATCAGTGCATAAATTATAGTTAGGAAACTTAGAGGTGAAACCGGTCTCTTCTTACTCATGTACAGCCATGTGTCACTTAACAACCAAGATCTGTTCTAAGAAATGCATCCTAGGCAATTTCTTCATTGTGGGAACATCACAGAGTGTACATATGCAAACCTAGCTTATTGCTCCAAAGCTAGAAACTTGTGCAGCCTGTTACTGTACTGAATACTTAGGCGATTGTAACTAGATGGTATTTGTATCTAGGTTGGGCGTGGTGGCTCATGCCTATAATCCCAGCATTTTGGGAGGTTGAGGCAGGCAGATCACTTGAGGTCAGGCGTTTGAGACCAGCCTGGCCTACATGGTGAAAACCCAACTCTATTAAAAATACAAAAATTAGCCAGGCATGGTAGTGTGTGCCAGCTACACAGGAGGCTGAGGCTCAAGAATCGCTTGAACCCGGGAGGCAGAGGTTGCAGTGAGCCGAGATCGCACACTGCATTCCAGCCTGGGCGACACAGTGAGACTCCGTCTCAAAAAAAAAAAAGAAAGTATTTGTATCTAAACATAGAAAACTTATGGTAAAAATATGGTATAAAAGATAAAAGATGGCACACCTATATAGGGCACTTACCATGAATGGAACTTGCAGGACTGGAAGTTGCTTAGTGAGTCAGTGGTAAGTGAATGTGAAGGCCTAGGACATTTAAAAAAATTTTTCATTTTTGGCCGGGTGCGGTGGCTCACACCTGTAATCCCAGCACTTTGGGAGGCCGAGGCAGGTGGATCACCTGAGGTCAGGAGTTCGAGACTAGCCTGACCAACACGGAGAAACCCCGTCTCTACTAAAAATACAAAAAAGTTAGCCAGGCGTGGTGGCACATGCCTGTAATCCCAGCTACTCGGGAGGCTGAGGCAAGAAAATTGTTTGAACCTGGAAGGTGGAGGTTGCAGTGAGCCGAGAGTGTGCCATTGCACTCCAGCCTGGGCACCAAGAGCAAAACTCCGTCTCAAAAAAAAAAAAATTTCATTTTTGAATTATTTATTTATTTACTTATAGCCGGGCATGATAGCTCATGCCTGTAATCCTAGCACTTTGGGAGGCCAAGGCGGGCTGATCACCTGAGGTCAGGGGTTCGAGAGCAGCCTGACCAACATGGCGAAACCCCATCTCTACTAAAAACACAAAAATTAGCCAGGCGTTGTGATGCACACCTGTAATCCCAGCTACTTGGGAGGCTGAAGCAGGAGAATCGCTTGAAATAGGGAGGTGGAGGTTGCAGTGAGCCCAGATCACACCAGTTCACTCCAGCCTGGGCAATAGAGCGAGACTGTCTCAAAAAGAAAAACAAAAAACAAAACATAAATAATTTTTATAAAAACAAGGTCTCACTCTGTTGCCCAGGCTGCTCACAAACTCCTGGGCTCAAGTGATGCTCCCTCCTGGGCCTCCCAAAGTGCTGGGATTACAGGTGGGAGCCACTGCACCCAGCTGACCTAGGACATTATTGTATACTACTGTAGACTTTATAAACACTGACACTTAGGCTACATTAAACTTGAAAACATGTTTCCTTCTTCAATGATAAATTAACTTTAGCTTACTGTAGCTTTAAAAATTTGTAAGGCCAGGTGCTGTGGCTCATGCCTGTAATCCTAGCACTTTGGGAGGCTGAGGTGGGCGGATCACTTGAGGTCAGGAGTTCACAATCAGCCTGGCCAACATGGTGAGACCTCACCTCTACTAAACATAGAAAAAATTAGCCGGATGTGGTGGCACATACCTGTAATCTCAGCTACTTGGGAGGCTGAGGCAGGAGGATCACTGGAACCCGGAAGGCGGAGGCTGCAGTGAGCCAAGATTGTACCACTGCACTCCAGCCTGGGCAGTAGAGTGAGACTCTGCTCAAAAAAAAAAAAAAATTGTAAACTTTTTTTTTTTAAACTTTTTGTCTCTTGTAATAACACAGCTTAAAACACATTGTACAGCTGTACAACATTTTTTTTGAAACAGGGTCTCCCTCTGTCACCCAGGCTGGGGTGCGCTGGCATGATCACGACTCACTGCAGCCTCAACTTCCTGGGCTCAAGCAATCCTCTCGCCTTAGCTTCCTGAATAGCTGAGGTTACCGTGTGCGCCACCATGCTTGGCTAATTTTTTGTATTTTTTGTAGCGAGAGGGTCTTGCTGTTGTCCAGACTGTCTCAAACTCCTGGCCTCAAGTAATCCTCCCACCTTGGCCTCCCAAAGTGCTGGAATTACAAGCTTGAGCCACCTCGCCTGGCCTGCAAACGTAAAATTAAAAAAAAAATAAATGCCTCTTCCTGCCCCCATTCCTCAGCCCCTCCACTGCTAGTACCAGTATCTGCATGCTAGGTGTTCATCCCTGGACTGAGGATTTTAAATGCTTTAACTTATTTATTCTTCACGATAATCCTATGAGGTAGACACTATTGTTACCTCCATTTTACAGGAGAGGAAATGGAGGCTGCCTGGCTTTGGGAACTGCCCTGAGGTCACACAGCAGCGCATGTTGCCTTCAGTCCAGCCTTCTTTGGAATCCCAACCCTTCCCTCAGGAGGTTGGCTTTAAGGCCTTCATTTCTAAACCACTGTCTTCTTTTTTTTTTTTTTTTTGAGATGGAGTGGCTTGATCTGGACTCACTGCAACCTCTGCCCCCTGGGTTCAAGTGATTCTCTTGCCGCAGACTCCCAAGTAGCTGGGATTATAGGCGCCCACCACCATGCCGAGCTAATTTTTGTATTTTTAGTAGAGACGGGGTTTCATCATGTTGGCCAGGCTGGTCTCAAACTCCTGATCTCAGGTAATCCACCCGCCTCAGCCTCCCAAAGTGTTAGGATTACAGGCGTGAACCACCGCTCCTGGCCTAAATTACTGTCTTCTCTCCAAGAACATTAATATAGAACCACTTTTATATCTACAACTTTAATTACATGTTTATTTCCCCAAATCATCAAAATCTGCAATGTCCCCAAACCCCTCAGGAGATTCAGTGAAGGAAGGAGGCTGGAACAGGGTTCTAACAGATGAGGGTCTGCACTTGCAGGCCTCTGTTTTTACAACACTTTGCTGTTTTTGATCCTCTAGTCCATATACCTTTTTCCTTACCCTCCAGCATATTTTGTTCCAATGGAGTCAGGAATATAAGCCCTTTAGAACCCCTGAAAGTTCTTTGTGTGTTTCTGATAGATAAAGATTTCCTCATTTTAAAGTACATAGTTCTCTGTTTTGGTCAGTTTCAGTCCCCACTGACCTTGTAAATGGGTGATACGGAACAGCCTGTAACTACAAAATCGACTTCTTATCCAGTTCCCTCAGCTGCTCCATTTATATGTACGGAACCCAAGGGACAGAGCTGGGTTCACACACTGTGGAAAAGAAAAAGAAGAAATAATTTTTGTTCAAAACAAAGAAACAAATTTTAAATTCACGCTGTTCTTTCTCTTTACTCTGCACGAAATGACTGATAATAAACCAAAGTTGTTTCAGAGGAAAAAAAAATTATCCTGGAACAGAGATCACCTGACAAGCTACACAGCCTGTTTCGCTGATGCTCACTTGCTCAGTTGCATTGGGGGTTTCATGGCCTTTGGTCAAGGCCAGGAGGGCCTAACCCCAAGCACACTAGTTTCTTTTAGTGTTGTTCGTTTGTTTGTTTTTGAGACAGGGTTTCACTCTCTCACCCAGGCTGGAGTGCAGTGGCACCACTGTAGCTCACTGCAGCCTCAACGTCCCAGGCTCAGGTGATCCTCCCACCTGGGCCTCCCAAGTAGCTGGGACTACAGGCACGTGCCACCACACCCACTGGCCTCAGCCTCCCCAAATGCTGGGAATACAGATGTCAGCCACCACGCCCTAGCCTCAAGCACATTGCTATGGAAGCCTAAAAAGATAAATCTGGCTGGGCGTGGTGGCTCACGCCTGTAATCCCAGCACTTTGGGAGACTGAGGCCGGCGGATCACGTGATGTCAGGAGTTCCAGACCAGCCTGGCCAACATGGTGAAACCCTGTCTCTAATAAAAATATAAAAATTAGCCAGGCGTGGTGGCAGACGCCTGTAATCCCAGCTACTCCAGAGGCTGAGTCACAAGAATGGAGAATCGCTTGAACCTGGGAGGTGGAGGTTGCAGTGAGCTGAGATTGCGCCACTGCACTCCAGCATGGGTGATAGAATGAGACTCAGTCTCGAAAAACAAAAAGAAAAGACGAATCTACCAGGTAGAGTGGTTCATGACTGTAATTCCAGCACTTTGGAAGACCAAGTGGGTGGATCACATGAGTCCAGAGGTTTGAGACCAGCCTGAGCAACATAGCAAGACCTCTATCAGAGAAATATATATATATATATATATATATATTTTTTAAAGATAAGTTCAGCTGCTGGGGAAAGTGGTAGTTGGTTTCTTAGCAAGCAACAGAATCATTTTGACCTTTAAAGACAAGGACAAGATAAAATACAAAGGGAAAAGCACTGCAGAGTAAGGAAAGTAAAGATTAGAATAACAAAATACTGAATTAGACTATTCACTGTAAACTCTCAGAGCCATTATAATTACTAGGAATTCTGGCTTATAGTGTGATTAAATAGAGTAACCTTGGCAAGGTCCGTAGTTGTATTTTGGGTGAGTTTCTCCATCTGCATTTGGTGTGAGGATAAGACTTGCTCTAAAACAGCCTGAGGTCAGGTGCAGTGGCTCAAGCCTGTAATCCCAGCAATTTGGGAGGCTGAAGTGGTAGGATCACTTGAGCTCAGGAGTTTGAGACCACCCTGGGCAACACAGAGGGACCCCGTTTCTACTTAAAAAATAAAAAAAAAATATATGTGTTTTGCCTCTGCACCAAGTTCCTGACACAGAGCTCCTAAATCCTTGGAACTTCCTGGGTGATGGGAGCATCTTTTGTACTAATGAGGGTCTCTTGGTGTCTTGCTGGATAGCTTCAGGATAGGGTCTGGTCACCAGAAAGACAAAGTCATGACTAGAAGCTTGAAAATTTAGCCACATCCCCCATCCTCCAGGGAGGGGAGAAGGACTAGGGATTGAGTTAAAAACTGATCATGCCTACGTGATGAAGCCTCCATAAAAATCCCTAAACTACCGGGTTCCCAGAGTTCCAAACTGGTAAACAAGAACATATCCACTTGCAGGAGGGTTGTGCACCCCAGCTCCACTACACTCAAAGGACAGAAGCTGCTGCACTCAGGAGCCTTCCATACCTCACCCTATATATATCCTCATTTGACAATTCATTTCCCGTTTTTTTTTTTTTTTTTTTTTTTTGTTTAGATGGAGCCTCGCTCTGTTGCCCAGGCTGGAGTGCAGTGGCATGATCTCGGTTCAATGATGCAGCTTCCACTTCCCAAGTTCAAGTGATTCTCTGCCTCAGCCTCCTGAGTAGCTGGGATTACAGGCGTGCACCACGACACTCGGCTAATTTTTTCTTTTCTCTTCTTGAGATGGAGTTTCACTCTTGTTGCCCAGGCTAGAGTGCAATGGCATGATCTTGGCTCACCGCAACCTCCAGCTCCCGGGTTCAAGCGATTCTCCTGCCTCAGCCTCCCGAGTAGCTGGGATTACAGGCATGCGCCACCACGCCCGGCTAATTTGGTATTTTTAGTAGAGACGGGGTTTCTCCGTGTTGGTCAGGCTGGTCTCGAAATCCCGACCTCAGGTGATCCGCCTGCCTCGGCCTCCCAAACTGCTGGGATTACAGGCGTAAGTCACCGCACCCGGCTCCCCTTCCTGCTTTTATCCTGTCTTCTATC
Source organism: Homo sapiens (assembly GCF_000001405.40). Lineage (NCBI taxonomy): Eukaryota > Metazoa > Chordata > Mammalia > Primates > Hominidae > Homo > Homo sapiens. Next base: position 49,253,999 of record NC_000012.12, on the reverse strand, counting down.
TCTGTAGGGCTCCCCGTCCCTGATTTTATTAATACTAGTCCTATCCACCTGTGCCCCAGTTCTGTATTCCTGCTCACAGTCTCTGGGATCTTGCTTCATAATTTAACCCTTTTTCTTGACCCTTCACTTTCTTTTGTTTAGACAAATTGGGACTGAACTCTAGTTTCAGTACCAGTTTGAGTTACTGTTCAAATAAAATTATAGGCCACTTTGGGAGGCAGAAGCAGGAAGATCGCTTGAGTCCAGGAATTCAAGACCAGCTTGGACGACATAGTGAGACCCTGTCCCTACAAAAAAATTTAAAATTAGCATGGTGTGGTGGTACATGCCTGTAGTCCCAGCTACTGGGGAGGCTGAGGTGGGAGGATCGCTTGAGCCCAAGAGCTCAAGTTAGCCATGTTGGTGCCACTGCACTCCAGCCTGGGCAAGAGTGAAACCCTCTCTCAAAAATAAAATGAGTATCCCCTCCCCACGCCCCCTCCCTTCATGATTTCAATTTTAAGCATCCCACCGTCCAACCACAACCTCCCACTTTTTAGCTCTACGAAACCAGTACCCACAACCCTTCTACCTAACTGGGACTTACAAGACATTGACACGCCCACGTGTGCACTGTCCTCTATTCCGCTACATCCTCAGGTCTCCTTCCATAGCTTCCACCGTAGCTTACACCTACCAACTCTCATGCTTTATTTTCTTGTTTGTGCTCACTTAGCAAAACCGAATAACCTGATTAAATCTAACTCTGCCTACTCCATGCCTGCAGGCATGGCTGTGGTATGCCGAGAGTTCCATTTAAAGTTCATGACTACTAACCTCCAGCGGGTTTATATTGCTCAGCAGTCATCCGGAATTTCCCTTAATTTTTCACTTTCCCACTCTCCTGAAAGTCTTTTTTTTTTTTTTTTTTTTTAAGATAGGGTCTGGCTCTGCTACCCAGGCTGGAGTGCAGTGGTGCTGCAATCTTGGCTCACTGCAACCTCCACCTCCCGGGTTCAAGGAATTCTCCTGCCTCAGCCTCCCCAAGTGGCTGGGATTACAGAGGCCTACCACACTTGACTAATTTTTGTTTTTGTTTCTGTTTTGTGATGGAGTCTCCCTCTTGTTGCCCCAGGCTGGAGTGCAATGGCATGATCTCGGCTCACCGCAACCTCCGCCTCCCGGGTTCAAGTGATTCTCCTGCCTCAGCCTCCCGAGTAGCTGGGACTACAGGCGCCCGCCACCATGCCTGGCTAATCTTTTGTATTTTTTCAGTAGAGACGGGGTTTCACCATGTTAGTGAGGATGGTCTCGATCTCCTGACCTCGTGATCCACCCGCCTCGGCCTCCCAAAGTGCTGGGATTACAGGTGTGAGCCACCGTGCCCAGCCAATTTTTGTATTTTTAGTAGAGATGGGGTTTCGCCATGTTGGCCAGGCTCTAAAAGTCTTTTTGTAATATCTTCTTCACTGCCCTCAACTTCCCCCAAAGCTTCTCCCTATTCTCACTCTCAGTTCATGACTTTTCACCCTTATTCACTGAGAAAATAGAAGCAGTCAGAAAAGAATGTCCACAAGCCCCTACTGCTATGTCTTCCATGTTAAAATATAATTTTGAAAAAGTTAAGATTATGACTGTCATACAAATATAGAATAAACATCAAGTTTTATTAACTAAAGGAAGCAGTAAAATGGTCAAGCTGGTGAAAAGAGCACTTGAAGAGCAGGAATTTACATATTTTATTAGGAAAGACACTTAAAATTTTATTAGAATAAAATTTATAGATAGATACAAAACTGGTTAATGCCTTACAGAGCAAAAACATCCTAACCTGTGCATCTGGTTTCTGCCACCTAGCATCATATTCTGGAGTTTAATCTATATGGTAGCATGCATTCATCCTTCATTCCTTCTTACTGCTGAACAGTATTGCATTGTATGGATGTAGCATATTTTATTTACCCATTCACCAGCTGACAGACTCAGAATGTTTGCTGTTGGTTTTTCTTAGAAGCCCCTTATCTGGTTAAGGATATTCCCTTCTATTCCTAGTTCGTTGAGTTTTTATCATGAATGGGTTGGATTTTGTCAAATGTTTTTTCTGCATCGATTGAGATGATCATGTAGCTTTTGTCCTTTATTAATATTGTATATTACATTAATTTATTTTAGAATTTAAACCAACCATGCATCCTTGGAATAAATACAACTTGGTCGTGTTGTATAATCTTTTTTTTTTTTTTTTTAAATACCGAGTCTCGCTCTGTCGCCCAAGCTGGACTGCAGTGGTGCCATCTCAGCTCACTACAACCTCCACCTCTTGGGCTCAAGCGATTCTCCTGCCCCAGCCTCCAAAGTAGCTGTGATTAAAGGTGCCTGCCACCACCCAGCTGATTTTTACATTTTTAGTAGAGACAGGGGTTTCACAATGTTAGCCAGGCTAGTCTTGAACTGCTGACCTCAAGTGACCCATCCATCTCGGCCTCCCAAAGTGCTAGGATTACAAGGTGAGTCACCAGGCCCAGCCTATAATCTCTCTTATATGTTGCTGAATTTGGTTTGCAGACGACTTTTGTATCAATATTTATAAGGATATCGATATATACTTTTCTTACAGTGTCTTTACCTGGTTTTAGTATCAGAGTAATATTGAATTTATAGAATAAATTGGGAAGTGTTCCTCCTCTAATTTCTGAAATAATTTGTTCAATATTTGTATTATTGGTTCTTTAAATATTTAATGGAATTTACCAATGAAGCCATCTGGGCTGGGCTCTTGTGGGAAGATTGTTAGATTGTTTTTGTTTGTTCTTGAGACAGGGTCTCACTCTGTTGCCCCAGGCTGGAGTGCAGTGGTACAATCTCAGCTCACTGACACCTCCACCTCCCTGGTTCAAGTTATTGTCCCACCTCAGCCTCCCAAGTAGCTGGGTCTATAGGTATGTGCCACCCCACCTGGGTAATTTTTGTACATTTTGGTTGAGACGGGTTTCACCATAATGCCCAGGCTGGTCTTGAACTCCCGACCTCAAGTGATGTACCTGCCTTGGCCTCCCAAAGTGCTGGGATTACAGGTGTGAGCCACCATGCCCAGCTGGAAGATTGTTTTTTAAATTCATTTTTTTTAACCACTTGATATAGGTATGTTTGGATATCCTATTTCTTCTTGAGTTGGTCTTGATACTTTATGCCTTTCTAGGAATTTTTCATTTCATTAAATTGCCTAATGTACTGGTATAAAGTTGTTCACATTATACTTTTTGTGTGTGTATGGTAGAGATGGGGTTTCACTGTTACCCAGGCTGTTCTGGAACTCCTGGGCTCAAGTAATCTGCCCACCTCAGCCTCCCAAAGTGTTGGGATCATAGTCATGAGCCACCATGCCTGGCCCCATAATATACTTTTATAATTTTAATTTTTGTAGGGCAGAGATTGATGTCCTCTCTTTCATTCTAGATACTGGTAATTTGTGTCTTCTCTTTTTTTTTTTTTTTTTTGAGACGGAGTCTCACTCTGTCACCCAGGCTAGAGTGCAGTGGCGCGATCTCGGCTCACTGCAAGCTCCGCCTCCCAGGTTCACGCTATTCTCCTGACTCAGCCTCCCAAGTAGCTGGGACTACAGGTGCCCGCCACCATGCCCGACTAATTTTTTGTATTTTTAGTAGAGACGGGGTTTCATCGTGTTAGCCAGGATGGTCTCGATTTCCTGACCTCGTGATCCGCCTGCCTGGGCCTCCCAAAGTGCTGGGATTACAGGCGCAAGCCACCACGCCCAGCCAGTGTCTTCTCTTTTTTAAAACAAATTTATTATTATTATTTTTTGAGATGGAGTCTCACTCTGTCGCCCAGGTTGCAGTGCAGTGGCACGATCTCAGCTCACTGCAACCTTCCACCTCCCAGGTTCAAGCGATTCTCCTGCCTCAGCCTCCTGAGTAACTGGGATTACAGGCACCCGCCACCACACCTGGCTAATTTTTGTATTTTTAGTAGAGATGGGGTTTCACCACGTTGGGCCAGGCTGGTCTCAAACTCCTGACCTCAAGTGATCCACCTGCCTCGGCCTCCCAAAGTGTTGGAATTACAGGCATAAGCCACCATGTCTGGCCTTTTTAAAAATTTTTTTCGCTTGGCTAATCTTATTATTATTATTATTATTGGAGACAATGTTTTGCTCTATTGCCTGCTTGAGTGCAGTGGCGTGACCTCAGCTCACTGCAGCCTCAACCTCTCAGGCTCAAGCAATTCTATCTCATGAGCATCCCCACCCGAGTAACTGGGACTACAGGCACGTGCCACCATGACTGGCTAATTTTTGTATTTATTTGGAAGAGACGGTGTTCACCATGTTACCTAGGCTGGTCTCCAACTCCTGGGCTCAAGTGATCCACCTGCCTCTGCTTCCCAAAGTGCTAGGATTATAGGTGTGAGCCACCACGACCAGTCATTGTTATTTTTTCAAAGAAACAACTTTTTGTTCGTTGATTTTCTATATTGCTGTTTTCTGTTTCATTGATTTCTGCTCTAATCTTTATTTCCTCTTTTTTGCTTACCTTGGGTTTAGTTTGATCTTTTGTTTATTTATTTATTTATTTAGAGACGGAGTTTCACTCTTGTCGACCAGGCTGGAGTGCAGTGGCGCCATCTCAGCTCACCACAACCTCCGCCTCCCGGGTTCAAGTGATTCTCCTGCCTCCACCTCCCGAGTACCTGGGATTACAGGCATGCGCCACCACACCCGGCTAATTTTGTATTTTTAGTGGAGACGGGGTTTGTCTATGTTGGTCAGGCTGGTCTCAAACTCCCGACCTCAGGGGATCAGCCCGACTCGGCCTCCCAAAGTGCTGGGATTACAGGCATGAGCCACCGCGCCCGGCCTTCTTTTTATTTTCTTAAGATAGAAGCTTAATTTGATTTGAGACCTTTCTTTTCTTCTTATATATATGTTTTCCTCTAAGCACTTCTAGCTGCTTCCCATAAATTTTGATATGTTGTATTTTCATTTTTACTCAGTTCAAAATATTTTAAGATTTCCCTTGTGAAGTGGCTTTTGACCTATGTGCTATTTAGAAGTCTGTTTTATTTCCAAATACATAGGGATTTCCCAGATCTCTTTCTGTTGTTGATTTCTAACTTTTTTTTTTTTTTTTTTTTTTGAGAGGGAGTCTCGCTCTGTCACCCAGGCTGGAGTGCAGTGGCGCGATCTTGGCTCACTGCAAGCTCCGCCTCCCGGGTTCACGCCATTCTCCTGCCTCAGCCTCCCGAGTAGCTGGGACTACAGGCGCCTGCCACCACGCCCGGCTAATTATTTTTTTTGAATTTTTAGTAGAGACGGAGTTTCACTGTGTTAGCCAGGATGGTCTCGATCTCCTGACCTCGTGATCCGCCCGCCTCGGCCTCCCAAAGTGCTGAGATTACAGACGTGGGCCACCGTGCCCGGCCCTTTTCTTTTTTTTTTTTTCTGAGACAGAGTTTCGCTGTTGTTGCCCAGGCAACAACCCGGTCTCAGCTCACTGTAATCTCCGCCTCCCAGGTTCAAGTGATTCTCCTGCCTCAGCCTCCTGAGTAGCTGGGACTATAGGCGCCGCCACCGCGCCCAGCTAATTTTTGTATTTTTTGTAGAGACGGGTTTCACCTTGTTGGCCAGGCTGGTTTTGAACTCCTGACCTCAGGTGATCCACCAGCCTCAGTCTCCCAAAGTGCTGGGCTTATGGGTGTGAGCCACTTTCTTTTTCTTTTTTTTTACTTTTGAGACGGAGTCTTGCTCTGTCACCAGGCTGGAGTGTAGTGGCTCTATCTTGGCTCACTGCAACCTCCGCCTCCCAGGTTCAAGCAGTTCTCCTGCCTCAGCCTCCTGGGTAGCTGGGACTACAGGCGTGTGCCACCACGCCTGGCTAATTTTTTGTACTTTAGTAGAGATGGGGTTTCACCATGTTGGCCAGGATGGTCTCGATCTCCTGACCTCGTGATCTGCCTGCCTCAGCCTCCCAAACTGCTGGGATTACAGGTGTGAGCCACCGCACCTGGCTCTGATTTTACTTTTCTTTCTTTCTTTCTCTCTTTTTTTTTTTTTTTTGAGACGGAATCTCGTTCTATCGCCCAGGCTGGAGTGTAGTGTCAGGATCTCGGCTCACTGCAACTTCTGCCTCCTGCGGTCAAGCAATTCTCCTACTTCAGCCTCCTGAGTAGCTGGGATTACAGGTGCATGCCACCATGCCTGGCTAATTTTTTTGTATTTTTAGTAGAGACGGGGTTTCACCATGCTGGCCAAGCTGGTCTTGAACTCCTAACCTCGTGATCCGCCTGCCTTGGCCTCCCAAAGTGCTGGGATTACAGGCGTAAGCCACCATGCCCAGCCGATTTTACTTTCTAAAGCCTGTTTTTTGCTTTGTTTGTGGGTTTGTCTTGTTTGTTTGTTTTGAGACAGAGTCTCGCTCTGTTGCCCAGGCTAGAGTGCAGTGGTGCAATCTCGGCTCACTGCAACCTCCGCCTCCCAGGTTCAAGCAACTCTCCTGTGTCAGCCTCCTGAGTACATCTGATCTTAGCCAAAAGGCTGAGAAGCAATCAGCCTCCTGAGTAGCTGGGATTACAGGTGCATGCCACCATGTTCAGCTAATTTTTGTATTTTCAGTAGAAATGGGGTTTCACCATATTGGTCAGGCTGGTCTTGAACTCCTGACCTCAGGTGATCCACCCACCTCAGCCTCCCAAAGTGCTGGGATTACAGGCATGAGCCACCAAGTCCGGCGGGTTTGTCTTTGTTTAGTGACTTGCCTGGGCTAAATCTATGAGCTCTGTCTCCCCTCTGAGGTTTGTAGCTGCTGATCTCTCTGCTTAGTTTCTTTTCTCTTGTTTTACTTTTTTTTTCTTTCTTTTTTTTTTTTGAGATGGAGTCTTGCTCTATCGCCTAGGGTGGAGTGCAGTGACATGATCGCAGTTCACTGTAACCTCCATCTCCTGGGTTCATGCAATTCTCCTGTGTCAGCCTCCCAAGTAGCTGAGATTACAGGTACCTGCCACCAAGCCTGGCTAATTTTTGTATTTTTAGTAGAGATGGAGTTTCACCATATTGGTCAGGCTGGTCTCGAGCTCCTGACCTCAGATGATCCACCCACCTCGGCCTCCCAAAGTGCTGGGTCACTGTGAGCCACTGTGCCCGGCCTTGTTTTACTTTTTAAGTCTGGCTTCCTAGGGGTTGCCCCCTGTGTCTGAGTAGCCTCCTGGTTGACCAATGATGGGGCAGAAATTGTCCTGAAATGCCATAAGCCAGTTGGCCTTCTGTCTTCTGATAATGCATTTCTGCATGTTTTAGGAAGCACACAATTCAAAGTTCAGGCCATTTTCTCTTTTTTTTTTGAGACGGGCTCTTCGCCCAGGCTAGAGTGCAGTGGTGCGATCTCCGCTCACTGCAAGCTCCGCCTCCCGGGTTCATGCCATTCTCCTGCCTCAGCCTCCCAAGTAGCTGGGACTATAGGCGCCCGCCACCACACCCGGCTAATTGTATTTTTAGTAGAGACGGGGTTTCACCGTGTTAGCCAGGATGATCTGGATCTCCTGACCTCGTGATCCGCCCGCCTCGGCCTCCCAAAGTGCTGGGATTACAGGCGTGAGCCACCGCGCCCGGCCAAGTTCAGGCCATTTTCAATTCTATCTGGGCTTTTACTTTTATTCTCTGTTGGGTTCTTCCATCACATTTTCTCTAGGCAGGCTGCCCCAGGGTCAGGCAGAAGTATGTGGCAATTAGGCCAGATGCAGTGGCTCACGCCTGTAATCTTATCACTTTGGGAGGCTGAGGCAGGCAGAAGTATGTGGCAATTAGGCCAGATGCAGTGGCTCACGCCTGTAATCTTATCACTTTGGGAGGCTGAGGCGGGCAGATCACTTGAGATCAGGAATTTGAGACCAGCCTGGCTAACATGGTGAAACCCGGTCTCTACTAAAAAATACAAAAATTAGGTGGGCGTGGTGGCGCATGCCTGTAGTCCCAGCTACTTGGGAGGCTGAGGCAGGAGAATTGCTTGAACTTGGGACGCTGAGGTTGCAGGTAGCCGAGATCGTGCCACTGCACTCCAGCCTGGGCAACAGAGTGAGATTCCATCTCAGAAAAGAAAAAAAAGAAGAAGTATGTGGCAATCTTAGGCCCTCTGTTATCTGCTGTAAATGTGTAGAAGTTTAGACAGGAAGATGCTTGCCCCAGCCAGAACTGTAACCTCAGGTTAGAACCTTTGGTCCTGCCCTGCTCCAAACAAAGTAGGCCCACTTTGAGTATAGTTGCAAGGCTGGTTGTTACAGCAGTCCCCACCCTGGCAAAATCCTCTTGCTGACGGAGCTGAAGGGACAGCTGAGAATGGGAGTGTCCCCAGGCAAGATGCCACAGATTCCCACTGTTATTACAAAAGTTCAGCAGTTACTCAAACATAAACGCTTCTCAGGTTTTTTTCATCCAGGTTGGGGTGCAGTGATCAGAGCTCAATTCAGCTTCAAATTCCTAGCCTCAAGTAATCCTTCTACCTCAGCCTCCTGAGTAGCTGTGACTACAGGCATGTGCCACCACTACCTGGTTAATTTTTTTATTTTTATTTTTTGTGAAGATGGGAGTCTCACTATGTTGCCCAGGCTGGTCTCAGACTCCTGGCCTCAAGTGATCCTCCCACCTTGGCCTCCCAAAGTGCTGGGATTACAGGTGTGAGCCACCGTGCCTGGCTGTTTCTCAGATTATTACATGCCTTTGGTCAATTTTCAGAGTGCCAGAAATGGTCATTTTTGTCAATTTTTTCCACCTTTGTAATTTTTTTTAGGGAAAGAATTTGCCCACCTCTTCACACTGCCATAGCTGGACGTTTCACCCTCCTCAATAAACAAGTGATGAATAAGTGAATAAACCCCTTGTAATTTGTGTTCTGTCTTGACCACTGTACTGAAACTGTCTTATCAAAAATTATCATTTACTTCCCAGGCACTAAAACAGGCTCTGAGTAAGACAGGCCTGGGCTGAATTATAGCTCTGCCACTTAGTCACTGTGTACTTGATGAGTATATTTATCTTCTCCAAGTCTTGTTTTTTTTCTGTTAAATAGCTAAAATAATACCTGGGGTGTTATTATAAAGTTATTATAAGGAAGGTGTGGTCTGAGCAAGCATCTGGGAGGATGCTTCAGAGTCCTTTCCCAACATAGTATTTGTCAGGAGGTCTGAGCTCCTGTTCAGACTGTGAGTCTGGGATGGCCTTCAATCTCATTTTCCATCCTTACACACAGTGGAGACATGACTGGTGGGAATGCAGGGATAAGATCATGAAAACTCTTTGATATTATATCCATTAGACACAACTATAAGGTATTATTATGCCTTATTATGATGTACTTTGTGAACTCTAAAGAATCCCCTCTCTGGGATCATGCCATTGAACTCCAGCCTGGGCAACAAGAATGAAACTCCATCTCAAAAGAAAAAAAAAAATACCTCTCTGGGAAAATTTGGTCATAATAGAATTTCTAAAAATAGGGAAGCTACTCAAATTACTTCCCTTAACTTCCTTCTTCCCTGGACATTTGAACATTTTGAAGATACCGTAGATATCTTCAAAAGACCACGACTATAGATGTAAATTCTTCTTAATCACAAGCTTTCCCATTTTTAGATGTTTCTTCTAAGAAGACATAGTCTCCCAAATCAGAAGGGAAACATCCATTTTGTGGTAAAAGATGGAGAAGGAGAAACATGACCAAACAATGTGTGGAATTTGAAAATGAAAATACTGTGGTGAGTGGTGAGGCCATTTAGAGCCCCATTTAGGGCCTTGCTGAAAATTCAGCTGTTTCTGCAGGCAATACATGTTTTAAAGCAGATTTTTTTTTCTTTTTTTTTTTTTTTTGAGACAGAGTCTCACTCTGTCACCAAGGCTGGAGTGCAGTGGCACAATCTCGGCTCACTGCAACCTCCACCTCCTGGGTTCAAGTGATTATCGTGCCTCAGCCTCCCGAGTAGCTGGGATTACAGGTGCCCGCCACCACACCCAGGTAATTTTTAAATTATTTGTAGATACGGGATCTCGCTGTGTGGCCCAGACTGGTCTTGACATCCTGACAGCAAGAGATCCTCCCACCTTGGTCTCCCAAAGCACTGGGATTATAGGCACGAGCCACCATGCCTGGCCTAAAGTTTTTCTTTTAATGAGATAGTATTACAAGTCTCAATTTCCAGGTTCTAAACCACCAAATGTACCCTTTCCTTAAAGGGAACTGCCTGAGAATGGTTTGCAATGAGCTGATTTTTCTTTTCCAGCCTCCCCTTCCCAAGTCCTCTTAGCCTTCACAGCAAAAAGATTGAGGCTGTAGTGAACCATGATTGCACCACTGCACTCCAGCCTGGGCGATAGAGCAAGACTCTGTCTCAAAATAAATAAATAGATAAAATAATAAAAATCAAAAACAAAAAGCTATCCCTTAGCCATCCTGAACTATGCTATGTGCGATGTTCCCAAGCAAAGGGATAATTGGAGAAGCATCATGACTGACGGAGGAGCTCCTGAGAGCCAAGTAAGAAGCACTCACAGGGTAGCACCTGATTTCTTTTTTTTTCTGGAGATGGAGTCTCACACTGTCACCCAGGCTGTAGGGCAGTGGTGCAATCTTGGCTCACTGCAACCTCTGTCTCCCAGATTCAACCAATTCTCCCGCCTTAGCTTGGCTAGTAGCTGGGACTCCAGGCGCGCGCCACCAGCTATTTTTTGTATTTTTAGTAGAGATGGGGTTTTCTCCATGTTGGCCAGGCTGGTCTTGAACTCCTGACCTCAGGTGATCCGCCCACCTTGTCCTCCCAAAGTGCTAGGATTACAGGCATGAGCCACCGCAACCAGCCTGCACCTTATTTCATCTTAACAAATTCACGGCAAGCTTCTTAGAATTGGAAGTCACGACCGGGCACGGTGGTTCACACCTGTAATCCCAGCACTTCCAGAGGCTGAGGCAGGCAGATTACTTGAGCCTAGAAGTTCGAGACCAGCCCGAGCAACATGTCAAAAACCCTGTCTCTATTAAAAATACAAAAATTAGCTGGGTGTGGTGGTGCATGCGCCTGTAGTCCCAGCTACTCAGGCCACTAAGGTGGGAGGATCAGCTTGAGCCTGGGAGGCAGAGGTTGCAGTGAGCTGAGATCACACCATTGCACTGCAGCTTGGGCAACAGAGTAAGACCCTGTCTCAAAACAACAACAACAGAATTAGAAGTCACAGATGAGCCAGGCGCGGTAGCTCATACCTGTATTCCCAGCACTTTGGGAGGCCGAGGCAGGAGGATTGCTTGAGACTAGGAGTTTGAGAACAGCCTGGGCAACACAGGGAGACCCTGTCTGTATAAATAACAACAACAACAAAAAAATTAGCTGGAAATTAGCTGGGTGTGGTGGTGTGCACCTTCAGTCCCAGCTACTCGGGAGGCTGAGGTGGGAGGATTGCTTGAACCTGGGGATTTGAGGCTGCAGTGAGCTAGGATTGTGCCACTGCACTCCAGCCTGAGTGACAGAGCAAGACCCCATCTCAACACAAAACAAAACAAAAACACACACAACACAAAACAAAAAAACAAAATAACTCCATTTGACTGATTGGTTTGGCCATGGGGACTGGTTTTGCTAGTTAAGTAATATTTTCTACAAATGGAAGGAGCTAGATCTGTGGCTCCAAACCACATTTTTTTCCTCATGCCACCTTGTCTAAGAAGGCTGTAAACTTTTGGCCGGGTGCAGTGGCTCACACCTGTAATCCCAGAACTTTGGGAGGCCAAGACAGGTGAATTGCTTGAGGCCAGGAGTACAAAACCAGCCTGGCCAACATGGTGAAACCCCATCTCTACCAAAAATACAAAAAATTAGCCAGGTGTGGTGGCGGGCACCTGTAATCCCAGTTACTCGGGAGGCTGAGGCAGGAGAATCACTTGAATCCAGGAGGCGGAGGCTGCAGTGGGCTGAGATCACGCCACTGCACTCCAGCCTGGGCAACAAGAATGAAATTCTGTCTCAAAAAAAAAAAAAAAGAAAGAAAGAAGGCTCTAAGTTTTGATGAAAATATGTATAAAGGCTGGGCACAGTGGCTCACACCTGTAATCCTAGCACTTTGGGAGGCTGAGGTGAGCGGATTGCCCAAGCTCAGGAGTTCGTGACCAGCCTGGGCAACATAGTAAAACCCAATCTCTACTAAAATACAAAAAATTAGCCGGGCGTGTCGGCGTGCGCCTGTAGTCCCAGCTACTTGGGAGGCTGAGGCAGGAGAATTGCTTGAATCCGGGAGGCAGAGGTTGCAGTGAGCTGAGATCGCGCCATTGCACTCCAGCCTGGGGGCAGAGCGAGACTCTCAAAAAAGGAAGGAAGGAAGGAAGAAAGGAAGGGAGGAAGGAAGGCAGGGAGGGAGGGAGGGAGGGGAGGAAAATATGTGTAAAGCATTTATCATACACCAGAAATTGCATGAATTGTAACTATTTCAAGTTCTGATGACCACTGCCTTAAACTCACACTCACATCATAATCACCCCATCTTACCTCCTGTCAGTCCCTTCAGGCTGAAGCAAACCACATTCATGCTCCTTGTCACTCTTCCAGGTCTATACCTTTGTATGTGGTCCTGCCAGTTCCTCCAATGGAAACACCTTTCCCTCCCATCTCAGTGTTGAATCCTACCTAACATTTGCCTGGTCTGAGGCACTAGTTAGGCACTGGGGGTGCAAAATGAACATGATAATCTTGGCCCCATTCTCATAAAATTTAAGTGTCTGGTATGGAAGACACAGATAAATCATATTATATATGGTATTATAAGAGCTAAGATGGGACCAGGCATGGTGGCTCAAGCCTGTAATCCTAGCACTTTGGGAGGCCGAGGCGGGCGGTTCACCTGAGGTCAGGAGTTCAAGACCAGCCTGGCCAACATGGTGAAACCCTGTCTCGACTAAAAATACAAAAATTTGCTGGCCGTGGTGGTGCACTCCTATAGTCCTAGCTACTTGGGAGGCTGAGGCGGGAGAATCGCTTGAACCCAGGAGGCAGAGATTACAGTAAGCTGAGATCTCGCCACTGCCCTCCAGCCTGGGTGACAGAGTGAGACTCCATCTCAAAAAGAAAAAAAGAGCTATGATGGGCTGGGGGCAGTGGCTAATGCCTGTAATCCCAACACTTTGTGAGGCTGAGGTGGGAGAACCGCTTGAACCCAGGAGTTCAAGAACAGCCTGGACAATGTAGTGAGAGTCCATCTCTACAAAAAAATAATAATAAAAAAAATTAGTCCAGTGTGGTGGTGCACGCCTGTAGTGCCAGCTACTCGGAAGGCTGAGGCAGAAGGACCACTTGAGCCCGGGAGGTCGAAGTTGCACTGAGCAGTGTTCGCACCACTGCACTCGAGCATGGGTGACAGAGAGAGACCCTGTCCCAAAAATAAATAAGTAGATAAAAGAGCCACAATGGGGAACTTGGAGGTGCTGCCAACTCACAGCAGGGGCACCCTGTGGGGGTCCAGGAAGTGGCCAGAAAGCCAAGACCCTCTGATAAGCCTGATATTTTGTGGGGAGAGGAGAGAAGAGGACTGATCTATACTGAAAACACAAAAATGAGTTGAATTGATATTTTTAAGGCAGTTCCTCTGTGGAATCAGGATTTCAATGTGAGGGACACACTTAACTCTAGGGTCCAGATAGAAACTACTGAATTTAGTGTTTCTTTCTTTTTTTTTTTTTTTTTTTCAGAGAATGGTCACATATTCTCAAAAGCCCAATTATAGAACAAGCTGAAAGTCAAGGGAGAGGTCATCTCCAGAAAAGTTTTCCCCTTGCTTTTTGCCAAACATAAATATTTGAATCCTGAGTTCAACTGCCAGGGGAGTGGGCAGCCTTTTTATATTGGCGTCCCCAAAAATAATGCTCAGAGAATGCTCTTGGGATGTCTGTGAGGAAAAAGGCAGGGTGTGTGTGTGTGTGTGTGTGTGTGTGTGTGTGTGTGTGTGTCTGTGCTCTGAGGGTGGAGGCACCCTCCTAGCAAACAAGCAACTGAAATAAGCAGAACAACAAGAGAAAACAGTTTCAAGGGACTGACTTGTGCCACACAAGTGGAATATCCCACTGCTCTACCTCCCGTCCTGGTCCTGTCCCAAGCCAGAGGCCCTGAAAAAACCTTTGCTGAGAGATGCTAGACTCTCTACTTAATGCCAATATTCAGTGCTGATTTGTTATCAAGCTATTTATTTATTTAGAAATACCATCTCTCTGTTGCCAGGGCTGGACTCCCAACTCCTGGGCTCACACGATCCTCCCGACTCAGCCTCCCGAGTAGCTGGGACTACAGGAGTACGCAGCTGCACCCAGCTTCACGCAATTTATTTCTTTTTTTTTTTTTTCTTTTTGAGACAGAGTCTTACTCTGTCGCCCAGGATGGAGTGCAGTGGTGAAATCTCAGTTCGCTGCGACCTCCACCTCATGGGTTCAAGTAATTCTCTTGCCTCAGCCTCCTGAGTAGCTGGGACTACAGGCACATGCCACCACACCTGGCTAATTTTTGTATTTTTAGTAGAGATGGGGTTTCACCATGTTGGCCAGGCTGGTCTCAAACTGCTGACCTCAGGTGATCCGCCCGCTTCGGCCTCCCAAAGTGCTGGGATTATAGGTATGAGCCACCCCACGCGGCCAACTCTACAAATATTAATACATTATGTGACGTTATGATGTATATATTTTGGTTTTCCTCCACTATTCCTGGCTCTCAGCTCCTGTAAGCCTTGTCATTTCCTAAGTGACTAGAGCAATATCTTTTGTTAAAGGCCTTTTGTCCTGAGTCTTGAAGCAGCTCAGGAAAAGCTTGAGTAATAAAGGTGGAAGACAGACAATCTTTTGTTATTTTTACCAAACTCTTCAAGACACCTGAGTTTACATTAATGAGGCGAAAATCAGGATGGCTACAGTGGATGGGGATCCGGTTGCCAGGGGAACCAGCCACATTCCCAGAGGGCTGGAACTTCCAGGGAGGGGAGAGGGGCTGAAGGTTAAGCTGACCATCAAATGGCCAATGGTTTAATCAATCATTCCTATGTAATGAAGCCTCAGTAAAAACCCAAAAGGGCAGGGTTCAGAGAGCTTCTGGATGGCTGAACACGTAGAGGTTCCTGGAGAGTGGTGTGCCCAGGGACGGCGTGGACGCTTGGTGCCCCTTCCTCCGTACCTCGCCCTATGCATCTCTCTATCTGGTTGTTTATTTGCATCCTTGAAAATATCCTTTGTAGCCAGGTGTGGTGGCTCATGCTTGAGCCCAGGAGTTCAAAATTAGCCTGGGTAACACAGTGAGACCTTGTCTGTAAACAAATTTTTTAAATATAAAAATAAGCAAAAAAATTTTAAAATGAATATCTTTTGTAATAAACCGGTAAACAAAAATAAGTGCTTCCTTGAGTTGTGTGAGCCATTCTAGCAAATTAATTGATCCCAAGGAGGAGGTTGTGGGAACCCTCATTTATAGCCAGTAAAAACCACCTGGGGCTCGCAATCAGCATCCTAAGCGGGGCTCAGTCTCATGGGACTCAGTCCTCGTGGGATCCGAGGCTCTCCAGGTAGTGTGAGAATTGAATTAGAGAACACCCAGCTACTATCCATTGCAGAAAAGAACTGATTGATTGTTGGTGGGGAAAAATCCCCACACAAATTTTGGTGACCAGAGGTCACAGAAGTATTCTGTGTTGATTGTTGAGTGACAGCACAGGAGAAACTAAATTAGTTTTTTCTTATATATTTTCACATTAGCAGAATTGTGGGATACAATAGATGTGGCACTAGCCATCAGTATTTCCTATTCTAGTCACAGTTCGATACCCAATAACTTCGTCTTACTAGTTTTCTGATACAGTTCACTCATGCATTGCCGGAGTGAACTTTTTTTTTTTTTTTGAGGCGGAATCTCGCTCTTGTCACCCAGGCTGGAGTGCAGTGGAACAATCTTGGCTCACTGCAACCTCTGCCTCCCAGGTTCAAGCTATTCTCCTGCCTCAGCCTCCTGAGTAGCTGGGATTACAGGCGCCCACCACCATGCCCAGCTAATTTTAGGATTTTTAGTAGAGACGAGTTTTCCCAAAGTTGGCCAGGCTAGTCTCAAACTCGTGACCTCAAGTAATCCACCTGCTTCAGCCTCCCAAAGTGCCGGGATTACAGGTGTGAGCCACTGCACCTGGTTTCTTCCCTTCCCCTCCATTCCCTTTCCTTTTTCCTTTCCTTCCTCCCTGCCTCCCCACCCCTCTTTCTCTCTCTCTCTTTTTTTTTTTTGACAGGGTCTCTGTCACCCAGGCCAGAGTGCAGTGGCGCGATCATACTCACTGCACCCTCGAACTCCTAGGCTCAAGGGATACTCTTACCTTGGCCTCCCAAGTAGCTGGGACTGCAGGCACATGCCACCACATGTGGCTAATTTTGAAAACTTTTAATAGAGACAGGGGTCTCACTGTGTTGCCCAGGCTGGTCTTGAACTCCTGGGCTCAAGTGATCCTCCTGCCTCAGCCTCCCAAAGTGTTGGGATTACAGGTGTGAGCCACCACATCCAGCCCAGGGTAGATTTTTATCTTATTTTTCTTTTTTCCTTTTTTTTTTGAGACGGAGTTTCACTCATTGCCCAGGCTGGAGGGCAATGGCACGATCTCGGCTCACCGCAACCTCCGCTCCCAGGTTCAAGCAATTCTCCTGCCTCAGCCTCCCGAGTAGCTGGGATTACAGGTACGCGCCACCACTCCCGGCTAATTTTGTATTTTTAGTAGAGATGGGGTTTCTCCATGTTGGTCAGGCTGGTCTTGAACTCCTGGCCTCAGATGATCCACCTGCCTCAGCCTCCCAAAGTGTTGGGACTACAGGTGTGAGCCACGATGCCTGGCCCGGATTTTTATCTTATTTCTCATCTCGTTTTGTTAGTTGTCTGAGTATCTTCTTCAAGCACCCATATAGAAAGTTAACATTTTCTCTATGATCAGTATCATGGTAGAATCAGCAGGTCTCATTCACGAGGGCTTAGTTATTGAAGTACCAAAGGATGTCCTTATAACATATTGACTATACAGTCATGCTTTGCATAATGATGTTTCAGTCAATGGTGGACCTCATTAATGATGGTGGTTCCGTAAGATTATAATATCATAATCCGGACTGTATCAAATACTGTTCCTTTTCTGTTTAGCTATGTTTAGATACAGGAATACTTATCATGGTGTTATAATTGCCTACAGTATTCAGTACAGTTACATGCTATATAGTTTTGAAGCCTAGGAGCAATAGGCTGTGTTATATAGCCTAGGAGTGTAGAAGACACTACCACCTAGGTTTGTGTATGTGCACTCTATGTTTGCACAGTGATGAAATTGCCTAAGGATGCATTTCTCAGAAAGTATCAGTCATTAAATGACACATGACTTATATGGAAGTCACATGACATGGACCCCAAGGACTACATAATCAGTGAGGCTTCAGTAGGCTATACTGTTGATAAAGCTACTTCATCTCTTTCAGGAAAATCATCATAAGCTCATCTCTGAATACAACATTCAGTTTTGTTGGAAAGTAACTATCAAGGTTTGCCGGGTCAGAACTATGCTTGATAACATGTTTCCATTACAAATGCTTTCTATCCCTCATACCATATTTTTCCGGGTGGGTGGGCCAACTGCAATCTGCTCTAATATTCTGCTTTCTACCAGTTCTCCCAACGTTTTCTGATTATGGACTTTAACAAAGTGCAATACCGGGGAATGCAGGCTCATGCTGAAGTATATGTATAAATGTGTTTGCTAATGCATTTAGACCCTCATGTGAAAAGGGCCTGAAGTCTTCTAAATAGAAAAATCTTCAACTGAATCAGAACTGACTGAGGAGTTTGGAAAATGTTGGCAGGGCTTCATGATCTTATATCAAACCGTGGCAAGGCCACATTTTAACATCTCCCTACTCCCAGATTAATTTCATTTCTGTCACCCTCTTCACCTTGGAAACTCCTCCCATTCAGCAAAATCAGAAGCATTCAGAATAAGCACATTGTGATTTCTGTCCCTGAAACCCGCTGTGTGCACTGATGGAAAGCATAGTTTTAGTTTGTAGCCCTGTGCCCGTGGGCCGGTGGAGGAAATTAAATGAGTTGAGCCTCAGGTTTTCCTCAGAGACCAGCAATGTAACAAATGACGACTCATTGAGGCCCGAGGGCTCCTCAACACAGGCCACTTTCTTGCAGAGAGTCAGCCTGGTCTCTTTTTATTTTTTAAAAACTATGTAAGATTTTTTTTTTTTTTTTTTTGAGACCGAGTCTCACCCTGTCACCCAGGCTGGAGTGCAACTTTCGCCTCCCAGGCGAACTGTAACTTTCGCCTGCCAGGTTCAAGCAATTCTGCCTCAGCCTCCCGAGTAGCTGGAATTACAGGCGCGCACCACCAGGCCCAGCTACTCTTTGTATTTTTAGTAGAGACGGGGTTTCACCATGTTGGCCAGACTGGTCTCAAACTCCTGACCTCAGGTGATCCACCTGCCTCGGCCTCCCAAAGTGTTGGGATTACAGGTGTGAGCCACTGCGCCCAGCCTGGTCCAGCCAAGGTGCCAGCGAGTCTCTCCTGGACAAAAAATGGGGCGCTGACCTGCAACCCCGACACCTTTCCGGAAAGGGCCTTGCAGCGGCGCGGCGCGTCCAGCAGATGGCGCCCCAGCTGAATTTTCGCGAGCTGTCCTCCAAGCTTGCAGAAAAATCTGGAACTAACAGGAAGGGGAATTTTTTTTTTTTTTAAGCATTCTAATTTTCAACCTATACTGCCTTTTTGTCCGTGTCAGGAGCCCTTTTTATTCGAATAAGTTGCAATGCATTTGAGATGTCTAAAAGACTTTTTGATTACGCAATCCCAAATTAATTTTTTTTTTTTTTTTGGCCGGGCGCAGTCGCTCACGCCTGTAATCCCAGCACTTTGGGAGGCCGAGGCGGGCGGATCACGAGGACAGGAATTCGAGACCAGCCTGACCAACATGGTGAAACCCCGTCTCTACTAAAAATACAAAAATCAGATGGGCGTGGTGGCGGGTGCCTGTAATCCCAAATACTCGGGAGTCTGAGGCAGGAGAATCGCTTGAATCTGGGAGGCGGAGGTTGCAGTGAGCCGAGATCGCGCCAGTGCACTCCAGCCTGGGCAACAAAAGCAATACTCCGTCTCCAAAAAGAAAATTTTTTTTAGGATGTCCACTCTTCCAAAAGACCCAAGAGGGAGGTTTTCAAACAGCATTAATTGTCACAAGAGTTCAGAAACTTTCGCGGACAGCGATATGTGAAGAAAGGCCGCTTCTAAACAGCAGGGCGTGGCGGGGGCGCGCTCGCCGGGCCGCGGCGGAAGTGGCCTTCGTGGCGGGCGGGGCGGCGGCTGCGGCCTGGAGATAGCGCCGCCTGCTGGTCACCGGGGACAGAGCGCTCGGGGCTCGCCAGGACTGCGGCGCCACGCGGGTGGGAGCCCGAGCCCAGGCCCAGGCCCTGGCGCTGCACGTCACCGTACTAACCAAGGAAGCAAAGTCATGGACACAACCACAGCCTCCTTTCTGCTCTGCAGAGAAACCTGGAAGCCTACTCTGGTTTGGAGAGTAGTGTTTCAACGAACTTAACGGTTTTTAGCGCTTGCCACAGCTAAACAGGGTGGACTTGATTTTTAGGGTGTCCTTGTTATTTAAGACAATGCTAAAGGAGAATGAAAATTAGAACCTGGTAGGGGACTGCTTTCATTTATTCTCTCCTGCTTTAATGGGATTTACAACATATTAAAAGCAGTTATCAGAGGCAAATTGGATAAATGGGCTAGGGGTTGCGTTTCAAGGTGGAGGCGTTTGTCATTTCTGACTGTGGCCCCTCGTTTTTATTCCAGGATCGTTGCAGTGCCATTTCTAGGTCCCTCCTCCTCTCCCCACTTCCCTTTTCTCTGCACCCATTTGACAGGAGCCTCTGCAATCATCTGCTTATTGCGCGTCACCGTCATCCAGTGGGAGAGCCTTGTGGTACCACCTTTCTCCACCTATGGCTGCGGCCCGCAGGAAGATGACGGGTTGCGCTTCTGCTCTGGAGCCAGCCCTGTTGCCGGGAACTGCAACCCGCAAGATGATGCCAGAGCTCAGCTTCCCTCTTTTTATGTTGCAGAGTTTATGCTGCCCTGCACTGAGCAGACGCTTTCGCTTACGCAGCCCTGCCCTTCACCTTGCCCAGTGATTCCGGAATAACCTTCCGGACCCTCCTACTTGCAGAGGTTCGTTGCTTCAAGCGTCATAATCATTCATCTCCGTTTTTCCTCTAGTGATGAAGGCTCGTGGACGGACCACGGTTCACTCGGTCTAGGAGTCACGCTGTTGATCAGGTTGTCAGACATCAAAATTCCCATCTCCCATCAGGGCACAGCTATAGGGCTCTGGGTCAAAACAGGGCCTTCTCTTTTGTCTGGTAGCACCAGAAACACGGTAATTGGGAACCCATCAGGAATGGAAGGCTCCTTGAGGCCCTGGAGATGGAATGTTGGGCCCCCAAGTCCTGAAAGGAACCAGTGGGGCTGTAATCTTCACAATCTGGATCCAGCCAGAAGAGCACTGAGAGCTCAGTGTTTGGAGGACAAAAAAGGGCAATGGATATACAGTAACTTAGTGAATCAGGGCCCGGATCCAGGAAGATGCCTGACATTTGTTTATCAGCAGAGAAACAGAAGTAAAGGAGGGGAACCTTCTCCTAAGTGTTACTGTGTTATGAAAGTGTCCTTCAGGGAGAGGCGACATGAACAGGGCAGCTGATAACGTTGATACTGTGCAGGCACACATCTCCCCACATTCCCCAGGCTGCTGAACCAAGTGTACCAAACTAATCGCAAGGACACAGCTTTGAGCCTCCCCGGCGGCAGTCCCTGGAGAGAGTCCGCTCAGACAAAGCAAAGCGCGCTCCCAGCGGGGAGGGGTGGCCACTTTTTCTTTGTTCTCCCTTGGAAAATCGGCTGTCTCTCAAGTCTCGTAAACCAGCTGCTTTCACTTCTTGCAGGGGGTCAAAATCAATTAATCACCAATCATGTTTGGACAGCACAGTTTTGAAGCCCTGAACTCTGTGAAATGCAGGGTCAAACTATTTTTAGAATTTTAACATGCCGTTAAGTTTGTATTCTGAGTTTCCCAGCAAAAATTTCTGAAATGTGCCCCACTTTGAAAAAATAAAATAAAAAGAACACCTCCAGAAAAAAGGTGGTGGAGACAGAGTGTTTGGGATTGTACTTAACCCCAAAACGACAAGTCATACATCTTACACTTAGGAATCTCTTCTTCACAGAAGTATAAGTTACTGAGCAGATATCTTTGCCTGCTGAGAAGCCCCTTCAGCAGTAAAAGGGAGAGCTCTCTGAGAAACCTCAACTTTCTACATTATAAGTGATATTTTTTTCTCATAAGAAGGATTTAACATAGCGCCTTTTTAAAAATTCAGAATTGCCTATCCCTGATTTAAGTGGGGGATCAAGACAAAGGGTGCCTGACTTCTGTATCAGGAATAGGCGTGCCACTCCCCAAGCACTTGGAGCATCTGCTGCCTGGGCTGATTCTTAAACCGAAATCCACACGTGGCTTGACAGCTGAAGTGCCCTTTTATGTCCAGTTGGAATTTCATGTTGGGCAGGCTGCAATGAGTTCATATCCAAACAGAAAATGGGTTCTGTGGGTCAGAGAAAGCTTACTGTGCTGAGAAGGACAAGGTGGACATTTTGTAAATACTATAGGTTTATTTCCGGGGAATTTATCCGCAAAAATGAGGTTGCTTCATTCCCTTCACACAGCATCCTCAGGCCCTTTCAGACAGTTTCTGCTCTTTGGATTTCATCTGCTTGCTAAATATCCACTCCTGTTGTGTCCAGAACAAGGGACTATCTGCAGGTTACTGTGAAAGCAAGCGTTGGGTGGCCCTGAGGGCAGCTCCTCCCAATCAGCTCTTGTCCTCCTTCTGTCAGGCCCTCTGGAGGAAATGAGAGCCACCCCCAGCCAGGAAATCAGCCCAGCATTAGCGTTTAGGGATAGATGATCTAATGGCTCAGGTTCTATAGGTGACGTTCAGGCAAGCTTCTACAATAATTCTGAAGCTAGACACAGAACATATGAGCAGGTGTCCAAGAATTATGGATGCCTCTGAAAGTAACAGAAGGCCAGGCGCAGTGGTGCATGCCTGTAATCCTAGCCCTTCAGGAGGCTGAGATGGGAGGATCAATTGAGGCCAGGAGTTCGAGACCAGCCTAGTCAACATAGCGAGACTCCATCTATCTATCTATCTATCTGTCTGTCTGTCTGTCTGTCTATCTATCTATCTATCATCTATTTTTTTTAAGTAGCAGAAGTTTAAAGAAAAATAGCCATGGCACATACGTTCACAATACTACGCCGTGTTCTCTCCAGTGTTAAGGAGATTAAATTTAAAAGTTGTAAGCACTTTGAGGGCAAGAGCCCTGTTTCGCACTTCCTTTATATTTCGCACAGTGCCCAGCAAGGTATTACACATGCAGTGGTCACTCGGAATACTTAAAAAAGAAATTAGTGCTGGCTCACACCTGTAATCCCAGCACTTTGGGAGGCTGAGGTGGGAGGATTGCTTGAGCCCAGGAGTATGAGACCAGTCTGGGCAACACAAGATCCTATATCTACAAAAATTTTTTAAAAATTAGAGCTGGGAGTGGTGGTGCATGCCCGTAGTTAGTCCCAACTCCTTGGGAGGGTGAGACAGGAGGATCACTTGAGCCCAGGAGTTTAAGGCTGTAGTGAGCTATAATTGCACCATTGCACTACAGCCTGGGCAATAGAATGAGACCCTGACTATAAAAAACAACAATTAAAAAATAATGATGGACTAATGGAACAACAAACAGCTGTGCTCTGAGATTAAGCCTGTTTTTATTGTCACTTCTGAGGAAGCTAGACAGTGATACTTTATAGCCAGAAAACAGAAGTGGAGATGGTGCAACCTTTCTAAATAACAATGACAGCAGCTGACCTTCCTGTATACCAGAAACGATACTAAGTTCTTTTCATACATTATCTCATTTATATCTGACCACACCCCACAGACTTAAGTATTACTATTAGGATTACGCTTATTTTCCAGATGACAAAACATTACCCAAGTCACACCGCTAGTAAGTGTCCACATCAGGACTTGAGTCCAGCTCTCAGTCAGTTTCCAATGCTTTCAGGCAAAATCCTGCACCAGAACATCTCATGATGACCTCCATAGCTCCATTTATTAACCACCCTGCTTTGAGCCTTGCAACCTAATATCTGAAGTGAGAGGGATAGTCCTTCAGAGCAAACGAGCTCAAATAAAATTTAAAAAGCAATACATGATTTGAGAGGGAGAGGGAAAAGGGTCAGCACAGGCACAATTCATAACGGAACATGTCGCAGTATGCCTGGGCTTGATGTCTTCTCCTGTGCATTTTCTAGTTTAATCCCCATGGCACCCTGTGGAGGATGTTATTGTTATCTCATATATAAGGAATAAATGTCTGGAGAACAGCTGGGCTCAAGAAAAAGGTAAATGCTCAAATATTCAGAGGCAGAGAGGGAACGAATCTACTGATAACACTGTACCTGCCCCAGGCCTCTCACTTGGGCTCACAGTACTGGCGTGGGCGTGTCTCACCTTTCCTTCTTCTCCTATGTTTTTAGTAACACTCCAGCCAGCCAGAAAGCTTGCACCTGTCTCTCCCTGCCCCATAAATACAAATATGGTTAAATGTTGACTTGTATGCCATTAAACCATTTCAAAAGCACAGATGAGGTCAAGAGAAAACAGTACAAGTCATTATGCATGGAATGCTATGTAAGAGTTAAATAGAATGAATTAGATTTAAGCATACTGCCAGGTAAAGATCTCCACAAGGCATAGACTGTTCTAAAAAAGAAAAAAAAAAAAAAGGCCAGGATGTTGACTTATGCCTGTAATCCCGGCACTTTGGGAGGCCAAGGCAAGCAGATCACGAAGTCAGGAGTTTGAGACCTGCCTGGCCAACATGGTGAAACCTTGTCTCTATTAAAAATACAAAAATTAGCCAGGTATGGTGGTACACGCCTATAGTCCCAGCTACTAGGGAGGCTGAGGCAGGAGAATCGCTTGAACCCAGGAGGCAGAGGTTGTAGTAAGCCTATACTGTGCCATTGCAGCCTGGGCGACAGAGCAAGACTCCATCTCAAAAAATAAAATAATGAAATAAATTTAAAAAGAAAAAAAAAGCAAGTTAAGAATAAAAAGCACAACATGGCACCATTTATCTCTTAAAAAGTCACACAAAACAATGTGATGTGCACACACACACACACACACACACCTCTATGCAAACAGGTAAGAAATAGTTGGTTACACCCCCAAATTGTTAACAGGGGTTTCTTTGGGGAGAGGACTGGGTTTGGGGTGAAGTGAGCAGTACCGGCAGACTTTTCCTTTGTCTTTTTACAAGATAATTTATTCGTATAAGGGGTATGTAAAGAAAGAAAGGACAGAAAAGAAACAAGTGATGCTGTTAAAAAATAGACTGGGTGTGGTGGCTCACGCCTGTAATGCCAGCACTTTGGGAGGCCAAGGCGGGCGGATCACCTGAGGTCAGGAGTTCAAGATCAGCCTGGCCAAGATGGTGAAACCCTGTCTCTACTAAAAATACAAAAATTAGCTGGGCATGGTGGTGCACAGCTGTAATCCTAGTTATTCGGGAGGCTGAGGCAAAGAATTGCTTGAACCCAGGAGGCAGAGGTTGCAGTGAGCCGAGATTATGCCACTGCACTCCAGCCTGGGCGACAGGGTGAGACTCTGTCACACGCACGCAAAAAAGATAAAGGTTCGCAACATGCAGTAAAGTGGGGAAAGTGATACAAATACACCAAGCTAAAATCCACCGCCTCCTTCATGTCCAGGGAAGACCAATAGATTAGAGGAGTGTCCTCATGTTGACATTATTAATACTTTAATGATTTTCTAAATTTAATGTCTCCTGTGTCTACCAGAAATATATTCCTGAGAAGTTCAATAGACTTGGAAGCAGACCACCTGGGTTCAAGGCCCGACTGCCTTTCTCTGTAACCTTGGGCTGGTTTCTCAAAGCCTTAGTTTCCTTATCTGCAGAGTGGAGAGGATAGTAACACACTTCACAGGGTGCCCTGAGGATTAAATGAGATAACGCATAGGAAAAGCCATCCAAACCTGGGGAACAGAGACTTGTAAATTGCAGATTGTGTTAGCGCCTACTCTCTTCCCATTCTCTCCCTCCCACTTCACAGAATTGTTTTTCCTCACACCTTTAAGATGTCTGAGTATCCCACACTAAAGTAGAGTAAAATTAATAAATCATTCTTTAGTATAATATTTGCTGATAACAGGCCTCTTGTAATTTGAGACTTTAGATTCTGCAGATGCATGGTTTTTAGGCTTCAATAGCCTGTATTCATGCATGTATTTTAAGGGATATGCTCATTTGATTCCATTTATAAAATATGCCTCTTCCCTGTGCAACCCACTTTTGATTCAGAAACTAAAATATTCAAATCAGGGAGGCCATTTAAAGTATAAGACAAAAATATAATTAATGTGTTTTGCATCTGAAAATATGTCTATTTGTGGTCCTAATAAAACTTCAGACTGCTCTGAAATTTCAATATTCCAATAATAAGCCTTATAATAAAAAGGATTGCAGAAATAATAAGATAAACACTAATGCCACCAATATAATTAAACATGAAACAATAAATAGGAGCAAATTCACAAATATCAGTTGCATGCACACAGTACCATGTCCAAGCCGTGCATGATGAAGCTATTTACATTACATTACTATTACAGCCTTACCTTTGAATCACAGCCAGGTTCTCCTCTGCTTTTGCTGGATGTGCATGTGTTAAAAGGCGCAGGGAGCTGAAGAGTCCTGGTGAAGTAAATAAGAATCCAGTTAGAGATGTACAGTTTTGCATTCAGAAAGGATCCATTTGAAGGATCTAATTCCAAGCACACAAAGCACTCATCCCTCCCTAGCTCCTCCACCCCATTGAACCAGGCTGTCATTTTAGAGCTGGGCGCCCATTGTTCACTTTCTTCTACTTTAATTAGATTTGACAGATTGCTCTTTCTGGCTAGACTGGCTGTTGCCAAGAACAGAGAGAAGAGATGAGGCTGACCTTGTCATTGTGCCATTGGGATCAGGTCCCCACCCCCTCCGCCATCCTAGTCCACAGATCACTGAAATTTCTCCTTAGTGGCTTCAAATCTATTCCTCTTCTCCTCTAGCCTCTTTCCTACATGCCTCCTGGCAGTCCTAGCACCTCTGAGTTTTCTTACTCTCAATACTGTGGGCTTCAAAGCCTAGGTAGGCTGTGGGAGTAGAATAAGTGGTGTTGTTGTGTTTTTTCATAACAATACTCTGACCCTGATTTTTTTCTTTTTTTCTTTTTGAGACAGAGTCTTGCTCTGTTGCCCAGGCTGGAATGCAATGGCAAGATCTCAGCTCATTGCAACCTCCGCATCCCAGGTTCAAGCGAATCTCCTGCATGAGCCCCCTGAGTAGCTGGGATTACAGGCATGTGCCACCACGCCCAGCTAATTTTTGTATTTTTAGTAGAGACGGGGTTTCACCATGTTGACAGCTGGCCTCGAACTCCTGACCTCAGGTCATCCCCCTGCCTCGGCCTCCCAGAGTGCTAGGATTACAGGCATGAGCCACCGCGCCTGGCCGGCCTTGGTTTTTTTCTGCAGGCCTATTGGTAAAAACAGACCAGCTTTTCCAAAGGGAAATGTAACTGCAGTTCCACTCAGGAGCCAGGAAATATTGATCGCTTAATGAAGTAGAGCTCAGCAAGGACCCACGGATCTGAAGCAAACCCCGTGCCCCGCTGCCCTGTTTCCCATCTGTGAAATGTGGCCAATAACTCCTGAACCTTCACCATCTCAAACACACATTATATTGGTATTAGGTAAGAACCAGACAATAAAATGATAGAATGGGAAGTGATCTTAGAGATCATCTAGTCTAATAACTTTTCTTGGAATATTAAAAAACACAGACCAAAAGTGAGAAGTGACAAGACAGTGTCATGAAATTAGTTAATAGATGTTTAACACCTGGCACTATGCAAACGGCCTCTGATCAGTTTTGTCACAAACCTGCCTTTCTCCAATTTATCCTATGCTTGATAATAAACTATATTGGCCAGGAAAGCACTTTCTTTCTCTTTTTTTTTTTTTTTTTTTGAGACAGTGTTTCGCTCTTGTTGCCCAGGCTGGAGTGCAATGGCACGATCTCGGCTCACTGCAACCTCCGCCTCCCAGGTTCAAGCAATTCTCCTGCCTCAGCTTCCCGAGTAGCTGGGATTATAGGCATGCGCCACCACGCCCAGCTAATTTTGTATTTTTAGTAGAGACAGGGTTTCTCCATGTTGAGGCTGGTCTCGAACTCATGACCTCAGGTGATCCACCCACCTCGGCCTCCCAAAGTGCTGGGATTACAGGCGTGAGCCACCGCGCCCAACCAGCACTTTCTTTCTCTGAGGAAAGAATCTCCTCACCCAAGGACTGTATTTTTATTTTTCTTATTTTTTTGAGACAGAGTCTCACTCTGTCGCCCAGGCTGGAGTGCAGTGGCGTGATCTTGGCTCGCTGCAACCTCCACCTCCCAGGTTCAAGCGATTCTCCTGCCTCAGCCTCCCAGGTAGCTGGGACTTCAGGTGCCTGCCACCACACTGAGCTAATTTTTGTATTTTTAGTAGAGACAGGGTTTCATCATGTTGGCCAGGCTGGTCTTGAACTCCTGACCTAAGGTGATCTGCCCACCTCAGCCTCCCAAAGTGTTGGGATTACAGGCATGACCCCCCACGCCCAGTCAAAGGACTATATGTTTAGAAATGCTGAATTTACTGAGTTTACTGGGAACTCAGTGGTCTTGTACTAGAACCTGAGTCACCAAATGCCACACAACTGTCATAGAAGAACAGGATGGACCTCAACAGGCTGGAGGCCTGGGCCCTGCTCTTACATAGGAGTGGCCCTGTCCCTGACCCAGCTCTGGCCACGCCCGTGGCCTCAAGAGCTGTGAGCAGGAGCAACCGGTAGGAAGTTCTCCTTGGAACAAACTTAGTGTTTACCGGGTTGTAATATAAACCCATTCAAGTACAGTTCATTCAACTGCTCAAAAGCATTTATTAAAAGCTCATTATTTGCTAAGCCCCTGTGGGCTGATAAGGCTACTCCATTGAGTAAGACACAGCCTCAAGGAGGCAGCAGTGTCAACACCTAACATGCAGGGGAGCACTGTGGGGCCTTGGTGGGAGGAGGAAATACTGTTTTCCTTGGTTGAGGTTCAAGGAATCAGAAAAATGTCGAAGGAAGTGATTCTTCGCTGGGCACAGTGGCTCATGCTTGTAATCCCAGCACTTTGGGAGGCCAAGGCAGGTGGATCACAAGGTTAGGAGTTCGAGACCAGCCTGGGTGAAACCCTGTCTCTACTAAAAATACAAAATATTAGCTGGGTGTGGTGGTGGGCGCCTGTAATCCCAGCTAGCTACTCGGGAGGCTGAAGCAGGATAATCGCTTGAACCCGGGAGGCGGAGTTTGCAGTGAGCCAAGATCACGCCATTGCACTCCAGCCTGGGTGACAGTACGAGACTCCATCTCAAAAAAAAAAAAAAAGGAAGTGATTCCTGAATTGAGCTTTGAGAAATAAGGGATATCTGGGGATGGGAGGAGGGATGCAAGTACATGGCGTTGAGATAGAGAGTGGGCCTGGTGTTTTGCTGGAAAAAAAGGAAGTTTGGGGCTTGCATAGCACCAAAGATGAGATTGGGAATTTAGGTAGAGGTCAATGGAAACACTGTGTGACAAAGGGAGAAAGCTGGATTTTCTATTGGTAGCTCCTGGGAACCACGGAAGAGTTCTAAGCAGGGAAGTAAAATGATCCAAACTGTGTTTTAGAAAGATGGCCTGTAGGCTGGGCATGGTGGCTCACACCTGTAATCCCAGCACTTTGGGAGGCTGAGGTAGGAGGATTCCTTCCACCCAGGAGTTCAAGACCAGCCTGGGCAATGGAGCAAGACCCCATCTCAATTAAAAAAGAAAAGAAAAGAAAGAGAGAGAGAAAGAAAGAAAAAAAAAAGAATGAAGAAGAGAAAAGAAAAAGAAAAAAAAGGCTCTGGCCAGGCACGGTGGCTCATGCCTGCCATCCCAGTGCTTTGGGAAGCTGAGGCAGGAGGATCACTTGAGCCCAGGAGTTTGAGATCACCCTGGGCAATACAGTAAGACTCCATCTCTACAAAAATTGTTTTTTAATTAGGTGGGCATGGTGCACCTGTAGTCCCAGCTACTCAGATGCTAAGGTGGGAAGATCACTTGAGCCCAGGAGGTTGAGGCTACGGTGAACCATGAGCGTGACACTGCACTCCAGCCTTGGCAACAGAGTAAGATCCCTCCTTAAAAAAAAAAATAGAAAGAAAGGTGGCTCTGATGGCAGCATGGAAGATAGTTTGGAGGACAGGTGGGAAGGATTCAGCTCAGGGGCCATGTATTCTAGGAAACCTTTCCTGAGCTCTCAGGCAGAGCTGTCGGTGCCTTGTCTGGGCCTCTGCAGCACCCATGCTCTGACACTTAGCCTATTTGATTTGTTTATATGTCTGCCTCCCTCATCAGAGTATAAATTTCCCAAAGACTGAGACTTATTTCTTTTACATATTTATGTAAAATACACCTACCACAGCATATAGCCCTAGATATACTTTTATTTATTTATCTTTTATTTTTTGAGTCCGGGTCTCACTCTGTTGCCCAGGCTGGAGTGCAGTGGTGCAATCACAGCTCACTGCAGCCTTGACCTGCCAGGCTCAGGAGATCCTCCCATCTCAGCTTCCTGAGTAGCTGGGACTACAGGCACCTGTCACCGCATCCAGATTTTTTTTTTATTTTTTGTAGTGACAGGGTCTTGCTGTGTTACCCAGGCTGGCCTTTCTTTCTTCTCTTCTTTAACTGCATTTTTATATGCTATGTTATATGGTTTCTTGTGTAATATCCTCACTCTAGTCCTACTGAATTGCAATGGACATTGTTTCTTGTCACCCCAGTTTCTCTTCCTGTACTCTGACAATAGGCCTGATTTTTTTCAGGGAATTCTCTGCTTTTGGTCTTTGCGATCTGATTAGGGCTTCCCCAACCTCTAGCTCCAGGGTGAAGGACAAGATTTAGGCCTAAATCAGCCAGTCCATCCTAGCTAATTGGTTTGAGGTAAGCATGTGCTCTAAGCCTTCCTAATCAGATTAAATCTAGGGACTTTCTCCAGAGTTACTGGAAGAAGAGTTTCTCTCTCTCTCTGTCTTCCTGCTGGACATGGAGTTAATTAATTGGTGACAGGGCTGCTGTAGCCATTTTGACACCAAAGGGATAAGCCTGTTTGAGAATGAAGCTAATACATGGAGGAAAACCCAGAAAACTGGAGAGAGAGAGTCCCGGGGATGGGAGCAGAGCTCCTCTCTAATCAGCAACTCTCCCTGCTAGTTTGGAAACTGTGTATTTGGTAATGGTGAGTGTTAATTCATTTACACCTGTGAGGTTTCTTTCTCTATTTTTTCCTTTATTTTTCTTTTTGTTTTTTTGTTTTTGAGATAGGGTCTCACTCTCTTGCCCAGGCTGGAGTGGAGTGGCACAATCACAGCTCATTGCAGCCTCCACCTGCTGGGTTTAAGTGATCCTCCTGCCTCAGCCTCCTGAGTGGCTGGAGCTGTAGGCATGCACCATCATGCCTGGCTTTTTTTTTTTTTTTTTTTGTAGAGACAAGGTCTTACTATTTTGTTCAGGCTGATTTCAAACTGTTGAGCTCAAGCGATCCTCCTGCCTTGACCTCCCAAAGTGCTAGAATTACAAGCGTGAGCCACGAGGCCGGCCTATTTTTTTGGTGGAGGCCAAGCTTCGCTCCCTGTCCCCTGTTTTGAGATGTTTGGCAGCTAAAGACCGATAACAAGGTATAGGAACAATGGATTGCTAGTACTCAAGGAGAAGGATCAAAATGTCTGCGTTTCCCATGTAAGTGAAAGTTAGGGAGGGAGCTCAAGACTCTTTTTAAAGAATGTATCTCTTCCCATCTTGTTCAAAGCTTTCAGTAAGTGTTATTCGGTTATATAAAACTCAACCACATCTATCCAAGCAGTCTCACGAGTTAGGAATTTGACCAGCTGTCCATGAGGAAGTGGGCTAAAAAGCCAAGCATTCTCTCTCTCTCTCTCTCTCTCACACACACACACACTCTCTCTCTCTCTCTCTCTCTGTCTCTATCTGTCAGATTTCAGTGCTTAGCAGTACACCACATACATGCTATTTATTCACATAGCTTGTTCCTTATTTTCAGTTATTTTTGTCCTCTGTAAAGTGGGAAGCATTAAGGAAAGCAAACTTCCTAGTTCTTCTTCTTCTTTTTTTTTTCTCTTTTTTTAAACGGAGTTTCATTCTTGTTGCCCAGGCTGGAGTGCAATGGCATGATCTCGGTTCACTGCAACCTCCACCTCCTGGGTTCAAGTGATTCTCCTGCTTCAGCCTCCCAAGTAGCTAGGATTACAGGCACCTGCCACCACGCCCAACTAATTTTTTGTATTTTTAGTGGAGACGGCATTTCACCATGTTGGCCAGGCTGGTCTCGAACTCCTGACCTCAGGCAATTCGCCCTCCTCAGCCTCCCAAAGTGCTGGGATTACAGGCTTGAGCCACCACACCCAGCCTAGAGTCTTTATTCTTATACTAGCATCCTGCCCCACTGTTTTCCAAATATTTACTATTATTTCTTCCTAATATATTTGCAAATATGTAGTTTAACCATTGGTTATTTAATAACAATATTATGGACTTGCAAAATCTAGCATTTATTAAAGAAGCCAGTCACAAAAGATCACATATTGTATGATTCCATTTATATAAAATGTCCAAAACAGGCAAGTCCTTAGTGACAGAAGTAGATTAGTAATTACCAGGAGCTAGGAGGAAGGGATAGAAATGGATACAGGATTTCTTTTGGGAGTGGTGAAATTGATTTTGATGATGTCTGTGAAACTCTCTGAATATACTAAAAATAGTTGAATTGTGTACTTTCTTTCTTTCTTTTTTTTTTTTTTTGAGAGGGAGTCTTGCTCTGTCGCCCAGGCTGGAGTGCAGTGGCGCGATCTCAGCTCACTGCAAGCTCCACCTCCCGGGTTCACACACACCATTCTCCTGCCTCAGCCTCCCGAGTAGCTGGGACTACAGGCATCTGCCACCACGCCTGGCTAATTTTTTGTACTTTTTAGTAGAGACGGGGTTTCACCGTGTTAGCCAGGATGGTCTTGATCTCCTGACCTCGTGCTCCACGTGCCTCGGCCTCCCAAAGTGCTGGGATTACAGGCATGAGCCACCGCACCCGGCGAATTGTGTACTTTCAATAGGTGAATCGCTATAGTATGTGATTTTTACCTCAACAAAGCTATTTAAAAATCTAGTGCTATTTCTTACTGGATTTTGAAAGAGAATTAAAAATTTTGGCCAGGCACAGTGGCTCACACCTGTAATCCCAGCATTTTGGGAGGTAGAGGCAAGTGGCTCACTTAAGCTCAGGAGTTCAAGACTAGCTTGGACAATGTGGTGAAACCCCATCTCTACAAAAAATACAAAAATTAACCAGGCAGGGTGGTGCACACCTGTACACGCAGCTACTCAGAGGCTGAGGTGGGAGGATGGCTTGAGCCTGGGAAGTCGAAGCTGCAATGAGCTGAGATTGTGCCACTACACTCCAGCCTGGTCAACAGAACGAACGACACTGTCTCAAAAATAAAAATAAAAAATTCACTTCCCCATTTGCCAACATTTCTCTAAAGTAGGTGAGCAGTCTTCAGCTGGGCCCTCTCCCTAACTTAGTTCTCCCTACTTGGGTCCATTTCCCTGCTCTCTGCACCCCCATCAACAGTTTAATCTGCCCAGAGCTCAACCCTGGAAGTCAGGATTCTCCTCCCTGCACCACCAGACTCTGTGCCTTTGCCAACATGGTTCCTTCCATTCAACCTGTGTGTTCAGGGCCCTGACTGCATGTCACCTCTTCAAGGGCCTTTCCTTTCCATTTCACTGGGAGTGGTCTGCCCTCCAGGGTACAAGAAGTGACATTTCAACCAAATGTTTTGATACCACACAGCAAGGCGTCATCAGTGTTCTAGTCTGGATTCTTTGGGCCTGCACCACCCACCAGTGACCCTTTTCACTAAGTTAATGCCACATTTAATTTTCCTTATTATAGCATCAAAGTCTATATTTTATTTTGTTTGTTTGCTTTTGCTTTCTTCTGCCCATTATTTGATCCTTCCCCTCTTCTTTTTCCCATCTCCTCACTTCCATTCCCCCTTCAAGCCCTTCCCTTGGTACCTGGCTAATTCTTGCTAAATATTCAGGACTCTGGAAAAATGTCATCTTTTCCAGGAAGGTTTCTCTGACACCTCCCCTCACCCCTAGGATTGTGGCTGAACTGAAGTAATGGCAAGGGAAATGTAGAGAAATAAACAAATTGGAAAAATATTAAGGAGGAAGATTTGGCAGAACTTGCTAATGTGAAATAAAGCCTAAAGATCAAACAAAATAAGCAGTGAATTTGAGATACCAATTTAGTCATTTCATGTTTTTTCAAGCTTTGTGCCATCTACAGTTTTTTTTTGTTTTTTTTTTTTTTGAGACGGATTCTTGCTCTGTCATCTGGGCTGGAGTGCAGTGGTGTGATCTCGGCTCAGTGCAACCTTTGCCTCCCGGGTTCCAGCAATTCTCCTGCCTCAGCCTCCCAAGTAGCTGGGACTAAAGGCGCATGCCACCACACCTGGCTAATTTTTGTATTTTTAGTAGAGACGAGGTTTCACCATGTTGGCCAGGCTGGTCTCGAACTCCTGACCTCGTGATCTGCCCGCCATGGCCTCCCAAAGTGCTGGGATTACAGGCGTAAGCCACCACGCCTGGCTGTCATCTACAATTTTAATAAGAAAGATAGATCCTCCTGCCAAACGTGTCTTCCTTAAACATCTGTTATAATATTGCTTTATTGATGGAGGGCCTTTTACGACTCTCTGGTTACTAATGCACCAAGCCTAAACTCTGCCTTGCTTTAAAGGCCTTCCTAGTTGGTCCAGCCCTTCCCATTGGCTCCACCCAGCTGTGGTCAGGCTGGCTGCTCCATCCTCCAGGACAAAGTCTTGCTCACTCCTGCTTGTAACGCTTTTGCCACCACCTCACCTGCAGCAGTGCATTCCCTACGCTCATCTCAGGGACCATTTAAGGCTCAACTTCAAGGTTATTCCTCATGAAAGGCTGCTTGCCTGTTCCACGCCTTCTTGTGCCCTCTGAACTTCTGAAGCATTCAATTTAGCACTTAATTATATATGCTCATCTTACATAATCTACTGTTGCTTTCATGTGTGTTAGTCACGTTTCCCTCAACTAGATTATAAATTTGTTGAGTGCGGGAACCATAATTTATACTTCTTTTTTTTTTTTTTTTGAGATGGAGTTTCGCTCTTGTTGCCCAGGCTGGAGTGCAATGGCACGATCTCGGCTCACCACAACCTCCGCCTCCAGGGTTCAAGCAATTCTCCTGCCCCAGCCTCTCGAGTAGCTAGGATTACAGGCATGTGCCACCACGCCCAGCTAATTTTGTATTTTTAGTAGCGACAGGGTTTCTCCATGTTGGTCAGGCTGGTCACAAACTCCCAACCTCAGGTGATCCACCCGCCTCGGCCTCCCAAAGTGCTGGGATTACAGGCGTGAGCCACCGCGCCCGGCCAATTTCTACTTCTTTAAGATCATACGTTCTGGAATCAGACTATGCTCAAATCCTGGCTCTCCTACTTGCTAGCTGTATGGCACTGGGCAAATGGCTTAACTTCTCTATGTCTTAGTTCCTAATTTTTTTTTCTTCTTCTCTTCTTTTCTTTTTTTTTTTTTTTTTTTTTTTTTTTTTTTGAGACAGAGTCTTGCTCTGTTGCCCAGGATGGAATGCGGTGGTGCAATCACGGCTCACTGCAACCTCCGCCTCCCGGGTTCAAGCGATTCTCCTGCCTCAGCCTCCCGAGTAGCTGGGATTACAGGCACCTGCCACCACGCCAAGCTAATTTTTGTATTTTTAGTAGACAAGGTTTCATTGTGTTGGCCAGGCTGGTCTCGAATTCCTGACCTCATGATCCACCCACCTCGGCCTCCAAAGTGCTAGGATTACAGGTGTGAGCCACCTTCCCTGGCCAGTTCCTAATATTTAAAATGGAGATAATAAAAGTATCTATCTCATAGGCCGAATGCAGTGGCTTACGCCTGTAACCCCTATGCTTTGGGAGGCCGAGGTGGGTAGATCACTTGAGCTCATGAGTTTGAGACCAGCCTGGGCAACATGGTGAAAACCTATCTCTACAAAAAAATACAACAATTAGCTAGGCGTGGTGTTGCATGCCTGTGTTCCTAGCTACTTGGGAGGCTGAGGTGGGAGGATGTCTTGAGCCCAGGAGGCAGAGGTTGCAGTGAGCCTAGATCGTGCCACTGCACTCCAGCCTGGACGATACAGCCAGACCCTGTCCAAAAAAAAAAAAAAAAGAAGAAGACCTATCTCATAGGAGTGGCCATAGGCCTTAATGAGGCAACTCATGTACAGAGCCCAACAGACAGCTAGCAAATTCTAAGAACTCAATAAACATTAGTTAGTATTATTATCTCCCACATTGCTTACATGTCATCAAACACTGAGTGGATGCTTAACAATTAATTTTTGCTGATTTAATAGGTTGCATATAAATCTCTTTTAGATGCCTAAGAGAATCAGAAACTCTTTGGTTGAGGAAAAAGAGGTGTATTTGTACAGATAATAATAATTATTTTTATTTTTATTTATTTATTTTTTGAGACGGAGTCCCGCTCTGTCGCCCAGGCTAGAGTGCAGTGGCACCATCTCAGCTCACTGCAAGCTCCGACTCCTGGGTTCATGCCATTCTCCTGCCTCAGCCTCCCAAATAGCTGGGACTACAGGTGCCTGCCACCACTCCCGGCTAATTTTTTGTATTTTTAGTAGAGACGGGGTTTCACCATGTTAACCAGGATGGTCTTGATCTCCTGACCTCGTGATCCGCCTGTCTCGGCCTCCCAAAGTGCTGGGATTACAGGCGTAAGCCACCGTGTCTAGCCAATAATAATAATTTTTAAATGTTTATTAGGACAATTTTACTTCCCAATTTTTGAGGTGCATTTCACCATTGCCCCCATGTCTTCACCTGCCTCCTGGAGCCCAGGTGAGGAATCAAGAGGATTGTCTCTCTCACTTCATAAAGACACCAGGAATGAGCATTAGAAAGCAAAATGTGAGGCAGGAGGATGGCTTGAGACCAGGAGTTTGAGGTCAGCCTGGGCAATATAGTGAAATCCCATCTCTACAAAAAATAAAAATAAAAAAAATTAACCAAGTATGGTGGCACACGCCTGCAATCCTAGATACTCTGGAGGCTGACACTGGAGGATCACTTGAGCCCAGGAGTCTGAGGTTACAGTGAGCTATGACTACATCACTGCACTCCAGCCTGAGTGACAGAGCGAGACCCTGTCTCAAAAAAACCAAAAATCCTCTTTTATGTAGTTTTCTGTTTTTGAATGCATGTGCCTCAAATAAACAAACATAAATTACTGTACTGGCCTGTTGGCAGTTGAGGCAACAAGATGTCTAGCAGAGTGCAAGACAAAAATAAAGGAGAGAAGAAGGTAATTAAAGACCTAAGGCCATACTCTAGACGCACAGTATTATTATATTTTATATTCTACCAATTACCATGCTTGCCCCTCCCCCTACTCTACAAACTAACTGGCATCAACCAGCTTATCTGGAAGACCTAAGCTTTGAGTCCCACATGGTCCCTGGACTGCATCCTGGCAAAATCCTTATTGCTCAAGTTTCTATGGAGAAAACAAATTATTGTTGTCAGGGAGGAATATGAGACTGCAGAAGCTGACACTATCTGCATGGCCATGGGAGGTATGTGGGATCTACACCAACGTAAAAGATTGTAGAGGCCAGGTGCATTGGCTGACACCTGTAATCCTAGCACTTTAGGAGGCCAAGGTGGGCGAATCACCTGAGGTTGGGAGTTCAAGACCAGCCTGGCAAGCATGGTGAAACCCCATGTCTATTAAAATACAAAAAATTAGCCAGGCATGATGGTGGGTGCCTGTAATCCCAGCTACTCAGGAGACGGGAGAATTGCTTGAACCCAGGTGATGGTGGTTGCAGTGAGCCGAGATTGCACTACTACACTCCAGCCTGGGCGGCTGAATAAGACTCCATCTCAAAAAAAAAGAAAAAAAAAAAGATTGTAGAATGTGAATTGTTCTGAAAAGAAATTCTACGGGAATATTTCTCCCCTGTTACATTTAAATATCATATTTTCCAAATGAAAGATTAAAAAATAAGAGCTTTTTGGAAAATGGAATTGATTGTCTTAGGATGTGAAGATACAAGACCTGGAGACCAGAAGGCATTTGCATAAATTACAATCCCACCTGCTTTATGGGCCCTTTGGCCACAACCTCTTAAAGTGAAGGACAAAAGACAAAGGGCCACAGTCATCAGGCCAGGTGGGATGCGAGGTCACGGAGGCCAGGGGTGTCATGAGAAGAATGAGCATACCTGGCTTCCAGCGTGGTTCCGCCACCACCTGGCTCTGCCTCTTTGGCATGGTCACTCCACTTTCTGGTCTAGGCTCCTCGTCAGTAGGATGACCAGTGAGGGACAGGGATGCCATCTCTCAAGCTCTTTCCACACTGGCATTTCATGACTCTGTTGAGTCTAACAAAATCTGTGCGTTGTTTTGGGCTTTAGGTTACTATTTCCCTCAAAAATCACTCTTTCTCCTTCTTTTCCTTCTCTCCCCCCTGTATGCACACCCTGTCCCTCTCTCCCTCTGACTTTCAGCTCAGAATCTGAAAAATCTTTCTAAGCCTAAATATATTGGTTACAATAATGTGCTCCTTACATTTTTTAACCTGGGGTCTCTGGTAGGCATTTGCTGAAAGCTTGAATTTAAATCTGTAGTTTCTTTTTTTTTTTTTTTTTTTTTTGGTGAGATGGAGATTTACTCTTGTTGCCCAGGCTGGAGTGCAATGGTGCGATCTCGGCTCACCGCATCCTCCGCCTCCCAGGTTCAAGCGATTCTCCTGCCTCAGCCTCCCGAGTAGCTGGGATTACAGGCATGTGTCACCACGCCCGGCTAATTTTGTATTTTTTTTTTTTTAGTAGAGACAAGGTTTCACCGTGTTGCCCAGGCTGATCTCAAACTCCTGACCTCAGGTGATCCGCCCACCTCGGCCTCCCAAAGTGCTGGGATTACAGGCGTGAGCCACTGCGCCCGGCCTAAATCTGTAGTTTCAAAAAAACAAGGAGGATGATAACACTGAATGTATGGTCACGTAGAGTGATTTCAAGGCAGTTTCCCTAAACAAATTCAACAGTACTTCTGCACAAATCTGATGAATATACTGTTTCTCTATTTCCCTTCAAATGGTCCCTTAAAATCAGGATCACTCTAAAGTCTCCATAATTGTTCTAAACCACATTGGGTCTTTCCATGCGGTCCTCTGCTACCATTTCTTAGCAAGCAGTCAGCATAAAAAAGGACTGGGTCAGCTCTCTGTGTGTCAGTGCTTGGCAGCACAGCTCCCCTGGGATGTGTCTCCTGGCACTTACCCAGCCTAGCTATCAACAATAAAAGCTTCTCTTTGTGCTTCCAGTAAGTCATAAATAAATCTCTTCAATCCCACCTGCTTTCTGAGAAGAGCTTTTTAACCATGTCCTTTACTTTGTGTTAAAAAAGACAGGGTTGCTGCTTTAGGAGTATAGTTTTAAAATGTCCACTAAGCAATTGCTCCCTTTCATTGTTTCCTACTCCCAACATTTAGATGTGTAATTTGAGTTACAGTCCCTTTAGTTGCCAGGTTCTGAGACTGGACTGCTTTCCCACTTTATGCTAATTGCCTTTTGAAGCTGCCCAGCCCTAAGTAATCCTCTTGTATAGAAAGTGTTAGCTGAGGAAGGAAGGGTTGATTCTTTGAGCAGCAGGGAAGGCATACCCTCCCCAGAACAGCAACTGCTCAAGGGGTGGGGGCAGTGACCTGCCTGGACATGGCTTCAGGAACTCTAATAACTATCACCAAAAGACAAGAGGGCCAGGATATTGGCCCCTAGGAGAGTACCAGCCACAAGACCAACACTAAAAGAAGAACAAGGCTAGTCGTGGTGGCTCACGCCTGTAATCTCAGCACTTTGGGAGACTGACTGAGGTGGGCGGATCGCTTGAGCCTAGGAGTTCGAGACCAGCCTGGGCAACATAGCAAAACCCTGTCTCTACTAAAAATACAAAAATTAGGCCAGGCAAAGTGGCTCATGCCTGTAATCCCAGCACTTTGGGAGGCTGAGGCAGGTGGAACGAGGTCAGGAGTTCAAGACCAGCCTGGCCAAGATGGTGAAACCCTGTCTCTACTAAAAAATACAAAAAAATTAGCCAGGCCTGGTGGCGGGTGCCTGTAATCCCAGCTATTTGGGAGGCTGAGGCAGAGAATTGCTTGAACCCCGGAGGTGGAGGTTGCAGTGAGCCGAGATCGCACCACTGCACTGCAGCCTGGGCGACAGAGCGAGACTCTGTCTCAAAAAAAAAAAAGAAAAAGAATTAGCCAGGCGTGGTGGCGTGAGCCTATAGTCCCAGCTACCTTGGAGGCAAAGGTGGGAGGATCCCTTGAGCCCAGGAGGTCAAGGCTCCAGCAAGCTGAGATGTCGCCACTGCACTCCAGCCTGGGTGACAGAGCAAAACTCCGTCTCAAAAATAAACCAACCAAACAAAAAAAACCCAGCAAAATAGATTTCCTATTTAGCCAAAGAAGAAAATAGTTAACCTTGATTGCAGTCCAAACAGGTTGGATTTCTTAAACACCACTCATCAGAAATCTCTGAAACATCAGGCCTCATATGACTGTTCTGAGGTAAACATTAATCCTATTTTCCAGCAAGCTGTAGAATGAGGTCAAGCACATTTATTTTCTACTGCAGTCAATGTTGGAATTAAAGAAATCGGCTGAATCCATTCTCAAAATTACATAAATGAGTCACTTCAGCTGATTCATCATTGAGTTCATATAAGCAACTTGTTTCCTGGGGCATTAAAAATTGAAGTACGAATTTTTTGCCTCTTACATCCCACGGGCCATCAAAGAGGCCCAGAAGGACTAGATATGAATATTACCAGAAAGAGTCTCCCGTCTGAACTCTGGTCCCTATAAAAGGAAATAGATTCTCGTGTTTGTCTATACTTCCCCTCTCTCGTAATGCCAAACTCTGCAAGAGAACTTTGTGGATATTCCCACAATTCAGATGAGTTTTCTACATTTTAAAAAAATTATAAGCCAGGTGTGATGGCTCACACCTGTAATCTCAGCATTTTGGGAGGCTGAGGCTAGAGGAGTGCTTGAGCCTAGGAGGTCAAAGGCTGCAGTGAGCCATGACTGTGCCACTGCATTCCTGCTGGGCAACAGAGAGAGACCCCGTCTCTAAATATATACATATATTTATTTATGTATATATAAATAAATATATATATGTATATATATTTACAAATATATACATTATATATATATATATAATGTAAAAATTAAAATCATAATTATAGGACCAATGTCCATGAACTTCCCACCCCCTCAAGAACTGGAGCGTCAGGAACCACATCGTGATGCAGGACTCTTGATGGAGCTCCGCATGCTCCCGCCCGGACAGCAGCCCTTTCCTCCCACATGGAAGAATCAGTGCTTATTCTCTTGCTTTTCTTGATGGTTTTGGTACATATGTGTGCATAATTGGACAAAACTGTTTAGTTTTCTGGCCATCTGTATTAGTTTGCTATGGCTGCTAGAACAAAGTACCACAAACTGGGTGCCTTAAACAACAGAAATTTGTTGTCTCAGTCCTGAAGCCTAGAAGTCCAAAAGCAAGGTGTTGGCAGGACTGGTTTGTTCCCAGCGCCGTGCAGGAAGGATCTGTTCCAGTCCTCTCTCCTTGGCTTCTCCATGGCCACCTTCTCCCTGTGTCTGTCTGCCTTCTGTGCAGGTCTGTATCTCTGTTCAACTTTCCTCTCTTTATGAGGACAACAGTCATAGTGGATTGGGGCCCACTCTAATGATCTCATTTTAACTTGATTACAACTCCCTGAAGCTGATGAAGTCTCTGCAGGGGCCGACAGCTGCAGGCATCTGCCAACAACTCTCCAGTAGCAGGGACAACAAGCCCCTTAGTACAGGGGGATCGGGGCAGTGCATCACAGTGTCCACAACACTGGCTGTGGAGTCTGCCAAAATGGAGTCTTGCGACCGGGCGCGGTGACTCACGCCTGTAATCCCAGCACTTTGGGAGGCCAAGGTGGGCAGATCACGAGGTCAGGAGATCGAGACCACCCTGGCTAACATGGTGAAACCCTGTCTCTACTAAAAATATAAAAAATTAGCCGGGCGTGGTGGTGGGTGCCTGTAGTACCAGCTACTCGGGAGGCTGAGGCAGGAGAATGGCGTGAACCTGGGAGGTGGAGGTTGCAGTGAGCCAAGATCGTGCCACTGCACTCCAGCCTGGGTGACAGAGTGAGACTCCGTCTCAAAAAAAAAAAAAAATGGAGTCTTGCTGTATGTGGCGTGATCTCGGCTCACTGCAACCTCTGCCTCCCGGGTTCAAGTGATTCTCCTGTCTCAGCCTCCCGAGTAGCTGGGATTACAGGCGCCCGGCACCATGCCCATTTAATTTTTTGTATTTTTAAAAGTAGAGATGGGGTTTCACAATGTTGGCCAAGCTGGTCTTGAACTCCTGACATCAGGTGATCCACCACCTTGGCCTCCCAAAGTGCTGGGATTACAGGTGTGAGCTATCTCGCCCAGACTTAATATTTTCTTTTGTTTCTTTCTTTCTTTTCTTTTTTTTTTTTTTTTTGAGACAGAGTCTCGCTGCGATGCCCCAGCTGGAGTGTAATAGTGAGATCTCGGCTCACTGCAACCTCCGCCTCCGGTGTTCAAGTGATTCTCCTGCTTTAGCCTCCCAAGTATCTGGGATTACAGGTATGCACCATCATGCCTGGCTAATTATTTTTTGTATTTTTAGTAGAGATGGGGTTTCACCATGTTGGCCAAGCTGGTCTCGAACTCCTGACCTCAGGTCATCCACCACCTCGGCCTCCCAAAGTGCTGGGATTACAGGCATGAGCCACCACGCTGGCCCCCAAAATTTTTTAAATTAAATTAATTAATTAATTAATTAATTTTTGAGACAGGGTCTTGCTCTGTTGCCCAGGCTGGGGTACAATGGTGCGATCTTGGCTCACTGCAACCTCTGCCTCCCAGGCTCAAATGATGCTCCAACATCACCATCCCAAGCAGTTGGGATTACAGGCATGCACCATCACACCCAGCTAGTTTTTGTATTTTTTTGTAGAGATGGGATTTCACCATTTTGCCCAGACTGGTCTCGAACTCCTGGACTCAAAGGAGTCCACTCACCTCGGCCTCCCAAAGTGCTGGGATTACAGGCATGATCCACTGTGCCTGGCCTCAAACTTTATTAATACTTTCAAACACATTCAAAAGTAGAGAGAATAATATAACCTGTCTCTCGTTATTACTATTATTATTGTTTTAAATCAGACTTCATGTCATTTCACCCTACATACTTGAGTACCTATCTCTTACAAATATGGACATTTTCTTACATAGCCTCAATGTAATTGTCATACCTAATAAATTAACAATTTCTTGGTCCATATTCAAATTTCCCTGATTACCTCAAAATAAATTATTTTGTAATTGGTTTGTTTGAATTAGTATCCAAATGAGGAGAACACATTATTTTGGTTATGTCTCTTTTATTTTATTTTATTTATTTATTTATTTTCAAAAAGAATCTCACTCTGTCACCCAGGCTGGAGTGCAATGCCGTGATCTTGGCTCACTGCAACTTCTGCCTCCCGGGTTCAAGCTATTCTCCTGCCTCAGCCTCCCGAGCAGCTGGGACTATAGGTGGGCCCCACCACGGCCCAGCTAATTTTTGTATTTTTAGTAGAGACTAGGTTTCACCATGTTGCCCAGGCTGGTCTCAAACTCCTGACCTCAAGTGATTTGCCCACCTTGGCCTCCCAAAGTGCTGGGATTACAGGCGTGAGCCGTCAAGCCCGGCTTCTTGTCTTTTAATCTGAAGCCATTCCTCTTCCATTTTTTTTAAATCCCCATGCCATTGTCCTGTTGAATAAACTGGGTCAGTTGTTGATATAGTTTGGATATTTGTCCCCGCCCAAATCTCATTCTGTGTTCTCACTTATAAGTGGGAGCTAAAAGATGAGAACACATGATCACATAGAGGGGAACAATACACACTGGGGCCTACTGGAGGGTGGAGGGTGGGAGGAGAGAGAGGATCATGAAAAATAACTAATGGATACTAGGCTTAATACCTGGGTGATGAACTAATCTGTACAACAAACCCCCATGACACATGTTTACCTATGTAACAAACCTGGGCATCCTGCACACAAACTCCTGAACTTAAAATAATAAGTTAAAAAATAATAATAATAGCCGTGCATGGTGGCTCACGCCTGTAATCCTAACACTTTGGGAGGCTGAGGCAGGTGGGTCACTTGAGATCAGGAGTTCGAGACCAGCCTGACCAACATGGTGAAACCTCGTCTCTACTAAAAATACAAAAATTAGCCAGGTGTGGTGATGCACATCTGTAATCAGCTACCCAGGAGGCTGAGGCAGGAGAATTGCTTAAACCTAGGAAGCGGAGGTTGCAGTGGGCCAAGATCTTGCCACTACACTCCAGCCTGGGCAACAGAGTGAGTGAGACCCTGTCTCAAATAATTATAAAAATAGGCCGGGCACAGTGGCTCATGCCTGTAATCCCAGCACTTTGGGAGACCGAGGCGGGCGGATCACCTGAGGTCAGGAGTTCGAGACCAGCCTGACCAACATGGAGAAACCCCATCTCTACTAAAAATACAAAATTAGCCAGGTGTGGTGGCACATTCCTGTAGTCCCAGCTATTTGGGAGGCTGAGGCAGGAGAATCGCTTGAACCCAGGAGGCAGAGATTGCAGTGAGCCAGACAGTGTGCCACTGCACTCCAGCCTGAGCAACAAGAGCAAAACTCCGTCTCAAAATAAATAAATAAATAAAAATAATAATGATAAGTAATAATTTAAAAATTAAAAACAAAAATCAAATCTAGGGCCGGGCGTGGTGGCTCATGCCTATAATCCCAGCACTTTGGGAGGCTGAGGTGGGCGGATCACAAGGTCAGGAGTTCAAGACCAGCCTGGCCAGCATG
Organism: Homo sapiens; assembly: GCF_000001405.40. Taxonomy (NCBI): domain Eukaryota; kingdom Metazoa; phylum Chordata; class Mammalia; order Primates; family Hominidae; genus Homo; species Homo sapiens. The sequence goes on along the minus strand of NC_000012.12, from coordinate 49,209,620 downwards.
GTGAAACCCCATCTCTACTAAAAATACAAAAGTTAGCCAGGCGCGGTGGCACACGCCTGTAGTCCCAGCTACTCAGGAGGCTGAGGCAGGAGGATTGCTTGAATCCGAGAGGCCGAGGTTACAGTGAGCTGAGATTGTGCCACTGCACTCCAGCCTGGGCGACACAGTAAGACTCTGTCTCAAAAAAAAACAACAACAGAAAAAAACAAAAACAAATCTCATGTTGAATCGTAATTCCCAGTGCCAGAGGTGGGGCTTGGTGGGAGGTGTTTGGATTATGGGGACAGATCCCGGGTGGCTTGGTGCTGTCTTCACAGTAGTGAGTTCTCTTGAGGAGATCTGGTTGTTTAAAGGTGTGTGGCACCTCCCTGCCCTCTTGTTCCTGCTTTCGCCATGTATTGGGGGCTCCCCCTTTGCCTGCCACCATGACTGTAAGCTTTCTCAGGCCTCCCCAGAAGCCGAGCAAAAGTCAGCACCATGCTTCCCATAAAGCCTGCAGAACTGTGAGGCAATTAAACCCCTTTTCTTTATAAATTACCCAGCCTCGGGGGTTTCTTTATAGCAATACAAGAACAGGCTGACACAGTTCTCTTTAAAATGGCCCACATTCGGAATTTGCTCATTTGCTTCTTGGTGGTTTATTTAACTTGCCCCTCTATTCTCCATATTACCTGTAAGAAGGTAGCTCGAAGCCTTCATCAGATCCGGATTCAAGGGTCTATCTCACAGGCCGTGCCGTGCGCTTCACACTGCATCACACGAGGAGGCACACAGTTTCCGGTTCTCCAGCTGTTAGAGATGCCGAGACTCATTAGCAGATTCAAGGTGTGACGGACTGGTGCCTTCATTGTAAAATGCCTCAACTTGCTTGTAATGGTATCATCCTTTGATGACCTTTACCTGAGTCAATTATTTGCTATTAAGGGGTGCGAAGTGGCAATTTTCGAATTCTGTACTTTTTTCTACATTTATTAGCTAAAATGATTTTGTAAAGAAGTGCTATTTGGTTGCCTGAAACATAGTTAATATGGAAAAGAGAAGATAAAGCTTAATTTCTTCCCTTTAAATTGCCAATTTTCAGAATATAGTGACAAATGAATGTTTTTTGTTTTCTGTCTTTAAAAATCTCATTATGAATTCATGATCTGAAAAATATGATCAGTGTGTCACTTTCAATTGCAGTAATGGTTCTTTTCAATGCGTATAGTGTCTTGTTTGGGGCCAATAATAGCTTCATGTTGGCTCCTGTAGCCTTTTGACAATCCCATTAATTTTTTGGATAACTTCTTTGCTTTCTGGCATAACAAGATGTACCAGGCACATTGTGCACATTTTATGCTTCAGACCAGGAATTAGCCATTTCTCCAAAAACCCCTGATTCATTATCTTCTAGAAGCTCTGAGTTTTTTTTTTTAAAGACCTGATTCTTTTTAGTAGAAAATAGTTTTTTAAAATAAATTTCTTTGTTGTAGAATAGTTTTTGATTTACAGAAAAATTGCAAAGATACATAGAAATTCCATATATCCAGTTTAACCTGTTATTAGTATCTTACATTAGTATGATATATTTTCCCCAAATAATGAGCCAACATTGATATATTATTATTAACTGAAGTCCATACTTTATTCGGATTTCTTTAGTTTTCTTTCTTTTTTTTCTTTTCTTTTTTTTTGTTTTGAGACAGAGTCTCACTGTTGCCCAGGCTGGAGTGCAGTGGCACGATTTCGGCTCACGGCAACTGCCGCCTCCCGGGTTCAAGCGATTCTCCCACCTCAGCCTCCCAAGTAGCTGGGATCACAGGTGTGTGGCACCACATCCAGCTAATTTTTTTTGTATTTTTTTTTTAGTAGAGATGGGGTTTCACCATGTTGGCCAGGCTGGTCTCAAACTCTTGACCTCAAGTGATCTGCCCACCTCATCCTCCCAAAATGTTGGGATTACAGGCGTGAGCTACCATGCCTGCCCAGAATAGTTTTTCGTTGTTGTTCCTTTGGTTTTGTTTTTTTTTTTTTAATTGAGATGGAGTCTCACTCTCACCCAGGCTGGAGTGTAGTGGCGCAATCTTGGCTCACTGCAATCTCCACCTCCCAGGTTCAAGCATTTCTCCTGCCTCAGCCTCTAGAGTACTGGATTACAGGCGCCCACCACCACACCTGGCTAATTTTTGTATTTTTAGTAGAGATGGGGTTTCACCATGTTGATCAGACTTGCTCGAACTCCTGACCTCATGGTCTGCCTGCCTCGGCCTCCCAAAGTGCTGGGATTACAGGTATGAGTTTCTTTCTTTCTTTCTTTTTCTTTCCCTTCCTTCCTTCCTTCTTTCCTTCCTTCCTTCTCTTTCTTTTTTTTTTCTTTTTGACGGAGTCTCGCTCTGCCGCCCAGGCTGGAGTGCAGTGGTGCAATCTCAGCTCACTGCAACCTCTGCCTCCCAGGTTCAAGTGATTCTCCTGCCTCAGCCTCCTGAATAGCTGGGACTACAGGCACGCACCAGCATGCCCAGCTAATTTTTGTATTTTTAGTAGAGACAGGGTTTCACCATGTTGGCCAAGATGGTCTCGATCTCATGACTCGTGATTCATGACCTCGTGATCTGCCCACCTCGGCCTCCCAAAGTGCTAGAATTACCGGCGTGAGCCACCACACCCGGCCTCTCTCTCTTTCTTTTTTTTTTTCTTTCTTTCTTTCTTTTAGCGAGTTGTGACCAACTTTTAAAAAGTGAAATCGAATTTAAAAAATAGAGTGTATTGTGTACAGTAAGAGTAAATATTATTTTGTTATAATATGAATGCAAAGTATACTTTTAACAATAGATGGATGGTCAACAAGTTTGGAAAAATGCTGAACTAGTGGACCATATATGATCTGCTTTACAAAATCACTAGAAAAATCTAAATGTAAGTTTAAATCTATATTTAGCATAAAAAATTATGCCAGAAGGCCTTAATTAGGATTAGAAGGATTAGAATTTAGGCTGCTTGGGTTTGAACTCTGGCTTTATTATTTACTTGGTGACATTTGGCAACTTAATTAAACTTTTTGTGCCTCAATTTTGTCATCTGTAAAATGGGATTAATTATAATATCTATCTCTGAAAGTTGTGGTGAAGAATAAATGAGTTAATACAAATATAATACCCAGAACACAGCCTGGCACATAGTCATAACTTTAAAATGTTAGTTATTATTATAGATGTTCTCAGTTCATTTAGCAATACAAGTCAAGATTTTTAAATCCTATTTTTCTAATAATTACCATTTAAAGTCAGATCGTAAGGCTTCTCACTTGTTGTAACTAAACCAGTCATCTACAGATTTCAATAAAGATCCTTTAGGTAATCATCTCAGAAATGAAAAGCTAACCACAAACACTGTAATGAGAAAACTGTGCTATTCCTGCAACCTGCTTTGTGCCTTTTTTTGTAGGCAATCCGGATATATCCAATCTTCTGAAAAGATTGGATCCTACTATAGCCTGCCCTGTGTTAGATGGTGAACATAATTTCTAGCAAGTTTTGTGTTTGAGGGCGCGTGCAATACTCCCCCATTTAACGAAAGTTGTGTTAGCACATGTCACTGAGCAAATGACTTCCTTCATTTATATGATTTGAGAAATCCAGCAAGATGATGCCAGGTGACACAAGGATGAACTATGCTTCATTGAAGTTACACTGATGACATATTGCTTTTATTATTTATTTATTTATTTATTTTGAGACAGATCTGTCTGTGTTGCCAAGGCTGGAGTGCAGTGGCACGATCATGGCTCACTGCAGCCTCAACTTCCTGGGCTCAAGTGATCCTCCCATGTCAGCCTTCAGAGGAGCTGGGATTACAGGCACATTGCTCTTTAAGAACTCCTCTCCTAGTGGTTTTCTGCTAAAATGTTTATTTATTTTATTTACTTATTTTGAGATGGAGTCTTGCTCTGTCGCCCAGGCTGGAGTGCAGTGGTGCGATCTCGGCTTACTGCAACTTCCACCTCCCTGGTTCAAGCAATTCCCCTTCCTCAGCCTCCTGATTACCTGGGATTACAGGCTTGCACAACCATGCCCGGCTAATTTTTTTTTTTTTTGTATTTTTAGTAGAGACGGGGTTTCACCATGTTGGCCAGACTAGTCTCGAACTCCTGACCTCAGGCAATCTGCCCTCCTTGGCCTCCCAAAGTGCTGGGATTATAGGTGTGAGCCACTGCGCCTAGCCTTCTGGTAAAATGTTAACTGGCACTGAGAGAGAAAGAAAGGAAAAAGTCTTGATTTGTAGCATTTGCCAATTTCCATGATGTAAATGTTTCTATCATGGCCCATTTCAGGCCACCAGTGTGATATCACTGAACACTGAGTTGGGAATGGGTGTATACACCTGATTCTCAGGAGTCTTCCAGGTAGGCTCCAGGACACCACCTGCAAGTGACTATTTCATGTTTTGTGCTCAGTGTGTATGTAAGAAGAAATGCATTTTAAAATGGAAAAAAAAAATATGTATTAAATGTTTCTTTGTGCTAAGAATACCAATGCAATGGATTTTTTGATTATGCAAAGGGAAAGCCAAGATTTTCTTCTGAAATGAAGATGTTGAGACAATATGGCTCCAAGGCACTGAACCAAGCCTTGAAGAATGTGAAATGCTGCAGTCCTCTAGACAGTTCTTCTAAAAACACATTCTTTATTAGAATGAATTAGAATTAGAATTCAGGCCACACATGGTCCCTAAAATGGATCTCCTGCTCTTATTAGATAAGAAAAGGAGGGGAGAAGATCAGATGAATGCAGGAAGGCTCTAGGGACAAGTTTTTGCCTCACACTGAAAAAGAACTATCAGGTCGACTGGACTGGCATCACAGAGCCCAGTGGGAACTATCCATCTAAAGACACCATGGAGGTCTTCCAGATTGAAGCACCTAGAGTTGAGGAAATCCAAGGATGGGGAATTGTTAGTTCTAGATGATCATCCAGGTAGGGCCCTGTGGGAAGGCCCAGCCCCAGAGTGAGCAGGCATTCCGAGTCACCATTATCCTGTAAGGGGACAGAGGGACTCTAGAGCCTGTGTTCCTCACCCTGACACAATACTGTACTGCACAATTTAATTCCATATAGAAAGCTTTCTCTGTTACACAAAATATGTAAAATAATGGTTAAGGGATGTTGAGCGGTTTATTCAAAAAAATAATAATAATAGGCCAGTCTCAGTGGCTCATGCTTATAATCCCAGTAGTTTGGGAGGCCAAGGTGGGTGGATCACTTGAGGTCAGGTGTGCAAGACCAGCCTGACCAACATGGTGAAACCCTGTCTCTACTAAAAATACAAAAATTAGCTGGGCATGGTGGCATGCATCTGTAGTCCCAGCTACTCCAGAGGTTGAGGTAGAAGATTGCTTGAACCTGGGAGGCGGAGGTTGCAGTGAGCCAAGATTGCACCACTGCAGTCCAGCCTGGATTACAGAGTGAGACTCCATCTCAAAAATAAACAAATAAATAAATAAAATAATGGTTGAGAGTCAAACACTAAAGCCAGATAGACAAGTTTGCATTTTCATTTTGTTACTTATCAGCTGTAAGAGACCTTGCTTGGACATACTATTTTAATTAATTTATTTATTTAGAGACAGAGTTTTGCTCTTGTTGCCCAGGCTGGAGTGCAATGGCACGATCTTGGCTCACAGCAACCTCTGCCTCCTGCGTTCAAGCAATTCTGCCTCAGCCTCTGGAGTAGCTGGGATTACAGGCATGTGCCACCATGCCCAGCTAATTTTGTATTTTTAGTAGAGATGAGGTTTCTCCATGTTGATCAGGCTGGTCTTCAACTCCCGACCTCAGGTGATCCGCCCGCCTTGGCCTCCCAAAGTTCTGGGATTACAGGCGTGAGCCACTACGCCCAGCCATACTATTTAAATTTAAACCTCAGCTTCCTCAACTGAGAAAAATAGTGAATATAATTGTATCTACCCCCTAGAATTATTTTGAGGATAAAATAAATGATTAAATTACATAATGAATACCAAGTATTTATGAAGCGGCTATGTTGTCTGGGGTATATACCCTGGGGTACTCCCATACCCTAACTATCTGCCTAAGTGATTTTTTCTTAACTCCCGTATTACTTATAGACTTCATTAGGTGCTGTAATCACAATAATAAATATCTCAGCTGGACGTGGTGGCTCACACCTGTAACCCCAGCACTTTGGGAGGCTGAGGCAGGAGGATCGCTTGAGGCCAGGAGTTTAAGACTAGCCTGGGCAACATGGTGAAACCCCAGTTCTACTAAAAATACAAGAAATTTGCTGGGCGTGGTGGTGCATGCCTGTAGTCCCAGCTACTCAGGGGTGTTGAGGTGGGAGGATTGCTTGAGCCCGGGAAGTTGAGGCTGCAGTGAGCCCTGATTGTGCCACTACACTCTAGCATGGGCTACAGAGTCTCAATACATACATAAATAAATATCTCTTCAGATACTCTTTTGGAGTATAGGCACCTGAAAGAAGTACATATTTATGTCATCTCAACATTAATCTTTTCTAAATTTCAGCTCAGATTTGCAATTCTTTCCCATTTCAGAGCTGTAACTATCTACCTCTGAGTAGAAAACACACAGGAAACAAAATATTTGTACAGGATGGTGTAAGTAAGTTGTATTGACTTGGGGTTCATGTAAGACCCAAAAAATTGAGTTTTGAGAGATGATTTCAGTCGTTTCTGGGGATGACACTGATGTGGATCTTTAATCGGAATATTCTAGACTCTTCTGTGGAAATAGTATCATCATTTGTACCATGGTTCTGTGAACACAAAGGTGATCTCAAGCTGTCAGCAAGTGTTGATGCCTTAGAACTAGAAGTCACCTAAAACTGGTGAAATATTTCTTTTCTCTGCTCTTCATCTGATTTATTTTATTTTATTTTTAACTATTTTTTATTTTTTATTTATTTATGTTTTTTGCGATGGAGGTTCGCTCCTGTTGCCCAGGCTGGAGTGCAATGGCATGATCTCAGCTCACCACAACCTCTGCCTCCCAGGTTCAAGCGATTCTCCTCCCTCAGCCTCCCGAGTAGCTGGGATTACAGGCATGTTCCACCATGCCCAGCTAATTTTGTATTTTTAGTAGAGACGGGGCTTTTCCATGTTAGGCTGGTCTCAAACTCCCGACCTCAGGTGATCCACCTGCCTCAGCCTCCCAAAGTGCTGGGATTACAGGCGTGAGCCACCGCGCCCGGCTGTCTGATTTATTTATTTATTATTTTATTGGTTAAAGCTGATGACGCTAGGATATAAATCTTATTTTAATTAAACCATCACAATGTCCACTCTGCTCTGCACGGAAAGATTGGCATTGATGAAGAAGAAGCTGAGGATGAGCTCTGTGTGAAGCCTCCATTTTACACAGATTTTCACTGAACACAAGATGAACCGTCTTCTATAAAACCACTGGGGATGATGTGCGCTGGATTTTTTGCAACGATTTTTATCTCTGGTGTTTCTGGCACTGACTAAGGTTTCAGGCAGACAGAGGCATGGAGGACCTAGCGACAATCACTAGGGAGCTTCCTGGTTGCTAGCAACAGTAAATACCATGAAGACACAATGACACAAAGACTCAACTTTTCACATACACACAATGAGACCTGGAGCCTGGTTTCTTATTTCAGATACAGAGTCCTTGAGATACAGTACAAAGGCTTCTTCTCTCTCTCCTTTGTATTAAATTTTTTAAATTGTGTGCAGAAACACATACTGCCCAAGAGCCTATATGACCATCTTGCTGCTCAATTTGTCTAAGAACACTTGTATTCTAACCTTCCTCTCAGTACTGTCATTTTTTTACTATTTTGAGGGAGAAATAGAAGGAAATAAGCTGTTTATCTGACTTGGGGATTTTAAATTATGTGTGACTTTGAAAAACTCATTTGTAAATACCTGTCTTCTGTAAGAGTTATAATTGATTTCCACTCTTCTGAAAATATTCAGAAAAACTATCTGAAAGATCTTCTTCTCCAAGCTTATTCTCTATTTTGTTTTTAGAAAAGGTAGAAGCATACAGAATATGAAATACAGCACTGGCAATTTAAGGTTTTTCCATGACTCATTCAAGGAAATTGCATAATAGCCTTTCCCTGCCAAGTTCACAGACTCTTCTCAAATACCTTGCAATTTTCCTTATTCTATTCCTTTATTCCTCAACCTCATCTCTCTTTCCTTCTTTTCTATGTGCCATTAACTTTTTTCTCTTTTCTCTAAGGCTGTAAAACTCTCTAGGGTATAGTCATGTGATAGGCAAGGTGACAACGGAAATTTGAAATACCCCCAACCTTGCTAGTCTGTCTCCTAGCAACTGTATAATACGTTGCTTAGTAACATGGGGGTGAGAGTGAAGTCGCTCTTACAAATCTAAAAATACTGAAATCATTTTAAAAAGATTAATAGTGGGCTTATTTATTAAAATATACTAAATCCATAAATAGTCTTGCCATATAAGGGACTTATTTCAGGCTATGCTATCTTGAGTGAAACTCTACATCTCTTATAATCTGTAGACAGTACTAGAACAACAGATTGCTGTTCACATAAGCAGATGAAGGAAAAAACCCACAGCGTTCTCTAAGCCTTTCTCTTCTACACATGTATAATCAAAGTTTACATCCACAGGGAAATGGAGAAATGTTTGCTAAATGATCTTTTAGGCTAGGCAGATGAAGAAAAAGCTAGGCAGCTTTTTCTAAGTTCTCTTTTGCCTGTGCATAATTGATTTCTAAATCTAAAGGAAGGTGGATCCAGCATTATCTCCAGAGAAGTTTAAAAAAAAAAAAAAGAAAAAATATTTTAAAAAGGGAATATGGAGAGACATTTCTTAAAATGCTCTTTGAGGCTAGGCTTCACTAGGAGTTGTGTCTTTAGGGTTAACAACCATAAATAAAGTAATTTTCAGTAAATTTATCGAGCGGATATCAGAATTTAGAAATAGCTGAACCACATCAAGCACACTAAAATTGTTTAGCTCAAAAATGATAAATTATTAATTCTAGGAGAGTATTATTTACTGAATTAGACCTACTGAATCAGACTCTCTGGTGGAGGAACTGGGGATCCATATTTTAACCAGCACCCCAATTACTTCAGCACATTTAGGAAACACTGGTGTACATGATCATTCCAACATGTTATAGGGGGGTATCTTCTATTTTAGTCTTAGATTTATGCCTGTAACACTTGAAGAGGGAGGTTCAAAGCCCAACCTAAATATTCTGCCACGTCCTCCCCTTGATGTAGGCCCTTTGGCTAATAAGACTGGTCAAGGCTGGGCGTGGTGGCTCACGCCTGTAATCCCAGCACTTTGGGAGGCTGAGGTGGGTGGATCACCTCAGGCTGGGAGTTCGGGACCAGCCTGGCCAAAATGGTAAAACCCCATCTCTACTAATAATACAGAAATTAGCTTGGTGTGGTGGTGCACGCCTGTAATCCCAGCTACTCCGAAGGCTGAGGCAGGAGAACCACTTGAACCTGGGAGGCAGAGGTTGCAGTGAGCTGAGATCATGCCATTGCACTCCAACCTGGGCGGCAGAGTGAGACTTCCATCTCCAAAAAAAAAAGACTGGTAAAGCTTCAGAAGCCTCCTCAATTGTTCATTCTGCAAATGTTTATTAAGATAATTTTGAATTGTAATTGACAGAATTTAGTGATCAGTTAGGATTAACTTAAATGAATTAAAGTACTTAGAATAGTGCCTGGAACACAGTGTTATATGAGGTTATTATTATTATTTATTTTATATATATATATATATATATATATATATATATTTTTTTTTTTTTTTTTTTTTTTTTTTGAGACAGAGTCTTACTCTGTCACCCAGGCTGGAGTGCAGTGGTGCGATGTCAGGTCATAGCAACCTCCGCCTTCCAGGTTGAAGTGATTCTCATGCCTCAGCCTCCCTAATAGCAGGGATCATAGGTGTGAGCCACCACACTGGGCTAATTTTTGTATTTTTTGTAGAAATGAGGTTTCACCATGTTGGCCAGGCTGGTCTTGAATACCTGACCTCAAGTGATCAACCCACCTCGGCCTCCCAAAGTGCTGGGATTACAGGCATGAGCCACTGTGTCCAGCCGAGGTTATTTTAATCTAGCTTTGCAGACCAGAAAGATGGTGACAATGAACTAATATTAAGAATACAGGATCACTGAGAATATAAAATACAAGGAGAGAGATGGAGAAAAATAACAAATTCCATTTAGATATATTGAATTTGAGATGTGTGCAGGTTATCTGGGGATAAAATCAGTAAGAAATATAAGTCTTAAAGATGGAGGTGTGATGTATAAGACATTTTAAAAGTGAATTCTGACTTTTGTGTGACAAGCTGTATCTAAAAATGAACCAGTTCTAATTCCTCAGTGTTTTGTATCTGACAAGATCAATGCATCTGTAAACTTTTGGAGGCAATAAATGGTTTTTTGTTCACTAGTAAATCATTCTCATTCTGGTTTATCTACAGCATGGAATTAAGACAGAGATTTGAGAGAAAAGAGAGAAACCCACATTTGGAAGGTTGGGGGAAGGGACTCTGGAGCCTCTTTTGATTACAATTGAATCCCTGTAGCCAGTGCACCATGGCAACCTTCCCAGTCGGCCACCTCATTTCCATCTGCTTTGGAGAAGGAAGGGGGCAGGACAGAGGTGGTTCAATGTGCATTCTTGTGAGTATGTGTAAAATGCAACCGAATTATAAATTGTGTTTCGTGAAAACTGACATTCCCTATTGTCTTCTCTGTTTCCTTCTCTTTCTTGTCTTCTCCGGATGCCTTTGAGCCTCTTCAAGTTTTGTCCCCTTTCCTCAAATGTCAGATTTCATCAGTAGGCGTGGCTAAATTACCACTCCAATGTACCAGAGCAAAATTACAAATTAAAATGTGTATCTCAGGACTTAAATATTTTGTTTAAAAGAGTGGTCCAGAGGCTGGGCGCGGTGGCTCATGCTTGAAATCCCAGCACTTTGGGAGGCTGAGGCCAGCTGATTGCTTGAGCCCAGATGTTCGAGGCCAGCCTGGGCAACATGGAGAAACCCTGTCTCTACAAAAAATAGAAAAATTAGCTAGGCATGGTGGTCCCACCTACTCGGACTACCTACTACAGAGTAGGTAGTCCCACCTACTCGGAGGCTGAGGTATGAGGATGGCTTGAGCCCGGGAAGTCAGGGCTGCAGTGAGCTGTGATCATACCACTGCACTCCAGCCTGGGCAACAGAGTGAGACTGGGACACATAAAAAAAAAGACTGCTCCAGTAAATAAATGAACATTAATGAGTTACTTCAAAGCATTGTATTCCAATGCCAGAGATATATTTTTAATATTACAGGGTTCAGGTATTCATTGTGTTATTTTGTAAGTCCTACTTCTGGAATAGAAATCCATTAATGTTTATCTCTGCTATACACACAAAAATCCTTCCCCAAATAGATAAAACTCGGTTACCAGAATGACCACAGATAATTCTTACCATAGTTATCCAGAAAAAAACTATTATTTAGTAATACTGCATTGTTGGCCAGATCCTGAGAAAAAGAATGTTAAGCTTTAAATAAAATTCTGAATTCTAGATGTGGAACCATATTCTTACCTAAATGGTTAGTGTTGGAATTTGGTCAAGGTAAATTCAGTGGATAGTCTTTGTGTGGATAGCTACACATAGTGACAGCCAATTCATTCAATATATTGATCCATACTAAACCCTAAAATGAAGATAAACTTAAATTCCATGTATCATTATAATCATGTCCATTCCCTTGTTTACATTTAGAGTTTGAAGCGTGTTTAGCGAGAGAATTTAAGGAAAACCTGGTTGCTTGAATATACCCATTTACACTCCACCACGCACCAAGAAGGCAGTTTGGCATGGACAGGTATGCTCATTTCACAAAAGATGCAGAGGCAGTGATGTGGCATGAGACAGGTGACACCACAGGGAAATGAGGTTAGGAACTGTGAACCAACAGCACCTGGAAAACTGGACCACCAGCTTCATCTCTGTGTCCGTGTGGCAGCTCCTGGGCTGAACTCTATCTCACAGCACTCGTCACACTGTAATAACAGTTTCCTTCCTTGCACCTTGAGCTCCTCTGGGGCAGGAAACATTTTTTTTTGTCTTTTATGCCAAGCCCTTGCTTTATACTGATTTCCTTGTTACTAAATCCAATGAGCACTCTTCTGTCCTTATTTAAAGACTCCTCTGCAGTATTTAGTATTACTCAGCACTCTCTTGACACTCGCTCCTTCCTTTGTTTCTGTGACATCAACGTGTTCTGCTTTACCGCCTCCTTCTTTGTTTCCTTTTCTGACACTTCTTTCTCTTGCAGTTCTTTATTGTTTTTATTTTTATTATTATTTGTTATTATTATTATATTTTCTTGGAGATGGAGTCTCGCTCTGTCACCCATGCTGGAGTGCAGTGGTGCGATCTTGGCTCACTACAACCTCCACCTCCTGGGTTCAAGTAATTCTCCTGCCTCAGCCTCCTGAGTAGCTGGGACTACAGGCGCACGCAGCCACGCCCGGCTAGTTTTTTATATTTTAGTAGAGATGGGATTTCACCTTGTTGTCCAGGTTGGTCTTGAATTCCTGAGCTCAGGCAATCCACCCGCCTCGGCCTCCCAAAGTGCTGGGATTACAGGCATGAGCCACAGCGCCTGGCCTATTATTATTATTTTTGAGACAGAGTCTCACTCTGTCACCCAGGCTGGAGTGCAGTGGCACCATCACAGCTCATGGCAACCTAGACCTCCTGGGCTCAAGCGATCCTCCCACCTCAGCCTCCTAAGTAGCTGGGACAATAGGCGTGCACCACCACGCCCAGTTAATTTTTTTCTTTTTGGTAGAGATGGGGGTCTTGATATGCTGCCCAGGTTGGTCTCGAACTCCTGGGCTCAAGCAATCCTTTTGTCTCAGCCTCCCAAAGTGCTGAGATTACAGGCATGAGCCACCTCACCCAGCCTACTGTTTTTAATTATTTTTTTTTTTTTTGAGACAGAGTCTTGCTCTGTCACCCAGGCTGGAGTGCAGTAGCGTGATCTTGGCTCACTGCAACCTCCACCTCTCAGGTTCAAGCAATTCTCCTGCCTCAGCCTCTTGAGTAGCTGGGGTTACAGGCACTTGCCACCACGCCCAGCTAATTTTTGTATTTTTAGTAGAGACAGGGTTTCACCATGTTGACCAGGCTGATCTCAAACCCCTGACCTCAGGTGGTCCACCCACCTTGGCCTCCAAAGTGCTGGGATTACAGGCGTGAGCCACCATGCACGACCCTGTTTTTAATTTATTAAATCTGTTCCCAAACCTGGTAAATCAACCTGCTAAATATCCCTAAAAGTCCCCAAATCTATCTTGTTCCCATTCAGTGACATGACTTGAAATTATGGGTTACAGTTGGAGAATTCTATTCTCATACTATACCACCAGCTTTATAACCATGCTGTTGTCATTAGACACCAAATACACATCTCCATCCCCTCCAGTCCTGACTTTTCCCTAAGCAGTCCCAATCTCAGATTCCCAGCAGCCTCCAAGACTTCTGCCCTCAATTCCTCTATCACCTAAATGGTGTAACATTCAGCTTGTTAGGTCACATCGACTGAACTTTCCTGCCCTCAACACCCTCCCCCAGCACACACACAAATGCATTTTCTGCTTAGACTTGCATCTCTTCTCAACTTCCCTATTCTGTTAACAGCACCACTACCATTTCATTCTCTGAGTCTTCCAGGCTAAAAACTTTAAGGATTAGGCAGGGCACAGTGTCTCACGCCTGTGGTCCCAGCACTTTCAGAGGCTGGGGTAGAAGGACTGCTTGAGGCCAGGAGTTTGAGACCAGCCTGAGCAAGAAAAGTGAGATCCTCTCTACGGAAAAAGCCAAGTGTAGTGGTGTGGGCCTGTAGTCCCAGCTACACGGGAGGCTGAGGTAGGAGGATCACTTGAACCCAGAAGTTTGAGCCTGCTGTGAACTATGATTATGCCACTGCTCTCCAGCCTGGGCCCTGCCTCTGAAAAAAGAGAAAAGAAAAAAAACACTTTAAGGGTTGATTTTGACTCCTTCCTTTTTACCACATGTCCAACCAATCACCACCAGGATTCTTCCTTTGAATGATGTCTTCTCTTATCCCTTTCTATCCATTATGATGGCCTGAGACCTTCTACTTAGATTATTGCAATAACTGTATTGGTCTCATTCTCCAGTCTCTTTTCCTACTCCATACACCAGTCACATTAATTTTATGAAAATGCTGTTCCCTTCATAAATTTGTCCCGCTTTTTTTTTTTTTTTTTTACTTGGTGACAGGGCCTCTCTCTCTGTTGCCCAAGCTGGAATGCAGTGGCACAATCATCACAGCTCATTGCAGCCTTGACCTCCCAGGGTCAAGCATTCTTCCTGCCTCAGCTTCCCAAGTAGCTAGAACCACAGGTGCATGCCACCTTACCCAGCTAATTTTTAAAATTTTCTGTAGAAATGGGGTCTCTCTATGTCACCCAAACTGGTCTCGAACTCCTGGGCTCAAGCAAGCCTCATGCCTCGGCCTCCCAAAGTGCCAGGATTACAGGTATGAGCCACTACCCTTGGCCTGTCACTCTTTTGGATAAGAACATAAAGGCTTCAGCCAAGCGCAGTGGCTCACACCTGTCATCCCAGGACTTTGGGAGGCCAAGGCGGGTGGATCACCTGAGATTGGGAGTTCGAGACCAGCCTGACCAATATGGAGTAACTAAAAATACAAAATTAGCCAGGCATGGTGACGCATGCTTGTAATCTAAGCTACTTGGGAGGCTGAGGCAGGAGAATTGCTTGAACCTGGGAAGCGGGGGTTGTGGTGAGCCGAGATCATGCCATTGCACTCGAGCCTGGGCAACAAGAGTAAAACTCCGTCTCTCTCTCTCTCTCTTTCTGTCTCTCTCTCTCTCTATATATATATACATATATATGTATAAAGGCTTCACACTGTGTATGGACTCAATCCCAAACTCCTTCAGACTGAAGTTCAAACCATTTTGTTAACTAGCTCCACCCTCCCCATATAACACATCGCTTACCCACCCTTGAATGCCCTAATCAAGCCAATTTCTTTGTCCTCCCTTATCCAGGCAACAGTTCATCATTATACTATATCTTTGCTAATGTTATTTTTCCTATTTAGAGTACTTATTCCACTCCCATTCTATTCAAGAGCCACCATTTCTAATAAAAGCTTCCATTATAAACATTATACAGGCTCATGCCTGTAATCCTAACACTTTGGGAGGCCGAGGTGAGTGGATTGCCTGAGTTCAGCAGTTCGAGACCAGCCTGGGCAACACGGTGAAACCCCATCTCTACTAAAATACAAAAAATTAGCCAGGCATGGCAGCGTGTGCCTGTAATCCCAGCTACTCGGGAGGCTGAGGCAGGAGAATTGCTTGAACCCAGGAGGCAGAGGTTGCAGTGAGCCAAGATAGTGCCATTGCACTCCAGCCTGGGTGACAGAGCAAGACTCTGTCTCAAAACAAACAAACAAACAAACAAACAAACAAACATTAGTTCAATTTGAGATACCTGAGAAAACAAGCCAGAGACTGGAAATTGACTATATGATCTGAGGCTAAGAAGAGGTATCAGGAAGTCATCAGGCTGGGCGAGGTGGCTTACGCCTGCAATCCCAGCACTTTGGGAGGCAGAGGCAGGTGGATCACCTGAAGTCAGGAGTTCAAGACCAGCCTGGCCAGCATGATGAAGCCCAGTCTCTACTAAAAATAGAAAAATTAGCTGGGTGTGGTGGTGGCGCCTGTAATCCCAGCTACTCAAGAGGTTGAGGCAGGAGAATCGCTTGAACCTGGGAGGCAGAGGTGGCAGTGAGCCAAGATCATGCTATTGCACTCCAGCCTGGGTGACAAGAGCGAAACTCCGTCTTGGAAAAAAAAAAAAGAAAAAGGAATTCATCAGCACCAGGCACAGTGGCTCCCACCTGTAATCCCAGCTACTGGGGAGGCTGAGGTAGGAGGATCACGTGAGGCCAGGAGTTTGAGACCAGCCTAGGCAATATAGCGAGACTCAGTCTCTAAAAAAAAATTAAAAGTAAATAAATAAATAAAAGAAGTCATCGGCATATAGGAAGGATTTGAAGCCTTGGGAATGAATGCACTTGCCATCCACCAAAAAGGTCTAAGACCACATAGAATAAAATGAGGAAAAGGTCTAGGACTGAAGCTTGAGGAATTCCAACGTTTGAAGATTAGGGAAAGGAGGAGGAACCAGCAGAGACTGACCAGAAACAAAAATGTAGGAGAGAAACCCAGAAAATGTAGAGTTTTTGAGGCTAAGGGAAGAAAGTGTCTTGAAGGAGATAATAGTCAACTGTGACAAAGCCTGTCACAGGTCAACAAGAGCTAAAATGTGTCCAGTGGATTTAACAACTAAGATAGACCAGGCACGGTGGCTCACGTCTGTAATCTCAGCACTTTGGGAGGCTGAGGCAAGTTGGCCACTTGAGGCCAGGAGTTTGAGACCAGCCTGGCCAACATGAGGTAACCCCGTCTCTACTAAAAATACAAAAATTAGCTGGGCGTGGTCGTGGGCACCTATAATCCCCGCTACTTGAGAGGCTGAGGCAGGAGAATCATTTGAACCCAGGAGGCAGAGGCTGCAGTAAGCCGATATCGCGCCACTGAACTGGAGTGAGACTCCATCTCAAAAACAAACAAACAAACAAAAAACAAACAAGGAGGCACTTTAAAGGAGTGATAGGAGCAGAATCCAGTTTGAAATGGATTTAAGGATGAATAGGAGGTGAAGATGTAAAAAAAAAAGTGTTCAACAACTCGTTTCCCTCGTAAGTTATGATACACGGAGTCATGAAATAGATCCCCTCTATTGGGATCAATTGCATGGCCCCTCTCCAAACATACACACGTACATGTCATTCTCAAACCTATAGGAATGTACGTGTCTCAATTATTCCAATAAATTGGAAGATTCTAGAGAAAAGAGACCATGCTATTACCTCTGAATTCTTCACCACCTAGGATGGTCTTGGGCTTACTCAGTAAATGCTTGCTGATTATAAATGGTAAAATACTTTATTAAATATCTTTTTTTAAGACAGAGTCTCACTCTGTTGCTCAGGCTGGAGTGCAGTGGTATGATCTCAGCTCACTACAACCTCCGCCTCCCGAGTTCAAGCGATTCTTATGCCTCAATCTCTACAATAACTGGGATTACAGGCACAAGCCACCACACCTGGCTGGTGTTTTGTTTTGTTTTAGTAGAGGTGGGGTTTCGCCATGTTGGCTAGGCTGGTCTCGAACTCCTGAACTCAAATAATCCCCTGCCTCGGCCTCCCAAAGTGCTGGGATTAAAGGCATGAGCCACTGCGCAAGGGCTAATTTTTATGTTTTTGATAGAGACAGGGTTTCACCATGTTGTCCAGGCTGGTCTCAAACTCCTAACCTCAGGTGGCCCACCACCTTGGCCTCCCAAAGTGCTGGGATTACAGGAGTAAGCCACCGCTCTGGCCAATATCTTTACATTACTAAGCATGATAATAGGTAATGAAAATCTGCACAGGCCGGGCACCATGGATCATGCCTGTAATCCTAGCACTTTAGGAGGCTGAGGCAGGTGGATCACCTGAAGTCAGGAGTTCAAGACCAGACTGGCCAACATGGCGAAACCCCGTCTCTACTAAAAACACAAAAATTAGCTGGGTGTGGTGGCCAGCACCTGTAATCCCAGCTACTCGGGAGGTTGAGGCAGGAGAATCGCTTGAACTCGGGAAGCGGAGGTTGCAGTGAGCTGAGATCATGTCACTGACTCCAGCCTGGGCAACCGAATGAGACTCCATCTCAAAAAAAAGAAAGAAAGAAAGAGAGAAAGAAAGAAAGAGAGAGAGAGAGAGAGAGAGAGAGAAAGAAAGAAAGAAAGGAAGAAAGAAAGAAAGAGAAAGAAACTGCACAGAGAGCTGTTCATTTAATTGAGCAAACATGTAGTGTATAACGTCTACTGTAGTTAGGCACTTTGACAGGAATTAGGACTTACATTTTAATGGAGGAGAAATGTAGACATGTGAATAAATGATTAAAATTCTACAAATATTATGAAAGAAGAATGTTTTATGCTAATCTTACTGTGTACAAGAATGAATCCATTAGCAGAATACTTGTACATGTATATTGATGTCAAATTTTTTTAAATGGCAATAAAAATAAGAGATGAACTAGTAAAAAAAGTATTGTTTTCCTTTCCACAGTTTGAGTGCTATTAAATCAGATAATAAAGAACAAAAATTATAGATTAGTTATTTCCCCGATCTCTTGTTTATATATTTGAGATTATCAGTGCCTAAATAGTCTATTTCTGACCTAGATCTTGTTACATATGCCCAAGCGGAGGGAATAACCCTCATTTACATAAGGAACAGAATGGCTCTGAGATAGAATTTCAAAGAATCAACCACGTGAACCCTCCTCTCTTTTATTTAATCCTTTGGAAATTGCATAAAGAACTGAGACTATTGGATAAGTGACATATTTCTTAATTAATCTTTTTATATTGTAAAGAAAATAATGTTCAAACTCTGCTTCTCATTCCAAAAAGACTTGTACATGTTACTATAGTCCAATAGTGTCTGATATATTTTATTATTAAAATTGTGAAAGTATTTTGAATGAGCTACTTATTAATCCTTATGCTTCCTTATGCCATTTAATTCTTATTTTTGTTAAATATATTTCTGGGTTCTGAAAGAAGCATTCAAATACCTAATCCTCCTGTCTCTTCTGAAATATACTTTTTTTTTTTTTTTGCTAAAGAAGTGGAGATAAGATGATGTTGAGGATTATTTTTTCCTAGGAAATATACAATAAGTAGATAAAATGATTTTTGCATTTTGGATATTATTTTTTTTCCAGAGAATATTACTGAAGCAAAATTGATCAAGTAAAGCAGAACTGTGGATGGCAGGCTAGAAAAATCTGTGGTCGCCATTGTCACACCACAACCTGCAGCAGCTGTATTCTCAAGTCCCTCCCTCCCACGCCCTTCTTAGCCTGCCAGCCTAGCAGGAATGAATGGGTTCCGCAGAGCACTGTGTGAGTAGTGCTGCAGACCCTGAAAATTTGTCTCTGAAAACCAAAAGGAAAAATTATTTGTAAAAAATAAATTTTCAACTTTAGTGGCCAAACTTATTTACCTCTGAAATTTCATCACCAACATCCAGTGGTACGAAGTCCAGTGACTTACTCCGGATCGTTGCTGAGAATGGAGGCTTCCTAAATATCAAGATAATTTTACTCCAATTTATTTCCTAGGGGTGAAAGCAAAGCCTTTTTGTCCCAAGGGACAACTGAGCAACCACCAGAGTCTCTAGCTGAACAGCAAGGGTGTGAGGCCGGCTAAAATTCCCACAGTTAGAAGCCCACTCGCAGGAGGATATTTACCAAATTGACATAAGAACTACATAAAAAGGAAATGCGTTTATTGAGCTGATGTTTCACAGTTGTCTGTGGATGGAGGCGACATTGCAAAATTCTTTTTACATTATATTATTCTCTTCTTCTTTTTAATTTGGTGTATTGGTTATTACTATTATTTTGCTTGTTACTTTCCAGACAAAAGTCCAATTCAGATATGTAACTGCACACATGTAGTACTAACTTCTGAGCTCAATTATTTCTCCTTGTATTTTCCCAATTTTCTATCAGGAAAGATGATTCATTCCAAAGGACAATGTACCATACAAAATGTGTTACATAGACTTCTCATAAAAGAATACCTCTAGTAAACCATTATAACTACTCTACGTTCACTTGCTCTTGATTATTGCCATGTTAGAACTATTTGTTCGCTTCTTTATTTAATATGGTTATTCTTTCCATCTTCCAGTTTTGTTTAGCTATTCGGGTGTGCGTGTGCCTGCAGAAGAAGCTCTGAAAATAAGTTAGTTGAACCTGAGAAACCATTTGGAATGACCGTATGGCTAAATCTTTTTTTAAATTAAAAAAATCACATATACCCAGGCCATTTCGAGCATCATGCCGATTTTCCCTCCCACTTTACGTTTAAAGCAATTAGAGATGTTGAACCCTAACAAAATGTAGTCGAGTTTAATATACTACGAGGGAGGGGCTGGCAGTCATTTTCCTTTAAATATTTAATCTAAACATAAATTGTTATTAAGGGTAGGGGGAAAAAACCTCACATAGATAATTTTAACTGCAGTTTGAGGTTTAAGCAACAGAAAGTCTTCTAACCCCAGTCCCCTTTCTTCTCCTTCCGCCCCTCCCCAACCCCGCCCCATAATGGATGCTCGGCCGACTGCTTCTGCACGGTCTCTTTGTCTAAAGGATGCAAACAGTCTACGGATGCTAGAGAAAAAGGGGTGGGGGAGAGATTACCTCATCCCACGTCGCTTGCACCAATCACCAGTCTCCTGTCATGGCTTCTCTGGGCAGATTGGGGGTCTGGACCAACAGGAAAAGGCCCCGGCCCATCCCCATGGTGACCGAGTTGTATATAGGGAGCCGCATCCGCCTATGTGCCGCAGGTTCTCTTACATCGACCGCCTAAGAGTCGCGCTGTAAGAAGCAACAACCTCTCCTCTTCGTCTCCGCCATCAGCTCGGCAGTCGCGAAGCAGCAACCATGGTGAGAATCGGCTTCGGCTCTTTGTGGCCGTTGGGTGGAGTCAGCGCCCCCAGGCTCTACTTGGAAAACCTTTAAGCTCTTTTCTTTCGTAAGCTCTCTGGGCGAGGGTGGTGGTATGTTTTGTGAGGTTTAGCTTAGCCCCAAATCCTCAAGCCCCGCCGCCGCCGCAGTGCGGGTGCAGGAACCGGGCCAGTACTGCGCCCAGGGCGCAGCAGAGCGCTGGGGAGGAACAAAGGCGGCGCCTAGGCGCCTGTGTTATCCGAGAGACTTTCGGGGGCCGCGGGCAGCCCGTCTGCCGCGACCGAGGGGTCTGGGGCGTCCCGGCTGGGCCCCGTGTCTGTGCGCACGGTTTCGCTGATGCTGAGGGGCCACTTTCTGTCTCGCGTTGTTCTCTGGGGACCGGGAGAGGAGGAGGCACCCAAAAAGAGCGGGGGCGTTGGGCGAGCTGGGGGACGTGGGAGGGGGAACGGGAACAAAGCGCAGCCTAGGGTTAGCGTGGGAAGACCCTCCGCGGTCTTTGGCGTTTTGGAAAGATACCCACACATTCCCGGGAAAACATGGTGAGTTTCTGCCGGAGCCCCCGGCAGCGGGTGTCAGGGCGGCGCAGGGGCGGGGTTGTTTGTTTCTGGCTTCTATGGCGTTGGAGCCACTGGGCGGGGTTCGCCCTCACTGAACCTCTTCTGTCAGGAGCTGACTGAAAAAAAAACAAAAAAACCTTTCATCATTGCGGAACTGTAGGCTCCAAAAGGGTTTTCTTCACTATTATAAGTTAGATGACTTTTTTTTTTCTTGAGCAAAATCATAATTCACTTCACAAGCTCTTTAATGTCTGGTCTGGGGACGCCCTGCCCTGACCGACTGAAGTGTGTGTGTGTGTGTGTGTGTGTGTGTGTGTGTGTCTGTGGGACGCCCTGCCCTGACCGACTGAAGTGTGTGTGTGTGTGTGTGTGTGTCTGTCTGTCTGTCTGGACTGCACGTTCAGCGAGGGAGAAAGCCCACTTTGTGAGCCCCAGGGTACCCTGATGGTCAGGACCCAGGGAAACGCCCTTCCCCGCCGCCCCCCCGCCCCGCCCCCACCACATCAGCGAATAGACAATGAAAGTGGTAGCCCTAAAGACCACAGAGAAGAAAACCTCTATTGGATGCAAAGAATATGAATATTATGTGATGGGTAGAGAATCTCAGGATGAAAATACTATTTTGTTGTTTTAAATAAATATTTCATTATCCTTCCACTGGGCTTTTATTCTTTGGTACCTTTTCATGTGATGCTTGTTTCTAACTTAGGAACTTTTGTGTGTGTGTGTGTTAAGATACGGATAATTTTTCAGCTTTTACAGTGGAGAAGATCTGGAAAAACCTTTTTTTTTAAAAAAAAAAGTAATGAAATTGCTACAGACAAAGAAGAATTATACTCCGCATCCCGTTGTCTTTTGTTCCAGTGCATCTTAATTAATTCATTTCAATTCAGGCACATGGTCCCGGGCGGGGTCAGAGGAGGAAAACTGGCAAAACAGCACAATGAGATCATGTAGGCAGCTGCTGGAAATAGAGCTTGCTCTGTTAAATAATGTAGCAGACAGTACAGGCTAGCACCAGGCACAGCAAATACAGCAATGCAGCAATGCAGAAGGCAGACCTTGTCTAAACTCCTAGTATTGATGGATTCTGCAGACAGACTGCAGAAGGGTGTGGCTTCTTGCCTCAGCTGCAGTACAGATGTCCGGATTATAATATCAAGTCCTATTCAGAGGAAACTTTCATCTTTATTTAAAAGGGAAGAAAGCAGTAAAATTAATCCCAATTAAGTCATAATTGGATTTACTTCATTTTACAAAATTTGTGCTTTGAATACTGAATACTTTTTAAATATGAAAAATCTTCTATTCAAGCATGGTAGTAGGCACAATGGGCTGGTACCACGTGCTGAACAGGGCCAAGGCGACATCATTATTCAGACCACACCCATATGCAGCATTTGTAGCAGGTGATTTTCCTTAATCTTTGTATCGTGCTGGGGATATGACCTCAAATAATTTAGAAAAATATCTGTATATTATTAGAAATATTTTTGAAATTTCCTATAAGTTTGAAATGCTAATACACCTTAATTTTACGATTTTTTCACTTTTCCTCCCCACAGCGTGAGTGCATCTCCATCCACGTTGGCCAGGCTGGTGTCCAGATTGGCAATGCCTGCTGGGAGCTCTACTGCCTGGAACACGGCATCCAGCCCGATGGCCAGATGCCAAGTGACAAGACCATTGGGGGAGGAGATGATTCCTTCAACACCTTCTTCAGTGAGACGGGGGCTGGCAAGCATGTGCCCCGGGCAGTGTTTGTAGACTTGGAACCCACAGTCATTGGTGAGTTGACCTCAGTAACCCAAGTGAGATCCCAGGGTGCTGGGACAGGAGGTCTGTCCTGGGGGGCTCCGCTGGTCACTCACCCACTCTCCCTCCCCGCTCCTCGTCCCTCCTCCTCCTCCCCCCTGCTCCTCCCCCATCATGTTCTCCAGATGAAGTTCGCACTGGCACCTACCGCCAGCTCTTCCACCCTGAGCAACTTATCACAGGCAAAGAAGATGCTGCCAATAACTATGCCCGAGGGCACTACACCATTGGCAAGGAGATCATTGACCTCGTGTTGGACCGAATTCGCAAGCTGGTATGTTTCTTTTCAAGAATAAAGTAAATTAATGAGCCTAAAGAACACATTTGAAATAATGCTTTTTTTTTCAAACACAGAATTGAACTGTTATTTTAATAAAGAGTGGAATGAGTCATTCTTTTGGGGTTTTTAAAATTCAGTTAAAATGAACTATTTGATGTCATTTTGTAAATGTTAATGAGAATTTTTTAAAAAGCATTTGTCAAAATAAGATCTAAGTCCTGGAAGATGTATGAAAAGTGAAAATATATTTACTATGATTGTACTACAAAGAATAAAAACTTAACCTTTCCTCTGTTCCTCTCTTTTGTTATAGGCCGACCAGTGCACGGGTCTCCAGGGCTTCTTGGTTTTCCACAGCTTTGGTGGGGGAACTGGTTCTGGGTTCACCTCGCTGCTCATGGAACGTCTCTCAGTTGATTATGGCAAGAAGTCCAAGCTGGAGTTCTCTATTTACCCGGCGCCCCAGGTTTCCACAGCTGTAGTTGAGCCCTACAACTCCATCCTCACCACCCACACCACCCTGGAGCACTCTGATTGTGCCTTCATGGTAGACAATGAGGCCATCTATGACATCTGTCGTAGAAACCTCGATATTGAGCGTCCAACCTATACTAACCTGAATAGGTTAATAGGTCAAATTGTGTCCTCCATCACTGCTTCCCTGAGATTTGATGGAGCCCTGAATGTTGACCTGACAGAATTCCAGACCAACCTGGTGCCCTATCCCCGCATCCACTTCCCTCTGGCCACATATGCCCCTGTCATCTCTGCTGAGAAAGCCTACCATGAACAGCTTTCTGTAGCAGAGATCACCAATGCTTGCTTTGAGCCAGCCAACCAGATGGTGAAATGTGACCCTCGCCATGGTAAATACATGGCTTGCTGCCTGTTGTACCGTGGTGACGTGGTTCCCAAAGATGTCAATGCTGCCATTGCCACCATCAAGACCAAGCGTACCATCCAGTTTGTGGATTGGTGCCCCACTGGCTTCAAGGTTGGCATCAACTACCAGCCTCCCACTGTGGTGCCTGGTGGAGACCTGGCCAAGGTACAGAGAGCTGTGTGCATGCTGAGCAACACCACAGCCATTGCTGAGGCCTGGGCTCGCCTGGACCACAAGTTTGACCTGATGTATGCCAAACGTGCCTTTGTTCACTGGTACGTTGGGGAGGGGATGGAGGAAGGTGAGTTTTCAGAGGCCCGTGAGGACATGGCTGCCCTTGAGAAGGATTATGAGGAGGTTGGTGTGGATTCTGTTGAAGGAGAGGGTGAGGAAGAAGGAGAGGAATACTAAAGTTAAAACGTCACAAAGGTGCTGCTTTTACAGGGAAGCTTATTCTGTTTTAAACATTGAAAAGTTGTGGTCTGATCAGTTAATTTGTATGTAGCAGTGTATGCTCTCATATACAATTACTGACCTATGCTCTAAAACATGAATGCTTTGTTACAGACCCAAGCTGTCCATTTCTGTGATGGGTTTTGAATAAAGTATTCCCTGTCTTAAATGAATTCAGTCCTGTGTTTTCTATCTGGGTGTCTGAAGTTTTTCATGTATTTAGTGCATTGAGAATAAAAAATAAGTGTTGCCTGTGGTTTATACATATCCTAGGAAGTGACGTTTGTATTTAAAGTATCTTAGTAATTTAAAACTTTTATTTATGAAACACAAAATGTATATCTAAAGATTACCATTACAGAGCATCATGTACTTTTTTTTTTTTTTTTTTTTTTTGTGAGATGGAGTCTTGTTCTGTTGCCCAGGCTGGAGTGCAGTGGTACGATCTGGGCTCACTGCAACCTCAACCTCCTGGGTTCAAGAGCTTCTCCTGCCTCAGCCTCCCAAGTAGCTAGGATTACAGGCATCCACCACCACACCTGACTAATTTTTGTATTTTTAGTGGAGACTGGGTTTCACCATGATGGTCAGGCTGGTCTCAGACTCCTGACCTCCAGTGATCCGCTTGCCTCGGCCTCCCTAAGTGCTGGGATTACAGGCGTGAACCACTGTGCCCGGCTCATACTATTAAGTTTTTACCTCATTATTATAATAAAGTTATTTAAACTGCCAGTACTTTTTAGAGTTGAAAGTTGGTAACACATAGCCAAAATCTGGTTGGCTGCTGAATCTTATGTAACTAACATAAAATGGTGAATATTCCAAATGCATCAGTTTTTCATGTGCCCTCCGCTCCTTGGTATGTGTCTAGTGCCATTATGCCTCTTCTGCCCAGGGTTCCCAAAACAAATCTCCTCTCAAAGCAAGCAGCCCTATGCTAGACTTAGTTCTTTACCTTCTTTCCAAACCTATTTTAAGCTGAATGTCATGTTGGAAAAGCCTGATACATTTATTCACTCTAATGTGTTAATTAGATATCTGAAAGTTAATTCTCCAAGTTAATGTGGGCCAATAACTTCAAATAATAAAGCCCTAATAGTGCAATTGCATGCATTAGCACCAATACAAAAAATGTTTTGGACTTACGATTTGTCCAACAATAGAGCTCTGCTCCAGACCAACTGACCAAAAGTGTCTATTCCCAAGTTCAGTAAATTGTCTTCCTACTCTCACATTTTCTGGTTCTGGGATACATATTAGTTCATTTTCACGCTGCTATGAAGAAATACCTGAGACTGGGCGGGGCACAGTGGCTCATGCCTATAATCCCAGCACTTTGGGAGGCCGGGGCGGGCAGATCACAAGGTCAGGAGATCGAGACCATCCTGGTTAACACGGTGAAACCCTGTCTCTACTAAAAATGCAAAAATTAGCCAGGCGTGGTGACACACGCCTGTAATCCCAGCTACTCAGAGAGAATTACTTGAACCCAGGAGGTGGAGGTTGCAGTGAACCGAGATCGCACCATTGCAGTCCAGCTTGAGCAAAACTCCATCTCAAAAAAAGAAATACATCAAGATGGGCTGGGTGCGGTGCCTCACGCCTGTAGTCCCAGCACTTTGGGAGGCTGAGGTGGGAGGATCATTTGAGGTCAGGAGTTCGAGACTAGCCTCTCCAACATGGTGAAACACCATCTCTACTAAAAAATACAAAAATTAGCTGGGTGTGGTGGCGGACACCTGTAATCCCAGCTGCTCGGGAGGCTGAGGTGACAGAATCGCTTGAACCCGGGTGGTGGAGGTTGCAATGAGCCAAGATCACGCCACTGCACTCCAGCCTGGGTGACAGAGCAAGACTCCATCTCAAAAAAAAAAACTATGTTATAATGGGAAATGTTATTTTATATATATATATATACACATATATATATATATATTTTTTGAGACAGGGTCTCACTCTGTCACCCAGGTTGGAGTGCAGTGGTGCGATCTCAGCTCACTGCAACGTCAGGCTCAAGCGATCCACCTCAGCCTCCCAAGTAGCTGGGACCACGCCACCATGCCCAGCTAATGTTTTTCTGTATTTTGTAGAGGCAGGGTCTCACTATGTTGCCCAGGCTCGTCTCCAACTCCTGGACTCAAGCGATCCTCCTGCCTCAACCTCCAAAGTGCTAGGATGACGGGTGTGAGCCACGACGCCCAGCCTGTTATATGTATATCTTACCACAATTTTAGAAACAAACACACAATGGAAGTATAAATCAAGCACTAAGAAAAATGATTGCCAATGGGGAGAGAACATGATCTAACTGCACTTCTTCTGATGCATTTGTTGTGTCATTTAACTATAGAAACATGTAACTATGTTATATAAGAGAGAATTAAGGTGGAAAAAAATCCTTAAAAATGGAAAACAAAATGAAACAAATAAATCTAACCAAATATCAGGTTGGTGTCTTAACTGCAGAAAGGGGAATTCTCTCTTTCTTTCTTTTTCTTTTTTTTTTTTTTTTTTTTTTTTGAGACAGGGTCTCACTCTATTGCCCAGGCTGCAGTGGCATGATCTGGCTCATTGCAACTTCTACCTCCCAGGTTCAAGCAATCCTCCTGCCTCAGCAGCCAGAGTAGCCGGGAGCACAGGTCTATGAGCCACCGTGCCTGGCTACTTTTTTTATTTTTGTAGAGACAGAGTTTTGCCATGTTGCCCAGGCTGGTCTCGATCTCCTGAGCTCAAGTGATCCTCCCACCTCAGCCTCCCAAAATGCTGGATTACAGGCGTGAGCGAGTGTACCAGCCACCTTAACAATTCTTGAAGTATGCAGTTCAGTATTGCTAAATATATTCACTTGTTGTTGCAACCAATCTCCAGAATTCTTTCATCTTTTTTTTTTTTTTTTTTTTTTTGAGACGGAGTCTAGCTCTGTCGCCGAGGCTGGAGTGCAGTGGCGCGATCTTGGCTCACCGCAAGCTCCGCCTTCCGGGTTCGCGCCATTCTCCTGCCTCAGCCTCCGGAGTAGCTGGGACTACAGGCGCCCGCCACCACGCCCAGCTAATTTTTTTGTATTTTTAGTAGAGACAGGGTTTCACCGTGTTAGCCAGGATGGTCTCGATCTCCTGACCTCGTGATCCGCCCGCCTCGGCTTCCCAAAGTGCTGGGGTTACAGGCGTGAGCCACTGCGCCCGGCCCAGAATTCTTTCTTCTTACAAAACTTAAACTCTATACCTGTCAAACAACTTATCATTCCTCCGTCTCCACAGCCCCTGGCAAACAGCATTCTCCTTTGTCTCTATGAATTTGACTATTCTAGGTACCTTACATAAGTAGAATCATACAGTATTTGTCTTTTTTGTAACTGGCTTATTTCACTTAGCACAATGTCCTCAAAGTTCATCCATGTTGTAGCATGTGTCAGAATTTACTTCCTATTTAAGGCTGAATAATATTCCATTGTGTGTATATACTAGTTTTTTTTTTTTTTTACTCATTCATTCATCCATGCACACTTGAATTGCTTCCACCTGTTGACTTTTGTGAATAATGCTGCTATGAATATGGGTATACAAGGATCTCTTCCAGATCCTGTTTTCAGTTTTTTTGGGTATATACACAGAAGTAGAATTGCTAGATCATATTTTCTGAATGTGCGTGTGTGTGGTTTTCTTAAGAAATGAAGTCTCACTCTGTTACCCAGGCTGGAGTGCAGTGGTGGGATCATAGCTCACCGTAACCTCTAACTCCAGGGCTCAAGTGATCCTCCTGTCTCAGCCTCCTGAGTAGTTAGGACTCCAAGCATGCCACCATACCAGGCTAATTTTTGCATTTTTTGTACAGACAGGGTCTTGCTATGTTCCCCAGGTTTATTTTCTGTTTTTTTTTTCAATAGAAGCCATTCTAATATGAAGTGGTTGTAGTTTTAATTTGCATTTCCCTAATGATTAGTAATGTTGACCATCTTTTCGTTTGCTTATTAGCCAGTTGTATATCTTCTTTGGAGAAATGCCTTTTCAAGTTCTCTGCCCATTTTTAAATTGGATTGTTAATGTTAAAACACTTTTTTTTTTTTTTGAGACGGAGTTTTGCAATTGTCTCCCAGGCTGGAGTACAATGGCACAATCTCGGCTCACTGCAACCTCCACCTCTCGGGTTCAAGTGATTCTCCTGCCTCAGCCTACCGAGTAGCTGGGATTACAGGTGCCTGACACCACGCCCAGCTAATTTTTGTATTTTTAGTAGAGACAGGGTTTCACCATGTTGGCCAGGCTGGTCTCAAACTCCTGACCTCAGGTGATCCATCTGCCTCGGCCTCCCAAAGTGCTGGGATTATAGACATGAGCTACCATGCCCAGCCAAAACACTTTATTTTTATATATTTTTTTGAGACAGGGTCTCATTCCGTTGCTTAGGCTAGAGTGCAGTGGTGCTCTCTCAGTTCACTGCAGACTTCCCAGGCTCAGGTGATCTTCCCATTTCATCCTCCCAAGTAGCTGGGACTACAGGATCACGCTACCACTCCCAGCTAATTTGTTGTTGTGGTTGTTGTTGTTTCTGGTAGAGACAGGGTCTCACCACGTTTCCCAGGCTGTTCTCAAACTCCTGGGCTCAAGCGATTTGCCCGTCTTAGCCTCCCAAAGTGCTAGGATTATAGGTGTGAGGCACCATGACCGGCCAATGTTAAAACACTTTTATCCCACCATTTAATCCATGAGGATATAAGAATACTGAAATTGTTTGGGCATGGTAGCTCACGCCTGCAATCCCAGCATTCGGGTGGATGACCTGAGGTCAGGAGTTCGAGACCAGCCTCGCCAGTATGGTGAAACTCCATCTCTACTAAAAATACAGAAAAAATTAGTCAGGCATGGTGGTGGGCGCCTATAATCCCAACTACTTGGGAGGCTGAAGCAGGAGAATAGCTTGAACCTGGGAGGCAGAAGTTGCAGTGAGCCGAGATCACACTACTGCACTCCAGCCTGGGCAACAAGAGTGAAACTCTGTCTCAAAAAAGAAAAAAGAAATACAAAAATTAGCCGGGCATGGTGGCATGTGCCTGTAATCCCAGCTACTCTGGAGGCTGAGGCAGGAGAATCGCTGGAACCTGGGAGGCAGAGGTTGCAGTGAGCCGAGGTCGCGCCACTGCAATCCAGCCTGGGTGACAGAGCGAGCCTCCATCTCAAGAAAAAAAAAAAAAAGAATGGTGGAATAACTAAAATGTAAAAAAAATTAACTGCAAAAAGTTATTTTATCCTGAGACCATTATAAGTTTTATTTCTCATGTGTACATTATTTCCTTCATATTTAAAAATAAAACAACAAATAATGCTGGCTATGGTGCTCATCCTATCCCTTATTATATCTTTAATTGGAACGTAGTTTTTGGCCTTGAGACACATGTTTTATAAGTTTTTTCTGGGCCAGGCATGGGATTACAGGTGTGAGCCTACAATCCCATCACTTCGGGAGGTTGAAGTGGGAGGATCGCTTGAGCCGGGGAGGTTGAGGCTGCAGTGAGCCATGATTGCACCACTGCACTCCAGCCTGGGCAACAGAGCAAGACCTTGTCTCTAAATAAATATATAAATAAATTTTTTTCTCAATATATGGAAAGTATCTCAACATGAGAATATTTACATTATTTCTATACTATTAAAATTTTTAATCAGAATAGATGTTGAATTTTATGGAATGTCTTTTCAGCAATATTTGGAGATTAACATATGACTTTTCCCCCTCAACATACTATAATGAGTTATTTTAAAAGATTTCCTAATATTGAATGATCATTGCATGTCTAATATAAAAAACTTGGGGCTGGGCATGGTGGCTCACGCCTGTAATCCCAGCACTTTGGGAGGCTGAGGTGGGTGGAATGCTTGAGGCTAGGAGTTCGAGACCAGCCTGGGCAACATAGGAAGACCCCATCTCTATTAAAAAAAAAAATTAGGCTGGGTGCAGCGGTTCATGCCTGTAATCCCAGAACTTCGGGAGGCCAAGGAGGGCAGATCACGAGGTCAAGAGATCGAGACCATCCTGGACAACATGGTGAGAGCCTGTCTCTATTAAAAATACAAAAATTAGCTGAGCGAGGTGGTGTGTGCTTGTAGTCCCAGTTACTCGGGAAGCTGAGGCAGAAGAATCCTTGAATTCAGGAGGCGGATGTTGCAGTCAACCAAGATCGAGACACTGCACTCCAGCCTGGTGACAGAGTAAGACTCCATCTCAAAAAAAAAAAAAAAAAAAAAAAAATAGGGCAGGTGGGGTGGCTCACGTCTGTAATCCCAGCACTTTGGGAGGCTGAGGCAGGTGAATCACCTGAGGTCAGCAGTTCGAGAACAGCCTGGCCAACATGGTGAAGCCCCCATCTCTACTAAAGATACAAAAATTAGCCAAGCGTGGTGGCACGCACCTGTAATTCCAGTTACTTGGGAGGCTTAGACAGGAGAATCGCTTGAACCTGGGAGGTGGAGGTTGCAGTGAGCTGAGATTGCACCACTGCAACTCCAGCCTGGGCGGCAGAGCAAGACTCCATCTCAAAAAAAAAAAAAAAAATTAGCTGAGTGTGGTGGTGTGCACTTGTAGTCCCAGTTACTTGGGAGGCTGAGGCACAAGAATTGCTTGAACCTGGGTGGCCAAGGTTGCAGTGAACCCAGATTGTGTCATTGCACACCAGCCTGAGTGACAGAGCAAGACTCTGTCTCAAAACAACAACAACAACAACAACAATAACAACAAAACTTGGTCATAGAGATTAGTGCTGCCAGATTCTTTTTAAAATTATTGACTGACTGGTTGATTGATTTTGAGATTACCATAAAACAGCACCTGGTTCTATTTGATGATAAAGTTTCACTCTGAACAGCAGTGTATAGGGCTGAGTTTTATGCTACTATTCAGTATAGACTGTGGAAGTTACCAGAGTATATCCCATAAAAAAAAGTTATTCCACCAGAAGCCTATATAGTGCAGTCCAGGCAAGAAAGCCTTTGATTATCCAACTTAATTCAGAAATAGAATTTAGAGTATCTAAAGCAGCAGCTCATTCTTAATTACTAGAGGTGATGAGAGCAGATATCCTTTACCATTAAGTATGATGTTAGCTCTCAGTTTTCGCAGACACTCTTTATCAGAGAGAGGAAGTTCTCTAGTTTCCTAGTTTGCTGAGAGGTTCGTTGGTTTGTTTTTGGTAAATGGATGTTAGATTTTGTCAAATTATTTTTCTGTGTGCATCTATTAAAATGATCACATGGGTTTTCTCCTTTTTTATCTTGAATGTGAAACCAACCTTGCATTCCTGGGATAAACCACAATTGCTTTATAGTTTAAAACAGGGGTTCTTAACTCAGGGCTCAGAAAAGCACAGGTACTTCATAGATAGTTCTCATGGTTTGGGAACTATCCTAAAGTTGTATGCAAAATTCTGTGTGAATATGTTCATGATAAATTTTCTCCAAAGATAGCTACTAACCATTCCTCTCATCCCTGTAGGTACAGGCTACTTCTCCCATAGAGCGATGGAATCTATTCCCCTTTCCTTAAACCCTAGCTGGCTTGTGATGACTTTGACAAATAGAATGTGCAAAAGTGAAGCTGTGCTAGACCCAGGTCAAGCACTTAAGAAGCCTGGCAGTTGTGTTGTGTTTATATATATATGTGTATATATATATATACACACATACACATACACACACACACAGAGATAGGGTCTCACTATGTTAATCAGGCTGGTTTCAAACTCCCGGCCTCAAGTGATCCTCTGCCTCGGCCTCCCAAACTGCTGGGATTACAGGAGTGAGCCATCATGCCCAGCCTGTTTAAAAGCAAGCCACCATTTAAGAAACTTGAGCTAGAGTAACAATGGATGAGAGACCATGTGAAGAGAAAGAGAGGTCGTGTGAAAAAGAACCACCCCGCCCCATCCAACAGCCAGCACAAAGGTCCCACATATGTGAGTGAAACCATCTTAGGCACTCCAGACCCAGCTGGGCTCCCAGCTGAACACACCTGCATGAGTGAACCAGATGACATACCACATGGAATCATGAGAAATAATAAATGACTGTTTTAAGTCAATCGTTTTGGGGTGGTTGGTTATACAGCAATAGAGAACTGAAACAGGGCTTATAGGCACAGCTAAAGAGAGAATACTGTATACTGTTTTCTTTTTCTTCTTCTTTTTGAGACAGAGTCTTGCTCTGTCGCCCAGGCTGGAGTGCAGTGGCTCTATCTCAGCTCACTGCAAGCTCCGCCTCCCAAGTTCACACCATTCTCCTGCCTCAGCCTCCCGAGTAGCTGGGACTACAGGCACCTGCCACCACGCCCGGCTAACTTTTCGTATTTTTTAGTAGAGACAGGGTTTAACCATGTTAGCCAGGATGGTTTCAATCTCCTGACCTCGTGATCCGCCTGCCTTGGCCTCCCAAAGTGCTGGGATTACAGGCGTAAGCCACCACGCCTGGCCTACTGTATGCTGTTTTCATGAGATTATCCAAAATAATTATAACCACTAATCTAAATAAATGAAATAATAAAAATTCTTTAGGAAATCCCTCATAAATGTATTTGTTTCAATGTTTTTTTACATTTATTTTTTTTAGAGGCAAGGTCTTGCTCTCTTGCCCAGGCTGGACTGCAGTGGCGCAATCATTGCTCAATGTAACTTCAAATTTGGGATTTAAGCAATGCTCTCACTTCAGCCCCCTGAGTAGCTAGGACTACAGGTGCACACACCCACAACTGGCTAATTAAAAAAAAAAAAAAAAACTTTGTAGAGATGGGGTCCAGCTATATTGCTCAGGCTGGTCTCGAACTCCTGGGCTCAAGTGACCCTTCTGCCTTGGCCTCCCAAAGTGCACGGATTATAGATGTGAGCCACTGTGCCTGGCCTCAGTGTGTTTTTGATAATTATCAGTACTATATTTAAGATTATATGTAAATTAGCCCAGCACTGTTGTTCACGCCTGTAATCCCAGCACTTTGGCAGGCCAAGTGTGGGTCACAGGTGGATCATGAGGTCTGGAGTTCAAGACCAGCCTGGTCAAGACAGTGAAACCCTGTCTTTACTGAAAATACAAAAATTAGCTGGGTGTGGTGGTACATGCCTGTAGTCCCAGCTACATGGAAGGCTGAGGCAGGAAAATCTCTTGAACTGGGGAGATGGAGGCTGCAGTGAACCAAGATTGCACCACTGCACTCCAGCCTGGGCAACAGAGCGATACTCTGTCTCAAAAAAAAAAAAAAAAAAAAAAAAGAATTATATGTAAATAGAGTGTAGCTTTGAATTTGGCAATTAAGTGAAAGATTATATGCTATAATGGAAATAGATGCCTAAGATAAAAAAAATCAGATAATTTATTGGACCATCTTTCCACTGCTCTGAAGAAAGTGGGTAGTATTTGAGCGCTAGGCCAAAAGTTTTCACTTAAATATATACATATGAACATGTAAAAATATATACACAAAAATTATATAAAGAAAAGTGAACAAAAGTAGATCCAAAGTTCTATATTTGGTCAAGATATAGTTTTGTACATGAACCAAGTGGATGGATTCACTTACCATAAATGGTGCAGCCAATGTGGAAGTGAGTGTGATTTGCAGTTGAGTTAGGACATACCTGGTAGAGTGGATCAAAATTGACTGAGGCGGCTGGGCGTGGTCGCTAATGCCTGTAGTCCCAGCACTTTGGGAGGCCAAGGGAGGCGGATCACCTGAGGGTGGGAGTTCGAGACCGGCCTGACCAACATGGAGAAACCTCGTCTCTACTAAAAATACAAAATTAGCCAGGCGTGGTGGCACATGCCTATAATCCCAGCTACTCAGGAGACTGAGGAAGGAGAATCACTTGAATCTGGGAGGCAGAGGTTGCGGTGAGCCAAGATCACGCCATTGCACTCCAGCCTGGGCAATAAGAGCAAAACTCCGTCTCAAAAAAAAAAAAAAAATTGACTGAGGCAGGGTGCAGTGGCTCATGCCTGTAATCCCAGCACTTTGGGAGGCCTTATCTCTAAAAAAAAAAAAACAAAAAAACTTTTTTTTTTTGTTTTTTGTTTTTTTAAGACAGTCTCTGTCGCCAGGTTAGAGTGCAGTGGTGCGATCTCGACTCACAGCAACCTCCGCCTGCTGGGTTCAAGCGATTCTCCTGGCTCAGCCTCCCAAGTAGCTGGGACCACAGGCGCATGCCACCATGCCCAGCTAATTTTTGTATTTTTAGTAGAGACAGTGTTTCAGCATGTTGGCCAGGAGGGTCTCGATCTCTCGACCTCGTGATCCACCCACCTTAGTCTCCCAAAGTGCTGGGATTAGAGGCATAAGCCACCGAGCCTGGCCTGTAATTTTATTTTAGTAGAAACTGGGTTTCACCATGTCTGCCAGGCTAGTCTTGAACTCCTGGCCTCAAGTGATTCACCTGCCTTGGCCTCCCAAAGTGCTGGTATTACAAGCGTGAGCCAATGTGCCCAGTCAAAACAATTTTTTTTAATTAGCTGGGCGTGGTGGCGCAGCCCTGTAGTCCTAGCTACTTAGGTGGCCAAGGCAGGAGGATCCCTTGAGCTCAGGAGTGCAAGGCTGCAGTGAGCTGTGATCATATCACTGCACTCCAGCCTAGACGACAGAGCAAGACCCTGTCTCAAAAAAAACCACAAAAAACAAAAACAAAAAAACCCTGAGACATAGGGCAGGCTTCCATCTAGTAAATGGAGTAAGGAGGTAGGAAACAGCTGTAGAAAGAAAATGACACTTGCCGTGGACAGTAGCACATGCCTGTAATATCAACATTTTGGGAGGCTGAGGCAGGAGTATCGCTTGAGGCCAGGAGTTTGAGACCAGCCTGCACAACATAACACGACCCAGTCTCTCTTAAAAAAAAGAAAAAAGAAAAAAGAAAAATTTAATTAGCTGTGTGCAGTGGCAGTGCCTGGAGTCCCAGACACTCAGGAAGCTGAGACAGGAAGATCTCTTGAGCCTGGGAGATCAAGGTGCAGTGAGCTATGATTGGCCACTGTATTCCAGCCTGGGCAACAGAGCAAGACTCTGTCTCAAAAAAAAAAAAAAAGAAAAAAAGAAAAGAAAAGAAAATGAGAATGACAGTAACATACCACCATTTCCAATCCAGCATCAGAAGTAATGAATCAAAAGGTCCAGTATAAAGTTGGGCTCAGTGGCTCACACTTGTAATCCCAGCATTTTGGAAGGCTGAGGTAGGAGTATCACTTGGGCCAGGAGTTTGAGACAAGCCTGGGCAACATGGCGAGACCCTGTCTCTACAAAAAATAAATCAGCTGAGTGTGGTGGCCAATGTCTGTAGTCCCAGCTACTCAGGAGGCTGAGGCAGGAAGATCACTTGAGCCTAGGTGGTCAAGGCTGCAGTGAGCCATGATCACATCATTGCACTTCATCTTGGGTGATAGAGAGGAGACCCTATCTTTAAAAAAAATTAAATGAGGCCAGGCAGGGTGGCTTACGCCTGTAATCCTAGCACTTTGGGAGGCCAAGGCGGGCAGATCACAAGGTCAGGAGATAGATACCATCCTGGCTAACATGGTGAAACCCTGTCTCTACTAAAAATACAAAATATCAGCTGGGCGTTGTGGCACATGCCTGTAGTCCCAGCTACTCAGGAGACTGAGGCAGGAGAATCGCTTGAACCTGGGAGGCGGAGGTTGCAGTAAGCCAAGATCGCACCACTGCACTCCAGCCTGGACAACAGAACAAAAATCCGTCTCAAAAAAAAAATTAAATGAATAAAATAAAAATTAAAAGAAAGTCCAATGTAATAAGACGAAGAGGAGCTAACCCTAGAGAAAGGAGCTTAAAGAGATCAGGCCAGGTATCCAAGAAATAACACAAGGGGAAAACATCAGGGACCTAGGCAGAGGCCTGGTAGGCAGACTGACTGGCTCCCATGTTAGGGATTATATAAGGAAACAACAGCTCAATGCACCTTTGGGTGTTGGGTGTCCAGGATATTGAAGGCCAGATATTTAAGGTCTTTTTGCCTGTTGGTCAGAAACCTCCCACAATTCCTTGCCGCAAGGGCCTCTCCAAAGAGTAGCAGACAGCAAATGGCTTCCCTCAGGACAAGTGAGCAAGACAGCAAGAGAGAGCTGCCAAGATGAAAGTCACAGTCTTTTTGTAATGTAATATCGGAAGTGACATCTCATCACTTTTGCTGTAGCTAATAAGAAGTGAATCACGCATGGCCGGGTACGGTGGCTTACGCCTATAATCTCAGCACTTTGGGAGGCCGAGGCAGGTGGATCACCTGAGGTCAGGAGTTAGAGACCAGTCTGGCCAACATAGTGAAACCCTGTCTCTACTAAAATTACAAAAATTAGCCAGGCGTGGTAGCACAGGCCTGTAATCCCAGCTACTCAGGAGTCTGAGGCAGGAGAATCACTGGAACCCGGGAGGCGGAGGTTGCAATAAGCCAAGACTGCGCCATTGCACTCCAGCCTGGGCAACAAGAGTGAAACTCTGTCTCAAAAAATAATAATAACAATAATAATAATAATGAGAATTTAACCAATAAGTACATATGATTACATAGATTCTGTAATTCTTAGAAAAATCACAGATCCTGGATCTAGTTTTCTCTTCTCAGGCTTGCAAATTATAAATAAATAAAAGAAGTGCCTCTAAAAGATTCATAACCAAACATAATGCCAAGTCTTGTTTTTCTACAATATATAGTATCTCTATTTACATAAAATTATATATGTGTATATGCCTAGAGAGATGTCTAATAGGATCTTTATCAAATATTAAGAGTATTGGCCAGGCTTGGTGGCTCGCGCCTGAATCCTAGCACTTTAGGATGCCAAAGCAGGTGTATCACTTGAGGCCAGGAGTTTGAGACCAGCCTGGGCAACATAGCGAAACCCTGACTCTATAAAAAATACAAAAATTAGCCAGGCGTGGTGGCATGTGCCTGTAGCCCCAGCTACTAAGGAGGCTGAGGTGGGAGGATCTGTTGAGCCAGGAGGTGGAGGCTGCAGTGAGCTGTGATAGTGCTACTGCACTCCAGCTTAGGCAACAGAGAAAGATAAAAAACAAAAAAATTGGAGCTGATTGCTTAAGAAGTTATTTTTCCCTGAAGTACTGGCATTTAAACAGGGAATTTTTAGAAACTAAAGATTCAACTTTTAAAGAAATCTCCAGGAAGAGAATTTCAAGCACCATCTGAGCAAAGATGCTATTTTGGGTAGCTATTTTAAGTATCCTGAGCCGTTAAAATCAGTGCACAGTGATAGGCTAATAGTCACTCTTCCTACCTGAAGGCTAACTCAGTCCCTCACACTTTATCACTTGATTTTTCTTTTCCTAATATAACAGGTTTGTTGAAATATAATTCACATACTGTCCAATTCACCCATTTAAAGTATACAATTCAAGGCCAGGCGAGGTGGCTCATGCCTGTAATCCTAGCACTTTGGGAGGCCGAGGTGGGTGGATCACCTGAGGTCAGGAGTTTGAGACCAGCCTGGCCAACATAGTGAAACCCCAACTCTACTAATAATACAAAAATTAGCAGGGCATGGTGGCGCATGCCTATAATCCCAGCTACTCGGGAGGCTGAGTTGGAAGAATCGCTTGAATCCGGGAGGTGGAAGTTGCAGTGAGCTGAGATCACACCACTGCACTCCAGCCTGGGTGACAGATACTCCATCTCAAAAAAATAAAAATAAAAATAAAAAAGTAAAAAAAAAATGTTTTAAAAAAGTATACAATTCAATGGCTTTTAGTATATTAAGAGGTGTGTGATCACCACAATTTTAGAACATTTTCATCACCCCCCAAAAAAACTCTGTAACCTAGGCAACCACTATCTCCAGGCAACCACTAATCTAGTTTCTGTCTCTGCATATTTCCCTATTCTGGACATTTAATGTAGAAGGAAGCATACAATATGCAGGCATTCATAACTGGCTTCTTTCTTTCTTCTTTTCCTAATCCATTCAAGTACATCTATTTTGGAAATATTTCCATTTCAATGATCCAAATTGTGATGAGGAACACCACCAGGGCATGAAATTTTAGAATATAGCAATCTCTTTGTATTATTAATTGATATACACGCCATAAAATATACACACCATAAAATTCACCCTTTATAATTTTAAAGTCTCTAGTATATTCACCAGCTTGTGCAATATCTGTCCTTTTAAATTTTTATATTTGTCTGTTCACTAGTTCCAGAATTTAATTTTGTCATTCATCAAAAGCTCAAACTGTGCACTCATTAGCAGTCACTCCCCATTATCTCCTTCCTTGTACTAGCTCATGGCAAACACAGTAATCTACTTTCTGTCCCTATGAATTTGCCTATTCCGGACATTTTATACAAATAGAATCATGTAATATAGGGCTTCGTTATCTTAACACAAAGTTTTCTTTTTTTTTTTTTTTTGAGATGGAGTCTTGCTCTGTCACCAAGGCTGGAGTGCAATTGCATGATCTCAGCTCACTGCAACCTCTGCCTCTGAGGTTCAAGCAATTCTCCAACCTCAGCCTCCCAAGGAGCTGGGATTACAGGGACGTGCCACCATGCCCAGCTAATTTTTGTATTTCTCGTAGAGATGGAGTTTCACCATATTGGCCAGGCTGGTCTAGAACTCCTGACCTCAGGTGATCTGCCTGCCTCGGCTTCCCATAGTGCTAGGATTACAGGGGCCACTGTGCCAGGCCGAGCACAATGTTTTCAAGGTTCATCTATATTGTAGAATGTATCAGTACTTCCTTTCTTTTCTGGGGGAGCGGGGTGTGGAACGGAGTCTTGCTCTGTCACCCAGGCTGGAGTGTAGTGGCGGAATCTTGGCTCACTGCAACCTCCGCCTCCTGGGTTCAAGCAATTCTTCTGCCTCAGCCACCTGAGTAGCTGGGACTACAGGCATGCGCCACCATGCCAGGCTAACTTTTGTATTTTTAGTAGAGACTGCCTTTCACCATATTGGCCAGGCTGGTCTCAAACTCCTGACCTCGTGATCCACCTGCCTCCGCCTCCCAAAGTGCTAGGATTACAGGTGTGAGCCACTGTGCCTGGCCAGTACTTCTTCTTATTGCCAAATAATATTCCATTATAGGGATATACATTTTCTTTATTAATTGATGGGTTGTTTACATTTTTTGGCTATTATGAATAATACTGCTGTTAACTTTTGTGTACACGTTTTTGTGCAGTCATATATTTTCATTTCTCTTGAGTATACACCTAGAAGTGGAATTGCTGGGTCTTACTATAGATCTGTTTAATATTTCATGGAACTGCCAAGATATTTTCCCAAGTGGTTATATCATTTACATTCCTACTAGTAGTGTAAGAAGGTCCAATTTTTCCACATCCTTACTAAGACTTGTTATTTTCTGTCTTCTTTTATTATAGCCATCCTAGTGGGTGTGAAGTGGTATCTCACTGGGGTTTTGATTTGCATTTTCTGATGGCTAAAGACTTGAGTACCTTCTCATGTGCTTATTGGCCATTTGGGTATCTTCTTTGGAGAAGTCTACATTTAGAGCCTTTGCCCATTTAAAATTTTTATTTTATTTTTTAAATAGAGATGGGGTCTTGGCCAGGCGTGGTGGCTCATGTCTGTAATCCCAGCATTTTGAGACCCCGAGGCGGGCAGATCACCTGAGGTCAGGAGTTCGAGACCAGCCTGGCCAATATGGTGAAACTCCAGTCTCTACTAAAATACAAAAATTAGCTGGGTGTAGCAGCGTGCACTAGTAATCCCAGCTACTCGGGAGGCTGAGGCACAAGAATTTCTTGAGCCCAGGACAGGGAAGTTGCAGGTTGCAGTGAGCTGAGATTGCACCACTGCACTCCAGCCTGGGTGACAGAGTGAGACTCTGTCTCAAAAAAAAAAAAGAGATGGAGTTTCACTATGTTGCCCAGGATGGCCTCAAACTCCTGGGCTCAAGTGATCCTCCTGCCTCAGCCTCCCAAGTGCTAGGATTACAGACGTGAACCACTGCACCCAGCCTAAAATTTTATTATTCGTCTTTTTATTACTGAGTTGTAAGAGTTCTTTATATGTTCTAGATACAAGTATCTTATATATGTATAGAGAAAAATTCTCTTCAAACTGTTTTTCCTCTACTCTCAAACCACAACAATCATCAAACAGAAGACAACTTCTGTGACCAAATGTGTGGAGGATTTCTCCACACACCAAGTAGCAGATACCAGCTGGGTGTCCTCTAATTCAGTTCCTATATTATCACTCAGAGATAGTGTCAGATCCCACAGGTTGAGGGTTCAGTCCCCAAGACTGCCCCAGCCCCCGACTCTAACCCCACACACACCAGTCACAAGTTCAGCCCCCGGGACTTCTGACCGACTGGTTTCAAGTTGACGCTCCCATGACCCCTTCTTTGGGTTCGATTAGTTTGCTGGAGCAGCTCACAACACTCAGGGAGACACATTCACCAGTTTATTATAAAAGATATTGCAAAGGATACCGATAAAAAGAATAGGTAGGGTGAGGTATGGGGGAAGGGGTGTGGAGCTTCCATCCCCTCCCTGGGCGCACCACCCTCCAGTAACCTCCATGTGTTCAGCTGTCTGGAAGCTCACTGAGCCCTGTCATCTTGGGTTTTTACAGAAGCTTAAAGACATCAGCATTCCTTCTCCCAGGTTATAGGGTGGGACACTCTCATGGGAGGGTATTAAGACCTACAATCAGAAAGGTCGGGAAAGATTAGGCTGGACCTGGTGGCTCACGCCTGTAATCCCAACACTTTGGGAGACTGAGGTGGGCAGATCACCTGAGGCCAGGAGTTCGAGACCAGCCTGGCCAACACAGTGAAACCCCCATCTCTAATTAAAAAAACACATACAAAATTAGCCAGGCGTGGTGGCGCGTGCCTGTAATCCCAGCTACTCGGGAGGCTAAGGCAGGAGAATTGCTTGAATCCAGGAGCCAGAGGTTGCAGTGAGCCGAGATCACAACACTGCACTCCAGCCTGGATGACAGAGTGAGAACCTATCTTAAAATAAAAAAGAAAGAAAGAAAAAAAGGTCGGGGAAGATTAGCATGAACAGAGGGCAGGAGAACATCAGATGCCTGCCCTGAGGCTCAACACACCCAACATTCTAACAAAAGACTGTAAAGAGGGATATGGAAGTTATGAGCCAAGAACCATAGATGAAAACCAATATATAACACTACAGATATATGATTTGCAAATATTTTCTTCATTTTGTGGGTTGTCTTTTTACTTTCTTGATAGTGTGTCTTTTGAAGCAAAGAAGTTTTTAATTGTGATGAGGTCAAATGTATCTATTTTTTCTTTTGTTACTTATGCTTTTGGTGTCATACCTAAGAAGCCTTTGCCTAACTTAGCGTCATTAAGATTTACTTCTAGGCTGGGCGTGGTGGCTCACGCCTGTAATCCCAGCACTTTGGGAGGCCAAGGCGGGCAGATCACCTGAGGTCAGGAGCTCGAGACCAGTCTGGACAATATGGTGAAACCTCATCTCTATTAAAAATACAAAAATAGGCTGGGTGCAGTGGCTCACACCTGTATTCCCAGCACTTTGGGAGGCCGAGGTGGGCAGATCACAAGGTCAGGAGTTCAAGACAAGCCTGGTCAACATAGTGAAACCCTGTCTCTACTAAAAATACAAAAATTAGCTGGGCATGGTGGTGCGCACCTGTAGTCCCAGCTACTCGGGAGGCTGAGGCAGAAGAATCACTTGAACCCGGGAGGTATAGGTTGCAGTGAGCCGAGACTGTGCCACTGCACTCCAGCTTGGGCAACAGAGTGAGACTTCATCTCAAAAAAAAAAAAATAAAACTAAAAATATATACAAAAATAAGCCAGGCGTGGTGGCATGCGCCTGTAATCCCAGTTACTCAGGAGGCTGAGGCAGGAGAATCGCTTGAACCCGGGAGGCAGAGGTTGCAGTGAGCTGGAGATCACGCCATTGTACTCCAACCTGGGCATCAAGAGTGAAACTCCGGTCTCAAAAAAAAAAAAAAAGGATCACTTTTAAAAAGAGACAGCAAGAATAGAACAAGGAAAGCAGTAAGAAGTAGATTATTTTAGTGTCTGAGAGAAAGATGGCAGACATTCAGGTTATGTTTTGTTAAGTAGAGCTGACAAGATTTGCTGATGCGTTAGATGATAAATATTAGAGCAGGAGAGTGAGAGAGAGAAGTCAAGGATAACTCAGAGGTCTTTGGGCTAAGCAACTGGGTGAATAAAGGTAACATTTACTCAGATGGAGAATCCTGGGAGAAGAAAGGAGTGGTCTGTATGTGAGTGTGTGGACTGGAGTGGAGTAGAATTCAAGAGTTCTGTTTTGGACATGATAAATTTAGGATGCCTATTAGGCATCCAATCAGAGATGTAGAGTAGGCATGTGGATATGTGTTTCAGAAAATAGGCCTGGGTAGAAGATACAAATTTGGGAGCTACCAGTATATAGATATTTAAAGTCATGAGACTAGATGATTGTACATCTTTTCTTTTTTTTTTTTTTGAGATTGAGTTTTGCTCTGTCGCCCAGGCTGGAGTGCAGTGGCGCCATCTCGGCTCACTGCAAGCTCTGCCTTCCGGGTTCATGCCATTCTCCTGCCTCAGCCTCCCGAGTAGTTGGGACTACAGGCGTCCGCCAACACGCCTGGCTATTTTTTTTGTATTTTTAATAGAGACGGGGTTTCGCTGTGTTAGCCAGGATGGTCTCGATCTCCTGACCTCGTGATCCACCCACCTCGGCCTCCCATAGTGCTGGGATTACAGGTGTGAGCCACTGCGCCCAGCTGAGTGTACATATTTTCTTATGAAATTGGATTATGTGACCATATCTCTTTTTTTTTTTTTTTTTTTAGATGGAGTCTCACTCTGTGGCCCAAGCTGGAGTACAGTGGCTCAACCTCGGCTCACTGCAGCCTCTGCCTCCCGGGTTAAAGCAATTCTCCTGCCTCAGCCTCCTGAGTAGCTGGCACCTGTAGGTGCCTGCCACCATGCCTGGCTAATTTTTGTACTTTTAGTAGAAACAGGTTTTCACCATGTTGGCCAAGCTGGTCTCAAACTCCTGACCACAAGTGATTCACTTGCCTTGGCCTCCCAAAGTGCTGGGATTACAGGCATGAGCCACCATGTCCGGGCTATGTGACCATTTCTCTGTATCAGTGTTCTTTACATTTTTGCTTATCACCTAAAAAAAAGAAATTAAACTATGTAACTCCAGTCATTTTTAAGTTGATATCTAAAATTCTTCAAGTTAAGTTTAAATACGGTAAAAGCTGAGGCAGGAGGATCACTTGAGGCCAGGAGTTGAAGACCAGCTGAGACTACATCTCTACAAAATGTAAGAAAACAAGTAGCTTTGCCTGTCTTCCCAGCTACTCAGGAGGCTGAGGTGGGAGGACCTCTTGAGCCCAGGATATATATGTGTGTATATATATATATACACACACATATATGTATATGTGTGGAGATATATACATACGTAGTGTAAAATAATGTAATTTTAAGCATATTGTGGCCAGGCATGGTGGCTCCCACCTGTAATCCCAGCACTTTGTGAGGTCAAGGTGGTAGGATTACTTGAGCCCAGGAGTTTGAGACCAGCCTGGGCAACACAGCAAGACCCCGTATCTACAAAAAAATTTAAAATTAGCTGGGCATGGTGGCATGCATCTGTAGTCCCAGTTACTCAGGAGACTGAGGTAGGAGGATTGCTTAAGCCCAGAAGGTCAAGACTGAAGTGAGCCATGATTGAATTACTGCACTTAAGCCTGGGCAACAGAGCAAGACCCTATCTCCCCCGTCCCCCAAAAGAAGCATGTTGTAAATATTGATGTTTTACAGTAAAACTTACACCATTCTGTTACATCTAATGTAATCTAAACACACAGTAACTTGATGCTTACCATCATCTGTTTTTAAAAAATGACAGAATTCTGGGTTTTGAATAATATGGTGGGCCAGATATCTTGA
The DNA here is from genome assembly GCF_000001405.40 of Homo sapiens. NCBI lineage: Eukaryota > Metazoa > Chordata > Mammalia > Primates > Hominidae > Homo > Homo sapiens. The sequence goes on along the minus strand of NC_000012.12, from coordinate 49,165,026 downwards.
TATGCCTTCCAATAAAAATTAAAATTGCTAGATAAAATAATTTTCTTAAAAGCATTAAAAAGGTGACAAGATAGTAAGGAACCTTTAAACCAGAAGGGAGTGGAACACTAATGCCATTTTCTCTACAACCTTATAGGTGCTGGAGTATTTTATTTGTTTGTTTGTTTATTTATTTTGAGACAGGGTCTCACTCTTTCACCCAGGCTGGAGTGCAGTGGCACGATCACAGCTTACTACAGACTTGACCTCCTGTGTTAAAGTGACCCTTCTGCCTCAACCTCCCAAGTAGCTGAGCACCATCATGACTGGCTAATTTAAAAATTTTTTTTTGTAAAGACAGGTTCTCGTTTTGATGCCCAGGCTGGTCTCGAACTCTTGGGTTTAAGCGATCCTCCTGCCTCGGCCTCCTAAGGTGCTGGGATGACAGATGTGAGCCACCACGCCCAGCCTAGGTGCTAGGTAAAGTCCAGGGCCCACCCCAAGTTATAAATATAATAAGAGGCCTGCCTCATCAAAAAGTTGAGGCTCCAACTAAACCTCACAGACTGGGCAAGGTGGCTCACATCTATAATCCCAGCACTTAGGGAGGCAGAGGGAGGATGATCAGTTGAGTGCAGGAGTTAGAGACCAGCCTGGGCAACATAGGGAGACTCTAACTCTACAAAAACTAATTCGCTTGGTGTGGTGGCACACACTTGTAGTCCCAGGTACTGAGGAGGCTCAGGTGAGAGGATCACTTGAACCCAGGAATTTGAGGCTGTAGTGAGCTTTGTTTGCCCCATTGCAATCCAGCCTGGGCCACAGATTGAGACAGTGTCTCTAAAAAACAAACAAATAAAAAAGTAGAATACGGAAAGGCTGGCTGGGCGTGGTGGCTCACGCCTGTAATCCCAGCACTTTGGGAGGCTGTGGCAGGGGGATCATAAGGTCAGGAGATCGAGACCATCTTGGCTAACAAGGTGAAACTCCATCTGTACTGAAAATACAAAAACAAAATTAGCAAGGCGTGGTGGCGGGCACCTGTAGTCCCAGCTACTTGGGAGGCTGAGGCAGGAGAATGGCGTGAACCCGGGAGGCGGAGCTTGCAGTGAACTGAGATCACGCCACTGCGCTCCAGCCTGGGCAACAGAGCGAAACTCCAACTCAAAAAAAAAAAAAAAAAAAGGAATATGGAAAGGCTAGACATTAAAGAATTAAGTTTATATTGAATATTGACAATGAATAGGAAAAAATATACATAAAAAAGAACTAATACTCATTTAAGAGGTAAGAAAAAGAACAGTAAAATAAATAAAAAGTTAGGCTGGGCCTTGTGGCATGGTGGTGGCCACCTGTAATCCCAGCTACTCAGGAGGCTGAGGCAGGAGAATTACTTGAACCCGGGAGGCAGAGGTTGCAGTGAGCCGCGATCACATCATTGCACTCCAGCCTGGGCGAAAAAGCGAGACTGCGTTTCAAGAAAAAAAAAAAAAAATTAGCTGGGCACGGTGGCACACCTGTAATCTCAGCTACTGGGGAGGCTGAGGCAGGAGAACTGCTTGAACGCAGGAGGTGAAGGTTGCAGTGAGCCAAGATCGCAACACTGCACTCCAGCCTGGGCAACAAGAGCTAAACGCCGTCTCAAAAAAAAAAGTCTGACTTACCATTTTTTTTCTTTTGTTGCTTGTGCTTTTGGTGTCATATCTAAGAAAGCATTACCTAATCAAAAGTAATAAAGATTTATCTCTGTTTTCTTCTTCTGAGTTTTATAGTTTTAGCTCTTATATTTAGGTCTTTGATCCATTTTAATTTTTGTGTATGGTGTGAGGTAGGAGTCTGTATTAATTTCTCAGAGCTGCTTTTAAACCACAAACTGAGTGGCTTAAAACAAAAGAAATGTATTGCCTCATAGTTCTGTAGGCTAGAAGTTTGAAATCAAGGCGTTGGCAAGTTTGGTTCCTACCAGAGGCTCTGAGGGAGAATCTGTCCCATGCCTCTCTTCTAGCTTCTGCTGGTGCTGACAATCCTTGGCATTCCTTACTTACCTTGTAGACACCACTACAATTTCTGCCTGTGTTGCTACCGGGCATTCTCACTATGTTTCTGTGTCTTCACATGGCCTTCTTATAAGGACAGTCATTAGATTTAGGGCCCACTCTAATCCAGTAATTCCCCATCTTAACTAACTACATTTGCAAAGATTCTATTTCTAAAGAGGGCCACATTCTGAGGTTGTAAGTGGACACTGAATGTTGGATAGGGTGACACTATTCACACAGCAGAGTCCAACTACATTCCTTTGCATGTGAATATCCAGTTGTCCCAGCACCATTTGTAGAAAAGACTATCCTTTGGAGCACCTTGTTACAGCCTAGCAAGGGTGGAAGTCTAGGCTCCCCACTCAGTCTTGGTGATACAGGTAGGGGTAGGGTCACAGTTCTTTCTGTAGCACTTGGCTGGAGTACAGGAGTTGTTATATAAAGTTTGCTGTCTTGCTAGATTTTCCCTTTCCTGGTTCTTTGGCTAGTGAGAGAAGGTTTTCGTTTTTTGTCTCACCCTTCGGCATTTTTGGATTGTCAGCTTCTTCAGTTCCAAGGCTTCGAGATGTAAGGTAGGAAGAAAACCCAGGAAACTCATCACTATGTTGTTCCTTGGACCCCCAAGATCCCTAGCTTGTCTGCTGCCTTCTCTCCATCTTTCAGTCTTTTTTTTTTTTTCTTTTTGAGACAGAGTCTCACTCTTTTGCCCAGGCTGGAGTGTAGTGGTGCGATCTTGGCTCACTGCAACCTCCACCTCCTGGGTTCAAGCAATTCTGCCTCAGCCTCCTGAGTAGCTGGAATTACAGGCACACGCCACCATGTATGGCTAATTTTGTATTTTTAGTAGAGATGGGGTTTCACCATATTGGCCAGGCTAGTCTTTAACTACTGACCTCAAGAGATCCACCTGCCTCAGCCTTTCAAAGTGCTGGGATTACAGGCATGAACCATCACGCCCGGCTTTTCTTTCAGTCTTCTTATGTTTGTTTTATATATAATGTCCAGGGTTTTTAGTTGTATTTAGTGGGAGGAATTTAGGAAGTATGTCTACTCCACCTTCCCAGTGCACTTAATTTATAGGGCAATTTAAGTAGAATTAGCATCTTTGTAATCTGATACCTCCAAATAATACGTGATATATCTCTCAGTACATTAATCATAATATCTTCATAATATCTCTCAATAAAGATACTATTTTCTTGCAGATGTCTTGTTCTTTTGTTGTTATTGTTGTTGGTGTTAGTGTGAAAGAAAATAGAATCTTGGGACCCCAAACTCACTATGCCAAAGGGACATTAAGCTTGAGAGCTGAATTACTGCATTCCTTTTGTTACCAGATAGCTGTAATTTCACAATCCTGTACCATAGCCTCATTTCCTCTACTTCCCCTTTTCACATGTAAAATGTCAATTTACTGAGGCTAATCAGAGCCTCACAAGAATGTAACAATTCGCCTCACTACCTACCCTACCTCCCGTTTTCCCCCTCCTGCTTGCTCTTTCTCCTTTAAATAATGAAGTTCCCTGCCAGGTATGGTGGCTCACACCTGTAATCCCAGCACTTTGGGAAGCCAAGGTGGACGGATCACCTGAGGTCAGGAGTTCAAGACCAGCCTTGCCAACGTGGTGAAACCCTGTCTAAAGGGGGTTTTGGGAATTCTTAAATTCTAATCGTTTATATGTAAATTTTGCGGACAATTTTTGCATACATGTCATGATGTTACCAGTGGAGGGTGTCCAGGTCCCTGGTGTCTTAAACAAAGATTTGGACAAAATGTACAAAGTAAGGAAAGAATGAAGCAACAAAAGCAGAGATTTGTTGAAAATGAAAGTACACTCCACAGGGTGGGAGCAGGCCAAACATAGGGGCTCAAGGGCTCAGTTACAGAATTTTCCTGGGTTTAGGGTGTGGTGGCTCATGCCTGTAATCCCAGCACTTTGGGAGGCCAAGGTGGGCAGATCACCTGAGGTTGGGAATTCAAGGCCAGCCTCACCAACACAGAGAAACCCTGTCTCTACTAAAAAATACAAAAATTAGCCAGGCATGGCCCGTGGTGGGTGCCTGTAACCCCGGCTACTCAGGAGGCTGAGGCAGGAGAATCTCTTGAACCCAGGAGGCGGAGGGTGCAGTGAACTGAGATCGCACCATTGCACTCCAGCCTGGGTGTCAGAGTGAGACTCTGTCTCAAAAAAAAAAAAAAAAAAAGAAAGAAAGGAAGAAAAAAGAATTTTCTGGGGTTTACATCCCCTCTAGAGGTTCCCACTGGTTACTTGGTGTACGCCCTATGTAAATGAGGAGGATATTTTTTGTCATAGCTGAAGTGTTTTCATTTTCATTTGATTTAGTTCTAGGAAGTCCTTAGGTTCCCTGCCTCTAGTCCCTATTCTCCTGCCTCAGTGAGTGGTGCAAGGTTAGAGATAAGCAGGTCCTTGCATGTTTGTGTCTTTCCACAGTGTCAGGCTTTTACTGATGCTATTGCAATCACAAAAGCCAGGAGCTACACGGAGTTCCCAAGGGGGCAATCTCCTTAGTACTGTTACAGTAGGTAGTTAGACAGGCAAGAGCAGGGCAGGAGAGGGCTCCCTGCACCCACCAGGAATGTCAGGTGACCAATGGTCAGGCAGTTGTCACACTACCTATCTAAAATAATTGGTCACAGCCAGTACCAGGGAGAGGCAGTTTCCCAACAGATAAACACCTGAAATTGGTAATCAGCAGCTTCCGTAAGATCTAAGGAACTGGGCGAGTGGGCTCGAGCATGCACATTAAGAGGCAAAATGGAGGCATATGACCTTCCAGGGCATTCCACCAGAAAAGGGAAGAAAACCTCAGGTGAATATGTTTACAACTCCAGTAAACACACTGCGCATGCTCACCTGCCAGGCGTTAGTAGGCCACTGTGCATGTGGGCAGCTCACCCTAAGGCAAGAATGAAGGGAAAGGGGCACAAAATACTAGAAGTAGACCAGCATATGAAATCCAAGGTCTGGACCGGGCCCAGTGGCTCATGCCTATAATCCCAGCACTTTGGGAGGCCAAGGAGGGTGGATCATTTGAGGTCAGGAGTTCAAGACCAGCCCGGCCAATATGGTGAAGCCCTGTCTCTATTAAAAATACAAAAATTAGGGCTGGGCACGGTGGCTCACGCCTGTAATCCTAACACTTTGGGAGGCTGAGGTGGGCGGATCACGAGGTCAGGAGATGGAGACCATCCTGGTTAACATGGTGAAACCCGGTCTCTACTAAAAATACAAAAAATTAGCCAGGCGTGGTGGCAGGTGCCTGTAGTCCCAGCTACTCAGGAGGCTGAGGCAGGAGAATGGTGTGAACCCGGGAGACGGAGCTTGCAGTGAGCCAAGATCGCGCCACTGCACTCCAGCCTGGGCAACAGAGCGAGACTCCATCTCAAAAAAAAAAAAATACAAAAATGAGCCAGAGCACAGTGGCTCACACCTGTAATCCCAGCACTTTGCAAGGCCGAGGCAGGCGGATCATGAGGTCAGGAGATCAAGACCATCCTGGCTAACACGGTGAAACCTCATCTCTACTAAAAATACAAAAAAAAATTAGCCAAGGGTGGTGGCGGGTGCCTGTACTCCCAGCTACTTGGGAGGCTGAGGCAGGAGAATGGCATGAACCCCAGAGGCAGAGCTTGCAGTGAGCCAAGATCGTGCCATTGCACTCCAGCCTGGGCAACAGAGCGAGACTCTGTCTCAAAAATAAATAAATAAATAAAATAAAAATACAAAAATTAGCTGGGTGGTAGTAGTGTGCGCCCTGTAATCCCAGCTACTCGCGACGCTGAGGCAGGAGAATCGCTGGAGCCTGGGAGGCAGAGGTTGCAGTGAGCTGAGATCACTCCACTGCAGTCCAGTCTGAGCGACAGAGTGAGACCCTGTCTCATTAAATAAATAAATAAATAATCCTAGGTCCAAGGTGAAATGGGGCACTTCTCCTTCAAGTTGCCCACTTGGGTCTCTTCCAAGTGTTCTTTCCTTCCTTTTGTTCCTGGTGTAAAGCTTTTTAATAAACTTTTACTCCTGCTTTAAAACTTGCCTCGGTTTCTCCTTCTGCCTTATGCCCCTCAGTGGAATTCTTTCTTCTGAGGAGGCAAGAATTGAGGTTGCTTCAGGCCTGTATGGATTTACTGCTGATGATCTGTATACCTTCCACAGCTAACAGTACTTCCTGTTCACTCAGTAGTCAGAGCTGTGGGCACGCAAGCCAGTCAATATTGTAAACCATACATAATAGTATAATTAATCAATATATAAATGTTACAAGTTAAACATTCCATGACAAAGTAACATTTAACATCAAGAGGAGAAAGAGATAGGAGAAAGGGTTAAAGAACCAGTCCAGGCAGAACAAAGAAGAAAAGGAGTTCTGTTTTGGGCCAGTTGGTCTGCCAGTCTTGCGAGGAAGAGTCTTTGATGTGGCAGAGCCTTCGGAGGCAGATGGCAAGTTCTTATCACGAGTGACTGACTGCAAGACGGTGTCAGTTAAGATGACCATTTTGAGCTGCTGAAGGCCTCATCTTTTTTTTTTGAGACGGAGTTTTGCTCTTGTTGCCCAGGTTGGAGTGCAATGGCGCAATCTCGGCTCACTGCAACCTCTGCCTCCCGGGTTCAAGCGATTCTTCTGCCTCAGCCTCCCAAGTTGCTGGGATTACTGGCGCCCGCCACCACGCCTGGCTAATTTTTTGGATTTTGAGTAGAGACAGGGTTTCACCATGTTGGCCAGGCTGGTCTTGAACTCCTAACCTCAGGTGGTCCGCCCGCCTTGGCCTCCCAAAGTGCTGGGATTACAGGCGTGAGCCACCGCACCCAGCTGGCCTCATTTTTTTTTTTTTTTTTTGAGACGGAGTCTCGCTCTGTTGCCAGGCTGGAGTGCAGTGGTGCAATCTCAGCTCACTGCAACCTCTGCCTCCCTGGTTCAAGCGATTCTCCTGCCTCAGCTTCCCGAGTAGCTGGGATTACAGGCACTTGCCACCACGCCCGCCTAATTTTTTGTATTTTTAGTAGAGACAGGGTTTCACCATGTTGGCCAGGCTGGTCTCAAACTACTGACCTCAGGTGATCCGCCCGCCTTGGCCTCCCAAAGTGCTGGGATTACAGGCGTGAGCCACCGCGCCCGGCTGGCCTCATCTTTTATAGTCACAGAATCCTCTAGTGAGAACTGATAGTGGAAGAGCATGCTTGTGTCCTTAACTGGTTGGATGCATCTTTTAAAAAACTTTGTTTATTAAGCAAAGCATCTTATACTTGTTGACAAAGTTCCCTATGAAATATAAAATGGAGACTGGGCGCGGTGGCTCATGCCTATAATCCCAGCATTTTGGGAGGCTGAGGCAGGTGGATCACCTGAGGTCAGGAGTTTGAGACCAGCCAGGCCAACATGGTGAAACCCCATCTCTACTAAAAATACAAAAAAAAAAAAAAAAAATTAGCCAGCCGTCGTGGCGGGCACCTATAATCCCAGCTACTCAGGAGGCTGAGGCAGGAGAATTGCTTGAACCCGGGAGGCGGAGGTTGCAGAGAGCCGAGATCGCGCCATTGCACTCCAGCCTGGGTGACAAGAGTGAAACTCTGTCTCAAAAAAAAAAAAAAAAAAAAAAAAATGGCCAGGTGCAGTGGCTCACGCCTGTAATCCCAGGCCTTTGGGAGGCCGAGGTAGGCAGATCACGAGGTCAGCAGTTTGAGACCAGCCTGACCAACATGGTGAAACCCCATCTCTACTAAAAATACAAAAATTAGCCAGGCATGGTGGTGCGCTGTAATCCCAGCTACTCAACAGGCTAAGACAGGAGAATTGCTTGAACCCAGGAGGTGGAGATTGCAGTGAGCCAAGATCACACTATTGCACTCCAGCCTGGGTGACAAGAGTGAAACTCCATCTCAAAAAAATAAATAAAAATAAATGGCCAGGTACAGTGGCTCATGCCTGTAATCCCAGGACCTTGGGAGGTCCAGGCGGGCAGATCACAAGGTCAGGAGTTTGAAACCGCCTGATCAACATGGTGAAACCCCATCTCTACTAAAAATACAAAAATTAGCCAGGCATGGTGGCATGCTGTAATCCCAGCTACTCAAGAGGCTAAGGCAGGAGAACTGCTTGAACCTGAGAGGTGGAGGTTGCAGTGAGCTGAGATCACGCCATTGCACTTCAGCCTGGGCGACAGAGCGAGACTCTGTCTCAAAAAATATAAATAAATAAAAATAAAAATAAATAAATAAATATAAAATGGAGTCTTTTTCTAAGATGAAGTTAATTATGTCAAGGTTGTACTATACCATACATAACTATTCTGTAAGGTTTTTTTCTGACACCAAACACCAATTCTCCAATTCTCTAACAGGAATTGGGTGTCAAACAATTAAATTCAATTCTCTTGGCTCAGTTCCCTAAAATTGCTCCCATTTTAAGTGCCAGGTTTGCCACCGAACAGTTGTAAATTCGAGAATACCCGCCAATCTCCCTCAGGTTTAATAATTCGTTAGAATAATTCACAGAATATAGGAAAACACTTTACTTACATTTAGCAATGCATCGTAAAGGATACAACTCAGGAACAGCTAAGTGGAAGAGATGCACCGAGAAAAGTATGCCCTGGGTGGGGGTAGAAGGTGGAGGAAGATATAGAGTTTCCATGCCTTCTCCTGGTTGGCACCCTCCTAACACCAATTTTTTCACCAACTATGAAGCTTTCCATACCCTATTATTTAGGGGGTTTCATGGAGTTTTCTTTTCTCTTTTTTTTTGAGCGAAGTCTCACTCTTGTCCCCCAGTCTGGGGGACAAGATCTCAGCTCACTGCAACCTCTGCTTCCCGGGTTCAAGCGATTCTCCTGCCTCAGCCTCCCAACTAGCTGGGATTACAGGCGCCTGCCACCACACCCGGCTAATTTTTGTATTTTTAGTAGAGATGGGGTTTCACCACGTTGGCCAGGCTGGTCTCGAACTCCTGACCTCAGGTGATCCGTTGTCTTGGCCTCCCAAAGTGCTGGGACTACAGGCGTGAGCCACCGTGCCTGGCCGGAGTTTTCACCACATAAGCATAATTAAGGCTTGACCTTTTGGTGATCAAACTCAATCTCCAGTCACCACTCCCTTCCCTGAGGTCTTGGGGGATGGGGCTGAAAGTTCTAACCCTCTAATCCTGGCTTGTTCTTTTCATTCTGAAGCTACTTAGGCCCTCTCCCTCCATATCAAGCCCCTCAGAAGCCATCTCAGGGTTGGGCATGATGGCTCACACCTGTAATCCCAGCACTTTGGGAGGCTGAGGCGGGCAGATAACTTGAGGCCAGGAGTTCGAGACCAGCCTGGCCAACATGCGGAAACGCCATCTCTACTAAAAATACAAAAATTAGCTGGGCATGGTGGCACGCATCTATAGTCCCAACTACTCAGGAGGCTGAGGTATGATAATCGCTTGAACTGGGAAGCAGAGGTTGCAATAAGCCAAGATCACTCCATTGCACTCCAGCCTGGGCAATGAGTTTCTTTAGGGATGATAAAAAATGTTCTGGAATTAGAGTGTGATGATGGTAGCACAACTCTATAAATGTGTTAAAAATCACGAACTTGGCTGGGCACGGTGGCTCACGCTTGTAAACCCAGCACTTTGGGAGGCCGAGGTGGGAGGATTACGTGAGGTCAAGAGTTTGAGACCAGCCTGGCCAACATGGTGAAACCCCATCTCTACTAAAAATACAAAAATTAGCTGGGCATGGTGGCACATGCCTGTAATCCCAGCTACTTGGAGGCTGAGGCAGGAGATTCTCTTGAATCCGGGAGGTGGAGGTTGCTGTGAGCCAAGACTGCGCCATTGCACTCCAGCCTGGGCAACAAGAGCGAGTTTCTGTCTCAAATAAACAAACAAAGAAAAAACAAAAAAACCACTGAACTTTGGCACTGTCCTGGGTTACAGAAAAAAATTAAAAAAAAAAAAAAAAAAACCACTGAACTGTACACTTTAAAGGTGTAAATTTTCTTTTTCTTTCCCGAGGTGAAGTCTTGCTCTGTCACTCAGGCTGGAGTACAGTGGTGCAATCGCGGCTCACTGCAACCTCTGTCTCCTGGGTTCAAGCAATTCTCCTGCCTCAACCTCCTGAGTAGCTGGGATTACAGGTATGTGCCACCAAACCCAGCTAATTTTTGTATTTTTAGTAGAGATGGGGTTTCACCATGTTGGCCAGGCTGGTTTCAAACTCCTGACCTTGTGATCTGCCCACCTCGGCTTCCCAAAGTGCTGGGATTACAGGTGTGAGCCATCGCGTCCAGCCTAAAAGGGTAAATTTTACGGAATCTGAATTAAATCTCCATAAAGGTGTTTAAAAATAAAAACCAGTGAGCAAAGGGCAAAAATGAATACTCCTATATCTTATATGAGTCTTAATTCACCATTTTACTTTAGATTGACTTTTTAAACATTAATTCTAATTATAAAAGTAATGCAAATAGATTTTAAAAAACTCTTGGCCAGGCACAATGCCTTATGCCTGTAATTCCAGCACCGTGGGAGACCAAGGCAGTAGCCTGAGGCCAGGAATTTGTGACCAGCCTGGACAACACAGCAAGACCCCTAGCTCTACAAAAATAACAATAATAATAGTAATTAGGGCATGGTGATGCACATTTGTAGCCCCAGCTGCTCAGGAGGATCGCTTGAGTGCAGGAGATCGAGGCTACAGTGAGCTATGGTCACACCACTGCACTCTAGCCTGGGGGACAGAGGGAGACCCTGTATTAAAAGAGAAGAAAGAGAGAGAGAGAGTGGGGTGGGTGGTGGGGAGAGAAAGGAAAGAAACAAAAAGAAAGAAAGGATGGCAGGAAGGGAGGGATAGAGGGGGAAGAAAAGTATTAAATATAAAAAAGTAGAGAGGGCCAGGTGCAGTGGCTCATGCCTATAATCCCAGCACTTTGGGAGGCTGAGGCAGCTGGATCACCTGAGATCAGGAGTTTGAGACCAGCCTGGCCAACGTGGCGAAACCCCATCTCTACTAAAAAATACAAAAATTAGCCAGGCATGGTGGTGCATGCCTGTAGTCCTGGCAACATGGAAGGCTGAGGCAGGAAAATCGCTTGAACCCGGGAGGTGGAGGTTGCAGTGAGCCAAGATCTCACCATTGCACTACAGCCTGGGTGACAGAGCGAGACTCTGGCTCAAAAAACAAACAAAAAACCCTTCTCCTTAATCATCTTTAGTTATTATTGACACTTTGTCTTCATTACTTTTTTTTTTTTTTTGAGACAAGGTCTCGCTCTGACACCCAGGTTGGGGTACAGTGACCCGATCTTGGCTCACTGCAGACTTGACCTCATGGGCTCAAGTGATCCTCCTGCCTCAGCTTCCCAAAGTGCTGGGATTACAGGCATGAGCCACTGTGTCCAGCTGTTTTCATTACTTTCAAAGTGCCTTTTCACCAGTTCTCATTTTATCCAAGGACAACTGAGCCTTCCTTTCTTCTTTGTATAGAAGACCTGAGTATCTGTGCAACATGGTAGTTACTATATACATGTGGCTAATTTTTTTTTTTTTTTTTTGAGATGGAGTCTCACTCTGTTGCCAGGCTGGAGTGCAGCGACATGATCTCGGCTCACTGCAACCTCCACCTCCTGGGTTCAAGTGGTTCCCCCACCTCAGCCTCCCAAGTAGCTGGGACTACAGGCATGTACCACCATACCCGGCTAATTTTGTATATATTTGTATTATTTAATTGTAAATTAATTACAATCTAATAAAGTAAAATATTCAAATTCTTATTCACACTAGACACATCTTTTTTTTTGGGATGGAGTCTTGCCCTGTTGCCCACTACACTCCAGCCTGGATGACAAAGCAAGACAAACAACAAAACAAACAAACAACAAAAAAAACTTCATTGCTGAAAAATGCTAATGATCATCTGAGCCTTCAACTAGTTATAATCTTTTTGCTGGTGGAGGATATTGCCTTGATGTTAATGGCTGCTGACTGATCAGGGTAGTGATTGCTGAAGGTTAAGGTGGCTGGAGCAATTTCTTTTTTCTTTTTCTTTTTTTTTTGCAATAGAGTCTCGCTCTTGTCGCCCAGGCTGGAGTGTAATGGTGTGATCTCCGCTCACTGCAATCTCCGCCTCCCAGGTTCAAGCGATTCTCCTGCCTCAGCCTCCCAAGTAGCTGAAAGTGCTGGGATTACAGGTGTAAGCCACTGTACCCGGCCACAACTTCTTTTCTTTTCTTTCTTTCTTTTTTTTTTTTTTGAGATGGAATTTCACTCTTGTTGCCCAGGCTAGAGTGCAATGGTGCAATCTCAGCTCACTGCAGCCTCTGCCTCCCAGGTTCAAGCGATTCTTCTGCCTCAGCCTCCCAAGTAGCTGGGATTACAGGCATGTGCTACCACACCTGGCTAATTTTTTGTATTTAGTAGACACAGGGTTTCACCATGTTGGCCAGGCTGGTCTCGAACTCCTGACCTCAGATGATCCACCCGCCTTGGCCTCCCAAAGTGCTAGGATTACAGGCGTGAGCCACTGCACCTGGCCTGCAGTTTCTTAAAGACAACAGTGATGTCTGCTGCAGTGATTGACTTCCTTTCATGAAAGATTTCTCTGTAGCATGTGATGCTGTTTGATAGCATTTTACCCACAGTAGAACTTCTTTCAAAATTGGAGTCAATCCTCTCAAACCCTGTTGTTGCTTTATCAACTAAGTTTATGAAATATTTAAAATCCTTTGTTGTCATTTCAATAATGTTCAAGCATCTTCACCGAGTACATTCCATCTCAAGAAACCACCATGTGAGTGTGGTGGCTCACGCCTGTAATCCCAGCACTTTGGGAGGCCGAGGCGGGTGGATCACCTAAGGTCAGGAGTTTGAGACCAGGCTGGCCAACATAGCGAAACCCCATCTCTGCTAAAAATACAAAAAATTAGCCAGTGCCTGTAATCCCAGCTACTTGGGAGGCTGAGGCAGAAGAATTGCTTGAACCCGGGAGACGGAGGTTGCAATGAGCCGAGATCGCACCATTGCACTCCAGCCTGGAAGGCAGAGCAAGACTCTGTCTCAAAAAAAAAAAAAAAAAAAAAAAAAGTAAAAATGACTCTTAGATCCACGGGCTACAGAATGGATGCTGTTAGCAGTCACGAAAGTAACATTAATCTCCCTCCCCGTACATGTCATCAGAACTCCTGGGTGACCAGGTGCATTGTCAATGAGCAGTAACATTTTGAAAGAATCTTTATTTCTGAAAAGTACATCTCAACAACAGGCTGAAAATACTCAGTAAACAATGTTGTAAATAGGTATGCTGTCATCCAGGTGTCGTTATTCCATTTATAGAGCATGGGCAGAGTAGACTTACCATGATACTTTAGGGCCCTGGGATTTTTGGAATGGTAAACGAGCATTGGCTTCAACTTAAAATCACCTGCTGCATTAGCCCCTGACAGATTCAGGCTGTTCTTTGAAGGTAGGCACTGACTTGTCCCTTCCAGCTATGAAAGTCACAGATGACATCTTCTTTCAATGTGAGGTTGTTTTGTCTACATCGAAAATCTTTTTTTATTGCTCATTTTTTGTTGATTTGCTTTCTTTTGGAGACAGGGTCTTGTTCTGTTGCCCAGGCTGGAATGCAGTAGCATGATCATAGCTCACTGCAGCCTCAAAACCCTGGGCTCAGGAAGCCACTCACCTCAGCCTGCCAGGTAGCTAGGACTACAGGAGCATGCCATCACACCTGGCTAATTTTTTTATTTTTGTAGAGATTAAAAAATTGCCTTGCTATGTTGCTCAGGCTGGCCTCAAGCAATGCTCTCACCTCAGCCTCCCAAAGTGCTGGGATTAGACATGAGGCACAGTGCCTGGCCAAAAATGTGTTGTTTAGTATAGCCATCTTCATCAATGATCTTAGCTAGATCTTCTGGATCACTTGCTGCAGCTTCTACATCAGCACTTATTGCTTCGCTTTGCACTTTTATGTTATGGAGACAGCTTCTTTCCTTAAACTTCACGAGCCAACCTCTGCTAGCTTCAAACTTTTCTTCTGTAGTTTCCTCACCTCTCTCAGCCTTCTCAGAATTGAAGATAACTGAGGTCCTGCTCTGGATTAGGCTTTGGCTTAAGAGAATGTTGTGGCTGGTTTGATCTTCTATCCAGACTACTAAAACTTTCTCCCTATCAGCATCAATAAGGCTGTTTCACTTTTTTTTTTTTTTTTTTTTTGAGACAGAGTCTCTCTCTGTTACCCAGGCTGGAGTGCAGTGGCACAATCTCAGCTCACTGCAATGTTCACCTCTGGGGTTCAAGTGATTCTCTTGCCTTAGCTTCCCGAGTGTCTGGGATTACAAGTGTGCACCACCACACTCAGCTAATTTTTGTATTTTTAGTAGAGACAGGGTTTCACTATGTTGGCTAGGCTGGTCTTGAGCTCCTGACCTCAGGTGATCCACCCACCTCAGCCTCCCAAAGTGCTGGGATTACAGGCGTGACCCACCACGCCCGGACTGTTTCACTTTCTTATCATTCATGTGTTCACTGGAGTAGCACTTTTAATTTCCTTTGAGAACTTTTCCTTTGCATTCACAATTTGGCTGTTTAGCACAAGAGGATTAGCTGTTAGCCTCTCTCAGAGACCACTGTAGGGTTATTAATTGGTCTGATTTCAATGTTGTTGTGTCTAATTTAACAGGGAGGCATAAGAAGAGGGAGACAGGAAATGGCTGGTCAGTAGAACAATCACAACACACACATTTATATATTAAGGTCACTGTCACGTGATCTTATGTTTGTGGCACTCCAAAACCATTACAATAGTAACATCAAAGATTACTAATCACAGATCACCATAACAAATACAATAATAATAAAAAAGCTTTTTTTTTTTTTTTTTTTTGAGATGTCGCTTTGTCTCCCAGGCTGGAGTGCAATGGCACGATCTCGGCTCACCACAACCTCCGCCTTCTGGGTTCAAGCGATTCTCCTGCCTCAGACTCCCAAGTAGCTGGGATTACAGGCGTGTGTCACCACACCCAGCTAATTTTGTATTTTTGGTAGAGATGGGGTTTCGCCATGTTGGCTAGGCTGGTCTTGAGCTCCTGACTTCAGGAGATCCGCCTGCCTTGGCCTCCCAAAGTGCTAGGATTACAGGTGTGAGCCACTACACCCAGCCTGTAATGAAAAATTTTTATATATTATGAAAATTACCAAAATGTGACACAGAGACATGAAGTGAGCAAATGCTGTTGGAAAAATGGTGCTAACAGACTTGCTTGATGCAGGGTTGCCATAAACCTTCAATACGTTTTAAAAAAAAAAAAGAAAGAGAAAACTCTCATCATCTGTGAAGTTCAGTAAAGTGGGCCAGACACAGTGGCTCACACCTGTAATCCCAGCTACTTGGGAGGCTGAGGCAGGATAATCCTTGAACCAGGGAGGCGGAGGTTGCGGTGAGCCAAGATTGCGTCATTGCACTCCAGCCTGGGCAACAAGAGCGAAACTCTGTCTCAAAAAAAATAAAAAGGGCCGGGCACGGTGGCTTAAGCCTGTAATCCCAGCACTTTGGGAGGCCGAGGCAGGCCGATCACTTGAGGTCAGAAGTTCGAGACCAGCCTGGCCAACGTGGTGAAACACTGTCTCTACCAAAAATACAAAAATTAGCCGGGCGTGGTGGCAAGTGCCTGTAGTCCCAGCTACTTGGGAGGCTGAGGCAGGAGAAGAGATTGAACCCAGGAGGCAGAGGTTGCAGTGAGCCGAGATCACACGACTGTACTCCAGCCTGGGCAACAAGAGCGAAACTGTCTCAAAAGAAAAACAAAACAAAACAAAACAAGTTCAGTAAAGTGAAGTGCAATAAAGTAAGGTATGTCTGTGTATCTTTTTACCTCTTCAATGTTTGAACCATGGGAACTTTACCTATTCAAAAAATATGTGTAAAGTTTTGCTTTCAAGTCTACTGCTTTTATTAATTACATGTTTTTTGTTTGTTTGTTTCTTTTTTTGAGACAGAGTCTTACTCTGTTGCCCAGGCTGGAATGCAGTGGCACGATCTTGGCTCACTGCAACCTCCACCTCCCAGGTTCAAGCAATTCTCCTGCCTCAGCCTCCCAAGTAGCTGGGACTAAAGGCACATGCCACTACGCCTGGCTAATTTTTTGTATTTCAGTAGAGATGGGGTTTCACCGTGTTGCCCAGGCTGGTCTCAAACTCCTGAGCTCAGGCAATCCACCGCCTCAGTCTCCCAAAGTGCTAGGATTACAGGCGTGAGCCACCATGCCTGGCCAGCAATTACATGTTTGTATATATTTTTATTTATTTTATTTATTTATTTATTTATTTTTGAGACAGAGTCTCGCTCTGTCACCCAGGCTGTAGTGCAGTGGCGTGATCTTGGCTCACTGCAAGCTCCACCTCCTGGGTTCACATCATTCTCCTGCCTCAGCCTTCTGAGTAGCTGGGACTACAGGCGCCTGCCACCACGCCCGGCTAATTTTTTTTTTTTTCTTTAGTAGAGAGGGGGTTTCACCGTGTTAGCCAAGATGGTCTCGATCTCCTCACCTCGTGATCTGCCCGCCTCGGCCTCCCAAAGTGCTGGGATTACAGGCATGAGCCACTGTGCCCGGCTACATGTTTTTATAAATCCATTCAGTCAACTGTCTTCTTAGTGACTCTACAGTATCTTCTTCTATTTCACAAATGGTGACACAATGGCTTTAGCAAAATATAAATCCTGGTTAAACCCAATTCACTATCAGGTTTATACCTTCTCCTGAGCAGGTAAACCTGACTAGGGAAAAATACAACCCAGATGACTGATCTCATTTTATATTTACAACCACAGATGTCTGAATGACCTACTACCTCTCCCTACTTAATTTACTCTACCATTCAGAGATAACTATTTCACAAATTCTCTCTCCACAAACTTCCCACATTTCACACATTCTCTCTCCACAAACCTCCCACACTCCTTCCCCAATCCTTACATTTAGCTAATGATCTCCCCATCCCTGTTTCACTGAAGAAGAAAAAAAAAAAGAAAAACATCAGAAGACAAAACTTACACAGTCCCACTACCACATCAGTTATGACTTACAATCAGCTGTAAATAACAGACACAAACACACACTCAACAAAAGAAAAAGAAAAATAGGAAAAAAGATCAGTGTGGCTTAAACAAATTGCTTCATTTTCTCCCATAATGAGACGTCCAGGGGGAGGCAATGCAGGGCTTGACAGCTCCATGTTGTCATCAGGCACCTAGACTCTATCTTCCTCCATCCTTAGCATATCATATGGCATAAGGTTGCTTTATTATCGTAAGAAGATTACTAGAACTCCACAGGACCCCAGCCATCTTGTCCATGTTCTAGGCAAAAAAAAAAAAAAAAAAAAAAAAGAAAAAGAAAGGGCCAATGACACTAGCTCAATCTTATCAATCCTGTTTTAGAAACTTTATCAGCAGCCCCACCAAACAACTTCCACTAACATTTCACCAGAACTTAGTCACATGGACCCCATCAGTTGGAACAGAAGCTGGGCACCCTGTTCCCAAAGAAATCAGGGTTCTGTTACTAAGGAAAAGAGGGAGAATTAGGAAAGATTACCTATTTTGTTCTTCTTTTTTAAAGATGAGGTTTAGCGGCTGGGCACGATAGGTCACATCTGTAATCCCAGCACTTTCGGATGCTGAGGCGGGCAGATCACGTGATGTCGGGAGGTCGAGACCAGCCCGACCAACATGGAGAAACCCTGTCTCTACTAAAAATACAAAATTAGCCAGGTGTGGTGGCACATGCCTGTAATCCCAGCTACTCGGGAGGCTGAAGCAGGAGAATCGCTTCAACCCGGGAGGTAGAGGTTGCGGTGAGCCGAGATCACGCCATTGCACTCCAGCCTAGGCAACAAGAGCGAAACTCCGTCTCAAAAAAAAAAAAAAAAAAAAAGGATGAGGTTTTGCTATGTTGCCCAGACTGGACTCAAACTCCTGGGCCCAAAGGATCCTCCTGCCTTAGCCTCCCGAGTAGCTGAAAGGCACCACTGTATGCCACCATCCCTGGCTGAAATTACCCATTTTCTAGTTCACTGCAGTAGAGGAGAAAAACAGAAATAATCAGAAGAGAAATTCCACAGATTCCACCACTAAATCTAACTGCCAACCGATTAATCGCTCCTCGAATTCTGGCTTCCTCCTGTGTGTCAGCAGGTGAATACTGTGCTCCTTTCCAAGGTGAACCCCTCCATGGTGCACTGGGTGCCTTTCCATTTCACTACTCTAAAGCTTTGCTCCTTTTCCCCACAACATGGATTTTACCTTTTGTTTTTTTTTTCTCATTAGCAAACAAATATTCTAAAATAGCTCCCACCTTAGAAACAAAAACAAAAAGAAAACCCCGCCTTTTATTGAACATCCCTATCCAGCTCTCCTGGTTATTACTCTTCTTTCTAACCCCTTAAAGCAAAAATCCTCAAAAAAGTTTTTAAATTCTCCTTCCTCCACTTCCTTGTCATGAATCATCTCTTGAACTTACACCAATAAGGCCTTAATTCATCCTTACTGCTCCACTGAAGCCACTCTTGCCCAGGTCACCAGTGAAATCTAACAGCTGATTCTCAGACCCCATGTTACCCAGCCTCCCAGAAAGCACAGTTCAAAAAGCAGAGTTATCACCTGCTCCTGCTTGAAACACTTTCTTCATTTGGTTTCCAGAATACTAAACTCTTCATTATTTTCTTTCTTCTATTTTTTTGGAAACACGGTCTTGCTCTGTTACCCAGGCTGGAATGCAGTGGCGCGATCACAACTTACTGCAGCCTTCACCTCGTGGGCTCCTATGTCAGCCTCCCAAGTAATCGGTACTACAGGTGCACACCACCACGCCTGGCTAATTTTTGTATTTGTTGTAAAGAAGGGATCTCCCTGTGTTGCCAGAGCTGGTCTCTAACTCCTGGGCTCAAGCAATCCTCCCACCTTGGCCTCCCCAAGTGCTGGTATTATAGGTGTGAACCACTGCACCCAGGCCATTATTAACTTCCAACATCACTGTCTGCTCCTTTTACTTTACACTACTAGATCCTGTTCCTAATTTTTATAAGTTAGAGTGCTCTGGGGTTCAGTCCTTGGACCTCTTCCTTTTTTTTTTTTTTTTTTCAGACAGTCTCGCTCTGTTGCCCAGGCTGGAGTGCAATGGCACAATCTCAGCTCACCACAACCTCCGCCTCCCGGGTTCAAGCGATTCTCCTGCCTCAGCCTCCCAAGTAGCTGGGACTATAGGCGCATGCCACCATGCCCAGCTAAATTTTGTAATTTTAGTAGAGACGGGGTTTCACTATGTTGGCCAGGCTTGTCTCGAACTCCTGACTTTGTGATCCGCCCGCCTGGTCTTCCCAAAGTGCTGGGATTACAGGCATGAGCCACTGCGCCCGGTTGGATCTCCCCCGTTCCCCAGGTGATCTTATCCACTTTCTATACTGATGACTTCTAAATTTATCTCCAACACGACCTCCCCTCTGCACTTTTTAACCAACTATTACTGCCTAATCAACATCTCTACTTATATTTAACCCACTGCATCTCAAACTTAACATGTCCAAAACTGAACTTTTGATTCTTTCCATTTCTCTACACCTGTTCCTCCTTTAGTATTCCCCAGTGTTGCTCAGACCAAAAATCTAGGGGTCATGACTGACTCCTCTCTTTCTTTCTCACAGCCAACTTCTTAATAAATCCTGTCAGTTCTGTCTTCAAAATATACTCAGAAGGCTGGGCGTGGTGGCTCAAGCCTATAATCCCAGCACTTTGGGAGGCCAAGGCAGGCAGATCACGAAGTCAGGAGATCAAGACTATCCTGGCTAACACGGTGAAACCCCACATCTACTTAAAAAAAAAAAAAAAAAAAATTAGCCGGGCGTGGTGGCACACGCCTGTAGTCCCAGCTACTTGGGAGGCTGAGGCAGGAGAATCACTTGAACCTGGGAGGCAGAGATTGCAGTGAGCCGAGATCACACCACTGCACTCCAGCCTGGGTGACAGAGCAAGACTCCATCTCAAAAACAAAACAAAACAAAACAAAACAACTCACATTTCCACCACTTCTTACCACCTCAACAATATCACCTTGATTCAAGCCACTATCATCTCTTATTTGCATTACTGCCCATTCCCTTCTAGTTCATCTTCCTTCTTCCACTCTTAACCTCCTGTGGTTTACTCTCACAAAAGCCAGAGCAATGCTCTTAAAACCTAAAATAGAACATGTCACACCTTTGCTCAAAACTATCTAATAGCTTCTCATTATTTTTAGAATAAAACACAAAATCTCTCCATGCCTAATAACACTATTACATGAGCTAGACCCTGGCTACCTCTCCAATCTCATTTCATAACGCTCTCCCCCTCACTCACTACTCTGCTCTGGCCTCATTGACCTTCTTGTTACTGCTTTGAAAAGATATACACATCCAGTTTCCAGACCAGCAGAAAAGAAGCTCGGAAGTCACCACTCCATGATAACAACAAGTAAAAGCTGAACAAACTAAAAAATCAACAGCTCCTTTTTTTTTTTTTTAACTGCTCCATGCAGAGCAGGGCTAAGTCATAGGCAGTGCATCTAGAGCTGCCAACAACTCTTTATAGATCTGTAGGAGAAACTAGATAAAAAAAGTAAAGGAGGCCGGGCGCGGTGGCTCACGCCTGTAATCCCAGCACTTTGGGAGGCCGAGGCGGGTGGATCACAAGGTCAGGAGATCGAGACCATCCTGGCTAATACGGTGAAACCCCGTCTCTATTAAAAATACAAAAAAATTAGCCAGGCATGGTGGCGGGCACCTGTAGTCCCAGCTACTTGGGAGGCTGAGGCAGGAGAATGCCGTGAACCTAGGAGGCAGAGCTTGCAGTGAGCCGAGATTGTGCCACTGCACTCCAGCCTGGGCGACAGAGCGAGACTCTGTCTCAAAAAAAAAAAAAAAAAAGTAAAGGAGGCTGAGCATAGTGGTTCATGTCTATAATCCCAGGCCTTTGGGAGGCCAAAGTGGGAGGATGACTAGATGCTAAGAGTTCAAGCCCAGCCTGGGCAACATGGCAAGACCTCATCTCTACAAAATTAAAATTAAACTTTTTTTTTTTAAAGTGAAGGAGCTGGGCAAGGTGGCACACCTATAGTTCCAGTTACTTTACAGGCTGAGGCAGGAGGATCCCTTGAGCCCAGGAGTTCAAGGCTGCAGTATATGATTATCACATCTGTGAATAGCCACTGCACGCCAATCTGGGCAACATAGCGAGGCTTCATCTCTACAAAAAAGTAATAAAAAAGAAATAAAAGGCTGGGTGTGGTGGCTCATGCCTGTAATCCCAGCACTTTAGTAGGCTGAGGCAGGTGGATCACTTGAGGTCAGGAGTTCAGGACCAGCCTGGCCCACATGTTAAAACCGCATCTCTATCAAAAAATACAAAAATTGGCTGGGTGTGGTGGCGTATGCTGTAGCCCCAGCTACGCGGGAGGCTGAGGCAGGAGCGTTACTTGAACCTGGGAGGAGGAGGTTGCAGTGAGCCAAGATCACACCACTGCACTCCAGCCTGGGTGACAGAGCGAGACTCCGTCTCAAAACAACAGAAAAAGAAATAAAAGAGAGGACATAATTACAGATTCCATGAACATTAAAGGGAAAATAAAGGAAAACTCTATGTGCACAGATTTGATAACCTAGATGAAATAGACAAATTCCTTGAAAGACACAATCTGCCAAATTCACATAAGAAGAAAGACAATTTGAACAGCTCTATATCTATTAAAGAACTGAATCGGCTGGGCGCGGTGGCTCATGCCTGTAATCCCAGCACTTTGGGAGGCTGAGGTGGGCAGATCATGAGGTCAGGAGATCGAGACCATCCTGGCTAACACGGTGAAACCCCATCTCTACTAAATATACAAAAAATTAGCTGGGCATGGTGGCACGCACCTGTAGTCCCAGCTACTCGGGTGGCTGAGGCAGGAGAATTGCTTGAACCCAGGAGGCAGAGGTTGCAGTGAGCTGAGATCGCGCCACTGCACTCCAGCCTGGGTGACAGAGCGAGACTCCGTCTCAAATAATAATAATAATAATTGAATCAATAATTAATAACCTTCCCAAACAGAAAGCACCAGGCCCAGATGGGTTAACTGATGAATTCTACCAAACATTTATTTATTTATTTTGAGATGGAGTCTTGCTCTGTTCCCCAGCCCGGAGTGCAGTGGTGCAATCTTGGCTCACTGCAACCTCTGCCTTCTGGGTTCAAGTGATTCTCCTGCCTCAACCTCCTGAGTAGCTGGGATTACAGGCGTATGCCACCATGCCTAGCTAATTTGAATTCTACCAAACTTTTAGGGGAAACATTATCCCAATTTTATACCATCTCTTTAAGAAGAAAGAAGCAGAGGGATTATTCCCTAACTCATTCTATGAGATCAGTGTTACCGTAATACCAAAACCAGACAGATACTACAAAAAAAAAAAAAAGAAAAAAGAAAACTACAGACCAATATTTGCATGGACATAGATGCAAAAATCCTTAATTAAATATCAGAAAATCAAATCCAACACTGGATAAAAAGAATTATATACCAAGACCAAGTGGAATTTATCCCAGGTATACAAGGCTGGTTCAACATTTGAAAATGAATAAGGCCAGGAGCAGTGGCGCATACCTATAATCCCAGCATGTTGGGAGGCTGAAGTGGGACAATCACTTCAGCTCAGGAGCTCAAGACCAGCCTGAACAACGTGGCAAGACCTCATCTCTACAAAAAATTTAAAAATTAGCAGGGTGTGGTGGCATACACTTGTGGTCCTAGCTACTCAGGAGGCTGAGGTGAGAGGATCGCTGAAGCCCAGGAGACCGAGACTGCAGTGAGCTATGTTCATGCCACTGCACTCCGGCCTGGGTGACAGAGCAAGACCCTGTCTCAAAAAAAAAAGAAAGAAAAAGAAAAGATCAATTAATAAAATCCATCAGATCAGCAGTCTAAAGAAGAAAAAGGCCAGGTGCAGTGGCTCATGCCTGCAATCCCAGGACTTTGGGAGGCCGAGACAAGCAGATGGCTTAAGGTCAGGAGTTCAAGACCAGCCTGGCCAACATGGTGAAACCCTGCATCTGCTAAAAATAAAAAAAATTTGCCAGGTGTGGTGGCGTGCGTCTATAATCCCAGCTAATCCAGTGGCTGAGGCACGAGAATTGTTTGTACCAGGGAGGTGGAGGTTGCAGTGAGCCAAGATGGTGCCACTGCACTCCATTCTGGGCAACAGAGCAAAACTGTTTAAAAAAGAAAAAAGAAAGAAAAATCACATAATCATATCAACATATGCAGAAGAAGCATATGACAAAATCCAACACTCATTCATGATAAACTCTCTTGATAAACTTAGAGGGGAACTTTCTCGTCTTGATCAAGAATGTCTACAAAATCCCTACAGCTAACACTATACTTAAAAGTGAGAAATTAGAAGCTTTCTCACTAAGATTAGGAACAGGCAAGCATGTCCCTTCTCACGACTCCAGCAAGACTTATTTTATTCACTGTTATATCAACCCAGCACTTATAAGGAGTACCTGCCATGGTAAGCTCTCAATACTTGTCCAATAAGTAAATAAATAAAAATAGACACCATACTGTTTTCTCTATATTTAATACAATGGACACTTTCTAGTCTTTACCCTATTTAACCTGCAGGATTTGACACTGCAGCATTTGACACTGTACTCGCTTGAAACTCTTTACTTGGATCGTAAAACCCCCAGTTCTTCCTCTTTGATCATTCTTTCTCAGACTCCTTTTGTTTATTTGTTTATTTATTTTTGAAACGGAGTCTCGCTTAGCCGCCCAGGCTGGAGTGCAGTGGTGCGATCTCAGGTCACTGCAACCACTGTCTCCCAGGTTCAAGTGATTCTTCAGTCTCAGCCTCTTGAGTAGCTGGGATTACAGGCACCTGCCATCATGCCCAGCTTTAGTAGAGATGGGGTTTCAGCATGTTGGCCAGGCTGGTCTTGAACTCCTGACCTCAGGTGATCCACCTGCCTTGGCCTCCCAAAGTGCTAGGATTATTGCGACCGGCTCAGACTCCATTTTTTTTTTTTTTTTTTTTTTTTGAGACAGTCTCGCTCTGTTACCCAGGCTGGAGTGCAGTGGCACAATCTCGGTTCACTGCAACCTCCGCCTCCTGGGTTCAAGCAATTCTCCTGACTCAGCCTCCTGAGTAGCAGGGACTACAAGTGCACGCCACCATGCCTGGCTAATTTTTGTATTTTTTTAGTAGAGACGGGGTTTCACATGTTGGTCAGGATGGTCTTGATCTCCTGATCTTGCGATCCACCTGTCTCGGCCTTCCAAAGTGCTGGGATTACAGGCATGAGCCACCATGCCCAGCCACTTTTTTTTTTTTTTTTTTGAGATGGAGTCTCACTGTTGTTGCCCAGGCTGGAGTGCAATGGCGCAACCTCAGCCTCCTGGGTTCAAGTGCTTCTCCTGTCTCAGCCTCCCAAGTAGCTGGGATTACAAGCATGCGCCACCATGCCCGGCTAATTTTGTATTTTTAGTAGAGATGGGGTTTCTCCATGTTGCTCAGGCTGGTCTCGATCTCCTGACCTCAGGTGATCCGCCTGCCTTGGGCTCCCAAAGTGCTGCAATTACAGGCGTGAGCCACTGTGCCCAGCCCCAGACTCCTTTTATAAGCTCATTTTCTCCACTTTAAATGTGATCATTCTTTCAATTCCTTACTAAGGCCAGGTTCTCTATCTACTTCAGGGTTCTCTATTAATACCACCACGTTCAGCCGGGAACGGTGGCTCACGCCTGTAATCCCAGCACTTTGGGAGGCCAAGGCGGGTGGATCATGAGGTCAGGAGTTCCAGACCAGCCTGGCCAACATGGTGAAACCTTGTCTACATTAAAAATTCAAAAATTAGCTGGGCACGATGGCAAGCACCTGTAATCCCAGCTACTTCGGAGGCTGAGGCAGGAGAATTGCTTGAACCCAGGTAGCAGAGGTTGCAGTGAGCCGAGATTTCACCACTGCACTCCAGCCTGGGTGACAGAGTGAGACTCCGTATCAAAAAGAAAAAAAAAAAAAAAGAAAGAAAAGCACTACTTTCCTAGCTCTACACATTCCCCCTGAGAGGTCTTACCATTCCCGTAGTTTAATTACCATTTTAATACTGAAGGTTCAAAATCTGTCTCTCTCTCCCCTCTCCATATCTGCAAGTATGTCTGCCTAATGGACATCTCTAAGCATATGTACTACCGACACTTAAACCTCAAAATGTGTTAAAAACTGACCTTTTCTTACTTCCCGCCCACTTCTTTCTTCAATATTTTGATCTCAGTGAAAAGCACCACGATTCACGTGGTTATTTAAATGAGAAACCTTTGCTGGTCGCAGTGGTTCACATCTGTAATCCCAGCACTTTGGGAGGCCGAGGTGGGCGGATAGCTTGAAGTCAAGATTTCGAGACCTGCCTGGCCAACATGGTGAAACCCGGTCTCTACTAAAAATACAAAAATTAACCAGGCGTGGTAGCACATATCTGTAATCCCAGCTACCTGGGAGGCTGAGGCAGGAGAATCACTTGAACCTGGGAGGCAGAGGTTGCAGTGAGCCAAGATCGTGCCACTGCACTCTAGCCTGGGAAACAGAGTGAGACTCTGTCTCAAAAATAAATAAATAGATAGATAGATAGATAAATAAAATAAATGAGAAACCTACAAAATAACCTCCATTCCTTACTTTACCTCACAACCCATATCCAATCAATCACAAGGTTCAATATTAAACAAAAATTACATATTAAGCACCTACTATGTGCCAGGTATTGTTCTTGTCTCTAGGGATAAAGCCTGCTTGCATTGGCTTACATTATAAGGACATTTACTGTTTCCTTTATTCATTAATATTTATTTAGTTTCTTTAATTTATTATTTAATTAATAAATGTGGAGATAGGTTGGTTTTAAGGTTAGGTCGATAGCTTCACAATATCAGACCACTGCACTGAACTGGCATCTTTATGATTCTCTTTGCATTAGACCCTCAAGGACTGAAGTTGGCTCTAGGCATCATATCTTCAAAGAACATTTCCAAAGGCAGAAAGCAAAGGGAGAGGGGTGAAACAAAAGGGACTTCCTCAACGGGGTAATCTCTTTTTATCAGAGAAGAAAATCATTCCCAGAAAGTCCTCAGCTGACTTGCCTCTTTATGTCCCATTGGTCAGAATCAGGTCCAATCATGAAGGAAACTGAAAAAGCAAGTATCTGGCAAAGGGAAACAAGGTTGCATTTATTTGTCCCCGGGGACTGAGCACACAAATACCCTTTAAACAGTGGCAGATAAAGGAGGCTGTCTTAGCAAGGAGGAATGGAAGAAGGTAGTTTTTGGAAGGGCAACCAAGACTGACTTCCACAAAAAGAGACATGGAGTTTACATAAAAGAAGAAACTTTAAACAAGTAAATAAATGTACAAACAAGGTAATTTCAGATTCTGTAAGAGCTGTGAAATAAGAGTGGTGTGATAAAAAGTAGTGGGCATATTTTGAAAGTAAATTGACAACATGAACTAATGGGACTGAATGTATGAGAAAAAGGTGATTCCAAGTTAACACTGATTCCCATTCATAAATGAAGCTTGAGAAAGATAATTAAGGGTCTAAGGTCATACCACTATTAACTGACAAAGCTAGAATTGAATCTAGTCCTATCTGACACCACCGAAGTCAATTTTCTATTTTTTTCCCTTTTTTTTTTGGTTTTTTTTTTTTTTTTTTTTTGAGATAGAGTCTCACTCTGTCACCCAGGCTGGAGTGCAGTAGCATGATCTCTGCTCACTGCAACCTCCACCTCCTGGGTTCAAGCGATTCTCGTGCCTTGGCTTCCCAAGTAGCTGGGATTATAGCCACGTGCCACCAGGGCCAACTAATTTTTGTATTTTTAGTAGACGGGGTTTCGCCATGTTGGCCAGGCTGATCTCTAACTACTGGCCTCAAGTGATCCACCCGCCTCGGCCTCCCAAAGTGCTGTGATTATAGGCCTGAGCCACTGCACCCAGCCCAAAGTCAATTTTCTTTCCCCAGTACCATCTATCTGTGGAAAAGCAGATGTAAATTTATAATATTGGGATAAATAAGAATGAAGTTCAAATATTTATAAATAGTTAACACTTGGTAAATTGTTGCCATTTGTTATTTTGTTTTTACTTGTAGAGCTAGTGAAATGAACAAAATATTTTGTAAATTTCTGTGTCTAAACCACAATATGGAAACTATCAAAAACAGTTACCCACTGCTTAGAACAGTAGCAAATGGCCATGATACTATGTAGCAAAAATGAGAATAACTCTAATTGCATCACAGGGTTTCCCACTACACCAAAGACTCAAAGCAAACAGTTGCAGGCCTGAAAGAGTACAACAAAAGAAAGGCCTATATAATCAATTAAAATGTGCAGACAGACTGGGCACAGTGGCCTGTACTGCAATCTCAGCAGTTTGGGAGGCCAAGGTGGGAGGATCGATTGAGCCCAGGAGTTCAAGACCAGCCTGGGTAACAATGAGACTCCACCTCCACAAAAATAAAAAATTAGCCAGGCACAGTGGTGCTTGCCTGTAGTCCCAGCTACTGAGGAGGCTGAGGTGAGAGGATCGCTTGAGCCTGGGAGGTGGAGGCTGCAGTGAGCCATGATCATGCCCCTGTAATCCAGCCTAGGCAACAGAGTGAGATCCTGTCTTAGGGGAGGAAAAAAAATGTCAAGACAGTAAATACTACTGTGTTTATGTTCCAGACATAGATAACTACTATTTACTCGTGTGTGTGTGTGTGTGTGTGTGTGTGTGTATAGGTATGTATAATAAATAGAGGCTGAGCATGGTGGCTCATGCCTATAATTAATCCCAGCACTTTGGGAGGCCAAGGTGGGTGGATCACTTGAGGTGAAGAGTTTGAGACCAGCCTGGCCAACATCGTGAAACCCCATCTCTACTAAATTACAAAAACTAGCCAGGTGATGGTGGTGCACATCTGTAATTCCAGCTACTAAGGAGGCTGAGGTGGGAGAATCGCTTGAACCTGGGAGATGGAGGCTGCAATGAGCTGAGATGGCACCACTGCACTCCAGCCTTGGCAATACAGCAAGACTCTGTCTCAAAAAAAAAAAAAAAAAAAACAGAGGCCGGGCATGGTGGTTCACATCTGTACTCCTAGCACTTTGGGAGGCCAAGGCGGGCAGATCACAAGGTCAAGAGTTTGAGAACAGCCTGGCCAATATGGTGAAACCCTATCTCTACTAAAAATATATATAAAAAAAATAGGCTGGGTGCAGTGGCTCATGCCTTTAATCCCAGCACTTTGGGAGGCCGAGGTGGGCGGATCACCTGAGGTCGGGAGTTCGAGACCAGCCTGACCAACATGGAGAAACCCTGTCTCTACTAAAAATAAAATACAAAAAATTGCTGGGCGTGGTGGCGCATGCCTGTAATCCCAGCTACTTGGGAGGCTGAGGCAGGAGAATCGCTTGAACCCAGGAGGTAGAGGTTGCAGTGAGCTGAGATCACGCACCATTGCACTCCAGCCTGGGCAAGAAGAGCAAAACTCCATCTCAAAAAATAGATAGATAGATAGATAGATAGATAGACAGACAGACAGACAGACAGACAGACACACAGATGTAAAATTAGCCGGGCGTGGTGGCGCGTACCTGTTTTCCCAGTTACTCACTTGGGAGGCTGAGGCAGGAGAATCACTTAAACCTGGGAGATGGAGGTTGCAGTGAGCCAAGATCATGCCACTGCACTCCAGCCTAGGAGACAGAGCGAGACTCTGTCTCAAACAAACAAACAAAACAAATAGACCTGGCCGGGCACGGTGGCTCACGCCTGTAATCCCAGCACTTTGGGAGGCCGAGGCGGGCAGATCACGAGGTCAGGAGATCGAGACCATCCTGGCTAACATGGTGAAACCCCGTCTTACTAAAAAAATACAAAAAATTAGCAGCCGGGCATGGTGGCGGGCGCCTGTAGTCCCAGCTACTTGGGAGGCTGAGGCAGGAGAATGGCATGAACCTGGGAGACAGAGGTTGCAGTGAGCTGAGATCGCGCCACTGCACTCCAGCCTAGGCAGCAGAGTGAGACTCCGTCTCAAAACAAAAAACAAAAAACAAATATACCTATGTAGGTTAAGTATGGATTTTTTAAAAAATCAGACTTTCCTGTCAGGTACTAAAGAGGAGGCAGGCTGGGCATGGTGGCTCATGCCTGTAATCCTAGCACTTTGGGAGGCCGAGGCGGGCAAATCATTTGAGGCCAGGAGTTCGAGACCAGCCGGGGCAACACGGCAAAACCCCCTCTCTGCTAAAAATATAAAAAATAGCCAGGTGTCGTGGCACATGCCTGTAATCCCAGCTACTTGGGGGGCTGAGCCACAGGAATTGCTTGAACTCACAAGGCAGAGGTTTCGGTGAACTGAGATTGTGCCACTGCACTCCAGCCTGTGCAACAAAGCAAGACCCTGTCTCAAAAAAAAAAAAAGAAAGAAAAAGAAAAAGAAAAAAAGAAAAGGAAAAAGAGGCAAAATACATTTATCATTATTCAATATTATTCTGGCATAAAAATGTGTTACAGTTGGGTGTGGTGGCTCATGCCTGTAATCCCAGCACTTTGGGAGGCCGAGGCAGGCAGATTACATGAGTCCAGGAGTTTGAGACCAGCCTGGGCAACATGGAAAAACCCCATCTCTACAAAAAAAAAAAAAAAAAAAAAAATATATATATATATATATATATATATAAAATATAAAAATATATATAATATAAAAATAAATATATATATAAATATATATATATATTTTTTTTTTTTTTACTCCTCCAATACTGGGCAGGGCTATGCCCATTGAATCATCAGAACATCGCCAGGTGTGCGGATCACAAGGTCAAGAGAACGAGATCATCCTGGCCAACGCGGTGAAACCCCATCTCTACTAAAAATACAAAAATTAGCTGGGCACGGTGGCACGTGCCTACAGTCTCAGCTGCTCGGGAGGCTGAGGCAGGATAATTGCTTGAACCTGGGAGGCAGAGGTTGCAGTGAGCTGAGATTGTGCCACTGCACTCCAGCCTGGCGACAGAGCGAGACACCATCTAAAAAAAAAAAAAAAAAGAATCAGCTGGGTGTGGTGGCTCACACCTGTAATCCCAGCCCTTTGGGAGCCCAAGGTGGGCGGATCACCCGAGGTCGGGAGTTGGAGACCAGCCTGACCAACACGGAGAAAGCCCGTCTCTACTAAAAATACAAAATTAGCTGGGCGTGGTGGCGCATGTCTGTAATCCCAGCTACTCAGGAGGCTGAGGCAGGAGAATCGCTTGAACTTGGGAGGCAGAGGTTGCAGTGAGCCAAAATTGTGCCATTGCACTCCAGCCTGGGCAACAAGAGTGAAACACTCTCTCTCAAAAAAAAAAAAAAAAAAAAAAAAAAAAAAAAAATCAGACAGAACATCATGCAAATATGGACCTCCCCTGGCTCCCTAGAAACCAACTGCAAATTCTCTTTTTTTTTTTTTTTTTTTGAGACAGAGTCTCGCTCTGTTGCCCAGGCTGGAGTGCAGTGGCATGATCTCGCCTCACTGCAAGCTCCGCCTCCCAGGTTCACACCATTCTCCTGCCTCGGCCTCCCGAGTAGCTGGGACTACAGGTGCCCACCACCACACCTGGCTAATTTTTTGTATTTTTAGTAGAGATGGGGTTTCACCGTGTTAGCCAGGATGGTCTCGATCTCCTGACTTCGTGATCCGCCTGCCTCAGCCTCCCAGAGTGCTGGGATTACAGGCATGAGCCACCGTGCCCAGCCCACCAACTGCAAATTCTTATAAGAGAATCCTGTCCCAAAGATCAACGTCCACTGTCAGCAGGAAGAAGTTACAAAAAATGACCTTCACCCTTCATCTCCCCTTAAGATTAGAGTAGTAGAGGAGAAGAGTAAAGGAGGTATTATGTTAGGGAAACAGGAACATAAGAGTTAGGGTAACATGGCCACGTACGGTGGCTCACGCCTGTAATTCCAGCACTTTGGGAGGCCGAGGTGGGCGGATCACCTGAGGTCAGAAGTTCGAGACTAGTCTGGCCAACATTGTGAAATCCCTTCTCTACTAAAAATACAAAAATAATCTGGGCATTGTGGCAGGTGCCTGTAATCTCTGCTACTTGGGAGGCTGAGACAGGAGAATCGCTTGAACCCACGAGGCAGAGGTTGCAGTGCGCCAAGATCACGCCATTGCACCCCTGCCTGGGTGACAAAAACAAAACTGTGTCTCAAAAAAAGAAAAAAGGGCTAGGATAACACAATTTCAAAATCAATTCTAAATTTAGACTAGCAAAGCCTATTCCTTACCAGATACAACCCATGGTCATAAGATGTTTACAGCTAAGGAAGCAGTTTATTAATGCTGGCAAGGACAAACTCCTATGACAACAAAATGTTCGGATGTCCCAATATCACATAACAATATACCCTTTTTTTTTTTTGGAGATGGAGTTTCGGTCAAAAAAATAAAATGAAATAAAAAAGAAGTTTTCTTTTAGTTTGATTACTCTGTGAAACCTGAGGTATTTATTATCAAGAACCTAAAAAAACAAGCCCTCAAATACTTCCCCATTCACAACAGGGGAATACACAGACAGATAAAAGCTAATAGTTTTAGGAAGGTATCTGGGGAGACATATAGGCCCACGGGAGCAAATCCCTGCAGTGGCGGCTCTGATAATCTGCAGAGAGCTAGAAGGGAGGTTCTCCCCTCCCCCAGAAAAATCTATCCCAAAACCATAAACTACATCGCCAATCCTTGGAAATACATAAGGTGGTTAGGGTTAAAGGGTGGCTTCAAAATGGTTCTAGCAGAAACCTATTGCGGTTACTGAACTATTCAAAATATTTGTCCAGAGATAGCTTTTCTGGATAAAATAGCTTTATTCAGAGCCGACAGCAAAATGGAGTTCAGCAGGGTGGTTCCCTAACATTCATTCTTCCCGTTAAAGCAAGCTAATTATTTTCAGATTCGTTTTAGGAATAAGAGTGGGGGTGGTCCAATGGTAGTGGGTTATCAGAACTTATTAACATTAGTATCACTAAAATTGATATGCAACCCCCACTGCTAAAATTGACAGGCTTAATTTTTTTTTAAAGAATAAGAAGAGGGACAAAATAAGTGAGAACAATATTCAAATATATTCCTGCCTCCTCTATCCAGTTGGAAAAATGTATGCAAATTTGGATTTTGAATCAAATGCCTTTAACAAGACTACCAAAACTATCGGAAATAAACAAGAACCTCTTGGTTTGCAGGTCAGGTTCAGATGGGTGGAGACACACATATATAGATATATATAACTCCTTACAAAATACACTTATAAACCATATAGATTTGTTATTTGTCTAAAATGAAGGATGAAGGCTGTACCAAATCTTCATAGGCTAATAACTGAATATGAACTATGAATTTTTAGTGTTTTAGGTTTAACCTTTTTCTTCCTCGTATACTGGGCAGATATTCTGAATAGTAACATCAATACGTTTCTGTTAGGACCATTTTAAAGCCACATTTTAAACCTAACCACCTTCTGCATTTCCAAGGATTAGCAATGTGGTTTATGGTCTTGAAATAGATTTTCCAGGGGCGGGGCGGAGGGAGAACTAGTCTACTCCTATAATGTGGGCCTCCAAGCACTAAGCTATAACCAATTGATGTATCTTGACACAAGGCCAAGCCGTCTTATTTACAAAACTCTTAAGTTGCACAAGGAATCCCTACTTCCTAACATCCTTCAGTGTCAAACTATTTCCTCCCTATCCAAGTCTTTCCTCACTTCTTCAACTCAGCTACCACCTCTGAAATGTGTTTTTAAATCTCCTTTTCAAAAAGCCCTTAGGACTGTTCCATAAAGTTGATGGCTTAGATCTAAAATTGGGGCCTACTTTGCCCTTTTAACAGCTTCAATGTTAAATGCTTGGGCACTACTCTTCGAATGACTGAAATACTATTTGCTTCCAGCGTTTGGTACTCTTACTTTGGAGAACAAGTCATTACAGTAAACCATGTACACCTATTCGGTTTTCTAAAGCTCGCGTTTTTCACATTATCAGGTAAGTACCGAATGCACTGCCTTTAAAGGAACTGAGAAAATAAAAAGGCAAAACTCACTGACAAACTGTGGCAACATGAAATTAATCAGCTGAGCTATCCGAACCACAACTTTCTGCATTTCACGGTGCTTCGTCTTTCAAATTGTATGGCTCTCTCAAGTCCTGGGTTTCCTCCGAATTAAGGCAAGCCTCGTCGCCCATTCCCTGGTCGGTGTCTTTCCGACTCGCGCCCGCCCCTCGGCAGGCCCTCGCAGCCATGCGCCGCACACTGCAGTACTGGCGCGCGTTGCCCGCAGGCGCGGCAGACCCCACCCCGCGGCCGCGCGAGGGGAGGGGGCTCGGGGCTCGGAGCCCGCCTCTGCGGCGGCCAGGCCGGGCGCGGAGTGGGCGCGCGGGGCCGGAGGAGGGGCCAGCGACCGCGGCACCGCCTGTGCCCGCCCGCCCCTCCGCAGCCGCTACTTAAGAGGCTCCAGCGCCGGCCCCGCCCTAGTGCGTTACTTACCTCGACTCTTAGCTTGTCGGGGACGGTAACCGGGACCCGGTGTCTGCTCCTGTCGCCTTCGCCTCCTAATCCCTAGCCACTATGGTGAGTAAGCCGTGCGGCTCCCGGCTGCTTTCAGGGAAGCAGGGAAAAGCGAGCCGGCGGGGCGCTGGGGCCCTGTATACAGCCGGGAAGGGCTGGCCTCAGAGCCGTCCGTTTGGAGGGCGGAAAACGAGGCGAGAGGCCAGGGCGGGAGTGGTGAGACCTCGGTGTGTGTAAATAGCGGGGGCCCGGAAAGGTCGAGGGGCGCCAGGATTTCTTCTCGGACTCTGGAAGGGATGGGGGGCTCGGGCTGCCCTCCGCCGTATCCGGAGCTCTCTTTTGTCGCGTAACTGTGTCCTGGGTGCGGTCCCTCGAGTCCCCGCAGTCCTTTCCAGCGCATGCCCTTACTCCGCCTTGGGTGGACGCGCGCGCGGACTCTTCCAGCCCTCACTTCCTCTTGAGCGCGAAAAGCGGGGGTGGGAAGCAGCTGGAGACAAAAGCGCGCACGCGCGACCGTTACCTTCCCGCCGCTCCTGGGCGGGAAACCGCCACTGCGCTTTGCGCATGCGCTCTGGGTCGCGACGCGACTAGGGCTACAGGGCGTGTCTCCTGTTAACCTGAGTGTTCTTTTTTTGATGAAAGCAATAAGAGGACTGCGGAAGAGCTCCCTGTCAATGTACCGCTCTACACCAGTGTATTACGACAGTTCGTACACAACAGTCTGTAGAGGCCACCTGTCTCTCCCTGCTGCGTTAGGAATTCAGGGGAGCAGGTGGTGGCAGTAAGGGATTTTGAGGGAACGGAAATCGGATCTTGACCCAGATCTGGGCCGCCGATAATCTCCTACTGCGCTCAGACTGCTGTGGAGGTGTTAGGCTGAGCCCGATGCCGGCAGGCAAGGGAGGATGGGCGGCTTGGGCAGCGCCTTTGCAGACGTGGCCATTTCGTGCCTCTGCAGCACCGCCGGGGGGCGCAAGAGCGCGCGCCCGGAATTGCTCATTCATCCTGTGCCGCAGAGCCCCGCCCCTTGTCCCTGCGGACAGACATTTCTTCTGCGCTGGTCTGGCCACGTGCTTCCTGTGCTAGGAGCTGCCCGGAAATGTGACCACCTAGTCTAAAGTGGGCTTCTGGGGCCTGAGCGCTGGATGGATGCCCACCTTCCTGTCTTGGTCCTCCAAAGGAGGAAGCTGTGACTGAGCTGTCTTGGTCTGGAAGGAGGCCTTCCCGGTTTAGGATGGGAAGGTAACATTCATTAAAAGCAACGTAGACTATAGTGTAGCTGTTCTCAAAAGTAGTACATCTTAGAAAAGGATCTTTAGAAAAGATCGCTTTAGAAAAGGAAATTCGTTTTCAGATTACGTGAGTAGCCTAGGTAACACAGCCAGACCTCATCTCCACAAAAAAAATGAAAAAATTAGCCAGCTTGGTGGTCTGTGCCTGTGGTCCCAGCTGCTCCAGAGGCTGAGGTGGGGGGATGACTGGAGCCTAGGCTGCAGTGAGCCTAGATGGCATCACTGCACTCAAGCCTGGGCGACAGACCTTATCTCTAAAAAAATAAAGATTGCATGAGTATTTTGTTCCACTTGACAGTCATCAATAGATTGGTTTAAATTGTGATATCTTTTTTCCTTCCCGCAGCGTGAGTGCATCTCCATCCACGTTGGCCAGGCTGGTGTCCAGATTGGCAATGCCTGCTGGGAGCTCTACTGCCTGGAACACGGCATCCAGCCCGATGGCCAGATGCCAAGTGACAAGACCATTGGGGGAGGAGATGACTCCTTCAACACCTTCTTCAGTGAGACGGGCGCTGGCAAGCACGTGCCCCGGGCTGTGTTTGTAGACTTGGAACCCACAGTCATTGGTGAGTTGACCTCAGTAACCTGAGATCCCAGGATGCTGGGACAGGAGGTCTGTCCAGGGGCTTCTCTTGTCACTCACTCACTCCCTCCGTCCTTCTCTCCCTCCTCCAGATGAAGTTCGCACTGGCACCTACCGCCAGCTCTTCCACCCTGAGCAGCTCATCACAGGCAAGGAAGATGCTGCCAATAACTATGCCCGAGGGCACTACACCATTGGCAAGGAGATCATTGACCTTGTGTTGGACCGAATTCGCAAGCTGGTAAGCACCACATATAAATATGCATTTAATGTGGTGTGATAGTTCCAGTGCAAGTTGGGTGGAGTGACTGACATCATTCATTCTTTGGCACCTACCAAAATGTGGAATAGGCTGCTTGCTATATTAATTGGACTTCTAAATCAGATAGTCCCTAGGTTATGGACAGTTTGTGGATATGTCTGTTTTGCCAATTCCTTGTGCTTACATCAGTGAGATATGGTTCGTAATCTAAAAAGTTGAAATA
Organism: Homo sapiens; assembly: GCF_000001405.40. Lineage (NCBI taxonomy): Eukaryota > Metazoa > Chordata > Mammalia > Primates > Hominidae > Homo > Homo sapiens. The sequence goes on along the minus strand of NC_000012.12, from coordinate 49,128,997 downwards.
GAAATTCTAAGATAATGTGTCCTGGCATTAAAATATTACATTTTTTTATTCCCCTACAGGCTGACCAGTGCACCGGTCTTCAGGGCTTCTTGGTTTTCCACAGCTTTGGTGGGGGAACTGGTTCTGGGTTCACCTCCCTGCTCATGGAACGTCTCTCAGTTGATTATGGCAAGAAGTCCAAGCTGGAGTTCTCCATTTACCCAGCACCCCAGGTTTCCACAGCTGTAGTTGAGCCCTACAACTCCATCCTCACCACCCACACCACCCTGGAGCACTCTGATTGTGCCTTCATGGTAGACAATGAGGCCATCTATGACATCTGTCGTAGAAACCTCGATATCGAGCGCCCAACCTACACTAACCTTAACCGCCTTATTAGCCAGATTGTGTCCTCCATCACTGCTTCCCTGAGATTTGATGGAGCCCTGAATGTTGACCTGACAGAATTCCAGACCAACCTGGTGCCCTACCCCCGCATCCACTTCCCTCTGGCCACATATGCCCCTGTCATCTCTGCTGAGAAAGCCTACCATGAACAGCTTTCTGTAGCAGAGATCACCAATGCTTGCTTTGAGCCAGCCAACCAGATGGTGAAATGTGACCCTCGCCATGGTAAATACATGGCTTGCTGCCTGTTGTACCGTGGTGACGTGGTTCCCAAAGATGTCAATGCTGCCATTGCCACCATCAAAACCAAGCGCAGCATCCAGTTTGTGGATTGGTGCCCCACTGGCTTCAAGGTTGGCATCAACTACCAGCCTCCCACTGTGGTGCCTGGTGGAGACCTGGCCAAGGTACAGAGAGCTGTGTGCATGCTGAGCAACACCACAGCCATTGCTGAGGCCTGGGCTCGCCTGGACCACAAGTTTGACCTGATGTATGCCAAGCGTGCCTTTGTTCACTGGTACGTGGGTGAGGGGATGGAGGAAGGCGAGTTTTCAGAGGCCCGTGAAGATATGGCTGCCCTTGAGAAGGATTATGAGGAGGTTGGTGTGGATTCTGTTGAAGGAGAGGGTGAGGAAGAAGGAGAGGAATACTAATTATCCATTCCTTTTGGCCCTGCAGCATGTCATGCTCCCAGAATTTCAGCTTCAGCTTAACTGACAGACGTTAAAGCTTTCTGGTTAGATTGTTTTCACTTGGTGATCATGTCTTTTCCATGTGTACCTGTAATATTTTTCCATCATATCTCAAAGTAAAGTCATTAACATCAAAAGCTTTGTTTCCTGCGTTTTTTTCTAAAAGTGCCTTGGTTTTTAGATTCATCTATACTTGGAGTATAGAGAGTCTGGTGTCAAGGATCCCACTTACTGTGCAGGCACCTCTAGGGAAAAGGGAGCTCAACAGACTAGAAAGGCAGGAGCCCTAGATTCTCAGACTAGTTTACCACCTCAACGCTTGCATAGGGGGTGGGGAAAGTCATTCTGCTAATCTAAAGCTCATTTAGCTCTTCAGAGTAAGACTGGGTAGTTACTAATGAGTAATGTATAGGAAGTGTAAGTTTTGAATATCCACTGAGATGCTGCTGTTTAAAGTGGCCTGCTAACTTGTTAGTGTAATTAAGAAATTTCCAAGTGATCTTTGGCTGGTCATGGTGGCTCACACCTCTGATCCCAGGCATTCAAGACCAGCCTGGGAGACATGATGAAACTCCATCTACAAAAAAAAATTTGGGTGTGGTGGTGTGAGCCTATAAGCCCAGCTACTTGAGAGGCTGACAAGATTGAGGCTGTGGTGAGCTGTGATTGTACCACTGCACTCCAGCCTTGGTGACAGATCCTGTCAAAACAGTGACCTGGGAAAAACATCTGACTAGGAATATTTGAGGGTGGTGAGGTAAAGGCTGTTTCCAGCCCTATTGTGATAGGAAAAAGGACCAGAACTCATGGTGGTCAATAAAAGTCATGCTAGGTAAGAAGGCTAAACAATAAGCCATATGCATTGGTGGGAGAGGACTGCATTACATGAGGATAAAGCGGCAACTTTGGAAAGTTTAGGATAAAAGTTTATAATTTATAGCATTTGGCATGGTTTACATCCTTTCAAGTATTTTGGCTACATGTAACAGACTTGTAGGCACAGAGAATGTAAATAGAGGATTTAACCTAGGAGAAAACGTAGATTTCAAATCCGGAAAGCACAGGAAAATTATGGCTGCTGAAGACCTTGATGTCTTCTTGGTTCAAGACTGAAAGAATACATGAGGCATTTTTTTAAAAAGAAGAGGCCAGGCGCAGTGGCTCATGCCTGTAATCCCAACGCTTTGGGAGGCTTGAGGCGGGTGGATCACCTGAGGTCAGGAGTTTGAGACCAGCCTGGCCAACATGGAGAAACTCCATCTCTACTAAAAATACAAAATTAGCCGGACATGGTGGCGCATGCCTGTAATCCCAGCTACTCAGGAGGCTGAGGCAGAATTGCTTGAACCTTGGGTCAGGTGTGGTGGCTCATGCCTGTAATCCCAAGCACTTTGGGAGGCTGAGGCGGGCAGATCACGGGGTTAGGAGATCCAGACCATCCTGGCTAACACGGTGAAACCCCGTCTCTACTAAAAATACAAAAAATTAGCTGGGTGTGGTGGTGGGCGCCTGTAGTCCCAGCTACTCGGGAGGCTGAGGCAGGAGAATGGCATGAACCTGGGAGGCGGAGCTTGCAGTGAGCAGAAATCGCGCCACTGCACTCCAGCCTGGGCGACAGAGCAAGACGCCATCTCAAAAAAAAAGCAAAAACAGAATTGCTTGAACCCAGCAGGCGGAGGTTGCAGTGAGCCGAGGTTGCGCCATTGCACTCCAGCCTGGGCAACAAGAGCAAAACTTCATCTCAAAAAAAAAAAAAGTAGGGAAGTCTACAATTTTCCCAGTTTTTTGTTTTTTGTTTTTTTAGCCCATAAATCCTATAAATTTACAAAATGTAGTCAGCCCTCCCTATCTGTGGGTTCCATATCTAGATTTGACTAACTGGATTGAAAATACTTGGAAGCAACCGGCCATAGTGGTTCATGCCTATAATACCAGCACTTTGGTCAAGGCGGGAGGATCACTTGAGCCCAGGAGTTTGAGACCAGCCTAGGCAACCTAGGGAGACCCTGTCATTACAAAACTAAAACAAAAACAAATTAGCCAGTGTAATTGTGCTGCTGCATTCCTGTCTGGGTGCCAGAGAAAGACCCTATCTCAAAATATATATTTGGAAAAATGGATAGTTGTGTCTGAACTGAACATATACTTGTCCCCTTTATTCACTAAATGATACAGTATAACAATTATTTGCATAGCATTCACATTGTATTAGGTATTATAAGTAATTTGGAAATGACTTAAAGTATACAGGAAGATGTGTGCAGGTTACATGCAAACACCAGAGTTCTCTATATAAGGAACTTGAGCATTCATGGATTTTGATATCCTCCAGGGATACTAAGGGATGACTGCAACTCTCAGCTCCAAAGGTAATCTGATTTGGCATGAACAATTCAGAGAAAAAGCTTTGGTGGGGAGCCTACAGGCCTAGCATAGCAACAAAAATGTAGCCATCACAGGTTCCAAGGGAAAGCAGACATCTTTATTTATTTTTTATTTTATTATTTATTTTGAGATGGAGTCTCGCTCTGTCTCCCAGGCTGGAGTGCAGTGGTGTGGTCGTGGCTCACTGCAACCTCCGCCTCCCGGGTTCAAGTGATTCTCCTACCTCAGCCTCCCGAGTAGCTGGGATTACAGGCACCTGCCACCAAGCCTGGCTAATTTTTGTATTTTTAGTAGAGTTGGGGTTTCACCATGTTGGCCAGGCTGGTCTCGAACTCCTGACCTCGTGATCTGCCCGCCTCGGCCTCCCAAAGTGCTGGGATTACAGGCATGAGTCGCTGGGTGTGCCGAGCTGCAGACACCTTTAAAGAACTGAGAGGCCCGGGCACAGCAGCTCACGCCTGTAATCCTATCACTTTGGGAGCCCAAAGTAGGTGGATCACCTGAGGTCAGGAGACTGAGACCAGCCAGGCCAACATGGCGAAACCCCAACTCTACTAAAAATACAAAATTAGTGGCTGGGCACGGGGGCTCACGCTGAGATTATGCCACTGCACCCCAGCCTCGGTGACAGAGTGAAACTCTCAAAAATATACAATAAAACATTTTAAGCTGGGCACAGTAGTTCACTCCTGTAATCCCAGCACTTTGGGAGGCCAAGGTGGGTGGATCACCTGAGGTCAGGAGTTCGAGACCAACCAGGCCAACATGGTGAAACCCCGTCTCTACTAAAAATACAAAAATTAGCTGGGTGTGGTGGTGGGCACCTGTAATCCCAGCTACTTGGGAGGCTGAGACAGGAGAATTGCTTGAACCCGGGAGGCAGAGCTTGCAGTGAGCCGAGATCATGCCATTGCACTCCAGACTTGGTGATAAGTGCGAACTCCGTCTCAAAGGAAAAAAAAAATTTTAAAATTGTTTTATACATCAAGATGACTACTATTTTTTTTTTCTTGAGATGGAGTCTCGCTCTATTGCCAGGCTGGAGTGCAGTGGCTCAGTCTCGGCTCACTGCAACCTCTGCCTCCTGGGTTCAAGGGATTCTCCTGCCTCAGCCTCCTGAGCAGCTGGGATTACAGGCCTGCACCACCATGCCCAGCTAATTTTTGTATTTTTAGTAGAGACGGGGTTTTGCCATGTTGGCCAGGCTGGTCTCAAACTCCTGACCTCAAGTGATCCTCCCTCCTTGGCTTCCCAAACTGCTGGGATTACAAGGGTGAGCCACCACACCAGGCCAAGATGAATACTAATAATTATAAGTTAAGGCCTTGGGTTAAATGATATATTATGTGTGGGCCATGGGGGAGGGGATGGCTAGAATGAAATGGCACTGCAGTCATCTTATCTATACCTCTGCCCGGGCAGCAAGTACAGTGCCTGGTAATGCCCATAGAATGCTTCTAGGGAGGCCGGGCGCGGTGGCTCACGCCTGTAATCCCAGCACTTTGGGAGGCCGAGGCGGGTGGATCACGAGGTCAGGAGATGGAGACCATCCTGGCTAACACGGTGAAACCCCGTCTCTACTAAAAATACAAAAAATTAGCCGGGAGTGGTGGCGGGTGCCTTTAGTCCCAGCTACTTGGGAGGCTGAGGCAGGAGAATGGCGTGAACCCAGGAGGCGGAGCTTGCAGGGAGGCGGAGCTTGCAGTGAGCCGAGATCGTGCCACTGCAGTCTAACCTGGGCGGCAGTGAGGCTTTGTTTCCAAAAAAAAAAAAAAATGCTTCTAGGGAACCAAAAATAAATAATGGTAATTTCTCTTAGGCCAGATTCTTTTTCTTTTTCTTTTTCTTTTTTTTTTTTTTTTTGAGACGGAGTCTCACTCTGTCACCCAGGCTGGAGTGCAGTGGCACCATCTCGGCTCACTGCAAGCTCTCCCTCACAGGTTCACGTCATTCTCCTGCCTCAGCCTCCCGAGTAGCTAGGACTACAGGTGGCCGCCACTACGCCCGGCTAGTTTTTTGTATTTTTAGTAGAGACGGGGTTTCACCGTGTTAGCCAGGATGGTCTCCATCTCCTGACCTCGTGATCCACCCACCTCGGCCTCCCAAAGTGCTGGGAATACAGGCACGAGCCACCCCGCCCGGCCAGCCAGATTCTTTTTTTTCTTTTTTGAGACGGAGTCTCGCCCAGGCTACAGTGCAGTGGCGCAATCTCGGCTCACTGCAAGCTCCGCCTCCTGGGTTCACGCCATTCTCCTGCCTCAGCCTCCCGAGTAGCTGGGACTACAGGCACCCGCCACCACACCCGGCTAATTTTTTGTATTTTTAGTAGAGACGGGGTTTCACCATGTTAGCCAGGATGGTCTTGATTTCCTAACCTCGTGATCCACACGCCTCGGCAGCCGGAAGTGCTGGGATTACAGGCGTGAGCCACTGCGCCTGGCCCAGCCAGATTCTTTATTGTTCTACTCAATGTAAACTTTAAGCCCTAAGGTTTTGGAACTCTCACTCTGTTTCAGGGCCCAGGCTTCTTTGTCAAGTCTCAGGGGAGGGGCCTAGGGAACAGAGACATTTGGTTAGCCTCTTGTTCTGTCACTAATCAGGACCCCTTAATCTTCTGGGACTATTTTCCCTTTTACACTATAGATTTCCATTCTGCCTTTCTCAGAAGGGGTAGCAAGTAGGGCTTTAGAGTCTGGAAGGACCTGTAAACTTTTTTTTTTTTTTTTTTTGAGACAGAGTCTCACTGTTGCCCAGGCTGGAGTGCAGTGGCGCAATCTCGGCTCACTGCAAGCTCCGCCTCCCGGGTTCACGCCATTCTCCTGCCTCAGCCTCCCAAGTAGCTGGGACTACAGGCGCCCGCCACCACGCCTGGCTAATTTTTTGTATTTTTAGTAGAGACGGGGTTTCACCGTGTTAGCCAGGATGGTCTCGATCTCCTGACCTCGTGATCCACCCGTCTCGGCCTCCCAAAGTGCTGGGATTACAGGCATGAGCCACGGCGCCCGGCCTTGGACCTGTAAACTTAGAGATGTGCGTCCAAGTTGGGAGATGAGGGGCACTGCATCCCAGGTCTTGACATGTCTGCTCAGCCATACTCCAGAGCTGCTACAGAAGAATAGGCCATTTATTCAGAAAATAAGTATAACTTTTTCTTCTTCTTCTTCTTCTTTTTGGAGATGAAGTCTAACTCTGACATCCAGCTTGGAGTGCAGTGGTGTGATCTTGGCTCACTGCATCCTCCAACTCCCGAGTTCAAGTGATTCTCCTGCCTCAGCCTCCCGAGTAGCTGGGATTACAGGCACCCGCCACCACGCCCCGGCTAATTGTTTTGTATTTTTATTGGAGACAGGGTTTCACCACATTGGCCAGGCTGGTCTTGAATTCCTGACCTCAGGTGATCTGCCTGCCTCGGCCTCCCAAAGTGCTGGGATGACAGGGATGAGCCACCGTGCCCAGCCAATGAACATAATTTTTTTTTTTGAGACGGAGTCTCGCTCTGTCGCCCAGGTTGGAGTGCAGTGGCACTATCTCGGCTCACTGCAAGCTCCGCCTCCCGGGTTCACGCCATTCTCCTGCCTCAGCCTCCCGAGTAGCTGGGACTACAGGCGCCTGCAACCACGCCTGGCTAATTTTTTGTATTTTCAGTAGAGATGGGGTTTCACTGTGTTAGCCAGGACAGTCTCGATCTCCTGACCTCGTGATCCGCCCGTCTCGGCCTCCCAAAGTGCTGGGATTACAGGCGTGAGCCACCGCGCCCTGCCGAATATAAATTTTTAAAAGCCCAAGAAGGGTTTACTTAGAGATGAAAAGGATGATGATAATAACAATGATAACTAAACTTAACTACATAGATACCTTCTTTTTTTAACACAGAATGCTTAAATGCCTTCACAACCTACTGTTCATCCCCTCCTTGAGTTCACTGTTAAAATGAAAAGAGCCCAGTGCCTCATTTTAGAGATGACAGATTTAATTGGTAGGGACGAAGGGGAGAGATACCACAGCCTTGTGTCCTGCCTTGTAGGACTAGAAGCCTTAAATATTGCCCGCCACGAGATCAGAAGGACATGAGTCTTTCAGCCTTACCGAGGACCCAGGCTGTGATTTAGGGATGTGCTTAAACTAAGAGGCTTGAGCAAAGGAGGAGAGAAGAGCATTTTATCTGGAGATGCCATATTCCCCTCCCAATCCCATCAAACTCCTGGCAAATTCCTTAACGCCCTGCAGATGGCACCACTGACAAGTAGTTCTCCATCCAGGAGAGCCAAGCTCAGATTTGTGAACTCTGCCCTTGTCATCTTGGACCTGTGCTGAAAAGATGACCAACAAACCGGAAGTGACTGACCTGCCATCCCTAGCATTCACACACTTGTCACTTTTTCTTCTGTCCATGACTGGAGGCAGCTGGGCCTCATGCTAGGCCACTGTGAATCAGGAGGCTACAGAAAACACCACACCAAAGGAGTTTCTTGACCTCAGCTCCTTCCTCTAGGGTGCATCCCTGAGGTAGGATGTGTATAAAAACATGGCCTTGGCCAGTCATGGTGGCTCACGCTTGTAATCCCAGCACTTCGGGAGGCTGAGGCGGGCAGATCACCTGAGGTCAGGAGTTCAATACCAGCCTGGCCAATATGGTGAAACCCCGTCTCTACTAAAAATACGAAAATTAGCCAGGCATGGTGGGATGCGCCTGTAATCCCAGCTACTCGGGAGGCTGAGACAGGAGAATCGCTTGAAACTGGGAGGCGGAGGTTGCAGTGAACCCAGATCACGCCATTGCACTTCAGCCTGGGCAACAAAAGCGAAACTCCATCTCAAAAAAAAAAAACAAACAAAAAAAACATGGCGTTGGGCCAGGCGTGGTGGCTTACGCCTGTAATCTCAGCACTTTGGGAGGCCAAGGAGGGTGGATCACTTGAAGTCAGAAGGTCGAGACCAGCCTGGTCAACATGATGAAACCCTGTCTCTACTAAAAATACAAAAATTAGCCAGGCGTGGTGGCAGGTGCCTGTAATCCCAGCTACTCAGTAGGCTGAGGCAGGAGAATTGCTTGAACCTGGGAGGTGAAGGTTGCAGTGAGCCAAGTTAGTGTTACTGCACTCCAGCCTGGGCAACAGAGTGAGACTCCGTCTCAAAAAAACAAAACAAAACAAAAAACGCCTTGGGATCAACATGTAGTAAGGGAGGAGCCTGTTGTCATATTAATCTAAACTCAATATTGATACAAAGTCAATAACCACCTGACAATGTGGGCATCATCATGTAGACACTGATGTCATTGTGTTGCTAAGGCTAGCTTCCACCTCTCTGCTATCTAGTTCATAAGCCAAAATGATACCCAAATGCTCTACCACACCCACTCCCAACTGACAGCCTGCTGTATGTTATCATGCCCAACTAGACAGAATCAAGCTCATCACCTCATTCATGCCTGAGCCTTTAAACATACTCTTTCCTCTGCCTGTGGTATCTTCTATTGCCATAAGAGCCCCCAACACCTTTGTCCAGTTAACGCATACTCTCCCTTCAATGAAGAAAGCCCAAATGTCATTTCTTCAAGGACTTGGAGACTAGGTCAGAATAGGCCATATTTTCTACTATATATTTTCATAGAACCTCTACTTTTCTCACATTTGTAATATTTTGTAAATATACATTTGTGCGATTATTTAATTCATATATTTCTTCCCTACCAGAGTTTTTTTTTCTGAAGACAGGGTCTAGCTCTTGTGTCCAGGCTGGATTGCAGTGATTCGATCTCAGCTCACTGCTGCCTTGACCTCCTGGACTCAAGGGATCCTCCCAGCTCAGCGTCTTGGGTAGCTGGAACTACAGGCACCGACCATCACCCCCGGCTAATTTTTAAATTTTTTGTAGAGATGGAGTCTCACCATGTTGTCCAGGCTGGTCTCAAAATTCTGAGCTCAAGCAATCCTTTCCTGCTTCGCCCTCTTTTTTTTTTTTTTTTTTTTTTTTTTTGAGACAGAGTTTTGCTCTTGTTGCCCAGGCTAGAGTGCAATGGCGTGATCTCGGCTCACCATAACCTCCGCCTCCCGGGTTCAAGCAATTCTCCTGCCTCAGCCTCCTGAGTAGCTAGGATTACAGGCATGCGCCACCAAGCCCGGCTAATTTTTTTTGTTTGTTTTGTTTTGTTTTGTTTTGTTTTTTGGAGACGGAGTCTCGCCCTTTCGCCCAGGCTGGAGTACAGTGGCCCGATCTTGGCTCACTGCAAGCTCCGCCTCCCGGGTTCACGCCATTCTCCTGTCTCAGCCTCCCCAGTAGCTGGGACTACAGGCGCCCACCACCACGCCTGGCTAATTTTTTGTATATTTTTTTAGTAGAGATGGGGTTTCACCGTGTTAGCCAGGATGGTCTCGATCTCCTGACTTCGTGATCCGCCCATCTCGGCCTCCCAAAGTCTGGGATTACAGGCGTGAGCCACCATGTCCAGCCTCTACCAGATTAAAAAAAAAATCCAGGCCGGGCGCGGTGGCTCATGCCTGTAATCCCAGCACTTTGGCAGGCCGAGGCGGGTGGATCACGAGGTCAGGAGATCGAGACCCTCCTGGCTAACACGGTGAAACCCCGTCTCTACTAAAAATACAAAAAATTAGCTGGGCGTGGTGGTGGGCGCCTGTAGTCCCAGCTACTCGGGAGGCTGAGGCAGGAGAATGGCGTGAACCCGGGAGGCGGAGCTTGCAGTGAGCCAAGATCATGCCACTGTACTCCAGCCTGGGCGACAGAGCGAGACTCTGTCTCAAAAAAAAAAAAAAAAAAGTTCCATTAGATAAATGCTCCACAGTTTTTTGTTTGTTTGTTTTTGTTTTTTAAGATTAGTCAAATGGGCCAGGCACAATGGCTCAGACTTGTAGTACCAGCACTTTTGGAGGCCAAGGAAGGAAGATCACTTGAGATCAGAAGTTTGAGACCAACTTGGGCAACTAGTGAGACCCTGTCTCTAAAAAAAATTTAAAAATTAGCCTGGTGGTGGTACATGCCTTTGGTCCCAGCTGCCTGGGAGGCTGAGGTGGGAGGATCACTTGAACCTGGGAGGTTGAGGATGCAGTGAGCTGAGATTGCTTCATTGCACTCCAGCCTAGGTGCCAGACCAAGACCCCAAGACCCTGCCTCAAAAAAAAACAACTATACAAAAACCAAACAAACAAAAAAACATTTTTAACTCTGAAAGCTAGAGATGACTATCCATCTACTTCTCCCCACTTTCAGACTAAGCCCAGGGCCAAAGCTCTAAGGGACCTCAGGCAGAGAGTAAAAGGTGGATAGAAACATCAAATGGAAGTGGATAGGAAGGCTTCTTCTGTATTCTAAAGATTCTTCATCATAGTGGCTCACGCCTGTAATCCCAACACTTTGGGAGGCTGAGGTGGGAGGATCACTTGAGGTCAGGAGTTCAAGACCAGCCTGGCCAACATGGTGAAACCCTGTTTCTGCTGAAAATACAAAAATTAACCAGGAGCGGTGGCATGTACCTGTAGTCCCAACTCCTCAGGAGTCTGAGGCAGAAGAATTGCTTGAACCCAGGAGGTGGAGGCTGCAGTGAGCTGGATCACGCCACTGCACTCCAGCCTATGTGTGGAGTGAGACTCCATTTCAAAAAATAAATAAATAAAATAAAATAATAAACCTTCTTTATCAAGAAGATGTCCCAAGCCAAAAAAAGATCCCTCAGCTTCTCTGACCCTAGCATCTCATCATACTGGCATGTAGAAACTTCTGCTGCCTCACTATGACCAAATCAATATGTGCCACGAGCTGGGTTGTGACCCAGCTACCAGAATAAGCGGTCACCCTAGATATTCCTTCTATATAACAGTGCTCAAAGCTAGGCAGGTGAGTATTCCCACCATCCTCTTCACTGCTCACCCGGTGTAATCTCTTTGTTGTTGTTGTTGATTTTTTTGTTATTGTCTTTTTTTTTGAGACAGAGTCTTGCACTGTTGCCCAGACTCCCAGGCTGGAATGCAGTAGCACAATCTCGGCCCACTGCAGCCTCCACCCCCTGGGTTCAATCACTCCTCCCACCTCAGTCTCCTGAGTAGCTGGGACTACAGGCATGCTACAATGTCCAGCTAATTTTTGTATTTTTTGTAGAGACAGGGTTTTGCCATGTTGCCCAGGCTGGTCTCCAACTCCTGAGCTCAGGCAATCCACCCACTTTGGCTTCCCAAAGTGCTGAGAATATGGGTGTGAACCACTGCATCTGTCCTGTGTAATCTCTTATCCAGTCTGGGCTTCAAGAGGAACATAGACAATGGAGCTTTCTCAAAGGGGTGAGGAGAGTGGTAAGGAGTACTAGGCAGAGAATCTCAGAGAACTGAGGATGTTTAGCTTAGAAAAGAGAAACCCAATGCAGGGCCGTGTTCTAGAAATGGCAGTAGATTCATTCCTCAAAACCCCAGAGGGCACAGCAAAAGATGGGGAATAAGACTGCAGTTCACTTTCTAAAAATTAGCCAGCACCAACAACGATCCAGTATGCCATCTATTCAGCGGTCAGTGGTGCCCAACCTTTTTGGTACCAGGGGCAGGTTTTGTGGAAGACAATTTTTCCATGAATGGTGTGTGTGGTGAGGGGTGGTTTCAGGATGAAACTGTTCTACCTCAGATCATCTGGCATTAGATTCTCATAAGAAGCACCCAACCTAGATCCACAGTTCACAACACAGTTCTAGCTCCTATGAGAATCTAATGCCACTGCTGATCTGACAGGAGGTGGAGCTCAGGCAGTAATGCTTGCTTGCCCACCCCTCACCTCCTGCTGTGTGGGCTGGTTCCTAACAGGCCATGGTCTGCACCCGGCGGTTGAGGACCCCTGGTCTATGTCATGAAGCACAAACAGTTGAAGGGGTGCCCTGCCCCTCCACACCTGTGGGTATTTCTAGTCGGGTGGGACGAGAGACTGAGAAAAGAAATAAGACACAGAGACAAAGTATAGAGAAACAATAGTGGGCCCAGGAGACCGGCACTCAGCACACCAAGGACCTGCACCGGCACCGGCCTCTGAGTTCCCTCAGTTTTTATTGATTATTATTTTCATTATTTCAGCAAAAAGGAATGTAGTAGGAGAGCAGGGTGATAATAAGGAGAAGGTCAACAAAAAACATGTGAGCAAAAGAATCTATATCATAATTAAGTTCAAGGGAAGGTACTATGCCTGGACGTGCATGTAGGCCAGATTTATGTTTCTCTCCACCCAAACATCTCAGTGGAGTAAAGAATAACAAAGCAGCATTACTGCAAACATGTCTCACCTCCCACCATAGGGCGGTTTTTCTCCTATCTCAGAATTGAACAAATGTACAATCGGGTTTTATACCGAGACATTCAGTTCCCAGGGGCAGGCAGGAGACAGTGGCCTTCCTCTATCTCAACTGCAAGAGGCCTTCCTCTTTTACTAATCCACCTCAGCACAGACCCTTTACGGGTGTCGGGCTGGGGGACAGTCAGGTCTTTCTCATCCCACGAGGCCATATTTCAGACTATCACATGGGGAGAAACCTTGGACAATATCCCGCTTTCAAGGGCAGAGGTCCCTGCGGCTTTCCACAGTGCATTGTGCCCCTGGTTTATTGAGACTAGAGAATGGCAATGACTTTTATCAAGTATACTGCTTGTAAACATTTTGTTAATAAGGCATGTCCTGCACAGCCCTAGATCCCTTAAACCTTGATTTCATACAACACATGTTTTTGTGAGCTCCAGATTGGATCAAAGTGGTTGGGTCAAAGTGGCTGGGGCAAAGCTACAAATTAACAACATCTCAGCAAAGCAATTGTTTAAAGTACAGGTCTTTTTCAAAATGGAGTCTCTTATGTTGTCTTTCCTTTCTACACAGACACAGTGACAGTCTGATCTGTCCTTCTTTTCCCTACAAACAGGTAGACCTGATAACTTCTAATATACCTCTCCATTCCCAGAGTCTATAATTTCACAAATTTTTTCTTGCTGTCTCAAGCCAATCTTTCATTATAATTCTTCTCTCAAATATTTTTGGAGAGGTCAGAGAGGTAGGGAGGAAGAATTAGAATTGAATATCTCAAAGCATGTTTTCTTTTCTTTTCTTTTGAGACAGAGTTTCACGCTTTGTTGCCCAGGCTGGAGTGCAATGGTGTGATCTCAGCTAACCGCAACCTCTGCCTCCCAAGTTAAAGTGATTCTCCTGCCTCAGCCTCCCAAGTAGCTGGGATTACAGGCATGCGCCACCATGCCTGGCTAATTTTGTATTTTTAGTGGAGACAGGGTTTCTCCATGTTGGTCAGGCTGGTCTCAAACTCCCGACCTCAGGTGATCTGCCCGCCTCGGCCTGCCAGAGCACTGGGATTACAGGTGTGAGCCACTGCGCCCGGCCAACGTGTTTCTAAAATTCTTCTCCTCCTAACTCCCAACGACAACATCAAAAAGTTCTCAGATGCAGGAAGGACTTGCTTAGGAAATTCCTGGTTTTCTGGTTTCCCTGGCACCCTAGACAAGAGGGATATTCCAAAATTTCTAGAAATTTGTCCTATTTTGACCAGAGAGAAGAAAAAAGTTATAATTCAGAGTCAGATGAGCTCTGGCTGGGTACGGTGGCTCACACCTGTAATCCCAGCACTTTGGGAGGCTGAGGCAGGTGGATCACCTGAGGTCAGGAGTTCGAGACCAGCCTGACAAACATGGTGAAACCCTGTCTCTACCAAAAATACAAAAATTAGCTGAGCATGGTGGCGGGCACCTGTAATCCCAGTTACTTGGGAGGCTGAGGCAGGAGAATTGCTTGAACCCAGGAGGCAGAGGTTACAAGAGATCGAGCCACTGCACTCCAGCCTAGGTGACAGAGCCAAAAAAAAAAAAAAAAAAAAAGAGTTAGCTAAATAGCTAAATAAGCTCTTTCCAAAGACCCAGAAAGTCCTGAGAACAAAATCACCCTGAAAGTAGTCTTAGAGTAGGCAGGAAGTTTTCTTTCTTCTCTTTCTTTCTTTTCTTTCTTTCTTTTTTTTTTTTTTTACAAAATAAAAACAGGGTTTCACTTTGTTGCGCAGGCTGGAATGCAGTGGTCCCATGATAGCTCACTGTAGCCTCGATTTCCTGGGGTCAAGTGATTCTCCTCCTTCAGTCTCCTGAGTATCTTAGAACTACGGGGACATGCCACCACGCCTTGCTAATTTCATAAATTTTTTGTAGAGATAGGGTCATGTGTTACCCAGGCTGGTCTTTTTTTTTTTTTTTTTTTTTTTTTTTTGAGACGGAGTTTCGCTTCCAGGCTGGATTGCAATGGCACGATCTTGGCTCACTGCAACCTCTGCCTCCTGGGTTCAAGTGATTCTCTTGCCTCAGCCTCCTCAGTAGCTGGGATTACAGGCATGCGCCACCACGACCGGCTAATTATGTATTTTTAGTAGAGACAGGGTTCCTCCATGTTGGTCAGACTGATCTCAAACTCCTGAGCTCAGGTGATCCGCCTGCCTCAGCTTCCCAAAGTGCTGGGATTACAGGCGTGAACTGCAGTGCCTGGCCCTGTTTAAGTGTTTATTATAAGAACTGCACTGGGTTAAGTTTTGGGGAAGAAAAGAAGGGGGTGAATTAGAAGCCAAATATGAGCCTGGCACGGTGGCTCATGCCTGTAATCCCAGCACTTTGGGAGGCTGAGGCGGGCGGATCACCTGAGTTCAGGAGTTGGAGACCAGCCTGACCAACAAGGAGAAACCCCGTCTCTACTAAAAATACAAAACTAGCCAGTCATGGGGGAGTGCCTGTAATCCCAGGTACTCTGGAGGCTGAGGCAAGAGAATCGCTTGAACCCGGGAGGTGGAGGTTGCGGTAAGCCAAGATCGCACCATTGCACTCCTGCCTGGGCAACAAGAGTGAAACTCCATCTCAAAAAAAAAAAAAAAAAAAAAAAAAGCCAAATATGAGTTTCTAATTCTTGAAGAGGAGAAGACAGGAGGAAAAGAGGAAAGACATAAATGAAGGTAAAGTTAAACAATACAAAATATTTAAATAACAGCTCAAGAGGACAAATATTATGAAACAATGCATATATGGACAATTTTTTTTTTAGAGACGGAGTTTCGCTCTTGTTGCCCAGGCTGTAGCGCAATGGTGTGATCTCAGCTCACTGCAACCTCCAACTCCCAGGTTCAAGTGTTTCTCCTGCCTCAGCCTCCCAAGTAGCTGGGATTACAGTACCCACCACCATGCCCAGCTAATTTTTGTATTTTTTAGTAGAGACAGGGTTTCACCCTGTTGGCCAGGGTGGTCCTGAACTCCTGACTGTTGGAAACAAGCCCCCCCCAAAATCTGGCCATAAACTGGCCCCAAAACTGGCCATAAACAAAATCTCTGCAGCACTGTGACATATTCATGATGGCCATAATGCCCCGCTGGAAGGTTGTGGGTTTACTGGAATGAGGGCAAGGAACACCTGGCCCACCCAGGGCGGAAAACCGCTTAAAGGCGTTCTTAAACCACAAACAATAGCATGAGCGATCTGTGCCTTAAGGACATGCTCCTGCTGCAGATAACTAGCCCAACCCATCCCTTTATCTCTGCCCATCCCTTTGTTTCCCATAAGGGATACTTTCAGTTAATCTAATATCTATAGAAACAATGCTAATGACTGGCTTGCTGTTGGGTAAATCTCTGTTCCTGGCTCTCAGCTCTGAAGGCTGTGAGACCCCTGATTTCCCACTTCACATCTCTATATTTCTGTGTGTCTTTAATTCCTCTAGTGCCGCTGGGTTAGGGTCTCCCCGACCGAGCTGCTCTCAGCACCTGACTTCAGGTAATCCACCCGTCTCGGCCTCCCAAAGTGCTAGGATTACAGGCATGAGTCACCGCGCCCGGTCTTATGGCCAATTTCTTTTTCTTTTCTTTTTTTTTTTTTTTTGAGATGGAGTCTCGCTCTGTCACCCAGGCTGGAGTGCAGTGGCGCGATCTCGGCTCACTGCAAGCTCCGCCTCCCGGGTTCACGCCATTCTCCTCCCTCAGCCTCCCGAGTAGCTGGGACTACAGGCACCTGCCACCACGCCCGGCTAATTTTTTATGTTTTAAGTAGAGATGGGGTTTCACCGTGTTAGGCAGGATGGTCTCGATCTCCTGACCTCTTGATCCGCCCGCTTCAGCCTCCCAAAGTACTGGGATTGCAGGCGTGAGCCACCGCGCGCGGCTAATGGCCAATTTTTAACTGCTCACTGAACTATGCAGCTGGATGTTGCTTTAAGAATTTAGAGGAGGTCGGGTCTGTTGGCTCACGCCTGTAATCCCTGCACTTTGGGAGGTCAAGGCAGGCCGACAGCTTGGGCCCAGGAGTTCAAGACCAGACTGAGCAACATGGCAGAATCAGCTAAGTGTGCTGGTGCCTGCCTGTGATCCCAGCTGCTCAAGAGACTGAGATGGGAAGATCACTTGAGCCTTGGAGTTGGAGGCTACAGTGAGTCGTGATCGCACCACTGCACACCAGCCTGGGCGACAGAGTGAGACTGTCTCAAAAATAAATAACTTAAAAGAAAATCTCCCTTCGTCTAAATCCTGTCTACTTCCAAGACACACACACACACACACACACACACACACACACACACACACACACACACACACACACACAAAATCTTGGCCGGACGTGGTGGCTCACGCCTGTAATCCCAGCACTTTGGGAAGCCGAGGCGGGCGGATCAACTAAGGTTGGGAGTTCAAGATGAGCCTGACCAACATGGAGAAACCACGTCTTTACTAAAAATACAAAATTAGCTGGGCGCGGTGGCGCATGCCTGTAATCCCAGTTACTTGGGAGGCTGAGGAAGGAGAATCGCTTGAACCCGGGAGGCGGAGGTTGCAGTGAGCCGAAATCACACCATTGCACTGCAGCCTGGGCAATAAGAGCGAAACTCCGTCTCAAAAATAAATAAAGAAATAAAAGCTGAATCACAACATCTTCCTCTGAAGTGTTGTTGTGACGTTAAAAATGAGATAATAGGCTGGGTGGGTCACGCCTTGTAATCCCAGTACTTTGGGAGGCCCATCACTTTGAGACTAGGAGTCCGAGATCAGCCTGGGTAACATGGCTGAGATAACGACTATAAAGTGAATGGCACATAGTAAGTGGTTAGCTAATGTTTGACTCAGCCCCACTCTTCAGTGATCCTTGTGGGCATTTCTTCACAAAGTTGCAAGGTATTTCTGTAGTCCTCTCTCCAGTATTTTTCAGTATTTGTTCTAGCACACACTAGGTCTTCCACAAAAATGATTGAATGAAAACTCCTGGCAGCGGGAAAGCGGGGTGGGGATGTGGGGAGGGGCACCCCAACACAAACACACAGAAAATGCTACTACAGAACATCGGTTACTGGGCAGCGGTACATTTCAGAACCCCTAGGGTGCCCTCACATCCTGCCTGGCTGGCCTGCTTCAAACGGTTCATTTAACCAAGGTCATACTAAAATGTTGGCTGCTACTAAAATCCAGGAACCTTCACTTTTCCCAGATAAGAGAGACAGTTGCTCTATTAGTATGGGCAGCGGTAGGCCCAAAAGATCCCGCCTTCCTCCACAGGGCGAGCCTATCAGCGCTCCTCCAGCGATGAACGACAGCTCTCCAGGAGCCAATGAGTTCCTCCCCCTGGAAGGAACCCGCCCATCCCTTGTGTCGTCACTAGATCTCTTAAAAAGATGGACCCTCAGCGGCGCTTCCTCGTAGCGAGCCTAGTGGCGGGTGTTTGCATTGAAACGTGAGCGCGACCCGACCTTAAAGAGTGGGGAGCAAAGGGAGGACAGAGCCCTTTAAAACGAGGCGGGTGGTGCCTGCCCCTTTAAGGGCGGGGCGTCCGGACGACTGTATCTGAGCCCCAGACTGCCCCGAGTTTCTGTCGCAGGCTGCGAGGAAAGGCCCCTAGGCTGGGTCTGGGTGCTTGGCGGCGGCGGCTTCCTCCCCGCTCGTCCTCCCCGGGCCCAGAGGCACCTCGGCTTCAGTCATGCTGAGCAGAGTATGGAAGCACCTGACTACGAAGTGCTATCCGTGCGAGAACAGCTATTCCACGAGAGGATCCGCGAGTGTATTGTGAGTGCGGGGCCCCGGCGAGGAGAAGCGGGGGTTGCGGGAGACGGGGAGGTTGGGGTCCGAGCCCACCTGGTCTCAGAGTGCCGTCAAACCATGCCTGGGCCAGCGGCGGGCGACGGAGGCCTCCGTCCGGGCAGAAGGGCGGGTGCCCGGCTAGCGATCCCCTAGATGGGATCAGCTGGGTCCCTGAGCGATAAACAAAGGCCGTCGTTTCCGTTCCTCCCCCACACGCCCCTCCCCTGCCCCTCCCTCCCACCCCTCACCCAGCGCGTCTTCCTGTTGGGGGTCTCCGGGGTCTGAGAGCCTGCGGAGTCTGCCTTAGTCTGATAATCGGGGAAGGATGGGTTTGCTTCTCAAACTGGGTTGAGGGCAAACTCAGCTGACGTTGGATGAAGGGGAGACGTCGTCACACTGAGCTTGATTCCAGAAAAGAGGGGAGGTGTAGGGATGGCAGACGGGAGGAACCTGGGGACTTGGTGGGTCATCTGCTTTGGAAGAAAGGAGTCTTGCTGGGGTGGATCCTAATATGTAGAGATGAGGAACAACCAAGTATTCCCCCGTCTTTTTTCTTTCTCATTGGTGTTTGTTTGAAACCCTGCAAGGCTGGGTTCCCAGCCTCTCAGCCATTCCGGGGTTTCCCCAGTGAGTGGTCCTCCCAGGGCTTCAGAGGGTACCTGGCTGCTGTTCCTTACGCCCTCCCTGCCACTTAGAGCGACAACTGAACCTTGCGCACAGAAGTGGACTACTCAATTCTGGGGTAGGGGTACCCAGTGGAGCTTAGGGTGTCATATCTTTCTCAGCCTTGCTTTGAATTTTCACCTCTCTCCTTTCTCCTGTGTCCTTCCCCAGAGCTCACCAGGGCAACCCTCATCTCCAGATAGTAAATGGAAAGGGAATGGTTTGGAAAAACAGAAAGAAATGTTAGTAAGTGTGGGAATCCATTGTTGGGGTCATTCCCTTCATTTTTCTCAGGCTGGGCTCTAGCCAGCCCTGGGCAGCCTGATTGGAGGAGGGGTAAATTGAGCCAGGACATAATTAGGTCTGCTCTTATCTGTGAGGACAGGAAAGTATATTAGTCTGTGTGTGCAACTCCAGTAGAAGTGTGCTTTCGGCAAGCCTTCCTTGTGTGTTTCTTGGTGGACAGTCCACATGGTGGGTTGGGCATATTGCAGAGGCACACCCAGGCCTTGAGACAGTGTCGGGCTGGAGGCTCAAATTCCTAGAGAACAGGGAGGGATGAGACCTTGGACAGAAGCAGCCTCCTGGATGTCTCCCTAATCCTTTAGTCCCATGAGCTGAGAACATCAGTGCTGGCTAAGGGTAGCCTGAAGACTTATGGTGCCTCCCCCACCTGGCTCTCATCTAGAGGCTAGAGAGCAGCCTAGCTTCTTGGAACTGCGTGGAACTCCAGCCTGACCTTTTGAGCCCTCCCACCTTCCTGGCTATTACGCAAGCCCAGAGCAGAACACAGGCTATAAAAATCTTGCAGCTACAATCTGAGTGGCTCCTTCTGTTCTGCTTCCCTAATATCAAAAGCTATGACTTTGTTCTAGATCGATGGCTCTCCTGCGTCTCTGTGGATTCTTCCCTCCTTGTACAGATAGCTGTATGTGTTTTCCTTGTGGGGTCAGCCCTTTCTGGAGACTGGAAGACCCATGAGACTGATCTTGTATTCTTGGCCTATCTCAAACACAATAACTTCTCTTCTTGAGACTCTCTGGTGTTTTTTTTGTTTTGTTTAGTTTTGTTTTTGACCTAGTCTCACTCTGTCGCCCAGGCTGGAGTGCAGTGGCGTTATCTCTGCTCACTGCAACCTCCGCCTCCCAGGTTCTAGTGATTCTTGTACCTCAGCCTCCCGAGTAGCTGGGA
Source organism: Homo sapiens (assembly GCF_000001405.40). Lineage (NCBI taxonomy): Eukaryota > Metazoa > Chordata > Mammalia > Primates > Hominidae > Homo > Homo sapiens. The sequence goes on along the minus strand of NC_000012.12, from coordinate 49,108,614 downwards.
TTACAGGCACCTGCCACCACACACGGCCTTTTTTTTTTTTTTTTTTTTTTTTTGAGACTCAGTCTTGCTCTGTTGCCAGAGCTGGAGTGCAGTGGCACAATCTCGGCTCACTACAACCTCCGCCTCCCGGGTTCAAGCAATTCTCCTGCCTCAGCCTCTCAAGTAGCTGAGACTACAGGTGCATGCCACCACGCCTGGCTAATTTTTGTATTTTTAGTAGAGACAGGGTTTCGCCATGTTGGCCAGGATGGTCTTGATCTCTTGACCTCGTGATCCTCCCGCCTCGGCCTCCCAAAATGCTGGGATTATAGGCGTGAGCCACTGCGCCCAGCCAATTTTTGTAATTTTTTTTGAGATGGAGTCTTGCTCTGTCACCCAGGCTAGAGTGCAGTGGCGCCATCACAGCTCACTGCAACCTCCACCTCCTGAATTCAAGTGATTCTCCTGCCTCAGCCTCTTGAGTAGCTGGGATTACAGGTATGCACCACCACACCCAGCTAATTTTTGTTTTTTTAGTAGAGATGGGGTTCCACCATGTTGGTCAGGCTGGTCTTGAACTCCTGACCTCATGATCCTCCCACTGTGGCCTCCCAAAGTGCTGAGATTACAGGCGTGAGCCTCAACGCCCAGCCCAATTTTTGTATTTTTAATAGAGACGGGGTTTCACCATGTTGGCCAGGCTAGTCTTGAACTCCTGACCTCAAGTGATTCATCTGCCTCGGCCTCCCAAAGTGCTGGGATTACAGGTATGAGCCACAGTGCCTGGCGGAGACTCTCTGTTCTTGATTATAGAGCCAAGCTGGCCAATGGCTCCTCCTCTGGGCAGCAGCAGCTTACTTGGAGTAGAGTAGGAATGAATATGCAGATTAACCTGGCTGAGTTCCGCCATCACTGTCACTTGGCAGTCCAGCCAGCTCTAGAAACACTATAGATATTGGGCCCCAGCTAAAGCCCACTGTTAGGGGTAGAGGATTAAATGAGACTCTGGTTTGGCCCAGAGCAGACCTGATCTTTCAGGCCCCTGAATAAGCATGGAATAGAAGTTGTGACTTGGTCTAGAAACATGACACCTTCTTTGGGTCAAGGCAGCAGTGTGCATGGAGGTAGGAGGGTGGGGTAGCAATGGGGTGCCAGGACAATGCAGACGTCTTCCTCCCCTCAAACCTGCTTTCATTCCCAATAATGTGCTCGGAGTAAATTCCCTCTGGTTCTGTAGCTGGTTTGAAATGCGTGTGCATGTGCATTTCTAGGAGTTTTCTTTGCCCATTTACCAACCAGAGTTGGGCTGAAGCTATTTTCTCCCAATGAAGTCCTTGTAGGGCTGGGCATGTTGCTGTTTCCCCAGGTGCATGGGGCAGCCCCTGTCTGGCCCTTCTTTGAGGCCCCTGGGGCCCTGACTAGAAGGAAGTACCTGGGGGATCAGAACAGAACATACTTCCAGATGGAACCCTTGGAAGTATGGAGCCTTATCTTGAGGAAGTGATGGCCTGGAATTAACAGAGAGGCCCTTGGGGCTGTGGAGTGTGCTGAAGGTTAGAGCTTCTCATCCCAGCTCATATTCTGCTACAGATATCAACACTTCTGTTTGCAACACTGTACATCCTCTGCCACATCTTCCTGACCCGCTTCAAGAAGCCTGCTGAGTTCACCACAGGTACTTTGATTTCCCTCCCTCCTGCTAGAGTCCCTGTTGCCATGGACCAGCCTCAGGGGAATGGGCCTATGGTACCCACTGGGAAAGGAGCAGTGGCTGTGTGGGGCTGTTCTGGAGCCTTTGCCTCTTCAGCCTCCCTTTCTGCAAGATAGGGGCAAGGGCGGCTAGATGGATGTGTCTGCTGGGCAAGTCATATAACATTTCTGATCCTCAGTTTCATCCTACAAAATGGGCGTAACAATGTCTACCTACTCCATTGTGTGGACCAAAGGAGATGGTTAATGTGAAAGCCCTTTGTGAACCTGAAGTGAGCAACTGCTGGATGAATGTCATTACGGGCACAGGCTCTGTGTCATCTCCTCTCCTAGTGCTTCCACAGCCAGGACCAGAGACCTCCCTGATGACTGGGGAACCTGGTGATGGTGGCCTTTCTCTTTATGGGGAGCCTGAGTATGCTCAGATCGCAGCTTTCCTTCCCTAGACATTGTGTAATTGGGGGTGGGGGCACACTTGCCCCAGTTCCTAGCTCCAGCCTTTCCTCCTCTTAGGATGGCTCAGGATGAGTCCCCCCTCAACAAGGCAGCTACCCAAGAGTAATTCCCCTGGGGACTTTCTGTGTGAATCTCCCCTTCCCCCTCCTCTCTTTTCCCTTTCCTGGACCCAGCCACTGATGTAACCAACCTCACAGACTAGTTGTTTATTATATTAATAGTTTGAGCATATAAAGAGGAACTTGTGATGGGAGAGATCTAGGGAGGAGTAAAGAAGTATAGGAATGTCTGGCCTGTATTCTCTTCACCTGGGACCACTGATTTTTAAGCTGCCACCTTGGCTGGAGAACAGGCTATGGAGTTCATAATGTGTGGTCTCCTGGAGCCTCCTGTTCAGCTCTGCCTTCTTTGAGGGGGCAGGGATGGGGCAGGGAGCACATTGTAATACTAACGGCCTCAGAGCTGCCCCCTGATGTCCTCCTGCCTGTTCCCCGTGCCTCTGTCTCTTACAGTGGATGATGAAGATGCCACCGTCAACAAGATTGCGTAAGTGTCCCTGCCTCAGCACCTAACATCAGTGGTCTTTAGGAACTGGGATCTAGGGAGGCCTGGAGCTGGAGGGAGAAGGGGGAAGTCTCACACAGTGAAGAGAGAGTTTCTGTTTCCACCCCATTTCTGGCTTCCGGCTTTACCTCACCCTGGGGATGCTCAGAAAAGCTGCTGTTCCTGTCTTCCTGGTTAGGCCAGGAGCTTGTGGGAGCCTCATGGCCAGGAACGTCCGCTGGGGCCTGAGTCACCGGAAATGGCTCCAGCTTGGCTTCACCTCCCAGCGACCAATAGGGAGGGAGTGGAGTGGGGATGCACATTGATGGAAAAAGAGCAGGGTGTGGGGAAGGTGGGAACCCCTGAGGGAGGGGCATGCTTGGTTCTGGGAGAAAGGCCCATATTCCAGGCTGCCAGTGTTCACTGGTACATACAGAAAAAGATAGAGATATGACTCCTTTGAGTCAATAGATCAGAAGGCAGCCCTCCACCCTTGATGGACCAAAGAGCTAGAAGTGCCCATCTTCAATATATGCAGCCCGGGGCATAGACCTTGGCTATGAAGCTAGGTTTCAGTTCCCTCTTGTCCTCCTTTGCCCTCATGCCTTTGTGCAGGGCATAGCCATATGGGATGACCCTGTGCTTATCTGGGCTAAAAGAGGTAAGCTCAGAAATCCATATCCCTGACCAAAGAAGAGAAGCCAGGTCCCCTAGTTTTGGCATCATACCTGGCATAACTGATAGGCATGTATGGGAGGACCACATTCCTGGGGACAGCCTGGGTATGTGACATGGCAGGTGACCAGGTTCCCATGAATGCCCGAGGCTGTGCCCATCCCATGAGCTGGGGCTTCCCTGGAGGTAAAGAGCTAGGGTGGGGTGGCAGTGGGTAGAACCCCAGCTGGACAGCTCCTTCCTTAGCTCTGTGATTGCTACAGCTGGTTCTGGAAGCCACAGGCGCCCTCAGGACAAATGGGGCTTCTTCAGCACAGGGTAGTGAGTGCTGAGCTAAGCAAGGACACTGTCCCCTTCTCTGCCCAGGCTCGAGCTGTGCACCTTTACCCTGGCAATTGCCCTGGGTGCTGTCCTGCTCCTGCCCTTCTCCATCATCAGCAATGAGGTGCTGCTCTCCCTGCCTCGGAACTACTACATCCAGTGGCTCAACGGCTCCCTCATCCATGGTGTGTGGCTCCTGGAAGCTGCTTGGGGTAGGGATAGGGAGCAGAGAGCAGATAGAGTTGGGTGGACTCAGGCAGCCGTGCGCCAAGCAGTCATATGTCGCACCTTCCCACTCTGCTTCTCCTGCAAATGGTCAGTCTCCTGTGGGTTGCCCCTCCCCTTACTGACCACTTCTGCTCTTCCTTTTTTGCTCTAGGCCTCTGGAACCTTGTTTTTCTCTTCTCCAACCTGTCCCTCATCTTCCTCATGCCCTTTGCATATTTCTTCACTGAGTCTGAGGGCTTTGCTGGCTCCAGAAAGGTAAGTAGGGGATATGTATCCAGGCAGGAAACGGAATTCCACACACATGGTTCAGCTGAAGAGATTTTAATAAAGAGGCTATTTGCAGAGGTTTAGTTAACGGAAGTTTGAGGCTCTAGTGACAGTAGGAAGTCATTACCACCCTTAGGCCTGTAGGGACAAAGGGAGGAAATGGTTTCTAGAACCCACTAATAGCTGAAGCCAGGGATGTGAAGCTGCCCAGAGAGGAGCTGTTGTCTTAGTGTCATAATCACTGCCAAAACCATGGTGGCAGACGTGGGAGGACTCACAGGAAACATACCCTCACCTTTTTTCTACCTTCCATTCTCCTGTTGGATGCGAAACCAGAGGGCAAAGAGCTTGTGGGATGCAGACCTCGGAGGTCAGCCTCCCAGAGCACACAATGACAAGGAATAGGTCTGGGGAAAGGAGATGCAAATGAAGAACACCTGGTATGTGGGGTGACCTTAGACTGGGGAGTGGGAAGACAGAGCAACTTAGCAGAATAAGAGGAAAACCCTCTCTCTTACCTCCTGAATCCAAACCTTTCTGGTTCCTGCAGGCTGCCTGCCATCTCCAATGTTCCCACACTGCCCTGATGTTAACCTTCTTCACTGGTTGCCTCCTCCCGTAGGGTGTCCTGGGCCGGGTCTATGAGACAGTGGTGATGTTGATGCTCCTCACTCTGCTGGTGCTAGGTATGGTGTGGGTGGCATCAGCCATTGTGGACAAGAACAAGGCCAACAGAGAGTCACTCTATGGTGAGCGGCCCAGCTTCCTCCAGGCTGCATGGCTTTTCAGTTGGCCCATGTCCCCCTGCCTGGAATGACTGTAACCTTCTAAAGTGGAAAATGTTGGCACCTTCTCCCTTAGACTGAAGTTTCAAACTGATAGACATCTGGCCAAATGCAATCTGCAGAAATGTTTCATTGGGCCCATGCAATGGTTTTAAAAATATATATTATTCAGTTGCTAACATTTTAAATTGGGAGGTTTCACATTAATATCCAGATATCTAACTTTGTTTGACAAGGAGAAGATCTGGCTACATTAGTCCCTGGTGATGGGGGCCAAATAGCAGTTGTACCCTTTAGTTAGGGGTTAGGATCTCCAGTTTACTATAGGCCCTGCCACTCCCTATTCTGCTAATGCTGGCCAGCTTTCTTCATTTGTATTAATTGCCTAACCCCTGTGGGGACTGTGCCCTTGTCTAGACTCTGAGGCCTGTCAGCCTGGGGACAGTAAGTAAGGAGAGATGAGCTGACATGCCTCTTTTTTTTATCCTTAGACTTTTGGGAGTACTATCTCCCCTACCTCTACTCATGCATCTCCTTCCTTGGGGTTCTGCTGCTCCTGGGTGAGTGTACAGGGTCTGGGAGGGAATGGGCAGGGTCCTTGGACCAGAGTAACCAGGCTAGAAGGAAAGGGAATGGGGGGCATGTTAGGGAAGGGGTGGAGAGCAGGGTCTGGCAAGTGACTGGCTCTTGTCCCTACAGTGTGTACTCCACTGGGTCTCGCCCGCATGTTCTCCGTCACTGGGAAGCTGCTAGTCAAGCCCCGGGTATGTGGTATTCCTTGCTCTTTGATCCTGCAGGGTGAGCTTCCTGCAGAGCTGGAACCAAACAATGAAACAACCCTATGGTTGTGTAGTACACAACTTGCAGAGAGCTACAGCCTTTGTTGGTTCCTGTATTCTGTACCCCTATCATGCAGAGCTGGTCACTAGACATGCAGGGCAGAATACAGGGCAATTGGGAGGGACTGAGCAAAGCTGCGGGCCACAGGGTGGTGAATGAGGGTCTGGGGGAAGCCTGGGACTACGGAGCCCTGGGAAGAACAGGGTTCTCCTGGGGCCTTTGGGTCAGGGAGCCTCTGACAGTTAGTCTCTTCCTTTCCCCTGCCCCTAGCTGCTGGAAGACCTGGAGGAGCAGCTGTACTGCTCAGCCTTTGAGGAGGCAGCCCTGACCCGCAGGATCTGTAGTAAGTTGCAGTTCTTCCCTGCTGGGGTGGTAGGCTTGGCCTGGGCAGAAACTGCAGGACTTGAGAGCAACACCATCTTCTCTGCCCTCAGATCCTACTTCCTGCTGGCTGCCTTTAGACATGGAGCTGCTACACAGACAGGTCCTGGCTCTGCAGACACAGAGGGTCCTGCTGGGTATGTGGCTTCGTAGGGCTTGGGATACCTGGGTTTCCCCAAGGAGAGTAGCCCCTGGTTCCAGGTGCTTGCTGACAGCCTCCCATCCCTGCACAGAGAAGAGGCGGAAGGCTTCAGCCTGGCAACGGAACCTGGGCTACCCCCTGGCTATGCTGTGCTTGCTGGTGCTGACGGTAGGTATACCAGCCCTAGAGGTGAGGAGTGGACCCTCAGTACTTGAGGCCTTCTCAGGGAGAGGGGAGGCAATGCAGGGACCTGGTTATCATCAGTAATAGTGGTTGCTTCTCACTGAGTGCCTACTTTTATGTCCTGCCTGTGGTGAGCACAAATGTTGAGCACATCAATCCCCATTTTGTAGACGAAGAGACAGAGTTGAGTGACTTGCCCAAAGACACAGGGCCAGTGAGGAGTTGTGCAGGTTTGCCCTGGCATTAAAATAATAAACATTGAAATTCAGTCGATTCCCCTATGGACTCAGTTATAGATCTCATCAGTTGAAGGAAGAGAGATGCCTTTTCCTATTCAGCCTTTTTGCAATCCTTCCATCTAGAGGAGATGTATCTTATAATATCCTCAAAGGCACTCTGTTGCTAATAGCAGCCTTGATGAGGTCCCATATAGCTCATTGGAAGCAGAGCTAGTCTTGGAAACTGAAAATGTTGGACCAGAGTCTGCCCATTCCTTTAGCTCTGGGTCCAGCTGTGGTCTGGGGTGGAATGGGAGTCTGACCTTGCCTCACACAGGGCCTGTCTGTGCTCATTGTGGCCATCCACATCCTGGAGCTGCTCATCGATGAGGCTGCCATGCCCCGAGGCATGCAGGTACCAGGCTGCCCTCCCACCATATCCTTTGGGGAGGGCCTAAGAACAGCTGGGGAGAGGAGGCAGAAGCTGAGGACAGTGGGAAGGCTGGGTGCCGGGTAGTGCTGATGGTGGGGAATGCTCACAGTGATACTGCCCCACTCCTCAGGGTACCTCCTTAGGCCAGGTCTCCTTCTCCAAGCTGGGCTCCTTTGGTGCCGTCATTCAGGTTGTACTCATCTTGTATCCTTCTGGAAACCCATCATTGCCTCTGTTCAGCAAACCTGTCTCCTGGGACTCTAGACCGAGCACTTCTTGGACTTTGTCTCCTTTGGGACTCTGAGCAACGCTGATGGGAAGTGGGGCAAGTTTTCATCAACCTCAGGTTCAGAAAGAAGGAAAAGACTTAATTTGAAAGGAGGGCTGGTGGTTCAGTAGAATCTGATCAGAAGAAAATAAAAAGAGGCCAGGTGCAGTGGCTCACACCTGTAATCCTAGCACTTTGGGAGGCTGAGGCGGGTAGATTGCTTGAGTTTAGGATTTCAAGACCAGCCTGAGCAACATGGTGAAACCCGGCCTCTACAAAAAGTACAAAAAATTAGCCAGACGTGGTGGTGCGTGCTTGCATTCCCAGCTACGTGGGAGGCTGACGTGGGAAGATCGCTTAAGCCCAGAAGGTCAAGGTTGCAGTGAGCTGAAATCGCACCACTGCACTCCAGCCTGGGTGACAAAGTGAGACCCTGTCTCAAAAAAAAAAAAAGAAGTGGGCTGGGAGAGAGCTCTGTTCCCTTTGAGATGAGTTATTAATTCTTGGAGCCAGCCAGTTCTTCCTTAATGCAGTGGCAGTTACCTAATGGTGTCCTCAGTTGTGGGCTTCTATAGCTCTCCACTCTTCCGGAGCCTGCGGCCCAGATGGCACGACACTGCCATGACGCAGGTAGCTGGGAGGGAGTAAGGGAAGCTCCCGGGGGGTGTGGATGGGCACTAGGTGCCTGCAGCTCTTCCACCCTCACCTCTCCTTTCCCTGCTTCCACCCAGATAATTGGGAACTGTGTCTGTCTCCTGGTCCTAAGCTCAGCACTTCCTGTCTTCTCTCGAACCCTGGGTAAGTATTGAAAGGAGGAGATAAAGGAATTGGATTTTTTTGAGTACTTACTGATGCAAAGCAGGCACTTTATATACATAATTTCTCTAATTCCCACAACAAACCCATGAGTAGGTATTATCCGCATTATACAGATGAGGAAAGCAAGGCTCTGTAAAGTGCCTACACTGAGCTTCAGGGTCAAAGTACATACTTTTTACATTTGCTACATCCCACTGCCTCTCATTTACTTCTACTTTTTGGTCAGGGAGCACACTTTTCTAAATCTTTCTCCTGGGTGAATAATCTAGTAAATGTTCCTATTTGAAAGACAATAAACAGAGAAGCTACCTGATTAACCCAGATTATACAGCTGGCTTGAGGCAAGGTCAAGTCAGTCTAGGACCCTTGTCTCCTGAACCCCAGGCTAGTGCTTTCTCTATACACTGGTGTGTCAGATAATAAACTCACTCCTTCTCCTGCCTTTAGAGCTATATCTAGAATTAACTGGTTAAAAAGTTCAAGAGTGGCTGGGCGCAGTGGCTCATGCCTGTAATCCCAGCACTTTGGGAGGCCAAGGCGGGCGGATCACCTGAGGTCAGGATTTCGAGACCAGCCTGAGCAACATGGAGAAACCCCATCTCTACTAAAAATACAAAATTAGCCAGGTGTGGTGGTGCATGCCTGTAGTCCCAGCTACTCGGGAAGCTGAGGCAGGAGAATCACTTGAACCCGGGAGGCAAAGGTTGCGGTGAGCTGAGCTCACGCCATTGCACTCCAGCCTGGGCAACAAGAGCGAATCTTCATCTCAAAAAAAAAAAAAAAAAGTTCAAGAGTGTAACTAGTTCACCCCAAGGTAGTGTGTGAGCTGCAGAGGTAACAGCCGCCCTCCTACCTCCCCCTAAATACCACATCATCCTCTGTATTTTATATGTGATTTCATATTTAAGTCAGTTCTGGGGCCAGGCCTGGTGGCTCACGTCTGTAATCTCACACTTTGGGAGGCCAAGGTGGACAGATCAGCTTGAGGCCAGGAGGTCAAGACCGGCCTAGCCAACATGGTGAAACCCCATCTTTATGAAAAATATAAAAATTAGCCAGGTATGGTGGCACATGCCTGTAATCTCAGCTGAGGCATGAGAATTGCTGAGCTTGGGAGGTGGCTGAGGCATGAGAATTGCTTGAGCTTGGGAGGTGGAGGTTGCAGCGAGCCAAGATGGTACCACTGCACTCCAGCCTGGGTGACAGAGCGAGACTCTGTCTCAGAAAAAAAAAAAAAAAAAAATCAGCTGTGAGCCAGGCCTGGTGGTTCACGCCTGTAATCCTAGCACTTTGGGAGGCCAAGGTGGGAGGATCACTTGAGGCCAGGAGTCCTAGACCAGCTTGAGCAATATAGTGAGACCCCATCTCTACCAAAAAAAAAAAAAAAAGTGTTTTTAATTAGCACACCTATAGTCCTAGCTATGTGTGAGACTGAGGCAGGAGGATTGCTTGGGCCCAGGAGTTTGAGGCTGCAGTGAGCTAAGACTGTGCCACTGCACTCCAACCTGGGCAACAGAGCAAGACCCTGTCTTAAGACAAAACCAAATTAAACAAAACAAAAAACAGCTCTATTTCATTCTTAACGTTATATTATTTCCACTCTACCATTTGTATTTATGCCAGGAGAATTTGTAAGAAAGTAGGTTTGTGGGTCTTCCAGTTAGTTCCTTTAGGGTGGATGCAGGTAAGAATATTTAAAGGTGGAGAGCAGAGTTTTTTGATTTATGATAATATTATGAGGGGACCAGTAAATGTTAGAATAGTGCCTGGCACAGACAGTGCTTTATGTGTGTTGTCTCATTTAATTCTTAGGAAACTGAGGCACAGAAAATTTAAGGAAATTGCCCCAGATCACGCAGCTAGTTAGGGGTGGAGTTGGGATATGAACCAAAGCAGCCTGATGAGTATGAGCGCCCAGCAACCACACTGTTCTGTCTACTAAAAAAAACTTGGCAAACTGCTTATTCCAGGCCCAGGAACAAGTAGTAGGCCCTGGGAGTTCCTGGGGACACCAGGAGCCAGAGGAGGCCTCACTGGAGGAGAAGATACCAGACTCTGGAAGCGAAGTTGAAGCAAGCCTAGCTGCTGGCACTTAGAACAGTCCCGAACTGCTCTTGAGACAGCTTGGGTGGTAGAATTGGGAGAGGCCAACCTATCAGTTGCAGTGTTGAAATGTGGCCACCAGGAGGCAGCAGAAAGTTGGGCTGGTAGCAGAAAAGGGCCTGGGGAGCCCACCTCTCATCCTGGCCTTTGTGCTTCAGGGCTCACTCGCTTTGACCTGCTGGGTGACTTTGGACGCTTCAACTGGCTGGGCAATTTCTACATTGTGTTCCTCTACAACGCAGCCTTTGCAGGCCTCACCACACTCTGTCTGGTGAAGACCTTCACTGCAGCTGTGCGGGCAGAGCTGATCCGGGCCTTTGGTGAGAGGGAGTGAGGGTGCAGGCTAGTGGGGGGTGGTAATCATCTAGGACACTCTGGAACATGGATCACCCCAGCAGGGGAGAGGGTGTGCTTCCTGCTTTGTGGGTAACGTACCTCATCCACACATTCTGTGGCTTGGCTGCCTGGTCCCTAACGGACTGGACCTTTGACTTGCTTTTGACTGCCCATCTCCTCTTCTCCAGGGCTGGACAGACTGCCGCTGCCCGTCTCCGGTTTCCCCCAGGCATCTAGGAAGACCCAGCACCAGTGACCTCCAGCTGGGGGTGGGAAGGAAAAAACTGGACACTGCCATCTGCTGCCTAGGCCTGGAGGGAAGCCCAAGGCTACTTGGACCTCAGGACCTGGAATCTGAGAGGGTGGGTGGCAGAGGGGAGCAGAGCCATCTGCACTATTGCATAATCTGAGCCAGAGTTTGGGACCAGGACCTCCTGCTTTTCCATACTTAACTGTGGCCTCAGCATGGGGTAGGGCTGGGTGACTGGGTCTAGCCCCTGATCCCAAATCTGTTTACACATCAATCTGCCTCACTGCTGTTCTGGGCCATCCCCATAGCCATGTTTACATGATTTGATGTGCAATAGGGTGGGGTAGGGGCAGGGAAAGGACTGGGCCAGGGCAGGCTCGGGAGATAGATTGTCTCCCTTGCCTCTGGCCCAGCAGAGCCTAAGCACTGTGCTATCCTGGAGGGGCTTTGGACCACCTGAAAGACCAAGGGGATAGGGAGGAGGAGGCTTCAGCCATCAGCAATAAAGTTGATCCCAGGGTTTGCTTTGTTTTTTTAAAGCACCTGTCTCTGTGTATATTTGAACAGCCTTGCTCCCACCAGCCCGGCGTCTGCCCAGTAAGAGAAGCAGAGGGGTCCTGCCCACCATCCTTTTCCTTCCCCTTCATCTATATTATTACCATCCTTTGGGGACTTGGATCTGGTGTTAGGCCATGCAGTTGGGCAGTGGGAAACTCCTCCATCCTCAGTCTTGCTTAAAGCTGGCTTGTCCCCTGACTCCTCCTTATATTCATGGCCTTGTTTCTGTACCTTGAGTATTGGGGGTAGGACATGGGCATAGGAGTAGGCTAACCTCCCCGATACACTCATACCTTCAGCCCTATCCTCCCTGGCTTAACTATTGGATATAGAGTAAAATAAGTGGCTGGCTGACAAGGATTTTCATTTCCTACCTGAGAGAAGAATCTAGCTTTTTACTAGAGGCCATCAGTTTCTTGAAAAGCCCATGTGCTATGTTGGGAGTAAGAGCGCAAAACTTAGGCTTATACAGATTGTGTATTGCACAGCTTCCAGGGACACCATTCACCTCATAGTCATTGTGTGGATAGTTACTATGATAGTTTTCTAATAAATGTCAGTCATCTTGAGGAAGGGGTGCTTTTTTTTTCTTTTTTCTTCTTCTTTTTTTTTTTTTTTTTTTTGTGAGACAAGGTCTGGCTCTATCACCCTGGCTGGAGTGCAGTGGTGCAATCTCAGCTCACTGCAACCTCCGCATTCTGGGCTCAAGCCATTCTTCCAGCTCAGGCTCCAGAATAGCTAGGACAACAGACACATGCTACCATGCCTGGCTAATTTTTGTATTTTTAGTAGAGATGGGGTTTTGCCATGTTGCCTGGGCTGGTCTTGAACTCCTGAGCTCAAGTGATCCACCTACCTTGGACTCCCCAAATGATGGAATTACAGGGGTTAGCCACAACACCCAGCCATCTTTTTTTTGGGGGGGGGGGTCCTCACTCTGTCACCCAGGTTAGAGTGCAGTGGCATGATCTTAGCTCACTCTACAGCCTTGAACTCTTGCACCCAAGTGATCCTCCTTCCTCAGCCTCCTGAGTACCTAAGACTACAGGCATGTACCACTACCTCCCACTAATTAATTTTTTTTTTTTGAAACGGGGTGTCACTATGTTGACCAAGTTGGTCTTCAACTCATGGCCTCAAGCAGTCCTTGCCTCGCCCCCAAAGTGTTGGGATTACAGGAGTGAGCCACTGTGCCTGGCCTGGTTTTTTCTGATGTACACAAAGTTGCTATGAGTACTAGCCATAGAGTGTGGTGAGGGGAGGGTGAATATGAAACACAAAGTGTAGATTCCACAAATGCTTGCAAAGCACCCTTCTGTAGAGTAGGCACTTAACCTTGGAGATACATGATAAATATGTGTGTGCTTAAGATTGCTTTGTCTAGTAAGGTGCCAGATAATTCTAATACTGTTCTAACACTGCAGTTAAGTAATGGTTCTCGAGGGAACACAGGTGGGCAGTGTTGGGACATCAAGGAAGGCTTCTTAGAAGAAATGACTTCTAAACAAAAGAAATTGGACGTGGTGCCTCTGAGATGAGATCTGAGTGGCTGAAAATGGAGCCCCGGGAGTCCAGAGAGGGAGAAAGCTGGAGAGGTGCCTAGATGGACGGTTAAGGGAAGTGATCCTCACCTCTTACAAAGACTTTTGAGTGTCCACTGCCCTTCAGCAGCTTCCAACTGAGAAGTCATTCATTTGAAAAACAGCAGCTATTAGATGCCTGGCAAAGAAGAGAAGGGGAAAAAAGTTGGAAGTCCTAAATGAGACAATAAGTACCAAGCTCTGTTCCTGGTTCTGGGGAAGTTCCAAAGGAGACTGCAAAGTTAGTAGAGAAATGGGCCCCTGGTATCCTCACCTCCCAGTCCTGCTTAATGCTGAATGTGAGGAGAGATGGAAGTCGGGGAGATCTGGGGAGGACTACAGAGAAGGGAGGCTCTGGTTGTATGCCCAAAGGGCTTGGCTGGTCTTGGGCAGAAATTGGAACCCATACTTCCTGGATGACAGCGGAGGGCATGGCCTGCCAGGGTAGGCTTTGAGAGAGTAAAAATTCCAATTCAAGTATCAGAGGAGGGTGGTTTGGTTCCAAGTTTAAGCTTGGAGGTAGAAGGATGTTTAGGCAGCCAAGGACTGTAAAGCTACAAGTATTTCCTAGGCAGGTGTCTGCCTGGTTTCCAGGATGGGACACACTTCAGTCGCAAAATGGACCAGCAGTGACCGGCTAGATCCCCCGCCCGGGTGGGAGGGGGTGGGACGGTCTTGGGAGAAGGGCGGAGGGCGGGGCCAGGGGCCACTTAAGGCGGAGTCCGGAGTCCGGGCGTTCTGGCAGCACCAGAGTCCTGCAGCAGAGACGGGCTGGGCTGGCACTCACCCACGACCCCCCTTCCCTGCTATGATGGTTTGTCAGTAGCAGGTCCTAGACACCCCCCGCCCGCTCCCGGGGCACGTGGGCAGAGCTAGCAGCAGCCAGGTGCACGGAGCCACAAGAGCTCTAGGGCACTCTGGGGGCAGCTGTGCCTGCTGCCCTCTCTGGTGCCTGTGGAGATGCCTAACTGACAGGAGAGTTAGTGAGGACAAGAACGCTCCCTTTTGGCCGAGGTCCGCTGTATCCATGGCTCTCCTGACCAATCTACTGCCCCTGTGCTGCTTGGCACTTCTGGCGCTGCCAGCCCAGAGCTGCGGGCCGGGCCGGGGGCCGGTTGGCCGGCGCCGCTATGCGCGCAAGCAGCTCGTGCCGCTACTCTACAAGCAATTTGTGCCCGGCGTGCCAGAGCGGACCCTGGGCGCCAGTGGGCCAGCGGAGGGGAGGGTGGCAAGGGGCTCCGAGCGCTTCCGGGACCTCGTGCCCAACTACAACCCCGACATCATCTTCAAGGATGAGGAGAACAGTGGAGCCGACCGCCTGATGACCGAGGTAAGGAGGGCCTCTCCCTACCTGCGCCGGGGCACTGCCAGCTCCTCCGTTTTCCTATGGCAGCCCAGGTGGGTGAGTCCAGCTTCACCTACAGAGAGTTTAGCCTTAGAGATTTCCCTTGTCACCAGCCCCAGGGGGGGGAAAAATCCTTGCAGTCTGGACAGAGTAATTAGGACGGCTCCCGACTAGAATAGTCTGGGATGGGGAGGGGAGGAGGGACTGACTAGTGAGAGTGAAGCTGGTAGAGGCAGCGAGGGCGGGGAAAGGAGGATGGCGGCAGGCGAGACGGGAAATGGCTGAGGCGTGGACCGGGGGTCAGCCACCCAGCCAGGCAGGAAGGGCTGGGGTGAGCTGGGGGCCAGGAGCTGGCTAGGTAGCAGACAGAAGCCTGGCTCCTGACCTGATTGTAGAAAAGCTCTGTGGGCCGAAAAGAAGAGACTGAAAAGGGCTGGGACAGGGGTGGCCAAGGGTCAGGTCACCAGACCATCTACCTGAGGAGGGGCTGGGCAGACATTGCTTTTGGCATGGGAAACGTGTCCTAGAACCAGGACACATCTATTCTAGGGTCTATTCTAGGGCTATCCTAGGGTCTAAACGATAATCTTGGGGTTAAAAAGTAATCCTCAGTGAGAATAACAGATGGACCCACCTGAGAATCAGAGGGCTCCTAAGTCTTCCAAGCTCTGCCTATCTCAGGGGCTTTCCTTGGAATTACATAATTAGGATAAATTCAACTACCATTTTTGAGCATTGGAACCACCTAGAGTGAGGTGGAAGAGAAGGACCACCTCTGGCGAGTGATTTATTTTTTATTTTTTGTAGAGACGGGGTCTTGCCATGTTGCCTAGGCTAGTCTTGAACTCCTGAGCTCAAGGGATCCTCCCACCTCGGCCTCCCAAAGTGCTGGATTACAGGTGTGAGCCACTTCATCCAGCCTGGCCAGTGATCTTGAATGTTAGAACTGAAAGAAAACTTGAGAGATGACATTCCTCCAACCCTCCCCACCCCCACTGCCACCCTCATTTTACATCTGAGAGCTGGACTTCCCCCAGGAGGAAAAGCAATTTAAACTCTCACAATTTAAAGTGGCATGGCTGGGACTAGAATTCAGGACTCCTGATTCTAAGCCCTATATACTTTCCATTACACCACCTAATTGTGTATGGAGTGGGGAGGTGGGGGGAGAGGGAGGGGTACGGATTTCCTCTGATTAATTGCCATAGTTTTCCAGGTTACTTTGTTAGGAAAACCTGTCCAGGGAAGAAATAATTCCTTTTGCTTCTGCCCTGAAGCCTTCCTCCTACCTAGAGATGGGAAAAGGGGCATTCCTTCTTTCCTCCTTGGCCGTGGAACATTGTGGCCCTTTCCTCTGGTTGCCACCTGCAGCAGAGTGGGCAGAACAAGGGACAGGCTCAGGAGGGGCTCCGGCAGGCCTGGGAGCCCCCTCAGTCTTACTTATCTCCCACACCCTGGCTGCAAAAGGCCTCCATTGAGTTGGCTCTGCACTGGGCTGCTGCCCCCGCAGGTCAGGGCCTCGGGGCCTCCTTAGGGGACGAAACGACAAAGTTGGAAGGAGCTACCACTTTTCCTGTTTTCCCCCCACCCAACCCCAACTCTGCGGGGTGGAGGAGACTAGAGGAGAGGGGAAAAGTGTCTTTCTGTTAGGAGAAAACCAAGTCCGAGGTGAGAGGTCGGAGGGGAAAGAAAAAAAGGAAGCTGTCCCTCTGCGCCTCCTCCCGCGGTGTCCCTGCTATGGTGCGCGCCAAGGTCTCCCGCTCCCAGGCTGGAGCGGCCAAGATAACTGTGGTCTCACTCCCCCAGGTGCAGGCTTCCAGCCGCAGCTTCTTTTCCTCTTCTCCGCTCTCACCCTGCAGGGGGCTCCCCAGATCCGCACAAGGAGACCGTTATTCTCAGGTGCTACTCCCACGCCCTTCTGGGCTGCATCTAGAGCAGAGATGGGAGAGATAGGGGCTCTCCGGACTGGCAGAGCCTTAGCTGGAACTGGGAAGACTGGACGCGCGGGGGGAGGGGACCTACCCGGACGGAGCAGGGATTGGGGGCGCGGCTTTCTGCCCTTTCCTCTCCCTGAGCCGGGGCGGCTGAAAAGCGCCTTTGTGGCCGGAGCTGCTGAGTCCGCTTCTCCCAGCGCGTTCCCGGCCTGGGCTCAGGATTCTCGCTCGGTTAAGTCATCCCGGATAATGGCCATTGTACTTCGCGCAACCCCCGCCACCCCAATCCTTTTTCCAGCAGCCTTGATCCCGCACAGCTCCTCTTGGGCACCTCTCTGGGGGGCACCCAGAGCACGAAGGGGTTAATGCTAAGGGCCCAAAGGAGGAGGAGGAAGGAAGGAAGGAAGCGATGCCCGGTGCCAGGGAAGGCAATGAAACAAAAGATGAATCAGGCGGAGGGAGGGGAGCCGGTGCCTGGGGCGGGGGCCAGGCTCAAACAGGGGCTCTCCGGGAGCAACCAGGCCCTCCCTGACCACGCTTCCATTCGCCCTCCTAACTCTGTCCTTCTCCCAGGTTGAGCCGCTGTCCCTGAACCAATAGGGGTGAGGGACGGGCATTAAAAATGGGGAAGGAGCTAGGTATGGGCACCCCCTCTCAACCTCAGAGGTGAGCCCACAGTTCTCCAACGACGTCCTGGGAACAGAGTGCAGATTGGTGACTACCATCGACTCAGATTCTCATTTCTCCAGGACACTCAAAAGCTGGGAGGGGTAAGAGTAGGGCCGGAATAACAAAGAATCAACCCTCCTATCCAGGTCCCTTTTGCCCCAAGGGTGGTGGTGGGGAGACTGACTCCTTTATTCCCCGCCAGCGTTGTAAGGAGCGGGTGAACGCTTTGGCCATTGCCGTGATGAACATGTGGCCCGGAGTGCGCCTACGAGTGACTGAGGGCTGGGACGAGGACGGCCACCACGCTCAGGATTCACTCCACTACGAAGGCCGTGCTTTGGACATCACTACGTCTGACCGCGACCGCAACAAGTATGGGTTGCTGGCGCGCCTCGCAGTGGAAGCCGGCTTCGACTGGGTCTACTACGAGTCCCGCAACCACGTCCACGTGTCGGTCAAAGCTGGTACAGTAGGAGGAGGGTGGTAAAATCCGCCCAAAGGGGGCTCCCTCCGGGAAACTGAGTCTGCAGTAGTACTGTTGCCACCCTAGGGGAGACCAAGCGGGCTTTAGTGTTGAAAACCACCCGTCCAGGCCGAGGCGGTGCCTCACGCCTCTAATCCCAGCACTTTGGGAGGCCAAGGAGGGCGGATCACTTGAGGTCAGGAGTTCGAGATCAGCCTAGCCAACATGGTGAAATCCCGTCTCTATTATAAATACGAAAATTAGTTGGGCGTGGTGGTGTATGCCTGTAATCCCGGCTACTCGTGAGGCTGAGGCACGAGAATCACTTGAACCCGGGAGGTAGAAGTTGCAGTGAGCCGAGATGGTGCCACTGCACTCCATCTACTGGGCGACAGAGCGAGATTCTATCTCAAAATACATACATACATACATACATACATACATACATACATACATACATAGAAAAGAGAAGAAAAAGGAAAAGAAAAGAAAGAAAAACCGCCCTTCCTTTTCTGCCCAGGTTGGGGCCAGTCAGATTAACGGAAAATTGTGTTGTCCATGACTGGCGATATCTGCGCTGGCCTTGAGAATCGTTCTGGAACCGCTGGTCTTGATTCAATCCTCCCTGTGGTTGTTCCCTGCAGATAACTCACTGGCGGTCCGGGCGGGCGGCTGCTTTCCGGGAAATGCAACTGTGCGCCTGTGGAGCGGCGAGCGGAAAGGGCTGCGGGAACTGCACCGCGGAGACTGGGTTTTGGCGGCCGATGCGTCAGGCCGGGTGGTGCCCACGCCGGTGCTGCTCTTCCTGGACCGGGACTTGCAGCGCCGGGCTTCATTTGTGGCTGTGGAGACCGAGTGGCCTCCACGCAAACTGTTGCTCACGCCCTGGCACCTGGTGTTTGCCGCTCGAGGGCCGGCGCCCGCGCCAGGCGACTTTGCACCGGTGTTCGCGCGCCGGCTACGCGCTGGGGACTCGGTGCTGGCGCCCGGCGGGGATGCGCTTCGGCCAGCGCGCGTGGCCCGTGTGGCGCGGGAGGAAGCCGTGGGCGTGTTCGCGCCGCTCACCGCGCACGGGACGCTGCTGGTGAACGATGTCCTGGCCTCTTGCTACGCGGTTCTGGAGAGTCACCAGTGGGCGCACCGCGCTTTTGCCCCCTTGAGACTGCTGCACGCGCTAGGGGCGCTGCTCCCCGGCGGGGCCGTCCAGCCGACTGGCATGCATTGGTACTCTCGGCTCCTCTACCGCTTAGCGGAGGAGCTACTGGGCTGAGCGTCCCAGGCATAGAAACCTCGAAGCGCCCGAGGAAACGAGGGCCTGCTGGCTGAGATATGGGGCTGTGGGCAGCAGACGATGCCGACTGGAAGGGAGGGAGAGGGAGGGGGAGGGAGAAAATGGGGCTATGCCTGGCTTAGGGGCAACCTCGTACTGAGAGGAGGTGATACCGGGTCCTAGGTAGGTAGGGCTGATGGTGCGCACTCCTTAAAGAGGACTATTTAGCCTCTCCCCCAGTGCTTCAGCCCCACCCGATAATTTTATTTTATTTCTTATTTATAAATTGTAATATAATGATTCCCTTGCCCAGCTTGCCAAGGTGAGGGGCTGGGGCATGGCATTAACACTGTCTGACACAGCCAGCCAGTCTGACATCTGACGTTTTCCTGCAAGGTGGGCTAATAAAGGGAAGGCTTTCAGGAGCTTACTGGAAAACACTTCCATTCAGAGGGTGATTCACCTCCAGAGAGGGGGATAAAGGTGGCCAACCTGAGTTAACAGCTTACTTCCGGCTCCCCCTCCTTCCTCAGCAGGGTCTTTGGGACCCTTTTCCTCCCTTCAGAAGGGGCATCCCAACCCATAAGCAACAGAGCCCACAAGAGTCGTACCCTTTTCCAGGCTGCTGTTTCCGTCTCCCATCCAGAGAGGACCAGCATTTCGCTCCTGCGGCTGAAGGGTCCAGGGTTGTCCCAGGTGGGAAAGACTGTGCACACCTCTTCTCTGTTTATAGGGGCTCCAGCAGGGGCTCAGGCCCCTATGAGTACTGATACTCAAAGCATCTAGTCCCCTATTGTTAGCCAGTAGTCCTGGTCCCCATCCTACCTTGGTGGCAGGGCCTGGATGGGGTGGATGTTTTTTCTGATATGCCACTGGGCCAACTGATGATCCATGGGAAACCTGGGTAATAATTTGCAATCGTCGCATAGTCATGGCCTGAAAAAGGAAGGGGGGCACAGTAAGAGGCTGGAATATTTCCTTACTGAAGGGCTGCTCAGAGAGAGAGAATGGATTCAGCCTGGGTGTATGTGGGGGAAGTAGATTCCCTAAACAAGGGCATATCAGCATTACAACCCGAGCTCCCCTCCTGATCGCTGGCCCTGATTGTTGTTTCTACTGGCTTGGTCTTCAGCGCCTCCTCCTCCCTCTCCCATTATCACCAGCTCTACTTCCCTAGCCTGGGTGTTTTTGGAACCTTTAGGTTCCAACGCAGTAGACACCTGGAATCCAGGCAGGCAGGTGCCCCTGAGTTAGGAATGGAAGCTCTGGAGGAAGCTGGGCTGCTCCAGAAGGGAAGTGTCTTGGGTGGAGGTGAGGCGGGGAGGAGGAAATAGTCGGGGGTTGTTGGTACCACCCGGAGCTCGCCCTTGCCAGTAGCCGCTGTGCGCTCCCATCGCACAGGGTCCCTGCTATACACCGCCCTCTGGTGGCCTTCAAGAGAATTCTAGGCCTATGCATATGGTTCTCTGAAACGGAAGGCAAGCGGTCTCAGACATGGAAGGGTGTACTGGACCTGCGCAAAGGAGCCCGCTCCCAGGAGGGAGAGATGATGGGTGGGCCTTGTTAAGCTGCCAGCGCTGAGTCACACATATCAGGAGCTGTCAAGGAGTCCACCTGCTTCTCCTTGGGCAAGTCGTTCCAAACCATGGCACTTTTACATCACTCCTGCCTAGTTTAGCTCTGTGGTTCCTGGAAGCTGCAGATGCCCTACTAGTATACCTGTAGTAGCCCAGACTTCCTTATGTATCAAAGTTGCCGCCTCATGTCCCTCACCCTCATGACCCTTGAGTTCAATTGTCAAGGAGGTGAAAGCATAATAGGGTTCCAGGTAGTGCTTGATAAAGGCAATATTTGGAAGCAGGTCAAGTTTACCTTTGGTGTCCTTCCACCCACTGCTGCCCTCAACCCACACTGAGGCTCTGTTGCCACCTTTGTTTTTCCGGGTCTCAGAAACACATCCCAAGCTGTGGACCTTTCCTACTTTCTAAACCTGCCCTTGTCTCTTTTTATCAGATCTGGTGCCTTCCTGTCATGTCACCACAGGTGATGACTAATCCGATAAATGAATTAGTTGTCCTATGTTGATGGGCTCCTTGGTTTTACTGCCCTTCCCAGGTAATCAGGTAATGCATATATATATACATGTATTTTTTAAAGAGACAGGATCTCGCTCTGTTGCCCACGCTGGAGTGCAGTGGTGTGACCTTGGTCCCCTGTAGCTTCAACCTCCTGGGCTCAAGCAATCCTCCCACCTCAGCCTCTCAAGTAGCTGGGACTACAGGTGCATGCCGCTATGCCTGGCTAATGTTTGTATTTTCTGTAGAGACAGAGTCTTGCTACGTTGCCCAGGCTGGTCTTGAACTCCTGGGCTCCCGCCTTTGCCCCACAAAGTGCTGGAATTACAGGTGTGAGCCCCTGTGCCCAGCAGTAATACATATATCTTACAGTTTTAACCTTTAACCATAAAATCATAATGGTGATGATTCCTAGCACTGTAATAAGTTAGCTAGGGAGATATTTCAGGACAAGGAGAACTCATTGGTTTCCCTTAAACTACATCCTGTAAGTAACTTTCTAGGCTTGAGGCTTACCTCTCAACCCTCACTTCCTCCCTTTATTATCTTTATTCCTTTGAGGCCCCTCCTAACTCTCAAAAAAAAAAAAAATCCATGACTTGCCTTCAAGCGGCAATGCGCACCATCTTGGTGCAGCAGGTGGGCATATTCACTTGGCCATGCAACACCTCCCAATTGCAGCACCTTTCACCATCAACAAAATAGGCGATGATGATTTGGCTTAGAAGCCAGCTAGATCTGGGGATAATGATACCTCCGTGACAGGATGGTTGAGAAGGATTGTGCTGGATGTGGAGTAGGCGCTCAGTAAATGTTTTCTATTCTTTGGCCACTTCTGACTGACTTTGCTGCCTTCCGATCACTTCTTTCCTCACCACTCCACTAAAAGCATCAGTCGTGCAAACTTTCTGGGGTTTTGTCACAGCACTTTCAGAAGCTGGAGGTATACTAGCAGCATTTCTGTAGTAGTCCAGACTTCCTTACATATAGAAGTTGACTCTTCATGTCCCTCACCTTTGTGACCCTTGAGCTCAGTAGTCAAGGAGGTGAAAGCATAATGGGGTTCCAGGTAGTGCCTGAAACTACTTTTCTGAAGAAGTATAATTAAAAGTAATCTTGTTTTGAGAATTTATGAAGCATTTTGTGATCACCCTGGCAATACCTCTCTGCATATTGAGAAATCAGAGTTGAGAACCACTGCCGAAAAGTTTCAAGTGACCTGTTTATCTGCCCAGAATCCAGTCTTTTATTCCTTCTTTCCTTTCTTCAAGCAGGATTTACTGAACATCTGCAGTGTAGCCCTGTATTCCCCACTGAAAAACACAAAAGGTTAAGAAACAGCTTCTTCCCTGGAGAAGTATACATAAACACAGAAAATATTTAACATTGTTACTTAATTTGGATGAGCTGAACCGGTGGTAAATGCCATATTAGTACAGAGAAGGCCTTGTGGAGAAAGGAGGGCCTGACTAGGATGTTGAAGCATGTGTAGGCGGAGGAGACTGGAAAGGGCATTCCAGGCAGAAGGAACATCATGAGCAAGGACTCGGAATCTGAGATGAAGCTGTGCAACTTATTTAGAGCAGAAGACTGGAAGTTTAACAATATGTAGCTAATGGTTACTGAGCATTTAAGATATGCCAGGCCCTGCTCTGATATTTTACCTGCATTTTCTTTTCTTTCTTTCTTTCTTTTTTTCTTTTTTTGAGACGGAGTTTCATTCTTGTTGCCCAGGCTGGAGTGCAGTGGCATGATCTCGGCTCACTGCAACCTCTGCCTTCCGGGTTCAAGTTATTTTCCTGCCTCAGCCTCCCGAGTAGCTGGGATTACAGGCGCTCGCCACCATGTCCGGCTAATTTTTTGTATTTTTAGTAGAGACGGGGTTTCGCTGTGTTGGCCAGGCTGGTCTCAAACTCCTGACCTCAGGTGATCCACCCGCCTCAGCCTCCCAAAGTACTGGGATTACAGGCGTGAGCCACCACACCCGGCCTTTACCTGCATTTTCATTTAATCCTCACAATCACCATCTAAGATGGTGTTGCAGGAGAGGAAATTGAGACAAAGAGAGGCTTAAATCACGTGGCTAAGTTACCACAGCCAGTAAGTGGCAAAATGAAACAGGAGTAACAAGAAATAAGACTTAGGCCAGGTGCATGCCTGTAATCCCAGCACTTTGGGAGGCCAAAGTGGGAGGATCACTTGAGGTCAGGGGTTCAAGACCAGCCTGGCCAACATGGTGAAACCCTGTCTCTACTAAAAATACAAAATTAGCCAGGCGTGGTGGCGGGAGCCTGTAATCCCAGCTACATGGGAGGCTGAGGCAGGAGAATCACTTGCACCTGGGAGGCAGAGGTTGCAGTGAGCTGAGATTGCGCCACTGTACTCCAGCCTGGGTAACGGAGTGAGACTCCATCTCAAAAAAAAAGAAAAAGAAAAAGGAAAAAATCAGGCTGGACAACATAATGAGACCCTGTCTTTGCAAAAAATAATTTAAAAAATTAGCCAGGTGTGGTGGTGCATGCCTGTAGTCCAAGCTATTTGGGGGGCTGAGATGGGAGGATCGCATGAGCCCAGGAGTTCAAGGTTGCAGTGAGCTATGATGACACCACTGCACTACAGCCTGGGTAACAGAGCAAGAGCTCAAAATAAATAAACAAATAAATAAATAATTTTTTTAAAAAAGAAATAAGACCACCTTGAAGAATGGGGCCCCACCTTGTTGGACCTTAAGCTGTTTTTCACTTTTTCTCATTTACTTCACTGAGTCACTATAAAGTCCTCCCAGCTTTCTGACAGTTATTTCTCTCTCATTTTCATTGGCTCCCTAACTAAAGCTCTCTAGCCATCCAGTTAAGGAAACACATATATTGATACAGGTTTCTGGCAGGAATCTATGGCAGGCTGGTAGACCAACACAGAAAGCATAAGAAGACCCTTAGCTCTTTTTGGACTAGAGAAGGAGAGGGAAGATTGAACTTTGTTATGGCTGAATGTTTGTGTCTCCTCCCCCCAGCTCAAATTCATATATTGAAGCCTTAACCCCTACTGTGTCTGTATTTGGAGAAGGGGACTCTAAGGAAGTAATTAAGGTTAAATGAGGTCATAAGGGTAGGGCCCTGATCCTACAGGGTTAGTGCCCTTATAAGAAGAGACACCAGAGTGCTCGAGTACTCGCTCTAGCACATGCATTGAGGAAAGGCTATGTGAGGACATAGAGAGAAGGTGGCTGTCTACAAGACAGGAAGAGAGCCCTCTCCAGAAGGCACATCAGCTAGAACCTTGATCTTGGACTTCTAGCCTCCAGAACTGTGAGAAAATAAATTTCTGTTATTTAAGCCACGCAGTCTGTGGTATTTTGTTATGTTAGCTCTAGCAAACTAGTTCAAGCTTCCAGAAATATTTGAGGTAGAAAGAGACCAGTGCTGAGACAGGGTCTCTCCTTAGTGAAAGTAATCAGCTGTCCTTGAAAAATGAGCATTTCTTTCTTTCTTTCTTTCTTTTTTTTTTTTTGAGATGGAGTTTCGTTCTTGTTACCCAGGCTGGAGTGTAATGGCACGATCTCAGCTCACTGCAACCTCCGCCTCCCAGGTTCAAGTGATTCTCCTACCTCAGCCTCCCAAGTAGCTGGGATTACAGGCATCTGCCACCAAGCCCAGCTAATTTTTGTACTTTTAGTAGAGATGGGGTTTCACCATGTTGGCCAGGCCGGTCTCTAACTCTTGACCTCACGTGATCCGCCCACCTCAGTCTCCCAAAGCGCTGGGATTACAGGCATGAGCCACTGCACCCGGCTGAAAAATGAGTATTTCTGACCTAGAAACTTCACATGGTTATTTAATTTAATTAATTATTAATTTATTTTTGAGATGGAGTCTCACTCTATCGCCCAGGCTGGAGTGCAGTGGCAAGGTCTAGGCTCACTGCAACCTCGGCCTTCTGGGTTCAAGTGATTCTCCTGCCTCAGCCTCTTAAGTAGATGGGATTACAGGCTCCCACCACCACATTCCGCTAATTTTTTTTAATATTTTTAGTACAGACTGCATTTCTTTCTTTTTTTTTTTTTTTTTGAGACGGAGTCTCGCCCTGTCCCCCAGGCTGGAGTGCAGTGGTGTGATCTCCGCTCACTGCAAGCTCCACCTCCCAGGTTCACGCCATTCTCCTGCCTCAGCCTCCCTAGTAGCTGGGACTACAGGGGCCCGCCACCACACCCGGCTAATTGTATTTTTAGTAGAAACGTGGTTTCACCGTGTTAGCCAGGATGGTCTGGATCTCCTGACCTCGTGATCCGCCCGACTCGGCCTCCCAAAGTGCTGGGATTACAGGCGTGAACCACCGCGTCTGGCCAGTACAGACTGCATTTCACCATGTTGGCCAGGCTGGTCTTGAACTCCTGACCTCAAGTAATCCGCCCACCTCAGCCTCCCAAAGTGCTGGAATTACAGGTGTGAGCCACCTCGCTGGGCCTTTAAAAAAAAAAAAAAAAAAAAGAAAAACAGAAAAAATTATTTATTTATTTATTTATGTATTTTGAGACAGGGTCTCATTCCCATCACCCAGGTGGGAGTGCTGTGGCATGATCACGGCTCATTGCAGCCTCAACCTCTCAGGCTTAAGAGATCCTCCTGCCTTATTTTTTGATTTTTTGGTAGAGATGAGGTCTCACTATGTTGTCCAGGCTGGTCTGGAATTCCTGGGCTCAAGCAATCCCCCTGCTTAAGACTCCCAAAGTGCTGGGATTACAGGTGTGAGCCACTGCACCCAGCTATTTATTTGTTGAGAAAGAGTCTCACTATGTTGCCCAGGCTAGAGTTCAGGGGCACAGTCATGGATCACTGCAGCCTTGACCTCCCGGGCTCAAATGATCCTCCCACCTCAGCCTTCTGAGTAGCTAGGACTATAGGTGCATGCCACCACACCTGGCTAATTTTTGTATTTTTCGTAGAGACAGGGTCTCACTATGTTGTTTATGGTTGGTCTCAAACTCCTGGCCTCAAGTGATTCTCCCACTTTGGCCCCCCAAAGTGCTGGGATTACAGGCATGAGCCACTGCACCTGGCCTACACGTTTATTTTATTTTATTCTATTTTTTTTTAAAAAAAGCATAGGCATGGTGGCTCATGCCTGTAACCCCAGCACTTTGGGAGGTCAAGGCGGGCGGATCACCTGAAGCCGGGAGTTCCAGACCAGCCTGACCAACATGGAGAAACCCTGTCTCTACTAAAGATACAAAATTAGCCAGGCATGGTGGTGCATGCCTGTAATCCTGGCTACTCAGGAAGCTGAGGCAGGAGAATCACTTGAACCCGGGAGGCGGAGGTTGCGGTGAGCCGAGATGGTGCCATTGCACTCCAACCTGGGCAACAAGAGCGAAACTCCATCTCAAAAAAAAAAAAAAAAAAAAAAGGGATGGGGTCTTCTTATGTTGCCCAGGCTGGTCTCAAGCTCTTGAGCTCAAGTGATCCTCCCACCTTGGCCTCCCAAAGTGTTGGGGTTACAGGCGTGAGCCACCAGGCCTTGCCTACATGTTTATTTTTGACTGTGCTTTTGTGGTCTGTGTAATATTGGAGGGAGCTTTCCTCTTTGGTTGGAAGACTGAGGCAGCTATCACGGGAAAGAAGGTGGTCAGGGTCTATTTCCCTGCAAGGAATTTTGTGGCCAATTAGCACATTGTCATTGTTGTTGTCTCTTTATGTGACTTGGTGGATGTATACAAATAAGCATCTCCCTGAGAGGAGGTTATTTTCAGTTCATTAAGATTTCATGAGTGCCTACTATGTGTCTATTATTGTGCTGTGTGATGGAGATAGGACAATAGAGGCAGGCAGGGACACAATCCCTTCTCCCCATGGCTCTTATAGTTCATCTGGCAAGACAAGCATAAATGGTTAGAGGTTGTTGAATGTGGTAACAAGTGACATTTAGACTGAGACCTGAAAGATGAGTGTGAGTTGTGCAAGAGGGAACAGCATGTGCAAAAGGCTGGATTTGGGGAGCAAGAGTAAGATGAATCTGAGGAGCATCAAAGGAGCATCAGCAAGTTCAGTGTAGCTAGAGGGCGAGGTGATCTGGGTCTTGTATTTCCCAGGCTGGAGTGCAGTGGTGCCACCATAGCTCACTGAAGCCTGGAATGCCTGAGCTCAAGCCACCCTCCTGCCTCAGCCTGCTGAATAACTTGTAGCTAGGACTACAGGCATGAACTAACTTTGTTTTTCTTTTTGTAGAGATGGGGTCTCACTATGTTGCCTAAGCTGGTCTTGAATTATTGGACTGAAGCAATCCTCCCACCTTGGCCTCCCAAAGCACTGGGATTATAGGTGTGATGTAGTGCACCCAGCCTGCTTTAAGGATTTTGAATATTGTCCTAAAGATGAAAAGCAATTGTAATATTTGAAGCAAGGGAATAATCCTGCTGAGAGGAATAATCAAACTTGCATTTTAAAAGGGAAACTGAGGCCGGGCATGGTGGCTTATGCCTGTAATCCCAGCACTTTGGGAGGCCGAGGTGGGCGGATCACCTGAGGTAGGAAGTTCAAGACCAGCCTGACCAACATGGAGAAACCCCCTCTCTACTAAAAGTACAAAATTCGCTGGGTGCGGTGGCACATGCCTGTAATCCCAGGTATTCGGGAGGCTGAGGCAGGAGAATTGCTTGAACCCAGAGGCGAAGTTTGCGGTGAGCTGAGATCGTGCCATTGCACTCCAGCCTGAGCAACAAGAGCGAAACTCTGTCTCAAAACAAACAAACAAAACAACAACAACAACAACAACGAAAGACAAAAAAACATGGTTGGGTGCGGTGGCTCACTCCTGTAATCCCAACACTTTGGGAAGCTGAGGCAGACGTGTCACGGAGGTCGGGAGTTTGAGACCAGCCTGACCAACATGGTGAAACTCTGTCTCTACTGAAAAAATACAAAAATTAGCTAGGCGTGGTGGCAAGCGCCTATAATCCCAGCTATTCGGGGAAACTGGCAATTGGATAAGCCTTATTTATTTATTTATTTATCTACTTATTTATTATTATTTTTTTCGATGGAGTCTTTTTGCCCTTGTTGCCCAGGCTGGAGTGCAATGGCGTGATCTCAGCTCACTGCAACCTCTGCCTCCTGGGTTCAAGCAATTCTCCTGCCTCAGCCTCCCAAGTAGCTGGGATTACAGGCATGTGCCATCACGCCCGGCTAATTTTGTATTTTTAGTAGAGACGGAGTTTCACCATGTTGGTCAGGCTGGTCTCAAACTCCTGACCTCAGGTGATCCACCTGCCTCAGCATCCCAAAGTGTTGGGATTACAGGTGTGAGCTACCACACTTGGTCGGATAGGACTTTTTAGATAGCCCTTATCCCTGTGTAGATTGGTCCTCGGTTGAGCATTTGAATGTCCTTGCTCTAGTTTCAATCACAAGAAGGAAATGCTCCCACTCCCACACGGAGTGTGTTATGGGAGCAGATGGTGGGAGCAGTGTAGAGAAATTGGAGCAGGATAGGATAGAATAGGAACTGAACAGAATTGAAGGTGATACCACCAGCCCTGGCTTTGCTTCTCTCAGAAACCTAAACGGTGTCTTAACATCTCTCCTTGGGACTGCAAAACCTAAGAACACAGTTGTCTGATTTCAAACCATATGATGTCCAAACAGAAGTCCTTTGAACTGGGTACTTCTTCTCTGCTATTCTCTTTTGCTTTCCAGCCATCCGTTCAGCAGTGCCTTGGCTTAGCTTGGAGCTGAAGGCCACAAGCTGAGATAGAGCTGTCACCCTAAGAACCAGGCCTGGGGTGAACATTGCAGCTGCCCAGGGAACAGCTGGTTAAGCCCCCAGCAGCTGCAGCAGCTGGGATTCTACCCAACATTTGATCTGGGATTAATCCCATTTCCTCCACACACATCCCATCCTTGTTCTAGTCCCTGGCTAGTCTATAGTATCTTGCAGAATCTTTGAGAATAGATATTGCAGATCTCTTCCTTAAATAGGCTGAAGACAAAGTCACCCACCTTCTCCTTCTCTTGGAAGCAGCTGGCCCAAAGCACCTTAGGACCACTACAGAAAGGAGGATATAGGTTTCTCGCTCTCTCTGCCCCCTTTCCCTCTCTATATATTTCAATAAATTGACTAGGATGGAGTAGTCTTTAAATTGTCTGATTTTCAATAACTTAGAATTGTCCAAAGATGAAGGGACTTCTTTGTTGAGACGGGAGGAGTATTTCCTTTATCTTTGAAAGATTGTACCAAGGCCTAGAAACTATTGGTGGGGTGTCTGGGGAGGATCAAACATCATGCCAGTGGTTGTCACTTTTAAACTGATTGCTTCTCACTTAACTGTGATTCTACAGTTAAAAACAATAGGGCTATATATTCTGCTTGGTTCCTATTCACCAGCTGTGTGGTCTTGAGTAAACAGAGGCTACCATTAGGTACTTCCATGGAGTTGGAAATGAAGAGGTGCTCTGAGATTTAAACAAGGTGAATCAACACAAGAAGGCACAAGGCAGTTCCTCCCAGATCCAAACCTGACTCTCTCCCTTCCACAAATATTTATTAAGCCCCTGCAAATACTAATAGGCATTGTACCATGTTAAGGATTTTGATATCTTTCTAGAGACACAGGCAGTCATTTTAGTGGAATAAATTAATTTAATTAGGTTTTAGCTTGGAGGAGTAGTCTGATCAAATTTGGATTTTATTTTATTTATAGATGGAGTCTCGCTCTGTCACCAGGAGTGCAGTGGCGCAATCTTGGCTCACTGCAAGCTCCTCCTCCTGGGTTCAAGCGATTCTCGTGCCTCAACCTCCCGAGTAGCTGGGATTACAGGGATGCACCACCACGCCCAGCTAGTTTTTTGTATTTTTAGTAGAGACGGGGGTTTCACCATGTTGGCCAGGATGGTCTCGATCTCCTGACCTCATGATCCAGCCGCCTTGGCCTCCCAAAGTGCTGGGATTACAGGCGTGAGCCACCGCGCTGGCAAAATTTGCATTTTAAAAAGATCACTCTTTTAGCTGGTAATGGTGGCGGTTGCCTATAATCCCAGTTACTCAGGAGGCTGAGGCAGGAGAATTGTTTGAACCTGGGAGGCAGAGGTTGCAGTGAGCCGAGGTCGTGCCACTGCACTCCAGCCTGGGCAACAAGAACGAAACTCCATCTCAAAAAAAAAAAAAAAAAAAAAGAAGTGGCCCAGCAGAGAGGGAGTAGGGGAATCAACATTCCAACCTTCTCTCCTCTATCTTCCAGTCTGTGGCCAAACACTTCCTATTAGCTAAAGCTAGCTGGAAGCCAGAGGGCATTACTGCTGTCTATAAAGGTCAGCCTTCCAGGAGCAAATGCAGGATGAAGAAGGGTAAAGGAAGATCTGGAGGGGTAAATGGAAAATGTGAGTTAATAAGAACCAGAACTCTAATGTCTGAGTCTTTAGAGAAGGGTCTTCAGATTAGAAAGAACATGACCATGACAGGGAGCACCTGAAAATAACTTATTAGCTAATTTAAATCTAAGAAGCATGGCAGTTTGCATTTTAAATTAAAAAAAAATTGGTGCTATGACTGAAATTCAAGTTTGCATTTTATCTTAAATCTGTGTTTACATTTTTTTTTTTTTTTTTTTGAGATGGAGTCTCACTCTGTCGCCCAGGCTGGAATGCAGTGGCGCGATCTTGGCTTGCTGCAACCTCCACCTCCCAGGTTCAAGCAATTCTCTGCCT
Source organism: Homo sapiens (assembly GCF_000001405.40). Taxonomy (NCBI): domain Eukaryota; kingdom Metazoa; phylum Chordata; class Mammalia; order Primates; family Hominidae; genus Homo; species Homo sapiens. The sequence continues at coordinate 49,078,088 of NC_000012.12, read as the reverse complement.
CAGCCTCCCGGGTAGCTGGGATTACAGGTGCCCACCACCACGCCCAGCTAATTTTTGTATTTTTAGTAGAGATGGGGTTTCACCATCTTGGACAGGCTGGTCTTTTTTTTTTTTTTTTTTTTTTTGAGCTAGAGTCTCGTTCTGTCACCCAGGCTGGAGTGCAGTGGCACAATCTCAGCTCACTGCAAGCTCCGCCTCCTGGGTTCACACCCTTCTCCTGCCTCAGCCTCCCGAGTAGCTGGGACTACAGGCGCCCGCCACCATGCCCGGCTAATTTTTTTTGTATTTTTAGTAGAGACGAGGTTTCACTGTGTTAGCCAGGATGGTCTTGATCTCCTGACCTCGTGATCCGCCCATCTCGGCCTCCCAAAGTGCTGGGATTACAGGTGTGAGCCACCGCAGCCGGCCAGACAGGCTGGTCTTGAACTCCTGACCTCATAATCTACCGGCCTCCGCCTCCCAAAGTTCTGGGATTACAGGCGTGAGCCACTGAACCCAGCAATTTACACATGATTTTTAACAGTTGATGCCAAAAATTAGATAATCATCCATTTTCCTAATTAGAAGATCCAAAACAAAAAGTATTGTTTGGCCAACTTAAGCAAACTTTTAGGAATTACATAATTAAATGTCTAATTTATAATATTTTATTTATTTATATATACTGTACACATTTAAAAGTACATAGCCTATAAAATAATAAATTGATATTATTTAACTGATTTTCCATTCTTACATTTAAAGCATAGTTTTATTCAAACTTTTATTATTAGTTTTTGAGTTAGAGTCTCGCTTTGTCGCCCAGATTGGAGTGCAGTGGTGCAATCCCGGTTCCCTGCAACCTCCGTCTACTAGGTTTGAGCAATTCTCCTGCCTCAGTCTCCTGAGTAGCTTGGATTACAGGTGTGCACCACCATGCCTGGCTAATTTTTGTACTTATAGTAGAGACAGGGTTTCACCATGTTGGTAAGGCTGGTTTCGAACTACTGACCTCACATGATCTGCCTGCCTCGGCCTCCCAAAGTGCTAGGATTACAGGCGTGAGGCACTGCGCCAGCCTTATTTTTGTTTTTGAGAGAGGGTGTCACTTTGTTGCCTAGGCTGGAGTGCAGTGGCACAAACATGGCTCATTGCAGCCTTGACCTCCCGGGCTCAAGTGATCCTCTCACCTCAGCCCCCACAAGTAGCTGGGACTATAGGCACGCACCACTATGCCTGGCTAATTTTTTTCTTTTCTTTTCTTTTCTTTTTTCTGAGACGGAGTCTCCCTCTGTCGCCCAGGCTGGAGGGCAGTGGTGCTATCTCGGCTCACTGCAAGCTCTGCCTCCTGGGTTCATGCCATTCTCCTGCCTCAGCCTCCCGAGTAGCTGGGACTACAGGTGCCTGCCACCACGCCGGCTATTTTTTTTTCTTCGTATTTTTAGTAGGGATGGGATTTCACTGTGTTAGCCAGGATGGTCTCGATCTCCTGCCCTCGTGATCCACCCGCCTCGGCCTCCCAAAGTGCTGGAATTACAGGCGTGACCCACTGCACCTGGCTAATTTTTGTATTTTCTGTAGAGATGGGGTTTTGCCTAGGCTGGTCTCGAACTCCTCATCTCAAGTGATCTGCTCGCTTTGGCTTCTCAAAGTGCTGGGATTATAGGTGTGAGCCACTGCTCCTGGCCCCAAACTTGCATATTGATATGAAAATATTCATTTTCTTTTCTTTTCTTTTTTTTTTTTTGAGATGGAGTTTCATTCATGTTGCCCAGGCTGGAGTCCAATGGCGTGATCTCAGCTCACTGCAACCTCCGCCTCCTAGGTTCAAGCGAATCTCCTGCCTCAGCCTCCCGAGTAGCTGGGATTACAGGTGTGTGCCACCATGCCTGGCTAATTTTGTATTTTTAGTAGAGACAGGTTTCACCATGTTGGTCAGGTTGGTCTTGAACTCCTGACCTCAGACGATCCGCCCGCCTTGGCCTCCCAAAGTGCTGGGATTACAGGCATGAGCCACCGCGCCTGGCTAAAATACTCATTTTCAATATAAGTGCCTTTATGATTACTAGATCCTCTTTTGGAACTTAGATATGATGCCTGAAGGTGAACTCATCTTGTGGCTATGAGGCGACAAGCATAAGGGAAGAGTTAAGAGAACTGCAGGTACCAGACCTGGTATCATGGAGCAACTGGACTGATGCTGCTTACCTCCAACTTTGTTACTTGAGAAACATAAATCCTTATTTGTTTAAGCTATTGCAACTTGGTTTTTCTGTTATTGAAGCCAAATGTGTTCTTAATATTCAAGTGACTACAACAGATTCAATATCAGATAGTTCAGGTTACTGTAGGTCAGGCACCCAATATCGAGGTTTCTATGACAGATGTCATAGATGGCCTCATTGTCTACCATGAAGGTGCAATCTGAGTGCTCCAGGGTGATGTTTGTGGTGAGCATAGAGTTGTAGGGCTCAACTACAGCTGTGGATACCTGGGGGCCTTGGTAAATGGAGAACTCCAGCTTGGACTTCTTGCCATAATCAATCTGCTCTGTAGTAGATTGAAAAATAGAGCTACAATATTTTCCAGTTTCTCTCATGGAGAAATGGAGTCTATTTCCCCATGCCTTGAATCTGGGATGGCTTTGTGACTTGCTTAGGCTACTAAAATGTGGCAGAACTTGTGTTGAATGAGTTTCAAAGCCTAAGGCCTCAAGAGGCCATGCACTGTCCTAACTTTGCCCTCTTGGATGCTTCTGCCACCCAAGAAGAAGCTCGGGCTGCCCCAATAAATGATGAGAGACATGTGGAGAGACAGAGGCCTAGCCAAGAGCCAGCACCAAGGCTCCAGACGTGCGTGAGGTCATTTTAGACCTTCCATTCCCAGTGGAGCTTCCACTGACTAGCCACGAGAGTGAGTCCAGAGGAGGCAACATAAGAACCATGAATTCAACCCACAGAATCCTGAGAAAAATAATTTTGATGTGGTTTGTTATGCAACAATAGGTAATTGATAATCAGCAGGGAGGTAAACCCATAACTGTGGAAAACAAAGAAGCCTTGAATACCTGTGCGATGGAGTCCATTAGAAAGGACATGCCATATAATTTGGGTGCAAACAGAGTAGAGACATTTTTCACTTTTCCCAGAGATACTTAAAACAGTTTTCTGGGAACATCTTATCTTTATTTTGTCTCAGTTGTTTGAGACATAGCAATGTATGATGCTGTCCTAGAAATGTTATTTCAGGCCAGGCTTGGTGGCTCATGTCTGTAATCTCAGTGTTTTGGGAGGCTGAGGAGGGATTGCTTGAGGCCAGGAGTTCAAGACTAGCCTGGGAGCGACCCCATCTCTACAAAAAAAAAAAAAAAAAAAATTAGCTGGGCATGGCAGTGCATGCCTGTATAGTCTTAGGCTACTCAGGAGGCTGAGGCAAGAGGATCACTTGAGCCCAGGAGTTATGGGCCACAGTGAGCTATGATGGCACCACTGCACTCCAGCTTGGGTGGCGGAGTGGTACCCTGTCTCTAAAACACAAAAACAGGCTGGGAGCGGTGGCTCACATCTGTAAACCCAGCACTTTGGGAGGCTGAGGTGGGTGGATTGCTTGAGTCCAGGAGTTTGAGACCAGCCTAAACAACATGGTGAAACCCCATCTCTACTGAAAATACAAAAATTAGCTGGGCATGGTGGTGCATGCCTGTAGTCTCAGCTACTCAGGAAGCTGAGGTAGGAGAATCACCTGAGCTGAGGAGTAGAGGCTGCAGTGAGCCAAAATTATGCCACTGCACTCCAGCCTGGGCAATTGGAGTGAGACCCTGTTTCAAAAATAAATAAATAAAAAAAAGTAAAAATAATAAAAAACAAAAAAAATCTTATTCCAAGCCCATTTATCTAACATTAGGATGAATTGCTTCCTTTATTTATATTATTATTATATAAATAATATATAATAAATATGTTTATTATCTATTAAATAATATTTATATATAATATTTTAAAATATTTTTTTGACTTATCTCCAAGTTCTATTTTTCCTTTATTTGATCCTATTTTTTTGATCTTTACTAAATAAACCATTTGTACATTACTTTTTTTTTTTTTGAGACAGAGTCTCGCTCTGTCAGCCAGCCTGGAATGCAGTGGCGCAATCTTGGCTCACTACAACCTCCATCTCCCAGGTTCAAGTGATTCTCCTGCCTCAGCCTCCCGAGTAGCTGGGATTACAGGTGCCTCCCACCATGCCCGGCTAAATTTTGTATTTTTAGTACAGACAGAGTTTCACCATGTTGGTCAGGCTGGTCTCAAACTCCTGACCTGATGATTCACCTGCCTCAGCCTCCCAAAGTGCTGAGATTACATGTGTGAGCCACTGTGCCCGGCCTATGCATTACTTTTTAAAGTGATTGATATTTAATGAACAACTATTTAATCAACCAATATCTTGGTCCTAAAATGTGCAGGTTTTATAGATTGGCTCATGAAACATTTATTTTTTTGTTTTTTTGGAGATGGAGTCTCGCTCTGTTGCCCAGGTTGGAGTGCAGTGGCGTGATCTCGGCTCAGTGCAACCTCCACCTCCCAGGTTCAGGCGATTCTCCTGCCTCCGTCTCCTGAGTAGCTGGGACTACAGGCATGCACCACCATGCCTGGCTAATTTTTCTATTTTTAGTAGAGACGGGGTTTCACCATGTTAGCCAGGCTGGTCTCAAACTCCTGATCTCAGGTGATCCGTCTGCCTCAGCCTCCCAAAGTGCTGGGATTACAGGCGTGAGCTACTGTGCCCGGCCCCAGCTAATTTTTTATATTTTAGTAGATACCGGGTTTCGCTGTGTTGCTCAGGCTGGTGTCGAAACCCTGAGCTCAGCTCAGGCAATCCACCCGCCTTGGCCTCCCAAAGTGCTAGGATTACAGGCGTGAGCCACCGTGCCTAGCTTCTTTTTTTTTTTTTTTTTTTTTTTTTTTTTTTGATACAGGGTCTTTGTTGTCCAGGATGGAGTGCAGTGGCACAAACATGGCTCACTGCAGCCTCAACCTCCTTGGGCTCAGGTGATCCTTTCACTTCAGCCTTCCAAGTAGCTTGAGACTACAGGCACGTGCCACCATGCCCGGCTAATTTTTCTTCTTTTTTTTTTCTGTATTTTTTATAGCAACAGGCTTTTGCCATGTTGCCTACCTAGGCTGGTCTCGAACTCCTGAGCTCAAGCAATTCACCTGTATGGCCTCCCAAAGTCCTGGGATTACAGGCCTGAGCCACCACGTCAGGCCAAAACATTTATTTATAATCACATTGTCTTTTGCCTTCCTTTACTATAGACATTGGAAAAGAAAATGCTAAAATTTCCAGGTTCCCTTACAACTAGAAATGACTATATAAAACAATCTTGTTCAATGAGATGTAGGTGAATATCTGCTGTGAGAGCTTCCCTTACCAGGTAAAAAGAAAAAGTCACAAGAGGAGAAAGCCCTTTGCCTTGGCTCTTTTGCTTTCTCTCTGATTCAAAACAGGAGAATTCAGATGGTTTAATAAAGAGACTATTTACAAAGATGTGGGCAGGGTATAGGGAGACCACAACAGATAGAGCAATGCCCCAAGGTGAATAACAGAAAAGAGGCTGATACTGCTATAGGCATAAAGGCTGAGGGGAGTCACTGAAAACCAGGAGAGAGCTGTGTGTGTGTGTGTTGGAGGAGGCAGCTGCCTTGAGAGGTACTGTGACCTTCAATGGGGGACAGAGCCACTCTCCTCTGTCCATTGAATCTTCTGTGTGTGCTTTCCTTTGGCTGAGCTTCACTGAAAGCCAGGAGACAAGGTCTGCCTCCTGGACATAAATCTGGGTGGAAAAGAATGGAGAGTTCATATGGACGGGACAAGCAGTATAAAAGGCATCTGTTATTTATTTCTGTATCCTAGTGTGCAACACATAGTAAGAGTGCCTGGCACAAAGTAGAAGATGAATATATATATATATATATATATATATTTTTTTAAGATGGAGTCTCACTCTGTCTCCCAGGCTGGAGTGCAGAGTACAATGGTGCAATCCCGGCTCACTGCAACCTCTGCCTCCCGTGTTCAAACGATTCTCCTGCCTCAGCCTCCTGAGTAGCTGGAATTACAGGCATGCACCATCACGCACGGCTAATTTTTGTATTTTTAGTAGAGACGGGGTTTCACTATGTTGGACAGGCTGGTCTCGAACTCCCGACCTCAAGCGATCCGTCCACCTCAGCCTCCCAAAGTGCTGGGATTACAGGCATGAGCCACCATGCCCGGCCTAGGGCTTTTGTGAATATTAAATGAGATAACAATAAAATGCACCTGGCACATAGTATAGTCGAACTCTCTATAAATCTAGGTGATTTCCTTCCTTTCTTCCCTCCTCTACCAATCCTTCCACAAGTCATTTTAACCTTAGCTTCAGAATATCCTGAATTCTCAACTTCATTCAACATGATCACTCTAGTCAAGCGCTCTCATCTCTCACCTGGACTACAGGTAACAGTTTCCTCGCCAATCTCCCTGCTTCCTTTTGCTCCTGTTACCCTCAAACCCCAATCTATTCACTACAGCCAGGGAGATTTTTTAGAAAGACAATTTAGATCATGTCATGCCCCAGCTTAAATACCTTCAAGTACTTAGAATTAGCCCAGACTCCTTTATGTGGCCTGGCCTCTGCCATTCTCTTAGACTTCATCTGCTTTAGGCTAACTGGCTTTCTTTTTTTCTTCCCCTCTTCCTGGAATTTACCCAATTTATTTCCATCTTAACGCCTTAGCATTGGTGGATTCTTCTTGTGAAATCTCCTAGTTGGTTCCTTCAGATCTTAGTTTAAATGGGGTTTCCTATGAGAGAAAGTATCACTAAAGTGGTCATCTCAGCCAGGCTCGGTGGCTCACGTCTGTAATCCCAGCACTTTGGGAGGCCGGGTCAGGTGGATCACTTGAGGCTAGGCGTTCGAGACCAGCCTGGGCAACATAGCAAAACCCCATCTCTCCCCAAAATACAAAAATTAGCCAGTCTCATAACCCTGTCTCAAAATAAATAAAGAAAAAAAATTAAAAATGCTGTATTGTCTTTAAAAAATAAAGTGGTCGGCCGGGCGCGGTGGCTCACGCCTGTAATCCCATCACTTTGGGAGGCCGAGGCGGGCGGATCACGAGGTCAGGAGATGGAGGCCATGCTGGCTAACACGGTGAAACCCCGTCTCTACTAAAAATACAAAAAATTAGCCGGGCGCGGTGGCGGGCGCCTGTAGTCCCAGCTACTCTGGAGGCTGAGGCAGGAAAATGGCGTGAACCCGGGAGGCGGAGCTTGCAGTGAGCCGAGATAGAGCCACTGCCCTCCGGCCTGGTAGAAAGAGCGAGATTCCGTCTCAAAAAAAATAAAAATAAAAATAAAAAAATAAAAAAAATAAAGTGGTCATCTTTCATCACACCATCTTCTACAGCACTTAACACTCTCTGATATTTCCTTGTTGTATGTTTGTTTCTCCCTTCATAAGAGCAGACACATTGTCTGTGATGTCCATGTTCTGACCCCAAAGCTGGAGCAATGCCTGAAACATGTAGTATATACTCAGTATTTGTTGAAAAATGAATATTTGAGGATCATGATGATGAAGAAGAAACCTCAGACTACTTGATCATAAATTCTAGCAATTTCTGCAAGAATAAGAATTGCAGTTTGAAATTAGATGCTGGAAGACTGGAAACCTTGATAGGTCTGGGGCTGAAGGCTGGGGGAAGCAGAAGGAATATACTAGAACTTTGGCGGTTTTCTCCCTATCTAAGGACCCCAGAGACCATGCAAAAGGGAGGGCTAGAATCTTATGACCGGAAACCACAAAACGGGTATTTTCCATCCATAATTCTTCGAAGCCACTTCAGCTAGGCTGTAAATGCGCAAACGCCTTTAGGACCCCGGGTTCCTTTCTGTTTCTTTATGAATGAACCGGCTCCAGTCTGCGCACGCGCAGCTCCCAGTTCTCCCGCTCCACGTGAGGCCCACCCTTCCCTCCTGCTGGCGGCACCGCCCTTACCCATTCTAATGGACCAATGGCGAGCGGCCTGGGGGGCGGAGCCCGGCGCGGCGCGGCTCAGTAGTTCCCCGGGCGCCCGGCTCCCTGGCGTTAGACGTGCTGTGTTGTGATCACGTGGGCAGCTCCGGGCGCGGCGCTTGTTTTGGTTTCCTTCTAACTTGCCCACGGCAGCTTCGGGGTGAGCGACTTTCCTGCACCAGCTGCCGCGCCTGCTCACACCCTGACCTCGTTTTCGGGCTCTCTGAGCCCGCAGTTCCGCAAGCCCCTGGGGCGGGCTCCTGCCATGCCGCTAGTCCGCTACAGGAAGGTGGTCATCCTCGGATACCGCTGTGTAGGTGAGTCTCCGCCCTGCAGAGCTCGGACGCGCAGCAGCTTTGTAGCCAGAAGAGGCGCGCTGCCGTGGGAACGCGACCCAGGGAGGAATGATGACATCGTAAGGATGGGGTTGTAGAGCGAGGATTGGAAGAGTGGAGGAATGGAAGAGTGGAGGATTGGAAGAGTTGGTGGTGTGTGGAGGCTGCAGGAAGCGGGAGCACTTAAGGGTTAATGCGGACCTGGCTGCGGGAATCTCAGAGTGGTCCCAGCGTTACTTTGGGGATAGGGGTGGGGTCACAATTTGAAAACCGGGACGCGGTCTCCGTGGGGACAGATAGTCGCAGGTGTCCTGGGGCGGGGCGGACTTGATCCTAGGGAATCTTGGATCTTCCTACGAGTGGGATGGGGTGGGGAAGGCGGCGGGAAAGGCTTCCTGCTGCGCTTCTGAATGCATCCGGTAGCCAAAGTGCGGAGACCCTGGGTGAAAAGAGGGTGAGGGTAGACACAAAGGATAGCATTGCTTGAGGCACTCACAGACTGTGGTGTTAATTTGGGGTCTCCTTTGGTCCTGGGCCACAGTCCGAAAGGACAGAGGATGTGAATGTGGATGGATGATTTGGATACAACTGTCACACTGCTCCCCACAGGGAAGACATCTTTGGCACATCAATTTGTGGAAGGCGAGTTCTCGGAAGGCTACGATCCTACAGTGGAGAATAGTGAGTAGACTTCTCCCCTAGTGTGCTGGTGGTATGCGACCCGGAGGGCTTGGATACCCCACCCAACTCCATAATTTATTTCTCTGGTGCCAAGGGGCTGATTTATTTAGACATTACATCTGATTTCTTCTTTAGCAATCCTGTTCGATGGATGGCTAGAGTATGGATTTTGCAAGATATTGAGTCTGGGATAGTTTAGATGTAGACATTAAGAACCTTAGCGTGTCTTTCCAGTTACCTGGATAACTCCCTGGAGCTGATCTATCTGTGTCACCCCCAAGGTTAAGAATGTAAGGGGAGGCTGGGCGCAGTGGCTCATGCCTGTAATCCCAGCACTTTGGGAAGCTGAGGCGGGCGGATGGATTGAGGTCTGGATTTCGAGACCAACCTGGCCAACATGGTGAAACCTCATCTCTACTAAAAATACCAAAATTAGCTGGGCATGGTGGCGCACGCCTGTAATCCCAGCTACAAAGGAGACTGAGGTAGGAGAATCGCTTGAACCCAGGAGGCAAAAGTGGCAGTGAGCCAAGGTCGTGCCACTGCACACCAGCCTGGGTGTCAGGGTGAGACTGTCTCAAAAAAAAAAAAAAAAAAAAAAAAAAGCTGGGCACCGTGGCTTATGCCTGTAATCCCAGTTCTTTGGGAGGCCAAGGCAGGTGGATCACCTGAGGTCAAGAGTTCGAGACCAGCCTGGCCAACATGGTGAAACCCCGTCTCTACTAAAAATACAAAAAATTAGCCGGACATGGTGATGGACATCTGTAATCCCATCTACTCGGGAGGCTGAGGCAGGAGAATTGCTTGAACCTGGGAGGCGGAGGTTGCAGTGAGCCGAGATCGTGCCACTGCGCTCTAGCCTGGGCAACAAGAGTGAAGCAATGTCTCAAGAAAAAAAAGAAAAAAAAAAAAGAATAAAAAGAATGTAAGGGGGAAGGGAGTGGGAGGGATGAAGATAAATTGATCAATGGGTACAAATATATAGTTTGATAGAAGAAATAAGACTTAGTAGATCAGTAGGGTGACTATAGCTTACAATAAGCTATTTTACATTTCAAAATAGCTAGAAGAGAAGAATTCAAATGGTTCTAGCATAAAGAAAAGCCAAATATTTAAGGTGATGAATATTCCAGATACACTTATTTGATCTTTACAAATTATATGAATGTATTAAATTGTCACATGTACCCTGAAACTTGGTACATCTATTATTCATCAATAAAACAAAAGTAATTACTTTATTTTTCTTTTCTTTTCAAGACAGTCTCGCTCTGTCACCCAGGCTGGAGTGCAGTGCCGCAATCTCAGCTCACTGCAACCTCCACCTCCTGGGTTCAAGCAATTCTCACGCTTCACCCTCCTGAGTAGCTGGGACTACAGGCATGCACCACCATGCCCAACTAATTTTTTGTATTTTTAGTAGAGACAGGGTTTCACCATGTTGGCCAGGCTGGTCTCAAACTCTTGGTCTTAAGTGATCCGCCTGCCCTGGCCTCCCAAAGTGCTGGGATTACAGGTGTGAGCCACTGCGCCCAACCAATAATCTACTTTAAAAAATGCTGCCAAAAAAAAAAAAAAAGGTAAGGAGACAGCCAGGTGCAGAGGTGCACACCTGTAGTTCCAGCTACTTGGGAGGCTGAGGTGACAGGATTGCTTGAGCCCAGGAGTTCCAGGCTATAGGGTGCTAAGAGTGCGCCTGTGAATAGCCACTGCTCTACAGCCTGGGCAACATAGCAAGACCTCATCTCAAAAAAAAAAAATGTAATTAGCCGGGCATGGTGGCAGGTCCCTGTAATCCCAGCTACTCGGGAGGCTGAGGCAGGAGAATAGCTTGAACCCGGGTGGCAGAGGTTGCAGTGAGCTGAGATCATGCCACTGCAGCCCAGCCTGGACAATAGAGTGAGACTCTTGTCTCAAAAAAAAAAAAAAAAAAAAGTCAGGGGACATACATCGCTGGTCCTATAAGGCACTTCACAGTCAAGTTTTCTTTTCTTTTCAGCTTACAGCAAGATAGTGACTCTTGGCAAAGATGAGTTTCACCTACATCTGGTGGACACAGCAGGGCAGGTACCAGTTGGGGTATGGTATCCAAATGTGGCAGTTCAGCCCTCGGAGATGAAGTCTGGTAGTCTTTGTGGCTCATCCGTAAAGTAGTATTAAAAGCATTTTACCTGCTAACAGTATGCAGGGCTCATTGGAGCTGTTCCATAAATACATGTTGAAGTGACTATAGTAGGGCGTGCCCCAGGGAGGGTCACCTGGATGTTGTCCCACCAACCTTTGCCATCTTAGTGGTTTGGATCTAGGTACTGATGTTTCCCATTTCTTGCCAGGATGAGTACAGCATTCTGCCCTATTCATTCATCATTGGGGTCCATGGTTATGTGCTTGTGTATTCTGTCACCTCTCTGCATAGGTAAGTGACCAAGGTTGTGAGTGCGGGACTTGGGAGAACCTGAGGACTGTCTCATAAAGTTATAGCTCCAATTCTTGTGTTTAAAGCTTCCAAGTCATTGAGAGTCTGTACCAAAAGCTACATGAAGGCCATGGGAAAACCCGGTAAGTGGCCCTGGGGGATAGGGACATAGTGTGGGCATGAGGGGGTGGGAGAGAGCAGAGGGGAGAATTGTCAAGTTAGAGAGGAGGCTCGGATATAGATCCTGCCTGGTCTGATAAGGAGTCGTCCAGCCTTGATGTAAGGAGTTGGGGAATGCGGGGAATGAGGGGATTCTGAAGTAACTGCTGTTTCCTCACAGGGTGCCAGTGGTTCTAGTGGGGAACAAGGCAGATCTCTCTCCAGAGAGGTATGTAAATCTCTGCTACTCAGAGCAAAAGGAAGTGAAATGGACTGGGAATCAGTCAGGCTCTCATCCTGGCTCTTCCACTGACTCAAACAAGTCATTTCACCTCTCTTTGTCTCTAACCTGAAGCTTAAGGAAGATAATACTTCTATCTTAAAAGCCACAATTTCATATTTCAAGCCTCAGTCCTAGATTCACCCATTGTTCCTTTGTTTACCTATATTTTCTCCTTCCACAGCCCTCCTCCCAAAACTTGGGGAAATGGCATGGGTCAGAGAAAGTCTTTTTCTTCTCTATTTTTTTTTTTTTTAGACGGAGTCTTGCTCTGTTGCCCAGGCTGGAGTGCAGTGGTGTGATCTCGGCTCACTGCAACCTCTGCCTCCCGGGTTCAAGCGAGTCTCCTGCCTCAGCTTCCCAAGTAGCTGGGACTACAGGCGCGTGCCACCACGCCCAGCTAATTTTTTGTATTTTTAGTAGAGACGGGGTTTCACCATGTTAGCCAGGATGGTCTCGATCTCCTGACCTTGTGATCCACCCGCCTAGGCCTCCCAAAGTATCGGGATTACAGGCACAAGCAACCGCGTGTGGCCCATTTTTTTTTTAATAGAGATGGTGTTTCCCTGTGTTGTCCAGGCTGGTCTTGAACTCCTGAGCTCAAGTGATCCACCACCTCGGCCTCCCAAAGTGCTGCATTACAGGCATGAGCCACTGTGCCTGGCCAGGAAGTCTTGATTCTGAAGATTTTTCAGAGCACTTACTGACATTTCTATCCTCCATCTTTATGTCCCAAATTTGCTTCCAGAGAGGTACAGGCAGTTGAAGGAAAGAAGCTGGCAGAGTCCTGGGGTGCGACATTTATGGAGTCATCTGCTCGAGAGAATCAGGTGCTGGGCCTGAAGACTAGAAGGGTGGTGATGGTAGCTGTGTTTTCCTTATTGTACTGCTTGGTGGTGGGAATGTTGCGGGAATGGGGCTTTCACCCCAGAGCTGGGTGGTATTGGCACTGAACTGACTTTTGCCCTGAATCCTCTCCTCTTATAGCTGACTCAAGGCATCTTCACCAAAGTCATCCAGGAGATTGCCCGTGTGGAGAATTCCTATGGGCAAGAGCGTCGCTGCCATCTCATGTGAGCCCTTGGGTGTGGGGTAACTGCCTTGCTTCTGCCCCCGGCACTTGCCATGTTCCAGTGGGGGGCAGATCCTCAGGACTTCACGGGTATGGTTGCCAGCTGTGTTCCTGGCCCCTGGACACACAGTGTGGCATCCTCATGTTTGCACACTTTCCCCAGGCTCCAGTGGCCTGGATGTCAATGTTTACAAAGGGGCAAGGACCTCTCATGGACACTGGCCTCTAGCCCTCTGTTTTTGTTTGATGAATTCTGTTATAACCTATGGGGTCAGGATATGAGTCCTGGGCATTATTTATCCAGGACCCATCCTCTTGGGTGGGTTTTGGGTGTTGGCTGGGTAAGGGGAGCCGGGGACTTCTGAAATAGAGCTGGCTCCCTGGGGTGACAATGTATATATGCAAATAAATTGAGAAATCTTTTGTTGTTGACTTCTTTTTCGTGTGTGTGTGTGAGACGGAGTTTCACTCTGTTGCCCAGGCTGGAGTGGTGCAGTGCTGCAATCTTGGCTCGCTGCAACCTCCGCCTCCCAGGTTCAAGCAGTTCTCCTGCCTCAGTCTTCTGCAGGCACCCGCCACCATGCCTAGCTAACTTTTTTATTTTTAGTAGAGATGAGGTTTCACCTAGGCCAGGATGGTCTCGAACTCCTGACCTTAAGTGATCCACCCACCTCAGCCTCCCAAAGTGCTGGGATTACAGGCGTGAGCCACTGCCCCCGGCCTTATTTTATTGTTGACTTCTATGTATCTAGTGAGAGCTCAGAGCCAAGATCTCTTTTTCCAAGGAGTGATGGCTGTGGTCTTTGGTGGGATATCTTTCCTCCTACCTTGTTCCTATTCCTTATTCCTCACTTATTAAGGACCATTATCCTAAGATTTACTACTTGCCTTTCCCACCTTTCTATTCTGCTGGGTTCCTCATATACTAAGTCCAGTTGGCTGCCACTCCCATCCAAGTTTTGTAGCCTTTCAAGATCCCCTTAATTACAGAAACACCACCCTCTAGTGGCCAACTGCAACATGCTGACCTAGCTGTCTTCCTGGGGCCTCGGCATTTGCTTGGATTCAAAGATGATGGGGTTTCAGGAGAAGAAAGGAAGCCCCTCATTCCTAATGATGTAAGAATTGAGAAGGAGTGTAGAGGCAGAGACTAAAGTGTTGTGAAGACTTTGACTTCCCAAGAGTGTTGAGTAAAGTAAGAAATAATGCCTCCGGTGCATATCAGTCCCCTGGCCCTCCATGTCCCCAGTGTCTTCCATTAAAATGGCCGTTCTTTGCTGTTTTCATACCTTTAATCTTTTTGTACTTTTTACACCTTTGGTGGTGTGCTACTTTTTTTTAGGTGTCAAAGGCTATTGGTTCTGCTTTTATGGGCCTACCGCCTCAATGAATTGATATTTCAGCTAGGAAAGTTTGGTCCTGTTTGCCTCTGCTTTTCTTGATCCCCACCCTCCCACCAGCCTGATTGCCTAACTAGTCTAATACCTCCTCCAAGGATGTGTAAGGGTTATTTGAATGGTAGATCTTCACAGAGAAGGTACAGACCTCTTCTGACAACTGGGGGAGCCCGAGGTACCCTATCAATGTACTTACTTGGGAAGGATTGACAAAACCTAGATGTGATTTTTAGCTGTGACTTTGTCAGTGCCTGGCTCCAGGCTTACAGTTGGGGATATGGCTTGTCATGCTGATTTTCAAAAGTCCTGACAGCTGCTTTTGCTTTTCTGATCCAGAATCTAAAAAGAAATAAGGGCTGCTAGAAGAAACATACTCCAAACAACAATCTCACTGGCTTAGGAGGTTCTTCTGGTAGGTCACCACTGTCTCTCCTTATGTTAAAATTAAGTCTTTTTGCACATCTGACCTGGGATACTCATTACATGAGCCTACCTTCCTGCTGCCATTTTCATGAGGTCTGGGGTAGACTTAGAAACATCTAAAGTTTTCTAGTTTATCAATAATCTCAAGGCCTGGGGACAGTAGTGATAGTGGTTAATAGCTCCTCCACTTAGCTGTGTGGCCTTGGGCGGTCACTTAACTTCTCAGAGCCACCATTTCTCATTTATGAAGAGTGGCTAAGTGTGCTTCATAGAGTTGAGATGAAAATTAAACGAGGTAATATATGCAAAGCTTACTACAGTTCTTCACACATAATAAGTCCTTAAGAAATAGTGGGGTGGTGGCTGGGTGCAGTGGCTCACGCCTGTAATCCCAGCACTTTGGGAGACCAAAGCGGGTGGATCACCTGAGGTCAGGAGTTTGAGACCAGCCTGGCCAACGTGGTGAAACCCCATCTCTACTAAAAATAAATTAGCTGGGTGTGATGGTGGGCGCCTGTAATCCCAATTACTAGGGAGGCTGAGGCAGGATAATCGCTTGAACCTGGGAGGCGGAGGTTGCAGTGAGCCGAGATCGCGCCATTTCACTCCACCCTGGGCGACAAGAGCGAAACTCCATCTCAAAAAAAAAAAAAAAAAAACCAAAATAGTAGGTGGCTATCTGTGTTATTACTGGAGGTCTTTCTGGTGAGGGTCTACCTCTCCCTGCCTCTGGGTGCAAACCTGGGAGGGGCCTTCCATTTTCCAACTTGTTTCTTGGTTAACTTATTCTATTGTAATTAAAACAAGTGTGGGATCACTGCTGGAGTTTTTTTTGCTCAAATATGTGTGAATGGTCAGTGCAGAAAACATGATGCCAATGTGTGGCTGGAAGAGGACAAACCTAGTCCTGATCCCTCCTATTACTCTTACCAGTAGGGATTAAGGTCTCCTGCACTGTCTAATATAAAAGCATCACCTCACATGTGGCTATTTAATTTCATTAAAATAAAAAGTTCCTTACTTGTACCACCTGCATTTCAAAGTGCTCGAGAGCTGCATGTGGTTGATGGCTACCATATTAGATAGTGTAGATTTAGTCCATTTCCATCACTGTAGAAAAGTTCTGTTGGGACCGGGCGCGGTGGCGCATGCCTGTAATCCCAGTACTTTGGGAGACCAGGGCGAGCGGATCACGAGGTCAGGAGTTCGAGACCAGGCTGGCCAACATAGTGAAACCCTGTCTCTACTAAAAATACAAAAAAGTAGCCGGGTCTGGTGGTGTGCGCCTGTAATCCCGGCTACTAGGGAGGCTGAGGCAGGAGAATCGCGTGAACCAGGGAGGCGGAGGTTGCAGTGAGCCGAGATCGCACCACTGAACTCCAACCCGGACGACAGTGCGAGACTCTGTCTCAAAAAATAAAAAAAGTTCTCTTGGACAGCATCGTAAACCCTTTCCTCACAAAGCTGGCATTGGATCGAATCTGCCTGCCTCTTTCTCCACATCTTCTTTTAAAAAAACGTAGTATAATTATTTGTAATCCTAGGAAAAACGTGGCCTTTGGTTTGAATAATGGCTCAACTTCTCACTAGATGTAGTTCTGTGGGCAATTTTACCTATTGTAGCCTTAATCTTCATCTGTAATATGGAGATAATTCCATGTAACTCATAATGAAGGCGAGGAATAACTAAGAATATATAAAGTATCTGGACATAGTTAATTTGTCTCCTTTTGTCCACCCCATGTGTGCGTTGATGCAGAAGAGGCATTCCAATGTTTTCTCATCCAGACTTATGGTGGGGGGGTGGTGCCTGCAAAGAGTATGTTTTGCGATCTTGTCCAGGACAGTACTCCGGCCAGGTAGCAGCGAGGCTACCTCAGTTTACTAAAAAAGGGACACGGGTACTGAATATCTGGAAGGACTGGAGGTGGGAGTGGGGGCACCCTGAAAAGGGAGGCTCTACCTTTATGTTTCGATGGGGAGGTGTGTATAGTGACTGTGTGGGCACCGACAGTCCTTCCTCACACGGGGGACTGGGAGTCAGGAGGAACGACTAGGGACTCGTCCAGTTTTCTTCGGGTCCCCAAACGTGGCAAGAGTCCACCCTCTGCAGCGCCAGGCGCCGTACCTCACTTTCTCCATTTGCGGACTCCAGTTCCCAGGATGCTGAGCAGCGGCCAATCTCCTGGCTCTTCTTCCATCCCCCTCCCGGGAAAGACTGCCCCTGGCCAAAGCAAGGGGCAGTTGGAACTTCAGGGACCAACGACTGCAAGGGTATGGAATTAGACAGCGGCCAGAGTCCTAGTTTCGCGGCCTGGGCGGTAAATGAGGCGGCTCCAGGGCCGCGGCGGAGAGGAGGGGGGCTTCGTTCCCACGTGTCTGCCCTGCTGCCGGCCCGGCGCGGTCGGGGTTAACCCGGAGCGGAAGGATCCCGCAGCGTGTGCGTAGAACTGCAGAGTCACAGCCTTTCCTCCGAGAGGGCGGGATCCCTCCGCCGCTCCGCTCCAACACAAAATAGGGCCGCCTCTTCTCCTTTCTCCCCCTCTCGAGTGGGGTGCCCCGGGCAAAAGGCCCCCCCGGATCTAGCGCCGAAGGCTTCACGAATCTTCACGACCGCTGCCCAGCTCTTGGGCCAGGAAATAGCCCCTTCGCAGGAACCACCCTACCGGCCGAACAGGAGGCGGAGGGGGGGAGGCGGAGCGGCGCCGCGCTGCACTACTTTCCTCTCCGGTTGCAAATGGCTGCCTCGTTCCCCACTTTCCGCTCAGTTTCCTGACCCCCCGGTGCCGGGAGCCGGGGTTGGGCCATGCACCTCTAGGCCGCCTGCGATCACAGTCAGCCGGGGGTCGAGGGGGTGCCACCGACCAGAGCCGGCCAGGCCGGGGGCGGGGCAGCTCCCGAGGCCAGAGGGGAAGGGAGGCGAGCGCAGGGCCTGGAGCGGCCGGAGGGGAGCGGGCAGAGGGCTCGCACCGCCCGCCCCTTCCTTTTCCTCGCCTACCTAGCCTCCTCCCTTCCCCGGGGGGAGCAGAAGGTGGGGGGCTCGAAGCCGCCGAGGGTGAGCGCTCGGGGTCGAGAAGCCCGGCGCTGGGTGTGTGTCAGGTTCAGCCCCGCGGCCCCGCCGGCCCCGCGTCGCCGTAGCTCGCGCGGCCCCGGGCGCCGGCCGGGGCGGGGAGAGGGGCTCGGCGCTCCTGCGAGGGTCTCACGTTCCATCCGGGCCAGGCGCGGGGCGGCGCGGCATTCCTTCCGGGCTGCTGGGGAGGCGCCTCGACGTTCCATCTGGAGAGCCTCGACGTTCCGCCCGAGCCCGGCGCGGGCGGCCGGGGCGCTGGCCGGGCCCTAGGACTGAGAGGCCGCCCGGCGACGCGGATGCGGAGCCTGCTCGCCCAAGATCAAAGCCACCGGTGCTCTCTTTGTGTCCGCTCGGGATTCGCCGCCCTGGGGCTGTCCATGGAAACCTAAACTGCTGGAACCTGAGGCAGAGAACCCCTCTTTGGCTTCTTGCTGTTTTTTTGTGGGGGGAGGGTGGCCACTCCGACCTGGATTTACCGTTCTTGGCCCCCCTAAGCCCCCCCGTGCGGGGGGCGGCTGTGATCGCTCTGGCGGTTGGAGGTCGGGGAGCGGCCCGGGCTCTGGCCATGTTCTCGGATGAGGATTTCTGGATCGCCCTGTGAAGAGGTGAGTGAAGTCCGCCCGGCCAGGGCCCAGAAAGGGTTGGACTGGGGGCACAGCCAGATGGACTATCTTAGCCGGAGCTGGCCTTTAGGTTGGAGAAGGGGGTGCCAGAGCTGGGGAGCGTTCCTTTGGCAGGGTCTGTCAAGGGAACCTGAGCCAGTCACCAGGGCAGAACTGAGGCCTGGTGTCTTGGGGTGTGCCTCTTTAAAGACTGGGGGTTCAGGGAACCACGGGAGTTTGGGAACCTGGCCAGATAGCCTCTCTGCCTGTTTATTTTTGTGTTGGGGGAGCTCGACTAAACTAGGACCCGGGCCCTGATGCCAGCACCAATCCCAGGCTGCTGCTTCTCCCCTCAGGGTTCCTTGTGGGCCTTGGGACAGAGCAACTTGGGATGGTGGGGGAGGGTGTCACTGCCAGGTCAGACTTATGCCAGTTGGACTTTAAGGTTGTTCCTACCGAGTTGGGCACCCAAAGCAGTCCCTGGAAAACTCAAGGAACCCCAGATCCTTCACCAGGCCTTCTTTCACTGGGCAAAGGGAGAGTGTGTGGAAACTGACTAGTTGTGATGAAGGGGGTAGCTGGGGCAAGAAGGAGGCGGGGCTGGGGCAGTTCTGGCCCTGCTGTTCAACTTTAAACTGCCCCTGCCTGGCAAAGTGACCCCAGTGAGGCCGAGTGCTGTCTTAGCCTGCTTTGCCTCCCCTCCTCTTGGGATGGATCTAATCTCCAGAGGATTATAGAGGAGGCCGTTGAGATTTGCTCCCTGCGAATGTAGGCTGCAAAAAATGGCTTTTGTCTTTTGCCTTCTCCCGGCCTGGTATGGAGAGCTGGCTGCCCATGAGTCCCTGGCCAGTCCTGCAAGCCCCTCCCAGACCTCTCCAACCCTTTTTTGACCAGGGATTGTTAACTGGTTTTCTGATCCTGTACCAACTGTGCAGAATGGGGTGGCCTGTGTCTCTCTGGAGGAGAAATTGCTTGATCAGAGCTCTTTTCTCCTGGAAACCAGTGATTCCACCCCTGGCAGAAGGTATTGGGGAGAAAGGGTGTGTATGTGCCTGCAGCTTGAGCCTCAATCCTGTGGGCCTTGCTTGGGCTGGGACTGCCCCTCTCACACCTGTCATGCTACCCAGCAGGGATTTGGCTGGTGCATTTTGCTCCCTCACTCTTATCTGCTCCAACATACATATACTAGATTTCTTTGAGTCTGGTTTTGGAAAGGAGAAAATAGGGGTTTTGCCTTTTAAAGATTTCTGAAAGGTGAGAGGTGGCACAGGGGTAGTGGAGTGAGGTGAGCTGTCAATCCTGCTCTCCACTCCGGCATTCTATGGAGAGTCCCTCCCGTTTGTCCCGAAACAACTTCCTTATGTAGGACTGCACCCTGTTAGCTGTGCCTGCTCTCAGGATGAGCCAGGGACACAGTTCAGAGGGTCTGCAGGGCCAGTGTTCCATTTGGATCCATCTCGGAGGGGTGACCCAAAATGGGGGTGGGAAGAGGTGTGGTTTGAGTCCAGGCTGGGAACCAGGAAGTCCTGAGTCCTCCTGAAGAGCTGTTCACTCAAGGGCCTGCTTCAGCCTTACACTTCTCCAAGCGTCCATTTCCCCCTTGTCTGGGAAAATGGAGTGAAAGCTGTTGGTCTGGGAGGGAGGCAGGAAGGAGAGTGGGTTGAGATAAATCCCTGTCCTTTTCTTTGCTGTTTTGGACCTCTTAGGTATAGGACTGAGGGGGTGCCAGCACAGTTTTACTCCCTAGATCTGTACCTACTGTCTGGGATCTCTAGTTCTGTGGAGAAAGCCTGGTGAGACACTACCCCAGTTTAGATCCAGGGAAAAAATCCTTGGTGTGTATGTGTGTCAGTTTACTGGCTGTGAATGATGGGACTGGGGAACCTGGGGTCTTTGTTTAGATATGTTCAGGGGCCTATTAACTGGGAATCAGCATTGGGATCCCTGTGCTGGACTGCAGGGATGGGGAAATAGGGACTGAGGGCTCAGGCTTTTTGGAGGTGCCCCCTAGATTATTTTTGGTACAAGTTGTATGACATTCTTCTCTTTGCTTCTTAATCTCTCATCTTCCATGGCCCCATGAATGGGCTCTGGCTTTGGAGGATGTTAGTACTCTCTCAAGGCCAGATGAAGGTGGTTTCTGTACCTTCTTGAGCAGTACCAGCCTTACCAGCCTGAGAGGGCTGAGCTCGGGGGAGGGCTGAGGAATTTGCCCCTCTGGCCTTGTGTGAGGCAGCCCTCCTCCTACCCACTGTATTATCATTGTTGCCTTTTACTTCTTGATGTTTGTGACTCTTTTGGCCTCAACTTTGAGACCAGAGCGGGTAGAGGATCTTTAGGGGTATGTAGTGGTAAGATATAGTAAGATGCAAAGAATTAGAAAACTTTAAGGGCCCCTTGGACCTTCCGGGTGTGGCCAGGCCTTGAATGACTGAATGGAAGAGGGGCCTGGCTGCTGCCCTCATCTCCACCTCCCACTTCCCATGGTAGCTTCTAAGGACTCCTTGAAGTTCTGGAGCAGCTTTTGTACGAGCCGGCCAGATGACCCACCCTGCTTTCCTTTCGAATGTGGTTGTGTGGCAGGTTTGGGAAAGATGGCTTGGGAATGGAGATGATGTGTATCAGGTGATGCTTTACTTTATCCAGTGAGTTCTGAGAGTGTTAGGGGAAAAAGGAAGTTTCTTTCCTGTGACATGTCTCCAGAGGGGCATAGCCACTATCTGGAAATAAAGGGTGAGTTCAGGGCAGGAAGAGTGATATTGTAGTTCTTAGGGAATTGATTTACTGATTTGGGGCACCTTTGAGGGTTCCCCCTGTCTCATCTGTCCCAGTCATTCAACCGTAAGTGGCTGACTGGGGTATTTGCCTTCCAGTTTGGGAGGACGGGCTGTCCTTGCTAAGGGTGGTGTGGTCACTCTGGTTAGTCAAGAAGAGTGGAAAAGGCGAGAGATGAATTTCTCAAACTTTTATTGTTTGAGTTCTGTTTTAGGGATTTCCCCCACCTCACCACCACTTTCTCTAGGAACACTGTATACCTTCTCTGATTAAGAGAAAGGGTCTACATTTCCCACTACAAGCTGCTAACACTTACCACTTTCTCCCTCCTTCTATAGAATCCCTTTCCTATTCTTCGTGTCTGTAATTATTGTTCTTTTTTTTTTCCCACTGTGCTTAATTCCCTCTGAGATCTAGGAAAATAATGCCCAAAGGTGTAAGTCTCAACTTTTTTAGGTATAACTTTAGTGTGTTTCATTTGGCTCTGATACAGGCACGCATTTCTTAGAAGAAGGGACAAGGGACCGTTATTCCCCACCCCCATGTATGTGTGTGGAAACCCTGCTTGAGGGAAGAGGAAGGAAGCTACTCCGCTGTGCTGTGCTATGTCCTGCCCTGTTTAGAACTCCTCTGAGTGGCTCTATGCTTCCTGAGACTACAACTCCCAGCATGCTTAGCCTCAGGCCTGGCTACACATGCTCAGTAACTCTCAAGGTCCACTTCTGTTAACTACTAGGGATATCTGAAGAGGAAGGGCAGTTGGTGTTGCTAAGGGCAATGACCTGAGACCTTCAGGCTGGGTGAGACCCTGAGCTCAGTTAGGGCATGGGCCGGGGGTTGGTCTGAGCTGGATTTGGGTTGGAAGTGGGTGGAAATTAGGGAGTTTCTTCTTTTGTAATGGTGATGTCCTCGTAGAAACAAGTGGCGGTGGGGGAGATCCATCCATAGCTAGGCTGTAGTTCCAGTAGTGTGTTACATCTCTTGCAGTGCCTCAGACTCTGCCTCTGGGAGAGGGATTTTTGCTGGACTCAGGCTTCCTGGGTCATGACTACCCCTGGGTTGGCACAGACTGGCCTCTAGAATGGGAGCTTACTTGAGACTTGAGGGAAAGGTGTGGGAATAGGGCTCACCAAAAGCCAAAAACCCAGAGGCAAGCCAAAGAGCAGTATTAGATACAAATGGATATGCTTCTAGTTGGATGCTATGGCCCCAGGAACTCTTACAGAGGAGCCTGGAAGTGGGAAAGTCAAATGGATCCCCTGAGAATCTCTCCAGAGTGTGAGAAGAGCGTATGTGTTTATCTGGGGAGGAAGTGACCCTACAGGTTAGGGAGAATGACTTTCTTGTCAGTATAGGAGTTTGTAGTATGGCTTTGCTCTGATGTCTGGAGGGTCTGGATGCCTTCTTCCCAGGATTCTGGGAAAAATGCTTCTTGGGAAGACTTAGTAGGCATATAGATCTCTTTCTTGGCACCAACAGGTCTCCCCGAGAGGGCCCTGCCCAGTCGGAGAGAGGGATGGACAGCCAGAAGCTGGCTGGTGAGGATAAAGATTCAGAACCGGCAGGTGAGTAGGACAAATTGTTTGTTTGCTTTTAGATTTCATTGGCAACCTTACATTTCTGGTCCTGGCACAAGGACATGAGCTAAGTCTATGTAGCAGATAAGTAATGGAACAACTTTGTTCTTTGGGACAACAGTTGAAATATCATCACTCTGATCCACTCAGGTTTTGGATAATCTCATGCGTCTGGTGAGTGGACTTTGTGTTAAATAGGGATGATGGCTGACACATGCTGTTTGTCTGTTTATTCAGCTGATGGACCTGCAGCTTCTGAGGACCCAAGTGCCACTGAGTCAGACCTGCCCAACCCACATGTGGGAGAGGTCTCTGTCCTTAGTTCTGGGAGTCCCAGGCTTCAGGAGACTCCTCAGGACTGCAGGTAGCTTGTTTGAGGGCACATGAGGATTTGAGAGTCTAGGGCTTTCAAGGAAGAGAATTTAGGAAAATGAGTGTTGGGGAAGCATGGGCATGCCAGATCATGGGGTTGCTGGGGGCCTGGCGTGGTACTGATGCTTGTGTGTCCACAGTGGGGGTCCGGTGCGGCGTTGTGCTCTCTGTAACTGCGGGGAGCCCAGTCTACACGGGCAGCGGGAGCTACGGCGCTTTGAGTTGCCATTTGATTGGCCCCGGTGTCCAGTGGTGTCCCCTGGGGGGAGCCCAGGGCCCAATGAGGCAGTGCTGCCCAGTGAGGACCTATCACAGATTGGTTTCCCTGAGGGCCTTACACCTGCCCACCTAGGAGAACCTGGAGGTGAGTGAGGAGAATGGGGCAGGAAATGGGATAAGGGCTGGGTAGTCCTGAGCCAGCAATCCTCTTTTTGTTAATTCTTTCCTTTCTCTTTACCTCTTCCCACCTGTAAAGGGTCCTGCTGGGCTCACCATTGGTGTGCTGCATGGTCGGCAGGCGTATGGGGGCAGGAGGGCCCAGAACTATGTGGTGTGGACAAGGCCATCTTCTCAGGGATCTCACAGGTGGGGCTGGGCCAGGGGATTGCATAGGTGAAGGGCAGGGCTGGTGGGCTTCTGAGAGTCAGGTTGGAATGAGAAGGACCATGGGTATACTGGGGCAGAGCTAGTGCCTGAACTGTTTGTCTGGGGAGAGCTGGCTGACACTGAGGCTCTTTTTTCACCCTGGCAGCGCTGCTCCCACTGCACCAGGCTCGGTGCCTCCATCCCTTGCCGCTCACCTGGATGTCCACGGCTTTACCACTTCCCCTGCGCGACTGCCAGCGGTTCCTTCCTATCCATGAAAACACTGCAGCTGCTATGCCCAGAGCACAGTGAGGGGGCTGCATATCTGGGTGAGAAGTCCTGATCTTTGGTCATAGGGCAAATGAGAGACCAAATGTGCCTTGGATTTTTGTACTCTACAGAGCACTGATCAAAGTATAGCATTATTTACTGTTGGTCTGCCCCACTAAAATAGGTGTGAACTTTGTGAGCACCAGGGTTTTGCCTGTCTCATTTATCATTTTGTCTCCAGTGCCTAGAACAGTAGCTGGCAGACGTTGGGCAGGCACTCAGTAACTTTGTTGTTTGTTCATTCTGTGCCCATGGAGTGCCTGTTTTGTGTACAGCAATGTGCTGAGGCTTACAAGGAATCCATAGCTGACCTGTGGTGTCTCTACCCCCTGCAGAGGAGGCTCGCTGTGCAGTGTGTGAGGGGCCAGGGGAGTTGTGTGACCTGTTCTTCTGTACCAGCTGTGGGCATCACTATCACGGGGCCTGCCTGGACACTGCTCTGACTGCCCGCAAACGTGCTGGCTGGCAGTGCCCTGAATGCAAAGTGTGCCAAGCCTGCAGGTAGGAATGGAAGGGCAGGAGGAAAGTCTTAGGCACAACACAGGTTAGGGTTGAAAATGAGGGCAGTCGGAGAAGGCCTGTTAACATGAAAACAACAAAAAAGAAAGGAAATGAGGGCAGAGAGGACACTGTAATGTTCCATGTGCACCTGCAGGAAACCTGGGAATGACTCTAAGATGTTGGTTTGTGAGACGTGTGACAAAGGATACCATACTTTCTGCCTAAAACCACCCATGGAGGAACTGCCTGCTCACTCTTGGAAGTGCAAGGTGAGTGTACCCTGATTCTGCCCTATTGTCCCTAACTGTGTCTGCTACAGCATTCTCTGTCTTGACAAGTTGTGTACTTTCGTTTAGTCTTTGCTGTCTGACCAATGCCTGTTTTGCCCACTCCCTTCCCTTAGGCGTGCCGGGTGTGCCGGGCCTGTGGGGCGGGCTCAGCAGAACTGAATCCCAACTCGGAGTGGTTTGAGAACTACTCTCTCTGTCACCGCTGTCACAAAGCCCAGGGAGGTCAGACTATCCGCTCCGTTGCTGAGCAGCATACCCCGGTGTGTAGCAGGTAAGTGGTGGGGACTGACTGAGATTGGGCTGGCAGGTTGGAAGAACTGACATTGGCAGGGGCCTTGTTAAATTGAGTGGACTTTGAGAGGAGAGCCCTAAGGTGGGCAGTGCCATCCACAGCATTCGTGCCTCCCCCCAGTGTGCTCTCTAGGATTTGTTAGCTGGTGAGAGCCACAGTGCCTGCTCCCCTGTACCCTCTGCAGATTTTCACCCCCAGAGCCTGGCGATACCCCCACTGACGAGCCCGATGCTCTGTACGTTGCATGCCAAGGGCAGCCAAAGGGTGGGCACGTGACCTCTATGCAACCCAAGGAACCAGGGCCCCTGCAATGTGAAGCCAAACCACTAGGTGAGTAGGGTTTGAGGGTCCCTGAAATTCATCCCCTTTTATTCTATGGCAAGAGACAGTTTGTGCATTGCCCCAGACCCCACACTTTCTGTGGAGTAGATCTGAGCTAGATAGGAGCATCGTGTTGTTGTGTCTGCAGGGAAAGCAGGGGTCCAACTTGAGCCCCAGTTGGAGGCCCCCCTAAACGAGGAGATGCCACTGCTGCCCCCACCTGAGGAGTCACCCCTGTCCCCACCACCTGAGGAATCACCCACGTCCCCACCACCTGAGGCATCACGCCTGTCACCACCACCTGAGGAATTGCCCGCATCCCCACTTCCTGAGGCATTGCACCTGTCCCGGCCGCTGGAGGAATCGCCCCTCTCTCCGCCGCCTGAGGAGTCTCCTCTGTCTCCCCCACCTGAATCATCACCTTTTTCTCCACTGGAGGAGTCGCCCTTGTCTCCACCGGAAGAGTCACCCCCATCTCCTGCACTTGAGACGCCTCTATCCCCACCACCTGAAGCATCGCCCCTGTCCCCACCATTTGAAGAATCTCCTTTGTCCCCGCCACCTGAGGAATTGCCCACTTCCCCGCCACCTGAAGCATCTCGCCTGTCTCCACCACCTGAGGAGTCACCCATGTCCCCTCCACCTGAAGAGTCACCCATGTCTCCACCACCGGAGGCATCTCGTCTGTTCCCACCATTTGAAGAGTCTCCTCTGTCCCCTCCACCTGAGGAGTCTCCCCTTTCCCCACCACCTGAGGCATCACGCCTGTCCCCACCACCTGAGGACTCGCCTATGTCCCCACCACCTGAAGAATCACCTATGTCCCCCCCACCTGAGGTATCGCGCCTATCCCCCCTGCCTGTGGTGTCACGCCTGTCTCCACCGCCTGAGGAATCTCCCTTGTCCCCACCGCCTGAGGAGTCTCCCACGTCCCCTCCACCTGAGGCTTCACGCCTCTCCCCACCACCTGAGGACTCCCCCACATCCCCACCACCTGAGGACTCACCTGCTTCCCCACCACCGGAGGACTCGCTCATGTCCCTGCCGCTGGAGGAGTCACCCCTGTTGCCACTACCTGAGGAGCCGCAACTCTGCCCCCGGTCCGAGGGGCCGCACCTGTCACCCCGGCCTGAGGAGCCGCACCTGTCCCCCCGGCCTGAGGAGCCACACCTATCTCCGCAGGCTGAGGAGCCACACCTGTCCCCCCAGCCTGAGGAGCCATGCCTATGCGCTGTGCCTGAGGAGCCACACTTGTCCCCCCAGGCTGAGGGACCACATCTGTCCCCTCAGCCTGAGGAATTGCACCTGTCCCCCCAGACTGAGGAGCCGCACCTGTCTCCTGTGCCTGAGGAGCCATGCTTGTCCCCCCAACCTGAGGAATCACACCTGTCCCCCCAGTCTGAGGAGCCATGCCTGTCCCCCCGGCCTGAGGAATCGCATCTGTCCCCTGAGCTTGAGAAGCCACCCCTGTCCCCTCGGCCTGAAAAGCCCCCTGAGGAGCCAGGCCAATGCCCTGCACCTGAGGAGCTGCCCTTGTTCCCTCCCCCTGGGGAACCATCCTTATCTCCCTTGCTTGGAGAGCCAGCCCTGTCTGAGCCTGGGGAACCACCTCTGTCCCCTCTGCCCGAGGAGCTGCCGTTGTCCCCATCTGGGGAGCCATCCTTGTCGCCTCAGCTGATGCCACCAGGTAAGGGGATGTTAGTACTCTGTTATTCTGGAACAGCTGTAACTCTTCATGGCACATCTAATCTAAGAGCCCTTCTTTTTTCTCTTTCCTTCCAGATCCCCTTCCTCCTCCACTCTCACCCATCATCACAGCTGCGGCCCCACCGGCCCTGTCTCCTTTGGGGGAGTTAGAGTACCCCTTTGGTGCCAAAGGGGACAGTGACCCTGAGTCACCGTTGGCTGCCCCCATCCTGGAGACACCCATCAGCCCTCCACCAGAAGCTAACTGCACTGACCCTGAGCCTGTCCCCCCTATGATCCTTCCCCCATCTCCAGGCTCCCCAGTGGGGCCGGCTTCTCCCATCCTGATGGAGCCCCTTCCTCCTCAGTGTTCGCCACTCCTTCAGCATTCCCTGGTTCCCCAAAACTCCCCTCCTTCCCAGTGCTCTCCTCCTGCCCTACCACTGTCCGTTCCCTCCCCGTTGAGTCCCATAGGGAAGGTAGTGGGGGTCTCAGATGAGGCTGAGCTGCACGAGATGGAGACTGAGAAAGTTTCAGAACCTGAATGCCCAGCCTTGGAACCCAGTGCCACCAGTCCTCTCCCTTCCCCAATGGGGGACCTTTCCTGCCCCGCCCCCAGCCCTGCCCCAGCCCTGGATGACTTCTCTGGCCTAGGGGAAGACACAGCCCCTCTGGATGGGATTGATGCTCCGGGTTCACAGCCAGAGCCTGGACAGACCCCTGGCAGTTTGGCTAGTGAACTTAAAGGCTCCCCTGTGCTCCTGGACCCCGAGGAGCTGGCCCCTGTGACCCCTATGGAGGTCTACCCCGAATGCAAGCAGACAGCAGGGCAGGGCTCACCATGTGAAGAACAGGAAGAGCCACGTGCACCGGTGGCCCCCACACCACCCACTCTCATCAAATCCGACATCGTTAACGAGATCTCTAATCTGAGCCAGGGTGATGCCAGTGCCAGTTTTCCTGGCTCAGAGCCCCTCCTGGGCTCTCCAGACCCGGAGGGGGGTGGCTCCCTGTCCATGGAGTTGGGGGTCTCTACGGATGTTAGTCCAGCCCGAGATGAGGGCTCCCTACGGCTCTGTACTGACTCACTGCCAGAGACTGATGACTCACTATTGTGCGATGCTGGGACAGCTATCAGCGGAGGCAAAGCTGAGGGGGAGAAGGGGCGGCGGCGCAGCTCCCCAGCCCGTTCCCGCATCAAACAGGTGAGGGGCTATCTAGCTGCGGGATGTGATTAGAGTTAGCCCACTGTCAGAGGTACAGTCCTGTGTCACTGATACTTTCCCACCTTGCTTTGTGAATCCTAGACTTGGAGATCCTTTATTCCAGTTATTAAGGAGAAAATACTAATACGTAGAAGGGACAAGTAACTTGCCCAGATTCATGGTTACTCAGTAATAGAATTGGGACCAGAAACTTGGTTCTTTCAAGCCATTGTTTTTTCTCCTTGCCCATCTCAACCACTCTTGGGAGGGGAAGAATGGGTTTGGGCTAGAGCTATGCGCTTGTTGATATCTGGGAGTTTGGCCTTTTCCCTTGCCCTGAGTGGGACTCCTGGGCTTATTACCTGTCTTACTCTGTCCGTTTGTCACTTCTTCTGTTCAAGTGTGTAAACCCAACACACTAGCCCTTGACATGCTCCTGTCATTGTCCCCTTCTTTCACTCAGGGTCGCAGCAGCAGTTTCCCAGGAAGACGCCGGCCTCGTGGAGGAGCCCATGGAGGACGTGGTAGAGGACGGGCCCGGCTAAAGTCAACTGCTTCTTCCATTGAGACTCTGGTAGTAAGGAGATGCCTCCTATTCCTCCCATCCCCCAACCATGCTTTAGCACCCTCTGAGTCCTGCCAGTCCCTTGCATGCTTGCCTACCTGCCTGCTCGTCTAGGGCCTGTCTGGCTATGTCTGAATTCCTGTCCACTTGGCCCGCAGGTTTTTCTGAAATCTCTGCTATCAGACTGAGGCTCAATTTGGGAGCTGGGGTGTTCTGTCTGTTATTCCTGGCTTTTGGCCTTCATCTTAACCAAGGGTTCACACTTTCTTCCCCCAACACCAAAGAGGAAAGTAGCTTGGTGGGGGCAGATTTATCTGCCTCACTTTCCATAACTCTCTGCCCATCAGGTTGCTGACATTGATAGCTCTCCCAGTAAGGAGGAGGAGGAAGAAGATGATGACACCATGCAGAATACCGTGGTTCTCTTCTCCAACACAGACAAATTTGTCCTAATGCAGGTACCATACAGTGAGACCTGGCACACTGAACATTGTGTATGTGTGTGTTTGGTGAGAGGATAGATGGGAAAACTGGACCTACTTTGGGGATACCCAGCTAATGAGAAAACAGACCATGAATTCTAATCATGTTATTCATTGGTTTGTCCATCCATCACATTTCTCTTGAGTATCTCTTCTGAGCTTGGCACTAAGCTAGGAGCTAGAGAAATAGCAGTGAAAAAGTCTTTGCCTTATTGAACTTTATAGCTTAGGGAACTTACATGTGTCCTCACTTGAATAATCTTGAAGCTGATAGAATTTTGTCACATATGTGATTCTCACCTGACCAGTCTTTACTCCATCTTATCTTCCTTTAATTTCTTCTTAACTTCACCCATGTCAGGCTTTATAAATTCAAGTGACCTGATTAGGTGAGTAAGGCATCCTAGGAAGGAGCAGGGTCCCTTGGTAGCTTACAGCATCCTAACGCTGTGGGATGGGGTTCCTGACTCTGGTCGCAAATCAGTGTTGTAGCGTCATAGTAGACTGGATCTGAGTGGGATGGGGAGATCTAGTTGGACATTTGGGTTTCTCTGTGTTTCCCCAGGACATGTGTGTGGTATGTGGCAGCTTTGGCCGGGGGGCAGAGGGCCACCTCCTTGCCTGTTCGCAGTGCTCTCAGTGCTATCACCCTTACTGTGTCAACAGCAAGGTGAGTTCAGGGCCCAAGAGGTGTAGGCTGGGGAATAGGGTCAGTTATTTCTTACCCTAGTTCCTTGTCCTGGCCATACCACCTCTTAAAGCGGCCATCGGTCATGGTTGTTCATTAGTCACCAGTGGTTATCAAACTTTTCTTGGGGAAAAGTACTTTGGAACTCAACGGTGGACTTGATAGTTTCTTTGTGGTAGGCCCTGACTTGCTGGTATAATTCAGTCCATCGTAAAAAATAACAACATGGCTGGGCATGGTGGCTCCCACCTGTAATCCCAGCACTTTGGGAGGCCTAGGTGGGTGGATCACCTGAGATTAGGAGTTCAGGACCATCGTGGTCAACATGGTGAAACCCCGTCTCTTCTAAAAAATAACAAAAATTAGCTGAGTGTGGTAGCGCGTGCCTGTAATCTCAGCAACTCGGGAGGCTGAGGCAGGAGAATTGCTTGAACCCAGGAGGCGGAGGTTGCAGTGAGCCGAGATCACGCCACTGTACTCCACTCCAGCCTGGGCAACAGAGTGAGATCCGTCTCAAAAAAAAAAAAAAAAAAAAAAAAAGGAAAAACTGGGGGACCTAATTCGGTCCACAGTCTCTTTTTAGGGGCTTGGCTAGTGGAAAGATTGCTATTCTATTCACAATGAGGCAGTGGCTAGTGCAGCTCTTCTCTGATCAGCAGAGATCATTGGGAGCCTAAGTTTAGAGTCACTGTTTTGGGGACAAGGGTGCTCTGCCTAAGTCTCTGTGTGCTCAAATGGAGGCCTAGTCTCTGCATTGGGCTGCCTCCAGCCTCACCCTTAGAAGTTCCACCTCCTAGGCTGGGCACGGTGGCGCACACCTGTAATCCCAGCACTTTACTTCGGGAGGGTGAGGCGGGTGGATCACCTAAGGTCAGGAGTTGGTGACCAGCCTGACTAACATGGTGAAACTCTGACTCTACTAAATACAAAAAAATTAGCCAGGTGTGGTGGCAGGTGCCTGTAATCTCAGCTACTTGGGAGGCTGAGACAAGAGAATCACTTGTACCTGAGAGGCAGAGGTTGCAGTGAGCCGAGATCGCGCCATTGCACTCCAGCCTGGGGAACAAGAGCAAAACTCCATCTCCAAAAAAAAATAAAAAGAAGTTCTACCTCTTTTCCACCTCACACCCTGAGAAGTTCCCATCTTCTGCCCCAGATCACCAAGGTGATGCTGCTCAAGGGCTGGCGTTGTGTGGAGTGTATTGTGTGTGAGGTGTGTGGCCAGGCCTCCGACCCCTCACGCCTGCTGCTCTGTGATGACTGTGATATTAGCTACCACACATACTGCCTGGACCCCCCACTGCTCACCGTCCCCAAGGGCGGCTGGAAGTGCAAGTGGTAAGGAGACTGGGATCTTCAGTGGAGCCCTGGGGCCTTGAGATGTTAAAGTGGATATGATGTTGAGTATGTGACAGAGGCTGGGTTTAGGAGGCCAGGCTGGTGGCTTGGGTTTCCGGTGAGGGGACTTCTGGGTACTTCGGGTAGGTTGGGTGCTAAAGCTCTGTTTTCCTGCTCCTATCAGGTGTGTGTCCTGTATGCAGTGTGGGGCTGCTTCCCCTGGCTTCCACTGTGAATGGCAGAATAGTTACACACACTGTGGGCCCTGTGCCAGCCTGGTGACCTGCCCTATCTGTCATGCTCCTTACGTAGAAGAGGACCTACTAATCCAGTGCCGCCACTGTGAACGGTGAGAACATCCCTTTCTCCTCACTTTGGCCCTGTTGCCAGCCTCGCATTGCCTGAGCTTATTTCCTCCAGTCTCTGTTCTCCAGGTGGATGCATGCAGGCTGTGAGAGCCTCTTCACAGAGGACGATGTGGAGCAGGCAGCCGATGAAGGCTTTGACTGTGTCTCCTGCCAGCCCTACGTGGTAAAGCCTGTGGGTGAGTACCAGCTGCTGGGTAGGGGGAGGAGTCAGAGCAGGGGTACCTTGCTTTGGGACAGGACCTCAGCCACCTCCGTTTGTCCTTCTCTCCATAGCGCCTGTTGCACCTCCAGAGCTGGTGCCCATGAAGGTGAAAGAGCCAGGTGAGTCACAGAAATTTTGAATGCCAAAGCCAGACCAGACGTCGGACATCATCTAGTCTAGCTCCAACCCCCTAGCTTCATCTCCTTATTTTAAGAGGAGGAAACTCAGACCCAGAGAAGTTAAGTGGCCTGCCCAAGGTCACCTAGTAAGTTAGTGGCAAAGTTATGCCTAGAACCAAGGTCTCCAGCTTCCCGGGCAATGTTCCTTTCATCAGGCACCATGGTCTCTTCACTGCTAGGATTTCGTCTTCAGATCTCTTTTTTTTTTTTTTTTTTGAGATGGAGTCTTGCTCTGTTGCCCAGGCTGGAGTGCAGTGGCACAAGCTTGGCACATTGCAAGCTTTGCCTCCCGGGTTCACGCCATTCTCCTGCCTCAGCCTCCTGAGTAGCTGGGACTACAGGTGCCCGCCACCACGCCCGGCTAATTTTTTGTATTTTTTAGTAGAGATGGGGTTTCACCGTGTTAGCCAGGATGGTCTCGATCTCCGGACCTCGTGATCTGCCAGCCTCGGCCTCCCAAAGGGCTGGGATTACAAGCATGAGCACCGCGCCCGGCTGAGAACATAACTCTTTTTCCTAAGTGAAAGGGGCCAGGGACATCTCCATCGTGATATGGCACTGCTGCTGGCATCTAGGACACTGTGTGCTGGCATTCAGCAAGTAGGGGCCCTCATAGCCCCAGACAGCAAGAGAATCTATTTAGTGAACCTAGGGTTAATCATGAGCAAAGGCAGGCTTCTGAGTTACAGTTCCTCTCTGAATCTCCCTGGGTCACTGACAGAGAACTCGGGCCTCAGCCAGTGCCCCTTGGTGGCCTGTTCTCCTCAGCATTTAGACCCTAAGCTGGACTTTTGTCACTGCCTTTGTCTCAGCTAAGGACATAGGTTGAAACTTGCAGTTCTGGTTTCCCTGGGGCTTCCATCCAGGGATCACATACTCTTTCCTCTTATGCAGAGCCCCAGTACTTTCGCTTCGAAGGTGTGTGGCTGACAGAAACTGGCATGGCCTTGCTGCGTAACCTGACCATGTCACCACTGCACAAGCGGCGCCAACGGCGAGGACGGCTTGGCCTCCCAGGCGAGGCAGGATTGGAGGGTTCTGAGCCCTCAGATGCCCTTGGCCCTGATGACAAGAAGGATGGGGACCTGGACACCGATGAGCTGCTCAAGGGTGAAGGTTAGCTTGGGGAATCTTAGGGAGCGGCAGAGTAGGGGGAGCGTGACTCTGGGAGTGGGATGTTGGGTGGGGGCTACATTGCCACTCAGTTACCCTTAAGCACTGCTGTCTCGTCTAAGTGGCTCTGAGGCAAGGTATTCAGCTCTCTCAGTGGCAGGATGACAAGGTTAAAAGGGCCTATAGTTCTGATTTGCCTCCATCTCTTCTGTCACCATACGCAGGTGGTGTGGAGCACATGGAGTGCGAAATTAAACTGGAGGGCCCCGTCAGCCCTGATGTGGAGCCTGGCAAAGAGGAGACCGAGGAAAGCAAAAAACGCAAGCGTAAACCATATCGGCCTGGTGAGGTCCTGGGATGGGGTTGTGGGGTGGTGGGGTGGTGCGGGGCAGCTCAATAGGTCCCCCAGCGGCTTCTCATCCACAACTCTGCCTCCTCATAGGCATTGGTGGTTTCATGGTGCGACAGCGGAAATCCCACACACGCACGAAAAAGGGGCCTGCTGCACAGGCGGAGGTGTTGAGTGGGGATGGGCAGCCCGACGAGGGTGAGACGGGTGAGGGCACCAGTGGGGCCTGGGAGAAGGTGGGGCAATGCTAGAGAGACCCAGGGGGTGGACTCATTGAAAGGGCCAAGAGGGTGGTAGACCCAGCTGGTGTTGTGGGAGAGAGTAGGCACAAAGTGTCACCCTGCAAGTTGGGAGCAGCATGCTCTCAACCCGAGTCTGACACTTCCGTTCTGTCCACAGTGATACCTGCTGACCTGCCTGCAGAGGGCGCCGTGGAGCAGAGCTTAGCTGAAGGGGATGAGAAGAAGAAGCAACAGCGGCGAGGGCGCAAGAAGAGCAAACTGGAGGACATGTTCCCTGCTTACTTGCAGGTGGGTCTCAGGCTCCAAGCAGTGAGGGAGGTGTCTGTGCCCTGCAGGGCATGAAGAAAACTGTTTCTCCTTGACTGCCCCACAGGAAGCCTTCTTTGGGAAGGAGCTGCTGGACCTGAGCCGTAAGGCCCTTTTTGCAGTTGGGGTGGGCCGGCCAAGCTTTGGACTAGGGACCCCAAAAGCCAAGGGAGATGGAGGCTCAGAAAGGAAGGAACTCCCCACATCGCAGAAAGGTTAGTTATGTGGGAGTGAGTGGTGTGAGAGAATCCAACTTTCTTCTGGCTTAGGAGCTGGCAAGTTATTTGATGGGAAATGGACTGGCCTCCAGGAGTCAAGGGTGGGGTCAAGGGTCCTGGCCTGTAGGGCTGTGGGACTGGAGACCTGTTCTGGGCATCAGATGTAGGACATCTCTGATTGGAGGGGGGACTCTTGCTCATAGGAGATGATGGTCCAGATATTGCAGATGAAGAATCCCGTGGCCTCGAGGGCAAAGCCGATACACCAGGTGAGGGCTGCCGGGGTTACTGTGTCCTGTCTTGGCCTTGCTTGCCTCTGTCCCTCTGCTGTGCCCCTGAGCATTGTCAGTGTTGGAGGCTGGAAACTGTCCCATGGCCCTCTGTGGTTCAGAGTGGCCATGACCCATCCTGGCCTTGACCCATGGGTTTCTCCTGGCATTTACAGGACCTGAGGATGGGGGCGTGAAGGCATCCCCAGTGCCCAGTGACCCTGAGAAGCCAGGCACCCCAGGTGAAGGGATGCTTAGCTCTGACTTAGACAGGATTTCCACAGAAGGTGAGGCTGTGACCCGTACCTCTTTGTGTATAAGGGTTTTCTATGGGAGAAGGAGGAGGTCCTATCTTTGGGACTGTGATCTGTACAGCTTCTCTGGTGGGGAGTCCTGGACTGTTCCTGGCCATGATCATTTGTAGACCTGTGGTGTCACCTGAACTTCCCAGTCTTCCTCAACAGTGTCCTTCATTCCCCCACAGAACTGCCCAAGATGGAATCCAAGGACCTGCAGCAGCTCTTCAAGGATGTTCTGGGCTCTGAACGAGAACAGCATCTGGGTTGTGGAACCCCTGGCCTAGAAGGCAGCCGTACGCCACTGCAGAGGCCCTTTCTTCAAGGTAATACAGGTGGGAGTGGTCTGAAGACTGACATAACCAAGCTTGCCTCCAGGATGGGCCAGTTGCTCTTTTCTCTGATCCTGTCCGTCTTGTAGGTGGACTCCCTTTGGGCAATCTGCCCTCCAGCAGCCCAATGGACTCCTACCCAGGCCTCTGCCAGTCCCCGTTCCTGGATTCTAGGTTGGTGTCTCTGCGTAACCTTTGTGGGCAGTCCTCGTTGTCCTTTCCCTCCATCTGAGTTCATGCTTTGCCTCCCTCGGACTCCTGCAGCACTTCCCCTGCTCCTCCCCATTCCCTTGTTAGTGACCCTCCTCTTTTGGGGCAGGGCAGTGGCCTGGGGCTCTAGGCAGTTTGTCTGGGGTGGGACTTGGCATCCCTGCGCCCTGTGACTCTCTGCCCCTGCGCCCCAGGGAGCGCGGGGGCTTCTTTAGCCCGGAACCCGGTGAGCCCGACAGCCCCTGGACGGGCTCAGGTGGCACCACGCCCTCCACCCCCACAACCCCCACCACGGAGGGTGAGGGCGACGGACTCTCCTATAACCAGCGGAGTCTTCAGCGCTGGGAGAAGGATGAGGAGTTGGGCCAGCTGTCCACCATCTCACCTGTGCTCTATGCCAACATTAATTTTCCTAATCTCAAGCAAGACTACCCAGGTACCTGTGGGATGAGGGCAAGGGAGACAGCCTGGCAACATGGCAGGTGGAGGAGTCGCCTGCCAAGTCTTCTCTGACTCACTCTCTCTGCCCTCCAGACTGGTCAAGCCGTTGCAAACAAATCATGAAGCTCTGGAGAAAGGTTCCAGCAGCTGACAAAGCCCCCTACCTGGTGAGGCAGAAAGGAGCATGGATTAGCGTGGGAACTGAGAGGGAGGGAGGGATCTTTGGGTAATTTACCTCAGTTCTTTCCGCTCCCCACTCCTAAAGCAGCTGGGCCAGAAGGGATCTGCTTCTGGGTAGGGAGTGTGAAAACACTACAGTATGGGGGCGGGGCATGAGACCAAGCACTAGGCCCTAAGGCTGTGTCCCATATCCCTCAGCAAAAGGCCAAAGATAACCGGGCAGCTCACCGCATCAACAAGGTGCAGAAGGTGAGTGGGGCTGGGCTGGGGTGTAGCAGTCCTCTAGTGGGTGGCCTCTCTTGAGGGTGGAGGGCCATGGGGCCTGCCTGCAGCAGCCTGACTGCCCTATGCCTGGTCTCCCCCTGTAGCAGGCTGAGAGCCAGATCAACAAGCAGACCAAGGTGGGCGACATAGCCCGTAAGACTGACCGACCGGCCCTACATCTCCGCATTCCCCCGCAGCCAGGGGCACTGGGCAGCCCGCCCCCCGCTGCTGCCCCCACCATTTTCATTGGCAGCCCCACTACCCCCGCCGGCTTGTCTACCTCTGCGGACGGGTTCCTGAAGCCGCCGGCGGGCTCGGTGCCTGGCCCTGACTCGCCTGGTGAGCTCTTCCTCAAGCTCCCACCCCAGGTGCCCGCCCAAGTGCCTTCGCAGGACCCCTTTGGACTGGCCCCTGCCTATCCCCTGGAGCCCCGCTTCCCCACGGCACCGCCCACCTATCCCCCCTATCCTAGTCCTACGGGGGCCCCTGCGCAGCCCCCGATGCTGGGCGCCTCATCTCGTCCTGGGGCTGGCCAGCCAGGGGAATTCCACACTACCCCACCTGGCACCCCCAGACACCAGCCCTCCACACCTGACCCATTCCTCAAACCCCGCTGCCCCTCGCTGGATAACTTGGCTGTGCCTGAGAGCCCTGGGGTAGGGGGAGGCAAAGCTTCCGAGCCCCTGCTCTCGCCCCCACCTTTTGGGGAGTCCCGGAAGGCCCTAGAGGTGAAGAAGGAAGAGCTTGGGGCATCCTCTCCTAGCTATGGGCCCCCAAACCTGGGCTTTGTTGACTCACCCTCCTCAGGCACCCACCTGGGTGGCCTGGAGTTAAAGACACCTGATGTCTTCAAAGCCCCCCTGACCCCTCGGGCATCTCAGGTAGAGCCCCAGAGCCCGGGCTTGGGCCTAAGGCCCCAGGAGCCACCCCCTGCCCAGGCTTTGGCACCTTCTCCTCCAAGTCACCCAGACATCTTTCGCCCTGGCTCCTACACTGACCCATATGCTCAGCCCCCATTGACTCCTCGGCCCCAACCTCCGCCCCCTGAGAGCTGCTGTGCTCTGCCCCCTCGCTCACTGCCCTCCGACCCTTTCTCCCGAGTGCCTGCCAGTCCTCAGTCCCAGTCCAGCTCCCAGTCTCCACTGACACCCCGGCCTCTGTCTGCTGAAGCT
Source organism: Homo sapiens (assembly GCF_000001405.40). Classification (NCBI taxonomy): domain Eukaryota; kingdom Metazoa; phylum Chordata; class Mammalia; order Primates; family Hominidae; genus Homo; species Homo sapiens. The sequence goes on along the minus strand of NC_000012.12, from coordinate 49,040,467 downwards.
TTTTGCCCATCACCCGTTACCCCTCGCTTCCAGTCCCCTGACCCTTATTCTCGCCCACCCTCACGCCCTCAGTCCCGTGACCCATTTGCCCCATTGCATAAGCCACCCCGACCCCAGCCCCCTGAAGTTGCCTTTAAGGCTGGGTCTCTAGCCCACACTTCGCTGGGGGCTGGGGGGTTCCCAGCAGCCCTGCCCGCGGGGCCAGCAGGTGAGCTCCATGCCAAGGTCCCAAGTGGGCAGCCCCCCAATTTTGTCCGGTCCCCTGGGACGGGTGCATTTGTGGGCACCCCCTCTCCCATGCGTTTCACTTTCCCTCAGGCAGTAGGGGAGCCTTCCCTAAAGCCCCCTGTCCCTCAGCCTGGTCTCCCGCCACCCCATGGGATCAACAGCCATTTTGGGCCCGGCCCCACCTTGGGCAAGCCTCAAAGCACAAACTACACAGTAGCCACAGGGAACTTCCACCCATCGGGCAGCCCCCTGGGGCCCAGCAGCGGGTCCACAGGGGAGAGCTATGGGCTGTCCCCACTACGCCCTCCGTCGGTTCTGCCACCACCTGCACCCGACGGATCCCTCCCCTACCTGTCCCATGGAGCCTCACAGCGATCAGGCATCACCTCTCCTGTCGAAAAGCGAGAAGACCCAGGGACTGGAATGGGTAGCTCTTTGGCGACAGCTGAACTCCCAGGTACCCAGGACCCAGGCATGTCCGGCCTTAGCCAAACAGAGCTGGAGAAGCAACGGCAGGTAAGTTGACACCCTGGAGCTAAGCCCCCTATATCGCTCCTGTCTCTGGGGCAGCCCTATGATTGGAGTAGAATGGGCTTATTCCTCTTCTCTTTTTTTTGCATAGCGCCAGCGACTACGAGAGCTGCTGATTCGGCAGCAGATCCAGCGCAACACCCTGCGGCAGGAGAAGGAAACAGCTGCAGCAGCTGCAGGAGCAGTGGGGCCTCCAGGCAGCTGGGGTGCTGAGCCCAGCAGCCCTGCCTTTGAGCAGCTGAGTCGAGGCCAGACCCCCTTTGCTGGGACACAGGTAGGTAGAGTGGCAAGGGATAGTGGGGCCAGGATATTGAAGGTTGCTCCACCTTCATCTACCTTGTCTCTTCTAGGACAAGAGCAGCCTTGTGGGGTTGCCCCCAAGCAAGCTGAGTGGCCCCATCCTGGGGCCAGGGTCCTTCCCTAGCGATGACCGACTCTCCCGGCCACCTCCACCAGCCACGCCTTCCTCTATGGATGTGAACAGCCGGTGAGGCTCCAGGAGGTTCCCTGGGGGTAAACCAAGGGGGATGGATTTTATCACTGTTGGAAGCTCTTGTGATTTTCCTGTATCACTAATCCTTTTCCAGTATCACTTTCTCTTCTTCCTCATTCCTTTTCTCCCTCACTGCATTAATTCTATCCTTCCTCACTGCCCTAAGCCCATGTTCTTGCTCCTTTTCATCTGATTTCATCCTACTGACTACTGTATATTCTTCCAGGCAACTGGTAGGAGGCTCCCAAGCTTTCTATCAGCGAGCACCCTATCCTGGGTCCCTGCCCTTACAGCAGCAACAGCAACAACTGTGGCAGCAACAACAGGCAACAGCAGCAACCTCCATGCGATTTGCCATGTCAGCTCGCTTTCCATCAACTCCTGGACCTGAACTTGGCCGCCAAGCCCTAGGTTCCCCGTTGGCGGGAATTTCCACCCGTCTGCCAGGCCCTGGTGAGCCAGTGCCTGGTCCAGCTGGTCCTGCCCAGTTCATTGAGCTGCGGCACAATGTACAGAAAGGACTGGGACCTGGGGGCACTCCGTTTCCTGGTCAGGGCCCACCTCAGAGACCCCGTTTTTACCCTGTAAGTGAGGACCCCCACCGACTGGCTCCTGAAGGGCTTCGGGGCCTGGCGGTATCAGGTCTTCCCCCACAGAAACCCTCAGCCCCACCGGCCCCTGAATTGAACAACAGTCTTCATCCAACACCCCACACCAAGGGTCCTACCCTGCCAACTGGTTTGGAGCTGGTCAACCGGCCCCCGTCGAGCACTGAGCTTGGCCGCCCCAATCCTCTGGCCCTGGAAGCTGGGAAGTTGCCCTGTGAGGATCCCGAGCTGGATGACGATTTTGATGCCCACAAGGCCCTAGAGGATGATGAAGAGCTTGCTCACCTGGGTCTGGGTGTGGATGTGGCCAAGGGTGATGATGAACTTGGCACCTTAGAAAACCTGGAGACCAATGACCCCCACTTGGATGACCTGCTCAATGGAGACGAGTTTGACCTGCTGGCATATACTGATCCTGAGCTGGACACTGGGGACAAGAAGGATATCTTCAATGAGCACCTGAGGCTGGTAGAATCGGCTAATGAGAAGGCTGAACGGGAGGCCCTGCTGCGGGGGGTGGAGCCAGGACCCTTGGGCCCTGAGGAGCGCCCTCCCCCTGCTGCTGATGCCTCTGAACCCCGCCTGGCATCTGTGCTCCCTGAGGTGAAGCCCAAGGTGGAGGAGGGTGGACGCCACCCTTCTCCTTGCCAATTCACCATTGCTACCCCCAAGGTAGAGCCCGCACCTGCTGCCAATTCCCTTGGCCTGGGGCTAAAGCCAGGACAGAGCATGATGGGCAGCCGGGATACCCGGATGGGCACAGGGCCATTTTCTAGCAGTGGGCACACAGCTGAGAAGGCCTCCTTTGGGGCCACGGGAGGACCACCAGCTCACCTGCTGACCCCCAGCCCACTGAGTGGCCCAGGAGGATCCTCCCTGCTGGAAAAGTTTGAGCTCGAGAGTGGGGCTTTGACCTTGCCTGGTGGACCTGCAGCATCTGGGGATGAGCTAGACAAGATGGAGAGCTCACTGGTAGCCAGCGAGTTACCCCTGCTCATTGAGGACCTGTTGGAGCATGAGAAGAAGGAGCTGCAGAAGAAGCAGCAGCTTTCAGCACAGTTGCAGCCTGCCCAGCAGCAGCAGCAACAGCAGCAGCAGCATTCCCTACTGTCTGCACCAGGCCCTGCCCAGGCCATGTCTTTGCCACATGAGGGCTCTTCTCCCAGTTTGGCTGGGTCCCAACAGCAGCTTTCCCTGGGTCTTGCAGGTGCCCGACAGCCAGGTTTGCCCCAGCCACTGATGCCCACCCAGCCACCAGCTCATGCCCTCCAGCAACGCCTGGCTCCATCCATGGCTATGGTGTCCAATCAAGGGCATATGCTAAGTGGGCAGCATGGAGGGCAGGCAGGCTTGGTACCCCAGCAGAGCTCACAGCCAGTGCTATCACAGAAGCCCATGGGCACCATGCCACCTTCCATGTGCATGAAGCCGCAGCAATTGGCAATGCAGCAGCAGCTGGCAAACAGCTTCTTCCCAGATACAGGTAACCTCAGCTGGTAACATAGCCAAGTTACTCAGGGTGATTATTGTTATCCCTAAATGGGCACTGAGGCTAGAGACCTCAGATAATCCCTACTTAAGATGGGACACAAAGAACTTTGGCTAAATATCATACTAGTGGTAGAGGCAGAAACACTGTAGCTTTTAAGAAGAGAGAGAACAGTTCCTGGCATATAGTAGGCATGTAGCAGATGTTTGAATAAATGGAATGAATGTATGAATGAAGCCTAATTAGCAGAGCCTTTGTAGCTGTAGTGAAGTTGAAAGCTTAAGACTTGAAGAGAAGTGGTGCAAAAAAAAGCAGTTGAGGCCAGGCACAATGGCTCATGCCTGTAATCCCAGCACTTTGGGAGACCAAGGCAGGTGGATCACTTAAGATCAGGAGTTCAAGACCAGCCTGGCCAAGATGATGAAACCCCATCTCTACTAAACATACAAAAATTAGCTGGGTGTGAGCCGGGCGCGGTGGTGCATCCCTGTAATCCCAGCTACTCGGGAGGCTGAGGCAGGAGAGTTGATTGAACCCATGAGGCAGAGGTTGTGGTGAGCCGAGATCGCCTCATTGCACTCCAGCCTGGGCAACAAGAGCGAAACTCCATCTCAAAAAAAAAAAAAAAAAAAAAAAAAAATTAGCTGGGTGTGGTGGTGCACGCCTGTAGTTCCAGCTACTCGAGAGGCTGAGGCAGGAGAATTGCTTGAACCCAGGAGGTGGAGGTTGCAGTTAGCTGAGATCACGCCATTGCACTTCAGGCTGGGCAACAGAGCGAGACTCTGTCTTAAAAAAAAAAAAAAAAGCGATTGGGATAGGTGAAAAAGTTCATTGAGGCTGCAATGGTGGGAAAACCTATGGGATGTTTCAAGAACAGTGAGTGAATTGGTTAGGCTGGAGTAAACTGTTTCGAGTGAAGTAAGTGACATAATTTTGGTGAGATAAGATGGGGGCCAGATTGAAAAAGACCTCAAATTATAATAGCATTTATTGAGTAATTACTATTTGCCAAGGAGTTTACTGAGCACTTTATACTTTTTGTCCAATTTAATCATTATAGCAGACTCATTAAATAGGTATTGTTATTATCTTTGATTACAGAAGAGGAAACAGAAGTGGAGGTTAAGTAACTTGTCCAAGATTACACAGCAGCTAGCAGAGCTAGATCTGAAGTCTGGTCGGTACTCCTCTTAACTGTTTACTGCCTCAGGATTCCAGGAGAGGGAGTTTGGGTTAGTCCTTAAGAAAGTGGGAGCTCTGGCCAGGTGCTGTGGCTCACGCCTTTAATCCCAGCACTTTGGGAGGCTGAGGCGGGTGGATCACCTGAGGTCAGGAGTTCCAGACCAGCCTGGCCAACATGGTGAAACCTCGTTTCTACTAAAAATACAAAAATTAGCTGGGCTTGGTGGTGGGCACCTGTAATCACAGCTACTCGGCAGGCTGAGGCAGGAGAATCGCTTGAACCCAGGAAGCAGAGGTTGCAGTGAGCCTAAATTGCACCATTGCACTCCAGCCTGGGTGACAAGAGCAAGACTCTGTCTTTAAAAAAGAAAAGAAAAGAAAAAAAGAAAGTGGATGCTCAGTTAAGTTTTCTGAGCAGTGGAGAAATATACAAAGTGTGGGATTTTAGGATGATGTAAGTTTTTGGTGGTTGGTTGTTTCTTCTTTTTTGCCCAGCATTCTAGACAGACAGGAGAGTGGACTACAGGTGATGCCCAAAACAGCTCTGGAATCTAGGGCTTTGCAACAGTGCCAGCATCTTGGGTGCTTGGGCTGTGCTAGTTGGACTAAGAACATTACCTTTGAAGAATGCTTTCCGAGTCATAAAGTGTACTTATATTCTTGTCACATTTGATCCTCTTAACACCTCTGTGAGGTAGACGGAGTAGGGATCATCATCTGTATCAAATAAAAGGGTAAACTGAGGTGAAATAACACAGGTTGACTCAACAAATATTTACGGAGCCCCTTTTTGTAGCACGGTGCAAGTAAAAACAGGCCCACATGTCCTGTGAATAGAGCTGATTCACCCAGGCCGACTGGCTCCTAATTCAGTGGTCTTTCTGCCTTGCCGTGCCATTGTTCTGCCTGGCGTGGTTGAAGTCAGGATGTTGAAGGGAATCGCAGATATTCACTGGAGCATTGGCCCCATAGCCCAGCTCACTTGGTTCTCCCCTCTCCAGACCTGGACAAATTTGCTGCAGAAGATATCATTGATCCCATTGCAAAGGCCAAGATGGTGGCTTTGAAAGGCATCAAGAAAGTGATGGCTCAGGGCAGCATTGGGGTGGCACCTGGTATGAACAGGTAAGACTCAGGGCTGGAATGGGGTTGGCCCTTTTCTTTCCCAGTCACACCCCTTCTTGGCTCCCCTCCCTACTTGTCCCACGTCTCTTTGCTTTCCAACTTTCTTATTGCCAACACTTATCTTCTGTGCTTTGGTGGACTCCAGACAGCAAGTGTCTCTGCTAGCCCAGAGGCTCTCGGGGGGACCTAGCAGTGATCTGCAGAACCATGTGGCAGCTGGGAGTGGCCAGGTAAGTGGTCAGGTGGGAGTAGGAACTTGTGTCTTATGCCACTGGGCCACCCTTCTTAGGGCCTAGCAGGGAACAATGACCCTTTAGCAGCCTCTCTCATTGCAGGAGCGGAGTGCTGGTGATCCCTCCCAGCCTCGTCCCAACCCGCCCACTTTTGCTCAGGGAGTGATCAGTGAGTATGGGGCGTGGGAGGAAGGTGCAGGGGAGTGGTTTGGGTCATATGGAGGAAGAGGGATTGGGATTACCCTTTTGCAGGTCCTGACACCCAGCTTCTTTTCCCAGATGAAGCTGACCAGCGGCAGTATGAGGAGTGGCTGTTCCATACCCAGCAGCTCCTACAGATGCAGCTGAAGGTGCTAGAGGAGCAGATTGGTGTACACCGCAAGTCCCGGAAGGCTCTGTGTGCCAAGCAGCGCACTGCCAAAAAAGCTGGCCGTGAGTTCCCAGAAGCTGATGCTGAGAAGCTCAAGCTGGTTACAGAGCAGCAGAGCAAGATCCAGAAACAACTGGATCAGGTGGGGGAAAGCAAACTTCAGCCTAGCACCCAGAAGGCAGGGAAGAGGGTTGGCATGGGGGGAGCATGCCCCAGCCTGACCTCTCCGACCCTCCCATGTTAGGTCCGGAAACAGCAGAAGGAGCACACTAATCTCATGGCAGAATATCGGAACAAGCAGCAGCAACAACAGCAGCAGCAGCAGCAACAACAGCAACAGCACTCAGCTGTGCTGGCTCTCAGCCCTTCCCAGAGTCCCCGGCTGCTCACCAAGCTCCCTGGTCAGCTGCTCCCTGGCCATGGGCTGCAGCCACCACAGGGGCCTCCGGGTGGGCAAGCCGGAGGTCTTCGCCTGACCCCTGGGGGTATGGCACTACCTGGACAGCCTGGTGGCCCCTTCCTTAATACAGCTCTGGCCCAACAGCAGCAACAGCAACATTCTGGTGGGGCTGGATCCCTGGCTGGCCCTTCAGGGGGCTTCTTCCCTGGCAACCTTGCTCTTCGAAGCCTCGGACCTGATTCAAGGCTTTTACAGGAAAGGCAGCTGCAGCTGCAGCAGCAACGTATGCAGCTGGCCCAGAAACTGCAGCAGCAGCAGCAGCAGCAACAGCAGCAGCAGCACCTTCTAGGACAGGTGGCAATCCAGCAGCAACAGCAGCAGGGTCCTGGAGTACAGACAAACCAAGCTCTGGGTCCCAAGCCCCAGGGCCTTATGCCTCCCAGCAGCCACCAAGGCCTCCTGGTCCAGCAGCTGTCCCCTCAACCACCCCAGGGGCCCCAGGGCATGCTGGGCCCTGCCCAGGTGGCTGTGTTGCAGCAGCAGCACCCTGGAGCTTTGGGCCCCCAGGGCCCTCACAGACAGGTGCTTATGACCCAGTCCCGGGTGCTCAGTTCCCCCCAGCTGGCACAGCAGGGTCAGGGCCTTATGGGACACAGGCTGGTCACAGCCCAGCAGCAGCAGCAGCAACAACAGCACCAACAGCAAGGGTCCATGGCAGGGCTGTCCCATCTTCAGCAGAGTCTGATGTCACACAGTGGGCAGCCCAAACTGAGCGCTCAGCCCATGGGCTCTTTACAGCAGCTTCAGCAGCAGCAGCAGCTGCAACAGCAACAGCAACTTCAGCAGCAGCAGCAGCAGCAGCTACAACAGCAACAGCAACTTCAGCAGCAACAGCTTCAACAGCAGCAACAGCAGCAGCAGCTTCAACAACAGCAGCAGCAACAGCTTCAACAGCAGCAACAGCAGCTACAACAGCAACAGCAACAACAACAGCAGCAGTTTCAACAGCAGCAGCAACAGCAGCAGATGGGCCTTTTAAACCAGAGTCGAACTTTACTGTCTCCTCAGCAACAACAGCAGCAGCAAGTGGCACTTGGCCCTGGCATGCCAGCAAAGCCTCTTCAACACTTTTCTAGCCCTGGAGCCCTGGGTCCAACCCTCCTCCTGACGGGCAAGGAACAAAACACCGTAGACCCAGCCGTTTCTTCAGAGGCCACTGAGGGGCCCTCTACACATCAGGGAGGGCCGTTAGCAATAGGAACTACCCCTGAGTCAATGGCCACTGAACCAGGAGAGGTAAAGCCCTCACTCTCTGGGGACTCACAACTCCTGCTTGTCCAACCCCAGCCCCAGCCTCAGCCCAGCTCTCTGCAGCTGCAGCCACCTCTGAGGCTTCCAGGACAACAGCAGCAGCAAGTTAGCCTGCTCCACACAGCAGGTGGAGGAAGCCATGGGCAGCTAGGCAGTGGATCATCTTCTGAGGCCTCATCTGTGCCCCACCTGCTGGCTCAGCCCTCTGTTTCCTTAGGGGATCAGCCTGGGTCCATGACCCAGAACCTTCTGGGCCCCCAACAGCCCATGCTAGAGCGGCCCATGCAAAATAATACAGGGCCACAACCTCCCAAACCAGGACCTGTCCTCCAGTCTGGGCAGGGTCTGCCTGGGGTTGGAATCATGCCTACGGTGGGTCAGCTTCGAGCACAGCTCCAAGGAGTCCTGGCCAAAAACCCACAGCTGCGGCACTTAAGTCCTCAGCAGCAGCAGCAGCTACAGGCACTCCTCATGCAGCGGCAGCTGCAGCAGAGTCAGGCAGTACGCCAGACCCCACCCTACCAGGAGCCTGGGACCCAGACCTCTCCCCTCCAGGGCCTCCTGGGCTGCCAACCTCAACTTGGGGGCTTCCCTGGACCACAGACAGGCCCCCTCCAGGAGCTAGGGGCAGGGCCTCGACCTCAGGGCCCACCCCGGCTCCCTGCCCCACCAGGAGCCTTATCTACAGGACCAGTCCTTGGCCCTGTCCATCCCACACCTCCACCATCCAGCCCTCAAGAGCCAAAGAGACCTTCACAATTACCTTCCCCCAGCTCCCAGCTTCCCACTGAGGCCCAGCTCCCTCCCACCCATCCAGGGACCCCCAAACCTCAGGGGCCAACCTTGGAGCCGCCTCCTGGGAGGGTCTCACCTGCTGCTGCCCAGCTTGCAGATACCTTGTTTAGCAAGGGTCTGGGACCTTGGGATCCCCCAGACAACCTAGCAGAAACCCAGAAGCCAGAGCAGAGCAGCCTGGTACCTGGGCATCTGGACCAGGTGAATGGACAGGTGGTGCCTGAGGCATCCCAACTCAGCATCAAGCAGGAACCTCGGGAAGAGCCATGTGCCCTGGGAGCCCAGTCAGTGAAGAGGGAGGCCAATGGGGAGCCAATAGGGGCACCAGGAACCAGCAACCACCTCCTGCTGGCAGGCCCTCGCTCAGAAGCTGGGCATCTGCTCTTGCAGAAGCTACTCCGGGCAAAGAATGTGCAACTCAGCACTGGGCGGGGGTCCGAGGGGCTGCGAGCTGAGATCAACGGGCACATTGACAGCAAGCTGGCTGGGCTGGAGCAGAAACTACAGGGTACCCCCAGCAACAAGGAGGTGAGTACTCTGAGTAGAGTGGAGCAGGTAGAGTGGGTCCTAGAGCCAGCGGGGGGCAGAATGAGTGAGCCTGGGTCAGACAGAAGAGATGAGGGCTCTGAGGAGGAGGGTAGCAGCCTTCAATGGGCTTATTTGGCTTAGGATGCAGCAGCAAGGAAGCCTTTGACACCGAAGCCCAAGCGGGTACAGAAGGCAAGCGACAGGTTGGTGAGCTCCCGAAAGAAGCTGCGGAAGGAGGACGGGGTCAGGGCCAGCGAGGCCTTGCTGAAACAGCTGAAACAGGTGACCCCCCAGGAGACAGTCCCCCTGGTCCCATCCCAGGATAGGGGGCACCCTGTCCCCCAGCTGTGCAAGACAGCGATGCAAACGCTGCAGGTTTTGAACTTTGTCATCTTGCCCCTTGTAGGAGCTGTCCCTGCTGCCCCTAACGGAGCCTGCTATCACCGCCAATTTTAGCCTCTTTGCCCCCTTTGGCAGTGGCTGCCCAGTCAATGGGCAGAGCCAGCTGAGGGGGGCCTTTGGAAGTGGGGCGCTGCCCACTGGCCCTGACTACTATTCCCAGCTGCTTACCAAGGTCAGAAAAATGGCAATATTTTTTGGGAATAGTGAAGTTCTTGGGAAGGTGAGGGTGGGAATAGAAAACTTGAGGGAATTGCTGACGTAGAGTGGGGCCAGGAGATTATATCAGTCTCCCTATGCCATCTTGCACACAACACCCCACCCCCCACCCCTCAGAATAACCTGAGTAACCCGCCGACACCACCCTCGTCGCTGCCCCCCACCCCACCCCCATCGGTGCAGCAGAAGATGGTGAATGGCGTCACCCCATCTGAAGAGCTGGGGGAGCACCCCAAGGATGCTGCCTCTGCCCGGGATAGTGAAAGGGCACTGAGGGGTAAGTCAAGAGCAGATGCCACCCCTGGTGGAGTTTGGTAGCTGGAGTCCAAACCAGTTAGTATGCTGTACAGTTTAGAAATTAGTGGGTTGCCTGCTGTCCTGTGTGTTTACATAACAGGGCACCTGAGGTAGGAAGGGCCCTTTCAGGACTGATTTCTTGGGGGCCAGAATGGACATTTGGAGTCTAGAGCAAATGCAATAGGAGAGGTGGGTGGCAGGGAGCATCTTTATGAAGCTTTGTATAGAAGGAACAGTCCAGCTTTAGTGAGTGTGGAGCTAGACTCTGATCTGGATTTGAATTCTGGTTCCTGCATTCATTCAACTGTGTTACTGTATCCAAGTAACTTGATTGACTTGTGTGAGCCTCAGTTTCCTCACTGTAAAATGGCTATTGTAGTACTCACTTAATGGAGTTATTAAATGACTAAACAAACTCCAAAGAGTATATCTAAAGCCAGCTGCCACCAGGCCTGGTAGCTTATGCCTGTAATCCCAACATTTTGGGAGGCCAAGATGGAAGGATTGCTTGAGGCCAGGAGTTCGAGACCAGCTTGGGCAATATAACAAGACCCCATCTCTACGGGAAAAAAAAAAAAAAAACAAAAAAAACAAAAAACAACAGTGCCTGGCATGCAGGACAGACTCAATAAATATACCTTGTTTGCCCCAAACTGGTAGGTGGGAGGACAGCTAATCATGATAGCTGAGATCTCATGCTAATTAGGCCTAAAATATTGGGAGAAGGTACCATCAGCCCTGGCCACCCTCACCTGACTTTTCTTCTCCCTACCCACCCCTCAGATACTTCAGAGGTGAAGAGTCTAGACCTGCTGGCTGCCTTGCCTACACCCCCTCACAATCAGACTGAGGATGTCAGGTAGGGGCGGGGCCAGAAATGGGGATGAGGAACAAGGGTGGGGTACAGGTTGCCTCATATTTCCTTTGGCCAATGGAGATTTCAAGTAAGACATCTATTCATCTCTAGATTTGGGAGGGGAGTCTGCAGGGCTGTAGCAACAAATGTCTACTTTTGGTCCCCAGGATGGAGAGTGATGAGGATAGCGATTCTCCTGACAGCATTGTGCCAGCTTCATCCCCTGAGAGCATCTTGGGGGAGGAGGCCCCTCGTTTCCCTCATCTGGGCTCAGGCCGGTGGGAGCAAGAGGACCGGGCCCTCTCCCCTGTCATCCCCCTCATTCCTCGGGCCAGCATCCCAGGTATGTGCTACTCTGGATGTGGGCCAGGCCCAGTTCACCTGGGTTGTCCGAAGCTGGGGGAGAGGCGGCCAAGTGTTACACAAATTCCTCTTTCTCATTCAGTCTTCCCAGATACCAAACCTTATGGGGCCCTTGGCCTGGAGGTCCCTGGAAAGCTGCCTGTCACAACTTGGGAAAAGGGCAAAGGAAGTGAGGTGTCAGTCATGCTCACAGTCTCTGCTGCTGCAGCCAAGGTGTGTCCTAGGGGTACCTCGAGGCTGAGGGGAACCTGATCAGAGGGCAGTCCCTGGAATTTGTCTGGATAAGGAAAAATGTAGTCGTTCAAGCACATGTACTGAGTACCTATTGTATGTGAAAGCCTGGGCTAGAGGCTGTGAGATTCGGGTAAATGAATCATGGTTCCTGCCCTCACGGGGCTCGTAGTCCCATGGTAAAGACAGACAAGTCAACAACTAAGGAGCACCTGTGTGTGTAATGACACAGGTACTACATGACAGCATTGCCCCAGTCATGTTTGGTGGGACTCTGTCAGCTGTTTTGAAAATATTAACGGGCTTTTGTGGTCAAAGAAAGTTGGAAAACACAGTTAAAATGACAATATGGGTTTCTTTACTACAAGAGTCCTCAGGTCCTTTTAATTTGCTAACGTGTATCATGAGCCTCCAAGTCATGGATAGAGCATGCATCATTTCCTAAACGTAGTTGATGTAGTTCCCTTTTCGTGGAGCTCCCGTCAGTGCCCACAGCAGTTTGGGAAAGGCTGCTGTGAGGGAAGTGTATGAAAAGAGCTGGGTGACATAGGATAGAACTACCCTGGGGAGTGGGTTCTAGGTGTCCTTGTCCCCACCCAGCTGGTAGTAGAGCTCACCTCAGACACTTGGCTGATATGTTTCTTCCATCCCTTCCCTGGCCCTGGCAGAACCTGAATGGCGTGATGGTGGCAGTGGCGGAGCTGCTGAGCATGAAGATCCCCAACTCCTATGAGGTGCTGTTCCCAGAGAGCCCCGCCCGGGCAGGCACTGAGCCAAAGAAGGGGGAAGCTGAGGGTCCTGGTGAGTGTGGCAGGGAAGCCCTTTGGGACTTGAGGGGAGTGATTCTGGTGGGAGGCTCTGATCCACTCCTTTCTGCAGGTGGGAAGGAAAAGGGTCTGGAAGGCAAGAGCCCAGACACTGGCCCTGATTGGCTGAAGCAGTTTGATGCAGTGTTGCCTGGCTATACCCTGAAGAGCCAACTAGACATCTTGAGCCTCCTGAAACAGGTAGGTCTGGGGGAGAAAAAGGGGTGGGTGTTAGAAAAAAGGGGCTGCCGGCCAGGCGCGGTGGCTCACATCTGTAATCCCAGTGCTTTGGGAGGCAAGGCGAGTGAATCACTTTAGGCCAGGAGTTTGAGACCAGCCTGGCCAACATGGCGAAACCCCGTCTCTACTAAAAACAAAAACAAAACAGTAGCCAGGCGTGATGGTGCGTGCCTGTAATCCCAGCTACTCGAAAGGCTGAGGCATGAGAATCCCTTGAACCCAGGAGGCAGAGGTTGCAGTGAGCCAAGATTGTGCCACTGGATCCAGCCTGGGCAACAGAGCAAGACTGTGTCTCAAAAAAAAAAGAAAAGAAAAGAAAAAAGAGGCTGTCTAGGGCAAAGAATGTGGAGGCCTTTTGGGAGGGTGGCATATGGGTGAGGGGAAGGAGGGAGCTAGTTAGATGAGGAGCTGGCACTAATGATACAGGGCACCCTCCTACAGGAGAGCCCCGCCCCAGAGCCACCCACTCAGCACAGCTATACCTACAATGTCTCCAATCTGGATGTGCGACAGCTCTCGGCCCCACCTCCTGAAGAACCCTCCCCGCCCCCTTCCCCCTTGGCACCTTCTCCTGCCAGTCCCCCTACTGAGCCCTTGGTTGAACTTCCCACCGAACCCTTGGCTGAGCCACCCGTCCCCTCACCTCTGCCACTGGCCTCATCCCCTGAATCAGCCCGACCCAAGCCCCGTGCCCGGCCCCCTGAAGAAGGTGAAGATTCCCGTCCTCCTCGCCTCAAGAAATGGAAAGGAGTGCGCTGGAAGCGGCTTCGGCTGCTGCTGACCATCCAGAAGGGCAGTGGGCGGCAGGAGGATGAGCGGGAAGTGGCAGAGTTTATGGAGCAGCTTGGCACAGCCTTGCGACCTGACAAGGTACCGCGAGACATGCGTCGCTGCTGTTTCTGTCATGAGGAGGGTGACGGGGCCACTGATGGGCCTGCCCGTCTGCTGAACCTGGACCTGGACCTGTGGGTGCACCTCAACTGTGCCCTTTGGTCCACGGAGGTGTATGAGACCCAGGGCGGGGCACTGATGAATGTGGAGGTTGCCCTGCACCGAGGACTGCTAACCAAGTGCTCCCTGTGCCAGCGAACTGGTGCCACCAGCAGCTGCAATCGCATGCGTTGCCCCAATGTCTACCATTTTGCTTGTGCCATCCGTGCCAAGTGCATGTTCTTCAAGGACAAGACCATGCTGTGTCCAATGCATAAGATCAAGGGGCCCTGTGAGCAAGAGCTGAGCTCTTTTGCTGTCTTCCGGCGGGTCTACATTGAGCGGGACGAGGTGAAGCAAATCGCTAGCATCATTCAGCGGGGAGAACGGCTGCACATGTTCCGTGTGGGGGGCCTTGTGTTCCACGCCATCGGACAGCTGCTGCCTCACCAGATGGCTGACTTTCATAGTGCCACTGCCCTCTATCCCGTGGGCTACGAGGCCACGCGCATCTATTGGAGCCTCCGCACCAACAATCGTCGCTGCTGCTATCGCTGTTCTATTGGTGAGAACAACGGGCGGCCGGAGTTTGTAATCAAAGTCATCGAGCAGGGCCTGGAGGACCTGGTCTTCACTGACGCCTCTCCCCAGGGTGAGCAGTGGGCCCTTGAAATGGATAATATGGAATGGGAAAAGTTTCTCCCAGGGTCACTGTTACAATGTCTATAAGAGGACCTGTAGCTTCTATGTGAATGATCCTCCTTCCCCCACCTCAGGCAGGCAGGGGGTCTCTTGAAAACTCCCAGTGAAAGTGTTTGAGCCTCTCTTGTCACCCTAAATTCCCTTGTAGTTGAAAATATTTTGCTGGTCTAATCTCACATATTCTAGTTCTGTTGCTATCCCCAGTGGAACAAAAGGAAACAGTTCTGAGACTATCATCTGCCTCACCCAACCTAATCCTAACCAAGTTCCTTGGGGTTGTTTTTCCCTGGACGAAATCAGAATTATTTTGATTTTAGTTTTAGTGTTAATGATAAAATAACAGTAAGAGCAGGTACCTTTTTTTGAGTGTGTACTGTGAGCCACAAACTAAGCTAAGTGATTTGTGTAGTTTATTTTGTTCATACAACCCTATGAGGTAAGTATTATACTACGATTATGCCCAGTTTGTTCATAAAGAAACTGAGTCTCAGATTTCAGTACAGTCGTGCATTGCTAAATGACAGGGATACATTCTGAGAAATGCATTGTTAGGTGATTTTGTCATTGTGTGAACTTCATAGAGTGTACTACACAAACCTAGATGGCATAGCATACTACACACCTAGGCTCTGCGGTATACCCCATTGCTCCTAGGCTACAAATCTGTACAGCATGTAACTGTACTGAATACTGTAGGCAGTTGTAACATACGGTAAGTATGTGCATCTAGACATAGAAAAGATACAGTAAAAATACAGTACAGTATTATAATCTTACCAGACCACTGTTGTATATATGATTCCTCATTGAATGAAATGTTGTTAAGCTGCACGTGACTGTATTTGGCTCAAGGTCTCATGACCAGTACTAGAACCTGAACCCAAGTCTTTCCAACTCCAAAGCATGCCTGCTCTTTCACTAGGGACCTTCCATGGCCTATGCTGGGTCTCCTGGGCCCTGGGTTTGTATCTCAAGGCTCTGTGATGACCCCTTGGGGTTGGAAACCTCCTGCTTCTTAAGAGAGAGTGAGACTAGGAGGCCAAGAGAGGATCTGGAAGACCAACACAACTTCATGATAGGGAGGCTTGAAGGCCTCAGAAAACTGCAGTTCTGGATTGGGGTTAGGGACTGGAGGTCAGTGAGCAGAAGTTGCCTCTGAGGACTGCTCTCTTCCCTGCTTCTTAGCCGTGTGGAATCGCATCATTGAGCCTGTGGCTGCCATGAGAAAAGAGGCTGACATGCTGCGACTCTTCCCTGAGTATCTGAAGGGCGAGGAGCTCTTTGGGCTGACGGTGCATGCCGTGCTTCGCATAGCTGAATCAGTAAGGAAGGGGCTGGGAGCTGGGGGGCTTGGCGGGCACTGAGAACTTTGGCCTAACCCCAAAAAAACTCAGGCTAAGGTGAGTATGAACTGTGCCCACAGCTGCCCGGGGTGGAGAGCTGTCAAAACTATTTATTCCGCTATGGGCGCCACCCCCTTATGGAGCTGCCACTCATGATCAACCCCACTGGCTGTGCCCGATCAGAGCCTAAAATCCTCACACACTACAAACGGTGAGCTTGTGATGCTGGAGCCAAGGGATGTGGGTGTGGGTGTTGACAGGGATCCTCTGGTCCCATTATGAGGATTTAGGATACAGATCAGAGTTCCCGTGGAGAAAATGGGGAATCACTCTTAGACTTCCTAATTAGAGGGCATGCAGGTATTAGTAGGGTATCCTTTTCCTCCTCTCCCAACCTGCTCAGATGCACTTGGGATATAGGACAGAATTATCTTGGGCACCCTGGGGAGGTAATGGGTAAACTGGTGAAATTTTATGAAATATATAAGGGACTTGGTCACCTCTTTCTTCTCCTGTTTTACTTCTGGGGGAGGGCCTGTGATTCTCCCAAACCTCAGATACCCCATGGGTGCTAGGGTCACCTTCCCTTCCCCATGAGTGTTGGTGTCAAAAATAAATAGTTAGAGATATAATAGAAAAATAATAAAACCTTACATTTGTATAGCACTTTATACTTTTTTTTTCAAAGCGTTTTCACATCCATTATCTCATTTGATCCTCACAACAACCTTATGAGGTAGGTAGGGCAGGTGGTATGACCCCCATTTTACAGCTGAGAAAACTGAGACCCAGAAAGATTAAATGACTAGGCAAAGGTCACACAGCTGGGACCAGACCCTTACTTCTTCACTGCAGGTCCTTGTTCTTTCTGTGTACCAGGGACCTTAGTCCCTGGGTAGAGGGAGGCAGAATCTGTGGTAGCAGGGCTTTCTCGAAGGTCTTTGGTGGCTCCTAGGCTGTTGTAGAATGTCAGAGACTCTCCATCCCTAGCCAGCCTTGTCCTTGATGCCCTGCAATGGTGGTTTTCAAACTGTGAGTGCCTGTGTTCCAAAAAGTCCTGGATCACTTAAACTGATGGGTTGAACTTTTCCTTCCCATGCATATCTCTTCCTTCCCCAAATTGGATTAAACCAGAAGAGCTCCATTGTCATCTAGTTTATGTATTGGAGTTCCAGTCAACATTTTGTTAAAGAAAAAAGCAAAGATTTCTGCTAAATAAAAAAAGAACCAGAAACGTTTGAAAACCACTGCTCTGGGATGGCAAGAATTTGGCTGGTGCCCTAAGGTGGTAAAAGGCATCCTGCCAGGCAGCCGTCATTCCCCTGCACTGAGCCATCTGCACAGAGCCCAATGTTATGTCAGAGAAGGGGACAGTCCGAAGAAAGGATACCACCTTTAGGCTGTGAGTTCACAGCCAGTTTTAATTCAAATCTAGCCCAGCGTGGTAGGCACAGTCCCCATTTTCAGGGCTTCCAGTATGTGCAGGAGGTAGGATTCAGACATTCAAGCAAACCATCAGCTTAAATTCTAGGCCTGGGCTGCTTGCGGAAAACTTCCCAGAGGAGCATGGCCTTGAGAATGGTTTGGCAGGAGAGTGGTAGGAAGTGGGAGATGGGAGAACAGGCTCAGTGTAGGGGAATTGGTGCCCCCCATCTCCCTCCACACCCCACCCCTCACCCTGGGCTCTCTGTGCCACCCAGGGTGTCAGAAGGGTCCCTGTAGCTAGTTGCTTCCTCACCAGAGCTGAGACCCAGTTGCCTCTACTCCTTTCCCAAGGCTGCACTTCCAGTGCTTGCCAGCAGCACACGCCCCTAACTGGTGTGTTGCACATCCCAGGAGGTGGCAGAGGAGGTGGGTGGTATGTACT
This sequence comes from Homo sapiens, assembly GCF_000001405.40. NCBI lineage: Eukaryota > Metazoa > Chordata > Mammalia > Primates > Hominidae > Homo > Homo sapiens. The sequence goes on along the minus strand of NC_000012.12, from coordinate 49,022,921 downwards.
TGGTCTGAGGGAGAGCTGTCTTGTCATGGATTATATCACCTCCCAGGCCCCATACCCTGAACAGCACCAGCATGTCTAAGGCATATCAGAGCACCTTCACAGGCGAGACCAACACCCCCTACAGCAAGCAGTTTGTGCACTCCAAGTCATCTCAGTACCGGCGGCTGCGCACCGAATGGAAGAACAACGTGTACCTGGCTCGCTCCCGTATCCAGGGCCTGGGGCTCTATGCAGCCAAGGACCTAGAAAAGCACACAATGGTTATCGAGTACATTGGCACCATCATTCGGAACGAGGTGGCCAACCGGCGGGAGAAAATCTACGAAGAGCAGGTATGAGCTGGCAGAGGGGCCATTGTGGTGCATAGTCTGCACTCAACCAAGGAGCAAGGGCAGGATTGGTCACAGGAGAGCAGGAGGAAAGCTGTGGTGGGGAGAAGGGAAAGGCAGGAGAAATGAAGTACATGCAACAAAAGCCCCCACTGCCTGAGTCTCCTACCTGATCCCACAGCCACCACTGCCACTCTCTGATACTCTTGTCCCTTCTTCTGCAACCTCTGCCTTTCTAGAATCGAGGCATCTACATGTTCCGAATAAACAATGAACATGTGATTGATGCTACGTTGACCGGCGGCCCTGCCAGGTGAGAGATGACGAGGAAGGAGGGATTTAGTGGTCCCTGAGAGTGGCACTCTGGGGGATAGACGAACAAGGAATCAAAATTGTCCCAAGTTAGTTGCCTGACATCCCTGACTCTGTCCCACTGCCCAGGTACATTAACCATTCCTGTGCCCCTAACTGTGTGGCCGAAGTCGTGACATTTGACAAAGAGGACAAAATCATCATCATCTCCAGCCGGCGAATCCCCAAAGGAGAGGAGGTGAGAGGAAGTATCCTGACTGAGTGACAAAGCAGCTCCTCCTCCTTTCACCCCTTCTCTGCCATTCCCTAAATGTGGATTCCTAGGCTGGGCACCTCAGATCATATCTTCTCTGGCCTCCCCTCTTCCTGTGGGGGACTAGCATTGATTCTGCCCTCTTCTCTTTTCAGCTAACCTATGACTATCAGTTTGATTTTGAGGACGATCAGCACAAGATCCCCTGCCACTGTGGAGCCTGGAATTGTCGGAAATGGATGAACTAAGAAGCTTTGAGGCTACCAGGCAGGGGAGTCCCCCTACCCACAACCTCTTCCCTGAAAGGGATGAGGGGGAAGAGAGGTAGCAGCCAGAGCCAGGACCCAGGGTTGGGGCTGCCGGCTGACCCGGAGCCCCTGGAGCAGGAGGCTGGGGCAGAGGGCCCTAGGCCAAGCCCACCCTGGGCACCAGGGACAATCCTCTTCCCCACCACCGGCCCTCAGGCTGGCATCTCTGCCCCCAGCTCCAGGAGGGGCCAGACAGAAGCAGCCATTGGGCATCTCAGGTTTGAGGGGGATATGGGCCGGGAACTACCCAGAAGCATCTGGGAGGCAGCAGGGTGGGGGAAGAGGATGTGTGGCCGGGCCTCACAGCCCTGCTGCTCCCACTGACCTCTCCGGCCCAACTCACGGCTGCAAAGAGACTTGACTAAGCTTGACAATCCCAAAGGCCGGGTCCCACACCTGGCCCTGCCTGCCGGGTCCTGCCCCCACCCTCACCCCCATCCCCCTCCCTCTTGATCTGTCTCTGTTTCCCTCTTTTCCTCTGTGTTTCTGTCTCTCTATGGGTTGTGTTTCCTTGTTTTCCACTCTGACAAATGCAACATGAACGGGAAAGAGGCGCCCAGCTGCCTAGGAGGGCAAGCTGGGCAAGCCGGGCAAGGAGACCCCGCACCCACACCTACCTCATTTAAGTGTTGGATTTTTTGCTGTTTTGAAATGTGAGACCCTCTCCAAGCCCCCTACTGCCCCAACCCTCTCCCCCACCTCACTGCCCTCTTCTGAGTGGGTGGAAGGGGGGTAGGAGGAGGAAGAAAAACAACAACAAAAAATCCATCTTTGTTTTTAATTATGGGCATGGGATGGTGGTTGAGGCAAATGATGATGAAGATTGGGGATGACTGGCCCCTAGTTGCTCTAGGACTTCCTTCTCCATCTGGACATGGGGGCAGGAGGGAGCTAAACCTAGGACCAGGATATCTCCCTCCTGTTTTCCCAACCTCATCATGAGCCTGTTTGCCCTCCAGCCCCTGGACGGGTTGGGTGGGGGGTAGGGTGAGGGCTATCCCTGAGTGGCATGCCCATACCTAGTGAGGCAGGGTGTGGCCCGGAGCTCCCACTTTCCCTCAGTCACCAAACTGCTGCTGGTCTGGTGGGAAGGGGTGGTGATGTGGGGGTGGGGGAGCTTAGTGTCAGCGCGGGGAGGGTGGGGGGTATTTATCTATTTATACATGGGATTGTACATAGTCTTGTGGGGCATGGGGGAGCCGGCTGGAGGTGAGAACCCTCCCCTCTCCCCCCACCCCCCGGGGAGAGCAAATGTAAAACTACTAATTTTTGTGCTTTATATATTCTATATAAATATATCTATTTTCTTTTTACAAAACCAGTTTATAAATGGTAGGGGGGTGTGGGGCGGACACATGGAGCTCCCCTTGTGGGGGGGCCCCCTCCATTACCCGACCTACCGCCCTTTTCCTCACCCCCCACCCCACTCCCCACCCCCTGGCTGTGACTGCTGTAAGATGGGGGTATAGAGGCTGGGCAATTCCCACCCCCTGTTGTATAGTTGGACTATGTTATAACGCACAAAAGAGAGCTGACCCCAGGGGGAGCCAGAGGGTGATGGGTTCCTTGCCTCCCTTTCCTTCCCCTTTCTGCCCAAGCTTGTGCTGCAGTTGAACCTCTTCCTGGGGGTGGGAGTAGGTAAGGGGTGGGTGAGGCCCCAAACCCCTCTCTGGTAGGGAACCGTGGGGATGAAGATGAAGCTTATATGCAGTTCTCTTCTAGGGGCTGTGGGCAAAGGGCATTTTGTAATTAATATTTTCAAGAATCAGATGTCTGGAGTGTAGGGGTGGGCTTGGTGGTGGTGGACGGGCGGGCCTGCTGGAGGGGGAGCTTGGTCGCTGTTGTGATTTTAGGTTTGTTTTTGTTTTGTTTTGAATTTGGGGGGTTGTGGATTGTTGGGGGTAGGGAGATTTTTTTTTTTTAAAGCTGCTTCCTCAACTGTTTCAAGCTGCAAATGTTTAAGAGAATAACAGCCCCCACTCCCACAGGAACCGCTGTAATTAAATCAGACAGTAGGAAGACTGGGCTGCTGCCCTCAAAGCCACAGCCCTTGGATGTTCCTTTTCCGAGAGCAGAAGGTCTAGGCTACAGGGAGGGGGAGATTGGCTCCCGTGAGTCAGGCTGTGTTTGGGGCTTGGGCCCTGGGATTGGGAAAAGGGGATGGGGCAGACTTTGTAAGCATATGCTAGGTATCCGATAGTCCTGTAGAATTTAGTGAAGAAACCTTATACAGTTTTTAATTTTTATATAAACTATAACTCAGACCCAAGCTACAAGGTTGGAATTTTGGTTGGTTTTTTTTTTAAGTACCCTGCCTGTATAATTGCATCAGAATCCCCCACCCCACCCCCCGCCCCCGTGTTTGTATTTTGGGTTGGTTTACACTCGCACATACTCAGTTTTCAGTTTTCCCCTTTACAGTCTTCTCCCCTCACCTCCAGGACCCTCCCCCTTTTTAAAAAATAAATCGCTGACAAGTGTGAATCCCGTGAAGACTTTATTTTGTGTTGTGTGTATCCTGTACAGCAAGGTTGGTCCTTCGTAACAACGGATGAAATGGTTCCCTTTTTTAAAGCGCCCTCTCTCCCTCCACCCTCAGCGCCCCTGTCCTTGGCATGTTTTGTATCAGCGATCATTCTGAACTGTACATATTTATGTTGCGAGAGGCAAAGGGCAAGTTTTGGATTTTGCTTCTTCCAAGTTTGTTTTTAAACGACAAATAAAAAAAGAACATTTTAAATACAAGCGGCTCCGTCCCATGACCCTCGCCGTCAGCCGGATCCGTGCGGTCCGCGAGGACCCGGGGGAGGGCGGTTACCGAGGCCCGCCACCGCCGGAAGGGTGGGTTCCTTGCCTTCCGCCCCAGTCTGGCGACTGCCATGACGTGGGCGGAAGTGGCGTCGCCGCACCGGATGTGGGGCGGGGCCTGCCCCAAGAGAGTTTCCTAAAGCGAGGAAACCAAGCCGGGCGCCTCTTGCAATGGAGACGGTGAGGAGTGCAGGAGGGCGGTCGGGGGCGCTGTGGAGCCTAAGACACCCCCCCAACCCTTAGGAGACCGGGAGGGCCGGGCAGGGGCTGGCGCTGGTGTCTAGCAAACAAAAAGCAGCCGGGTGTCTGCCCTATCCCGTGACCCTGTTCCTCCGCTTCTTCGTTGGGCGCATCTCCTGGAACTGGGCCGCGTCCCCGCCGCCTTTCCGTACGCGGTACCCTTAGCCCAAGCAGGCAGTGACTCCTGGCTCCCTCCTTGGGGCCCACGTATGCCGTGGCAATCTCGGGCCTCCTTTCCTATTGGCACCTCAAGCCCTTTTAGAGGTTTGAGAGCGCAGGGTTGTGAGCCGGCTTTGCTGGGTGAGGCACGGGGCGTCCAGAGGGATCTCCGCTTGCAGGTAGCTCCTGGACCTCGATGGTCTTTCTGTGATCCCTGCAATCCCCGGCAGGAGGACATCTGAAGATCTTTATACTGCGTCCAGTGAAGTCACATTCCCTTAATAAGACCGAGAATTGAGGTTTGCTTGAAAGAGGAAATCTTGCAGTGTTAGAGGCCGATGTGTCCCTGGACAATTTTAGGTCATGGCCCGCTCTGCGACTCTAAGCAGGGGTTTTGGCATAGCTCATTCTTGGCGAGCAGGCATTGACCAATTGTGGCAGGGCCCTGTCACCCTCCCACAGATGCTGCGGGTTGCCTGCTACATGTTTGCACCCACCCTCACTCTCAGGAGTCTTTTTCTAGCGCTCTGTAACCCCTCCCATACACTTCCCTCTCCACAGTTTTTAACCATGTGTCTTCTTTCAGGCAGAGTAACTCTTTCCATCTTGGTTTTTATCATCTGCTACTGTAGTTACGAAAGGACTGCAGGTTCACTTTGCTTTGGATTACATGCCCAGAGTAATTCTTTGCCACACCGTTTCTCTGCTCACAGAGAGGTTGTTTCTTTCAGGTTTTCAAAAAGAAAACCGACCAAAGTACTAAAATGATTCGCAGTTGGTCTCCCAGGCAAGGGAGCCAATTCTGACTAATCAGGATAATCTTAAACAAAAATAAGGAGTCTAATTCCATTAAATTTAAAATGACATGTCATATTCTACTTACTTGTAAATGTATTATGGTTTACAAAGCATTTTTATATAGATTTTCTAATTTAGCCTTTACACTTTATGTACTGGATTAGGCTCTGGGGTAGAAGTTAAAAAGAGGAAAAAGAAAACTCAGCCAGGTGTGGTGGCTCACGCCTGTAATGCCAGTACTTTGGGAGGCCAAGGCAAGTGGATTGCTTGAGCTCAGGAGTTCAGCATCAGCCTGGGCAACATGATGAAAGCCTGTCTCGACAGAAACAAAAATACAAAAATTACCCAGGCGTGGTGGTGGTGGTGTGTGCCTGTAGTCCCAGCTACTCGGGAGGCTCAGGTGGGAGGATCGCTTGATCCAAAGAGGTGGAGGCTGGAGTGAGCTGAGATCATGCCACTGCACTCCAGTCTGAGTGACACAGTGAGATCCTGTCTCCAAAAAAAAAGAAAAGAAAGAAAACTCCTGCTTTGAAAATGTTCAGCCTAACTGGAGTGATGGTGAGGGCAAGCCAGCAACAGCTGTTATTTAAAGGTAGACTATAATAAATGCTGTCATCAATATGAAAACAGAGGACTGTGACAGAATAGCTGAGAGAAAAATTACTTTGGACCTAGGAGAGGGCACTGCAAATTGAGAGAACAGTGTGAGCAAGGGCACTGAAATTGGGGTATGTAGAGAACTGGGGGTGAGCCAGCGGCATGATGTTGCTGGCTTTGGATTTTGGTCACAGTGGGAGAAAAGACTGGAAAAGCAGGCTAAGATCAGGTTGAAGGTATTACACACCATGCTAAATTTGAACTTTGTTTTGTAATAGGGGACCCATGGAAGATTTATGAGCAAGTCAGTGAATGTCCTTTAGGAATGTTCATAGCAGCTTTCTGTACATGGACTGAGCTACTTCGAAAAGTAAAGTTTCTTGTTAATGGGGATGAAAGTCCCTTCCAAATCTGAGATGCTTTGGTGAACAAACTTGGTGAAAGCATGAAAGATAAATTGAAGAACAGATAGATTTGGGCCAAGGACCCCAGTTTAAACAACGTTGCAGAGGTGAGAGGTAAAAGCCTAAATTAAGGCTGTGATATTGGCAATGAGAGAGATGGATCTGAGACATTTCTAACATACCAGCTTAGCTGATAAGTGTTAAGAAGACAGCTGTGCAAAACAAAAAAACAAGATGGGAACCACAGCGAGAATAATAGGATTGGAGGGACAAATGTTTTGTTTCGTATTCAAGCATTTGAGGAGTCTCTGTGACATCTATGGTTGTCAAACAAATAATTGGAAATGTAGATCAGAAGTTTGGAAGAAATTGCGAGTCTATTTGTCAGATGTAGACTGTGTCTCTGTAATATTTTGTACTTGCGTGGTACAGTGGTACTTTCTCAGGTCCCTTATGTTATTAAAAGTAGAAAGGAGGCCAGGAGCAGTGGCTCTTGCCTGTAATCCCAGAATTTTGGGAGGCCAAGGTGGCCGGATCGCTTGAGCCCAGGAGCTCAAGACTAGCCTGGTCAACATAGCGAGACCCCATCTCTACAAAAAAATACAAAAAGTAGCTGGGCCTGGTGGTATGTTCCTGTAGTCCCAGCAGCCCGGGAGGCAGAAGTCGGAGAAGCTGGGGAAGTTGAAGATGCAGTGATCTGTGATCATGCCGCTGCACTCCAGCCTGAATGACAGAGTGACACCCTGTCTCAAAAAAAAAAAAAAAGGTAGAAAGGAGTAGATGTAATTACATAATCCCCCCTCTGATATGGTGAAACAGGCAGAAAGTTAAAAGTCACGGCCAGGCTCGGTGGCGCATACCTGTAATCCCAGCACTTTGGGAGGCCGAGGCGGGTGGATCACGAGGTCAGGAGTTTAAGACCAGCCTGGCCAACATAGTGAAACCCCGTCTCTACTAAAAATACAAAAAAAAACTTAGCTGGGCGTGGTGGCAGGCATCTGTAGTCCCAGCTACTTGGGAGGCTGAGGCAGGAGAATCGCTTGAACCCCGGAGGCGGAGATTACAGTGAGCCAAGATCGCATCACTGCACTCCAGCCTGGGAGACACAGCGAGACTCTGCCCACCCGCCCAAAAAAAAAGTCACATATGCAGTTGTGTTTGACTCTCTTATGTTGGTATCTGTATCTCTAGTTAGCTCTATGTTTCTTTCCTCCCTCTGTAACTTAGTCTTGGGCATATCTGTTCATATCAGTGTGCATCATTCTTTGAGAATTAAAAAACAAAACAACTGTGAATTATATGCAAAACCCTGTGCTTGGTGGTATGGGAGATACAAAGTATAAGATAGTTCTAGGTTTCCAGGAATTTATAATCTGTTTGGATAGATAATGAACAAAATAACTGTAGCACAGTACAGTATATATCATATGATGGGTAAATTCTACAGAAGTAGCTGTTTTTGTGCCTTTGTGTAGATCTTTGTGAGACTCTGATATATCATGTGTCTATCTTTATCACAGCCCTCTCTCCCACTTATAAGTGATGAGGCTGTTGTTCTGATAGTCTTGCCAAAATGGCAGGCCAAGCTGACAGTCTTATGCAGTCCAGTGGGAAGAGGGAGATTATCCCCCTTACTCCCTGCACTCTCCCCTAGCCCATTAAGGGAGAAAAGTTTAGGGCTGTCTTAAACTTCCCTGGTTTAGGAAGTTTGTCAGCCAACCTCCCAGGTTGAAGTTTTTAATGTCATGTTACTACAGAAGCTATGGGGATGAAGTATGGTTTTATTTTGGAGATATCACCCAGAGAAAATGGAGCCAAGACTGTTGATGCTAGCAGATGAAAATTGTTGTGATCCCTTCTGGGTTCCTAAATAACAATGGCATTTCCAAATGTTCCCACTTGAGGGAGCACAGAAATGGTTCTAAGTTTTGTCTAGTCAAAGCACTCTCTAATCTCAGACTATCTTGGGAAGGGAAACTTGGAAAACCAGCATCCCCTGGCTATAGCAGCCTTTGACTCACAAGGGTGCTGAGTGGACTCAAGTTCCCAGTTTCAGTACATTCGTGTTCCTTATCCACCTCTCAGTCATTCAGGTTTTGACTGGCTGACAGTCAGCTACTGGGATCCTCCCCAGTTGTGGCTCTCTCTCTGCCATGGAGCTAGACAATGGTGGAACCAGTGTCTGTGGTTCTAGTGCCTACAACTATGCCTAGTGAGTGTCTGTGTTTGGGGAAGACAATGCTGTCTCTCTGGCTTCCATGTTTTAATAAAGTAGATCTGTGAGAATCTTGTAGGGGTTAGCCCTAAGCTCAGATCTTTAGTCTTAGCTTTTAGGACCTAGTGTTTCATTAGGCAGTATAGTGTACAAGAACATGAGCTTTGCAGATAATGCTCGTTCAGCTCAGAAGTGGATAGAAGCATTTCTGGAAGGCACAATATTGTAGCAGTATTGGTTTCTTCTCTTCTGTGATTCCAGAGAGGTAGAATTTCATCAGAATGGAGTAAATACATTCAAAAATTTTATAAAAATGGCCGGGCGTGGTGGCTCATGCCTGTAATCCCAGCACTTTGTGAGGCTGAGGCGGGCAGATCAGTTGAGGTCAGGAGTTTGAGACCAGCCTGGCCAACATGGTAAAACCCCATCTCTGTTATAAATATGAAAATTAGGTGGGTGTGGTGGTGCACGCCTGTAATTCCAGCTCTCAGGAGGCTGAGGCACGGGAATTGCTTGAACCCAGGAGGAGGCAGTTGCAGTGAGCCAAGATCACGCCACTGCACTCCAGCCTGGGCAACAGAGCAAGACTCTGCCTCAAAACAAAACAAACAAAAAAATTTACAAAAATGAACACTGCCAAGATAAACCCAACCAAACTCTTCATCAGTTATAAGAAATTATTTTGTTAGGTATACGTAGTTTTTTAAAAATTTGTTTTTTCAAGTATGTTATTTATTAAAATTTTGATGTAAACAAAAGCAAACCACAAGCTCTGGAACCAGAAGATAGGTGTTTGAATGCCTACTCCACCCCTTATCAGCCATGTGACCTTGGGCAAGTTGCTTAATGTCTCTTGACCCTCAGAGACAATCTGTGAAAATAAGGCTAATAATAGTATTTACCTCAGGGTTGTTATGAAGATTAAATGAGATCATATTTCTGAAGAGCCTTATAAGGCTGGGTGCAGTAACTCGTGCCTGTAATCGTAGTGCTTTGAGAGGCCAAGGAGGGCAATCACTTGAGCCCAGGAGTTCAAGACCAGCCTGGGCAACATGGCAAAACTCCATCTCTACTAAAAATACAAAAATTAGCTGGGTATAGTGGCTTGCACCTGTAGTCCCAGCTACTCAGGAGGCTGAGGTGAGAGAGGATCACCTGACCCCGAGGAGGTCAAGGCTGAAGTGAGCTGTGATCACACCACTGCACTGCAGCCTGGGTGACAGAGCGAGACCTTGTCTCAAAAACAAAAAAAAAAGGGTTTGGCGGGGGCAGTGGCTTTATAGTGCTTTAAAGAAAGTCATTATTTGTTCACCAGCCCTTCCCCTAATGTTGCTAGGCTAAAATGGATGGAACCAGGTTAAGCTGAATCTGTTTTCTTATCTCTCCAGGTCATTTCTTCAGATAGCTCCCCAGCTGTGGAAAATGAGCATCCTCAAGGTAAGTTTACTGAAGAAAGGAAACTGGGCATGAAAACAATAGCCTGACCCTAACAATGTCTTCAACAATGCTTTTGAATCTCTCCCCTGGAAAAATCAAAGCAGGGCCAGATAATGTGCCAAACCACAAAAATCAGTGACAGTAGTTTGGCAAGATCACCCAGGAATAAATCTTGGGCAGAGTGGGGATGATTAATATCTTCAATTATCAAACCACTTGAGAGAAACATCTGAGGTACAGGCAAAACTTCCATAGGCAACTCTGGGCTGGCTACCATGTTTTAGAAGTCCTGGGTATTTTCTGCATAGTCCAGAAACAGTGCTACCAGGATTTTATCACCCAGCAAGCTCACTAAAGCCACTGAATGTACACCAAAAATTATGCAAAGGGCTTGGTGCAGTGGCTTACACCTGTAATCCCAGCACTTTGGGAGGCCGAGGCAGGTGGATCACTTGAGCTCAGGAGTTTGAGACCAGCCTGACCAACCTGGTGAAACCCTGTCTCTACTAAAAATACAAAATCAGCCAGGTGTGGTGGCGCATGCCTGTAATCCCAGCTACTTGGGAGGCTGAAGCACAATTGCCTGAACCAGGGAGGCAGAAATTGCAGTGAGCCAAGATCGTGCCATTGCACTCCAGCCTGGGCAACAAGAGTGAAACTTCGTCTCAGAAAAAAAAAAAAAAGAAAGAAAAAAATTAGGAAAAGGCTCTTAGAACTAATCTAGTAATAGAAGCACTAAACCTCTAAAATCCAGAGCACAGGGAAGACAGTTCCAATGCTGGCCAGTGCCTATTTTATGTTTCTGAGTACATTTGCATTAGCACCAAGGCAGAAACTAGAAACTCAAATTGCCTACATGGACCAAGCAGTGAAGTGAACTACATATGAAAAGAAGGCGACAGCTGGGCCGGGCATGGTGATTCATGACTGTATTCCCAGCACTTTGGGAGGCCAAGGTGGGTGGATCACCTAAGGTCAGAAGTTGAAGACCAGCCTGGCCAACATCGTGAAATCTTGTCTCTACTAAAAATAAAAAATTAGCTGGGCGTGGAGCTGCATGCCTGTAATCCCAGCTACTCGGGAGGCTGAGGCAGGAGAATTTTTAGAACCTGGGAGGCAGAGGTTGCAGTGAGCCGAGACTGTGCCACTACACCCCAGCCTGGGCGACAGCACAAGACTCTGTCTCAAAAAACTAAAGGCAGCTGGGTGTGGTGGCTCACGCCTGTAATCCCACCACATTGGGAGGCCAAGGCAGGTGGATCACCTGAGGTCACAAGTTACAGACCAGTCTGATCAACATGGTGGAACCCCATCTCTACTAAGTAGAAAAAATTAGCTGGGCTTGATGGTGGGCGCCTATAATCCCAGCTGCTTGGGAGGCTGAGGCAGGAGAATCACAGAATCGCTTGAACCTGGGAGGCAGATTTTGTTGCAGTGAGCCGAGATCATGCCATTGTACTCCAGCCTGGGCAACAAAAGTGAAACTCCGTCTCAAAAAAAAAAAAAGGCGACAACTATCTAGGTCTGGTCAACTAAGACCTATTTTTGCCAGATCTTCAAGTCTGGGCACAGTGTAACACCAGCACTTTGAGAGGCCAAGGCAGGAGGATCACTTGAGCTCAGGAGTTCGAAACCAGCCTGGATAACTTAGTGAGACCCTGTCTCTACAAAAAATTAAAAATTTTTTGCACTCCAGCCTGGGCAGAGAGTGAGATCCTGTCTCAATTATAAACAAACAAACACTGAGAAAGCCAAATCCAATATGTTTATGGGCCTGTGGCCTGAATGATAGTATTTAACTATCAATGTAGTGTATGTATCTTCAACTGGTGTCCAAAGACATGTTCTTGGGAGTCTGAATTCTCAAGTTTGAATAACAATGGTAGGCTTCCAGTTAAAGACGGTAGATTGGTAGATTGGGCTGCGCGTAGTGGCTCATGCTTGTAATCCCAGCACTTTGGGAGGCTGAGGCGGGTGGATCACTTGAGAACAAGAGTTTGAGACCAGCCTGGCCAACATGGTGAAACCCCGTCTCTACTAAAAATATAAAAATTAGCCAGGCATGGTGACATGTGCCGTAATCCCAGCTACTTGGGAGGCTGAGGCATGAGAATCGCTTGAACTCAGGAGGAGGAGGTTGCAGTGAGTGGAGATCGCACCACTGCACTCCAGCTTGGGTGACAGAGCAAGACTCTGTCTCAAAAAAAAAAAAAGGTGGTACATTGAATATATATTCCCAAAAACTCCCCTAAAACCACCATAAAGGAATTTTTTTAAAGAAAAAGACACAAACACACCATAGGGAAAACAGGAGAGGAGATAATAGCAATGAATTTTTGGAAGCTGAAAAGCAGACAAAAGAGTGATGAATGACTTAGACCTGAGAAAACTGAATTATAACTAGCAGTGAGGAAAGCCAAGAAGCATTGAAGGTCTAAGAAACAGTCAGATCCCAAGACACCCTACCCCATTGAGTACAGTGGGCAACTCTGCCTCCCAACTGTGGCAGAGACTGGAAATCTGGCAAGGGACTCGGGCACAGCTTAGGGCTGAAGTACTGCACTGAAAACAGGAGCATGTAGTGAACTATACTCGATGCTGAGCCTCCAGCCCTTTCCCCCTTTTCAGTTTCCAGAGCGCTGGCAGAAGAGCCTTCACCCTCCAAGCATGAAATTGAATAATCCTTCTCTCCAGAATCCTCTTGAAGGGAAGTCCTAAAATATATAAGTATTGAATGTTCCCTATCCAAATGACTCACTGTCAGCAAGGCTCACTTACACACTTAGAGCTTCCACTCAGCTTTAAAGCCTCCACTCTTAAGTTATGGTTTAAGTTCTCCTTTAAACTAGGGATTACCAAACATCTAAAGAAAGGATCTGTGAAAAAAAGTGATCCAAACTGCCCCCCACCCCACTCTGGAATGTACCTTTGTTTTACTCTGAAGGCTGTATCTCCCTGGTAAAAAATAAATAAAAATGAAAAAGCAAACTGCCTCTCCCAACCTCATGTACACACAGAAGAAACAAACAGGAAAAAAGCAACTGGAAGGAAAAGATGAGAAGAAAACTTTAATAACATTAATATAATCTTAGATAAAGGAACATATTTCTCAATACCTGTGAAAGTAGTATATCTTTAAAGAAAACAACAGCCGGGCACGGTGGCTCACGCCTGTAATCCCAGCACTTTGGGAGGCCGAGGCAGGCAGATCACCTGAGGTCAGGAGTTTGAGACCAGCCTGCCCAATATGATGAAACCCTGTCTGTACTAAAAATACAAAAATTAGCTGGGCATGGTGGCATGTACCTGTAATCCCAGATACTCGGGAGGCTGAGACAGGAGAATCGCTTGAACCCAGGAGGTGGAGGTTGCTGTGAGCCGAGATTGCACCATTGCACTCCAGCCTGGGCAACAAGAGTGAAACTCTGTCTCAAAAAAACAAAAACAACAACAACAAAAAACCTTATTTCCACCATGAAACAAGTATAGGATACAATTTTTTAAAGAAGGAATTTTCAGAAAACAAAAAGGAACTCTTGGAAATTAAAAATATAGTAGCAAAAATTTAAACCCAGCTGGAGGTTTCAAAAATCAACATGAGGAAATTTCCCAGAAAGGAGAGTTAAAAATCAACAAAGTAGAAAATAGGAGAGAAGGTGCAGTGGCTCATACCTGTAATCCCAGCACTTTGGGAGACTGAGGCGGGAGGCCAGGAGTTCAAGACCAGCTCAGCAACACAGCAAGACCCTGTCTCTACAAAAAAATAAAAATTAGCCAGGCATAGTGGCATACACTTGTAGTCCCAGCTACTCAGGAGGCTGAGATAGGAGAATTGCTTGAGCCCAGAAGGTCAAGGCTGCAGGTGAGCCATGATCTCGCCATTGTACTCCAGCCTGGGTAACAGAATGAAAGCCTGTCTCTTTAAAAAAAAAAAAAAAAAAGGAGAGGAAAGATTCCAACAACCCACAAAACAAACAAACATTTAAAGGATCAGTCTAGGAGGTCCAGTATCTAAATAGGAGTCATAGAAAAAGAAAAATGGCAACACAGAGGGAAGGAAATAATTGAGGAACTAATTCAAGAACATTTATTGGAACTTGAGGACATTAGTTTTCATATTGAAAGGACCCATCGAATATTCAGCACAATGGATGAAAGTGACCCACCCAAAGCACAGTCATCCTGAGATTTCAGAACACTGGAAACAGAGATCCTATGAGTTTTCAGAGAGAGGAAAAAAAAGTCACATACAAAAAGTCAGAATTGCCTTGGACTCTCAACAACACCAGCAGCTAGCAGGCAATGGAGCAATGCCTTCAACATTCTGCAGGAAAACACATTCCAAGCTTTCCTGCAGATTCTCTATTCAGCCGAATTATAAATCCAAGGATGAGGGTAGAATAAAGATATCTACAGGCTGCAAGGTCTCAAAAACACATACCTCCCATGCACCCTTTCTCAGGAAGCTACTGGAAGATGTGTTCCACCAAAATAAGGGAGTAATCAAAAAAGATAAAAACGCGATATAGGAGCACCAGTAGAGGACAGACGTGAAAGGGGTACCCAGGATGGTGATGAAGAAAGATCCCAGGATGACAGCAGTGCACACCAGACAAACCAGCCCAGATTTGAGCAGGTCAGAAGGCTCCAGGGAGATTTCTTTGGGTAGTTTAAATTTTGATAGACTGTCTAATGCTTTTGAACCTCTTAAAAGGAGATTTAAATAGTTGGTGAAGCATTTGGGGGTTGGATTAGTTATAAGAATTATACATAGAAAATTAAACAAAAGGACAAGACATTAACTCCAGGTAAAACAAAGTTGTGAAGGAAGAAAAAAAAATCAGAGTTTACTATTTGGCTTATCTCTGAATAATAAATATTCAGTCAAAATGATTTAAATACTGGCCGGGTGCAGTGGCTCATTCCTGTAATCTCAGCACTTTGGGAGGCCAAAGCGGGCAGATCACATGAGGTCAGGAGTTCGAGATCAGCCTGGCCAATGTGGTGAAACCCTGTCTCTACTAAAATACAAAATTTAGCCGGGCATGGTGGCGGGCACCTGTAACCCCAGCTACTTGCGAGGCTGAGGCAGGAGAATCGCTTGAACCTGGAAGGCTGAGGTTGTAGTAACCTGAGATCGTGCCACTGCACTTCAGCCTGGGTGACAGAGCAAGACTCCCTCTCAAAAAAAAAAAAAAAAAAGATTGAAATACGGATATAACCAACATTATGGTTTAGCTCCTGGAATAATGAGGAGAATGGGAAGTACGTGTTTGTGGTGGAGTCCTAGTAGGAGAGAGAACTAGAAATTCTCATCTTCTTTGGTAGATAGATGATAAATAATGCCCCAAAATGAAAAAAAAAATGGAAACTAGCAATACAAGCATGTTATTTAAGGACATAGAATTAAGTACCAAAATAATCAACTAAGGTAGATAGATGTTCTCATCTCTGGGGAAGGGTAGTACAGGGAGGTGGGTTGCAAGGAGTGCAATTTTTTCTTAACAAAATTTGTAAAACTGTTGGACTGATTTAACTGTGTGTCTATATAACTTTGGTTAAAAAAATAAATATTAAAAACCAAATTGATTAAAGACTTAAGAGCATGAAGTTTGGAAACAGATCTGGGTTTGTTTGAGTCTTTCTTGCCACTTATTAATGGTGTGACCTTGAGCAGTTTATTTAACTACACCTATTTTCTCATCTGAAACATGAGGACATTACTTACACATTTGTTGTAAGGATTAAATTATGTAATTTTTTTTTTTTTTTTTTGAGACGGAGTCTCACTCTGTCGCCCAGGCTGGAGTGCAGAGGCACAATCTCGTCTCACTGCAACCTCCACCTCCTGGGTTCAAGCAATTCTCCTGCCTCAGCCCCCTGAGTAGCTGGGACTACAGGCACGTGCCACCACGCCTGGCTAATTTTTATATTTTTTTAGTAGAGACGGGGTTTCGCCATGTTGGCCAGGCTGGTCTCAAACTTCTGACCTCAGGTGATCCACCCACCTTGGCCTCCCAAAGTCCTGGGTTACAGGTGTGAGCCACCACGCCCAGCCAATGTAATTTATTTATTTATTTATTTATTTTTTTGACACGGAGTTTCACTCTTGTTGCCCAGGCTGGAGTGCAATGTTGCGATCTCGGCTCATCGCAACCTCTGCCTCCCGGGTTCAAGCAATTCTCCTGCCTCAGCCTCCCGAGTAGCTGGGATTACAGGCATGCGCCACCATGCCCGGCTAATTTTGTATTTTTAATAGAGACAGGGTTTATCCATGTTGGTCAGGCTGGTCTTGAACTCCCGACCTCAGGTGATCCTCCCACCTTGGCCTCCCAAAGTTCTGGGATTACAGGCATGAGCCACCACGCCCAGCCTCAATGTAATATTTTTAAGTGCACGTAGTATAGTATGTAGCACATTCAAGCTATTATTTTGGGAGATTACTTCCCTAGTTTAGAGCAAGCAATTAAAATCACAGGAATAGAAAAAGGTAAACTAGCCAGGATCTCCCATTTGTCTAGAGTAGGTGGGATGATTTCTGATTTACAGGGTGATCCCAGAATGGACTATCAGGGTGTTTTGAGCCAGGTTGATTGAGCACTGGGCTCCAACTTATTGTTAATGAGAAATGGCCCAACTTGGACCATGACTTTCCCATTTGCAGGTCTTAGAATAATTTTTTTTTTAATTGAGACAGGGGTTCGCTGTGTTGCCCAGGCTGGCCTCGAGCTCCTGGGTTCAAGTGATCCTCTGCCTCAACTTCCTGAGTAGCTGGGATTACAGGTGCTTGCCACCATCCCCAGCACAGTCTTGGAAGAATTTTAAGAAGCTTACTTCATTGAAAAAAGAGGAAAGTGAAAATGTGCTAAGTATATGAAAGGGAAAGCTTGGATTAAAGATGAGAAACATTTTTAGACTATAACATGTTAAAGAGAGATACTATAGGCTTTATGTTTTAGTCAACTTCTTTTACCTATAGGGACCAATAGATAAAGTCTTAACCTGGAGACAGGGGTTGGATGAAATGGTTTCTAAGAGGTTTATCCAGGTTTTGTGGAAACAATAGGAACAAGACAGATAAAATAAGGGGTCTTATTAAAAAATAATGCTCTAAATATTTGAGATACTAGAACACTATTTTGTTTTCTGTCTCTTTTGATTGGGAGTTTTTATGTGGAAGGAAGCTACTAACTATCCCACCCTATGCAGAGACCCCAGAATCCAACAATAGCGTGTATACTTCCTTCATGAAGTCTCATCGCTGCTATGACCTGATTCCCACAAGCTCCAAATTGGTTGTATTTGATACGTCCCTGCAGGTGGGTGAAATCCTCTTTTCCCTTCCCCCTTTGGAGCCTGTGGTTTAATACCTCTCATCCTATCTCATCCTAAGGGTAATATCCTTATCCTTCTGTGAAGTTAGTCTCATGTTTTACCCAACATGCCCAAACACTGTTCTTTTTTTACAGTCCTGCCCCTGTGGATTTGCCTTTATGATTATTACTGTCTTGGCTACAGGTGAAGAAAGCTTTTTTTGCTTTGGTGACTAACGGTGTACGAGCTGCCCCTTTATGGGATAGTAAGAAGCAAAGTTTTGTGGGTAAGCAAAAGTTTCTGGAACACAATATTATTGGCATCTTGTGCTGGGCAGGGAGACAAGCTTCAGGCAGTGCTGAGGGCTCTGTCTTGTCCTCTAGGCATGCTGACCATCACTGATTTCATCAATATCCTGCACCGCTACTATAAATCAGCCTTGGTAAGGAACCTTAACCCAATGACCAAAATCACTTTCCCTGCCCTAAATCCCTCATTCTCATTTCTTTTTCTCCAAGCAAGCCACGAGGGCTTAAGGAAGCAGAGAGATCAGGTCTCAAATTCTGTTGCTTCTGCTTTCAGGTACAGATCTATGAGCTAGAAGAACACAAGATAGAAACTTGGAGAGGTATGTAGAGAATTGGGGTTATAAAAGGATAAAGGGATGGCGGGTTTCTGGGAAACACTTTTCCATGGTGGTATTTTGTGACCCATCCCTTTTCCCTTCAGAGGTGTATCTCCAGGACTCCTTTAAACCGCTTGTCTGCATTTCTCCTAATGCCAGGTGAGTTCCAGTTACCCATCTGTCCAAAAAGCGGAAGAGATTTTGTCATCAGCCTAGCTAATGCCCTAGACACCCAGGGAAAGGGGAAGAAGAGAGAAAAGACACACACACACACACACACACACACACACACACACACACACACACACAGTCTCTCTCTCTCTCTCATTCTCACTCTCTCTCTCTCTCTCTTTCTCTTTAAGTCTGGCCTGTACACTGCCCCCCTTCCCTAACCATCAGTTTTCCCTGTTGAGCAATACACTGTATGGACCTGTTTAATCACCCCCAGCCCCAGCACTGTGGAACTTATTATCTCCCACCCTCTCACAGCTTGTTTGATGCTGTCTCTTCATTAATTCGGAACAAGATCCACAGGCTGCCAGTTATTGACCCAGAATCAGGCAATACTTTGTACATCCTCACCCACAAGCGCATTCTGAAGTTCCTCAAATTGTTTGTAAGTGCTCCTCAGCCCAGTTCTTTTTTCTCTTTTTTCATTGATTGATTGATTGATTGATTGAAAAGAGAGACGAGGTCTCACTGTGTTGCTCAGGCTAGTGTCAAACTCCTGAGCTCAAGTGATCCTCCCGCCTCAGCCTCCCAAAGTGCTAGGATTACAGGTGTGAGCCACTGCATCCAGCCCCACTTCTTATTTATTTATTAATTTATTTTGAGACAAGTTCTTACTCTGTTGCCCAGGCTGGCGTGCAGAGGCGCTATCATGGCTCACTGCAGCCTCCAACCTCTTGGTCTCAGGTGACCCCCGACCTCAACCCCCAGAAGAGCTGGGACTACACGTGTGTACCACCACACCTGGCTAATTTTTTGGTATTTTTTATAGAGATAGGGTTTTGCCATGTTGCCCAGGCTGGTCTCGAACTCCTGGGCTCAAGCAATATGTCCCCCTCAGCCTCCCAAAGTGCTGGGATTATAGGCATAAGCCGGCGCACCCAGCCCTTATTTCTAATATACTGGGTTGGAGGGGGTATCCAAGGGTGGCTTTGGGTGCCTTGAAAGTTAAGCTGATGGTTCTTTCCTCAGATCACTGAGTTCCCCAAGCCAGAGTTCATGTCCAAGTCTCTGGAAGAGCTACAGATTGGCACCTATGCCAATATTGCTATGGTTCGCACTACCACCCCCGTCTATGTGGCTCTGGGGATTTTTGTACAGCATCGAGTCTCAGCCCTGCCAGTGGTGGATGAGAAGGGTGAGAGATTGGGCAGAAGGAGAGGGAGGGAAGATCCAGGCAAGTCAGGGTGGCTCTGGGAAGATCTGCTTTCCCCTCAGCTTAGCCAGGAGGGTGATTCTATGAGTAGGGGGAGCTTTAGATCCCAGATCCTCCTTACTGAGCTGCCTCTGTCCCCCTAGGGCGTGTGGTGGACATCTACTCCAAGTTTGATGTTATCGTGAGTGATTGTGGAGGGTCTGGGAGGTAGGGAAGTGGTGGGGGGGGGGCACTGTTAAATATGGAGAGGGAGAAGGGAGTCTCTTCTGTGATCTAAGGGTCTTAGAAGCTTCCAGGCTTTCAAATCCTATTTGAAAAGGAATTGAATGAGTTGGGTGTGGCTTGTGGCTGACAATTGCCCTGAATCCCTCTGTTGAGGTTGGATGGGTTCAGGGTTTGGAGGCTGGCTCTCTTGCTTCCCTGCAAGCTCCTTCCTCTGTCTCCCCAGAATCTGGCAGCAGAAAAGACCTACAACAACCTAGATGTATCTGTGACTAAAGCCTTGCAACATCGATCACATTACTTTGAGGGTGTTCTCAAGTGCTACCTGCATGAGACTCTGGAGACCATCATCAACAGGCTAGTGGAAGCAGAGGTAGGGAGGCCAGCAACCCTAAAGGAGCTGAGGGGAGCAGCCTTGAGAGTGGGGTTTGGCAAGGAGAGTAGGGGCAGAGGGGCTTCCCCTGAGGCCAGCACTAAACATTCCCTTTCTCCCTTGTTGCTCTGTGCCAGGTTCACCGACTTGTAGTGGTGGATGAAAATGATGTGGTCAAGGGAATTGTATCACTGTCTGACATCCTGCAGGCCCTGGTGCTCACAGGTGGAGAGAAGAAGCCCTGAGCTGGGGGAAGGGGTCATGCAGCACCAGGGGATATGCCCAACTCACTGCCTGCTGGAAGCTCTGTGGGAATCAGATGAAACTTGAGGGAATTGTGACTCTGTTCCCTGTTCAGGGTCCCCTGCCCTTCTATCTGGGAGCTAGGGAAGGTATGGGGGAGGAAAGAGAATGGATTTATAGCTACCCTTACCCTCACACATACACTTGAAAAAACTTTCAGCCTAGCCAGTTCTAGCCCCTGTCCTCTTAGATATATCCCCCTTTCTGGGTGAACTATAGGCTCTGTGCCTCTCAGACAAATTCTGATCTCTAAGAGATCCCCAGACCTCACTTGCCTCTGCCTCCATCTTGGCCCTGATTCAACCCTAAGATAATAGCACAACAAAATTCTTCATAAAGATATTTTTATTCACCTGTTCCGTGCTATATGGAGGAGGCCAAGTCCATTTAGTGACATTTCTTCCCATAATGTGAGTGGGGAGGATTGTGGGGAGGAGGGGCTTTGGGTTCCTGTGTTTGTGCATATGAAGGGAGATGGGGGTTAGGTGGAGGAGGAGAGCAGCGTGGTTAGCTAAGGTTATTGCTTTTTGTGGCAAATCTAATTAAATGACAGGAATCTCTTCACGATATTGCAGTGTTTGATTTTTACAGTTGATGGGTACTACCTTCCTACTTTATATGGCTTCTTCAACTGGTCATTAACAATAATAATAACGTGTGTACGCACACACACACGTACACACACACGAGTAGACAGACTTGAGGGTCTCCTTTGGGCAGAGAATCCTGCCACCATTATCAGCTTTTCTTAGTTGGGGAAGGTTGGACTGTTTGGCTTTTGCTGAGTTGGCACTATCTTTTTTTTTTTTTTTTTTTTTTTTTTTGAGATGGAATCTCACTCTGTTGCCCAGGTTGGAGTGCAATGGCGCAATCTCAGCTCACTGCAACCTCCGTCTCCCGGGTTCAAGTGATTCTCCTGCCTCAGCCTCCTGAGTAGCTGGGACTACAGGCGCGCGCCACCACGCCCAGCTAATTTTTGTATTTTTTAGTAAAGACGGAGTTTCACCCATATTGGCCAGGCTGGTCTCGAACTCCTGACCTTGTGATCTACCTGCCTCAGCCTCCCAAAGTGCTGGGATTACAGGCATGAGCCACCGCACCCGGCCAGCACTATCTTTAAACCTACAAATCCCTTGCCTCTTCCAAGGTGAGAATGAGCTGGATGGTGGGAGAACAGCAGGGCAGTGGTCACTCCATCAGATCCATTCCCTGTATTGAAAGCATGTAGACCCAAACAGCAGTCAGCACCCAACATCAGAAGAACTGCTAGACTGGAGTATGAGCTAAATTTGGGTGCCAGCTCACCCCAGCCTTGCAGGTATGATACAGTTTCCCATCCAAGCCAGGAGCAATTTCGGAGTCATTCCTTGCCCCTGCCCCACAGTGCCTAACCCCTCTGATAACCCTCCAGCCAGGGCATACTGGGTTCTCCTGATGGAACACAGGGAAAAGCATCAAGGCCCTCATCAGATTCGACCTGAGGAAGCTTATTTTAAAAAAAGAAGGTGGCCCTCATCAGAGCTCAGCTTTCAGTGTTGCATCATGGCTGTGGAGGAGCCCCTGCTTCTGCCTTCACCCCTTTACAGCTCTCACAGCACATTCTCAACCTTGGGGGAGGAAGGCTTCCAAGTTATTAGAATTAGAGTATGTTTATGTGTCAGGAGGGTAAGCACATGGTGGAAAGGACAGATGGCCCCTTATGTCACATTCCCTCATTAAGGAAGATTTGCCTAGGGAGGAGGCAAGGGCTTTAAAAAGCCTCAGGACTCTAGTGGGACCTAGGGTGGAAGGAAGCATCTTCGAGTCAAGTCATCAGTGCAGCTGGCAGGTGTGTGGAATCAAGGGGGGTAGGGTGGATGGGACGGGATGTTTGCGTTCTCTCTAAAGGTTTGTGTTAGGGAGCAGAGACCTGGTTTTGTTGAGTTGTTTCTCAGTCTGTCAGTCTCTGCCCCACAACCTTTCTGGTTGTTCCCCATCCCCTTAAAAGGAAGGGTCTGGACCCAAAGGGCTCCATGTACATTAGTGGAAAACTAATTGGGAACTCTTGCTTCTCCCATTTCCCTCTAAAACCCAACCTATCCGTCTCAGTGTGAGGATGAAGCTGAGGGAGAGACAAGGGATGAAATTTGGGAGACTCACAAGCTTCTATTCTTACCTATTCCTCTCCAGAGAGGCAAATTATCCCTTCTTCCCGAGGAACCATGCCCCACACACTCTCCCCTCTCTCTGCACTGCTCCCCTCCACTGAAGCTGCTGCCATGGTTGCCAGGCATGGTTGCTAAGTCTCTGCATGGAAGGGTTGGCGTGGGCTGTGCTGCCACTAACATTACCATGGTGAATCAGGGGACACCTGGTATAAGCTTAGGAGGAGGGATCATGTGGATATAAGCAACAGCCCCCCAGGACAGAGGCAGCCCAAAAGGTGAGCATCTGGAGCACCACTTAAGGTGGGGACTGAGTGAACTAGGCATTGTGGTGGTGGTGAGGGGGAGTTCTACATTGAAAAAAATAAAGGCCACTTTTATCATTTCAGTTGCTAGGGGATTAGTTTTGCCAAGCAAACACATCATTTCTCCTCCATCCCCCTCTGGAAGGGTGAGAGTGCATAAGCACTTACTCTGTCCTCCATAAAGCTGGGCAGGCTGTGTGGGCACAGAACAATATAACCCCCAAATCCTGGCTTCTGGATTGGAGGTGAAAGCCTGCTGCTGTGGGAGGGCTCCCTGGCTGCCCAAGGACAAACATGTAGAATGGAACTGGTAGGGCAGCTTGGGTGGCCAAGGCAGACGCCTGTGTCCTGCTGTACCAGCAGTCCTAGGCTGCAGCACTGAGCTGACAAGGAGATACGGGTGTAGGGGTCACCCTTTTTGAGCTTAGGGAAGGCAGCTCTCCCTCAGAGTCGCACAAAAGCTTGGTAAAAGCCACCGCCTCCTCTCTCCACCGCATGGGAGCTGGTTACTCATCTCATCTCTGCACCCGAACAGCCACTGCCGCTAAAAATAGCCCCCCAGCCGTGGGCCAGCCCCTCCTGCACCCCAGCCCCATGGAAACCAGCAGAGTGGCAGGCAGAGACCTTGAGTTCCAATCTCATCACTCTATGTTGGGGAAACTGAAATCTGAGGCAGGAAGCCAGGGGCAGAACCCTGGTGGTCAGGCAACCTGACAAGCAGGAGAGTAAAGGGTTAAAACGGCAGGAAGGTTGAAGAAATAGGGGCGGGGGAGGGGGCACTGTCAGCTTGGCAAGAATCATAAGTCCCTCCCCCGCCCACTCGTGCGATCCCATCAGGCTTGGGGGACAACAGCAGTGGGAAGGGGCGTCCAATCCCGGGCCCCAGGGGGCGGCCGTGCACATGGGGGAGGTAGCAGCGCGGAGCAGTCCGCGCGGTGTCACATGCGCGCGCACACACAGAGACAGGCACACACACGTGTGCCCGGGTATATATAGTTCCCAGTCCCCGGGCCCGCGGCTCTGCAGTGGGCGCCGGCTCCCTGGGCTGGGAGGGGGCTCCTGGGGCGGGTGGGAGGGTGGGGGGCCGGGGTGGGGTGGGGCAGGATGCTGGATGGCCCACTGTTCTCCGAGGGGCCTGACAGCCCCCGGGAGCTCCAGGATGAGGAGTCTGGCAGCTGCCTCTGGGTGCAGAAGTCCAAGCTATTGGTGATAGAAGTGAAGACTATTTCCTGTCATTATAGTCGCCGCGCCCCTTCTCGACAGCCCATGGACTTCCAGGCCAGCCACTGGGCTCGCGGGTTCCAGAACCGCACGTGAGTGAAGCAGGGGTGAGGGGAAGAGAGTGGTGGGGCGGGGAGTGGGGTCCGGACCTCCCCGCAGGCACCAGCGAGCACTGCTGGTCCCCCTTCTCTTTCCCACGCCTTCCACCTCTGCCCGCTCCCGAGGGCTGGGGCCTGACTCATCCCGTTGTTTGGGGGAACAGAAGTGGGTGTGAGAAAGGGCAGGAGGTGAGATGGGGCAGACGCTGTTAAAGTGTGCATGGAGAGATGGCGAGGAGTCCCGCTTCGACTTCAGTCCTAACATATACGCACGTGCACACGCGCACACACTCACACACACCCCTTCACATGGCTGCCCCAAGTGGTCTCCAGTGCTCCCAGCTCCCCGGACCTCGGCTCCCTTCCCCCACAAACTGCTCACCTGGGTTCCTGCTCATTGTCCCAGGTGTGGGCCGCGCCCGGGATCCCCACAGCCGCCGCCCCGCCGGCCCTGGGCCTCCAGGGTGCTGCAGGAGGCGACCAACTGGCGGGCGGGGCCCCTGGCCGAGGTCCGAGCTCGGGAGCAAGAGAAAAGGAAAGCGGCGTCGCAGGAGCGGGAGGCCAAGGAGACCGAGCGAAAAAGGCGCAAGGCTGGTGGGGCCCGACGGAGCCCCCCGGGTCGACCCCGCCCGGAGCCCCGCAACGCCCCTCGGGTGGCCCAGCTGGCAGGGCTCCCTGCTCCCTTGCGGCCGGAGCGCCTGGCGCCTGTGGGGCGAGCGCCCCGTCCATCCGCGCAGCCGCAGAGCGACCCAGGGTCGGCGTGGGCGGGGCCCTGGGGAGGTCGGCGGCCCGGGCCCCCAAGCTACGAGGCTCACCTGCTGCTGAGAGGTTCTGCCGGGACCGCCCCACGACGCCGCTGGGACCGGCCGCCACCCTACGTGGCTCCACCTTCTTACGAAGGCCCCCATAGGACCTTGGGGACTAAGAGAGGCCCCGGGAACTCTCAGGTGCCCACTTCATCAGCCCCAGCTGCGACTCCAGCCAGGACAGACGGAGGGCGCACAAAGAAGAGGCTGGATCCTCGGATCTACCGGGACGTCCTCGGGGCTTGGGGTCTCCGACAGGGGCAAGGTCTCTTGGGGGGATCCCCAGGCTGTGGAGCGGCCAGAGCAAGGCCAGAGCCCGGCAAGGGGGTCGTGGAGAAAAGCCTGGGGCTGGCTGCTGCTGACCTGAACAGTGGTAGCGACAGCCATCCCCAAGCCAAAGCTACAGGGAGCGCAGGCACCGAGATAGCTCCTGCGGGGTCTGCAACTGCGGCTCCCTGTGCCCCGCATCCCGCTCCCAGATCCAGGCACCACCTCAAGGGCTCGAGGGAAGGGAAAGAAGGAGAACAGATCTGGTTTCCCAAATGCTGGATTCCCTCCCCTAAAAAGCAGCCGCCCCGCCATAGCCAGACACTCCCCAGACCCTGGGCTCCCGGAGGCACCGGATGGAGAGAATCTCTGGGTCTTGGAGAGGGGGCAGGACCGGAGACCCTGGAGGGTTGGAAGGCGACCCGCCGTGCCCACACCTTGCCCCGCAGTTCCCAGGGCCTGTCCCGTGGGGAAGGCGTCTTTGTCATTGACGCCACGTGCGTAGTGATACGATCCCAATATGTTCCAACCCCCCGAACCCAGCAGGTGCAGCTTTTGCCCTCTGGGGTGACACGCGTGGTGGGGGATTCCCCCAGCCAATCGAAGCCCGGCAAGGAGGAGGGTGAAGGGGCCACGGTCTTTCCTTCCCCTTGTCAAAAGCGGCTGTCGAGCAGTCGCCTTTTACACCAGCCCGGCGGGGGCCGCGGGGGCGAAGCTGAGGGCGGGAGGCCGGGGGACTCCACACTGGAGGAGCGCACTTTCCGCATCTTGGGGCTCCCGGCCCCCGAAGTAAACCTGCGGGACGCCCCCACGCAGCCAGGTAGCCCAGAGCACCAAGCCTTAGGCCCAGCAGCTTCGGGAGCCCAGGGCAGAGCCGAGGGGTCGGAAGTGGCGGTGGTCCAGCGGCGCGCCGGCCGGGGCTGGGCGCGGACCCCAGGGCCCTACGCCGGGGCCCTGCGAGAAGCCGTGTCCCGTATCCGCCGCCACACAGCCCCTGACTCGGACACGGACGAAGCTGAGGAGCTCAGCGTCCATAGCGGCTCCTCTGATGGAAGCGACACAGAAGCCCCGGGCGCCTCCTGGCGGAATGAGAGGACCCTGCCCGAGGTTGGAAACAGTTCGCCAGAGGAAGATGGGAAGACAGCGGAACTGAGCGACAGTGTCGGGGAGATCCTAGATGTCATAAGCCAAACCGAGGAGGTCCTCTTCGGGGTGAGGGACATCAGAGGGACCCAACAGGGAAATAGGAAGAGGCAGTGAGAGGCCCCTTCTTGTATTTGTGTCCCCAACGCATCCATCCTTGGGTCCACTGGTCCCCATTCTTCCCCACAGACTTCCTTTGCTTCTCTTTTCCTTGTATCTTTACCCATACCTGTTCTCATCCTTGAAATATAAATGAAAGGAAGGGAAGCATATGCCCATTAATGATTTTGTTTCAGGAGAGGTGAGAATGAGCAGATTTAATTAATGTCTGTTATGTTCAGGGCACAAGGGTGAGCTCTTCGCAGGGGCTGATGCACTGGGTGTGGAGCTGAGCAGAGAGGCCTAACCAGGATCAGGCAGGAGGGCAGGGATGGTGGCAGCCATAGGAGGGCAGGGTAGGGTAGGGCCTCTGAGGAGGAGGGAAAAAGTGAAGGAGAGGCTTTGGACCTGGTGACAGAGTGATCAGATGACAGAGGGGTTCTTGGGAGAAGAGGCATAGGTCCAGCAACAACCAACAAAGCAGAAGGAGGGCTCACCTTGGTGTCACAAGTCTTGGATTTCAATCCCAACTCTGCCACTGAGTTGCTGGTTGACTGAGGCCAGTCACTTTCCCTCTCCAGGCCTCCAGGCCTCCTGGTATATAAAATGATGGTATTCTAAGGTCCATCCTTCCGTCTCTGACATTTTGAGATCTTTGGAAAGGACTCTATCTCATCCTCCCCTCGACAAGCCAAGAATGAGAATTGGGAATAAGTGAACAGAGTTTGAGGGTTTCTGGGCGGCCTCCGTGTCACCCAAAGTCATGATCAATTCAGGAGACTGCCCAAGGCTTGCAGAAGAGGTAAGGGAGTGAGGCACTCCTATCCCAGTCTCCCAGGTTTGGTTGAGGGCTCCCCAAGGCAGGGCAAGATAGCGGCCCTGTCACTGACCCTGGCCTGTGGTGGTCTGAGCTGGGGAGGGAAGGACACCAATGAATCAGCTTGGGACCTCTTTAGGCCTTCCCCTTTTCCTCCACCCCGATGCTCCTTAGTGATGCTCTGAGGCGTGGCCACGATCTCCCTCCCAGGTGGTATCGCCCACCTGAAAAAATCCTGAGAATTTCTCCCATCTTGGCCTCTTCCAGAAACCGGCCAGGCAAGGAAAGAGGCCGGTCACCAGAAGCCAGCAGGCGTGGGGTGTGATACTCTCTATAGCCACTACAGGGCGCGCGCAGGTCGCGGATCTCCCCAGTTGCTAATCCCGGCTCTGCCACTCAATCCTATCCCTAGTTCCCGAGCGCGGGTCCCCCGCCTTGCAGTCTCCAGCCGTGCGGGGCCGGGAGCAGGCCTCCGGCCTCCCAGACTTCTAGAGCCCGCCGGGCCCATCTTTGTACTCATCCACCCCAGCCGGCTTGGGACTCAGACACCGAAGTCTTTTTTTTTTTCTCTCCGATCCTTGGACACCTCCTCTGTCTGCCATTTATTAGCCATGTGAACTTGGCCACATCACTTCACCTCCCTGAGCCTCAGTTTCCTCATCTGTCAAATGGGGGTTTATAAACACCTACCTCGCAGGGTTGTTGTGAGGATTTAATGCGATAATGTATGTAAAGCGCCTTGCACACTGCCTGGCACACAGTAGGCGCTCAATAAATCTAAGCTTCCCTTTATCCAGCCTTGGCATCGTCTTCCTTTCACTGACCCTTTCCCCACAGTGGCCCTCCCCCGGGACTCCTCTGCTACTTCCCGCTCTGTGTGAGGGGAGGGGGCTGCTTTCTTCGTTGGGAGCTCCTGGCCCACCTCTTTTCTCCCCCAGCCGGGACTCTCCCTTCCTTGCCCCCAGCCCACCCCTGTCGGCTCTTCCCACTGCCCTGGCGCCCTCCCCCCACCCCCCATTCCGGGCAAGGGCTGAGTCAGCCGGGGTAAATTTAGCTGCCGGCTCCGCGGGCGCGGGGGCTTCTCCCAGACTCAGTCGCCCGGTCCTGCCCCGGCCCCCAGCCCCCGGCCCCCTGCCCGCCTCTGCTCCCACTCCAACCCAGACCCCTCAACTCCAACTCCCGCTCAGCGTTCAGGTCCCCAACCCCGCTCTCAAACCACTTATGGCTTTAGTCTCCAATTATCTCGACCTCACTCCCGCCCGCACCCAGAGGGACTCTGGGCAGAACTCGGAGTGGGGCAGGACCGCCTGCGGTGGGGGGTGGCGACGATCTGACAGGAGCTGGGCCGCTGGCCTTGGTTCAGTGGAGGAAGGTGTCCTCTTTGGGTTTCTGAACCGGAGGGAAGACACTGGTCAGAGCTATCCAGGAAGATTCATCCCAGAGACTTCCAGGAACCCGGACTGCCAGGTTTCAAGTTAGCTCTAGCTGGAGGAGTGTCACCTTGGGCAGAGATCAAAGGTTCCTGAGATCTGCCCTTGAGGTCAGGAATTCCAGACCAGCCTCCAACATGGTGAAACTCTGTCTCTACCAAAAATACAAAAGTTAGCCAGGTGTGGTGGTGTGCACCTATAATTCTAGCTACTCAGGAGGCTGAGGCACAAGAATCGCTGAATTGCTTGAACCTGGGAGGAGGAGGTTGCAGTTAGCCAAGACTGGGCCTCTGCACTCCAGCCTGGGCAACAGAGCCAGACCACATCTCAAAAAAAAACAAACAAATAAAGGTTATTGAGACCTGTCTCCCTTTCACCTACAATTCCATCTACCTACTACCAATTCTAACTATGAGCATGTACTGAGCACCTACTGGGAGCAAGAAACTGTGCTGGATACAGGATAGGGATGAGTAAGGCCTTTCTGACAATGGGGTGAAGGTGAGCAATGTGTTAAGTATTACAAGGAGTCAAACAAGGGAGATCGTATGGATTTTGTGAGATAAGGGAAGGCTCCATGGAGGGGAGGAGATGACCTCAGCGGTAGAATTTGGTGAAGAGGCATTTCAAGTAGAGGGATCAGCCAAAATAGAGGCATGGATGCAGGTAAGCAGGGTATGTTTAGGAAATTGCTCAATGGTCTGATTTGCCTGCAGTTGAGCGTACATTTATGGCAGTTGTAGAAGATAAGGCAAGAGTGAAAATTGAGGCCAGATTGGGGTAAGCCTGGTCCAGCTGAGGAGTATGTGCCTTGGACCTTCAGGCTTGGGAAGAGGCTGGACTTCAGGTGAAGGGGAAAGTTGAGGAAGGGCGGGGTGTGGTGGGTCACACCTGTAATCCCAGCACTTTGGGAGGCTGAGGTGAACAGATCACCTGAGACGGGGACAAGCCTGGCCAACATGGTCCAACCCCACCTCTACTAAAAATACAAAAATTAGCTGGGTGTAGTGGTGCATGCCTGTGATCCCAGCTATTGGGGAGGTCGAGGTACAAGAATCACTTGAACCTGGGAAGCGGAGGTTGCAGCAAGCCGAGATCGCACCACTGCACTCTAGCCTGGGTGACAAAGTGAGACTCTGTCTTAAACAAACAAACAAACAAAAAAAAAAAAACAAAAAAAAAAAGAAAGAAAGTTGAGAAAGACCAGGGCAGTGATGAAAGCATCTGCCTAGATTTTTCTACAACCAAAGGGCTCTAGAGCTCTGGGACTGGTAGAGGAGGTGAGCTGTATGCAACAGTGGAAGGGCTGGCCCTATGAGGGTGGGCTTTACCATGCTGCCTGAGCCCCTTTGAGGTTGAATACACAGGAAGCCAATTTCTAAAAGCTCACCCACACTGCTAACATAATTGAACAACTTGACTAATGTGTTTAGCATATGGTTTCTGGGGCTTCTACCCCATACTAGCTATGTATGGGCAAGTTACTCAACCTCTCTGTGCCTTGGTGTCCTCAGTTATAAACTGAGGTTATTAAAAGTGCTTTTCATTAGCTGAGTGTGGTGGCACTCTCCTGTAGTCCCACTCCTGAACACTCTCAGCTGTTCAGGAGGCTGAGGTGGGAGAATTGCTTGAGCCCGGGAGTTTGAGGATGCAGTGAGCTATGATTGCACCACTGTACTCCAGCCTGGGCAACAGAGCAAGACCCTGTCTCAATAAATAAATAAATAAATAAATAAATAAATAAACAAACAAACAAACAATGTGCTTTTCTCTTAGAGTTGTTGGGAGGAGTAAATAATTCAATATGTAAAACACTTAGAACAATTGGCCAGGCACAGTAGCTCACCCATGTAATACCAGCATTTTGGGAGGTTGAGGTGGGAGGATTGCTTGAGCCCAGGAGTTAGAGACCAGCCTGGGCAACATAGCAAGACCCTGTCTCTCTCTCTCTCTTTTTTAAATTTATTTAATTAAAAAGAAAAAAAAATGAAAAGAAAAGAAAAAACAACACCTGGTACATAGTAGGTGATTAAGTGTTAGCTCTGATTATTATTTCTCCCTAGGGCTATTTTATTAGTGTTGGGGTATGAGAACAGGATGATGGGACAGAGAGAATTAGAAGTAGGGGAGGACGGCCAGGTGTGGTGGCTCATGCCTGTAATCTCAGCACTTTGGGAGGCCAAGGCCGGTGGATTATGATGTCAGGAGTTCGAGATCAGCCTGGCCAATATGGTGAAACCCCATCTCTACTAAAAATACAAAAATTAGCCGGGTGTGGTGGCACATGCCTGTAGTCCCAGCTACTCGGGAGGCTGAGGCAGGAGAATCACTTGAACCCGAGAGGAGGAGGTTGCAGTGAGCCGAGATCAGGCCACTGCACTCCAGCCTGGGCGACAAAGCGACACTCCGTCTTAAAAAAAAAAAAAAAAAAAAAAAAAAAGGCCGGGTGCGCTGGCTCACTCCTGTAATCCCAACACTTTGGGAGGCTGAGGTGGGTGGATCACGAGGTCAGGAGTTCGAGACCAGCCTGACCAACATGGTGAAACCTCGTCTCTGCTAAAAATAAAAAAAATTAGCTGGGTGTGGTGATGCATGCCTGTAATCCCAGCTATTCGGGAGGCTGAGGCAGGAGAATCACTTGACTCTGGGAGGCGGAGTTTACAGTGAGGCAAGATCGTACCACTGCACTCCAGCCTGGGCCACAGAGCAAGACACTGTCTCAAAAAAAAAAAAAAAAAAAAAAAGTAGGGGAGGAGGAGAACCAGGCAGCAGATGTCAGTAGAGAGGAGGGGGGAAACCTGGGGTGGGTATGGACAGCCCTTTTAATGGGTGAATGGTGCCTGGGTGAATAGTGCCTGGGTGAATGGTGCCCTGGCAGTGCTTGGGCGGTTAGAGTGTCAGTGCAGCACACCCCTTCCCCCAGAACTTACTCCATCTTTGCCTAAGGATAGAGTCAGCACCAGCTGCCAAAATTCTGGGCAAAAAAAGGAGAGAGACAAGAAGGGGAGGAGTGACTCCAGGTCTAGGGGCCAGCCCCTGGTGAGCCATATCTCAGACTGACCTTCCAGGGCTCTGTGGGTGGCACACTGGAGGCTCCCTGCTGCGAAAATGACTTCTAAATCTGGCTGTGTCTGCCAGCCAGCCTTGAGACAGAGGCCACAACCACCCCCTACCTTGGGACAGCCTCACTGGTCAGGAGTAGGGACAGCAGACACAGGAGGATGTGGTCAATTTGGGGCAGCAGACCTCAGGTTAGTGCAGGATCCTGCTACCCTCCCAATAGAGAGCTTCTTCCTAGGGAAGCCCCTTTCTGCCCTCCATGGGACCCAGTTAATATGGCTTTAGAGGAGTCAAGAGCCGTCTCTTTCAGACTCTCAGGGGAGGGCTGGGACTTCCCTAGATCAGCCACAAATAGGTAAGGAAACCGAGCCCCAGCATATAACTCTGGAATTTCAGAGTGTCAAGGTCAGGAGTGTGAGTGTGATGTGTGTAAGGAGGAGAGGGCCAGGAGAGATAACTGAACAAGAGGACGCAGGAAGTGTATAAAATGTGTCTATGGGGAAGAGGCAGCACTCACTCAGTTGTTCATTTGTTTACTCACTCATTAAACATATATGCCAGGTGCTAGGGACACAAAAGAGACTCAGGCATGCTTCCTCCCTTCAGGGAGCTCTCAAGCTAGGGTGTGTATGATATAGGGAAAGAGATGTGGAAGAGGAAACCCACAGTCATTGCAGTGCAGGAAGATGGCATAATATATGTTAATGAAAGCATTCCTGAGGGACCAGGGAGGATGAAAAGAGGAGCAGCTCCCAGACCATGACTTCTTATGGGGAGTGGAATGTATCTAGGCCTCTGGGAGACAAGTTGCTGAGGGTGCAGATGTTAGTGAAGGAAAGTTTGGCCTGGATACTGCCTCTGCCTCTGCATATCCTAGCATGGGGTGTGCTCCCTCCCTTGAAGCCTCTGGTGCTACCTGGGCTTTTTTAAAATTTTCTTTTCTTTCCTGCCACCCAGGCTGGAGTGCAGTGGTGCGATCTCAGCTCACTGCAACCTCCACCTCCCGGGTTCAAACAATTCTTCTGCCTCAGCCTCCCAAGTGGATGGGATTACAGCCGCGCACCACCACGCCCAGCTAATTTTTGTATTTTTAGTAGAGACAGGGTTTCACCATGTTGGCCAGGGTGGTCTCGAACTCCTGACCTCAAGCTATCTGCCTGCCTCACCCTTCCAAAGTGCTGGGATTACAGGCATGGGCCACCACATCTGGCCATTTTTTTTCTTTTTTCTTTTTCTGAGACAGGGTCTTGCTATGTCACCCAGGCTGGAGTGCAGTGGCACGATTACAACTTACTGCAGCCTCAGCCTCCCCAGCAAAAGTGATCCTTCCACCTCAGCCTCCTGAATAGTAGGAACCACAGGCACGTGTCACCATGCCGGGCTAATTTTTTTTTTTTTTTTTTTTTGGTGGAGACGGGGTCTCCCTATGTTGCCCAGGCTGATCTCAAACTCCTGGGCTCAAACGATTCTCCCATCCTGGCCTCCCCAAATGTTGGGATTACGGGTATAAGCCACTGCACTCAGCCTACATAGCCTTTTGTGAGTCCTTTTATGGATAGATTTTCCATTCATCCATCTATTCATCCATCCACCCACCCATCCATCTATACATTCCACATCCACTTATCCACCCATCCACCAACCTATTTGTCATCTATCTGGCCATTTATACTTTTTTTCTTCTTTAAGACAGAGTCTCACTCTGTCACTCAGGCTGGAGTGCATTAGTGAGATCTCTGCTCACTGCAGCCTCCGCCTCCAGGGTTCTAGCGATTCTCATGCCTCAGCCTCTTGAGTAGCTGGGATTACAGGCGCCCACCAACATGCCTGGCTAATTTTTGTATTTTTAGTAGAGACAGGGTTTCACCATGTTGGCCAGGCTGGTCTCAAACTCCTGACCTCAGGAGATCCGCCTGCCTTGGCCTCCCAAAGTGCTGGGATTACAGGCATGAGCCACCGCGCCTGGCCCCATTTATACTTCCATCGATTTATTCCTCTGTCCGTGCATCCATTTATTCATGTATCCGTCTATTCACCATTTAACAAAGGCATATGATATGCCCAGGTCAGTGCTGCAAGGGCTAGCCTAGTAGGAGGATGAGTAATATACACAGACAACCACCAATGGGACACCCAGTATGTGCTGCTAATGAAAGCACCTACCTACATGGTGCTTCAGGAGCTAGAACAGGCAAGACCACTCTACCAAGGGAAATCAGAAGAGTCTTCATGGAGGAAGGAACATCTGAGATGGGTTCCAACAGTGGGATACAGGGAAGGGGGACATTCTAGGATGTGGGAAAATGCAGAGAGGTGGGAAAATGCAGAGAGGTAGGAAAACACGTGGCTTTCACAGGGAGCAGAGGCATTAGGGAATGCAGTGGGGCAGAAGAGTGAGTCCTGGAAAGATGTGTGGGAGCCAGAACTTGAAGTATTTCTTGTCTTTTTTGCTTTTTGGGTTTTTTTTTTTTTTTTTTTTTGATATGGAGTCTCACTCTGTCACCCAGACTAGAGTGCAGTGGTGTGATCTCTGCTCCAGTTCCTGGGTTCAAGCGATTCTCCTGCCTCAGCCTCCAGAGTAGCTGGGATTACAGGTGGGCGCCATAACTCTTGGCTAATTTTTTATTTGTATTTTTAGTAGAGACGGGTTTCACCATGTTGGCCAGGCTGGTCTCGAACTCCTGATCTCAAGTGATCCGCCCGCCTCGGCCTCCCAAAGTGCTGAGATTACAGCTGTGAGCCACCATGCCCAGACTGTTTCTTGGTAATGAAGATAAACCATTTGCACTTCGGTGAGAGGAATTGAGGGAGAGGTGAATGATGGAGTTTTTGAGCTGGGAATGTTCTAGTGCCTCCTCAACACCTGGATAATTTTTTTTCCTGCGGCTTGATCGTAACCTCGTTGGTCTTGTTACCTTGTGGAATCCCCTGCTGGACCATGAGCTGCTGGAGGTGATTTAGCTGATTTAGCTCTGTATACCCGACAAGTTTGGCGTGGAGCAGGCTCTCAGAAAATGCTGGAATAAAGAAGGAACAAATGATAAAACTGTGCCACAGGACCGCTGGCATAACAATGCAGTTCAGACATACAGGAAGAAGGATGGCTGCAGCCCGGGGTGATACCCTGCTCCTGAGAGATGACCCTGCCTTCTTGGCTAGCGTCTCTCCAGGAGCTCTCCCAAGAGTCACCACAAGGTGGCGCTATCCCCACTACCGCTCTGAGTTCGGCCAGGGTCTGTCGTGTCAACAGCTGGTGAAGTGCCCACCGCTGACCGTCCAGGGATGGTCTAGACATCTCCTTCCAGCAAGTCCTGAGAGAATGAGGAGCCTGAGTGCAGCTGTGGAAGAGAATAGCTCACAGATCCCAGTTTTAAAGCAAGTGCCGGCTTCATCTGTATTCATCCATTCACTTGACGGTGCCTATTACGTGCAAGGTACAATGTTAAGCTCTCATAAAAGCAACAGTGACCAAGACACAAAGACATAGTTCTTGCCCTCAAGGAGTTCACAATCTAGTTCTGCCTAAATCTTCCTTTCTTATCTCTCTCTCTCTCTCTCTCTCTCTCTGTCTTTCTTGTACACACATACCTGCTCCCCAGGGCCAACCACCTTGACCCAGAAAGCTGTCTCCACGTGAAATCCGCTCTTTGGAACTCTTGCCCCTCCAAATCCAAGTTTCTCCCTGAAGTTGCTGCATGGCCACATTAGTGTGACCCCCGGGAATGCTGTGACTCTTGACTGCTCCTTCTTGACTTGGCTCCTTTTGCTCTTCCCCTGACAGAACCTTTCCTGCTGTCTCTCTTAACATCTCCCATCACATCCACAGCCACTCTGCCAGCACTGGTAGGTTTAGGGACCTCCCCAGAGTAGGCCTGGTACAGGCTAGAGCCTCTTAACACCCTAGAGGCTATAGGGACATGAGGATGGATCTGCAAAAGCACCTTGTGAGACCCTGGTGTCATGCATCTGGAGATGAGGAGTTGGAGAGTCCAGAAAACCAAAGTCCTCAGAAACAGGTCCCTCTCTGGCCTGAGGGCTCTGCCAGCCAAATCCATCCCCTGGCAGAGGCTGCCTTCTTTTCTCACCTTCTCTGGGGGGACCAGGAGACAGCTCTGTAGTGATGGCTATGGGAGACGCCGGTGGGGAGGTGAGGCATTGTGGGACGCTGTCCACTTTCCCAACATGCTCCAGGGCCCATCGTAGTCCTTGGCGGGTTTGGAAGAGGAGGGGAGGGAGGGCTGGTGCTGAGAGTGGGAGCCAGGCCCATCGAGGTCCCAGGAGTGAATGCCTCATTGTTGGCCAGGCCAGAGTCACAGATAATTACCTCAATTAGTGACAATGGGAGAGTAATAAATACAGGCTTAGTGTCTCCTACCCCACCAGGGCTCCGAAGATTAATCCAGGCTGACGGGCGGGCCCTGAAAGGCGTGATGGACAATTCATTAAACTCCCCAAATGCCGCACAACCTGGGCGTGAAGGCTGAGTTAGCCCCCTGGGGGCTGTGCCTTTGTCCCGATTGTGTGTCTCCGCCACAGCAGAGCCGGGCAGCCCCCAGAGAGTGGGGAGGTGAGTGGGGCTCCCCCAGCCGGGCCAGGCGGCGGGAGGATTAGGCCTCGGTCCGGCCCTGGTTGCCCTGGCACACTGGCCCGGCCTGGCTGGAATGTCCGTGGGGGGGAGCTGGCCGAGCAGAGGGGCGGGGCCGACAAGGTGGGGTAAGGGGGGCATACAAAACCAGGGGCAGGAGGAGTTAATTAGACGCCAGCCGAGGAGGGTGAGGGGCCACGATAGGGCTGAGGGGCCGCCAGGGACGGCCCCTTAACTTCCGAGGATTAATAGGGAGGAGGGAAAAGGGAGGGGTTCAGCCCTGGGGGAGGAGAGCTGGGAGCTTCACAGGGTGGAAGTGCCCCCTCTTGCCCCAGCTTGGCACCTAGTTGGCAAGTTGCTGGGAGGTGGGAGGCTCTGGTGGCCTGGACAGGTACCCTCAGCATCCCAAGAATGGCTCTTTCTTCGTCACATGGCACCTACTTAGGGAGGATGATTGGGCAGGAAGGAGAGAAAGGACCCCCTCATTTACAGGGGAAGTAGTGGAAGCAGAAGTGTTTGGGGTCCTGTTCTCAGCCACCCCCTACCCCATGCCCCCTAACCTACTCTGAGGCACAACCAGGAGCTTGAAGCTTTGCTTTCCTGATGAGGCTGGCAGGTTGAAGCCAGGAAGTCCTTAGTGGGGGCTGGAGGTGATGTGAGCACATGGAGTAGGGGCAGCTGTGTGTGCTTGCACCTGTGTGTGCAGACACTGTGCACACAGGTGGGCCTGTGCACAGGGTCTGGCATTCAGCTGGCTTTCAGTTAATGCTTGTTGAATGAATGAATGAACTTCTGTTTTGCTGAGAGCAAATGCATGTGAAGAAGAGAAGTAGCAGCGGGCTGTGCCATGACACAGAGTACTTTGGGCCCTTTCATTCCGAGCCTCCAGCCAGGGCCCAGGGAGGGTAGGGACCACATATCTGAAGAGATGAGCAAATGTTCAGGGAAAATGGAGTGGCAGTGGTTCCTTCACCTTGAAAAGGGGGGAAAATATGGTAGCCTCTAGGAAGCCCCACTTCCTCCTGGGCCTCAGGGAACAGGGCAGCCCTGGCTCCTCCCTGGGAGCCACCCCACCCTGCCCCTCCCAGGGGATGACAAGGGAGCGAGTTGGCGGCAGTTCCCTGGGCATATTTATAACCTGCTGCTCGCTCACCAGCGTCTGCTTTTAGACCAGACGGGGGAGGGGGCAGGGGGGTGGTCTGTCTCATGCTGGGCGCCCCGGCTGGGTGTGGAAAGAGTGAGTAAGGGTGAGTGGTGGGCAGCCCTGCATGGATATTCCTGCTCACACCACAGCCAAACAGCTTATTTTCTCCTCGTTTTGTTATTTTTCTCCCTCTGCGCTGGAGAGGAGGACTGAGCCAGCCTGGGGCGAGGGGGGAGGCTTTGGGGGAGGCTGGACCCTAGGGTATTTGCAGCCCCACTGACAGGGTTTTTCCAGGGTGCGTGTGGCAGAGTGTGTGTGGTGCTGGCTTGCTGACCCCCTGGGGACTGTGCACAGCCTGCCTTTCTTCTCAGCTTTTCCACTCCCCCCAGGATATTTCAGGACTAGTCTTTCCCTCACTTGCTCAGGCCAACGTGTATCCAGCGCCCTGGCACCTGAAGATCAGAGGTGGTGAGAGGTGGCGCATCAAGCACAGTCCTGATGACACCATCCTATGGCCACCACCCTGAGCCTACTGTGGCTCCTGAGACCTTTGTGAGTCTTCTTTCTATGCATAATTGTTCTTCTCCTCAGGATGTACCCGCTCCAGCCCTGTGTGAGGATAGCATAGATGATCACAATAACAAAATGATTAGCTTTTATGTAGTGCTTTGCAGATCCCTCTGCCCTTTTACTTGTTTGTGTGTGTGTGTATGTGTGTTTGTGTTTTATTAGTGCCCATTGAGGGCCCAGCCTAATTCTGCACTTCCCAGCACCATCACCTTTGAAATTCCAGCCCTTGGAAGAGAAGAGCCTCCATGCCGAGGGCTTGAGTATGGGAGTCTGCCCTTAAACTTCATTTATGTGCAGAAGGCTTTACACTTCATTGAGCCTTCATTGCACTCCCTCCATATGCTAACAATATCTGAGGATGTGCTTGATCCCCTGGCCAGACTGTCAACCTCCTCCAAGCAGGCACTATGGTTTATAAATCATTGTATTGCCAACATTTGGCAGATGCCTGGTATAGAAGAGGTGTCAGTGAGTATTCAAATGACCCAGGCTTTCATGTACATCATCTCATCTGAACCTCATCACCTCCCTGAAAGGTTAAGTAACAATAACCATCCCTGTTTGATAGGCAAGGCAACTGAGTCTGAGAAAGTACGAGATTTGCTGAAAGTCTGGGTAGGGGCAGAAAAGAATTCACCACTTTCCCTTGCTCTTCCTCCAGCTCCTGTTTGTCAACCTGGTTCAGAGTGCCCCAGCTTCCAAGCCTGAAAGCTGATACTGACTCCAATTCTTAGAGTTTGAATTTAGGCAAAAGTAGTTGGAGACAGCTGCCAATGCTTTGACTCTACCCTGCTGCTTCATCTCAACTCTGGGCACTGTCCAGCAGGGGCCCAAGCCCCCCCTCCCACCTCTGGCAGCCTATTAACTTCTTATTTGGGGAGTTGAGGGATCTAATAGCCCTTTGGCTTATAGACTGGGCATTCTCTGCAGGGTGCTCTTTATGGAAACCCAAAGCTTTTCAGGTGCCTCTTCCCCAGGATCAATAGGTTTTTATTTCTTCCCCTAGGGTGAGGAATCAGAACTGAGATGGTGCTAGCTTGGCAGGTGGAAAGGAAGGGAAAGGGATGTCGTTGCAGGACTGAGCAGTTCCTGGCTCCATTCCCCTACCCCTACACATATCCCAAAGGTGGTGGGAGGCACCAACAGCAGAAGAGGCCTGAACAGGAGAGGAGGGAATAGGGGAGAAGGGGAAATTCTCAAGCTGGCTGGGAGCAGTTGTTGCTCTTAGGGGATAGGTTGGGTGTTTCACAGCTCCCCTTGCCCTTCTGATCCTCCCCTGTGGGGAGGGGTTAGGATTAGGGACAGACATTAGAGCTTAGAAGGGGTTAGTGTTTGTCTGAAGTTAGGGTTAAGGCTAAGGTTCAACCTAGACCTAGGAACAGGAAGAGGGTTAGAGTTAGAGATAGGTTTAGGGCCGTGGGTAGGATTAGAACTCCCACTGACTCTGGTGAATGTGCACACAGAGGTATCACACTGGTGGTGTTAGTAACAAAATCCTCATTCTGGTTCTTTATGGGAATGGCTAGCTTAGTAGTTTGGTTATGGACCACATTAGGGTTTCCTTTGGTTACATCGGTTTAAGCCTAGCCTGCATTTGGATTCTAGCCTACCTGCTCCCTTCTCTCCCACCAGCATCTCTGAGCTTCTCGGTCCAGCACCAGGCTCATCACCTATTATCTGGATCTCCCTGAGCCCAAGATTGGGAGTGGGGCTCCTGATAAGGTATTTATTAGATAGATAGATAGATATACATATATAATACCTAATAGTGTGTGTATATACACACACACACACACACACACACACACACACACACACATATATATATATATATATATATATATTTTTTTTTTTTTTTTTTTTTTTTCTTTTGTAGAGGTGGGGCTGCCTGTGTGGCCCAGGCTGGTCTCAAACTCCTGGGCTGAATCGATTTACCCACCTCGGTCTCCCAAAGTGTTGGGATTACAGGCATGAGCCACTGCCCCAGGCCAGTATTTACTTTTCTGTTGGTGGAAGGGCTTCACCCCTGTCCAATGCCCTGACCACAGCTGAAGAAGCCAAGCTTCAGGGACCAATAGCTCCACATTAGGGGCAGCAGCACTCTGCTTTAGTTTCTCTTCCTACTTTTTGGAAGATGGTCACAGTTATCATTCAATAGTAGCTATTTTCTGAACAGCTGTTCCAGGCAGGAAAAGCAGGCACTGAGGTTGTTTAACCCCCATTCACCAAGTATATGCACCTGTCCATATCACACAGCCAGTTGCTGTTCCACGAGGAAGAAGAACCCTGCAGGGTTGTTTGGCTACTGACCAGGTTCCTCTCTCAGGAGAGCTGGATTCCCAGTGGCCTCGTTAGGGTCATCCAAGGGTCAGAATCTCAGGGTCCTCTGGCAAGGTTAGGAAACCAGTCCCCCAACAGCATATTCTATTTGTTTGAGAGAGGTAAGCTTCCAAGCCTGGGAGTGGTAAAAGGGGAGGATAGGGGACACCACAAACAAGGTTGTGTTCTGGATTCAAGGAAAAGCCACCAAGTCATCGATAAAAATAGAGATTTTATTCTGCAGAGGAAGATGCTACACTGGTGGGGGCGAGGAGCCGCTAATAGCTACAGTGGAAGGAAATACTGATTCCAGGAGGCAAACGCATCTTTGAGAAACTGAGGAGAGAAGAGGGACCAGAAAAGGCTGCAGGGAGAAAGGAGAGAAGAGTGGAGAGGGATTGGGTTGGGTTGGAGGTGGTCTTTGCAAACCAGGCTGGGACCCAGCACAATAAATAGTTTTATTTACAACATCCAAACTCGTGGCTCTGTATCCACGTTTCAGTGCAAATTATTTACACACTGATGAGGAGGCAGGACAGGAAGGGGTAGGAGGTGGCCCAGGGAGGCATGGCTCACAGCTGTTCAATGGCTCCACGACAGAGACTGGGAGAATGGGGGCATTTCTGCTGGTTCCCCCAACCTCATTTCCACATCATCACAGCTGCCCTTTTGCCCTGTAACCTCCTGCTTCAGCTACAGGTGGGGAGGAGAAAGGCCCTGATGCCCAGGTGTGGGTTCAGGGTCTGCACCCATGGCAGGAGAATAGGAAGGGACTTAGGAGGACCCGGAGAAAACGCAGGACAAAGGGGAAGAAGAGAGGCAGAGAGGTCGCTGGCGCGATGGAGCAGGCAGAATGACACCATCAGGAGCCGACCCCATGGCGGAGGGGACCCATCCTTCTCTCACCTCCTGGCCAAGCAGGGGGCAGTGCAACAAGGGGTCTCCCGCGGAGAGGGAGGGAGGTAGGTCCGGGGCAGGTCCATCAGGATGGCAAGAGGGTTCATGCCGCCCCAGGCAAGTGGTTTGAGGAGTCCCCAGGTAGGAGGAAGTGGGAGAGATGGGATGCGTATGAACCGCGGGGAGTGTGACTGGAGGTACTCGGGTGGGCGAATAACCGGGTCTTGAGTGCTAGCGAGTCTGTTTGGGGGAGGGCTCGAGGAGAGCGTTCCTGGGGGCGAGTCCGCGCAGCGCCTCACAGACACTCGTGCAGTACGCGCGTGTGCGTGCAGTTGCGGCAGCTGACGTGGCAGCACCAGTGGAAGGTGCAGTTGCAGCGCTCGGTGACGCGCTGCGTGCGCGTGCGGTGGCCCCTGCCGCAGCAGAGCAGCTCGCAGCCGTCCAGCGCGGGCGACGAGCTGTTACAGGCGCGCCCTGCCGTGCCTGCTGTGCCCAGGCGTCCGCTGTACGTGCAGAAGTTGGGCGATTTCTCGAAGTAGACGAGGTCGTGGGGGGAGGGCGGTTTGTGGGCCGGGTCTTCCGGCTCCAGGCGCAGCAGCTCCGCCCGCGAAGCGCGGTTGCTGCCGCGGTTGCCGTACAGGACGCGCGAGGCGCCGTCGAAGCGGTCGCGCAGCACATCGCCCACGGCGCGCAGCGTGGGCAGCCGCATCCAGCACGTGCGCACCGTGCATGAGCCGGACATCCCGTGGCACTTGCACTCCTGGCGCATCTCGGAGAATACGGTCTGCGGGGATAGGGGAAGAAAGAGTGTCCCAGGGCACCGGGCCAGAGTCACCCTCCCAGACACTGCCCTCTCCCGGACGCCACGGGGGCCGGACCTCAGCAAAGGCCCAGGCCTAGCTGAGCCCAGGGGAAGGGAGGCGCGAAATGTTCCGCTGAGATTTGGAAACCCTGCCCAACCCTGCTCCGCCGCGGCGAGTCAGTCTCGGCCTCTCAGGCTTATTTTTCGAATCTGTACAGCGAAGAGACTGTGCTTGATTTGCAACCTCTTCTACCTGTCCGCGGGCCAGACATACCTTTGCCCTCAGCCACTGTCTCCTCTATTCTCCGTCTTCGTTCCAAGCCTCCGGCTCTCCCAGGACGCCCTCTCCTGGTGCCCCTTGCCTTATCTCACCGACCGTCACTTCCCCAGCCCGAGGTTGGCCCCTGCCGCTCCGCTTAGGGTGCGGAGCCTCTCAAAGCTCACCGTACGGCCTGCCTCGTTGTTGTGAAGGTTCATGAGGAAGCGCAGGTCCCGCCCCTTCTCCCCGGAGTCCACGAACTCCCGGCCGAAGAGGCGGCCGAAGTCAATGTTGTCGCTGCAGCCCCCCCAGTGCCAGTCGGGGCCCCCGGGGCCGCGCCGCCGGTAGTCACACGTGCAGGATTCGATGGAACCTTCTGAGCAGGAGCGCGCCACCGAATGGGTGACCCCGGCGGAGGTGATAGCGAAGATAAACGCCGTTTCTCGACAGCCTGTGGGAGAAGGGAGCGGGGATCAGCGAGGGGGTACGCGGGGCGCGGCCAGCACCCTCATGAAGGGCTTGGGACCGGAATCCCACCCCCGACTCCGCACTTTGAGTCCTGAGAGCCAGGGCCGGCAGTGCTGGAAAGCTGGTCTCTAGGGCTAGTAGAGAAAGCAGGTGCGTGGGCACGCAGCCACGTCCACGGGCGTAATCACACCTTACTGGGAGATTCTAGGGCGCATTTTGGCTCGATAGCGGAAGTGGAGCAGCCCCAGAGAGACAAACCGAAGAGAGGGGAGCGGAAGAACCATACATCCCCAAGACTTCTTCGCAGCCCAAAACTTTCGGCCCATTTTGGCGGTGCAAGCCTTGCTGGGCGAGAGGCCAGACACACGCCTGCAGAGAGCAGCTTCCCAGGCGCTTTTGAGAGAGGCTGGGGGAAAGCGGCGGTCAGCCGGCGTCCGCGACCCGAAACTTTCTTTATCTGGGGCAGTAGCTCAGAAAAGTTAAGCTTCGTTTCCAGGGTGCACGGCTGGAAAACGCCTGGTAGAAGTCTGGCCCCGAGCTGGCGCTGGGCACGAGGCACTTGGCAAGGTTGATTGTGTGACCCTCCAGGCGCCTGGGACACCTTCTCTGAACTCGCCCGCCCATGCCCTGGGGGTGACCCCGCGTTTCCCCTGCTCCCGGAAGCGTCGCCTTCCTGGGCACCCACCTCGGTTGACGATCTTGCCGAAGAGGTGGGGCCCTGGAGCAGTGGGACAGTTCCAGCGGCGATTCCGGAACTGCCACTTGCACTCGCGCACGGCACTCTGCAGCCCCCCACTCACGCTGTGCAGGATCCCCGGATTTTGGCGTATCAGACGCCGCTGTTTGCGGCTCAACAGCTGCAGACTGGGCTCGAGTACCAGTTGCAGACTCTTGGAGTCTGTAAGCAGGTTCGTGGAGGAGGCTACGTTCACAATACCCCTGGTGGGACGTATGATAGCTCAGGCTCAGGAAGGGGATCCGCACCCTAACCATAAAAACTGTGCCACCCGGTCCTCTTCCTGGGGGTATGTGGCTGGAGAGAATGGCGGGAGATTAATAATACCCGCTCTCCCAGGCTCACTAATTTGAAAGAACTGGGCGTCCAGACTTGTGTGTGCCCAGTAG
The DNA here is from genome assembly GCF_000001405.40 of Homo sapiens. Lineage (NCBI taxonomy): Eukaryota > Metazoa > Chordata > Mammalia > Primates > Hominidae > Homo > Homo sapiens. The sequence continues at coordinate 48,979,281 of NC_000012.12, read as the reverse complement.
TCCCAGGGCTGCTCGCCTGAGCCCTAGGTCCGGAGACTGGACAGAGGAGGTACCCGGAGACCGAGTGTCTACCTTGGATCTCCGAGCCTCTTCCGGTCAGCCTGAGCGAGATAATCATGGCCTGCAGTTCTTGCCCACCCAAGGCGTGAAATGCTTAGGAGTCCCACCCTCTTCTCCCCTCCTTTCTAGGCGAACTCCTGGCCCTTCACTTCCCGAGGTGGGGAAACCTGTGGTGAGCCACCGCCGTGAGGCTGGAGTTGGCGCTCAAAGGGGAAGGGCGGTGCTAGATGAGAGTGGGCTCCCTGCCTGGGGTATCTTAGGCCTCCGCGGGCGGATCATTCGCCCCACTTGTACAGAGCTGGAGTCTGGGGCAGTTTCATGCCAGATCGCCCTTCGGTGTCGCGGAGGGAAGTCAGAGCGGGGAGGGAGCCTGTCGGCAGACGGATCCCAGAGCGTGGGAGCTGGGTAGGGTTGGCCCCTGGCTCTGTGCCGCGGGACAAGTGGCGACCCCGCACCAGCTCACTTACCACCATCGGCCACTGCTGTTGGCAGCCAGGGCTGCGGGCAGAGCGGCCAGCGCCAGCAGCAGCGTAGCAGAAACCCAGCCAGGCAACAGCGCCCAGAGCCCCATGGCCTGCCTGGCTTTGCCCGCTCTGTGCTGCAGTTGCGGCGACTTTGGTTGTTGCCCGCGACGGTGGGACGGGACGCGGCGGTGGCGGCAGTGGCGAGAGTTCGCAGTCTGGCTTTAACAACCCTGGGGGCGGGCGGCGGACAGCATGGCTCGCGGTCCCGGCTGGTGGGCTGAGGCGGCCACGGCGGGCGGCACCGCCTCTTATAGTTGCGGCGCTGGCTGAAGTGACGGGAGGAGGCTGCCCCTCCGGGCCGCACTGTGGCACCAGGGCGCACCGGTTAGGGGCGCAGACAATGGGCAGCGAGCGGGGCTGTGGTTCCCGCCCGTCTGAGCCGAGAGCTGACGGGTTGGCCGTCGGGGCTCACCCCCGCCCCCTGCCCGGTGGCCCCCGCCTCCGGGCCTGCACTGGCCGCGGACCCCTCCCCTTGGGACACCCTCCCACGCGCGCCCGCCTCACTCAGCTGAGCGTCCGGAGCCCGTCGAGGACTAGCATCCGCCAGGGGGCGCGGCGAGAGTGTGCTGCGGGGAGAGCCCGCCAGGGGCCCAGCCCGCCTCGCCGCCCGCGGTGGGGTTGTCCCCTCGACGTCACCCCGGGCCCCTCCGACGTCCCCTCTCTCCCCCATCCTGAGTGTCGGAAGGAAAGCTGTGGTTCTGGGCAGCGACTCCGGGGAGATGCTTAACCGCCCAGGAACCCCCGATGGCTGGACAGAGAAGGAAAAAGGGGAGACGGGGGCGTGAGTGCGGCTGTGGTCAGGGAAATCCCGGGGATGAGTTGTGGGGGTGAGCTAACCAAAAGGAGCCTAGCGGTGGAGAGAAACCTAAAGCAACAGGCAGTTTGCTCATGTGCGCCAGAAGAAGCGCACAAGTGGCTGTGTGTGTGTGTGTGTGTGTGTGTGTGTGTGAAGTGGAACAACGTGAATATGGGTGGGAGTGAGAATGTGCTGTGTTCTGAGGGTGCATCCTCCTGTGTGTTGGTACGTGCAGAAACTCCTTGTTCTGACGAAGGATGTTAGGAAACTTTCCAAAGAATTTTGGAATTTAGCTCAAGTCAGAAAAGGTCATGGAGTCACCTTGTCACAGTCACCGCCTGGGGCAGTGTGTCAGGAAGGAGGTGGCAACTGTCGACAGGAGACTCAGAAGCATGATTGAGGGATGCAGAGTGTCTGGACTGTGTGTGGAGTGGGTGGATGAGCATGTGCATGGGAAGATTAAATATGTGTGTATGCGTCATTCTGTTGCCCTTTGTACCTCGTGGCATCCTATGGCGTGTCACACTGTGGTATGTGTCAACCAGTGCATGTCATTGGGGGAGAGAGCCGAGCCTACAACCAAGATGGTATTGAGGTGAACCCAGCCTGGAGTGGCTAAGTCTCTGAGGCCTAGGCTCAGAAAGGATGGGAAATGGTGCGGATGTCCACTGTATGTATGGTGATGGAGAGGACTGGGAAGACAAGGGTTGCTGGCTACATTGAACCTAGATGAGGAAACTTGTGCCTCCATGTGTTTGCTTCTCTTTGGATGTTTCTGCCAAGTTTCTGTCTTTCCCTAAAGCTCTAGTTCCCACCACACTGGGATACCCAGAGTGCCTGTGACCATCTCATCCATTGTACACTTTTCTCTTCTCTCCCAGGGACTCCTACTCAGCTTCAAGGCCATTTAGGCCTCCTATTGAAGAAGTGACAGGCTGGGCGCGGTGGCTCATGCCTATAATCCCCGCACTTTGGGAGGCCGAGGCAGGTGGATCATGAGGTCAGGAGATCGAGACCATCCTGGCCAACATAGTGGAATCCCATCTCTAATAAAAATACAAAAATTAGCTGAGTGTGGTGGCGCACACCTGTAGTCCCAGCTACTCAGGAGGCTGAGGCAGGAGAATGGCTTGAACCCGGGAGGTGGAGATTGCAGTGAGCCGAGATCACGCCATTGCACTCCAGTCTGGGCTACAGAGCAAGACTTCATCTGAAAAAAAAAAAAAAAGTGGCTGCTTTTCCCTATATGGGGAATAGGGGGCACTGCCAGCCTGGTTATCATGCCCCACCACCACACACATGGCCCCTGGAAGGAGGGAAGATCTCTTCTCTCTCCCCATTTTGCAGAATTAAAAATAGATCAGGCACTTGTCCAAGGTCCACGTCTAATAAATGAATCAATGGTAGAGCCAGATTAAAACCCAGACCAATTTGACTCAAAGCCCATGCTCTTTCGACCTTACCAGCTGCTTGCCAGTGTGCAGCAATTACAGGCTGGGAACCCTTCTCAAAATTGATGGGTAAAAATAATTTTTTGGGCCTTTCTGCCTCCCTTTTGAGTTCTAGCTCTCATTTTTTTCATCTCCCTTGTCTTTTAGGATGCCTTCTGACTGAGAAATTTCCCCAGGCCTGAACCTAAAGTCTCAAGTCCCAGAAATGACTAGGATTCCCTTCTAAGGCAGGGAAATCACTCTAAGGAATAAATGCCAGGTAAGTTTCATTAATATTCCCGGGCACTTGTGTTTTAAATGAGATGCATATTAACCCAAATGAAGCCTGATGGAAGTTATTTTAGAAAGAAATGTCCTTCTTTCCCTTTTTTCTTCCCTTTTGCCCAGCCTAGTATATCTGGCCCTTCCAAGGATCCACCCCAGAGGGAAAAGGTGTAGTGGTCCAGCACCCTCCGTAGATCCAAAAGCCAGTAGTCCCTGCAGAGAGCACCCAGCATAGATAGCTCAAGTAAATGGACAATGTATCACGGGGAGCCTGTCCTTTATCCCTTATGAGTTTCTTCCCACTGGGGCCTGGGTCACATCTTTTGGCCTGGTGGATTGATACAACACCGTGAGGGTGGGAGGCTGGCTGGAAAATATGGAAGCCCTGTCTTTGACGACTGTTGTCAAGCAGAGGTGGGAAGAGAGGAAAGGAGCCACTGTGCTTTGTTCCAACATTCCACACACCAGGAGTAGGGGGCAAGAGGGTAAGGCCCCTAGATCTGGGTCACACTGTTTATGACCTGGCTGACATTTCTTTTTCAAAATATGAAATGCTTCACAAATTTGCATGTCATCCTTGTGCAGGGGCCATGCTAATCTCTATATCATTCCAATTTTAGTATATGTGCTGCCAAAACAAGCACCCAACTTTCTATTTAGATCAAATAATCATGATATCAACTGTCCCCTCTTTCTTTCCTGCATCATCCACTTATCTCTCTCCTGGAACATACACATAAGCATGCAGACATGCTGCAATAGTACCCATCTGAAAAACCCAAAAACTTCATTAGACCCCACATTACTGCCCAAGATTGCTCCATTTCAGTGCTCCATTTTACTGCAAAAATCAAAAGGGTTGATTTAATTACTAGAGCCAATTTCTTTCTTTCTTTCTTTCTTTTTTTTTTTTTTTGAGACGGAGTTTTGCTCTTGTTGTGCAGACTGGAGTGCAGTGGTATGATCTCGGCTCACTGTAACCTCCACCTTCCGGTTTCAAGCGATTCTCCTGCCTCAGCGTACCGAGTAGCTGGGATTACAGGCGCCCACCAACACTCCCACCTAATTTTTGTATTTTTAGTAGAGGTGGGGTTTCACCATGTTGGCCAGGCTGGTCTCGAACTCCTGACCTCGTGATCTGCCCACGTCGGCCTCCCAAAGTACTGGGATTACAGGCATGAGCCACTGCGCCCAGCCCAGAGCCATCTTTCCTAAAACAGAAGTCTGATTAGTTCATTTCTCTGCTCAAAATTTTCCAGCGAGACCCCATGTCACTCAAAGTAAAGGGGCCTCCTTCCTAGCCCTCCAGCTTCATTGCCTACCACTCTCTTCCTTGCGAATTTCTCCCCACTAGCCTCACTGGCCTCTTTTCTAATCCTTTGAACCAAGCATGCTCCTTTCTAAGGGTCTGTGCACCTGCTTTTCTGTCTTCTAAAATGCTCTTCCTCAGATCTCTCCATGTATTTGTTCCTTCAGTTTGTTTTCCCTCCCCCTTTATAAAATAGAATCCCACTACTAATCTCCTTTACCCTGCTTCATTTTTCTCTGTATCAGTTTTGACCGTGGATGACTTTAAAGGCTTGAAGTTGAAAATCAGTAGCAAACCACCCCCCTGGAATAGGGTTAGAGGTGAGATGTTAGAGGGGAGAGGGGCTTTGCCTTGACTTTGGGATCTGGGGAGGAAGCAGGGCTCCAGGGTTTAGAGTTTGTGGGCAGAGGAGCCTACCCTCCTTTGAAGCACCCGCAGGCAGCACTGCCCCCTTGGGCTGGGAAGGCACAGCCCATCCATTAGGCCTGAGTACAGAAGGGGGCAAAATTCTGTCTAAGGTAATCCCATGGATTTGTTGGAGTGGACTGCTGAAAGTGGGGCCTTCCTGAGAGTCCAGTATGCAGTCGGCCCGCAGACCCTTTGGTGCCTCCAGGTGGTGGCCTACGGTGCTGCAGCAGAAGGCGCATTAAGCGGAGGGTGGGCAGCGCAGCTGAGCTCACCGCCACGGGCGCATCCATCCCTCCTGGGCCTATAATTTGGGTTCCCCGGGTCTGGCCTCCCCTATCAGCGGCTCAGCAACAGATGAGTCACCCGGGACCCCGGGCCAAGGCAAACATGGGGGGAGGAGGAGGAGGAGGCTTCTGAGGCTTTAGCCACCGCCTCAGTTGCTCGACATCCCCCAATCTCCAGGGGCCCCCACTCTTTTCTTTGACCCCCGCCCTCCAGGGCCCCAGTGTTCTTCCCACATTGCTCTCGTTACACCCTCCATCCCTAGGATGGGAAGGGCAGCCCTCCACTCTTCTCATTGAGGGGAAGGGGAACCAGCTTGCTCCTAGTCCCTCCCTGCAGTGATGAAAGCCCCCCACTTTCCCCCTCCTGTCATTGGCCCTGACCCACGTCAAGGTCTCTCTGGTTCCCGTCCCTCCCCTTTCTTGGAGCTGGCCGCGTGCTTGGGGTATTAGGCAATGGGTGTGCACCCACAGCCCTCTCCAGGCCCCGCCTGTCCCACCGCCCTCTAGCCGCCTGCGGGTCAGTGCTCAGGCCAGCCGGTCGGGCTGAGGGCACTGCGGGCCAGCTCAGGCCACCCAGTCTGCCGGCCTGTGGCCTCTTGTCCCAGAGTTGGGCTTCAGTAGAGAGAAGGAGCAGGACTCTGGGTCCTTGGATTTGGAACAGTCCTGCTTGGGGAGACCTAGGGTCACCAGGAAGTTGAAACCTATTGTAGTAGTTCTGCCCCTCGCCCCTTCTTGGCACCTGGCTGTATGCTGGAGCCTGACAAGGGTAGAATCAGAAGGCAAAAAATAATCCCAAACCTAAGGGGGACCCAGAGACACATGGAGAAATACAAATGTCCATGAGGTCCCCATGGAGAAGAGAGGCTTAGGCAACCTCATTCCCCTCTTCCAAGGACCTGGCAGGAATCCCAGGGTGACTGCAAGAAAAAGGATAAGGACACTGGTGGGGATCATGAATCCAGGTGTAAGGATGAAAACTATGAGATGGGGCTTGCAGATTCTGGTGACCTCCAAAACCACACATGGTTTGGCTCTTGTCCTCTAAATGGGAAGGAGGGTCAGGAACTCTAGTGCTCCCACTTCCCCATCCCAGAGGTAGGGAATCAGAGAAAAGCAGTCTGGTCCAGGCTGTCCAGTGTCAGGGACCATGGCACTTTCACCTCCCCAGACTGCTCACAGCCTGGCACGTAAAGGTGATCTGTAAATATCCCAACAGATGTAAGTTTGCTCGATCTCCTGTCTCAGACTGCTGTGCCCGCTATCCAACAGTGACCCCTGCAGCACGGGCAGGACCTCCAGCAGCACAGACTGGAGGCTGGCTGCCCAGCAGAGCTGCAACGCCACCACCAAGGAAGAGGTGACTGTGGTTGTGGGTATCATCCCTGTTCCTCTGCTTGCTTGGGGGCAGTCTGAGTCAATGTGCCTGGGGCGCGTGGGGCCAGCCGTGCCTTGGGCTGCGGTCTGGCAGGGGCGGGGGGCGGCTGGAAAGCCTGGGGCCCCTCTCTGGCAAAAATAGCCCACAGTGGTTAGAGCTTCGAGGGTGAGTCAGGCGGGAGCACGGTGGCGCCTAACCCGTTCGCTGCCACTGGGTCTCCCTAAGGCGGTTTGCCTTTGCCTGTGCACCCCAAGACCAGGCTCTTTCCCGGCTGCCCTTGGGCTTGGCTCAATTTTGGATCCCAAGGCCCTCCTCATCCCATAAGAAGCAAGTCTACAGCTTGGAGCAGGAATCCAGGCCACCCAAAGTGCAGACCGGGGGAATCCCGAGAAGGGTAGGATACCTCTGTTGGCAAGCATCCCTGCCAGGCAAGGAAGCATCGGGGCAGGCTGACAATCTTTGGTGCTACTTGAACCTCTGCTAGGGCCAAACTCTGAGGCCAAAGCTGTCCCCTCCAAAGGGGCAGGCGCAGGGCTTGGAGGAGGGTGGGAACCAAGCTGCCCAGACGTGTGCTTCTCCTGCCCGCTCTGAGTACCCCGGGTGCGCTCAGGCTGTGGGTGCCACATGTGACTGTCCCACACCGAGAAGCCCAAAGACTGTCTGGCTCCATCCTCATCTTGTCAAAGGCACCTTCCAGCCACCCTGATCTTGGTGGAGAAACTGACGCAAAGAGGAGTGATGAAAGATGTGGCCATCTGGGCCCCATTCTGGCTCCCTAGGAAGGTTACTACACCCTCCCTGCAGCCTTGGCGACCCCAGATCAGGTGAGAGGAACTCTGGCCACCTCCTTCTTCAGTGGGGCCAAGCCTGAACCCAGGCGTCGGGGGAGAGGGTGTGTGAGAGAGAGAGAGTGTGTGTGTGTGTGTGTGTGTGTGTGTGTGTGTGTGCGCGCGCGCGCGCGCGCGCGCGCGCTGGGAGGAGGGGGAGGCTGCATTCGCCTGGTCAAGGCTGGGAGTGGAGGGTAGGGTGGGGAAGCCCCAGGCTCGGGGAGGGGCTGCAGCTCCGTCAGCCCGGCAGAGCCACCCTGAGCTCGGTGAGAGCAAAGCCAGAGCCCCCAGTCCTTTGCTCGCCGGCTTGCTAGCTCTCTCGATCACTCCCTCCCTTCCTCCCTCCCTTCCTCCCGGCGGCCGCGGCGGCGCTGGGGAAGCGGTGAAGAGGAGTGGCCCGGCCCTGGAAGAATGCGGCTCTGACAAGGGGACAGAACCCAGCGCAGTCTCCCCACGGTTTAAGCAGCACTAGTGAAGCCCAGGCAACCCAACCGTGCCTGTCTCGGACCCCGCACCCAAACCACTGGAGGTAATTAGACCTGGGAAAGCAGGGAGGGCAGGGACGTGCACACGAGGAAGAGACAGGCACGTGTGTAGTCAGACAGACAGACAGACACGCATCCACCCACAGAAGCACAGAGACGCATAGAGAGCCAGAGATATTGCTAGAGATAAAGACACAGAGAATAAAGGAGTGCCCCCAGATTTAGAATGCAATGAATGTGAGAGCCAAGGGGTGAGGACCAGACGGGCGACTATGGAGGAGGGGAGCTTGTAGTTAGGCAAGGTGGGGGATAGGGAAGAGGACTCAGTCTGTGCCACGGTCCCTTTTAGGAGGGAGCCAGGCTCTCCTCCCCATCTTTCCTGCACCTGGAGCCTCTCCTCTTTCCTTGCTGCTCAGGGAGGGGGCAGTGTGAGTGGGGAACTCATTCTTAGACCTTTCTCATGGAGCCTACTTGCCCTTGATGACACCTGGAGGTGACACCCCCTTAGGTGGTGGGGAACCTCCTCCCTATCCCTCTCCCTAGCCCTGTGAGGGCGGGGAAGCTAGTCGTGGGGCCCTGGAAAAGGGAGCAGTAGGCGAGGTTGTGGAGCAAGTGTTTGTGAGTCTGTGTGTCTGAGTTTGCAAGTGAGTGTGTGTCTGTGTGCCGGGCGTTGTGTCTGATTGGGCAAGGTTCCAGGGGTGCTCGCTTGAGTCCTGAGCTGGGACAACGCCTTGACTCTTCTTCTTTAAGACCTCCAAGCCTCAGGGACTCTGGGAATCAAGGGGTGTTTCTTCTTGTTTTGTTTGAGGAGGAATGAGAAGGGTCAGTAGGGTGGCACCGGTGGGTTAGGAGCCCGAAGAAGGGCGTCACTTGGTTCCCCAAGCGAGCCGCCCTATTCCTGAACCCGCATCAAGTCTCCCGTCCCGCAGGTCCTGATCGATCTGCCCACCGGAGCCTCCGGGCTTCGACATGCTGGAGGAGCCCCGGCCGCGGCCTCCGCCCTCGGGCCTCGCGGGTCTCCTGTTCCTGGCGTTGTGCAGTCGGTGAGCAGTTCCCCTTGTCTCCCAGGCCATAGAAACACCGACCCGGGGTGGGGAGAGTTGGAGGGGTCTGGACCGCAGACCCCAGACGCCTTCTTGGTTCCCAGGGCTCTAAGCAATGAGATTCTGGGCCTGAAGTTGCCTGGCGAGCCGCCGCTGACGGCCAACACCGTGTGCTTGACGCTGTCCGGCCTGAGCAAGCGGCAGCTAGGCCTGTGCCTGCGCAACCCCGACGTGACGGCGTCCGCGCTTCAGGGTCTGCACATCGCGGTCCACGAGTGTCAGCACCAGCTGCGCGACCAGCGCTGGAACTGCTCCGCGCTTGAGGGCGGCGGCCGCCTGCCGCACCACAGCGCCATCCTCAAGCGCGGTGAGCCTGGCTGGGCGGGTCGGCGCTGCCGCGGAGGCTAGGGGGTGGGCGGCAGGGCGAGGCGCGCGGAGGCGGGAAGGGATGGTTTCGCGGCTCCGGGAGGGGCCTCTCCTGGAATTCCCCGCCCCCCCCGGAGCCGCTCTGAGCCAGGTCTGGCCACTCGTCTGGGCCCCTGCGCGCCTAACTTCCACCTGCGTGCTGCCAGCGAGGCAGCTGGGTCCCTGCTCTCCTACCCTAGGGCCCCCCTTTCCTGCCTCCGCTCAGCTTAATCTGGGTTGCACCTGTGAACAAGAGATGCCCCCAGTCCTGGAAGCTTCAAACGCCCCCCTATTCCCTCCACCATTTTCTCTCCCCCCATCTTGGCTGGACAAGCCCAGGCTGGTGTCCCCAGTGTCTCAGCGGGGGTGGGGTGACGCCCCCAACCGTTTAAGGGTTAAATCTGCTCCCCTAATTGCTGGGGTTCCCAGGAGCCAAAGCTGGGAACAAAGACCCTGATGACTTTGAAGCTGGGGAGCCAGTCCCCTCCTCTGTGCTGTGGGGGCTCCAGGTGTTGCTCACCTGAGCAGGTGAAGAACGGCTGGAGAGGCAGAGAACAGGTCACTGCTGGCCTGGTCTGGGAGGCATGGCTGCCTCTCCTGGTTTCCCACTGGAGTTCACTCCCTGAGGTGTAAAGACCCATGGGGGCTCAGCCCAGAGATGGGGGCAGTGCTCTGGGGACTATGGGGTTAATAGGCAGCTGCCATCTGCAGGGGAATTCCCAAGACTTGTGCAAACAGCTTCACCCCTGGAGGGTTGGAGTTAGGGGGATCAGAAGGCTGGCCCAGGAGCCCTAGATCCTGGGGTAGCAGAGGCCTGGTCTCTAAGCGGGTGCTGTCTCTCGTCTTCTCAGGGCTCCGGAGAGCCCCTGCCTAAAATGAAGTGAGGGTCCCCCTCCTTCCCCACAGGGCCTGGTGTAGGGGAAGGCTTGGACACCCAAATGGTGAGCATGTTTATTTAAGTCTGGGAAAGGCTTGGCAGCCTGAGCTTCTGTGACCCCCAAAACATAACAAAGAAGCCAACCTTTTAAGAGGGCCTTAGGGAAAATCACTCCCCAACCTCTCTCCTCCTCTCAGTGTTTTATAGGGTAATAGCAGGTTAGGATAAACATAAAAAGGGCAGTCTTGAAGGGCAAATATAAAACTACATCTTGGGAAGCGGAAGGGCAGCTCCATAGCTCCAGTGCTTTGGGGGTGCTAGGATGGTGGTAGGTAGGTTGGTTAAAAGACTGATTAACCCTGAAGTGAATTTAAAAAAAAAAAAACAAAAAAACAGAACCACAAAGGCTCTGCTCCCACCTCACCCACCCAAGCTCCCTGCAGGGTTGGGGGAATTTCTAAGGCTTTCAGATGTAGAACTCGGTTGTACACATCTTCAAAGACCTCAGGGACTCCCTCTTAGTCATCTCCCGACTCCAGGGGTCTCTCCCTGTGGGCTAGCTCTTTCATCTACACCTGAAAATCACAGACTTACAGAATGAGAATGGGCCTCAGAGATCATCTTGACCCATCGTCTCCTGCCTCCCTTTAGAAATGAAGAATCTGAGGCTCTGTGCTTTTTGTACCCTTCCTTGTCCCATGACTTTCCTCCAAATCACTCAGCTGGTGAATGGCAGGGTCAGGATTCAGTTAGGAATTTCTGGAGTTGGAGGGGGGCTGTTTATTTCTTTCTGCCTCCACACTCTCAGCTGCCTGTCAACCTTACCTCCACCATCACACCCTTCTCATCCCCAGGTTTCCGAGAAAGTGCTTTTTCCTTCTCCATGCTGGCTGCTGGGGTCATGCACGCAGTAGCCACGGCCTGCAGCCTGGGCAAGCTGGTGAGCTGTGGCTGTGGCTGGAAGGGCAGTGGTGAGCAGGATCGGCTGAGGGCCAAACTGCTGCAGCTGCAGGCACTGTCCCGAGGCAAGAGTTTCCCCCACTCTCTGCCCAGCCCTGGCCCTGGCTCAAGCCCCAGCCCTGGCCCCCAGGACACATGGGAATGGGGTGGCTGTAACCATGACATGGACTTTGGAGAGAAGTTCTCTCGGGATTTCTTGGATTCCAGGGAAGCTCCCCGGGACATCCAGGCACGAATGCGAATCCACAACAACAGGGTGGGGCGCCAGGTATGTGTGTACATCTTGTCCTGGGTCTCCCCAGCTTTTGAGGCCTGGTTAGAGTTTGAGAGGCATAGGGAAATGATAGGATAAAGTGTGATGAGTGACTGACACTCACCATCAGCAAGTCACCCAGCCTCAGTTTTGTATCTGTAAAGAACCTAATGATACTTATCTTACAATGTTATTAAGACTGAGCTAGCAGGCCAGTGTGGTGGCTCACGCCTATAATTTCAGCACTTTTGGAGGCTGAGGGGGGAGGATTGCTTGAGGCCAGGAGTTCAAGAACAGCCTGAGCAACGTTGTGAGACCCCATCTCTATATTTAAAAAAATTATACATATAAAAACAGACTGGGCCGGGCGCGGTGGCTCATGTCTGTAATCCCAGCACTTTGGGAGGCTGAGGCAGGCAGATCACCTGAGGTCAAGAGTTCCAGACCACCCTGGCCAAGGTGGAGAAACCCCATCTCTATTAAAAGTACAAAAATTAGGCCGGGTGCAGTGGCTCACACCTGTAATCCCAGCACTTTGGGAGGCCGAGGCGGGTGGATCAAGAGGTGAGGAGATCGAGACCATCCTGGCTAACGTGGGAAACCCTGTCTCTATTAAAAACACAAAAAATTACCCGGGCATGGTGGCATGTCCCTGTAGTCCCAGCTACTGGGGAGACTGAGGCAGGAGAATCGCTTGAACCTGGGAGGCAGAGGTTGCAGTGAGCCTAGATCGTGCCACTGCACTCCAGCCTGGGCGACAGAGCAAGACTCCCTCTCAAAAAAAAAAAAAAAAAAGACAAAAATTAGCCAGGCGTGGTGGCCTGCGCCTGTAATCCCAGCTACTCAGTAGGCTGAGGCAGGAGAATCGCTTGAACCTGGGAGGCGGAGGTTGCAGTGAGCCGAGATGGCACCACTGCACTCCAGCCTGGGCGACAAGAGCAAGGCTCCGTCTCAAAAAACAAAAACAAACAAAAAAACAGACTGAGCTAGCAAATAGTATACCCAGCATAGTGCCTCATCGTTGGCTGACTGCATAGTAGCTCTTATTACAGCTACCTTCCCTACAGAATTTAGGCATGCTGTGGGCCAGACTCCCAATTTTATAAGTGCTTACAATGGAAAGAGCACTGGATTGGGAGTCAGGACAACTTGAGTTGAGTCTTGGCTCTATTACTAGCTGTTGATGGAAGATGGACAAATCACACTGCTCTGTCTTCAATTCTGCCATCATAAAATGAGGAAGTTGGCTATTAGCTAACTGCAATGTCCTTTCTGTTCTGATATACCATGTTATTCTTGCCTCCATTTGTCCCTCCCTGTGTTCTCTGTTCCCTTCCCTCTCCTGTGCCTCTGTGTTCTGTCCATTTGCTGCCCTCTGCTTCACCTCTTTTCCCCCTGATGCTCTAGGTGGTAACTGAAAACCTGAAGCGGAAATGCAAGTGTCATGGCACATCAGGCAGCTGCCAGTTCAAGACATGCTGGAGGGCGGCCCCAGAGTTCCGGGCAGTGGGGGCGGCGTTGAGGGAGCGGCTGGGCCGGGCCATCTTCATTGATACCCACAACCGCAATTCTGGAGCCTTCCAGCCCCGTCTGCGTCCCCGTCGCCTCTCAGGAGAGCTGGTCTACTTTGAGAAGTCTCCTGACTTCTGTGAGCGAGACCCCACTATGGGCTCCCCAGGGACAAGGGGCCGGGCCTGCAACAAGACCAGCCGCCTGTTGGATGGCTGTGGCAGCCTGTGCTGTGGCCGTGGGCACAACGTGCTCCGGCAGACACGAGTTGAGCGCTGCCATTGCCGCTTCCACTGGTGCTGCTATGTGCTGTGTGATGAGTGCAAGGTTACAGAGTGGGTGAATGTGTGTAAGTGAGGGTCAGCCTTACCTTGGGGCTGGGGAAGAGGACTGTGTGAGAGGGGCGCCTTTTCAGCCCTTTGCTCTGATTTCCTTCCAAGGTCACTCTTGGTCCCTGGAAGCTTAAAGTATCTACCTGGAAACAGCTTTAGGGGTGGTGGGGGTCAGGTGGACTCTGGGATGTGTAGCCTTCTCCCCAACAATTGGAGGGTCTTGAGGGGAAGCTGCCACCCCTCTTCTGCTCCTTAGACACCTGAATGGACTAAGATGAAATGCACTGTATTGCTCCTCCCACTTCTCAACTCCAGAGCCCCTTTAACCCTGATTCATACTCCTTTTGGCTGGGGAGTCCCTATAGTTTCACCACTCCTCTCCCTTGAGGGATAACCCCAGGCACTGTTTGGAGCCATAAGATCTGTATCTAGAAAGAGATCACCCACTCCTATGTACTATCCCCAAACTCCTTTACTGCAGCCTGGGCTCCCTCTTGTGGGATAATGGGAGACAGTGGTAGAGAGGTTTTTCTTGGGAAAGAGACAGAGTGCTGAGGGGCACTCTCCCCTGAATCCTCAGAGAGTTGTCTGTCCAGGCCCTTAGGGAAGTTGTCTCCTTCCATTCAGATGTTAATGGGGACCCTCCAAAGGAAGGGGTTTTCCCATGACTCTTGGAGCCTCTTTTTCCTTCTTCAGCAGGAAGGGTGGGAAGGGATAATTTATCATACTGAGACTTGTTCTTGGTTCCTGTTTGAAACTAAAATAAATTAAGTTACTGGACTGGTGGATGCAGATGGTGATGTATGTACCCACACTTGGGATCCCAGTCCATAGCTTCTTTTCTAGGTGAATTCTCCTACCTTCCTACACTCAGTGACTTTATGTATATCCTGCTGAGTTCCGCAAAGGATTTGAAATGAATCTCAGTGACTTTGTTGGCAACTTTTCCTTTGTAAAACCAGGAAGGACTCCTAGGTGGGAAGGGCTAGAGTTCCAGATGTAGGCCCTATTGACTCTCTATGCGCCTCAACTCCAGATTTCACCTTGATCACTGCCTTAGAACAAGGGCTGGCAATTTTTTTGTTTTTTTTCGGTAAAGGGCTGGATAGTAAATACATTACACTTGTGGTCTTTGTCCCAACTATTCAACTCTGCCACAACTACTCAACTCTGCTGTTATAGATCAACAGCAGCCATAGACCACACATAAACGAATGAGCGTGGCCGTGTCCAGTAAAACTTCATTCACAGAAATGGGCTGCAAGACCAAATTTGGTCCCCTAGCTGCAGTGTGTTGACCCTCATTCTAGACCACGAGGTTGCCTTTGTTCTGGAGTTTTTCAGTCCTAAATGTATCTCAACACTGAATTTGGACCCAAAAGAACAGGTACTTTTTTCTCTGGTTCCAAAGGAGTGAACTTGGGATATAGATGCAAGACTGATGGGAAACGTATAAAAGAGATTCATATGCTTGAAATGGGAGTTTTTCCCTCTGGAAACTAGCAAAACCAGCATGTTCTCTCATGGAATTATTTGCATGTTTTTTGTCCTTATTTATTTGATTGAGACAGGGTCTCACTTTGTCACCCAGGCTGGAGTACAATGGTGAGATCTTGGCTCATTGCAACCTCCTCCTCCTGGGTTCAAACCATCCTTGTGCCTTAGTCTCCCGAGTAGCTGGGATTACAGGTATGCATTACCATATCTGGCTAAGTTTTGTATTTTTAGTAGAGATGGGTTTTCGCCATGTTGGTTGGCCAGGCTGGTCTCGAACTCCTTGCCTCAAGTGATCCACACGCCTTGGTCTCCCAAAGTGCTGGGATTACAGGCGTGAGCCACTGTGCCTGGCTTATTTATTATTATTATTTTTTGAGACAGGATCTCGCTCTGTTGCCTTGGCTGGAGTGCAGTGACATGATCTTGGCTCACTGCAAACTCCACTTCTTGGGCTCAAGTCTGGGTCCAAGAGTAGCTGGGACTACAGACACATGCCACCACACCTGGCTAATTTTTTTTTGTGTGTGTATTTTTTTGTAGAGATAGGGTTTCACCATGTTGCCCAGGCTGGTCTAGAACTCCTGACCTTAAGCGATATGCCTGTCTAAGCCTCCCATGACCTTCCTCATTTAGAGCTCTTTTGTATGTCATCTTAGTAAAATAATTCCTTTATCTTTTAAGAGATAACATCAACTCAACAGAACAGGATTTATTTTTATTTATTTATTTTTGAGATGGAGTTTCACTCTTGTTGCCCAGGCTGGAGTGCAATGGCGTGATCTTGGCTCACTGCAACCTCCACCTCTCTGATTCAAGCGATTGTCCTGCCTCAGCCTCCCAAGTAGCTGGGACTACAGGTGCGTGCCACCACGCCTGGCTAATTTTTGTATTTTTAGTAGAGATGGGGTTTCACCATGTTGGCCAGGCTGGTCTCAAACTCCTGACCTCAGGTGATCCACCCGCATCAGTCTCCCAAAGTTCTAGGATTACAGGCATGAGCCACTGTGCCTGGCCCTAGCCCAACATCTTTGAAAATAAACTCTTACTGGGCTGGGTGCAGTGGCTCACGCTTGTAATCCCAGCACTTTGGGAGGCCGAGATGGGCAGATCACGAGGTCAGGAGATCAAGACCATCCTGGTTAACATGGTGAAACCCCGTCTCTACTAAAAATACAAAAAAAAATTAGCCAGGCGTGGTGGCGGGCGCCTGCGGTCCCAGCTACTTGGGAGGCTGAGGCAGGAGAATGGCGTGAACCCGGCAGGCGGAGCTTGTAGTGAGCCAAGGTCGTGCCACTGCACTCCAGCCTGGGTGACAGAGTGAGACTCCGTCTCAATAAATACATACATACATACATACGTAAACTGTTTTCTTCCTTTCTTCCTTTCTTTTTCTTTCTTTATTTCCTTTCTTTCTTTCTCTTTCTTTCTTTCTTCCTTTCCTTTCCTTCTTCTTTCTTTTCTTTCTTTTTTTTTTTTTTTTCATACAATGTCTTGCTCTGTCTTCCAGGCTGAGTGCAATGGCTCAATCTTGGCTCAATGCAACTTCTGCCTCCCAGGTTCAAGCGATTCTCCTGCCTCAGCCTCCCAAGTAGCTGGGATTACAGGTGCTGGCCACCACACCCAGCTAATTTTTGTATTTTTTATAGAGATAGGGTTTCGCCATGTTGGCCAGGCTGGTCTTGAACTCCTGACCTCAGGTAATCCATCCGCCTTGGCCTCCCAAAGTGCTGGGATTACAGGCATCAGCCACCAAGCCTGGCCTAAGCTGTTATCTTTCTAAGATTCAATGCAGACAAGGAATATGCATCACACATTTAGAACTTCACAAATGACTGCACACTTATGCAGCTGCCAGATGCTGACTCTAACAGATTATTTCTTTGGCCAGAGAATGTAGAAATAGTTCTCTCCACTTCTCTAGACAATAGACACTTCTGCTACCCTCAAAATCAGATGAAATGAGAGTAGTACCAAGGTAGTGAGGACATTTTGAGGAGTATTAGGTTAGGGCAGTACTTTTTTTTGTTTTTTGAGACAGGGTCTTAGGGTTTCTGTCACCCAGGCTGGAGTGCAGTAGCGTGATCTCGGCTTACTGCAACCTCCACCTCCTGGGCTCAACCGATCGTCCTGCCTCAACCTCTTGAGTAGCTGGGAATACAGGTGTGCACCACCAGGCCCGGATAATTTTTGTATTTTTAGTAGAGATGGGGTTTCGCTATGTCGTCCAGGCTGGTCTTGAACTCCTGGACTCAAGCTATCTGCCCTCCTCTGCCTCCTAAAGTGCTACGGTTACAGGCATGAGCCACTGTGCCTGGCCATAGGACAGTTTTGTTTGTTTGTTTTTTGTCTTATTTTTAAGAGACAGAGTCTTGCTATGCTGCCCAGGCTGGTCTCAAGCTCTTGGACCCAAGCAATTCTCTTGCCTTGGTCTCCCAAAGTATTGGGATTACAGGTGTGAGCCACTGTGTTCAGCCAGTACTTTTTTTTTTTTTTTTTAATTTAGAGTCAGTGTCTTGCTCTGTCACTCAGGCTGGAGTGCAGTGGCAAGATCACTGCAGCCCTGAACTCCTTGACTCAAGTGAACTTCCAGCCCCAGCCTCTCAGAGTGTTGGGATTTACAGGTTTGAGTCACCACACTGGGCTCTAGGGCAGAACTTTGTGGCCAAATTTTATGTCCTGGATTTCCACTTGAGCATTGAGAATTCTGGGTTTGGAAATTTGATGGAGACAGGAGAAATCCCATCCTTACTTCAGGCACTTACTGAACCTAGTGTATGTGGAAGGAAGAGGGGATGCACTTAGAATGGGCATAGGATATAAGAGAATAATGATAAAGAATATTTATAATCAGAACTTCTCACACTCAGGACGAGGAAGGAGAATCTCTAACAGAGTCACAGCATGATTATTTCAGCTTTTTCCTGTTTCCTTCCTCTGTACTTTGGGTCCCTCTTTCCTTTCTAGCGTTCCCTCTTCCTTCATCAGACACACTGTGTGGCAAACTTAAGCCCCAAACCACAACCTTGACAAATTCCAAATGGATTTTGTCAGCAAGGCCAACACACCCCTTCGCCACTCCCTATCCCTGCTCCTAGCACATGCACTGGGGTCAGCGACAGGGTTGGAGTATGCAACCCACAGAGCTGGTGGCTACAATTTCAGCTTTTACTAGGCTCCAATGGCAGCCAGAGGGAGGGAGAAAGGCTGATGAACTGTAAGACGGGCCTCTTGTCCCTCTTCAGCTCCAGATGAGTTCTACTCCTGCTGGCCTTTACCAAGTGGCTGGGAAGTTAGGGAGGGGCAGTGGCCAGCTAATTGCCAGCTGGGCAGCACTCCTCCTATCTCTGCTCCTGTTTGCTCCATGGGCAGCGCACTCTGATGCTGCAACAGACGTTTTCTTCTTCAGACTCCAGACAGGTGAAGGACAGAAGCGCTGGGAGATTCTCTAGTCCCATTAATCAGTCCTGACTGACATACCATGGTACCTGCTGCTTACTACATTAGACTGTCACCATTTCCATCTTTCTATTGCACTGGGGATAAAACCTTGAGAAGATCTGAAGCACTGGGCAGGAATATCAACAGGTTCCACCTCCTTGTCTGAGTTCCACAGGCATGTGCACGTGGTAAGGGCACTAGGGAGGTTTTATAAATCATAGTTTTGGTGGACAGCATGGTGGGATAACCTGGTGGAGTGTTACTAGAAATTTCTAGAGAAATAAATGAAAGAGTAATCACATGGAAATATCAAAAAACCCACTCTAGGAGTAATAATACTGGAGGAAGATCCTTTTGTAGTTCATAAGCATAATGACTGGGTGCTTACACACATGTGAGATGTGCCACCCTCAAACCTTGTTACATTGGCACACTATCCATTTGACATGAACAACAACAACAAAATACTGGAGGTGTCTTTTGTCCTTAAAAACACAGAGCTGGGCTAGGCACGGTGGCTCATGCCTGTAATCCCAACACTTTGGGACGCCTAGATGGGAGGACTGCTTGAGCTCAAGAGTTTGGCCTGGGCAACATGGCAAAACCCTGTCTCTACAAATAGCATAAAAATTAGCTGGGTGACTGGGCATGGTGGCTCACGCCTGTAATCCCAGCACTTTGGGAGGCTGAGGCAGGTGGATCACCTGAGGTCAGGAGTTCAAGACCAGCCTGACCAACACAGTGAAACCCTGTCTCTACTAAAAATATAAAAATTAGCCGGGCGTGGTGGCACATGCCTATAATCCCAGCTACTTGGGAGGCTAAGACAGGAGAGTCACCCGAACACAGGAGGCAGAGGTTGCAGTGAGCGGAGATTGTGCCATTGCACTCCAGCCTGGGCAACAAGAGCGAAACTGTCTC
Organism: Homo sapiens; assembly: GCF_000001405.40. Taxonomy (NCBI): domain Eukaryota; kingdom Metazoa; phylum Chordata; class Mammalia; order Primates; family Hominidae; genus Homo; species Homo sapiens. Next base: position 48,960,263 of record NC_000012.12, on the reverse strand, counting down.
AAAAAAAAAAAAAAAAATTAGCCAGGCATGGTGGCGTGCACCTGTAGTCCCAGCTACTTGGGAGGCTGAGGTGGTAAGGATCACTTGAGCCCAGGAGGTTGAGGCTGCAGTGAGCCGATTGCGCCACTACACTCCAGCCTCAGCAACACAGCAAGACCCAGTTTCTTTTTTTTTCTTTCTTCTTTTTTTTTTTTTTGAGACGGAGTCTTGCTCTATCGCCCCGGCTGGAGTGCAGTGGCGCGATCTCGGCTCACTGCAAGCTCCAACTCCCGGGTTCACGCCATTCTCCTGACTCAGCCTCAGGAGTAGTTGGGACTATAGGCGCCTGCCACCACGCCTGCCTAATTTTTTGTATTTTTAGTAGAGACGGGGTTTCACCGTGTTAGCCAGGATGTTCTCGATCTCCTGACCTCGTGACTCGTGATCCGCCTGCCTCGGCCTCCCAAAGTGCTAGGATTACAGGCTTGAGCCACCGCTCCCGGCCAAGATCCAGTTTCAAAAACAGAAAAAAAAAAAAAAGCAAGAAACAAACAAACAAAACCACCAACAAAAACACACCCGACAGAACTACCCAGCACAGTGGCACATGTCTATAATCCCAGCTATTCATGAGGCTGAGACAGGAGGATCACTTGAACCCAGGAATTCAAGACTGAAGTGTGCTATGATCGCTCCTGTGAATAGCCACTGCACTCCAGCCTGGGCAACATAGTGAGACCCCGTATCTTAAAAAAACACAGAGATGTGGCTCACGCCTGTAATCCCAGCACTTTGGGAGGCTGAGGCAGGCAGATCACGAGGTCAGGAGATTGAGATCATCCTGGCTAACACAGTGAAACCCTGTCTCTACTAAAAAAACAAAAAATTGGCCGGGCATGGTGGCACACACCTGTAGTCCCAGCTACTCGCGAGGCTGAGGCAGGAGAATCGCTTGAACCTGGGAGGCGGAGGTTGCAGTGAGCTGAGATTGCACCACTGCACTCCAGCCTGGGTGACAGAGCGAGACTCCATCTCAAAAACAAACAAACAAACAAACAAACAAACACACACACAAAAACAAAAACAACCCACAGAGATTAGCAGGGCAGCAGCCCTTAATAGCAGTGCCCAGGACAGATATAATTCCTTGTTATAAACAGGTTCCTTGTCATCCATCTCATCCCTTACCATCTTAAATTAAGGTCCCCTTAGCTTGACATTCTAGGGTCATGTTATCAGGTTAACATAAGAGAGAGAACAGACTGGGTTAAGGGACTGTAAGTGCATACACCAGGGATTGATGAGGACAAGGAGATCGACATATATGGCACCTACCAGCTTTTTTTTTTTTTTTCTTTGAGACAAAGTCTTACTCTGTCGCCCAGGCTGGAGTGCAGTGGTACGATCTTGGCTCACTGCAACTTCCGCCTCCCAGGTTCAAGCGATTCTCTGGCCTCAGTTCAAGTAGCTGGGATTACAGGTATGTGCCACCATGCCCGGCTAATTTTTGTATTTTCTGGTAGAGACAGGGTTTCACCATATTGGCCAGGATGGTCTCAAACTCCTGACCTTAAGTGATCTGCCCACTTCAGCCTGCCAAAGTGCTGGGATTACAAGTGTGAACACAGGGCCTGGCCCCAGCTTAGTTCTTCTTGGAAGCAAGGAAACAAACAAACAAAATCAACCAAGGCAATAAATTCATAAGAGCAACAATTTGGGCTCAAGCCTTAGGGAAGAGCCATGTGTTCATTCCCTTATACTGCTGTAAATGAGGAGAGAGGGCACTTAGAGAACCTTCTATTGGCCGGGCGCGGTGGCTCACGCCTGTAATCCCAGCTACTCAGGAGGCTGAGGCAGGAGAATCGCTTGAACCCGGGAGGCAGAGGTTGCAGTGAGCCAAGATGGTGCCATTGCACTCCAGCCTGGGCGACAGAGTGAGACTCTTGTCTCAAAAAAAAAAAAAAAAAAAGGAACCTTCTGTTCTTAGCATTACTAGTGCCCTTCTATCACAGCTATTTTTGTTTCAAGGCAGTTCTGCATGTCTAGACCAGGTGCAAAACGGAGTGTGAGGGAAGTAGGAGTGGGTAGGAAGCAAGAAATATGGGTGCAAAGTCCTTCACCTTTCCTTGGGATACTAAAATCCCTACTCATCTAGGCACACTTCCTCAAACCACACTTCTGAATATTAGGTTTCCACTCTCCGTCTTTCAAGTTCCAACTTAACTGGCTCAGAGTCCAGCTGTTTTCCTTTAGCCTCTTAAGTTCATCACTCTCCTTCCTCTTCCTTATGGGAAAGGATCTCTTGATTCAGACCCCACAGTAATCTAGTCTCAGGAATAGTGAGCAACAACAATGGTGCGGTGAGGGCTTTCAGGGGATGGCAGCTAGCCCAGATTAAGAAATAAAGATGAAGTCTGGCTGGGTAAGGCATGCCACAGCAACGACTGTTCACCCATATCCCGATGCTGGCTTTGCCCAAGGAGCCCCTGGGCCCCGCAGCCCAGCCCGTCTCCTACGCAGCCAACTTGCCGCCTCAGTCCTTAAATTCCAGGCACAACCCTGGAGCTTGGGATTGTCACCTCAGTCCTCACTGTCTCATCCCCATTCACGGCTCCCGCCTCCGCCGCCCACAGCCCCCACACCTGCCCCCGCCCTGACTCCAGCTCCAGCGCCCGGCCGCCGGTGCTGCAGCCGCTGCCATGGTGATGGGTCTCGCGAGAACTGCCGCTAGCTACCGCGCAGCTATCGCGCGATCGGGGAGGTGGGAAGTATCCCGGGCTGGGGGTGGGGGTACGCCGCACAGCTCCAGTCGCCGTCGCGGCTTCCGGTGCTAGGTGGAGGGAAGGAAGGAGGGAGCCGGGGAGTGGGCCAGGGCAGCAGCCGGGCTGAAGTCGGCTTGGGGAGCCAGAGGGAGCGGAGCGGAACCTGCGGGGCAGAGGCGGCGGCCGCAGCGGCGCAGCTGATAGCAGGAACAGGTGAGAGGCTGGGAAGGGAAGGCGGGTCCCGGTAGAGAAGAGGCTCGGTCAGGGTGAGGGCTGAGGAGATAGAGCGCCTCCCGGGCCCCGCCCGGCACTGCTTGGCGTGGGGCGGTGGGATTCTTCCCACCCGAGAGCTCAGAGAGGGTGCGTCGGGCCAGCTTCACGCCTGCCCCCGCATTTGAAGGACGCAGAGCTGGGGTGGGGGTGGGGGGCGCACACGGATTTGTCCTCCGCCTCGCTCAAGGGGGCGACCTGGGCTGCAGTTAGGTTGTCGCCTGCAGGAGGTGTGCTGTTGAGGGAGAGGAAAACCGTCCGAGGAGAGGTGATGAGGGGGCGGTGATGGCTGTTTGTATCTTTTCTGTTAAAGGGCTAGGGAATGCTGCTTTCTTCTACTCCCTCTCCCTCCCCCACCTTAGCAATAGGAGACGGGAGAGAAGCCTTGCTGTGGTTACACCCCCTCCCCCATCATAGGGCAGGGGTGCGTAGGGGGGTTGGGGGTTAGCCAACAGGGCAGGCTGCTGGGGCACCACATGGGCGCTATTGTGGTAGAGGTTGCGCTTTCGAGTCTAGGGAACCGCAGGTTGGGAAGAGGGCAGCAAGTGGGGAGAGGGTGGAGAGGAGGCAGGAGAAGGAGGAGGGGGATCTGATCTTCCTGGGAGAAGAGAGGTGGGGCCTTCCTCCCCAGGCGGAGCGGGGGCGGTCTCACAGGAGGAGGGAGCATCTTGTCACTGGCCCTCAGTTTGTGTCTTCCAATCCGCTTTCTTTCTTTAGGAAGTACCAGGATTCCCGGAACAGAAAATGGAGCCATTGCTTACGCGAATCGTTTGAGGGAAGGGGCGGGAGTTGGGGAGGTGGAGTTCCCTGTTAAAACGGGCCACTTGATTAGCAAAGTGGTAGCTGTTATTTTGGGGGAATTCCCGTCTTGATTGCATTAAGGCGGGTCTCCATCTTTCCAGGCCAGGAGGAATGTGGTGGTGGAGGTGGAGGATTGTGGTATGTGGTCAGGAGTGAGAAGAAATAGTAAGGCCGTCCCGGTGAGGGAGAAATGTAACCTAAAACCTGTCTCTGCTGTTGTTGGATTGGGTCACCCCTGGTCTATGGCATGAAAGTTTTATTGGGAGGAGATCTGCTGCAAGAGTCTGATTGCTTGGGTCAGTGCAACAGGACAGAATCTAGTCGCTGCATACCTCCTTCCCTGTCCTCAATCAGGTAGGTAGTAACAGTCTTTGCTGCTATTTTGTCTTGGGCTTGTTGTTGGGGTAGGTGTTTCCACTTGCCGTGACTTGGGACATGGGACAGTGTTATGGGACAGTGGATTATCATAGCCCATTGGACTTGAGTTTGAAAAACATGTCTGTAAAAGTTCATTCTAAGAAAGAAACTAATCCATTAAGGTTCAGCTTTTCACCGAATGAATGATTGACCTTGGATTCAGCCAGGAAAGGCTCCCATGTATCACATATTCACATGCGTCCTGTTTCCCAGCATAGAATTATTACCTTGCATAGTTAGAATTTTTATAGTTGTCTATCTTGCTTTTCCAAAGAGACTAGACGCTTTTCGACTGCAGGAACTGGATTTCGTCTCCTCTTCCACAATGCCCATGCAAACAGTAGGTACCCATGATGAATTTAGAATGTAAATAGATAGAACTCAACAAGCTTTCTAACTGTAGTTTAAGGAAAGGGCAAGAGATGGCTTGGCTGTCAGCAGAAGTGCCTGGAAATAGCTTAGCAAGGGTACAAAGACCCTTAGCCTTTGTAATTAAGAAGTTTTTGTGTCTCTGCCTTCCTAAGAGGCACAGAATAGGCATAGATAATGGAAACTTAAGACCCAAAAAGAAAAATATTACTAGAACACAGAGTCATTATCTGCAGTCCCAGATTTCCTGCTTCCCCATTGTGGGCAAAGGGGTCTCTCCATCAGACCTAAGTCTTTCAAAGTGTTATATATGAATTGGGATCCTGGAGAGTTTGGAGGAGGGACCAATATATGTATATGTGTGGTGTCAGGTACAGAATTGGTACCAGTGAATGGTAGCTGCTATTATTATACTGAATGCAAGTATAAAGGAGAGCAGACTGGAAAGAGTGGAAGTGAGTGAAATACTAAGTGCACAAAGAGTCATATTGTAGTGTGTGTTCACCCTACTCTTTTACACTAGAGTCATAATAAGAGGAAGTGGACTCAGGATAGAGGGTGGGATTTATTGGTTAGAAGGAGGAACTTCTTTAAAACCAGGTTGGTTAAAGTTGAGTATGTAACTGAAGGAAATTGTAGAATCTGCTTCCCTATATACCTTTATTTTTATCCACCCAGGCTGGAGGGCAGTGGTGTGATCATAACTCACTGCAGCCTCGAGCTGGCCTCAAGCCATCCTGTACTTCAGCTTCTCAAGTAGCTGGGACCACATGCGTGTGCCACCATGCCCAGCGAATTTTTTTTTTTACTTTTTGTAGAGATCTCACTGTGTTGCTAGGGCTGGTCTCAAACTCCTGGCTCCAATATATCCTCCCACCTTGGCCTCCCAAAGTGCTGAGATTACAGGCATGAACCACCATGCCTGAACTCTCCTCACCATTTTTGTTGAGGTAAATTTAGAGGCAGAATGGTATAGTAATTAAGAGTGGATCTTGGAATCAGACAAAATTAGATTCAAATCCTGCTTCTGCTAATTACCAGTTGCATGTTTCTTGTAAAATTGCTTGTCTTCTCTCTTTATTTTCTTCATCTGTAAAGAAGGTAATGACATATGGTTTTCAAGAGAATTATTATTTTTTTGGTTGTCAGTAGAATTAAATGAGATAAATGTAAAGCACCTGGTATTGTACAAAGCATATAGTAAGTACCAAATAACTGTTAGCTGCTATTAATAATCCATTATCATAATCCTAATAATATGAACACTCAGGGCTGCCTTAGAGGAAAAGAGGTTTACAGAAGAACAACTTGCTGCCTGAGGTGCTTGTGTAGAGGGATGATTGTTACCATGAGTTTCTGTGCTGGTCGTAGGCTTATGAGCAGCGAAATCTTTTTTCAGCTTCAGCATCAGCATCGCAGAGACAGCTCCTGCTGCCTGAGTGGGAGGTGAAGCTGGAGCAAGGCAGGGGCCCTGAACCATCAATTTGGATGTAGGGTGAAGATATGGGGGCACAAGAATAGTATTCATATTAGAAAAGTCAGTGTGACTCTGAGATAATGGTTCACTCTTCCAGAAAAGAGCACCCTGATGACCTAGGTCAGGGATTTAGATTCCTAGATGCCCTTATTTTAGGTCTCAGTCAGTATATGGGGATCTTCATTTAGTCCACTCTTTTCATTTAGTCCAATCTTAATAAAAAATGTCTGCTTTTGAGTATCTGTTTCAGAATATCATGGCCTAGAAATTGTGATATCTGTAGAATTATCTGTCTACCGTACCTTCTTCACTTGAACATCTGTTGCAAATATAGATAGAGTGCTAATAAAACTATTTGATAATGAAAAGACATGAGGAGCGTTTGGAAAGGGTCCCACAGATGTTTGAAGGTTTCATATTATAGTCTGGTAAAGAACTGACTAAAGTAGGGATTTCATGAATGTGTTAGAGCTTTACCATGGACTTATGCAAAGGATCTGCCACACCATGTGGACCAGAAAGGAAATGGCTCAGAATGTTAGAGATCCACCATTATTACCATATTCCTGAAGAAAGTTGAGATGACTGGGTGTGGCAGGTCTCTTGGTACCTTTTAGTTCTCCCATTACTGCTGAAAGCCTGGCATAATCCTTCCTTTATTAGCTTATGCACAGGAGTGTCAAGCGTGAATGCTTAAACTTCAGCATGAGCTTAAGATGTAGGAGAGCATTTGCTCTCTGTTGCAATGGTTTATGTCCTTTTTTTAAAAAAAAAATAGTCAAACCTTAAATAAAATTTTATTTGAATTCTAATACATAAAATGGACAAAAGTGGAGTTACTCTCTACTGGTGGTGGAAAATGGGGGTGGGGTATAATTACAGCCCCTCACATGATCTCTCCTCTCTTCAAGCAGAACCTGTGGGCTCTGAGGACATGGAAACCATTTCTTCAGTTTGTCAGATACAGGGAAAAGGATCAGAGACCACCTATAGAATACAGTCTTCTTCAACCCCACAAGTGTTTTGCCACCCTCAGTAGAACCGTTCTCAACACGCCTGTCAGTCACTAGCTATAGGTCAGTCATTGGTGCTGGATGCTGGAGACGTGAAATATGAATAAGGCATAGTCTGTGCTGGCAAAGAGCTCACAGTCTAGTGAGGTACTTTCCAGCCTTTTTCTCATCATGGTATACACAAAAAATGGTAATAGTGAGACTTGAAATCTGAGATGGCTGGCCCAAGGGCTGTAGCCACCCCAAGCCCTGCCCAGCCATCCAGTGGCTGATAGGATCAGTATCTCCAGCTGACCTGTAATGCACTAGAGGCACATTGGGCAGTTGCAGCTCTGGAAAGCAAAACAGACAAACGTGAATACTGCAGCAAGTCCTAGAGTAGAAGTGTGTTTGGGATGCCGAGGGATCGCAGGTAACTCTTATTCCCTAAGTAGGCAGTTCTCTGTTCCTCTGTGTCCTTAGGCTGCTCTGTATAATGGTTGGCCTTGTCCACATCATGTCTTCCTGTTTAAGCAGTTTACTGTCAGCTCCATCTTGACTTGCACAATGGGACCAGATTAGGGGCAGAAGATTATTAGGAGTCTAGGCTATTGATGGACTTTCAGTGATTTTGTGATTAGGAATTTATAGTGTTCTGGATATCCAAGACTGTAGAGGTGGGCATTGGATTGGTACAGCCATAGAATATCAGGAGCTGTAGTGGTTGTAAGCTGGTCAGATTCTAAGAACAAGGCAAGCTGTAATTTTTGGGCAGAGGGCAGTACCACAGAATGTTCCAAAGAAACAAATGAGTCTAGTTTTTATCTTGTCACTGTTTTATCTGACTAGGATTCTAAAACAGACCTTGTCATCTTTTCTGACTCACTTGCTAAGGGTTGTCTGTGGTAAAAGCCAGACCCTTCCCAGGCGTTTTGGGTCTCCATCAGACAGGGCGGTTCGGGATCCTTCTTCACTTCACAGCTGTGGCGTCCTTCAGGTTTGCGTGTCCTGGAGTCTTTTCCAGGATTGTTCTTTGCCTAGATGGGAAGCTGGCATAACAATTCTGGCCTGAGCCTAAACACCACTAATTGAGCTAATAGGAACTTATTTAGTTAGGTACGTTTTAGTTTACACCAAAACTCTAGCTTTGGATCCTCCCTCTTTTCTTTTGTATGTTCTATCCCCATTGGTGTCTATGATGTCTTGCTCTCTTGATTTCCCTTCTGCCTCTCTGGTTGCTTCTTATTCTTTCCTGGCCTGCTTTTCTGCCCGCTATTTTATTTATTTATTTATTTATTTTAATTAGTTTTTTTTTTTGAGACGGAGTTTCGCTCTTGTTGCCCAGCCTGGAGTGCAATGGCACGATCTTGGCTCACAGCAGCCTCCACCTCGCAGGTTCAAACCATTCTCCTGCCTCAGCTTATGGAGTAGCTGGGATTACAGGCGTGCGCCACCACGCCTGGCTAATTTAGTACTTTTAGTAGAGACAGGGTTTCTCCATGTTGGTTAGGCTGGTCTCGAACTCCCGATCTCAGGTGACCCGCCCGCCTTGGCCTTCCAATGTGCTGGGATTATAGGCATGAGCCACCGCGCCCGGCCTATTTATTATTTATTTATTTATTTATTTATTTTTGTGATGGAGTTGCGTTCTTGTCACCGAGGCTGGAGTGCAATGGTGCAATCTCAGCTCGCTGCAACCTTCGTCCACCACCTGGCTTCAAGCAGTCCTCCAGTCTTGCCTCCTGAGTAGCCGGGATTACAGGAATGCCCCACCATGCCCAGCTAATTTTGTATTTTTAGTAGAGATGGGGTCTCACCATGTTGGCCAGGCTGGTCTCAAACCCCTGACCTCAGGTGATCCGCCCACCTTGGCCTCCCAAAGTGCTGGGATTATAGCTATGAGCCACCGCGCCTGGCTCCCACTACTTTAAATGTTGAAATGTCAGGCAGGTTTCTGCCTTTGCCCTTTTCTTCTATCCCACTGTGTACACTATCCCTAGATATATCAGTTAGGATGTATTAGTTGCAAAAATAGAAAACACACGTGTCTAAAACGCTGAGAGGATTTATTAAATCATATAGCAAGACATCTAGTAGAAAGGCAGACATAGGCCGGGTGCAGTGGCTCACGCCTGTAATCCCAGCACTTTGAGAGGCTGAGGCAGGTGGATCACTTGAGGTCAGGAGTTCGAGACCAGCCTGACCAACATGGTGAGACCCTGTCTCTACTAAATACAAAAAATTAGCCGGGCGTGGTGGCAGGTGCCTGTAATCGCCCAGCTACTTGAGAGGCTGAGGCAGGAGAATCGGTTGAACCCAGGAGATGGAGGTTGCAGTGAGCCGAGATTGCGCCATTGCACTCTAGCCTGGGCAACAAGAGCAAAAACTCCGTCTCAAAAAAAAAACAAAAAGGCAGACACAGAAGAACACATATTGTACAATTTTACTTCTATGAAGTACCTAGAGTAACAGATTCATAGAGACAGGAGAATGGTGGTTGCCAGGGGCTGGAGGGACAGGGGGATTGGGGATCCTCTGTTTAACAGGTACAGTTTCAGTTTGGGAAGATTAAAAAGTTGAGGTGATGAATAGTTGTGATAGTTACACTACAGTGTGAATGTACTTAACGCTACTGAATTGTATACTTAAAAAAATGGTTAGAATGGTAAATTTTGTGTATATTTTACTATGATTTAAAAAAAAAGAAGCCAGTCGGGTACAGTGGCTCATGCCTGTAATCCCAGAACTTTGGGAAGCCGAGGTGGGCGGATCACTTGAGCCCAGGAGTTTGAGACTAGCCTGGGCAACATGGCGAAACTTCAGTTAAACAAAAATTAGCCAGGCGTGGTGGTGCATGCCTGTAGTCCCAGCTACTCCAGAGGCTGAAGTGGGAGGATTGCTCGAGCCTGGGAGGTGGAGGCTGCAGTGAGCCACTATCACGCCACTGCACTCCAGCTTGGGTGACAGAGCAAGACCCATCTCAGAAAACGAAAGATGCCAGGCGTGGTGGTGCATGCCTATAGTCCCAGTTACTCAGGATTGCGTGAGCCCAAGAATTTGAGGCTGTAGCGCACCATGAGGGCACCTGTGAATAGCCATTGTATTTCATCGTGGGCAACATAGTGGGACCCCATCTCTAAAAAAGAAAAAGTTTAGTTTACCAGCTTGATACTGTAATTAAGGACCCAACTGAGTTTTTCCCATTTTTCTGCTCTGACATCCTGGAGTTTTTAATGTCTGTCTCCCTCTCTTTATGGTCTCCAGATTATTCTAGCTTCTCATCCTTCTACATCATCAACATCCAAAGGCTGGACAAGAGAACATTGCCATAGGTCCTTTTCTAAGATTGAGGGGCCAGGCACAATGGCTCATGCCTGTCATCTCAGTACTTTGGGAGGCTGAGGTGGGAGGACTGCTTGAGGTCAGGAGTTCGAGACCAGCCTGGGTAACATAGCAAGACCTTGTCTCTACAAAAAAACTTTAAAAATTAGCCAGGCATGGTGATGCACACCTGTAGTTCTAGCTACTTGGGAGGTTGAGGTGGGAGGATCTCTTGAGCCCAGGAGATGGAGGCTGCAGTGAGCCATGATCATGCCACTGCACTCTAGTCTGAGTGGTAGAGTGAGACTCTGTTTCTAAAAACAACAGTAATAATAAAAACAAACATGTTCAGGCCAGGTGCAGTGGCTCATGCCTGTAATCCCAGCACTTTGGGAGGCCGAGGTGGGTGGATCATGAGGTCAAGAGATCGAGACCATTCTGGCCAACATGGTGAAACCCCGTCTCTACTAAAAATACAAAAAATTAGCTGGGTGTAGTGGCGGGCGCCTGTAGTCCCAGCTACTCGGGAGGCTGAGGCAGGAGAATGGTGTGAACCCGGGAGGCAGAGCTTGCAGTGAGCCGAGATCGCGCCACTGCACTGCAACCCGGGCGACAGAGCGAGACTCTGTCTCAGACAACAACAACAACAAACAAACAAACATACATATTCACCTTCAGATCTGTTCCTCTTGTATTTTCTTTCTGAAGAAATGCCACCCAGCCCTAGGCCAGAAACCTGGGAATCATCTTTGATTATTCTACTCTTCTGCGTACATTTAAGCACTCATTAAATCCTGTGGATTCTACCATTTTGATGTTTCAAATCTGTCCTCTTCTCTCTATCTCCACTTGTAGTTGACAACTTGCGATTTCTCACCTGTATTACTATACCTCCTAAGCAGTGTCTGTGCCTCCAGTCTTTCCCCTTTCTAATTTACTCCTGAAACTTCTAAAGCACATACCTGATCACGTTACTCAGCATGGCCTTTAAAGCCCTTCATGATCCAGTCCCTGCTTATCTCTCCAGCCCCATCCCTCATCATTTTCTTTCTTTCTTTTTTTTTTGAGACCGAGTCTCACTCTGTCACCTAAGCTGGAGTGCAGTGATGTGATCTTGGCTCACTGCAACCCCTGCTTCCTGGGTTCAAGCAATTCTCCTGCCTCAGCACCCTGAGTAGCTGGGATTGCAGGCCCACACCATCACACCCGGCTAATTTTTCTATTTTTAGTAGAGACGGGGTTTTACCATGTTGGCCAGGCTGATCTTGATCTTCTGACCTTGTGATCCGCCCACCTCGGCCTCCCAAAGTGCTGGGATTACAGGCGTGAGCTACCACACCTTGCCTGTACTCTTCACTTTAGGAGGCTGAGACTGGAGGATCGTTTGAAGTCAGAAGTTCGAGACCAACCTGGTCAACAAAGTGAGACTCTATCTCTACCAAAAATAAAAATAAAAAAGTTAGCTGCGTCACGATGATTTGGGCCCGTAGGTCTTTTTAGCTACTGGGGAAGCTGAGGCAGTAGGATTGTTTGAGCCCAGGATTTGGATGCTGCAGTGAGCCTGGGTGACAGAGTGAGACCTCATCTCTTTAAAAAAAAAAAAAAGATTATATAAATTTTTTTAAAGTGCTATCTGAAACTTAGGTCTTTTTTTCTTTTTCTTTTTTTTGAGACATATTCTCTCACTCTGTCACCTGGGCTGGAGTGCAGTGGCGTGATCATGGCTCACTGCAGCCACAACTTCCTGGGCTCAGGTGATTCTCTTGTCTCAGCCTCCTGAGTAGTTGGGACTACAGGCGTGCACCACCACACCCAGCTTTTTTTTTTTTTTTTGTAGCGATGGGCTTTTGCCATGTTGCCCAGGCTGGCCTTGAACTCCTGGCCTCAGGCAATCTTCTTGCATCAGCCTCCCAAAGTGCTGGGATTACAGGTGTGTCCTGCTGTGCCTGGCTCAGTCTTTATGCCTTTGCACACACTTCCCCTGCCCAACTCCCTCTTTATTGTCTGATTACTTCCTCGTCTTCCTTTAGGAGCCAGCTCAGGTATGACCTGAGAATTAGGTTTCAGAATCACCCTTTACCCTTCAGTGTTGATTTACTGCTCCAGCTTTCTGTTCACATAATACTATGTGCTTTACTCTTACTCTCACACTGTTTTGTAGTCCTGTCTTCACTAGTCTTTTCCATTAAAGACTGAGTTTCATGAAGGCAGAAACTGTCTCCCTCTCTGTATCCCTAGTTCAGTATGCCCAATAAATGTTTGATGAATGAGGCCAGGCACGGTGGCCCACGCCTGTAATCCCAGCACTTTGGGGGGCAGAGGTGGGCAGATCACAAGGTCAGGAGATCAAGACCATCCTGGTTAACATGGTGAAATCCTGTCTCTACTAAAAATGCAAAAAATTAGCCAGGTGTGGTGGCATGCGCCTGTAGTCCCATCTACTCGGGAGGCTGAGGCAGGAGAATCGCTTGAACTTGGGAGGCGGAGGTTGCAGTGAGCCGAGATTGCGCCACTGCACCCCAGCCTGGGCGAGAGAGCGAGATTGTCTCAAAAAAAAAAAAAAAAAAAAAGTTTGATGAATGGATGAAAGCTGGTATCAGAAGCTATTTCTTAACTTTGGGAAATCTTTAAGTCTAGTCGAAATAGTTCAGATATCATCTAGGAGTTCTTATGTTCTGATTTCAGTGCTCTTGAGACAAAAACTTGGAGTTTACACAGGTCACGAGCCAGCTGCACCAAGAAAACTCAGTACGGGCGTACTCTGCTTTTGTTTCTTTAAATTGTATTGGTCTGTTTGGTTAGCTGTGCTAAAAATAGCATCTCTTAGTGATATTTCAATTTGAAAATTATCTAAGAACAAAGCTGTTTTTACTGCACTCTGCCTGGCAGCAGAGGGTTTGGGAGACCCTGGTCTTCCTTCCCCTGGACGCTGAAGAGGAGGAGGTAGTGCCAGATCAGGAGTCCCCTCAGAGGTGTCTCATAGCACATTCTTGGATCATTCACTGGAATCAGGTAGAGGGAGTATGTGTGGCCGACTGGGATGTGTGACTCTCAAAAGCACCTGGAGATTGAGGCAGGCACGTTCCTGCAACATATGTAAGGAAAGATGGCTGAGTAGCCAGTTACAGCAACAGCCTGCTTCTCCTGGGGGGATGAGGTGGGAGCAGTGAGTTGTCCTCAAGTGAGGATATCCTTAGATGAGGCTTAAATCAACTGATGTGCTTAACTGAATTCCTACAGTGTCCCACACAGATTGTACTAGAGCACATATTTGGGTTCCTATTGTTATTTTTACCTGTGATAATAAAGTTTCTGACTGTAAAACAGAACCTGCAGATATCTTTTTAACAGAGATGTTAGTATATTCCATTTTTCATCTTGAGCCACTCACTTTCAGTCTTAACTGCTTATTCTTGGTATCCAACAGCCAATGGAACCCTGGCATTTTGCCCTATAAACACAGGAGTACCATCTGTGGTGAAAGAGAGTAACTATAGGCTATATAATACATGGAGAAACAATTCATGGTTTGTTTGCTTTGCCATTCTGCTTCCTAGTGCTTTTTTAGGAATGTATTGTGAAAGTGAGAATAGGCTGTATAGCCAGAGATTTGTATTCATGGCACAAAGCAGAAAGCTGCTACCATCTTGGTGGTAGGGCAGCATGCTCTCTGGTATTAGCAAGGGACAGGGAAAACCAAGACAAGAAAGCCAGCATCCCCTTTGAAATGCTCATTTAAGTCAAGCTCCAGATTATACTTAAAGAAAAGTCATGGCCAGACGTGGTGGGTCGTGCCTGTAATCCCAGCACTTCAGGAGGCCAAGGCAGGTGGATTGCTTGAGGCCAGGAGTTTGAGACCAGCCTGGCCAGCATGGCAAAACCCCGTCTCTACTAAAAATATAAAAATTAGCAAGGCATGGTGGCACATGCCTGTAATCCCAGCTACTCGGGAGGCTGAGGCACAAGAATCACTTGAACTTGGGAGGCAGAAGTTGCAGTGAGCAACCTCTGCCTCTGCACTCCAGCCTGGGTGACAGAGCGAGACTGTCTCAAAAAAAATAAATAAATAAAGAGGAGGAGTCATAACATCCATTAGTTTCAAGGTCCTGGGCTGTGCCAGGGAGATACATGATAGCTACTGGATATTTATTTTTTGAGATGGAGTCTCAGTGTTACACAGGCTGGAGTGCAGTGGCGTGATCTCGGCTCACTGCAACCTCTGCTTCCTGGGTTCAAGCGATTCTCCTGCCTGAGCCTCTGGAGTAGCTGGTGCTACAAGCATGTACCACCACGCCCAGCTAATTTTTTTTTTTGAGACAGAGTCTTGCTGTTGTCTGCCCGGGCTGGAGTGTGATGGCATGATATCGACTCGCTGCAACCTCCACCTCCCAGGTTCCAGCAATTCTCCTGCCTCAGCCTCCCGAGTAGCCACCACACCCGGCTAATTTTTTTGTATTTTTAGCAGAGACAGGGTTTCACTGTATTAGCCAGGATGGTCTCGATCTCCTGACCTCGTGTTCCGCCCGCCTTGGCCTCCCAGAGTGCTGGGATTACAGGTGTGAGCCACCGCACCCGGCCAATTTTTGGGTTTTTAATAGAGACGGGGTTTCACCATGTTGGCCAGGCTGGTCTCGAACTCCTGACCTCAGGTGATCCACCCACCTCAGCCTCCCAAAGTGCTGGGATTACAGGCGTGAGCCACTGTGCCCGGCCTTTTTTTTTTTTTTTTTTTTTTAAGACAGAGTCTTCCTCTGTCAACCAGGCTGGAGTGCCAGCGGCATGATCTCAGCTCACTGTAACCTCTGCCTCCTGGATTCCAGCGGTTCTCCTGCCTCGGCTTCCTGAGTACAGGCGCGCACCACCATGCCCAGCTAATTTTTATATTTTTAATAGAGATGGGGCTTCACCATGTTGGCCAGGCTGGTGTCAAACTCCCAGCCTCAGGTGATACGCCCACCTCAGCCTCCCAAAGTGCTGGGATTACAGGCATGAGCCACCATGCCTGGCCAGCTATTTAGATATTTTATCAGTTATTCATCAGTCCCACTGTATATTAAATGGCAAGAGAGAATCCCACCAATTCTAGTCTTCTAGTCCTTTTATGTTGTTCCCAAACCAGTCCTGCGTCAAATATGTGTGGAAAATGGCTGAGAATGGACAGGATAGCTAAGCAACTCGCTGTGCATTACACAGAGATACCAAATCCTACTGGACAGAAGAAATAATATAAGGACATCCTCAGATGAGGCTTAAATCAGCCAATGTGCTTAATTGAACTCCCACAATCTACTTGGCACTAGAGGGAGGACAGATTCAAAATAAGTAGACATAGTCTTTGCACATAGGGAATACACAGCTTAACGTGGGAAGCAGTAAATACACAGACTTATAAAAGAAGAAAAACTCGACAAGGTAGTAAGTGCCACATTGAGTGGTTAAGGTCATTCAAAGTAAGGCCTTGATGTGGCATGCCAGGAAATAATAGGTGTAACACTGGGATCAGCTTTTGAACCAGGACTTCAGCATGACAGCCGAGCAAAGAAGCAAATCAAAGGACAGTGTACCTGTGTTCTGGGGCAAGGCATATTGGCTAGTTATATCTTTTTCAGCCACCACTATACTCACAGTTGGTAAGCATTTAATCAGCAATAGTTTCAGTCATAAAGGACAGCAAGATAAATGTGTGGCATAAATTTAATTCAGAATCTGGGCCAAAGCCTGATACCAAACCTTTAAAGCAAAGTGTCATCTGGAGCTGAAGGAAAGGCTGCCTGAGCAAGAGGCAGAATAAAGGCTAGAAGACTAGGAAGACTTGGGAAAGGTTTAAATTTCATGAGGTGTTAGTAGTATGACCAAAAGTCACTACTACAAATTGCCAAGGTTGGTGAGAGCTGTTCTTAGCTGGGTAGGTCGCTCAGGGGTCCTCAGGAGTCTGTCCACCTGGGTGGGTTGAGGCAGGAAGAGTAGGGAGGAAGGCTAGCGGGTGGCTTGACTGAAGTTGAACCCTAAGGTTGAGCTAGCCCTTCTTCCTGGTGTGTGAACCCTCTAGGTCAGGGGTAGGGCTCATCTGGGGAACCTACTGAGAGTGCCACGCCTGGCTCATTAGTGGCTGTCTGGGGAGGCCTTTTGAAGATGAAACACTTCATAAGCACTCATTGTTTCTGTTTTTTCGGACAAACTAGTACTTTGGTCTTCAGGGACTGTTGATCTGGCTCAGTTGCACTAGTCTGGAATTTGCTGCAAACTGAGAAGGGTGGTGGGGGAAATGTCAGAAGTTTTTGTAAAAACAACCAAACTCCCACCAAACCCCCATGCGTTAGCTTGTAAATAGGATTCCTCCCCGTCCACCTTTCACATTCTTGGGTTTGGGCGCACTTTGTCTTGACCTGTCCCTTTGGCTGCTGAGTTTGGGGTGTGTGTGTGTCTCTGGTTCCCAGACTCTAGAGAATGCCAGCAGCTGGCATATGGTGATTGCTGAATAAGCTGCCCGCTGACACATGCCTCCTGCAGGCACAGAGAACTGGTTTGTATGGGTGATTCTGAATCCTCATTTTATTATTGTTTCAAAGATGCATTTCTGTGGCTATCCTGTGCCATAGAGAAGAGAGGGAAGAAGAAAGGGAATGAATGAATGAATCTGATTCTGTCTGTTGGGGCAATGGCTGGGGTGAGCAGATAGACATTTTATACCTTCATAATGATTCTTTTGGTCCTGTTCATCCTTTCAGCAGGTATTTGTTGTTGTTATTACTATTATTATTATTATTTTGAGATGGATTCTCGCCCTGTCACCCAGGCTGGAGCGCAGTGGCGTGATCTCGGCTCACTGCAACCTCCACCTTCCAGGTTCAAGTGATTCTCCTGCCTCAACGTTCCGAGTAGCTGGGACTACAGGAGTGTGCCACCATGCCCGGCTAGTTTTTGTATTTTTAGTAGAGATGGGGTTTTACCATGTTGGCTAGGCTGTTCTCAAACTCCTGACCTCAGGTGATCCACCCGCCTGGGCCTCCCAAAGTGCTGGGATTACAGGCGTGAGCCACTGCGCTCGGCCTCAGCAGGTATTTGTTATGTGCCTACCATATGCCAGGCATAGCATCCAGTCTGAGTGAGCTTTCAGTAAAGTCAGTAGAGACCCTGGGGATTAGTTCAGTTTTTGAAGTACTGTGTGCTAGGCACTATTCTTGGTACTGGAGACAGAGCAGTGAACAAAACACATAAGGAGCTGATATCTTAGGCAGAATAAAACAATCAGCAAGAAATAAATATATAATGTATCAGATGGTGATAAATGTTGTGAAGAAAAGTAAAGTGGGATAAATGGGGTAGGGAGTGGTGTGTGTCTGTGTGTGTGTGTTATACATGTGGTTGTGGGAGGCCTCTTTGGTAGGTGACATTGAAACAGACAACTAACTGAAGGAGGTGAAGGAGTAATCTATGATGGTTATCTGGAAGAGAAGCATTCCAGGCAGAGGTGATAGCAAATATGAAAGCTTTGGGCCAGGCATGGTGGCTCATGCTTGTAATCCCAGTGCCCTGGGAGGCTAAGGCAGGAGGATTGCTTGAACCCAGGAGTTTGGGACCAGCCTGGGCAACACGGTAAGACCTCGCCTCTTTAAAAAAAAAAAAAAAAAGCTTTGAGGCAGGAAAGGAAAGTGTTGGGGAATTGGAGTGGAGTAAGCAAAGAGAGAGTAGTAGATCTCATGAGAGAAGTAGGGGAGTGTAGGTCTTGTAGGACCTTGTAAGCCATGGTTTGGGCCTTGGGTTTTACTGAAAAGGAGCTATGAAGCCACGAGTGGGTTTTGAACAAAGGACTCATATGACCTGAGTTTGGTTTTAAAACCACCCTAGATGCTATATGGAGAATAGGCCGAAAGGCTTAGGGAAGAAGCAGAGAACCAATGAGATGACTGCCTCATTGCAGCGACCATGTGGGACAGCCCCCTCCTTGGATGGGCCACAGTAAGCCAAGGATGCACCTAGCTGAGGAGTAAAGGGGTAGCCCCGCCATACCCCACCTCTCTACTGCCAGTGCACTGTTGTTTGAACAGGGCACAACATTAGCAGCTGGCATTCCACAGAGTGTAAAGGATCGGCTTCTTTTAAGAGTGCGGCTTTCTTATTCCTCCTTTATTTTGGTGTGGAAGAAAGATGGAGTTGCAAAAATATAGGAAGGGAAGAGGCAGAGTCTCTTGATTAAAGGAGAAAGCATAAACCTTGGGAAACTGGCAAGCCTGAACCTTGTCAGGAGTCACAGAGAGCCACTCCTTATTCCGCTCCCTCCTCTCCCACCCTTGCCAGAAGTCTCAGGGTAAGTAAGGTTAGGGGAGGGAGGGGCATTAATGATCTTACAATGCCTTTGGGTATAGGGTAGAATGTCAGAACTGAAGGGACTTCAGAAATCATCTAGTTCAATCCCCCTTCCATTTACAGGTGCAGATATGGAAAAGTGAAGTAACTTGCCCAGAGTCACATGGTTAGATTACTGGCAGAGCAGGGATCCTTAGTGTTTACTGCTTTGTCTCTGTTCCCAAAGACTCAGTATGTATCTGAGTGGGCCTTGGTATTTATAGTCCCCTCAGGCTCTCCGTTTGTCATGAATGAACTCTAGCCATGACCTTGGGAAATTCTATTTACTTGGAAGTCCTGACAAGCAAATGATGGTATGATTTTACATTTCCTTTGTCTAGGATCAAGTCTTCCATACCAGGGACCAGGCCAAAACCAGACTGCCACTGCCCCTACTTGGGCCCCACTGTCCCCAGAAAGCAGCTGCTGTGATCATGGGCAATATCTTTGGAAACCTTCTCAAGAGCCTGATTGGGAAGAAGGAGATGCGCATCCTGATGGTGGGCCTGGATGCCGCAGGAAAGACCACCATCCTATACAAGCTGAAACTCGGGGAGATCGTCACCACCATCCCTACCATTGGTAAGAGCACAGCTTGGATGTGGGCTTTCACGCCGGCAGCTGAGGCAGGGCAGGGACCTATTCCTGGTTCCCCAACCTGGCCTCTTCTCCCCAGGCAAGTCCATACAATTTGTGGGGTTCAGAAAAGAGGGTGGTGTTGTTTAGCTTACTACCAGGTGCTGAGGCTGCTGTTTGCCCACCTAACCTGGCTCTCCCTGATGCGGGAACTTCCATGGCCTGGCACTCAACAGCTGCCCTCAGGCACGGAGTTGGTTTCTTCTCTGTGTTGTTTGGAAAGCAGGTAAAAGGCTTTGATGTTCCTGCCAAAGGCTTGGAATTACTTGGGTTTAGATCTTTGGTGGCCAATCTTGGTTACAGTTTGCTGAAGGGAGGTCTCCCTACATTTGCTATGTAGATGGGGGCTCCAGTCAGCATTGTCAGCTGGCTCTGCCTTTGGGGCTCCAGGATGCCAGCTTACTTCCCTTTCTTCACTCTGCCTCTCAGGCCCCACATCTTAGCTGAGGCCGACTCTGGTAGCCAAAGTACCAGAGCAGGGCTGAGTCATTTTGTAGGAGGGAGCACCAAAGACTGAGTGGAAAAGTCAGGAAAGTTGGCCCACGTTACCCAGGCAACTGTGAACCTCTCAACCAACTTCCTCATCCTCTTTGACTTCTCTTAGGTTTTCATTTTGGCCTTCAGGCTGCTAGCTTAACGATTATCAGGTCTGAGGAAGCCTTAGCTTTTGTTCCATTGTTGGTGTTATGGCCACCACTGGGGGAAAGCAGAACCAAACTCATTGTGGTGGTGTTTGCGGGGCTAGTGTTTGAGGCCAAGTGGCCATTGCCTGTTTTTTTTCCAAAGGGTTCAATGTGGAGACAGTGGAGTATAAGAACATCAGCTTTACAGTGTGGGATGTGGGTGGCCAGGACAAGATTCGACCCCTCTGGAGACACTACTTCCAGAACACCCAAGGTATGCTCAGGCCTAGCGTGGGTTGGTTGGGTATGAGCAGAGAGTGTGGCTGTCTTTGTTAATGGGTGGCCAACTGTTACCCTGCTGCAGCTCCTGGGGGCAGAAGAAAGGGAGGAAAGGGAGCAAATATTTGGAGGGTGTCAGGCAGGTGTGGTCTTTTGGTTGGGGGGAGGGGGTTACCTGTCATCTTAGTGCAGCCCATGCTCTGCCTTCCTAGGGTTGATATTTGTGGTCGACAGCAATGATCGGGAGCGAGTAAATGAGGCCCGGGAAGAGCTGATGAGAATGCTGGCGGAGGACGAGCTCCGGGATGCTGTACTCCTTGTCTTTGCAAACAAACAGGTGAGACTTCTTCCCACCCCTGAATTTGGGAGACAGCAAACTGGCTGTGGAAATTGTTGGCTCTTGGGCCTATTATATGGTTAACCCTTTTAGTATGCTCTCAATGTTAGAAGCGTGGGAAACTGAGCACTTGGCTTCTTTATGCCCCTCTTCTTGTGCCCCACCCCAAGCTTTATTTAGCAACATTTCAGTCCTCAGGAATTGTCTCAAATCTTTCTTTCATCTTGCCTGTTATCTACTTTAGGAGAATTGGCCTCACTCCTGCTGTCAGACAGACCTGATTCTTTGGTCAGTCTGAATCACGTCTCTTGCTTCCCCACCATCCTCGTATTTGGTTTCCAATTCTTCAGTACAGTGACCTCTAGTGCTTTGGATCTTGAGTTCTAGGTGACTAAATCCAAAGTAGCTCCTTAGGATCTTGTTCTGGGTTTCCTAAAATAAAGGAGGAGGGGAAGGTGCTGGTACACATTTCTTTGGTAGATGGGTGTTCTAGAAGCCTTTAAAAAATCCTGAGGCTTCTTTTTATGTGTCTCCCACGTGCTCCAGGATCTGCCTAATGCTATGAACGCTGCTGAGATCACAGACAAGCTGGGCCTGCATTCCCTTCGTCACCGTAACTGGTACATTCAGGCCACCTGTGCCACCAGCGGGGACGGGCTGTACGAAGGCCTGGACTGGCTGGCCAATCAGCTCAAAAACAAGAAGTGAAAGCCAGACAGCCCTAACAAAGCACCCCACCCACCCCTGACATACCTACTGTCACCCTGCCCCAGTCCTACCCCTTCCTCTCCATGCAAGTGTGGCCAGGGCCCTGGGTATCATGTCCACATGCCCAGCAAGAGCCTTGCCTCCCCTGCCTCCCCTCCTTTTTCCTGTCCACCTATATGACCAATCCCTAATTGCTGTCCTGATGATGAGTCATTCCAATTTACTGGATTTAAAACAAAAAGTTGTTACGGTTTCATGGGGTGGCCCCTCTCTCTCTCACCCTCTGGGTTTCGGGAGGTCGAGTGGGGTATTCTCTTTGTTTGGCAGTGGTTGCTGTCCTCTTGGCATCTGAGTCCTTTCCCTGTCCCCACAAGCCCTTCTACTCCCTGTTTGCCTTTCCTTTGCCACCCTCTCCCTGTTTTACATGGAAATTGCACGGGCCTCTCTGTGTTTGCGTGCATGTGTGCGCCTGTATATACATGTATAGAGAGATATATTTGTGGGGGCCGGGGGGAGCGGGGAGGGGGTGGAGTGAAGCTCAGGGCTTGCAGCCAGGACACTGCCCACTGGAGCCTGTCATCTGCCCCTTCCGTGTTGGTGAGATTAAGGGAAGAAGGTGGGAGGGCATTAGTCAAGCCGGACTGCCCCAGTCTTTGACTGGTTACCCTCCTCTCTGCAGGTAGGTTTTTCTGGATGATAGGACAGATGATGGATTCTTCACCACCATTTTCCTTGTACTCTTCTCTCCACCCTTCTTAGGGCTGGAGGATGGCATTTATCTCTAGATGACTGTTCCCAAGGAGATGCCACTCTGCTCTGCCTTACTGTTGGGAAGGAGAGAGGAACCCACTCACTCTTATCAGCTTAGAGTGTTCAACTGATCCTTCCCCACCATCTTCAGATCTGTTCCTCTGGAGCTTGACTGGGGGGTGGGGATGGCAAGTCCATGGTGTGTGTTAGGGACCCAGGGCATTGGGGGAAGGGAGGCGAAGGCCTGAGGTTTTCCATCTTCATTCTCTTTTGTTATTAGGAGAAGGTGAGGCATGGGCCAATCCCATTCCTGCCTTCCAGTGCCCCACCACCCTTCTGATCTTAGGGGTTGGATGGGTCATCTGTCCTTGGTCAGAATTTTCTCACCCTAGTACTCCTACTGGCCTGACCAGGGCTGACTGGGTATTCTAATGAGGAGCTGGGAAGTGGGGTGACATAGCTGACCTTAGTATCAACCCCCCTCTTCTCCAACTCTTGTTTTCTAGTCCAGGATATGCTAAAGGACGAAGATTTTCTATTGTTTCCAGGCCCTCAGACCATCCTTGCTGTCCCTTCACCCTCCATGCCCCTGCCATCCTCACTCACTTCTCATAAATGGATCTGGGGGTTAGAGTGGAGGAAATAAAATCCTGAAGTGGTTGTCAGTGCTTGTGGGATGCAGTGGTCTTCAGGATTCTCCCCGCATTATTATGTAGTTGTTCAGAAGCTGTTGCTACTGCGTCTCTCTGTCTGCAGGGGGCACTTGTTCCTGAGGTCCTCGCCTGGGTCCTGACTTCTGTAGTTTCTGTGAAGACGTGGCTGTCCTGTGGGCTCCTGTGTGTGCTGGCTGCGCCCTGAGCTCCGAGACAGCTGCCCATAACCTGCTAAGGTCAGGGCCCAGGGCCCCCCACAGCATGGCTGAGGGACCCCTTCCCAGTAGGGCTGTCCCAAGCCCCACTCCATGGGGCCAGGTTTCCTGGCCACTTTTGTTGATAGCAGATGGATCAATATTAGTAACCCCATCCAAGATTGAACTGTGAAAGAGAGGTTCCAGGGGTATCTCCCTCAGTGCCAGTTACTTAGTGATGTGTTACCCAGGATGCAGCAGGTGTGTGCAGGTATCTTGCTCTCTAGGCCTGTGTGTGTGTGTGAGTGTGTGTGTATATGGGTGTGGGTGTGTTTGTGTGTGGTGGTTGTGGGGGGGGTGTTGGAGGTTCTATTTCATTTAAAAATGTATTCATTTCCCTGGCCCCACAGATGCTTCCCTCCATACTTTTTATTTGCTCTGTTTCCTCAGATTTATTTTGTCTTGCCCCATTGCCTCTCCTTCCTTGAACTCTTTCCTTTTCAATCTCAACTCATTCACTGCTGTTGCTCATTTGCCCTTTTCCATGTATTTTTTCCTACTTAGGATTTTCCACTCTATCTTTGTGGTTCATGAGGACTTTGCCTCTTCTCCTGCCTCATTCCCTGACTTTCTCTAGTTAGATGTCAGTCCTAAATAGGTTTTCCTCACTTCAGGCCTCACCCCTCACCTTGTTTTTTTGGGGGCTCCAGGGACCAATCTGGGGCTGGAAATGTTAGGAGGTTGCCTTGGTGCTGCCCCAGATCTGTCCAGCAGGGGGCAGTAAGTGATCTTGGTAGTATCCCTGGCTGCTAAGCCCTTGGCAGGGGTGGTCCTTTCTACATTCCCATTCACTTAACAGCTCTTTTGGGATTGGGTGTTTCATTCCATTTCTGCCCACTCCCTCTCCTCTCCTCTCTGGTAGGTTTAATTTTATGCTTTCCCTGATTCCAGCTTTCTGCTTCCTGAGGACTCCCGCTCCCCCCACCCCAAAGTTTGTCTGTGGTGTTATAGTGGTAACTGCAGTTCCTCCTCTGGAATGTAGACTGTATATGTTTAATAACTCACCTTCTCTATCCTTGCTCAAAATGTGGGATAACGCGATGACTGTGACCCTGGTTGGAAATTAAACTTGTTTTATGCAGCTTTGGAGCCGACCTTCATCTTTGCTGTGCAGCAGCCGTGGGACAGTAGTTTCATGGTGAGGGGAGTCCTGTTTCTGGTCCCTCTCTCCATAGTGCTCCTTCTTTCAGCAAAGGGGTAAAAGGCACACTTGATTGATAGAGAGTAAGGTTATGGAGGAACTTAGTGCCACTCCACACTGGTTATTTCTTCCCATCATACCCCGCGGCGGGGGAGCCCAAATGAATTGGGCATCAGAGTGTGAGGGCTTCGTGACTTTCCTCCTCTAGTTCTAAAGGGTTTAAACCTGAAATCAGCTGTATTTCTCACCTGTTGGTAGACTGTATGGACTTCACTGGCTGAAGGGCCCTGAACTTGGAGGGCCCCATGTGCCTCTACTCTCAGATCTCCTCAGCCTTGCACATGAGGTGCTTCTAGTTTGAACAGAGACCCCCTCACTAGTCTAGTTCTGGACTTTGGCAGTGAATAAACATGAAGGATAAACGTCTGGGCAGTGTAATGACCTTAATCCTTCTTACAACTGATGGCCCTGCATCAGCTCTACTTCAGGCGTGTGGTTTTTCATTGTCAGGATGCCAAGCCTCATCCAGAGATCCCACAAATGTCTTGAGGAATAGACCTTTTCCATAAAGCCTCCATCCTCCCATCGCACTCCCACCACTATTCTGTTCCTCCCCTGCTACCAGTGTCTGGCTCCAGGCAAAGAAAGGGATGGTGCTACCTTTAGGGTGGGTGAGGTCTGGGTGAGCCAGGCAAGCCTTCCCCAATCTTAATATTTTCTTAAGCTTTGAGGACAGAGGTCTTCCCAGCCTGCTTTTGTGGGAAAGGGATAGGATTTAGGCATATAATAAGTTTGAGAGCCCCAAGTACCAGTGTGAAGCATATAATTTATATTCAGTTACTTCCCTGCTGCCTCCCCTGCCAATTTTCCTTTTCAGCACTTCTATTATTAATAGGCCATCACCCTCAAGGACCAGTGCTTCCACCCATATATAACTCTCAAACTACTCCAACCAGACATGTCTTATCAATCCCAATGACTTTGAACATTACCCACCTACTCCTCAAGATCAGATGACACTTTCCTCCTTCCAGGCTTCTCCAAAGTTCTGCTTGGTGACAGGGTGCTGATAAGAGTATCTTTCCCAAGTGTTTTCTTTCTTCTTCTTCTTTTTTTTTTTTTTTTTTTTTGAGACGGAATTTGGTCTTGTTGCCCAGGCTGGAGGGCAATGGCACGATATCGGCTCACCACAGCCTCTCCTCCTGGGCTCCCGGGTTCAAGCAATTCTCCTGCTTCAGCCTCCTGAGGAGCTGGGATTACAGGCATGCGCCACCACACCCGGCTAATTTTGTATTTTTAGTAGAGATGGGTTTCTCCATGTTAGTGAGACTGGTCTTGAACTCCTGACCTCAGGTGATCTGCCCACCTCAGCCTCCCAAAGTGCTAGGATTACAGGCGTGAGCCACCACGCCCGGCCAGGTGTTTTATTTCTATATTAGCAAATAGATATCTTTCAGAGCTACAACCTCTCATAATGATAAGGGAGAGGACTTTAGCTGAATGGTGGGCCACTGGGGGGTCTTTGGACCCCTGAACAACTTGGGGAAGAGGATGACCTATTCCCATCTGTCCCTTAGTACTCAATTTAGAATGCCAGGAAGGAAGTAGAGGGGAGCCCTCTTGTGGCAGTTGCTGAAGCCTTCCAGTTCTTTTGAGGGGATAGGGGATGAAGAGGAGACTGAACCTGGGAGGTAGATACTTAGCACCCAGCTCTTAGGACAAACAGCAATCCCATCTTCCAGAACATGCATAGCATCAGTCATGGACTGGCGGAAGACTTGGACCCAGGGTCCACTTCAGGATAATCTGGGCAAGGGAGCTTCCCAAATGAGCCTGTAGAAAGCCAGTGGAAGGGCTTAGGTTGGCTAAGGTGGGATGGAGGGCAAAACCCTCCCCTTCATTGCAGAGTATAGGGGCAGTGGCAGAGAATGAATGTATGTGTGGGTTTCTCAGCCTTGAGGTATAAGGTCTAAAGGCTCTGGGGATTCACTGCATACACCACTTCCAGTTCAAGCGCCTAGGTTGGTTACAGCAGGAAGTTGACAAGTATGTATTTAGTACATTCGATGTTTTTAGGCATCTGCTAAAAGTAGGTCAAACCACTGAACTCAGGGAGGGGGCTGGGGATCCATTTCTAGGATGCTGTGGAATCCTTTTGGGACATCTGTAGTATACCACGTTGGGTAGTGAGAGTTGGGGGACACCCCTTCCATTGCTGCTGCTTAGTGTAGGGAGTCATGTCTTTGGGCAGCAGTAATATTATTAAGAAAAGCTTTTTTTTTTTTTGAGACACAGTCTCTGTCACCCAGGCCGGAATGCAGTGGCGTGATCTCGGCTCACTGTAACCTCTGCCTCCCAGGTTCAAGCGATTCTTGTGCCTCAGCCTTTTCCGAGTTGCTGGGATTATGAGTGCACACCACAACTCCCTGCTAATTTTTTTTTTTTTTTTTGAGACGGAGTCTCACTCTTGCCCAAGCTGGAGTGCAATGGCGTGATCTCGGCTCACTGCAACCTCTGCCTCTCAGGTTCAAGCAATTCTCCTGCCTCAGCCTCCGAGTAGCTGGGACTACAGGTATGTGCCACCATGCCCAGCTGATTTTTCTATTTTTAGTAGAGATGGGGTTTCACCATGTTGGCCAGGCTGGTCTTGAACTTGTGACCTCAAGTGATTCGCCCACCTTGGCCTCCCAAAGCACTGGGATTACAGGCATGAGCCACCGTGCCTGGCAGAAAAGCTTCTTTTCCAGTTCTGAAGAGTGTGAAGGTAGGAGAGCCAGAATTCAGTTCTCTCACTTTCCAACCCAGTACCTGGAGAGAGAGTGTCTTGCTGGTCACTGGGGAGTGATAGGATCCGGATGCCCGCCTTCCTCTTCAAGTTTTTCTTTCTGATTGGGTTTCCTGACCCTGATTGCTGGTATGGGTAAGAATGACTCTGAATTCCTGAGAAAAGGGAAGAGGGTTAGGACAGAGGAAATGGAATCATTTAGTCAGGTAAAGGGAGCAAAGCCACCGAAGGCAGTGGTTGGAGGTGTAGATGTGAGGAAGTTGGGTTGAGACCATTCACCATCAAGGCTTGAAGATGAGTGTCTGTTTGTGTGTGTCATGTTGGCTGTGAGTTGCAGAAGAGAGTATCTGGCCTCTAGTTGAGG
The DNA here is from genome assembly GCF_000001405.40 of Homo sapiens. NCBI lineage: Eukaryota > Metazoa > Chordata > Mammalia > Primates > Hominidae > Homo > Homo sapiens. The sequence continues at coordinate 48,932,999 of NC_000012.12, read as the reverse complement.
AGCACTTCCGGCTTCTGAGCTGAACATGGTGTAGAAGAGAGGATACTCAATCCAAAACCCTGGCTATCTATGCAGAGGGCTGACCAGTTCTACCCATGTACCCTTCCTTCCCTCACCCTTCCTCACAAACCAGGCATATTGAGAGCTGTCTGGCAGTCAATCCAGGCGAGGCAGCAGGTTTGAGAATGGGCTTGTCCGCCTGGCACCTGCTTCCCCCCACTTCCACCTTCACCCCTCCATCCCATATATCGTTCAGGGTCCTCCCAGCACAGAATTGAATAGAAGGACTTTTAAGGCTTGGAGGGCTTAGCTTGGGGCTCTAACCCACAGGAATTCTTTCTGAGTTCTGAATATAGTAATAAAGGGCACTCTTGGCCTTAGGTTATAGATAGGAGATGGGGAATCTGTTCTTGTCTTTGCCAAATCTTGCATTTATGGGATGATACCTCTTTGATTAGAACAGCCATAGGGGAAGAGTGGAGGAAGTAAGTAAGTGCTTCATTCTTGGATGAATATATGCATAAACATACCTGAAAGAAAACATCTAGTCAGCTGGGGGTATGTATACCCTTGAAAATACAACACCAGGCCAGGCATGGTGGCTCAATTCTATAACCTCAACACTTTGGGAGGCTTAGGTGGGAGGATAGCTTGAGCCCAGGAGTTTGAGATCAACCTGGGCAACATGGTGAGGCCCCATCTCTATAAGAAAAAAAAAAAAAAAAAAAAAAAAAAAAATATATATATATATATATATATATATATATATATAAATATATGTTTATATGATATATATACAATTATATGTTTATATTATATATATATATATATTTTTACTTTTATTTAAAAAAAATAGAGATGGGATTTCACTATGTTGCCCAAGCTGGTTTCAAACTCCTGGGCTCAAGCAGTCCTCCCACCCCAGCCTCCCAAAGTGCTGGATTTACAGGCATGAGCCATTGTGCCCGGCCAAAAAAAAATGTTTTTAATTAGTTGGGCATGGTGGCACGTGCCTGTGGTCCCAGCTACTCAGGAGGCTGAGGCAGGAGGATTGCTTGAGCCTGAGAGATTGAGGCTGCAGTGAGCTGTGTTTGCGCCACCGCACTGGTGACACAGCAAGACCCTGTCTCAACCAAAATCAAATTTTAAACCCAAATTTATATATGCCAACTCAGGCTTTTACTTTATTAACAACCTGTTATAAATAAACACTTAAGAACATTTAAAGAGCAGTGTTCTGCTTATTCTTTGGCACATAATAGTCATGCAACCTTGATGAACAAATGGATGAATTAATAAACACCATTGTCTTTAATCAAGCTGGGCATGGTGGGTGCCCCATGAGTCTTGGAAGCCCAGGTACTGTGGTAGGGTTTCTCCTACACACTGACAGAGACACCTTTGAGTGTGGAGGCTTTTCTAGCAATGGTTCTGTGATTAAGTTGTATCTCCAGCCAGGGGTGGGCCAACTCTCCTATCTTTCCAAGAATCATCTCACCTTTCTCTGTTGTTTGGATTTCTTCTAACTTGATCCAAGGAAAAAGCTCCTTCTCTGGTCCCTCCAGGGTGCAGATGGGCTTGTGCTGCCTGTGGGTGGATATTGTGTTTAATAGTTTTGCCCTTTCCATTTCTACTACCACCTTCTCCTACTCCACTCCTCTTCCCCTTCAGGTTCCTGAACAGAGCCTCAGACCTGGATAAGACAATAGCCTTCCACCTTCACCACACTGTTCGAGTCTGCTGATACATCAGTGCAGTATGCTGTGTCATCCTTTTGCTTAGAAACTTGCAATGTGTTCCCACTGCCTTAGTCTGACATTCAAGGTTCTTCACAACTAGCCTTTTTTTTTTTTTTTTTTTTTTTTTTTTTTAAGCTGGAGTCTCGCTCTGTCGCCCAGGCTGGAGTGCAGTGGCGCGATCTCGGCTCACTGCAAGCTCCGCCTCCTGGGTTCACGCCATTCTCCTGCCTCAGCCTCCCGAGTAGCTGGGACTACAGGTACCCGCCACCACGCCTGGCTAATTTTTTGTAATTTTAGTAGAGACGGGGTTTCACCGTGTTAGCCAGGATGGGTCTCGATATCCTGACCTCGTGATCCGCCCGCCTCGGCCTCCCAAAGTGCTGGGATTACAGGCGTGAGCCACTGCACCCGGCCTACAACTAGCCCTTAATTCCCTCTCCAGCCACCTCTCTCTAGTCTCTGGCCAAATCCCTTACTTTAGCCAAATCAGTCCATTCATTTTTCCCAAACATCTGGCCCTCTGCCTTCACCTCCTTTCTCACTTGTTTAAAAATCCCACTCCAAGATCTAGCTCAAGTTTCACCTCCTCCACAAAGCTGCCTGTGCCCTCTGCAACTACAAGGACTTTTATAGTTTTTCCCCACGTTGGCTCCTTTAGCTCTGTTAGCACAACTCATTTAACACCTCCCACTCATTCCCTTGTATTGCTATATATCTTGTTTATTCGTGTAATATTTAATATTAAAAATTATTTTTATAACCTGAGAAGTAACATCTGAGCAGGAAAAAAATTATAACCAAAGTAATTTCTATTGTAAAAGATCCAAACAATACAAAAATATACAGAGCAACATGTGGGACATTGCCCTTACTCTTCTCTCTCCCATGCCCAAACGTAACCATCCTCAGCTATTTGATGTGCATCCTTCTAGTTCCTTTTTTAAATGTATGTGCTGACACATGTTTGTGGAGGGGTTAAAATATAAATGGGCTCATATCACATCTGTTATTCTGCTACTTGCTTTTTTACTTAGGGTATATATACATTTGTCTTAGAGATTTTCTATATTAGTGTAATTAGATCTCCTTTTAATGGCTTCTCAGTATTTCATAGTATAATTTCTTCAAAGTAAAACATACTGTCTAGAATCTATTATTTGGAGGCTATCGTGTAGCTAGTACTTAGCTCCAGACATGATTGCAACCTTGACCTTGCCATCAGTTAGCTGGCTCTTTGGGGGAGATAGGAAGGGAGGAATGGGGCATACACAAATAACTGCAACAAAAGGAAAAATATAATAATGTCCACAAGTGTATGCCTGGAGATCCTAGCTAAGAGAATCAGGACTTCACAGAGGAAATGATATTTGAGCTTAGCCTGGAGGGAGCTTGACAGGTAAAAGAAGTGTATGAGTTCAGGCACAGAGATGGAAACAGAAGATGTAGGTTTGTCTGATGCCAGACCACAGTCCATGAGCAGGAAGGGAATTTGGCTCAATTCACAAACATTTACTGAGCATTGATGTGTCAGACACTATACTAGCAATGAAGATTTAGAAATGAGAAACATGAGGTTCCTGTCTCTAAGAGGGATTCAGTTTAATGGAATAAAAGCCAAGTTTGGAAAAGCAGATTAGGGCTGGATGACAAGCTTTCAGTTGTCATGTCAAGGAGTTGGAATTTTATTCACGTGGGCAATGTGAAGCCATGGTAGGCTTTTTAGTGGGCAGATGATGGGACTGAAACTGTAGATAGCAGCAGTGTACACAGTGGTCCAAAGTAGGGAGAGGCTAGGGATCAGGGGCTTATTATTTTTTGAGACAAGGTCTCTGTCACCTAGGCTGGAGTGCAGTGGCGTGATCATGGCTTACTGCAGCCTTGACCTCCTGGACGCAAGTGATCCTCCCACCTTAGCCTCCTGAGTAGCTAAGACCACAGGTGCACACCACCATACCTAGCTAATCGTTAAATTATTTGTAGAGATAGGGTCTTGCCATGTTGCCCAGGCTGGTCTTGAACTCCTGGCCTCAAGCAATCCTCCTGCCTCAGCCTCCCAAAAATGTTGGGATTACAGGTGTGAGCCACCACACCAAGACTTTTTTTTTTCTTTTCTTAAACAAGATAGAAGTTTAAAGGCCGGGCGCGGTGGCTCACGCCTGTAATCCCAGCACTTTGGGAGGCCGAGGCAGGTGGATCTTGAGGTCAGGAGATCGAGACCATCCTGGCTAACAGTGAAACCCCGTCTCCACTAAAAAAAAAAAATACAAAAAGTTAGCTGGGCGTGATGGCGGGCGCCTGTAGTCCCAGCTACTTGGGAGGCTGAGGCAGGAGAATGGCGTGAACCCGGGAGGCGGAGCTTGCAGTGAGCCGAGATTGCACCACTGCACTACAGCCTGGGCAACAGAGTCAGACTCTGTCTCAAAAAAAAAAAAAAAAAAAAAAGATAGAAGTTTATTTCTGCCTCAGTTAAAAGGTGTCTGGGGGCCGTGCATGGTGGCTTACACCTGTGATCCCAGCACTTTGGGAGGCTGAGGCAGGCAGATCACTTGAGGTCAGGAGTTCAACACCGGCCTGGCCGACATGGTGAAACCCCATCTTTACTAAAAATACAAAATTAGCCTGGTGTGGTGGCACACACCTGTAGTCCCAGCTACTCTGGAGGCTGAAACAGGAGAATTGCCTGAACCTGGGAGGTGGAGGCTGCAGTGAGCCAAGATCACAGCATTACACTCCAGCCTGGGCAAGACAGAGTGAGACTTTGTCTCAAATAAATAGACAAATAATAAATACACAAAAATTAGCCAGATATGCTCGCTTGAACTCAGGAGGCGGAGGTTGCAGTGAGCCGAGATCATACCACTGCACTCCAGCCTAGGCAACAGAGCGAGACTCGGTCAAAAGAAAAAAAAAAAGGTGAGCTGGGCGTGGTGACTGATGCCTGTAATCCCAGCACTTTAAGAAGCCGAAGGGGGCAGATCACTTGACTCCAGGAGTTCGAGACCAGTCTGGGCAATATGGCGAAACCCCATCTCTACAAAAAATTTAAAAATTAGCCGGGTGTGGTGGCATGCCTCTGTGGTCCCAGCTACTTGGGAGGCTGAGGCAGGAAAATCACTTGAGCCCAGGAGGCAGAGGTTGCAGTGAGCCAAGATTACACAACTATACTCCAGCCTGGATGACAGAGACCCCCATCTCAAAAAAAAAAAAAAAAAAAAAAGGTATCTGGCAGCTGGTCTGAAGATAGGCATCTCAATTGTTCACGGCCAGTTACAGATTGAACTACTCTTTCCCCCTTCTCACTACTGCACTTGACTAGTCTTTTTTTTTTCCCCCACAAAGAATGGGGCTTCAGATAGAACTGAAAAATAAAAGTGTCTGGTGGTAGGCAATCCAGAGCTGGCATGGTGGCTCTGCAATTAACAAGGACTTATGCTTCTTTTTGCTTCACCATCCTAGCGTGCAGCTTCCATCCTCATGGTCATCTCATGGTCTAATATGGCTTCTAGAGCTTAATTCATCTCATCTGCATTCCAGATAGCAGACAGAAGGAAGGAAAGATGATTAGGGGGAGAGAGAGCAGCACAGAAGGACGCTTTCTAGTTAACTCTTTAAAGGGCCTTCTTGGAAGTCCAGGACAATACTTCCAACACTTCTGTTTATGTTCTCTTGGCCAGAACTTAGTCAACTGGCCATATCCAGCTTTAAGGGAGACTTGGAGTTTTGTGGTTTTTTTGTTTAACTTAAAAAATATCTTGATACGTAATTCGCAAACAGTGAAATGCACAGATTGTAAGTATACAGTTTGATAAGTTCTGACAAATGCATACACCCATGTAACCCACATCCTTCTGAAAATATAGAGCATTTCATCACCCCTAGAAATTCCCTCCTGCTGAGGGGACTTTTTTTTTTTAAACAATACAAATGAGAGATAATGAAGGCTTCTTATCCTGAGGTGGGAGGGTTGTAGCTATGGGAATGGAAGGGAAGAGCTGGAGAGACTTTGGAAGGAGAATCCAGAGTAGACCCGTTGGATGTGGGAGATGAGAGAAGAACGAATGCTGGTAGCAGAGCCACTAACAGAAACAGGAGATAGGGAGGAAGTCTAGGTTGTTGCAGGTGGATTGGAAGAATGAGTACAGTTAAGACTGTTGGCTGGGCGCATTGGCTCACGCCTGTAATCCCAGCACTTCGGGATGCTGAGGCTGGCGGATCACGAGGTCAGCAGTTTGAGAGCAGTCTGGCCAACATGGCGAAACCCCATCTCTACTAAAAATACAAAAATTAGCCAGGCGTGGTGGTGGGTGCCTATAATCCCAGCTACTCGGGAGGCTGAGAGAAAAGAATCGCTTGAACCCGGGAGGTGGAGGTTGCAGTGAGCCAAGATCGTGCCATTGCACTCCAGCCTGGGCGACAAGAGTGAAACTCCGTCTCAACAAACAACAACAACAAAAACTTTTAAAAAGTGGGCTGGGCGTGGTGGCTCATACCTGTAATCCCAGCACTTTGGAAGGCCGAGGTGGGTGGATCACTTGAGGTTGGGAATTCGAGACCAGCCTGACAGACATGGAGAAACCCTGTCTTTACTAAAAATTCAAAATCAGCTGGGCATGGTGGCGCATGCCTGTAGTCCCAGCTACTCGGGAGCAGAGGTTGCGGTGAGCCAAGATCGCGCCATTGCACTCCAGCCTGGGCAACAGGAGCAAAACTCCTCCCCCTCAAAAAAAAAAAAAAAAAAAGAAATCTGGTGGCTCACGCCTGTAATCCTAGCACTTTGAGAGACCGAGGCAGGCGGATCACCTGACATCAGGAGTTTGAGACCAGCCTGGCCAACATGGTGAAACCCCTTATCTACTAAAAATACAAAAATTAGCCGGGCGTGGTGGCGGGTGTAATCCCAGCTACTTGGGAGGCTGAGGCAGGAGAATCGCTTGAACCTGGGAGGCGGAGGTTGCAGTGAGTGGAGATGGCACCACTGCACTCCAGCCTGGGCCACAGAGCGAGACTCCATCTCAAAAAAAAAAAAAAAAAAAAAAGTGAAGTCTTTACATAAATGGATTACGTGTGCTGCCCTTTGAGAAGTTTGTTGATGAAAGGAGAAAGGAAATAGTAGCACCAGAGGAAAAGATCAGGGATTTACCCTGTTCTTACAGGATAACAGCTCCTTGCTCTTTTCAGCTAGCTTTTCAAAGGACAGGGATAGGACAGCCCCCTGCCTTATTTCGGATACTTGGATCTATAACCTCCAGAAATTCAAGCTGAAGTAGCTGGAGGTCGGAGAGGAATGAGAACTGCCTGGGTGGGGTCTGCCAGCCAGACACTGCCAGGATAGCCACAAGGAGACGACTTGGAAGAACAGACAGCAACCACGTTGGACTCAGGCAGTCCTGGGTTTGAATCCTGTCTCTGTCACCACCTAGCCTGATGACCTTGGGCACATCCTGAGCACCCTGTGCCTTATCTGTAAAATGGAAACAATCATGCCGACCTTTCAGGGTGGTTTTGAGGATTAGAGACTAGCTCCTGACACACAGTAGGTAATCGTAAATGGGTGCTATTGTTTGGCCCGACCCACGTTATAGGACAGAACGTCTAACGGATGCGTCAGAACCTGCGCCCTCCGGATCTTGGAGGGTACAGAGGGCGCCCCTCGGCCTCCTCCCTTTCGGAGGTGGGGACAAGGTGGAGGAAGGGCTGCAGGAGGAGGAGCTCTAGCATCGCGACCCGCCCCGTCCCGTCCAGTCTGGCCTGGGCGCCGCGGGAACGCTGTCCTGGCTGCCGCCACCCGAACAGCCTGTCCTGGTGCCCCGGCTCCCTGCCCCGCGCCCAGTCATGACCCTGCGCCCCTCACTCCTCCCGCTCCATCTGCTGCTGCTGCTGCTGCTCAGTGCGGCGGTGTGCCGGGCTGAGGCTGGGCTCGAAACCGAAAGTCCCGTCCGGACCCTCCAAGTGGAGACCCTGGTGAGGAGATAGTCCCGACCCTCAGCCCCCGTGGGCCGAGCCTTGTTGGGTGGTAATACTGGGGTCTCAGCGAACCTGGGAGCCGGGAGGAGAGGAAGTGCGGGAACTGAGTTGGGGGTGGTGCCGGGTCTAGGGGCGAGAACGGGATCTTTGGAAGAGCATCCGTGACCCCTGTAGTCCGATCGTAGGTGGAGCCCCCAGAACCATGTGCCGAGCCCGCTGCTTTTGGAGACACGCTTCACATACACTACACGGTGAGGGGTCTGGGGGGCCGGGGCGGGGCCTGGGAGGGGGCGGCGCCCTGCTGAAACACGTCAGCTTTGGCTTGGACACGTGGCAAGCGGTTCGGGAGAAGAAACTCGGGGCTCTGGGGTCGTCGAGCACGTGGCGAGGGGAGAGACGTTGCTCTTCCGTGCCTCTTTTCCCTCCTTGCTTTTCTGCCAGTTCCTACCTGGCACGGAGAAGTGCAGGGTGGAGAGATCTCCGAGAAGCGCCAGCCTTCTGGGGCTTCCTGTTCCTTACAGCGGTAAGGGGAACGCTAGGCTGCCGCACTAAGGGGGCTGCCGCCGCCCAGCGGTCCAGGTGTGTGTTGCGCGCCTGCTGGGAGGGAGAGGGTGCTAGATGTATGCTCTTGATGCTCTCTCCCCCCAGGGAAGCTTGGTAGATGGACGTATTATTGACACCTCCCTGACCAGAGACCCTCTGGTTATAGAACTTGGCCAAAAGCAGGTGATTCCAGGTATGTGACCTGTGCCTCCCATTCCACCTCTTCCCAACCTAAGCCCTTTCTTAGCCTCTTCGGCTCCAAAGCTGCCCTGGAAATCCCCCCTGAAATGAGTAAGACCCTAGGGCTCTACGAGTTACCTCCTGAGGTTCAAACCTCACTTCTAGTACTCCACTTGTCCCATATCCTATTGGAAGCCAGAGATTTAAGAAGTGAGGGAAAGGTCAATTGAGGATGGAGGAGGAAGACTTTGATCTTCATGTCATGGGATTTGGGGAAGGTGGATAGCTTCCAGTTCAGTTGTGTCTTCTTCTTCAAGGTCTGGAGCAGAGTCTTCTCGACATGTGTGTGGGGTGAGTATCTCGGCAGGGGTGGGCCTGGGTACCCCCTTTGCATGGGTAGAGGCTTTCTCGGCCATCCTCACTCCTTAAGCAGGAGAATGTGGAATAAAGGACCCTGCTTCCCACTGGACAGGTCCAGGTCAGTGGGACCTCTGAGGGCATTCAAAGCCTCTGTGCCTCTTGCGCTGTTGCTTTTGTCGGGGGAGTTGAGGCACATGGGGAGATGGACACCTTTGCTGGCCAGCCTGTTTGGTGTTCAGGTGGAAAAATTCGTGTTTTGGGTGTGAAGATTCAGGGGGTTTTGCTGAAGGAGCTTCAGCTGGACTGAGGCTGCTGGCCTACCTCTCCTGCCTCTGGCTGTGACTGACATTCCTTCCCTCAGAGAGAAGCGAAGGGCAATCATTCCTTCTCACTTGGCCTATGGAAAACGGGGATTTCCACCATCTGTCCCAGGTAATCTGACTAGGACTCTCTCTCAGGCCATCAAAATACCCAGTCCCTAAGAGCTATAAGGAGCTATATACTTTGTTTGATGCTTGAGAAGATCCAGACCAAGTTTGTTTAGACAGATAGGAGTGGCTGGGGCCTCCATCTACAGGGCCACCTTTTTCCTCCTCATATCACCAACAGGGACTAAAGACAACCTGATGAGGCCACCTGGCATGACCTCCAGCAGCCAGTAACTTGTTAGGGAAGAGACCTGCTTGGGCCACATGGGTCTGCTGCCTGTGCCACCACCTTTCCCAGAACACTGGACTTCTTTCCTGCCCTTTTCTACAACTCTACGCTGTGTCAGCTGTACAGCCACCCCCCACCCCTTCCTTTCAGCCTCCATCAGGGAAGAGACAGTAAAAATAATCACAGTCAAGTGATTCAAAACAAAACAAAAAGCAACTGTTAAAGCCAAGTCTGCCCCATAACTTTAAAAGCCATCATTGGTCACTGCCGATGTCTATTTTTGAAGGGTTGAGATGGACAGATTTCCCAAGATGCATATCTTTTGCTTTCAGTTCTAACAAATGTTCTATTAGCTAAAATGTGTTGTACTCCACAGAGTATTGGGCTCGTAATTCTTTTTTTTTTTTTGAGATGGAGTTTCACTCTTGTTGCCCAGGCTGGAGTGCAATAGTGCAATCTTCACTCACCACAACCTCCGCCACCCGGGTTCAAGCAATTCTCCTGTCTCAGCCTCCCGAGTAGCTGGGATTACAGGCATGCGCCACCACGACCGGCTAATTTTATACTTTTAGTAGAGATGGGGCTTCTCCATGTTGGCCAGGCTGGTCTCAAACTCCCAACCTCAGGTGATCCGCCTGCCTTGGCTTCCCAAAGTGCGGGGATTACAGGCATGAGCCACCGCGCCTGGCTGGGCTCGTTAATTCTTATCCTAGTTCCAGCTTAGAGGAAGGCCTGGAAGGAGGGTAGGGGGACCAAGGAGAAACTTTTACCCAAAGCCCTATTACCTCCCCATTCCCAGTGCTGCTTATTTGTACCTCTTCTGCCCACTCATTTCTGTTCCACCTGCCCCTTTACTTCTTAAGCAGCATCCTCATCCTTCTTCCTCTTCAGCTCTTATGTTGAAACTCCTGTTATCTCATAATCACGTTGAATGTGCTCATTGGTTGGTTGATTTTTTAAAGTCTAGTTTAAATCCATTTAATTTCAGCCCTGCAAAGACTCTATCCGTGTGGTTATTTGGAAATACGATAAATTAGTAGTTAGTATAGAGGGTTCTCCCACTTACAAATGGAGAAGAGCCTGTACATTTCATATTCACAGAAAGTTTTCCTGCATTCAAAGACTTGTCACTGGACCCAAGCCACATGTGTAGTTGGGGTCAACATGATTATCACTGGACTCTGCTCGTAAATCCTCCTCTACTCTTGTCTAAAGGAATTCAAGCCCACATTTAAATCTTGTCAGCTTCATAGTTGTTGGCTTTGCTGTGGCCTACGCTCCCTATTTTCATTCAGATTCTGAGCCCTGGATAAAATGCAGAGAGTCTAACCCTCTCCACCCCTCTGCCTCTCCAGCGGATGCAGTGGTGCAGTATGACGTGGAGCTGATTGCACTAATCCGAGCCAACTACTGGCTAAAGCTGGTGAAGGGCATTTTGCCTCTGGTAGGGATGGCCATGGTGCCAGCCCTCCTGGGCCTCATTGGGTATCACCTATACAGAAAGGCCAATAGACCCAAAGTCTCCAAAAAGAAGCTCAAGGAAGAGAAACGAAACAAGAGCAAAAAGAAATAATAAATAATAAATTTTAAAAAACTTATTTGCATTCTTCATCTGATATTTTCTGAGACTGCCTTTGAAAGTGGGAATGAGGTAAAGGGCTGAGGAAAAAAGCATTGTGAATTGCATCTTGCCTGGCATGGGGGTGGTTGTAGGCCCTGGATCACCTCTTCCCCTGGCCTCCTCTTGCTGTCCTAACTGACTTTAAGGACCTGGTCTTGAGTCTTCCCATAGGATCTCTAGGTCCTTAAGGTATGGGTTTTGGCTCTCATGGTGCCCTGATTCTGAGGAGGGATGCTTAATTGAGCAGTGAGCCTCCTGGTAGTTGCCTAGCTGTTCTCTCTGTTCCCTGGGACCACAGTGTTCCTAGTGTCCTCAAAGAGAACTGCTCTGTCCAATATGGAAAAGATATAAAGAGCTCATAAACTCCATGGAAATTTTTAATAGCAACATCCCTACATTTCTCAAAAAAAAAAAAAAATCTCTAGGAGTTGAAAGATTTTTTTCCTTAGATCACAGGTTGTGGAAGATCATCTGGGCTGCTTCAATTATATTTTAAGTGGTTGGATGTTGTTTATCACCTGGATGGGCTATACGTATGGACAAGGGCTGGAGTAAGTTGCTTTGATAGTTGACTATAAAGAGTGGGTTGAGCTGGCTCAGCACTTCGTCACTCACTGAGATGCCATCCAAGTACTGCTTCAGCATCTCCCGCAGCTTCCCATTGATATCTAGCAGCTGGGCTCGTCTATGTTGGAGGCTCAGTTGCTCCAGTTTCACTTTGTTGTACCTTTTCCAGAAATTCTCCATTCCTATGTAGTCCACCATCACCTGGGAGTGGAGTTACAGGGAGAAGGTGTGCAGCGAGACCCATTAGCAAATGCTGCCCAATGCCCCACCATCCCCCGGGCTTTACCTTGGTGAGCTCCTCAGTAAGCTCTTCTAGATTATTCTTCTGAATCCCCTCCTGCTCCTTAGGAGTCAATACTGATGAATAAAAAGGCAGCACTTTTTCTTCTTCGGTTTCAAATTTCCTACATATTTCAGCAAGTTTAAGGATCTTTTCACCCTATTTGAAGCGGGAAGAGAGTTTATATTAGGAAAGGGAGTGAAGAGGGAAGCTAGTGGAGTTGGTTCCCCTGTTTGAACCCAGGGAAGCTACTCATCCAAGTGGGAAACAATAGCAATAAATACATATAGCAAATGGAGGTTACCATGTAACACACACTATTCCAAGTATTTTCTTATTGTAAAATTGATTCATAGCCTGGGAAACATAGAAAGACCCCATCTCTACAAAAAATTATTTAAAAGCCAGGCATGGTAGCACATGCCTACAGTCTCAGCTACTGGGGAGGCTGAGATGGAAGGATCACTTGAGCCCAGGAGGCAGAGGCTGGAGTGAGACGAGATGGTGCCACCACACTCCAGCCTGGGCAACTGAGCGAGACCCTGTCTCAAAAAAAAAAAAAAATCATTCATTATTAATAATTCATTCCTTTAAAAAAAAAACAAACTCATTCTCTCATTCTTTTTTTTTTTTTTTTTTTTTTTTTTAAGATGGAGTTTCGCTCTTGTTGCCCAGGCTGGAGTGCAGTGGCGCGATCTCGACTCACCGCAACCTCTGCCTCCAGGGTTCAAGCGATTCTCCTGCCTCAGCTTCCCGAGTAGCTGGGATTACAGGCATGTGCCACCATGCCTGGCTAATTTTGTATTTTTAGTAGAGATGGAGTTTCTCCATGTTGGTCAGGCTGGTCTCGAACTCCCAACCTCAAGTAATCCACCTGCCTCGGCCTCCCAAAGTGTTGGGATTACAGGTGTGAGCCACTGCGCCCAGCCAAAACTCATTCATTATTAATTCTTTTTTTTTTTTTTTTTTTTTTTTTTAGACAGGGTCTTACTCTGTCACCCAGGCTGGGGTGCAGTGGTGCAATCCTGGCTCACTGCAGCCGCGATGTCCCAGGCTCAAGTGGTCCTCCCATCTCAGCTTCCCAAGTATCTGGGCTCACAGGCATGTGCCACTATGCCCAGCTTTTTTTTGGTAGAGATGGGCTCTCCCTGTGTTGCTCAGGGTGGTCTCAAACTCTTGGGCTCAAGCAATCCTCCCACCTTGGCCTCCCAAAGTGCTGGGATTACAGGCATGAGCCACCATGCCTGGCCAATTCATTTCAATTTAAAATGTAGACCAGACGCGGTGGCTCACGCCTGTAATCCCAGCACTTGAGAAGCCAAAGTGGGTGGATCGCTGAGGTCAGGAGTTCGAGAACGTCCTGGCCAACATGGTGAAACCCTGTCTCCACTAAAAATACAAAAATTAGCCGGGTGTGGTGGTGCGCACCTGTAATTCCAGCTACTCAGGAGGCTGAGGCAGGAGAATTGCTTGAACTGGGGAGGTAAAGGTTGCAGCGAGCCAAGATCATGCCACTGCACTCCAGCCGGGGCAACAGAGTGAATAAAACTTCGTCTCAAAAAAAAAAATAATTAATTAAAATGTAAGGGGGAGCTCAACGCAGTGGCTCATGCCTGTAATCCCAGCATTTTAGAAAGCCAGGGTGGGAAGATCGTCTGAGGCCAGGAGTTTGACCCAGCCTGGGCAACATGGCGAAACCCCATCTCTACAAAAAATACAAAAGTTAGCTGTGCATTGGGGAGGCTGTGGCGGGAGGAATGCTTGAGCCCAGGAGGCAGAGGTTGCAGTGAGCCAAGATGGTGCCACTGCACTCCAGCCTGGGAGACAGAGTGAGACCCTGTCTCACCAAAAAGAAAAAAAAAAAAAAGTAGGAAGGGGCTCACCAGGGTGGCTCACGCCTCTAATCCCAGCACTTTGGGAGGCCAAGGCAAGAGGACTGCTTGAGGCCAGGAGTTCATAACCATCCTGGGCAACACAGTGAGACCCCATCTGTAGAAATACATAAATAAATAAATTAATTTAATTTAATGTAAGAGGGGAGGAAACATGGAATAAAAAAGGTATTCCAAGTGTCCACTCAGCCAGGAAGCAGGAAGAAGCCCCCGCTATCCTTTCCAAATCCCTTTCACTTTGCAGGGAGGCAGGTTCCTTGACTTTATTCTGATAGTCCTCTCCCCTGTGTTACCTTATCAACAATCTTTCTCAGGGCCTTGAGGGTGGCATTACTTTCCAGGGTGAGTCTGACTAAGTTCTTCTGGGATGCTGCCCGGGCCTGAGTTCTTTGGGCCTTAAGTTTTCGCAGTTGTACAAGGACCAATTCCTTGTCATTACGGATATACCGGTTCTCATCTTCACTCTCACGGCTGTGTATCATGATCTTGCCTTTTGAAATAGTTATGGCATCCTAGAGGAACAGAGTAGATTAGGGGAAATCTACTTGACCAACTGAGGGTCTTCAGTGAGACAGGTAAAAGGGCTGCCTGGGGACTGAAATCAGAGCATATCATCTTTTCCCAACCAATGATCAGTGATGAGGCCCAGGGGAAACAAGGGGAAGCAAAAGAGGGGATAATAGAGCAGTTAAAGCAGTGAGTATTTCCAGGTGGCTACACTAACCTGTAGTTTCTGTATTTTTTTCATCTGTACTTCAATCTCTTTGGAGCTCTTCTCATCCTTCACCTGCAGGGTCTCAAAGGCAGCCTTTCGATCCTCTGTGGCATCAGTGTAATTCTTGAGTACATCCTGGAACTTTCTCCACAGATCTTCTACTCTGTTCTCCAGGTGCAGTCTTAGAAAGTGCTTCTCTTCTAAATTCTAGCAAGTGACCCCAAAATAGCAAATGTTTGGAATTACCTTATTAGTGCCCTTTCACTTCTACCAGCAATCCCACCCTCTTGAACTGTTTGTAGCATAGTTTAGTACAGAGGTCTCCCATGAAAATGCCTACACAAGACCAGGCAGATGATATAAATATGTTTTGTGGGCCGGGTGGGGCCTGTGGTGAACTGGAGAGGAAATGCTGCATTTGGGAGGAGGAGGGGCAGTCACTGAGCTCCACGTGAGCCTTGCCATTTGGAAATGTGGCCCAGTGTTGCCAGATCTTTAAATTTTTCAAGGGAAGCTGAAAATTTGGATGTTTTTGTGAAATCTCCAATTTTTAAGTGTAGGATGCTTATTCAAAAAATTGTATAAAACACTGTGGGGTAAATAAAAACAAAGAACTCCATACCCAAACCTAGGTCTGTGGGCTGGCTAAGATTGCAACCTCGAGGACAGTGGAAAGCACTTTGGATCAAGGGGCAGGAGACCTAGATTCTCCTGATTCTACCACAAACCAGCAGCATGACTTTGGCAGGTCATTTTACTTACTTGTGCCTTACTTTCTTCATCTGAAAATCACAGGGGTGAAGCCAGATGATCTCCTTGGTGCTTTTTAGCTCTAAAATGCATTCCCTTGACAATTTAGAATGGTCCTCCCTCCCAACCAATTTTCACAAAATTACAAAAAGCATTAGGGATACCTACAGGGGGCAATAGATGTTTTATTGACTGTGTTGGCTAAAGGGGTCTCTTCTACTTCTAGTAGCCTTGAGCATTTTTCTTTTTTTCTTTTTTTAATTTTTTTGAGACAGGGTCTCGCTCTGTCACCCAGGCTGGAGGGCAGTGTTGCTATCACAGTTCACTACAGCCTCCATCTTCTGGGCTCAAGCGATCATCCTACCTCAGCCTCTTAAGTAGCTTGGACCATAGGCACACACTACCACGCCTGGCTATTTTCTTTCTTTTTTGGGGGGGCCGGTAGAGATGGGGGGGACTCCCTATGTTGCCCAGGCTAGTCTTGAACTCCCAGTCTCAAGTGATCCTCCTGCCTTGGCCTACCAAGGTGCTGGGATTACAGGTGTGAGCCACTGTGCCCAGCCTCCTTGAGCATTTTTCTATCACCTCCTCCCACTTCTTGCCTATCTACTCTCCCTCCGTACCATGTTTTTGAGATCATTCCACATGCTCTGGAACTCCAGCTTGCTTTCATACTCAGAATCTATATAGTTCTGCTCCATGGCCATGAAGATATCTTGCAGATAGTGAATCTCTTTCTCATGTTGGTCAATAATTGTCTTCCTGTAGGAGACAAGACACTGTCCCTGCTCTGAGGGATACAGGATATTGACCAATAATGACAATTCAAAGCAGTATGTAATCTATGTGAATGGTACAAACTCTTAGGTACTGATGGAGAAAAGAGAGAGGGAAGGCTTTACTCTTTTTAGGGCTAGAAAGAATGAGTAAGGTTATTTTATTTTGATTTCTGAATGGGTAATACATTCATGTGATACAAAAAAAGTACAAAAGGTTACAGTGAGAAGTCTCTCTCCCATCCCTGTTCCCTGCCAAATGGGTAGGATTTTGATAGTTGAAAGTGGGTAGTTGGTCCCTCTCCCTCTCCCTCTCCCTCTCCCCATGGTCTCCCTCTCCCCATGGTCTCCCTCTCCCTCTCTTTCCACGGTCTCCCTCTCATGCCGAGCCGAAGCTGGACTATACTGCTGCCATCTCGGCTCACTGCAACCTCCCTGCCTGATTCTCCTGCCTCAGCCTGCCGAGTGCCTGCGATTGCAGGCGCGCGCCTCCACGCCTGACTGGTTTTCGTATTTTTTTGGTGGAGACGGGGTTTCGCTGTGTTGGCCGGGCTGGTCTCCAGCTCCTAACCGCGAGTGATCCGCCAGCCTCGGCCTCCCGAGGTGCCGGGATTGCAGACGGAGTCTGGTTCACTCAGTGCTCAATGGCGCCCAGGCTGGAGTGCAGTGGCGTGATCTCGGCTCGCTACAACCTCCACCTCCCAGCCGCCTGCCTTGGCCTCCCGAAGTGCCGAGATTGCAGCCTCTGCCCGGCCGCCACCCCGTCTGGGAAGTGAGGAGCGTCTCTGCCTGGCCGCCCATCGTCTGGGATGTGAGGAGCCCCTCTGCCTGGCTGCCCAGTCTGGAAAGTGAGGAGCGTCTCTGCCTGGCCGCCATCCCATCTGGGAAGTGAGGAGCGCCTCTTCCCGGCCGCCATCACATCTAGGAAGTGAGGAGCGTCTCTGCCCGGCCGCCCATCGTCTGGGATGTGGGGAGTGCCTCTGCCCCGCCGCCCTGTCTGGGATGTGAGGAGCGCCTCTGCCCGGCCGCCACCCCGTCTGGGAGGTGAGGAGCGTCTCTGCCCAGCCGCCCCGTCTGAGAAGTGAGGAGACCCTCCGCCCGGCAGCTGCCCCGTCTGAGAAGTGAGGAGCCTCTCCGCCCGGCAGCCACCCCGTCCGGGAGGGAGGTGGGGGGGTCAGCCCCCCGCCCGGCCAGCCGCCCCATCCGGGAGGTGAGGGGTGCCTCTGCCCGGCCGCCCCTACTGGGAAGTGAGGAGCCCCTCTGCCCGGCCGCCCCTACTGGGAAGTGAGGAGCCCCTCTGCCCGGCCACCACCCCGTCTGGGAGGTGTGCCCAACAGCTCATTGAGAACGGGCCAGGATGACAATGGCGGCTTTGCGGAATAGAAAGGGGGGAAAGGTGGGGAAAAGATTGAGAAATCGGATGGTTGCCGTGTCTGTGTAGAAAGAAGTAGACATGGGAGACTTTTCATTTTGTTCTGTACTAAGAAAAATTCTTCTGCCTTGGGATCCTGTTGATCTGTGACCTTACCCCCAACCCTGTGCTCTCTGAAACATGTGCTGTGTCCACTCAGAGTTAAGTGGATTAAGGGCGGTGCAAGATGTGCTTTGTTAAACAGATGCTTGAAGGCAGCATGCTCATTAAGAGTCATCACCACTCCCTAATCTCAAGTACCCAGGGACACAAACGCTGTGGAAGGCCGCAGGGTCCTCTGCCTAGGAAAACCAGAGACCTTTGTTCACTTGTTTATCTGCTGACCTTCCCTCCACTATTGTCCTGTGACCCTGCCAAATCCCCCTCTGTGAGAAACACCCAAGAATGATCAATAAAAAAAAAAAAAAAAGAAAGAAAGTGGGTAGTTGGTAAAAGGAATTTGAGGAGTTAAATTTAAAAAGAAGAAAAAAAAGTTATTTAAAAAAGTAAAACAATAACATAGCCAGGTGTGGTGGCACGCACCTGTAATCCCAGCTACTGGGGACACTGAGGCAGGAAAATTGCTTGAACCCGGGAGGCAGAGGTTGCAGTGAGCTGAGATCGTGCCACTGCATGTCAGCCTGGACAACAGAGCGACACTCCGTCTTGAAAAAACAAAACAAAATAAAAAAATAAAACAATAAAGAAAAAAATAGTGAAAGAAAAAAAAAGAAGAAAGTGGGTGGTGAAGGTACACAGACAGGGACCTGACGTGAGTAAAGGGAAGCTAGAGCTGCAAACTTAAGCCCGAGTTTGTTTAAAAGGAACCAAGATATTCTCTGCTGGGGGTCCCGTGATAATCAATGTGGGATGCTCCAAGATACTAGCCACTTGCTTACAGGCAACTCCTTGACACGGACTCTGGGCACTCCCCTGGATTCAATTCCCCATCTTCTCTTAGGCCCCCATACCTTTCTGTCTCAAACTCCTTGGTTAGGGCTTCCAGCTCCATGTTGTAACTTTCCTCCAGGAGACTGAGCCGGTGCCTCTGCAGGGCCAAGAGCTGGTCAACATTGTGCAAGTGGCTGCGCAGGGCATGGGCGTACTGCTCCTCGGCTTCGGACAGGTCTTTAGCTAAAGACTAGGCCAGAAAGAGAGAGTTACCATTCCAGCTGAATAGCATCTCTGTGAGAAAATAAAAATATATTCAGCTGGCAGTTTTTTCTTTGTTCCTAATGCCAATTCTTTGACTTTAAGAATGCTGGCTGTCCCCCTCACTCTTGTGTAAAGCAAGAGTGATGGCAAGGGCTGAGCAAGGTGGCTCGCATTTGTAATCCCAACACTTTGGGTAGCCAAGGTGGGAGGATTACATGAGCCTGGGAGCTCAAGACTAGCCTGGGCAACATAATGAGACCCCCCCATCTCTACAAAAACAAACAAACAAACAAAAAAACCCATAAAAATTACCCAGGCCGTAATCCCAGCTACTCACAAGGCCTGGGCAGGAGGATTGCTTAAGCCCAGGAGTTCAAAGTTGCAGTGAGCTGTGATCATGCCACTACACTCCAGCCTGGGTGACAGAACAAGACCCTGTCTCAAAAAAAAAAAAAAAAAAAAAAGACTGGGCACGGTGGCTCACACCTGTAATCCCAGCACTTTGGGAGGCCAAGGTGGGCAGATCATGAGGTCAGGAGTTCAAGACCAGCCTGACCAACATGGTGAAGCCCTGTCTCTACTAAAAATACAAAAATGCCGGGTGCGGTGGCACAAGCCTGTAATCCCAGCACTTTGGGAGGCCAAGGCGGGTGGATCATGAGGTCAGGAGTTCGAGACCAGCCTGGCCAACATAGTGAAACCCCATCTCTACTAAAAATAAGAAAAAAAAATTCCGGCCATGGTGGCAGGTGCCTGTAATCCCAGCTACTTGGGAGGCTGAGGCAAGAAGAATTGCTTGAACCTGGGAGGCAGAGGTTGCAGTGAGCCGAGATTGCACCACTGCACTCCAGCCCGGGTGACAGTGCGAGACTCGGTCTCAAAATAAATAAATAAATAAATAAATAATAAAAATACAAAAGTTAGCTGGTGTGGTGATGCGTACCTATAATCCCCGCTACTCAGGAGGCTGAGGCGGGAAAATCGCTTGAACCCGGGAGGCCAAGTTTGCATTGAGCTGAGATCACGCCACTGCACTCCAGCATGGGTGACAGAGCGAGACTCCGTCTCAAAAAAGAAAAAAAGAAGTGATAGCAAAGAGCCCCATGAAGCCAGCCAGTGTCCTGTGGATGACTAACATTTGCAGTGATGTAGCTACCACTGAAAAGAATCAGGGATTCTTGGAGAAATGGGTGCTTTGAGGCCTGATGCAGAAAATAAGTTGAACCTGGGGTATCTTTTTTTTTTTTTTTTTTTTTGAGACGGAGTCTTGCTCTGTCACCAGGCTGGAGTGCAGTGGCGCGATCTTGGCTCACTGCAACCTTGGCCTCCCAGGTTCAAACGATTCCTGCCTCAGCTTCCCAAGTAGCTGGGACTACAGATGCATGCCACCACGACCAGCTAATTTTTTACATTTTTAGTAGAGACAGGGTTTCACCATGTTGGCCAGGATGGTCTCGATCTCTTGACCTTGTGATCCACCTGGCTTGGCCTCCCAAAGTTCTGGGATTATGGGCGTGAGCCACCGCCCCTGGCAGAACCTGGGGTATCTTATCATAAAAAATAGCAAAGAAACTATAAAAGACCAAAAGGGTCATGTCAGAAGGACCCAGGAACCAACATGAAGTGCCTCACTGAGGCAGATTTTCCAAAGAAAATCACAGCAATATCTCCCATCCTACAATTCTCTGCTATGTGACCTTGCCACTCCCCATCAAAAGGTGGTGTCTCTTCTTCCAGCTCCTTGAATTTGGGCAGACCCTATGACTACATGGGTCAACAGAATATGGTGGAAGTGACACTATGCCAGTCCCAGGCATAACCCTTGGCTAGCCTGGCAGTTTCTGCTTCCCGCCCCTTAGAATGCTTGTTCTTAGGATGGTCCCTCCAGGAGCCTAACAGTCATGCTGTGAGAAGCCAAGTGCACATGAATTTTTTTTTTTTTTTTTTTTTTTGAGACGGCGTCTCGCTCTGTTGCCCAGGCTGGAGTGCTGGAGCGCAGTGGCGCGATCTTGGCTCACTGCAAGCTCCCTCTCCCGGGTTCACGCCATTCTCCTGCCTCAGCCTCCTGAGTAGCTGGGACTACAGGAGCCCGCCACTATGGCCAGCTAATTTTTTTATTTTTTAGTAGAGAGATGGAGTCTCACTCTGTCGCCCAGGCTGGAGTGCAGTGGTGCGATCTTGGCTCATTGCAACCTCCTCCCCACAGGTTCAAGTGATTCTCCTGCCTCAGCCTCCCACAGTAGCTGGGATTACAGGCACACACCACCACACCTGGCTAATTTTTTATATTTTTTAGTAGAGATGAGATTTCACCATGTTGGTCAGGCTGGTCTCAAACTCCTGACCTCGTGATCCGCCATCCTCGGCCTCCTAAAGTGCTGGGATTACAGGTGTGAGCCACCGTGCCCAGCCAGAAGTTTTTTTTTTTAAATCAGTTATCACTGGAGGATACCAGACAACCAATTTTTTTTAAAACTGGTAAATAAAGGCAAGAGAAAGAATCAAGCATTTATCTTGCCTTTCCTATATAGCTCTGAGTAATTGAATAGAAAATGAGGGGAAGTATCTCTTTTCAGAAATACTCAAGCTAATGAACAAAAAATGAATAATACTATTAGGAAATCAGGCCAGGCACAGTGGCTCACACCTGTAATCCCAGATCTTTGGGAGGCTGAGGCAGGAAGATCATCTGAAGCAAGGGTTTGAGGCCAAGAGTTTGAGACTAACCTGGGCAACAGAGTGAGGCCACCATCTCTATTTCTTTTTCTCTTTTTTTTTTCTTACCGGATCACTACATCCAGACCCCATCTCTATTTCTATTTCTTTTTCTTTTGAGTCAGGGTCTTGTCCTGTCACCCAGGCTGGGGTCAGGTGGCATGATCACAGCTCACTGCAGCCTCAACCTCCCAGGCTCAATTGATCCCCCACCTCAGCCCCCTGAGTAGCTGGGACTACAGGCACACATCACCATGCCCAGCTAATTTTTAAGTTTTTTTGTAGACAGGTTTTTGCCATGTTGCCCAGGCTGGTCTCAAACTCCTGGGCTCAAAGGATCTGCCGCCTCAGCCTCCCAAAGTGTTGGGATTACAAGCATGAACCACTGTGCCTGGCCCCATCTCTATTTCTAAAATAAAATTTAAACATTTTTAAAATAAGCATTTTTGCATCTCCCAATGATTTAATGGATCAACAGCTGCTAACATCACAAAAAGAGAGCTAGACAATATGTGCCTCTTGATACAACATCGCTAAGCATCTAAATCCAGTTACCAAAATAAAAATACAGAGGAGAAAGTAATGTGTTAAACTGCAATACAGAATACTATGCGGTTGTAAAATAAGAAGCTCTTTATGGGAAAATATGGAACAATCTCTTACATATATGAGCACAATCTTGGCTCACTGCAACCTCTGCTTCCCAGGCTCAGGTGATCCTCCTACCTCAGCCTCCCCAGTAGCTGGGACTATAGGCACATACCACCATGCCCGGCTAATTTACATATTCTTAGTAGAGACAGGGTTTTACCATGTTGCCCAGGCCGATCTCGAACTCCTAGGCTCAAGCGATCCGCCTGCATTGGCCTCCCAAAGTGCTGGGATTTCAGGCATGAGCCACTGTGCCCGGCCTCCAAGATATATTATTAAGTGAAAAAAGCAAGGTGCAGAATAGTATATAATAAGATCATTTATGTAAAAAAAGAAAAAAGTTTCCTTATGAAACTAGAATTATTGGAAGGAACACTGGGTACCTGGAAGGCACTGGTGGGGAGGAACTTTTCTCTATATAACCTTTTTTTCTTTTGAATTTTGAATAATGTGAGTGTATTACCTTCAAAAAAGTAAAACAAGATTAAACAGAAAAGCATTTACAGAATTGCCCACATGATCCAGGCACCTTGAGTCCACTCACTGTAAACTACCATGACCTCTACACAGAGATAGCTTTTACCTTATATGTTTACAATGATAAAAGGATCTTATGAAATAGGTTCTGATAATGGAAGACTATTCACTCACTCAACAAATGTTTACCTAACCCCTGCTATGTACCAGCACTGTGCTGGATGTTGAGGATTCAGAGATAAAAAGATATGCCCACTGCTCCCAAAGGAGCTTACAGTCTAGTAGGAAGAGTTACATAAATAGAAAATCACAACATAACATGGAAATTGCTCTAAGGTTGATGATCTATTGAGTGACAATGAGATATAAAGGACTGAGTGCCTACATCTGATTAAGCACTGGGAAAGGCTTCATAAGAGCTGTCATTTGTAACAACTCTTGAAGGAGGAATGAAAGTTTGCCAGGATGGCCGGGCATGGTGGCTCACTCCTGTAATCCCAGCACTTTGGGAGGCTGAGGCAGGCGGATCACCTGAGGTCAGGAGTTCCAGACCAACCTGGCCAACATGATGAAGCCCCGTCTCTACTAAAAATACAAAAATTAGTCAGCATGGTGGCGCACACCTGTAGTCCCAGCTATGCAGGAGGCTGAGGCAGGAGGATTACTTAAACCTGGGAGGTGGAGACTGCAGTGAGCAGAGATTGCACCACCGCACTCCACCCTGGGCAACAGAGTGAGACTCCGTCTCGGGAAAAAAAAAAAAAAAAAGAGGCTGGGCGCGGTGGCTCACGCCTGTAATCCCAACATTTTGGGAGGCCGAAGTGGGCAGATCACTTGAGGTCAGGAGTTCGAGACCAGCTGGCCAACATGGCGAAACCCCGTATCTACTAAAAATACAAAAATTAGCTGAGTGTCGTGGCGCACGCCTGTAATCCCAGCTACTTGGGAGGCTGAGGCAGCAGAATCACTTGAACCCGAGAGGCGAAGGTTACAGTGAGCCAAGATCGCTCCACTGCACTCCAGCCTGGGAGACAGAATGAGACTCCGTCTCAAAAAAATAAATAAATAAAAATAAAAATAATAAGAAAGTTTGCCAGGACGACTGGAGAAGAAATGGAGATGAGAATTCCAGATACGGGGAATAGCATGTGCAAAGGCACAGGTAAGAAACAAGGCTGGCTATGAAAAGTACAGGTAGGCAGAGGCCAGGTGTGGTGGCTCACACCTGTAATACCCAGCACTTTGGGAGGCCAAGGCAGGTGGATCACCTGAAGTGGGGAGTTCGAGATCAGCCTGACCAACATAGAGAAACCCCGTCTCTACTAAAAATACCAAATTAGCTGGGCGTGGTGGCACATGCCTGTAATCCCAGCTACTTGGGAGGCTGAGGCAGAAGAATCGCTTGAACCCAGGAGGTGGAGGTTGCGGTGAGCCGAGATTGCGCCATTTCACTCCAGCCTGGGCAACAAGAGCAAAACTCCATCTCAAAAAAAAAAAAAAAAAAAAAAAGAGAAAGAAAAGTACAGGTGGGAACCAGATCATGAGGGCTTTGATGTTTTTACTATGGAGTCTGGATTTTTTCCTGTAGATGGGGGAACCACTAAGATTTAAACAGTGGAGTGACAGGATTAGATTTCTGCTTTAGAAAGATAATCCTGGTACTCATGCCTATAATCCCAGCACTTTAGGAGGCCGAGGCAGGTGGATCACCTGAGGCCAGGAGTTAGAGACCAGCCTGGCCAATGTGGTGAGACCCCATCTCTACTAAAATTGCAGAAATTAGCTGGATGTGGTGGCATGCACCTGTAATCCCAGCTACTCAGGAGGCTGAGGCAGGAGAATCACTTGAACCCGGGGGGCAGAGGTTGCAGTGAGCCAAGATTGTGCCACTGCACTCCTGCCTGGGTGACTCTGTCTAAAAATAAAATAAATAAATAAATAATAATAATAATAATAATAATAATAATAATAATAATCCTGGTAGTTCTGCAGAGAATCTAGAGGCAGTTCAATGTGAAGGGTGGAAAACAGGAAACTATTACTAATAGTGTAGGTTAGAGATGATGCCCAGGTCTCAACTACAGGAGGACAGTGGAAAAGGACAGCAGGGTATAGCTTTGAAAACTACTTTAAAGTAGACGACTTATACAACACTTAGTAACAAAGGTCAGGGATAGATGCAAAATCTAGGATGGACCGAGCCCAGTGGCTCATGCCTGTAATACTAGCACTTTGGGAGGCCGAAGTGGGAGGACTGCTTGAGGCCAGGAGTTCAAGACCAGCATGGGCAACATAACGAGACTGCATCTCTATAAAAAATTTAAAAATTTGTTAGGTGAGGTGGTATGCTCCTGTGGTCCCAGCTACTCCAGAGGGTGAGGTGGGAGGATCAGCCTGGGCAACACAGCGAGACCTTGTCTCTACTAAAAATTAAAATAATTTAAAAATTTAGCCAGTCATAGTGAGAGCCTGTAGTCCCAACTGCTCAGGTGGGAGGATCACTTGAGCCCAGGAGCTTGAGTGTAGTGAGCTATGATTGTGCTACTGCACTTCAGCCTGGACAACAAAGTGAGACTCTGTCTCAAAAAATAAAATAAAATAAAGCCAGGGTAATGTGTAAGATTGGCCCTAGAAAACTGGTTAAAGGGTGAGATGGCCAGACTCAGAAATCCGGGGAATGCTGAAGTTCAGAGGATGGAGAGAGGAAGATAAACTCACTGGAGTGACTGATTTATGTCCCAGAGGTAGGAAAAATGACAGAATGGTGTCATGCAAGCCAAAGGAGAATTTCAAGACCCAGGGCATGACCAAGAATGTCAGTGCCATAGAGAGGTTAGGTTAGATAAAGACTAAATGATGAAAAGTAGCCACAATTCTGAACCAGTGGCCTTTACCTGAGCAGTTTCCTAGAGAAGGGTAGAAATCAGATGCTGTGGGATACAGGGTAAAATGGAAGTGAAGAAGTAGAGATAGTGAGGATCACTAACATTTCCACATTTAATATGTGTAGTCTCATTCAGGAATGACCCTGAAGGTGGTTAATATTAACAGTGTGTGATTTACCTAAGCAAGAACTGTTATCATAAGCTGCAAGGCTGCTGTGTAGGAAGAAGTTAATTGTCTCGGGGTGAACCTGGCCAACTACTCAGCTTCCCTTAACCCATTCATGCCTGAGGTTGCAAATATTTTTTGTGAAAAATCAGATCTTGGCGATGACCTTGAACAGTACGAGATACATAACTCCCACAAACTTAGCATTCCAATAATGGAACACTAGGCAATGAACACTGCTGTTCTTATCAAGTGTTTTTTTGTTTTGTTTTGTTTTTTTTGAGACGGAGTCTCGCTCTGTCACCCAGGCTGGAGTGCAGTGGCACAATCTCTGCTCACTGCAAGCTCCACCTCCCGGGTTCACGCCATTCTCCCGCCTCAGCCTCCCGAGTAGCTGGGACTACAGGTGCCCGCCACCACGCCTGGCTAATTTTTTGTATTTTTAGTAGAGATGGGGTTTCACCATGTTAGCCAGGATGGTCTCGATCTCCTGACCTCGTGATCCGCCTGCCTCAGCCTCCCAAAGTGCTGGGATTACAGGCTTGAGCCACCGTGCCTGGCCCTCTTATCAAGTGTTTGATAACTTCCAATAAGTGTCTGAAAAAGCCTCTTAAAAATCCATAAGGTATGGGCTGGGCGCGGTGGCTAACGTCTGTAATCCCAGCACTTTGGGAGGCCGAGGCAGGTGGATCACCTAAGGTCAGGAGTTCCAGACCAGCCTGGCCAACATGGTGAAATCCCGTCTCCACTAAAAATACAAAAATTACCTGGGCTTGGTGGTGGGCGCCTGTAATCCCAGCTATTCAGGAGGTTGAGGCAGGAGAATCGCTTGAACCCAGGAGGCAGAGGTTGCAGTGAGCCGAGATCGCGCCACTGTACTCCAGCCTGGTGACAAGAGTGAAACTCCTCAGTGGCTGGGCGTGGTGGCTCATGCCTGTAATCCCAGCACTTTGGGAGACTGAGGCGGGCGGATCACCTGAGGTCGGGAGTTTAAGACCAGCCTAACCGACATGAAGAAACCCCATCTCTACTAAAAATACAAAATTAGTGGGCGTGGTGGCACATGCCTGTAATCCCAGCTACTCAGGAGGCTGAACTCGGGAGGCGGAGGTTGCAGTGAGCCAAGACTGCGCCATTGCACTCCAGCCTGGGCAACAGGAGTGAAACTCTGCCTCAAAAAAAAAAAAAAAAAATCCATAAGGTGTAACTGGTGGGGTATGTGGACTTCTAATGAATAATGGTTATTGCAAATTTGAGGACTCTTAATATTTATCTCTGGAAGCTGCCCAGGGTCTGCTGAGCTCTTTCCCCAGGGATTAGGCTATGAAAGAGAAATGTGTGTTTTCTAGAGGGGGAATACCATGTTGGCAATGTATATTTTGCTGTTACTGTGGGCTTTGTTTTGTTGAAAATGGAAAAGACTCTGGCTGGGTGCAGTGGCTCACGCCTGTAATCCCAGCACTTTGGGAGGCCAAGGCGGGTGGGTCACAAGGTCAGGAGATCGAGACCATCCTGGCCAACATGGTGAAACCCCCATCTCAACTAAAAATACAAAAATTAGCCAGGCATGGTGGCACATGCCTGTAGTCACAGCTACTCGGGAGGCTGAGGCAGAAGAATCACTTGAACCTGGGAGGCAGAGGTTGCACTGAGCCGAGATTGTGCCACTGCACTCCAGCCTGGCAACAGAGCAAGACTCCATGTCAAATAAATAAATAAATAAATAATGGAAAAGACTAAGGAGAAGGCAGTAAATGGAGGCAGAATATTAAAAGTAAGACAAAAGAAGGGGTACAGAAAATCCCTTAGAAGAAAAGATAGGATGGAATCAAGAACTCAAGAACCTCCCAAGAGCATAAGGATGGCTGATTGAATTGCTTAGAAATCCAGAACTGCTCTTACCCATGGAGATCTTCTCAACCTTATCCAGGGCCACTGAAGTTGAATCAAGAGGCCAAACAATTTAGTTGAATGGAGCACTGCAGTGGGAATCAATAAACACATGCTGGAGTCCTGGTTCTCTCACTGACTAGCTATGTGACCTTGGGCAAGTCAGTTCCCCTCTGGAACTGAGCCTTCTGACATTGAAATGAAGGTGTGGGACTCATTTCAAGTCACTGGGTGATGTCTACTGTGCCTTATGACTCTACTATTGGATAGTACTGGTTTTGGGCAATAGATGACAAGAAGAGTGGGTCCTCTAAGGGAGAGAGGGATGAAAGCCCAATATTCTATTTTTTATTTCTGTGAAAACCATTATTACCAATAGCCTGGCTTTCTCACAGCCTGTGTCTTGTGAGGGCTTTAAGATGGATTCACTAGGCTCATTCTATTAAGAGGTCAGGAAGCCATACTCAAGGTTTCCTTGGAAAGAGTGCCTACCTTGATGACATTGTCCTTACAGTCCACCACTCGTTCAAATGTTTGGCTGAGGATCTCAATGTCCTTATGAAGTTCTCTGGTCTTGACTTCCCGAAGGACAGTTCTCCACTGTGTGTTAATCTTATTAAGGTTCAGAGCACTGTTGTGTTCCTCCTTGGCCAGCTTGTCCTGTGTGAAGGAATAAATATACCTCCAGGAAGTCAGGGCCTTTCAGTACAACAAACAAGATCACTCTTAATTTATCAGCTGACACCTTACCCCTTTTCGATGGGAACGGCCTGATGGCATTTAGGGAGGGCAAGGGTGAATTTCCTTCAGGGTGGGAGCATCAGAGTAGGATGTTGTTTGTAATGACCTATCTCCAGGGAGAATATCAGCATTCCAGACAGCTGGAACAGCTGACAGGACCTACGGTCCCAGTTCTGGGATTCAGTAAAGATTGCCAAGCCGTATACCACGCACCCCCTCCGTGCTTCGCAGAGAACACCCCCGCCTCCCAAACAATGTTGCCTGAAATCTAAGTATATCTGGGTCTCAGGATTTCCGGAGGAGGGGAGGTCAGGATGAAAATGAGGTTTCCTCAGTGACAGGGCCAGGGCAGGGGGTGGATGGGGTTGAGCAGGACATAATGCAAAAGGCCATCACCTTCAAGAACTGGCTGAGGAGCCTCTCCTTCTTTTTGGCCATCTCCTCCTCTGCCAGCAACTTCTGCTGAAACAGAAGCAGCTGCTTCTCATCGGACAGGGGCGTCTTGGCCATTTTTTCTTTCTTAGGCATGGGGGCAGGGGATTGGATCCGGGAAAGAAGCCTCGGTCTGCCTCGGCCCGCGTTACAGAGCTTAGAAGAAAAATGTCCCTAGAAAGGGGACTTCCAGAAGTGCCCCTGGTTGTGGGCGGTTGTGGGACCGGAGATCTCAGCCCTCGAACAGGAGAGATCCCCGGCTATCAGTGAGGCTGAGCTCTCCCACTGTAAGACGCGTCTAGTCTCCTAGCAACGAGGATATCGCTAACATGGAGAGGCAACAGGCTAGAAGAGTCCCTGTCTTGGAGCGCCCCCTACCCAGTGGAGGACCGCGGTCGGTTTTTGAGAGGGTCCTTTTAACTCTCAAAAATCTGTCTCCTCAGTGCATTTTATTTATTTATTTATTTATTTATTTATTTATTTATTTATTTATTTTTGACATAGAGTCTCTCTCTGTCGCCTAGGATGGGCACGATCTCGGCTCACTGCAACCTCCGCCTCCCGGGTTCAAGCAATTCTCCTGTCTCAGCCTCCCCTCAGTGCACTTTTATAAACCGTCCTCAGAACCCTTGGGAAGCCCAAGATCGTCAAAAAGAGAACCAAGAAGTTTATCCGGCACCAGTCTGACCGATATGTCAAAATTAAGCGTAACCGGCGGAAACCCAGAGGTATTGACAACAGGGTTCGTGGAAGGTTCAAGGGTTAGATCTTGATGCCCAACATTGATTATGGGAGCAACAAGAAAACAAAGCACATGCTGCCCAGTGGCTTCCGGAAATTCCTGGTCCACACGTCAAGGAGCTGGAAGTGCTGCTGTTGTGCAACAAATCTTACTGTGCTGAGATCGCTCACAATGTTTCCTCCAAGAACCGCAAAGCCATCGTGGAAAAGAGCTGCCCAGCTGGCCGTCAGAGTCACCAACCCCAATCCCAGGCTGCGCAGCAAAGAAAATGAGTAGACAGCTCATGTGTATGTTTTCTGTTTAAATAAAACTGTAAAAACTGCAAACAACAACAACAACAAAAACCTTTTTTAAAAAGATAAGTGTTGGAGAGAATGTGGAGAAACGAGAACCCTCATATATTGGTGGTAGAAATGTAAAATGGTGTAGCCACTTTGGAAAACAGTTTGGCAATTTTTTAAAATGTTAAACATAAATTTACCATGTGACCCAATAATTTCACTCTTAGGGATCTGCCTAAGAGAAATGAAAGCATGTATACACACAAAAACTTGCACAGGAATTTTCTTATCTGTCTCACTCATAATAGCCCAGTTGGAAAAATTGGAGACAACCTAAATGTCCATTAACATGTGAATGAGTAGACAAAATATGCTATGTCCATACAATGGAATATTATTCAGAACAAACTATGGATACCAGCTACAATGTGGATGAACCTCAAAAAGAATATGCAGGCTGGGCGCTGTGCCTCACACCTGTAATCCCAGCACTTTGGGAGGCCGAGGCGGGAGGATCGTTTTAGCCCAAGAGATCGAGACTAGCTTGAGCAATGTGGCGAAACCCCTTCTCCACAAAAAATACAAAAGAAGTTAGCTGGGCGTGGTGGTGCGTACCTGTTGTCCCAGCTACCCCAGGAGGCTGAGGTGAGAAGATCACCTGAGCCCCAGAGGTCAAGCCATAGTCAAGCCACTGCACTCCAGTTGGGTGACAGAGCAGCCCTGTATCAAAAAGAAACAACAACAAAAACAAAACAAACAAACCCTTTTTTTTTTTTTAAGACTGGAGTCTCACTCTGTCACCCAGGCTGGAGTGCAGTGCGTGATCTCGGCTCACTGCAACCTCCACCGCCCGGGTTCAAGAAATTCTCCTGCCTCAGCCTCCCGAGTAGCTGGACTACAGGTGTCACCACCATGCCTGCCTAATTTTTGTATTTTTAGTAGAGACGGGGTTTCATCATCTTGGCCAGGTTGGTCTCAAACTCCTGACCTCAAATGATCCACCAACCTCGGCCTCCCAAAGTGCTGGGATTACAGGCGTGAGCCACCATGTTCGGCCAAAAAAACCCCTATGCTCAGTGAAATAAGCCAGACACAAGTGATTACATATTGTATGGTTCCATTTATATGAAATATCCGGAAAAGGCCAAGCTATAAAGACAGAAAGTAGATTACTTTCTTTTCTTCTCCCTTCCCTTCCCTTCCTTTCTTTCTCTCTTTCTCTCTCCCTCTCCCTCTCTCTCTCCTTTTTTGACTGAGTCTTTCTCTGTTGCCCAGGCTGGAGTGAGGTGGCACAGTCTCGGCTCACTGCAACCTGCACCTCCCAGGTTCAAGTGATTCTCCTGCCTCAGCTTCCCAAGTAGCTGGGATTACAGGCACCCGCTACCACACCCGGCTAATTTTTTGTATTTTTAGTAGAGATGGGGTTTCACCATGTTGGATCACCTAAGGTCGGGAGTTCGGGACCAGCCTGACCAACATGGAGAAACCCCATCGCTACTAAAAAGACAAAATTAGCTGGGCGTGGTGGCACATGCCTGTAATCCCAGCTACTCAGGAGGCTGAGGCAGGAGAATCGCTTGGACCCAGGAGGCGGAGGTTGCGGTGAGCTGAGATCGTGCCATTGCACTCCAGCCTGGGCAACAAGAGCGAAACTCCGTATTTAAAAAAAAAAAAAAAAAGCGAATTATGTGATATGCAACATGTGCCCCAATAAAGTTGTTTTAAATATGAAATATAATACATTACTCAGAACTCTCCAGAAAAACAGAACCAATAGGATGTGTGTATTTATTTATTATAAGCAATCGGTGTTATTATTGGAGGCTCAGAAGTCCCAAGATCTGCAATTAGCAACCTGGAGATTTAGGAGAACCGATGTGTAGTTCTAGACTAAAAGCCAGCCAGCTCAAGGTCCAAGAAGAGTCTGAGTTTCAGTCTGAGTCAGAAGGCCAGAAAAGACTGCCTCAGCTTAGGCAGTTAGTCAGGAGGAGCTGCTTTTACTCAGCCTTTTTGGTTTATTCATGTCTTCAATGATTGGATGAGGCTCACCCATGTTACAAGGGCAATCTGCTTTACTCAATCTACCACTAATTAATTCTCAATCCAATTCAAATATTAATCTCATCTGGAAACACCCTCACAGACAAAACCAGAATAATTTTTTTTTGTTTATTTTTCTTTAGACAGAAAACTCATTTTGTCACCCAGGCTGGAGTACAGTGATGCAATTGTAGCTCAGTGCAACCTCGAACTCCTGGACTTTAGGGATCCTCCCACCTCAGCCTTCTGAGTAGCTGGGACTACAGGTGTGCACCACCATACTCAGTGTTTTTTTTTTTTTTTAGTCATAGTCTTGCTGTTGCTGTTGTCAGCCTGGGCTGGAGTGCAATGGCATGATCTTGGCTCACTGCAACCTCCGCCTCGCAGGTTTCAGCAATTCTCCTGACTCAGCCTCCGGAGTAGCTGAGATTACAGGCATCCACCACCACGCCTAGCTAATTTTTGTATTTTTAGTAGAGACGGGGTTTCACCATGTTGGCCAGCTGGTCTCGAACTCCTGGAACTCCTAACCTCAGGTGATCCACCCACCTTGGCCTCCCAAAGTGCTGGGATTACAGGCGTGAGCCACCGTGCCCAGCCAACTATTTTTTTTTATTTTAATTTTTTTGTAGCGACTGGGTCTTGCTATGATGCCCTGGCCGGTCTTAAATTCCTGGCTTCAAGCGATCCTCCTACCTCAGCCAACCAAAGTGCTGGGATTACAGGCACAAGCTACTGTGCCTGACCTCCAGATTAATGTTTGACCAAATGTCTGGGCCCTCCGTGGCTCAGTGAGGTTGACACATAAAATTAACCATTACAGGCCGGGCGCAGTGACTAACGCCTATAATCCCAGCACTTTGGGAGGCCGAGGCGGGCGGATCACGAGGTGAAGAGATCGAGACCATCCTGGCAAACATGGTGAAACCCCTCATAAAAATATAAAAATGAGCTGGGCGTGGTGGCACACGCCTGTAGTCCCAGCTACTCTGGAGGCTAAGGCAGGAGAATTGCTGGAACCCGGGAGGCGGAGGTTGCAGTGAGCCAGAGATTGTGCCACTGCACTGCAGTTTGGCGACAGAGCAAGACTCTGTCTCAAAAAAAAAAAAAAATTAGCTGGGCATGGTGGCACACACCTGTAGTCCCAGCTACTCAGGAGGCTGGGGTGGGAGGAACACTTGAGCCTGCATTTCGAAGCTTTGCATTGATGCTGCACCCCAGCCTGGGTGACAGAGCAAGACCCGGTCTCAAAAAGAAAAATAAAACACTAATCCCTTCCTCAGAAGAGGAGGTAAAATCCTTGAGTGATGTTTACTCTTCTTCATATCCCATAACTCA
Source organism: Homo sapiens (assembly GCF_000001405.40). Lineage (NCBI taxonomy): Eukaryota > Metazoa > Chordata > Mammalia > Primates > Hominidae > Homo > Homo sapiens. The sequence continues at coordinate 48,900,031 of NC_000012.12, read as the reverse complement.
GATATTATGATGCAAAATTAATAATACTTAAAACTATGACATAAAGTTAATACATCTTATGTTACATTATGAGGGAATAAAAGAGAAAAGAAAATGAAGATATTTGCTTGATATACACACACATAAACATATAAATAACAAAATGAGGAAATACTCATGGCAATCATAGTCCTAGGGTCCATAACTGGTCACGTGGTCATAGCTGGTATTAATAGCTACCGTTTTCTACTACTATCCTATTCCCTTTGCCTTCAGCAAGCACCTTAACAGGTGTTGACCTGTTTCTTTACCTGATGGACTGACTCAAAGCTTCATTTCTGAAGGGTCTGGGCCATTAGTAGTCCTGGATTGTTTTGTTCTAGTTTTCCATTGACCTTAATCACAGGTCACAGTAATACTGAGATGACCTAAGGAATCTTCCTTAGTATATCAAGGAATCTCCTTGATATGCTCATACTTACCTCCATTGTGAAGTAATATTCCAATTTTTCTTTTTCTTTTTTTTTTTTTTTTGACGGAGTCTCACTCTATCACCCAGGCTGAAGTGCAATGGTGCAATCTCAGCTCACTGCAACCTTGGTCTCCTGGGTGCAAGCGATTCTCCTGCTTCAGCCTCCTGAGTAGCTGGAAATAGAGGTGTGCGCCACCATGCCTAGCTAATTTTTGTATTTTTATTTATTTATTTATTGTTGTTGTTGTTTGTTTTTTTTTTTGAGATGGAGTCTTGCTCTGTCGCCCAGGCTGGAGTGCAGTGGTGCGATCTTGGCTCACTGCAACCTCCGCCTCCCCAGTTCAAGCCGTTTTCCTGCCTCAGCCTCCTGAGTAGCTGGGATTACAGGTGCAATGGCATGATCTCGGCTCACCGCAACCTTTGGCTTCCAGGTTCAAATGATTCTCCTGCCTCAGCCTCTTGAGTAGCTGGGATTACAGGCATGCGCCACCATGGCTGGCTAATTTTTGTATTTAGTAGAGATGGGGTTTCACCATGTTGGCCAGGCTGGTCGTGAACTCCTGACCTCAGGTGATCTGCCTGCCTTGGCCTTCCAAAGTGCTGGGATTACAGGCATGAGCCACCATGCCCGGCCTCCAATTTTTCATTGCTAGTTAGGATCAATCACCCCAGCCAGCACAGTAACTTCTTTCTTCGCCTGCCGACACAGAGCCCTGAGGATCCCAAAGTGGCCAGGGGTCTCTAGTGGTAATTGTGCATTGTGCTATTCCCATTTCCATCCTTTAATTCCTGGACCTATGAATCCTGGCTGTGGAAGAAACAGCCCTATGTATTGAACACTGATTCAGAACATAGACAGTCTTCTAAAGATCCATGCTCAAAAAAAAAAAAAGACAAGATCCATGCTCCAGCCTTGCAAGGTGTTGTGACCTAGCTGATAACATAAATGTGTTTTCAAAAGGTCATTCCAGGCCAGGCACGGTGGCTCACACCTGTAATCCCAGCACTTTGGGAGGCCAAGGTGGGCGGATCACCTGAGGCGGGCAGATCATGAGGTCAGGAGATCGAGACCATCCTGGCCAACATGGTGAAACCCCATCTCTACTAAAAATACAAAAAATTAGCCAGGTGTGGTAGCGGGTGCCTGTAATCCCAGCTACTTGGGAAGCTGAGGCAGGAGAATCACTTGAACCTGGGAGGTGCAGGTTGCAGTGAGCCGAGACTGTGCCACCTCACTCCAGCCTGGGCAACAGAGAAAGACTCAGTCAAAAAAAGAGAGAGAGAGGGAGAGGGAGAGAGAAAGAGAGAAAGAGAGAAAGAAAGGAAGGGAAGGGAAGGGAACTCCTGAGGTCAGGAGTTCGACACCAGCCTGACCAACATGGAGAAAACCCGTCTCTACTAAAAATACCAAATTAGCTGGGCATGGCGGCGCATGCCTGTAATCTCAGCTACTCAAGAAGCTGAGGCAAGAGAATCATTTGAACCCGGGAGGCAGAGGTTGCAGTGAGCCGAGATCATGCCATTGCACTCCAGCATGGGCAACAAGAGTGAAACTCCGTCTCAAGAAAAAAAAAAAAAGTCATTCCATCATTCTGTCAAACCAGCTTCAAGTTGGTGGGGAACATGGTAAGACTAGTGAATTTTATAAGCATGGGCCCATTGCCACACTTCATTTGCTGTAAAATGAATTCCTGGATCAGAAGCAATGCTGTGTGGAACACCATGAAGGTGAATGAAACATCCTGTAAATCCGTGGATGGTAGTTTTGGCAGAAGCATTGCGTATAGAGAAGACAAATCCGGATTTGCTCGTTCTCATGTTTATTTGCCATTTGAACATCCTCTTTTGTGGTGTATCTAATCAAGTTTCTTACCAATTTTTACGTTAGATTGTATGTCTTTTACTGATTTATAGTAGTTCATTTTATACAGTATTCTGGATGTGTAAGTCTTTTATCAGTATATGTGTTTCAAATTTCTTTTCCAAGTCTGTGGCTTACCTTTTCACTTTATTTTCTTTTTCAAAAATTTAATTCACATACCATAATATTCAACCGTTTTTTTCACCTTTTTAATAACGTTTTGTTTGGTTTGGGCCAATAGAATATTTAAAACTTTTAATGTAGTCAATTACATGACTGTATCAGAACAGCTCATGTACCCCATAAATATATACACCCACTATGTACCCACACAAATTTAAAATAATTATTTTAAAATGTAGTCAAGTGTTCAGTCTTTTTCTTTAGGCTTACTATTTGGTTTTTGTATACTGTTTAAGAAGTCTTTCCAAAAAAAAGATGTCTTTTTTCTATCCTAAGTTCACGAAGATAGGTTTCTACCTTATTTCTAGAGGCTTTATTGTTCTGCCTTTTACATTTATATGTACAATTTACCTGGGTTGATTTTTGTTATTGTGATTTTATATATGCCTTGGAGATACTTCCTCACTGCTCTGCACTGTCGTCCCTTTTGTCATAAATCAAATGTACATCTATGTGTGGGTTTGTGTTTGGATTTTTTATTCTATCCCATTGACCTACTTTTTTTTCTTTTTTCTTTTTTTTTTTTTTTTGAGACAGAGGCTTGCTGTGTCGCTCAGGCTAGAATGCAATGGCGTGATCTCGGCTCACTGCAACCTCCGCCTCCTGGGTTCAAGAGATTCTTCTGCCTCAGCCTCCTGAGTAGCTGGGACTATAGGCACGCACCACCACGCCCAGCTAATTTTGTATTTTTAGTAGCGATGGGGTTTCACGATGTTGGTCAGGCTGGTCTCGAACTCCTGACCTTGTGATCCACCCGCCTGAGCCTCCCAAAGTGCTGGGATTACAGGCATGAGCCACTGTGCCTGGCTTTTTTCTTTCTTTTCTTTTTTTTTTTTTTTTTTTTTGAGACAGAGTATTGCTCTGTTGCCCGGGCTGGAGCACAGTGGCATGATATTGGGTCACTGCAACCTCCACCTCCTGGGTTCAAGCGATTCTCCTGCCTCAGCCTCCTGAGTACCTGGGATTACAGGCGTGCACTACCACGCTCAGCTAATTTTTGTATTCTTAGTAGAGATGGGGTTTCACCATGTTGGCCAGGCTGGTCTCGAACCCCTGATCTCAAGTGATCCGCCACCTTGGCCTCCCAAAGTTCTGGGATTACAAGCATGAGCCACTGCGCCCGGCCTGTTATAAATTTTTTCTTTTTCTTTTTTTTTTTTTTGAGACGGACTCTTGCTCTTGTCGCCCAGACTGGAGTGCAATGGCGCAATCTCAGCTCACTGCAACCTCCGCCTCCTGGGTTCAGGCGATTCTCCTGCCTCAGCCTCCCAAGTAGCTGAGATTACAGGTGTCTGCCACCACGCCAAGGTAATTTTTTGTATTTTTAGTAGAGACGGGGTTTCACCATGTTGGCCAGGTTGGTCTCGAACTCCTGACCTCAGCTGATCTGCCCGCCTCAGCCTCCCAAAGTGCTGGGATTACAGGCGTGAGCCACCGCCAAGCATGGTAAAGTTTTTCTTTCTTTTCTTTCTTTCTTTCTTTTTTATGAGATGGAGTTTCACTCTTGTTGCCCAGACTGGAGTGCAATAGCATGATCTCGGCTCACTGCAACCTCTGCCTCCCGGGTTCAAGTGATTCTCCTGCCTCAGCCTCCCGAGTAGCTGAGGTTACAGGCATGTGCCACCACGCTCGGCTAATTTTGTATTTTTAGTAGAGGTTTCTCCATGTTGGTCAGGCTGGTGTTGCCTGGTAAAGTTTTTCTGCAAGATATCTTAAACATATTTTGTTAGAATTATTCTAAGGTACTTGATATTTTTTATTCAAATGTAAATGATATCTTTACAAAGTTCTGTTTGTTGCGGACATATGAGAATAAAATTGGCCAGGTGCAGTGGCTCACGCCTGTATTCCCAGCACTTTCGGAGGTTGAGGCAGGCGGATCACCTGAGGTCAGTTTGAGATCAGCCTGACCAACATGGTGAAACCCAGTCTTTACTAAAAATACAAAAATTAGCCAGGTGTGGTGGCGAGCACCTGTAATCCCAGCTACTAGGGAGCCTGAGGCAGGAGAATCGCTTGAATCCTGGAGACAGAGGTTGCAATGAGCCGAGATCGTGGTGCCATTGCACTCCAGCCTGGGTGACAGAGACTCTGTCTCAAAAAAAAAAAAAAAAAAAAAAAAAAAAGAATAAAATTGAAGCCAGCCAATGAATCTGCCTATCTGAATGTGTTTCTGCAGAAATTTTTATTTATTTATTTTATTGTTTTGAGATAAGGTCTTGCTATCATCCAGGCTGGAGTGCAGTGGCATGATCACAGCTCACTAACATCTAACTTCTGGGCTCAAGAGATCCTCCCGCTTCAGCCTCCCAAGTAGCTAGGACTACAGACTTGAACCTAAAAATATTTTTTAATTGGCCAATTAGAAAAAAAAAATCTTTCGTAGAGATGAGGTCTCACTATGTTGCCCAGGTTGGGAACTCTTGGTCTCAAGCAATCCTCCCACCTAGGCCTCCTAAAGTGCTGGGATTACATGTGTGAGCCATTATGCCCACCCCTCTTTCTTATAATGTCTTTATGGGATTTAATATCAAGGTTATGTTTGTCTAATAAAATGAATTGAAGGGAGTAGCCTTTCTTTTCTTTTCTGTCTTCTTCTTCTTTGTTTTTTGTTTTTGTTTTTCTTTTTGAGACAGTCTCACTCTGTCACCCAGGCTGGAGTGCAATGGCACAATCACGGCTCACTGCAGCCTCAACCTCCCCTACTCAGGCACTCCTCCCACCTCAAGCCTCCCAAGTAGCTGGGACTACAGGTGCATGCCACCTTGCCCGCCTAGTTTTTTGTATTTTTTTGTAGAGATGAGGTTTCACCATGTTGACCAGGCTGGTCTCAAATTCCTGGGCTCAAGTGATCCACCTGCCTTGGCCTCCCAAAGAGCTGGTATTACAGGCATGAGCTGCTGGGCCCAGCTGTTTATTTCTATTATTTGCAAGCATTTATGTCCAGTTGGCATTATTTCTTCCTTAAATGTTTGGTAGAATTCACTGGTGCCACATCTGGGCCTGGGATTTGATTTGTGTGAATTTAAAAAATAACAGCTGTATTGAGACATAATTCACATACCAAGCAATTCACCCATTTAAAATGTACGATTCTTGAACTTGTCTCAGAGGCATGAAAAAAATGTACAATTTCATGATTTTTAGTTATTCACACACTTGTGCAACCATCACCACAACCAAATTTACAACATTTAGAACATTTTCAAATTTAGAACATAAAGAAACCTTAGCCATTAGCAGTCATTCCCCTTCTGTGGGAATTTTTTTTTTTTGAGACGGAGTCTCACTCTTTCACAAAGGCTATTAAATCTATAATTAAAATATCTTAATATTAAAATATTAATATATACATTAAAAATATTCCCAGCCGGGCGCAGTGGTTCACGCCTGTAATCCCAGCACTTTCGGAGGCTGAGGTGGGCAGATCACTTGAGGTCAGGAGTTTGAGACCAGCCTGGCCAACATGGTGAAACTCTGTCTCTACTAAAAACACAAAAAATTAGCTGAGAGTGGTGGCAGGCACCTGTAGTCCCAGCTACTCGGGAGGCTGAGGCAGGAGAATTGCTTGAACCTGGGAGGCGGAGGTTGTAGTGAGCCGAGATTGCGCCACTGCACTCCAGCCTGGGTAACAGAGTGAGACCCCATCTCAAAAAAAAAAAAATGTGTATATATATATATATGTATTTAATTAAGCATTTTCTCCTTCCTTCATGGTCAAACCCAAGTGCCCACATTTCAGGATTAGCTCTTCCCTGAGAGGTCTGCTCCACAGAATCAATGCCACCAAACAATGAGGTGCTGACTGGCACCAAACAATGATGAGGTGCTGTTTGTGGCACCATGCTGGGAACAGAGACACAGAAAGGATATAAGTGGATGGGGCACTGAATCCTGGCTCTATAGAACCCTAAGATTTAGCACCAGGTCAGAGACAAGCCTTTGAACAAGGTTAAATTCTGAATTTCTATCTTCATCTGCAAAGTGGGGTGAGTAATCCCTTCGTATTTTTCAGGATTGGAGTGGGCCAAATGAGAAAATGTGTGTAAAAGCACCTTGAAAATTGTTGTTTTTGTTTTTTTGAGACAGAGTCTCTGTCACCCAGGCTGGAGTGCAGTGGCACAATCTCGGCTCACTGCAACCTCCGGTTCCCCAATTCAAGTGATTCTCTTGCCTCAGCCTCCCGAGTAGATGGGATTACAGGCCTGCACCACCACGCCTGGCTAATTTTTGTATTGTTTAGTAGAGATGGGGTTTCACCATGTTGGCCAGGCTGGTCTCAAACTCTTGACCTCAGGTGATCCACCTGCCTCAGCCTCCCAAAGTGCTGGAATTACAAGCATCAGCCGCCGCGCCTGGCCGCTTGAAAATTGTAAGCCTAGGCCACAGGAGGAAACCCTGTCTCTACAAAAAGCACAAAAAATTAGCCAGGCATAGGGGCGTGCCTCTGTAGTCCCAGCCCCTTGGGAGGCTGAGGTGGGAGAATCACCTGAGCCTGGGAGGTCGAGGCTGCAGTGAACCATGATAGCGCCACTGCACTCCAGCCTGGGTGATAAGAGTGAGACCCTGTCTTTAAAAAAAGAAAGTGGCCAGGTGCGGTGGCTCCTGCCTGTAATCCCAGCACTTTGGGAGGCTGAGGCAGGAAGATCACAAGGTCAGGAGTTTGAGACCAGCCTGGCCAACATAGTAAAACCCCATCTCTACTAAAAATACAAAAATTATCCGGGCATGGTGGCACGTGCCTGTTGTCCCAGCTACTCGGGAGGCTAAGGCAGGAGAATCACTTGAACCCTGGAGGTGGAGGTTGCAGTGAGCCAAGATCATGCCACTGACTGCACTCCAGCTTGGGCAACAGAGTGAGACTTTGTCTCAAAAAAAAAAAAAAGAAAGAAAGAAAAAGAAAAGAAAAGAGGCCAGGTGCAGTGGCTAATGCCTGTAATCCCAGCACTTTGGGAGGCCAAGGCGGGTGGATCACTTGGGGCCAGGAGTTCAAGACCAGCCTGGCCAGCATGGTGAAACCCTGTCTCTACTAAAAATGTGAAAATTAGCTGGGGGTGGTGGCACACACCGGTAATCCCAGTTACTTGGCAGGCTGAGGCAGGAGAATCGCTTAAACCTGGGAGGCAGAGGTGGTTGCAGTGAGCTGAGATTGTACCACAGCACTCCAGCCTGGGTGACAGAGCGAGACTGTCTCAAAAAAAAAAGGAGACAGAGAGAGAAAGAGAAGGAGAAAGAGAAAGAGAGAGGAAGGAAGGAAGGAAGGAAGAAAGGAAGGAAGGAAGGAAAGGAGAAAGAAAATTGTAAAGTAGTGCTCACTTGGGCAGCACATATTCTAAAATTGGAACGATACAGAGATTAGCATGGTCCCTGCGCAAGGATGACATGATTTTAAAAATTCTAAAGTATGCCGGGTGCGGTGGCTCACACCTATAATCCCAGCACTTTGGGAGGCTGAGGTGAGTGGATTACCTGAGGTCAGGAGTTTGAGACCAGCCTGGCCAACATGGTGAAACCCTGTCTGTACTAAAAATAAAAAATTAGTCGAGTGTGGTGGCATGTGCCTGTAGTCCCAGCTACTCGGGAGGCTGAGGCAGGAGAATCACTTGAACTCAGGAGGCAGAGGTTGCAGTAAGCTGAGAAAAAAAATTCTAAATTATTTTTAAGGTATTATTATTGAAGAGCTGGCGATTGATTCAGCAGAGGAAAAATACAGAAATAACAGAAATCATTACTAAAGATACATAAGCATGTACAACCGTAACTACATTTTTGAGCACTCACTATGTGCTAAGCACTGTATTAAGTGCTGTATATGAATCCCCCCTCCTTGGTTTTTACAATAACCCTGTGGAGTGCTGCTATTATTTTTATTTTACAGATAAGCAAAGTGATGCTTAGAGGGGCTAAGTCACTCACTCAAGGTTACATGGCTACTAACTGACAGTCCGTAAGGAGGTTCGGCCAGTTCAGACTGACTATGAGAGGACAGCATTTATGGTCTGTCAGGGAAGCTGACCGTCTCCACAGGGTACCAGTTATTCAATAACCCTTATAAAGCAATCCCGCCCCTTCGCCCAGATTTCTTTCTCTCTCCATATTTTCTCTGAACCTTTCCCCTTTTGCCCTTCCTTTATCTCTCTACCCGCCCCGCCCAAACACACACACACACACCTCCAGATTCTTCTCATAGCTTCACAGATCAGCTCTGGGATGGATGCAGAGGCTCCTGTTTCCATGGTGACGCGGGGAGGCTGGTACACCGCACGCCAAGTGTAGGCGAAGCAGAGAATTGGCCGAGGATCCAAAGGTGCCGGCAGTAACCAGGCTCTGGGAAAAGGGATCGATGAGAAAGCCAAGTCTGGATGACTGGACCTCCCTTGAGCTCCAGAAGGACCTCCACCCCCACCACGCCCCCTGCCCTCCCTAAGCTCCTAATTTGGAAGTCGAAGACGGGAGAGCCGGGAAAAGAAGCGAGGGGGCTCCAAAGCAGAAGCCACCACCTCTAACTTGTTTTGAAGACAAAGCCTAATCGTCGGTGGGAAGACTGCCCGGTGGGCGATGGCCCCCTCCCGAGGCGCCTCCGCCTCGCTCCCTCCCTCTCCTCTCCCGGCTCTGACCTCAGTCGCAGCCACCGGGCTCTCGGCCGGGCGCTGAAGGGGAGCCGGGCAGCCAGCAGGGGGCAGAATCCCCCGCATTAAAGGCGTGTGTGGGCCTGCTTCCTCTGCTTCCACCTCGCCCCTGCTTTCACTGGGATTATTTTCAGCTGACAGGCTGCAAAGGCGCAGTAGGTGGATTTCAGGGCAGGAGATGGGTTCTGACAGGGGCTGTGAGCCTGTGAAGCGTTGGTCTTAAGCTGTGGGCCCCACTGAGGAGCCGCGTATTTAGGACCACAGAGTCAGGGGCTGAAGCAACGGGCACTTTAACTTTTTCTGGCAAAGGTTTCTTCTGAGGTTTTTCTCAATCCATTGAAAACATTTAAAACACTGTAATTGTGAAGAGGAGGCTCATTCATTCATTCAATAATGTTTATTGAGTATCACCTATTATTGTCACGATGGATGCATCCAATCAAAAACGAGTATTTACAGAAAGCTTACACACACTGATTCTTAACCTTTTTTAGGGGGCAGGGGTGTCACATATCCTTTGAGAGTATGATATAAAAAAATACAGATTATCTCCCAAAAAGAATGCACTATAAGCCTACAAACATTTTCATGTGATTTTGGGAGCATCAGGAACCCCTGGCAGCTCATCCACGGGCCCCAGGGCATAAACCCTGGTCTATTTTGAGCTGGGCTCTGGGCTAGGCACTAAGGATGCAACAGCAAATTAGATAAGCATGGTCCCTGCCCTGCCTGAGTTCTGCAGGCAAGTGGGAGGCACAAAGAGATGCTTAAAATACAGTGCCAATGCCTGTGCTGGAAGACCCCAAAGGAGGGCCACTTATCTAGACACAGGGGCTTCATGGAAGGCTTCCTGGAGTGACAGGTAAGCTGAGAGACCTGAAGAAGAAGTAGGAGCTGGCCAGGCGAGGACCTGAGGAGGAGCACTTTGGGCAGGAGGGAAGCACCTGGAAAGGCCCTGAGATTCCCTCTCAGCAGACCTGAGAAGCTGACAGCAGGCCCTCGTGGCTGGCTCAGAGATGCCAGGAGCAGGACTGGTGAGAAATGAGGCTAGAGTGGTAAGTGCCATATGTAGGCCCTGGGATGCAACAGAGAATAGGCAGACAGCTGCTCCCCTCAAGGACACCAACAAGAAAGCCGGTGGTTATGATGCAGAAGTGTTAAGTTCCACATTGGGAATGAGCATTTGGTGGTATGGGAGTAGGTGGATGAGCACTGAATTCAGCCATGGGGATCAGGACCAAGGCCCAGAAAGCGGGGCTCCAGGTGCAGGTGGATCAGTGATATATTTAGTGTATTCAGAATACTCTCAGAACCTGAAAACAGCTGGAAGGAAGAGGTGAGGGGAGAGGAGGAGGGAGAGAGAAGGAAGGGGAGTCACCAATATACCTTGATCTGACTGCAACCTACCATTAGGAACATCTTTTATTCTGGGGGTGAGGAGGGCTGGGTGGGGATGAGCTCAGGTCTACCTATTCCCTTTTTTATGTTGCCCAGGCTAAACTCAAACTCCTGGGCTCAAACGATCCTCTCCACTCAGCCTCTTGAGTAGCTGGGACTATGGGTGCATGACACCACACCTGGCTGTTTTTTTAAGTACCGGAGTTGTGACCGGAGGAAGCCTTGGACAAAAAAGTGGTGAGTAGAGATAACAGCAAGCTGGGCCTCTTGCTCCCTGCTGTGGACCTAGGGATGGGACTGGGAGAGCATGGGATGAGCTAGGAAAACAGGAGATGTTGTAGTGATTTATTGCTGGTGATTTTGTTTCAGAAACACTCTGAGTCGGGCCCAGTGGCTCATGCCTGTAATCCCAGCACTTTGGGAGGCCGAGGCAGGACGATCACTTGAGCCCAGGAGTTTGAGACCAGCCTGGGCAAATAGTGAGACCCTGCCTCCAAAAAAAAGAAAAAAAAAAAAACACTCATATACAGTAGCCCCTTCTTATCCGTGGTCTTGTTTTCCATGGTTTCAGTTACATGGATAAAAAGGGGCTACTGTATATGTCTATGTATGTAGTCTCGCCTTCTGTGGTCAATCATGGTTTGAAAACATTAAATAAGGCTGGGCGCCATGGCGCATGCCTGTAATCGCAGCACTTTGGGAGGCTGAGGTGGGCGGATCACCTGAGGTTGGGAGTTTGAGACCAGCCTGACCAACATAGAGAAACCCCGTCTCTACTAAAAATACAAAATTAGCCGGGCATGGTGGCGCATGCCTGTAATCCCAGCTACTCGGGAGGCTGAGGCAGGAGAATTGCTTGAACCTGGGAGGCGGAGGTTTCGGTGAGCGAGATCACACCATTGCACTCCAGCCAGCATGGGCAACAAGAGTGAAACTCTGTCTCAAAAAAGAAAAAAGAAAAAAAGAAAACATTAAATGGAAAATTCCAGAAATAAACAATTCATAAGTTTTAAATTGCCACCATTCTGAGTAGCGTGATGAAATCTCACACCATCCCACTCTATGCTGCCTGGAATGTGAATCATCTCTTTGTCCAGTGTAGCCACACTTTAGATGCTACCCACCCATTATCACTTAGTAGCCATCTCAGTTATCAGATCCACTGCCTTGGTATCACAGTGCTTGTGTTCAAGTAACCTTTATTTTGGCCAGGCATGGTGGCACACACCTGTAATCCCAGCTACTCGGGGGACTGAGGCACAAGAATCACTTGAACCCGGGAGGTGGAGGTTGCCGTGAGCTGAGATCGCGCCAGTGCACTCCAGCCTCGGCGAAAGAGCAAGACTGTCTCAAAAACAAAACAAAACAAAAACCCTTATTTTACTTTATAATGGCTCCAAAGCACAAGAGTAGTGATACTGGCATATCATTATAATTGTTCTAGTTTATTATTAGTTATTGCTGGTAATCTCTTACTGTGCCTAATTTAAAAACTAAACTCTAAGCCAGACATGGTGGCTCATGCCTGTAATCCCAGCAGTTTGGGAGGCCGAGGTGGGCGGATCATGAGGTCAGATCGAGACCATCCTGGCCAACATGTTGAAACCCCATCTCCACTAAAAATACAAAAAATTAGCCAGGCGTGGTGGCACACGCCTGTAGTCCCAGCTACTCGGGAGGCTGAGGCAGGAGAATCACTTGAACCCGGGAGGTAGAGGCTGCAGTGAGCCGAGATCACGCCACTGCACTCCAGCCTGGGCAACAGAGTGAGACTCCATCTCAAAAAAAAAAAAAAGATTAAACTTTATCATAGGTATGTATGTATAGAAAAAAAATACATGGTCCATATATAATTCGGTACTATCTGCAGTTTCAGGCATCCACTGGGGTCTTTGAATGTATCCCCTGAAGATAAGGGGGGACTGTTCTAGTACTTATATGCCAGGCTCTGTCCTAAACACTTAGCAAATATTACCTTATAACACTCCTAGGAGATAAGCATGGTCATCCTCATTCTACATATGAGGCATGAAGCAGTTCAGTAACTTGGCAAGGTCGAACAGCAAGTAAGTGACAAAGCCACTGTCTGAACCCAGGCAGTCTGGCTCCAGAGTTTGTGCTTTCACCACCAAACTATGCTACTTCTTGAGAGGGAGGGCCTTTGCAAAGGCAATGAATTGAACCTGAATGTCCCACACAAGACATGAGAATTCTACCACTCCACCTCCTGGGGACACTCATAAAGTACAAGGAGCACCTACTACTATGAAGAGGTCCTGGGGAAGTGGGAGGAGCCACAGGGAAATGGTGAGGCCTTGCAACTGCAGGGAGCTGGTGGAGACCAAGGCCTAGAGGTCTAGGACTGGAGAGGGACAGCTAGTTAAGAGATAAGGTCAGGCTGGGGGCGGTGACTCATGCCTGTAATCCCAGCACTTTGGGAGGCCGAGGCAGGTGGATTACCTGAGGTCAGGAGTTGGAGACCAGCCTGGCCAACATGGTGAAACCCCATCTCTACTAAATACAAAAAATTAGCTGGGCATGGTGGTGCATGCCTATAATCCCAGCTACTCAGGAAGGAGGCTGAGGCAGAAGAATCTCTTGAACCCGGGAGGCGGAGGTTGCAGTGAGCCAAGATTGCGCCATTGCACTCCAGCCTGGGCAACAAGAGTGAAACTCCATCTCAAAAAAAAAAAAAAAAAAAAAAAAGAGATAAGGTCAAGTTGGGCATGGTGACGCATGCCTGTAGTTCCAGCTACTCAGGGGCTGAGGCAGGAGGATCACTTGAAGCCAGGAGTTTAAGGCTGCAATGTGCTATGATTGCACTCATGAATAGCCACTGCATTCCAGCCTGGGCAACACAGTGAGACCCTCCCCCTACATTTCTAAATATTAAAAAGAGAGAGAAAAAAGCTCAGGGTATTAGGCAGCATGGAAGCTCCTACCGTCACCTATGAGATCTAGCCCTGCCTCTCTTGTCAATGTCATCTCTCGCTGCTCTCCCCTCACTCACAATTTTCCAGTCACACTGTTCTTTTCTGCCCTAGGGCCTTCTTCCTTGACGTTGCTTCTACCCTGAACCCTTCCCTATATGCATACACATATACCTGCCCTTTTCCAGGCTGACCCCACTCATCCTCCAGATCTCGGCCTCACGGTCAGTTCCTCAAACAATCCCTCTGGATTAGATCCCTTCTCTTAGTCTCACATAGTAGTACCCTATTATTTTCCATTGTAATCTGTATCACAATTTGAAATTATATATTCAGTTGTGGGCTAGGTGTGGTGGCTCATGCCTATAATCCCAGCACTTTGGGAGGCCAAGACAGGAGGATTGCTTGAGGCCAGAAGTTTGAAACTAGACTGGGGAACATAGCCAAGACCCCTGTCACTAAAAAATAAGTACATAAAAATAAAAATATATCAGTTGTGTTTATTCAATGCTTGACTCTCCCATTAGACTATAAGCTCTATGAGGGCAAGAACCCCTGCTATAAACTTTGTTTCTGGCATAGTGCTGGGCACATGTAGATACTATATAACATTTTGCTAAATGGGTTTATAAATTTAGAGAAATCTTAGAAGTCTATTTGTCCAATGCTTCTTTCCTTTCACCATATGTTCAATAGGCTATTTACCTTCTCCTTGAATATTCCCAGCAGCAGAGAACTCACTACTTCACCAAGAGGCCCATTTGCTTTTGGAGAGATTTAATAGTTAGAAAGTTCTTCTTATTGAAGAAAACTCTGACCACCTGTCACCCCTCATTCCTAGACTGGCCCTCTGGACCTGTGTCCTTGAAACAGGCACAGACAGCTGTCCTGCTGGCCTCTCCCTCTGCCCTCAGCTTTCACTGTGCCATCTCAACAGTTCTTCCAGCTTAGGAAGGCTTGGATTCTCAACCCTTTCCTTCCCTTCTCAAGGTACTCCCTTCTCTGCCCTTCTCAAGAAACTCCCTTCTCAACCTTTCTTCTCTTTCTTTTTTATTTTCTTTTTCTTTTTCTTTTTCTTTTTGAGATGGAATCTCGCTCTGTCACCCAGGCTGGAGTGCAGTGGCATGATCTCGGCTCACTGCAACCTCCGCCTGTCGGGTTCAAGCAATTCTCCTATCTCAGCCTCTCGAGTAGCTGCGACTACAGGTGCCCGCCACCAAGCCTGGATAATTTTTGTATTTTTAGTAGAGACGGGGTTTAACCATGTTGGTCAGGCTGGTCTCAAACTCCTGACCTCAGGTGATCCGCCTGCCTTGGCCTCCCAAAGTACTGGGATTACAGGCGTGAACCACCACGCCCGGCCTCTACCCTTCTTCTCTACCCTTCTCAAGAAACTCCCTTTGGTCAGCACCAGATTTGCCATCCATTCTCATTCCCCCAGGCACTCCAGTAAATGCAATACAGATGTGGCAGGATGAGGGCGGAGAAAGTGAGAAAAGAATGCTGTTTCTTTCTCACTTTGTAACCAGATATATTTCCCAGAAAACACTATTATTACTGATGGTTGGGTCCCCAGGCTAATCCTGAACTAGATGTAGCATTGTCAGCTAATTCTGGGTCAAGTGGCCTTTCTGGACCCATTTAACTTTTTTTAGATGGAGTCTTGCTCTCTCGCCCAGGCTGTAATGCAATGGTGCCATCTCTGCTCACTGCAACCTCCGCCTCCTAAGTTAAAGCGATTCTCTTGCCTCAGTCTCCCGAGTAACTGATATTACAGGTGCGTGCCACCACTCCAGACTACTTTTTTGTGTTTTTAGTACAGACGGGGTTTCACCATGTTGGCCAGGCTGGTCTCGAACTCCTGACCTCGTGATCCGTCCACCTTGACCTCCCAAAGTGCTGGGATTACAGGCGTGAGCCACCGCGCCCGGCCCATTTAACATTTTGTCTCTGGGAAAAATGTGTTTGGGTTCCAAACAACCAAGTTATATATAAACCCTTTAAATAACCAGCTTGCAAATTGGGAACTGCTTCTAGAGAAGTATTTAGGTAACACCGAGTGGGAGAGGGAAGGGAGAGAACAGAGTGGGCTCGCTCAGAAAAGTTTCCAAGAAGTTTTTGAAGCAAATGTAGGAAAAATGGGAAGATTCAGACAAACCTGGGTTTAATCCCAGCTCTTCCACTTACCGGCTGTGAGTGCGTGCCTGATTTACCTAAGTTCCCCTCAGATTCCTCTCTCTAGTAAAAGAGGACAGTCATTTTTTACCTCACAGAGTTGTAGGGGGCATTAAGCTAGAGACTGTATTGCATTCAGCACAGTACCTGGCACGTAAGTGAATGATCTGTGTTGTGATGTTTTCCAAACGAGGGTCTCTCCTCTCAAAGTGAAGTAACAGGATCCATGACCTGACGTCCCTGAACCTGCGTGCAGCTCTCCCACCTGTGGGAGCCCACGCTCATGAAAGTGAGGACTGCCCTCTGCCTTCCATAAACATTCCAAAGGAGGGAGACTAATGGGCTCCGGAGGAGAGGCCGGGGACAAAGGAGCAGGGGATCCAAGTGTCCTCAAAGATCAGTGTTTCTGTAGGAACACCTGTGTGTCCTGTGTGATCACTGTGACTGTGTGTGTCAGTGTGGCAAGGTATGCAGGCCTGCCGCGTGTCCTGCTTGTTAGTGGGACCATGGAGATTCCCCTCGTCTCTGGGGCTCCATTACTCAGCTCTCTGCGGTCCCAGGCCTTATCACTTAGCTGTCTGCCCTCTGGCCTCTTCCCTTTGTTTACCAACTTGGCTGGCTTTCTCCTCTGGGAACAAAGGAGGTGTTTGGTTCTGGGCAGTGCCTGGCTCCAGCTACCCGCCCCCATCGCCTCCCCTTTCCAGGAGGGTTGCCCCTGTCTCAGACCCCTTGGCTCTGACAGGCCCATTCCCACAGCTCCAGGGAGAGAGGAGGCTGATCTTCTCATTTGGCACCCCCTTTTTTCTCACCCTCTGGCCCCATTCCTGTCCCCAGCAAGGCCCCTGAAGCTTCACTCGTCTAGGCTGGAGACAGCTCCTCTCCCTATTGTCTGGCCAGGATTTGGAAGCTCTGGTTACCATAGCAACCCCTGGGCATTTAATTAAGGGAGGAGGCCTTCATTTTCCAGGCTGGGCAGTTCCAAATCTCAACCCGAAAAAGGATACCCTGAGGGGGTGAGGAAGAAGTGTTGTCCTCCAGTATAGCATAATTCCGGCTTCCCCACAAAGTCTGTTATGGCTTTCCCAGCCTACCCCCTCCCAGCTGCCACCCCGATCACCACCTCATGCCAGAGCAGGCTGGGGAGGCCTCTCAGATCAGCTAGGGCAAAACCCAGGTCCCAGGCCAGTAGAGGTTTCAAGGAAGGGATGGTGTGCAATTGCTGTAAGCCACCCCTCCCCTATATGCACTGTCGCTTTGTTTACTGGACTGTGGGGTCAGGGATAAGGGTGGGAGATCATTCAACACTGGCATACTGTCCAATTTCTTTGCCGTGGAATGGGCTTCAGGGCTCTTTGAACTCCCTGAAATTGAATGTAATATGTATAAATTCATTATAAGGCTTTTTCCTAGGTACTGGGTACATAGCTTTCATTAGATCCCCAGGAAAGGGCTCTGTGATCTCAGAAAGGTTCCTAGCACTGCCATTTGCTGGCTGTGAGACCTCAGTCAAATTGTTTAACCTCTCTGTGTCTCTGTGTCTTCATCTATAAAGTGGGGATGATACTACTTCACAAGACTGTTGGCATCTTAGTAAGAGGTTGTTAAGACAGTTATGATTACTCTGAGAGTGGGCTAAATAGAGGGTCCTCGCCTTATCCATCCTATACCCACCTTCCCTGAAGGTAACAGGTCTGCCCTCTCAATAGGGGGCATTCACCTCCTCCTGGCTCCTTCTCTTATTCCCTCTCTGCTCCACCTCAGGCTGCTGGAAAGTGCTCCAGACGCTGATGGGAAGCAGTCGCTCTCCAGAGACTCGTCATGGGGTGGAATTTCCGAGCTCAGGTCACTGAGTTATCCCAGTTCCTGAAATTCTTGTCTCAGATTTCTCAGCCGTCGCCGTGACCACTTTTCCCCATTTCTGGTTAGGTTAGTTTGTGTGTGTGTTTCCTTTTCACTGTATTTTTAGCCTTTGGAAAAAATAAACACATTTCACACGCTAGCACCTTCCTGATCTTTCGGTTCTCCGCAGGCATGGGGGTGGGGCCACTTCTTCCCCTGACCTTTCTTCAACCCTGTCTCCTGTTCCCAGACTCCCACCCCCCAGCACACATCCTTACCTTCTGTTGAGAATTCCCAGACTTATCCCACCCTCCTCCCATCTCTCTGTCTCTCCTGTCCCCTCAGTACTGAGTATATTCCCACCCAGGCTGGACTGATATATGCAGATTGTGACACAATTCTGAGTCTCTGGGTTCCTTATCCTTTTCATCTTGTTTCCCTTCTAGAAATCCCTCCTCCTTTCCCACTGTGACATTTTCCCCTTGTTTCAGAAAAGGCAAGTCTATCCCTGCGGTTCTGGCTTGTCCCACTGCAGTAGCACCCTGATTCAAACGAGCTGTGAAGTTGTTGCCAGAAAAACGGGTCCTCATCCAAACCCCAAGAAAGGATTCTTGGATCTCGTGCAGGAAGGAATTCAAGGCAAGCCATAGGGCGCAGTGAGAAGAGATAGTTGATTGAAAGCTACTCAGTTACAGAGTAAGGGCATCCTTAGAAAGCAATAAGAGGAGGAATGTGCCGACTCTTCTTTTTTTTTTTTTTTTTTTTGAGACTGAGTTTCACTCTTGTCACCCAGGCTGAGTGCAGTGGCATGATCTCTGCTCACTGCAACCTCCGCCTCCCGGGTTCAAGTGATTCTCCTGCCTCAACCTCCCACGTAGCTGGGATTACAAGTGTGCACCATCACGCCCAGCTAATTCTTTTTGTATTTTTAGTAGAGATGGGGTTTCACCATGTTGGCCAGGCTGGTCTCGAATCCCTGACCTCAAGTGATCCGCCTGCCTCAGCCTCCCAAAGTGCTGGGATTACAGGCATGAGGCATCATGCCCAGCCAGCTCTTCTTATATATGGGCCTTATCTATGTAAAAACTAAGCTATGTCTACATATGGGTGGGCTGATAGCATGGCAAATTGTGTTATTCTGTTGATTTAAAGAAAACTATCCTTATTATTGTTACTTTTTTAGGGCATAAGTACATAAAAGCATAACCATGACTATCTTACAAGCATAATTGTTATCCAGTCTCAGCGTATCTAGACATTCTGTTGTGATAGAGTTTGTCCTTGCAGGCATTATTAAGCTGCTTCCTTAGCCATAAACATCTTATGACCATGGGTTGTGACTGGCAAGGAATGTGCCTTGCTAGTTTTATTTTTATTTATTTATTTATTGAGACAGGGTCTCGTTCTGTCACCCAGGCTGGAGTGCAGTAAGTGGCATGATTTCAGCACACTGCAGCCTCCACTTCCTGGGTTCAACTGATTCTCCTGCCTCAGCTTCCCAAGTAGCTGGGATTACAGGTGCCTGCCACCACGCCCTGCTCATATTTGTATTTTTGTAGAGACGAGGTTTCACCGTGTTGGCCAGGTTGGTCTCTAACCTCTGACCTCATGTGATCTGCCCCACTGGACTTCCTAAGGTGCTGGGATTACAGGCGTGAGCCACCGCGACCGGTCCATGCCTGGCTAGTTTTAATATGGAGTTGATTTTAAAATGGTGTCACCCTGGTTCTCCTATGCTGTTTCCCTAACAGAGTCAGATGAACCTAGAACCCTGTACCCCACCAATTATGTTTAGGTTTCATCATTAATACAATAGTATTATATTTAGTAGAGTTGCAGAAAGGTTTATATGAGATCATGCAAGGAGGGCACTGTAGGGGCCACGAGAAACTTTTCCCTTCTTCCTCTAAGGGTTCGCTGAAAACTCAAATCACAAAAGGCAGATTAATTGGAGGAAAAGCATACAAATGTATTTAACACATGTACATGAGGAGAATCACGGTGACTGCCCACTCCCTGGTGGGATTCAGGAGCTTGTATCCCATCCTGGCAAAACAGAGGATGGGAGGCAGGAGAAGAGGAATTCTGTTGAGGAGATTTCTAGGGAGAAGGAATACATCTGGGGAACAGAAACTATCCTGTGCATTATCTTGCAAGAGGGTCTGTTCAGGTGTGGTTACTTAGGTTCCTGTTCTTACAGAGAGGGGAAGAAAAAACAGTTGTTCCTTTTGGTGGGTCTGGATCTTAGGCAGATAAAGGAAGCTCACTTTGGGAGACGGTGGGTGGGGAGAGGGTCAGAGAGACCTGGCGGCTTCTTCAGTTGAGCGTGACAAAACACTGTTTTTTGGGATATTGGTTTCTGAGCCCCAACAGCACTTAGCACAGAGCCTTCCAGGTGCCAAAGACCTCAGGAATGGAGCCATTGATTCCCTGGATCTGAGAGGTCTAAGGGACACAGGGTTATTTCTCAGCTCTCTTGCTCAATTCAGTTCAAACCCCAGCCAAAGGGGTTTGAAGTTGGACTTGGTGTTGTCAGTGTCAGAAGACACAGGTGATACAGGGAGGTGGCAAAGGAGAGATGTGGGAAAGGACTGAGAATTAGATTTGTGAGGGCAAGAGAGGGATTTTTTGCCTGGGCGCAGTGGCTCACACCTGTAATCCCAGCACTTTGGGAGGCCGAGGCGGGAGGATCACCTGAAGTCAGGAGTTCAAGACCAGCCTGGACAACATGGTGAAACCCCATCTCTACTAAAAATACAAAAATTAGCTGGGCATGGTGGCGAACACCTGTAATTCCAGCTACTTGGGAGGCTGAGGGAGGAGAATCACTTGAACCTGAGCCGAGATTGTACCGCTGCACTTCAGCCTGGGCAACAAGAGTGAAACTCCGTCTCAAAAAAAAAAAAAGAAAGAAAGAAAAAAAAAAAGGATTTTAATTATTCCACCTGGAGAAAGCTGGAAGAGGAAAAAATATTTTTTATTTTTTTGGAGATGGAGTTTCACTCTTGTCTCCCAGGCTGGGGTGCAATGGCGCAATCTTGGCTCTCTGCAACCTCCACCTCCCCAGTTCAAGTGATTCTCCTGTCTCAGCCTCCCAAGTAGCTGGGATTACAGGCACCTGCCACCACGTCTGGCTAATTTTTGTATTTTTAGTAGAGAGTAGAGACGGGGTTTCACCATGTTGGCCAGGCTGGTTTTCAACTCCTACCCTCAGGTGATCCACTCACCTCAGCCTCCCAAAGTGCTGAGATTACAAGCATGAGCCACCAAGCCCAGCAGATTTTTTTTCAAGACAGGGTCTCACTCTGTCACCCAGGCTGGAGTACAATGGTGCCATCACAGCTCACTGCACCCTCAACCTCCTGGGCTCAAGCGATCCCCCTGCCTCAGCCTCCTGAGTAACTGGGACCACAGGTGCTCACCACCATGCCCGGCTAATTATTTTATTTTTTGTAGAGACAAGGTCTCCCTATGTTGTCCAGGCTGGTCACAAACTCCTGGGCTCGAGCCATCCACCCGCCTCTGCCTCCCAAAGTGTTGGAATTAAGAATCTTGGCCAAGCCACCACTCCTGGCCAAGATTCTTGATGATAACAGAGTTTAGGGCTCTCTGTGGCAATTCTGTTTTCTCTCTTTCAGGGAAGAGAAAGTGTTGAGGTAGGGGAGACTGAGGCTGGCTGTCAGAACTTTCCAGCTGTGGATAGAACCCTGGCACAGAAAATCCTAAGTGCTTGTGAGAAAACTGAGGCTCCCAGAGGTTGTGGCTTATCTAAGGTCACAGGTTAGTTAAGTGCTGAACCCTGGACTCAGACCTCAGCTTTGAGCCTTCCAACCGGCAAACTGTATTCAGAGGCCAGCAGCCCACAGGGTCAGGTAGGATGGAAGCCAATAGGAGATTCCAAGTTTGTTTAGCATTCCTAATCCCCAGGAAAGCTTTCCAGAGATGTGCTGGAAAGAGCATGAGTTAATGCAATGAATATACCCCCATTAAGACATAAGAAAGCTAACGCTGGGTGCTGTGGTTCACGCCTGTAATCCCAGCACTCTGGGTGGCTGAGGTGGGCAGATCACTTGAGGTCAGGAGTTCAAGGCTAGTCTGGCCAACATGGCAAAACCCCATCTCTACTAAAAATACAAAAATTAACCGGGCGTGGTAGCACACACCTGTAGTCCCAGCTACTTGGGACCCTGAAACACAAGAATTGCTCGAACCTGGAAGGTGGAGGTTGCAGTGAGCTGAGATCGTGCCACTGCACTCCAGCCTGGGCAACAGAGTGAGTGAGACTCCATCTCAAAAAGAAAAGAAAAGAAAAGAAAAAAAGAAAAAAGACATAAGAAAGCACAGTGAGGGCCGGGCGTGGTGGCTCACGCCTATAATCCCAGCACTTTGGGAGGCCAAGGTGGGTGGATCACGAGGTCAGGAATTCGAGACCAGCCTGGCCAACTTGGTGAAACCCCATTTCTACTAAAGATACAAAAAATTAGCCGAGTGTGGTGGCGTGAGCCTGTAATCTCAGCTACTCGGGAGGCCAAGGCAGGAGAATAGCTTGAACCCAGGAGACGGAGGTTGCAGTCAGCCGAGATCGCACCATTGCACTCCAGCCTGGGCAACAGGGTGAGACTCTGTCTCAAAAAAAAAAGCACAGTCTGAGGTTGAGTGATTTACTCAAAGTCATACAAAGACATATAAGTAGTAACTGGCAGGGCCAGGATTTAAACCCAGGCATTGTGGCCTGAGCCTGCATTCTCCACCTGTGCTGCCTCTGCAAGTGTTGTAGTCAGGTTTTGAATCTGATCTGGCTGACTCCGGAGCCAGAATGCATCATGATGTTTGGTACCACCTCTTCCACCCTCAGAGGACCAAGCATTGAATGACACGATGCAGGCAGAGCATTTAGCACACGGGAAGTACATCAACACGGTTGTCTTCCTGATGTCTGGCTGGCCCCAGTTCTGCCTTTCCATTCTTTGTTTTGTGCCTGGGTTTATATCCTTGGCCTTCAGCAGCCTGGAAGCAAGGCCCCATCTCAGTATCTGGCTTCAGTTGATTGCTTGGCCATCTCTGTCCCACCCACTGGCCCAACGCTGGGTTTCTGGAGCACATCCTCTGGTGCTTCTTGGAAAACTGGGTTGATAGAGCTGGAGGGGTCTTGGGGAGTGGCTCCGACCTCACACTGTATAGAGGAGAATGCCGAGGCCCAAAGAGAGCAAGAGTCTTGACTAGGCCCATTCCCACAGTCTACTAATAATACCGAGTACCTGCTGTTCCCAGGCACTGTTCTAGGTATGATACCAAAGTGAGAAGGTCACTGCACCTACAGAGTCCACCTTATCATAGTGAGGGAGAAAGACGATCAACAAAAAAATAGGTCAACAAAAACCATAAACTAGAAAAATATCAGAGTGATAAAGGCCATACTGAGAACATGAAAGAGAAGGATCAGGTGGCTACTTCAGGCTAGCTGACTTCTCTGGACAGGAGACACTTAACCTGAGATGTAAAGGATGAAAAGGTGCCAATGCGGGCAGTCAGGGGGAAGGGCATTGTTGGTAGAGGGAACAGCCAGTGAAAAGGCCCTGAGTATAAGTTTGGTGTGTGAGCACAGTGGATAGTGAAATCAATGTAGTGAGTCCTGACAAGCATTCAAAAAATGAAGTAGCCAGGCACAGTGGCTCACACCTGTAATCCCAGCACTTTGGGAGGCCGAGGCGGGCAGATCACAAGGTCAGGAGATCGAGACCATCCTAGCCAACATGGTGAAACCCCGTCTCTACTAAAAATAAAAAATTTAGCTGGGCGTGGTGGTGCACTCCTATAGTCCCAGCTACTTGGGAGGCTGAGGCAGGAGAATCACTTGAACCCGGGAGGCGGAGGTTGCAGTGAGCCACTGCACTCCAGCCTGGTGACAGAATGAGACTCCATCTTAAAAAAAAAAAAAAAGAAAAAGAAAAAGAAGTAGAAAAGAAAATATCAGAATGCATTGTAAAGGTTAATGTTTGAGGAAACTTTAGGAGACATATACATATATGCATGCAGAGATATATATAGTGTGATATATATTGATATATCTATATCTCTAAATATAGCATGAGTGTATGTTTTGGACTGTGATATAACATGTATTTCTGACTGTGACTTGTGAATAGAAAAGTTTTAAAGCCATTATTGGAGGAATTTTAAAAAGTTCAATATAGCTGGAGAGAGGAGAACTGCAGGAGATGAGGTCAGCCAGGGGGCAAGCATAAGTCATGTATGGCTCTAGGAACCAGGATAAGAAGTTGGATTTTATTCAAAATGGACTTGATGGCTGGGCTCGGTGGCTCACGCCTGTAATCCCAGCACTTTTGGTGGCTGAGGTGGGCAGATTGCTTGAGCCCAGGAGTTCAAGATCAGTCTGGGCAACATAGGGAGACCCCTGTCTCTACAAAAAATAGATAAAAAAATTAGCCAGTCATGGTGGCTCATGCCTTTAGTCCCAGCTACTCAGAAGGCTGAGATAGGCAGATTGATTGAACCCAGGAGGTTGAGGCTTCGGTGAGCCATGATCGTACCACTGCACTCAAGCCTGGATGGCAGAGTGAGACCCTGACTCAATTGAAAAAAAAAAAAAAGCCAGGCAAAGTGGTTTAGGCCTGTAATCCCAGCACTTTGGGAGGCCAAGGTGGGAGATCCCTTGAGCCCAGGAGTTTGAGACTAGCCTAGGAAACATAGCAAAACCCCATCTGTACAAAAAATACAAAAATTAGCCAGGTGTGCTGGTGCATGCCTGTGGTCCCAGCTGCTTGGGAAGCTGAGGTGGGAGGATTGTTTGAGCTCGGGAGGTGGAGGCTGCACCTCCCGAGGTGCAGATGGAGGTGAGCCGTAATCAAGCCACTGCACTCCAGCCTAGGTGACAGAGTGAGACTGTCTCAAAAAAAAAGTGGACTTGATGCCACAGGAAGACTTTAAGCAGAGGATGAACGTTATCTATGTAGTTTCTTGTGCTTTGTTTGTTTGTTTGTTTGAGACAGAGTCTTGCGCTGACGCCCCAGGTACAAGTGATTCTCCTGCCTCAGCCTCCGGAGTAGCTGGGATAATAGGCACGTGCCACCATGCCCAGCTAATTTTTTATTTTTAATAGGGGTTTAGCTGGGATTACAGGCATGAGCCACCTCGCCCAGCCTCTTGTGTTTGTTTTTAACCTAGCCATTTAGAAATAGAGAAACTAAATCTCCTTATAGCCATTTTCCTACCATAGCTGGTTTACCTCACTTTTGCAGGCGAGAAATCCAGGGATGGGCAGGGGAGGGTTAGACTTATGTCCACCTTTGCCAGATCAAGAAAGACCTCCCAGAGGGGCCCAGGAGAGTAGATGCAAGAGCATCCCCAGGGAGGCTGTCACAGGGGGTGAGAAGGAGGAGGATCAAAAGAGGGTAAAACAGGCCGAGCACCGTGGCTCACGCTTGTAATCCCAGCACTTTGGGAGGCCAAGGCAGGCAGATCACCTGAGGTCAGGAGTTCAAAACCAGTCTGGCCAACGTGGTGAAAACCCATCTCTACTAAAAATACAAAAATTAGCTGGGTGTGGTGGCACCTGCCTGTAATCCCAGCTACTGGGGAGGCTGAGACAGGAGAATCGCTTGAACCCAGGAGGTGGAGGTTGCAGTGAGCCAAGATTGTGCCATTGCACTCCAGCCTGGGCGACAGAGCGAGACTGTCTGAAGGAAAAAAAAAAAAAAAAAGAGGGTAAAACAGGCTGAGGGAATTGCTGCTACCTAGGAGGATGAGGAGGTGGGAACTGAAGAGGAAGTAGGCCTGGCTCAGGGTCCACATCATTTCCCAACTCACTCCGGTGCTCCTGAGGTCCTTTCCTGCCTCGGAATTACTCTCTCCCATTCACCCAGCAAGTGTTCACCTTAGTCTTGGCCAAGCCCTGGGGTAGTGGCAAGAGAAGGCAGGAAGGCCTGCATGTGTGGTCTCCAGTCTCCTGACCCCAAGTGTGGCTACTCTGAACTCCCTTCAGCTGCCCTCTGCTCCTCTCTGTGCTTCCATTCCCTACCCCCAACTCAGCCAGAACGAGATGGAACACAGGCTTCTTCACCATCACTATCTTCACCACCTTCTTCTGTTTTTTTTTTTTTGTTGTTGTTGTTGTTTAATTTAATTTTATTTTTTGAGACAGGGTCTTGCTCTGTCACCCAGGTTGGAGTGCAGTGGCTCCATCACAGCTCACTGCAGCCTTGACCTCCTGGGCCCAAGTGATCCTCCCACCTCAGCCTCCTGAGTAGCTGGGACTACAGGTGCGTGCACCACTGTGCCCGGCTAGTTTTTCATTTTTTAATTTTGTAGAGATGGGTCTTACCAGGTTGATCAGGCTGGTTTCCAACTCCTGGGCTCAAGCAATCCTCCTGCCTTGGCCTCCAAAAGTGTTGGGATTACAGGCGTGAGCCACTGTACCTGGCCCCTTCCTCTATTTTCACTCTGGCCCCATCCTCGGCCACCTCCATACCTTCCTCCTAATTTTTTTTTAGTTTGAGAAGGCTCCAGTCTTCCCTCCTCATTCTTCTTCTTCTTTTCTTCTTCTTCTTCTTTTTTTTTTTTGGGACAGTCTCACTCTGTCGCCCAGTCTGGAGTGCAGTGGTGCAATCTCAGCTCACTGCAAACTCTGCCTCCTGGGTTCAAGGGATTCATTCTCCTGCCTCAGCCTCCCGAGCAGCTGGGATTACAGGCACACACACCATGCCCGGCTAATTTTTGTATTTTTAGTAGAGACAGGGTTTTTCCATGTTGGCCAGGCTGGTCTTAAACTCCTGACCTCAGGTGATCCGCCCACCCCAGCCTCGCAAAGTGCTGGGAATACAGGCGTGAGCCACCGCGCCCAGCCTCCCTCCTCATTCTTAGTCCAGCTCAGGTGGCTTGTTTTGTTTTGTTTTTTCTCCTCCTATTCACACATGCATACACACACATGCACTGGTCCTCTTCCGCAGGCCTCCTTCTCCTGCTTCCAAGCCATCCCATTCTCCTAGAACACTCCCTCTGGCCCACCTCTCAGCATCCTATTCTTGCTTTGCCTCATAGCTCAGTGCTACTTTTTCCAGAAAGTTTTACTGGAAAATTCTCCTTCTTTTTGTTTTTCCTTTAGCTCTCTCACCACTTATGTAACAATGCTCAGCTCCCAGGAAGAGGAGCAGAAGAGGAGCTGAGAAGGAGAAAGCAGCTCCCGGCAGCCAGGAACTTGCCTGGCAGTCTTAGCAATGCTTTGGTTTTCTCGTAAGCATTTCACAGAATACCAACATTAGGCAAGGCAATGCTGTGACCGACCTCGAGAGATCCAGACAGAAATAAGATCTCTCAGTAATCATATCTGAACAAAGAGAGAAACAAGAACATTGTCCAAACCACAAGAATAACCAACCATCCATGCATCCAAGCTAACATAAGCCAATGCTACTTCTTTACCAATCACACTTAGCCTTGCTTCATTCCTCCCACCTTGCACAGGACAGAAGATTTATTGATACTCCACTTTCTTTTTCTTTTCTTTTCTTTTCTTTTTTCTTTTTTTTTTTTTTGAGATGGAGTCTCACTCTGTTACCCAGGCTACAGTGCAGTGGCACGATCTCAGCTTATTGCAGCCTCTGCCTCCTGGATACGTCACTTTCTGACCAGCATCCAATCCTGAGAAAAGCCTCACTTCCTTGACCTCTTCCCCAAATCACCAAATGTAAGCTCAGATCCTAAGTCCTTTCTAACACTCATTTATTGGATGTGCCACAGTTCCACCATGGCATGTGTTCTTATTGAAATTAGTCTGCCAGGCACAATGGCTCCCACCTCTAATCACAGCACTTTGGGAGGCTGAGGCGGGAGGACCACTTGAGCCCCAGGGTTCAAGGCTGTAGTAAGCTATGATCTCGCCACTGCATCACTCTAGGCTGGGAGACGAATTGAGACCCAGTTTTTGTTTTGTTTTTTGTTTTTTTTGAGATGGAGTCTCGCTCTGTCACCCAGGCTAGAGTGCAATGGCATGATTTTGGCTCACTGCAACCTCTGCCTCCCAGGTTCAAGTGATTCTCCTGCCTCAGCCTCCCGAGTAGCTGGGATTACAGGCAATTGTCACCACGCCTGGCTAATTTTTTGTTTTTAGTGGAGACGGGGTTTCACCATGTTGATCAGGCTGGTCTCCAACTCCTGACCTCAGGTGATCTGCCTGCCTCGGCCTCCCAAAGTGCTGGGATTACAGATGTGAGCCACCGCGCCCAGGCTTTGAAGTGCTTTTACAGATATTTTAGCCGGTCACGGTGGCTTATGCCTGTAATCCCAGTACTTTGGGAGGCCAAGGCGGGTGGATCACCTGAGGTCGGGAGTTTGAGACCAGCCTGACCAACAAGGAGAAACCCCGTCTCTACTAAAAATACAAAATTAGCCAGGCGTGGTGACAACTGCCTGTAATCCCAGCTACTCGGGAGGCTGAGGCAGGAGAATCACTTGAACCCGGGAGGCAAAGGTTGCAGTGAGCTGAGATCATGCCATTCCACTCCAGCCTGGGCAACAAAAGTGAAACTCCGTCTCAAAAAAAAAATTAGCAGATTTTTCTTTCTTTCTTTTTTCTTTTTGAGAGGGAGTCTCACTCTATTGCCCAGGCTGGAGTGCAGTGGCATGATCTTGGCTCACTGCAACCTCTGCCTCTTGGCTTCAAGTGATTCTCCTGCTTCAGCCTTCCAGTAGCTGAGACTACAGGCATGCGCCACTACGCCCGGCTAATTTTTGTATTTTAGTAGAGACGGGTTTCACCATGTTGGCCAGGCTGGTCTTGAACTCCTAACCTCAAGTAATCCACCTGCCTCTGCCCCCCAAAGTGCTGGGATTATAGGCGTGAGCCACTGCTCCTGGCCGGCTTCTTTCTTATCTCCCTGCTTAGCTGTAAACTCCCCCAAGGCAGGACTGTGTCTTAGAGTGCTCAGTCAAAAGATCAGCAGTCAAAAGGTCAGGTGTTCCCAGGTGCCAGGGACCAGAGACCCCTGAGATCCCAAGTTATTGCTTAGGACTGAGGAGTGGAGCACCTGCGTCATATGAAGGGAAGGGGATAATGGGCCTTGTTCTGGGAGATGCAGGTGGCAGCGTGCCTGGGGGTTCTTTGCAAAGAATCCCTAGGGCAGAGAAAATATGGGGCTTGTGTACTGTCTAGTACAAGTCAGCATGAATTTTAATTTGTTACAACCCTGAACATCTTTGTATATTATGCCACTGTCCCAGATAGGGAACTTATCAGAGTAATCAGAACCAAAAAAGATAGGGCAGCCCTGAACTTTGAGCATGTGGTATACACACACATATTTGTGCTAGAGGGTATTATCCAGACCAGTAGTTTTATTTTATTTTATTTTATTTTATTTTACTTTTAAAATTTTATTTTGAGACAGGGTCTCACTCAGTTGCCCAGGCTGGAGTGAGGTGACATGATCACAGCTCACTGCAGCCTCAACCTCCCCAGGCTCAAGCAATCCTCCCTCCTTAGCCTTCGGAGTAGCTGGGACCACCGGCACAGGCCACCACGCCCAGCTAATTTTTGTATTTTTTGTAGATACAGAGTTTCACCATGTTGCCCAGGCTGGTCTTGAACTTCTGAGCTCCAGCGATCTGCCTGCCTTGGCCTCCCAAAGTGTTGGATTACAGGCATGAACCACTGTGCCTACCCTAAATTCACCAGTTTGAACTATACAATTCGATGGTTTTCAGTCACTCCCCATTTCCTCCTCAACCCCACAGACCCAGGCAACTATTAGCCTACTTTCTGTCTTTTCGGATTTGCCTATTCTGGACATTTCATATAAATGGACATAGTCTATATGGTCTTTTGTGGTTGGCTTCTTCCACCTTGGCATAATGTTTTCAACTATAACCTTGTTTTAAATTTTTCTGATCTTGATAGGGAAGAGCCACCTTTCCTTTTTTCGTTTGTTTGCTTGTTTGTTTGTTTGTTTTTTTGAGACAGCATCTCCCTCGGTCGCCCAGGCTTGAGTGCAGTGGCGCAATTTCAGCTCACTGCAACCTCTGCCTCCCGAGGTTCAAGCTATTCTCCTGCCTCACCCTCCTGAGTAGCTGGGATTACAGGCACCCGCCACCAGCCTGGCTAATTTTTGTATTTTTAGTAGAGATGAGGTTTCACCATGTTGGCCAGGCTGGTCTCGAACTCCTGACCTCAAATGATCCACCCACCTTGGCCTCCCAAAGTGCTGGGATTATAGGTGTGAGCCACTGCGCCTGGCCCGGAAGAGCCACTTTAATGTATTAATCTGGCTACAGACTTTTATTTGATTTTTAAAGTTTTTTTGTAGAGATGGGGTCTCACTCTATTGCCTAAGCTGGTTTTGAACTCCTGGGCTCAAGTGATCCTCCCACCTCAGCCTCCCCAAATCCTGGGATTATAGGTGTGAGCCACAACACCTGGTCTTGGCTATGGAGTTTGAAATAAAGTTATTTAAAAGAGGTTTAAACAAATTTGGAGGAGAGAATCTAAGTGCTAAAATAATAATAATAATAATAACATCTAGGCCAACCACGCTGGCTCACGCCTGTTATCCCAGCATTTTGGGAGGCCAAGGTGGGTGGATCACCTGAGGTCACGAGTTCCAGACCAGCCTGACCAACATGGAGAAACCCCGTCTCTACTAAAAATACAAAAATTAGCTGGGTGTGATGGCACATGCCTGTAATCCCAGCTACTTGGGAGGCCGAGACAGGAGAATCGATTGAACCCGGGAGGGCGAGGTTGAGGTGAGCCAAGATCGTGCCATTGCACTCCAGCCTGGGCAACAAAAGCAAAACTCTATCTCAAAAAAATAAATAAATAAATAAACTAAATAACATCTAAAAACTTCTTCTCTAGTTAAATCCCTCACATTGCATTTAAGGAAATAGGCACCCAGAGAGGGAAGTAACTTACCCAAAGGCACACAGCTTGTTAAAGGCAGAGCGAGGTCCAAGGCCTAGACCTGCTGAACTTCAGTTCCATCCTTTTCCTGTTACCTCCCTGCCCACTGATCTAACACACACGCTTTCACACACATAACACCCTTTCCACCAAAACTCATAAACATATGACCCACAAAATATCCTTGGAGACACATCTTGGGCCTCAGCCATGGTGGAGGCTGCTCTGTATAATGGCTCGGGCCTTCTGCTACTTGACCCTGAAATGCAGCCACCCAGGGAAGAATCAGTGTTGGCACCAGCTCTCAGAATTTCTGTCTTGGAGGAGCTCAGGAATGGCAATGTTCTTAGAAGCCAGAAGAAGCTGTTTGCTTAGCAGGAACAATTTTTACTTATTCTGAAAGTTTATTTGGAGTGGTGGATGAATGGTGTGTGTAGGGGGAGGCTGGTAGAGAACATGGAGAGAAGGCTAACACCTGTGGGGTTGTGATTGGAGGGAACTCAGTTAAGGGTTAGGAGGATGTATGGGGGACTGGGTACGGTGGCTCATGCCTGTAATCCCAGCACTTTGGGAGGCCGAGGCAGGCGGATCACAAGGTCAAGAATTTGAGACCAGCCTGGCCAACATGGGGAAACGTCGTCTCTACTAAGAATACAAAAATTAGCTGGGCATCGTGGCACGTGCCTGTAATCCCAGCTACTCAGGAGGCTGAGGCAGGAGAATCGCTTGAACCCGGGAGACGGAGGTTGCAGTCAGCGGAGATTGTGCCACTGCACTCCAGCCTGAGCAACAGAGCAAGACTCTGTCTCGGAAAAAAAAAAAAAAAAAAAGAGGATGCATAGGAACTCTACTGATGCTTCCAGAACTAAGCCCAGATGAGACTGAAGGTAGGGGACAGGAGGATACAGAAGGAGAAGGTCAGGCTGAGGGAAAGGACTCCAGATTGAGGCAGTCTATGATCTTACAGCTGTTCCTGGAACTATCCCAAACCCCACTTATAGACAGCTCACAGAGGCTGTCAGGCTGCTGGAAAAGGGCAAGAAGAGGACAAATTCTATCCACAGAACATTATCTGAGGGTGGAGGATGAGGGGAGATAAAGGGCAGAAACCTTCAGAAAGCCTGGGAGAGACGGCAGCCAGCTAATGGTAACATCTGGCCTTTCCACCCTGAAGTTTCCCTCAGGCCATTCCCCATCCCTGGAAGTGAATGGAGCTTAGGACATGGGTGGAGAGCAGGTATAGGCCTTGGCCCCAGAGCCACGACGAGGTTTGACTGGAGGAACACTGGTTAGGCTGTATTCTCAAAACAACATCCACTCTCCTACTGCCTGTGGTGGGCACTAGAAATCTCATTCTTAGAGATCTGTCCCTTTGGGTCTGTGAAAGGCTTTCAAGCATCCTTTATCACAGGGAAACTATCCCTGGGTGGGGCAGCAACAACTGTGAATTAAGAGTAAAGCTCAGGCTGGGGCACAGTGGCTCACGCCTGTAACCCCAGCACTTTGGGAGGCCGAGGCAGGTGGATCACCTAAGGTTAGGAGTTTATGACCAGCCTGGCCAACATGGCGAAACCCCATCTCTACTCAAAATACAAAAATTAGCTGGGTGTGGTGGCAGGCACCTGTAATCCCAGCTACTCGGGAGGCTGAGGTAGGAGAATCGATTGAACCCGGCGGGCACAGTTTGCAGTGAGCCGAGATTGTGGCACTGCATTCCAGCCTGGGTGAAAGAGCAAGACTCTGTATAAAAAAAAAAAAAAAGTAAAGCTCAGATGAAACAAGGCCCAGGAGACACTGGGCTTGACAAGGGAAAGGGACTACTCTCAATTTTGCCCAAAGTTGGTCTTCCTTCAATCACAAATCTCCAGGAGCCCTTATTTGTACGGTCTTGATTCCTGGACAATCAGTGGTTTATTTAAGCTGTGGACAGCCCATAGTTCTGTCTAGTAGAGGCTCCCCAAAATACAGGGGCCCCATCAGTCAGGGCTGTTAAGAAGTTATGAAGCTCGGCTGGGCGCGGTGGCTCACGCCTGTAATCCCAGCACTTTGGGAGGCCGATGTGGGTGGATCACTTAAGGTCAGGAGTTTGAGACCAGCCTGACCAATATGGTGAAACCCTGTCTCTACTGAAAATACAAAAATTAGCCAGGCATGGTGACGTGCGCCTGTAGTCTCAGCTACTCGGGAGGCTGAGACAGGAGAATTGCTTGAACCCGGGAGGCAGAGGTTGCAGTGAACTGAGATCAAGCCACTGCACTCCAGCCCGGGTAACAGAGCGAGACTCCATCTCAAAAAAAAAAAAAAAAAAAATTTATGTAGTTCATCTCAACCTTAGATTGTCCTCCAGCTTCTAATCCCAAAATCCTGGGCCCAGTCTGGACTTTAACCAGGTGACACACATTAGTGCGTCAGTTTCAGTGGGCGTTAACATGGAACTGGACCTGTGCCTGATTCATCCAGGAAGCTGAGCCTAGGCCGCAGAACAAACACCCCTAAGCAGCTTCTGCTAGGCATGGGTGAGAGGCTGTCTGGCCAAACAGTGACTGTGTTTGCTTTGTCTTCTTCCTCTCTCCCACCCCCACTTGCCAGAGTCCCTCATTTCTCTCTGCCCATCACTGGGTCAGGTGCTGTGTGTTTTTTTTATGGATGACTCTAGAAAGTTTTCTCTTTCTCTTTCTCTCTCTCTGTCTTTGGTGGTGAAGGTGATTCTTGAAGAAGAGAAGGCTTTAAAAGGGGCACAGGCCGGGCACGGTGGCTGACGCCTATAATCCCAGCACTTTGGGAGGCCAAGGCGGGCGGATCGCCTGAGGTCGGGAGTTCGAGACCAGCCTGACCAACATGGAGAAACCCCGTCTCTACTAAAAATACAACATTAGCTGGGCATGGTGGTGCATGCCTGTAATCCCAGCTACTCGGGAGGCTGAGGCAGGAGAATCGCTTGAATCCGGGAGATGGAGGTTGCAGTGAGCTGAGATCGTGCCATTGCACTCCAGCCTGGGCAACAAGAGCGAAACTCCATCTCAAAATAAATAAATAAATAAATAAATAAATAAATAAATAAATAAATAAATAAATAAAAGAGGTACAGCAGGAGCTGATATTGGGAGGGGAAATAAAGGGAAGTAAGAACTGGTTTGGATGGGAATTAGAAAAAACAAAAAAGTCAGACATCAGGCCAGGCGCTGTGGCTCATGTCTGTAGTCCCAGCACTTTGGGAGGCTGAGACAGGCGGATTGCTTGAGCCCAGAAGTTCAAGACCAGCCTGGATAACATGGTGAGACCCCTGTCTCTATTTAAAACAAAAGATGTAAGGAAAAAAAAGAAAAAAAATGTCAGAGAAGTTCTGGGCCACCTCCCCCATCCCCTACTCCTCCAAAACACACACACACACACACACCTGTCTATAGTCTAAGCAGGTCCTGCTTTTGTAACCCACCCGGGACAGTCCCTGCAACTCCAGCCTGACCTCACTTCCTGCTTCCATAGCTAGTTTGTTTTTCTGACACTTATTGGTAGACACTCCAGATCATTTCATTTTGCTTCCAGTACCCTTTCCACTTCCTAATACAAATGCAAAACAACCTGGGAATCCCCTTTCAGGGGGAAACAACGGTGCAGCTTTAAGAGAAAGAGAAGGGAGGAAGGGGGCGCTGACTCAGATCCTCAGATCCATTGGCTGCTGGAGGGAATCCCACCTCAGGGATTGGGCGTAACAGAGTCCGCCTCCTCTTGTGATTGGCTCAGCCAGAAAAATAAAAGGCGGCTGTGCCGGCCTCCTCCTCAGTTGGAGGGAGGCAGGGAATCTGGCTTGATTGGCGTGCTGAGACGCACCTGGCGCAACCCTCCCTTCTGAATCGAAGTTCAAGTCCCGCGGACACTGCAACCATGAAGGAGAGACGGGCCCCCCAGCCAGTCGTGGCCAGATGTAAGCTCGTTCTGGTCGGGGACGTGCAGTGTGGGAAGACCGCGATGTTGCAAGTGTTAGCGAAGGATTGCTATCCAGAGGTGAGCTGCCCGCCCGCCCGCTGGCCGGCTTTTCTCCCTGCCTGCCCGCCTTGGGGTAGATTTCCACCTGCTCAGGAGACGTGGCTCCCCCAGCCCCAGCCCATCCTCAGCCGCTTTCTGAGGCTTTACCATCCTCAGCTGCTTTTTGGCTGGAGGACTGCCCTGCCTTAGCTTCCCCTGAGACCTGTTCCACTTCTGCCGCCCCGCTGGCTCCTCCTCACCTCTTCACCCAGAGGACCCATCAGATCCCCTCCACCTTCCTGCGTCCCTGGAGTCTGCTCTCAGGTGAGGGCACTGGAGGCATTTGAAAGTCTGGGGTTTCTTCTTGACGTAATCCCTGCCTATCCGCTCACCTGCTCCTCAAAGGCTCTATGCCTGTGCCTTCAGGCAGGCTTCTGCAGCCCCTCTGTTCACCTGGCCGGGAGGGGTTTGAGAGGAGATGAGCTAGGATTGGCTTTGGCCTGTGGCTCTCTCAAATTGGGAAACACAAATCTGGGGATGGGAGGAATCTGTGTGTGTGTGTGTCCCTGATCGCCTAGGATATGGGGGGCTTACCCCTGGTGTGGTGGTGTGGGGGGGTGTCATTCACATTTCTCACTGCTGCAGAGCAAAGTGCCTGGTCCTCCACAGTCCCTTCCCTCCTGCCCCAGGCATCTCCTCTGGTTTCTTGTCTCCTGTGACTTTACTGTCTCTCTGGTGAGTGCGTGTGTAGCCAGCACTAACCAGGGGATCTGAGGGTAGGGGTGCATGGGGTGAATGTTTCCTCTCTTTTCACAGACCTATGTGCCCACCGTGTTCGAAAATTACACAGCCTGTTTGGAGACAGAGGAACAGAGGGTGGAGCTTAGTCTCTGGGATACCTCAGGTAAGAATTCTGCTCCAAATACCCCTTTCCCACCCCTACTGGTCTGCTGTGTAGCTGCTGTCTTTTAGAAATTGTTTTCCCCTTTGGTGGGGAGAAGTGAAAAAAGAGGATCTGAAGACTCATTAGTTGTGGGGAGGGCTGACAGTTGGTGGACTCAGTTGCATGGTCCAAGGGTGCAGAGTGGGTGAACCCCAGGAGCCACTCTCTTCCCTGGGTCTGGTTCCACCCTTTAGAGGGCTGGGATGGTGAGGTGAAGGGACCCATGAATAGTCCTGGGGGTGGGCAGTAAAACAGGACTTCTCCATTTCCATTCCCTACCACCCAACATGCACGCGTACACACATGCACACACACGCGCGCGCGCGCACACACACACACACACACACACACACACACACCTTTTACTTCCCCAGAGCAAAGCCAAATAAGAGGCAAGAGGCAGTGCTGCTGGAGGCAGCGTGGTTGGGGCGGAGAGACAAGTCTGCTTTGGGGAAAGGTTGCTCAGACTCAGTTTTGTCTCCTGCATTCCATCTTGGGCCACTGCTGTCCTCCTGCCGCAGCTCAGCCCCACTCGTCACACCGCTGCAGCTCGGGGATGAAGCAATGCATCATCGATGTTTTGGAAGTTGGGGGAGATGGCTTAATATAGGGCATAGTCAGTTGTGAATAGTGGCCGGCAGGGCAGAGGGGAGGTTGGCTCTGACTGTTTTCCCTCTACTGGGGTGAGGTAGAATATGCCCTGTCTCTCTAGAATGTAGAAACAATGTTTTTCCAGCCTCTCAGCCCCAAGCCCTTAGTGCTAGGCTATCCTTTGCCTTGATTCTGACCCCTTCCCATTATCTCTTTACCCCAGACCTTTTTCAATAGACTGGCTCAGAGTCATAATTAAGGAGTAAAAGCCGGGAATAAGAGAAAGAAAATAA
The DNA here is from genome assembly GCF_000001405.40 of Homo sapiens. Taxonomy (NCBI): domain Eukaryota; kingdom Metazoa; phylum Chordata; class Mammalia; order Primates; family Hominidae; genus Homo; species Homo sapiens. The sequence continues at coordinate 48,863,859 of NC_000012.12, read as the reverse complement.
AATCCACCCCTCCCCAAAAATGCATATTCAGGCTGAGTTTAAAAAGGGACCGTAAATCACTAGGTGTTTCCTGCTACATATAATAAATATGCTGTCCTGCTCCTTCAACAGCTGTTGTTCCCATGCTCTAATTCTGAGGTCTGAAAAGATTGGGGCTAGGGAATGGTTAGACAGACAATGAGCCTTTCCTCCCCAAACAAAAATTCCCCAATCTGGTATGCTTTTCCCTGTTGCAGTTTCAGGGCTTGGGAGGCAGCGTTCTGGTTCTCCTGGGCTGTGCTATGCTGGCAAGATTGGGCTAGAATGCAGCTTGATGGCATGATGTATAATTTTTGGTTTTTCATCTGCTGTACCCTCCCACCTTCCAATCTTCCCAGAATCTTACTGCAGCTCATCTCTTTTCACTACCACCGCCCAAACGCCCTCCCCCCACCTCCTCCCTCCTTTGACAGTCAGAATGCAGCCCTCAAATCCCAAACCAGATCATGGAAAATCAGCAAGTGTAGTCTCTGTTCCCTGTGTCACACCCCCACCCCCAATTTCCGAAAGGATAAAGGCTGTCAGTTATTCTCAAACTCCCTCTTTCAGATTAGGTTCCCATAAGGAAGGAGGAAGTGGCCATGGTGTGTGGGATAGGGTTTCCCAATGTTGGGCTCAGGGTTGACCCTGTTCCCATTATTTACTTGCTAGTCTTAGGGGAGGGGGATTGCTTGGAGCCAAAATGGAGGCCTCCTCCCCTCCCCCTTCCCCAGTGCTGCAGTGCTTCCGCTCCTCAGTGCTGCAGTGGTAAGACCCCACCTCAGAAAGGGATGGAGGAGGCTTGCTGAAGGAGCAGGCAGCTATCCCAACTCCCCTGTATTCCTTTTTTTAATGACCAACATCCCCCCACCAGCTTGGATTCCCCCCAGTTTCCATGGCGATTGTGGTGCAGGGAGAGGGGCTGCTTGCTATTCTGAGCACGGATTGTCTGGGTTCCAAATCCGCTACTGCTCCTTCCCCAGGGTGGAGGGGGCAGGCTCAGCTCCTAGCATTCTCCCATATGGGACCACCTGGGTCTGCATTGCCTATTTCCCTTCCAACGAAGGACTCTTGCTCTAGCCTCTAAATCCCCAGCCATCGGTGCTGCTGTCTTTGAGACTGCCTTCCTGAGATGTGGGGCGGTCAGGAGGTACAGCTTTCCTTTTGCCCTTTTCAGTGTAAGCCGATCTGGGTGGGTGGAGAAGTGGGGCACTGAACCCTTGATTCTCTCCCTCCCCTGCTAGCCTCCTAAAGTTCTGACCCCATGGAAAAGCAGCAGGCAGGTTATGTAACAAGGAGGTTTTTCTCTTCACTGGGGAGACCCTGGAGCAGAAGGGAGTGAAGTTGGGCAGCAGGCAGGCTCTAGAAGAGAGAAGCCCTGAAATAAGTGCTGTCTCTCTGCAGGGCTGGAAGCATCTTCTGGGACTCAGAAAACTAGTAGATCTCCAATTAAGCCTGCTGTAGGAGACCCAAACAGGGCCAAATTATACTCCACCCACTTTATTTTGTCTTCTTTCCCTTTTTCTGGACTAAGGGGGATGATATTCTTTCATGACCTTCTGGCAGACAGTCAGGTCCCAAGCTTCCAGCCGCAGTACATTCCCCCTGGGAGATGGGTGGATCCTCAGGGATTGAGGATGGTATTCCCAGGGCTTTAGGGCTTAGGCCTATTGGGGAAGGAAAACACCATGGCTCACCATCAGCTCTTTCTGGCCTACACCAGGATCTCCCTACTACGATAATGTCCGTCCACTCTGCTACAGCGACTCGGATGCAGTATTACTATGTTTTGACATCAGCCGTCCAGAGACAGTGGACAGCGCACTCAAGAAGGTAAGACTAGATCAACTCTCTAATCTCTAACTCAGCATGAGGACCAAGAAGGAATCGGGACCTTGTCATGAATGCCCTCTTGTATAACATCAAGAAATGGAAGCCAGGGAAGGAAGAGATTTGCCCAAGGCCACACCATTAGCTACAGCTCTGGGACTGGAACTTGGGTCTCCTTACCCCACTGCCTCCCGCCCTTTTTGTTATCCCATGCTGCCTTGCCAGAGGCCCCGCAAGGGAGGGTGGTATTGAAGACTCAGGAAGCAGAGGACGGAGAGTCAGAGAACCTTTAGGTGATACGGTATGAGGGTCAGGCATGGGACCTTTTGGAGGCAGCTTCTATAGACCCTGATCCCAGTCCCACTGAGAATGGGCAAGCCAGGCAGGTCTGAGCTGAGCTGCTGGTATGAAATGCTTAGGTCTGGGCAGATCCACCAATGCTGAGGAGTCCTAGGAAACCTTGTGTATCTAGCATAGTATAGAAGATGCTGGGATCATGTTCTTCCCTTGAGAAGAGACTGGTTGGCTTCCCCCTGGCATTCTGGACTTGTGAGGCCCTTTGGGGTGAGGGGGCAGATCCATGCCTATATGGTTGGCAGAGAGTGGGAGGAGAATTGCCCTTGTGCCCTCTCTGGTGACTGAGCCATAGACTGGGGGAACAGGCTCCTGGGTCAGCACTCTGGGGGCCCCAAAGGCCTCATGGGCAGGAAAATGATGTAATTAGTGCAACGGTGATGCTGTGACTCAGAGGGAGGACTGGGCTGGTGATGAGTGAGGTGATGTGTGTGACGTTGCCAGCCAAGCTTCTCCTGGTATCTGTCTGCCACTAACTCTCCTTCCTTCCTCCTTCTCCTACCCTTCTTCCTGCTCCACCCCTCAGTGGAGGACAGAAATCCTAGATTATTGTCCCAGCACCCGCGTTTTGCTCATTGGCTGCAAGACAGACCTGCGAACAGACCTGAGTACTCTGATGGAGCTGTCCCACCAGAAGCAGGCGCCCATCTCCTATGAGCAGGTGTGTGCGCATGCAAGTGCATGTCGTGGGGTGGAGTGAGGAAGGCTAGAGGCAGACAGCTTGAAATATGGCCCTGGCTCAAATTCTTCCACTATGGCAAGAGAGAATTGCTGTTATAATTAGCAAATGAGTCACCTGGAGAGAGGTGGTGGGCACCTGCTTACCCAGATGTATGCTGTCAGTTAGCAGGTGAGTTATTCCTGTGTGTGCCCACATTTCTAAGATTGTATTCTGACCACCTGCGTTAGAATCATTAGAGGTGTTTGTTAGAATTTCACACACACAAAAAAAAGAGGCCAGGTGCAAGGTGGCTCATGCCTGTAATTCCAGAACTTTGGGAGGCTGAGGCAGGAGGATAGCTTGAGCCCAGGAGTTTGAGATAAGCCTGGGCAACAAAGCAAGACTGTCTCTACCAAAAAAAAAAAAAAAAAAAAAAAAATAGCTGGGTGTGGTGGTGAGTGCCTGTAGTCACAGCTACTCAGGATGCTGAGGTGGGAGGACCGCTGCTTGAGCCCAGGAGGTTGAGGCTGCAAGGAGCTGTGATCATGCCACTGCACTCCAGCCTGAGTGACAGAGTGAGACCCTGTCTCAAAAAAAAAGAAAAGGAGGAGGGGCACTGGGTGCGGTGGCTCACGCCTGTAATCCCAGCACTTGAGAGGCCAAGGCCGATGGATCACTTGAGCTCAGGAATTCAGGACTAGCCTGGCCAACATGGCAAAACGCTGTCTCTACTAAAAATACCAAAAGTAGCTGGGTGTGGTGGCATGCACCCGTAATCCCAGCTACTCAGGAGGCTGAGGCAGGAGAATCGCTTGAACCTGGGAGATGGAGGTTGCAGTTAGCTGAGATTGTGCCACTGCACTCCCACCTGGGCGACAGAGTGAGAGACTCTGTCTCAAGGAAAAAAAAAAAAAAAAAAGGCCAGGTGTGGTGGCTCATGCCTGTAATCCCAGCACTTTGGGAGACGGAGGCAGGTGGATCACTTCAGGTCAGGAGTTCAAGACCAGCCTGGCCAACGTGGTGAAACCCCGTCTCTACAAAAAATACAAAAAATTAGCCAGGTATGGTGGTGCACACCTGTAATCCCTGGGCAACAGAGTGAGACTCTATTTCAAGAAAAAAAAGTGTGATCTGCCTAGGTTGGAGTGCAGTGGCACAATAGTTGTTTATGCAGCCTTGACCTCCCGGACTCAAGTGATCCTCCCTCCTGTCTCCCTAGTAGCTGGGACTATAGGTATGGGCCCCACGCCTAGCTAATCTTTTAACATTTTTTGTAGAGACAAGGTCTCAGTATGTTTCCGGGGTTGTTCTTGAACTCCTGACATCAAGTGATTCTCCTACCTTGGCCTCCCAAAGTGCTGGGATTACAGTTGTGAGTCACCACACCTGGCCTGGAATCTGCATTTTTTATAAGACCCCTGGATAATTTCTTATGTGCATGAGAGCATAGGGTTGGGGGACTGAGTTTCGCTCTTGTCACCCAGGCTGGAGTGCAGTGGTGCGATCTCAGCTCACTGCAACCTCTGCCTCCCGGGTTCAAGAGATTCTCCTGCCTCAGCCTCCTGCGTAGCTGGGATTACAGGTGCCTGCCAACACGCCCAGCTAATTTTTGTTATTTTTAGTAGAGATGGGGTTTCACCATGTTGGCCAGGCTGGTCTTGAACTCCTGACCTCAGGTGATCCACCTGCCTTGGCCTCCACTGCACCTGACCTGGGGAGCTCTTAAGAATACTAATACCGGCCAGGCGCGGTGGCTCACGCCTGTAATCCCAGCACTTTGGGAGGCTGAGGCGGGCAGATCACAAGGTCAGGAGATCAAGACCATCCTGGCTAACATGGTGAAACACCATCTCTACTAAAAATACAAAAAATTAGCCAGGCGTGTTGGCGGGTGCCTGTAGTCCCAGCTACTCGGGAGGCTGAGGCAGGAGAATGGTGTGAACCCGGGAGGCAGAGCTTGCAGTGAGCCGAGATCGCGCCACTGCACTCCAGCCTGGGCAACAGAGCGAGACTGTTTCAAAAAAAAAAAAAAAAGAAAAGAAAGAAAAAGAAGAATACTAATGCCTTGGCTCTATACCCAGAATTTTTTTTTCCTTTTCCTTTTTTTTTTTTTTTTTTTTCCAGAGACAGGGTCTTACTCTGTCACCCAGAATGAAGTGCAGTGGTGTGATCCTAGCTCACTACAGTGCAGAACTCCTGGGCTCAAGGGATCCTCTCTAGTATTTGAGACTATAGTTGTGTGCCCACTTCCAGTGAATTTTTAAACATTTTTTAAAAGTGTTTATTATTATTTTATTATCTTTATTTTTGAGATTTATTTTTGTAATTCCAAAGCGCTGGGATTATGGGTGTAAGCCACCGCGCCCGGCCACCTAGGCTGGTCTTGAACTCCTGGCCTCCTCAAGTGATCCTCCCATCACAGCCTCCTGAGTAGCTGGGATTAGAGGCACTAGCCACTGCCCCAGCTATCCCCAGAAATTCTAATTTAGTTTGGCATCAATATAGTTTTAAGAGTATTCCAGATGATTTATAATGTGCAGTCAGGCATCGTCTTAAGAAAAAGAGGCATCATCAGACAGGGTGTATGCCAAAAAAAAAAAAAAAAAAGAAAAGATAATCGAATAATCTGCAGAGGGTGGTGTTTGGAGACTGGCAGCTGGGTCCCCTCTGGAGTGGCCCTGGGGAGTGACGCACAGAGGCAGCGTCCCAGAGCCATTTTGGCCCACTGCATTAATGCCCTCACCCCCTCCTGCAGGGTTGTGCAATAGCAAAGCAGCTGGGTGCAGAAATCTACCTGGAAGGCTCAGCTTTCACCTCAGAAAAGAGCATCCACAGCATCTTTCGGACGGCATCCATGCTGTGTCTGAACAAGCCTAGCCCACTGCCCCAGAAGAGCCCTGTCCGAAGCCTCTCCAAACGACTGCTCCACCTCCCCAGTCGCTCTGAACTCATCTCTTCTACCTTCAAGAAGGAAAAGGCCAAAAGCTGTTCCATTATGTGAAGTGGAAATTGGAGGGGGGAGACAACCCCCTACTTCCTCCCTTGGGGTGCAGAGGCACGGGGAGAGGGAGGATGAGACAATTTAGGACACTGGACATGAGTTTTTCAGATGGCCACGGTGAGGGCTTGGAAGGAGACAGGAATGGGGCGAGGAAGGAGCCAGGCCCGGCATGAGGACCTGACGCTGAGAGAGAACCATCATACCCCAAGCCAGGCACTAGATTTTGGAGGGGGCGACTACCCCAGTGCCCCCCCCGCTCCAGAGGAAGGAAAGCTGTGGGGGACGGGGGGCATGCTGGCCTCATGGGCTTGGGGGCCTACAGCAGCCTCACCTTCAGCTTCATGCCTCTTCCACACAGCGTTTCCATGCAGGTCAGGGGATGGGAGGGGTCCCTGAGCCCTTCCCTTCCCCTCTAAGGAGGCAGCAACGGAGAGTGGGGAAGTGGAGCGGCAGCTCCCTTGGGGGCTTAGCCCAGGTGCTTCGTAACTGCAATCGGAAGTGCAGGAGCTGGTCAGAGCCAATGAGAAGGAAACCTCATCTTTGCATAGCCCATGCCTCATGGAGAGGTGACATCATACATTCACATGCTTCTCACCTAAGTCCCCAGGGTCCAAGGGAGAAGCCCCAGACCCCCTTCTCTTGCAGAGTGTGGGGGTGGTGGTGCTGCAGGGGCAGGGCTGGGTGGGGGTCACCAGACTTTTTCTGCCCTTAGGGTAGTACAGCTGGCATTTGTTTTATAGACTCTTGTCTTTGGAATTGGGGGGAGGGGGGGAGTGTTTCAATCTGTTATATGTTCTGTGTTTAATGAAGAAAACCTATTTATTAATGAAAAATATAATACATATAAAGAATTTGGCTCCGTATTTTTTTCTGTTTTCTTTAGTTGTTACAATTGGTATTTTTTTTTTTTGGTCTTTTTTTTTTTTCCTTTTTGTGGAGAACAGGGTCTCGCTATATTGCTCAGGCAGGTCTCAAACTCCTGGGCTCAAGCTATCCTCACATCTCTGCCTCCCTAAGAGCTGGGATTACAGGCATGAGCCACCGTGCTTGAGCCCTTTGGTTGATGATAATGAGAGAAAAGCTGTCCTGGGACCCTTTCTGTGGGTTGCAGAGGGGCTGCCTCCACCATTCCCCAGCTCCTCCAAGAAGGAGCTTCTCTCTTCCCCCATCCCCCTGCCCTAGCCCCACCCAAGACCTACTAAACCAAGGAAGGGCTCCTTAGCCCGAGAGCAGGGGTGCAGGGGTTCTCAACCCTGGAACTATTGACATTTTGGACTGGATAATGCTTTGTTGTGAGGGACTGTCCTATGCAGCCCAAGATGTTTAGCAGTGTCCCTGATCTGGTGGATGCTAGAAGACAGCACCCCACTCTCCAGCTATCACACCCAAAAATGTCTCCAGACGTTGCTAAATGGCCCCTGTGGAAAAATTCTGGTTGAGAACCACTGCCCTGGAGAGTCTAGAGGAGAGAAAAAGGTTGGATGAAATCATCAGTAGAGGATCCAAGCTGCTGAGATTCCACCCCACATAGAAGGTGGACAGACTAAGCCAAAGCTGGGGGAGGCTCCTGGGATTCTGGTCTCCTCTGAGTTCAAGGAGAGGTGACATTTGCCTTCATGACCTTCCAATTCCGATGCCTACTGATGGCAGCTCAGGGGCCTTAACTCTTAACTTCCTTTCTCAGTGACTTATAGCTCTTGTTTTCCAAGTGCCATAGTGTAGTGCTAGTGCCAGAAATAAAGTTAGCATGTACTAGGCCAGGCGCGGTGGCTCAAGCCTGTAATCCCAGAACTTTGGGAGGCTGAGGCAGGTGGATCACAAGGTCGGGAGATCGAGACCATCCTGGCTAACACGGTGAAACCCCATCTCTACTAAAATACAAAAATTAGCCGGGCATGGTGGCACGTGCCTGTAATCCCAACTACTCGGGAGGCTGAGGCAGGAGAATCGCTTAAACCCGGGAGGCAGAGGTTGCAGTGAGCCAAGATTGCGCCACTGCACTCCAACCTGGGCAAAAGAGGGAGACTCCATCTCTAAATAAATAAATAAATAAATAAAGTTAGCATGTACTTAATGAGTGTTCAGCACTGTGCACTGTGTTGAGGGCTTTACATGATCACATTTAGACTCATAAATGATAAGAGCTAACATTTGTTAAATGTTTACTATGGGTCGGGGCACTTACGAGATTTTTCTTTTTTTTTTTTTGAGACAGGGTCTCACTCTGTCGCCCACGCTGGAGTACAGTGGCATGACCACTGCTCACTGCAACCTCACCCTCCTGGTTCACCGTCCTGATCACCCTCCTGACCCTCCTACCTCAGCCTCCTGGGTAGCTAGGACTACAGGAGTACCACAGTAGTAGTCTATTTTTTGTGGAGATGGGGTTTCACCATGTTGCCCAGGCTGGTCTTGAACTTCTGGGCTCAAGTGATCCTCCTGCCTCGGCCTTCCAAAGTGCTGGGATTACAGGCATAAACCATGGTGCCCGGCCCCACTTACGAGTTCTTTCTATGTTATTTATTCCTGTGATAACCCTATGAGCCTATGAGGTGCTATTTTTTTTTTTTTAGACGGAGTTTCACTCTGGCTGGAGTGCAATGGCACGATCTTGGCTCACCGCAACCTCTGCCTCCTGGGTTCAAGTGATTCTCCTGCCTCAGCCTCCCAAGGGACTACAGGCATGTGCTACCATGCCCGGCTAATTCTGTTTTTGTTTGTTTGTTTGTTTGTTTTTTTAGTAGAGACGAGGTTTCTCCATGTTGGTCAGGCTGGTTTCGAACTCCCGACCTCAGGTGATCCACCCACCTTGGCCTCCCAAAGTGCTGGGATTACAGGTGTCAGCCACGGCGCCCCGCCGCTATCTACTTCATTTTACAGAAAAGAAGACCGAGGTTCAGAGAGATTAGGTAACGTGCACAAGGTCACACAGCTAGGAAGTGGTTGAACATGGATACAAATCCAGGCAATCTGGCTTCACATCATGCACTCTAACTTGCTCTGCTGTCCTGTCCTGTGAGGGAAGTGGTATTATTATCTCTGTTTTGTAATGAGGAAAGAGAAAAGCCAGAGATGCCATATAATTTGCACAAGATCACAGTACTAGTAAGCAATTGAGCCAAGATTCAAACCAGAACTCACTGTTCACCAAAATCCCATGGACCCCTTACTGGTAGGCATGTTGTACCTAAATAGGTATCTCCAGTTATGGTTCTTACTAGAACACCATCCCTCTGTCTCTGTCTCCAAAGATGATGGTTTAGGTGTGGTGACTGGTGCCTGTAGTTCTAGCACTTTGGGAGGACGAGCCGGGCGGATTGCTTGAGGCCAGGAGTTTGAGACCAAACTGGACAACATTGCAAGACCCTGTCTCTACAGAAAGTAAAACGATTAGCCAGGCATGATGGGGTGCACCTGTGGTCCCAGCTACTTGGGAGGCTGAGGCAGGAGGATCACTTGAGCCCAGGTCAGGGCTGCAGTGAGCTGTTTGTGCCACTCCACTTCAACCTGGGCAACAAAGTGAAACCCGGTCTCAAAAATAAATAAGTAAATAAGCCAGGTGTGGAGTCTCACGCCTGTAATCCCAGCACTTTGGGAGGCCGAGGCAGGTGGATCACGAGGTCAGGAGATCGAGACCATCCTGGCCAACATGATGAAACCCCGTTCCTACTGAAAATACAAAAATTAGCTGGGTGTGGTGGCATGTGCCTGTAATCCCAGCTACTTGGGAGGTTGAAGCAGGAGAATCGCTTGAACCAGGGAGGTGGAGATTGCAGTGAGCCGAGATTGCACCACTGCACTCCAGCTTGGCGACAGAGCGAGACTCCATCTCAAAAATAAATAAATAAATAAAATAAAATAAAAATACAAACAAATAAGAAAACAAAGATTCATGTTTGTGAGAGAACTAGTGGGGCAAGACAAATAACAAGTATCCTTGAAGCCCAATGTCTTACATGTGTCATGAGATGTGCGCACAAGTACTAGAGGAACTCTGCCACTATGAACTGGGACAAGCTTTATCACCCTCCAGGAGCTCAATTTAAAGAGAGTTGAGATGGCAGCCTGAAAATGGGGAAAGGTAATGGACTCTGAAGTTAAATGAACCTGAATTTTGGCTCCATTCTTTTCTTTTCTTTTTTCTTTCTTTCTTTTTTTTTTTTTTCCAGTCAGGGTTTTGCTCTGTCACCCAGGCTGTAGTGCAGTGGCACGAGCATGGCTCACTGCGACCTCGACCTCCTGGGCTCAAGCAGTCCTCCTGTCTTGGCCTCCCAAAGTGCTGAGATACAAGCATGAGCCACCTCACCTGGCCCATTCTTTTAACTATGTGGCCTTTGAAGGCATAATTACTCTTTCTGGGCCACAATCTCCTTACCAGTAAAATGGAGATAGCACTCATCTCATACTGCTATGAGAACTAAGTAAAACAAATAAGGTAGGTTAAGTGTCCAGCCCAGAGCTGAGCACTTAGAAGATTCTCAATAAAAAGTGGCTGCAGTTTTTGAAGATTCTGGCCTACCATGGTTGGTCTGATTCTTAGTTTAATCTGTGAATCTGTGAGTCGAGCGCCCTCTCGTGCTTTTGTGGTGAATTACACCTAACAGATCTCAGAGCTCTCTTCTTTCCCTTGCGTTCTCTCTGGAGTAGAAGCTGGGAGGTGAAAGGCTGCAGGTTCTAAGAGAAGTGTGTGTCTCCGAGGGTTACTTTGGGCCATTGTACGTGATGCTCAGGGCTTTAGGATTACTTGGGTCTATCCTGAGGCTCTGCTTGAGAGCTTGGGCATATTCAGAGAGAAAAGGCAGACCTACAGCCATGTGGAATTGAAGCAACAAACCTGCTGCTGGCAAAATGGGAAGGGAGGTCCGAGATACTTCTGGTTATCTAAACCGTTTCCGCAACTGCAATGTTTTGTTTTGTTTTGAGGGAAAGAGTTATGAACCCATAAGACCAAAGAGAAACACAAAGTGAACTTACGATTTGAGGTTAAAACAACAACAACAACATCAACAACAACAACAACAGCAACAACAAAACTCAGTGGAAGACTGAAGTAGGGGAATCTGGGGGAAGAAAGAAGCAAAAATACCAAGATAGCTCAACAATTGGTCACATTCCAAAGGGCAAGAAATTGAGGAAACCAGGGTTCCATCTGGAATGTTGAGAAAACAGGTGCTAGAGCCCAGGAGATACCATCCTTCCGGGAGGACTTTAGAGCCCATTGTGTGGGCTCATTTGGAGCTGTAACAATAACTGGGGGTTGTTATGGCATTCACCCGGCTGCAGGGGCCAAGGTTGCTAAAACGTCCTCCTAAGCCTGGGATAGTTCCACACACAATGGAGAACTGCATCACCCTCCTTGTGAACCTACTCCGGTAACCTGATCTTTAGTTTGTCCAACTGTAAAATGGGGCTAGCCCCATTCTCACAGAATTATTATAAAAACCGCTTTTCCACGAATGGTATTTATTGTTACTGCGGTTGTTAGCTATAATTACGTACTACAGATATCTCAGGAAGCCCTTAAATTCCTCCACTGTAAGCCACGGGCAAGGACAGTCATAGACCGTAGTTTCTAGGAAGACCAGCCGATTCCAAGAAGGGTGCTCGGCGGGAGAACCTAATGCCGAAAGCCTATTGGCGAAAAACTCTTCCTTCCCGGACGCTAACGTCTGGCAAACCACATTGCCCGGCAGACCCCGCAGCCTGGGGCCGGCGCTCAAGTCATGCATTCTGGGATTGGTAGTTTCCAGGCCTCAGTGTCGGCCTGTGCCGCCCAGCTCCAGGAACTCGCCTTCCCAGCTTGCCTCGCGGCCGGGGGGGTGGGGGGTGTTCATCTCCGCGACCAGGAAACGGGAAAGATGGCGACGGCTCCGCGACGTTGAGGCCGCGTTGGGCGGTTCAGACTCAGGGTGGTGAGTCCCGGGCGGTGGAGGCGGTTCCCACGAGCTTACAGAAAGGGCTAGAGTCAGGGCACGGCGGTGGCCCCTGCCTCCTGGATGAGGCGGGAAAGAACGCCTCAGAGAAGGGGCATGAACCCGGGAAGCTCGGGCGGGCTGGAGTGAAGGGGCGCGGGCCCCAGGGGTAGTGTTGGCTCCTCCGGGCACAGGCCACGTCCCTGCACGATATTTTCCTCCCAGGACTCTGCCTATGGGCACAGCGCCTCTGATACCCCCAGTCTGACCTTATTCTTTCATGCTTAAAGTAGCCTTTGGTGCAGCCAAACTGGAACTCTGGCTTTTCTCTCGCAGTCAGTCCATGTTTTCCCGCCTCTGCGCCGGCCGTATTATTTCTTTTGCCGGGAATGACTTCTTTTCCGCGTCCTTAATTACATATCTTAAAATTCTACTTATACTTAAAAGCTCAAGCGTCACTTCCTCTTCCAAGCCTTCCACATCACCTTTTACAAGTGAAAGGAAACGCCTTTGAACACCTGTATTACTACATCTGAGCCTTGATACTCTTCTTGGTATGTGTCTCATACCCCCTATTGTTCTTTTTTTTCTTTTCTTTTCTTTTTTTTTTTGAGACGGAGTCTCGCTCTGTCGCCTAGGCTGGAGTGCAATGGCACGATCTTGGTTCTCTGCAACCTCCGCCTCCCGGGTTCAAGCGATTCTCCTGTCTCAGCCTCCCGAGTAGCTGTGATTACAGGCGCACGCCGCCACGCCCGGCTAATTTTTTGTATTTTTAGTAGAGACGGGGTTTCACCGTGTTCCCCAGGCTGGTCTCGAACTCCTGAGCTCAGGCAATCCACCTGTCTCGGCCTCTTAAAGTGTTAGGATTACATGCGTGAGCCACCGCGTCCGACCTCATAACCCTGTTGTTCTAAACACTTCCTGTGAACAGAATTTATTTTTGTAACTCACATAGCACCTAGCACTGTGCCTTGCGTACAGTAGATGCTTGTTAAATACGTCATTGAGTGAAAAAAAAGAATGTGCCCCTGCCCTGCAAGAACTGAGGACCTGAAGATCTGGAGGTTTGAGAGGAAGGCTGCTGGGAAGCATGGCCAGAGTCAGCCTGGTTATTTGGCCCTTGTGATAATAGAACCTGTAATAAAAGTTGCCTGTATTTACTGTCTTCTTCTCATTTTTCATTCTCTTCCAAACTCATTCCACTCAGGCTTCCATTCCCGCAATGCAACTGAAACAGCTCTTGTCAAGGTCACCAATAATCTCCATTTTTCCAAATTCAGTGGTTACTTCCCTGTCCCTTATTCCCTCTCCACTTCGGTGGTACTTGACACAGTTGACCCCTCCCTCCTTGAAACATGTTTTTGGCTTCTTCGTTGCCATGCTTTTCTTTGTCTTTTCTCACTGGCTGCTAGTTCTTTTCAGTCTTTTTCTCTGGTTCATCCCGTGGCTAACTCCTGTTAAAGTGTTCCAGAGCTCAATTCTGGAGCTTCTTCTCTATTTTTTTTCTTTCACTATGCTGCCTACTTAGGTAATATCATTTAGTGTCCCATGGCTTTAAAAGCTATCTGTGTATTGGTGACTCAAGTTTTTGTCTACAGACCCTCTCCCCTAAGTTCAGATTTGCATTTCTCTTTGCCTTCTGGGAATCTCCACAGATATTCTCACACTCAACCTGGCCAAAATGAAACGTTTGATTTCCTCTTAAATCTGTTCGTTCCCTAGTCTTCTCCAGTTTGTTTGCTATGGCACCACAAACTATTAGGTTGCTGAAACTATAAATTTAGGAGCTATCTTTGTGTCTGCTCTTTCTGCTTCTTCCTTAGTAAGTCCTGTTAGCTTTGCCTCCAAAATATACTCTGACGCTGCCTACTTCTTTCCATCTCCATCGCCACGTTCCTAGAACAAGCCACTGCCATCTCTTGCCTAGAGTACCATAATAGCACTCTCAGTGGTTGTGTTTTCACTCTGTCTCTCTGCTATATATTTTCTTGCAAGTCACCAAAGTATTAGATTGCTTCCTGTTTAAAGCTCTTCTAAGATCCCCATTGCAGTTAAAATCCAAGTTAACTCTACTCTGACCTGTAACACATTTTCATTATCTGACTCCTGCCCAGCTCACTGAACTCATCCTGAATCAGTATTCCTCCTGCATTAGTGCTTCCCAGGGTCAAGAAGTCTTTCCACCTCAGCCTGGGCTCAGGTGATCCTCCCCAGGCAGGAGCGAAGGGGCATGGGCCCCATAGGTAGTATTGGCTCCTGGGGGCACAAGCCGTGTTCCTGGACGATATTTTCCTCCCAGGCCTCTGCCTATGAGCTCTTGAGCACTTTTGAGCTCAGGCATTCCACCCACCCTAGCCTCCCAAAGTGCTAGGATTACAAGTGTGAACCACCACACCTGGCTGATTTTTTTTTTTTTTTCTCTCGAGACAGAGGGAGTCTTGCTCTGTCACCCAGGCTAGTGCAGTGGCACTATCTCGGCTCACAACAACCCGCACCTCCTGGGTTCAAGCAGTTCTGCCTCAGCCTTCCGAGTATCTGGGATTACAGATGCCTGACATCACGCCTGGCTAATTTTTGTATTTTTAGTAGAGACGGGGTTTCACCCTGTTGGCCAGGCTGGTCTCGAACTCCTGACCTCATGATCTGCCTATCTCAGCCTCCCAAAGTGCTGGGATTACAGGCGTGAGCCACTGCTCCTGGCCTCCGGCTGATTTTTAACTGTTTATAAATGTAAAATTTTATTGTTCAAAATAGACGGGAAGTCTTGCTATATTACCCTGGCTGGTCTCGAACTCCTGGGCTTAAGTGATCCTCCCGCCTTGGCCTCCCAAGGTGCTGGTACTACAGGCATGAGCCACCAGGCCTGGCCAAACAAATATGTTTTTAACTGACAAACGTGTAGTTGGGCTCACACCTGTAATACCAGCACTTTGGGAGGCTGAGGCCGAAGGATCCCTTGAGCCCAGGAGTTCAAGACTAGCCTGGGCAACAAATTGAGACCTTGTCTCTAATAAAAATTTTAAGAATTAGTTGGGGCCGGGCATGGTGGCTCATGCTTGTTATCCCAGCACTTTGGGCACTCAGGGCGGATCACCTGAGGTCAGGAGTTTGAGACCAGCCTGGCCAACATGGTGAAACCCCGCCTCTACTAAAAATACAAAAATTAGCCAGGCGTGGTGTGGCACGCGCCTGTAATCCCAACTACTCAGGAGGCTGAGGCAGGAGAATCACTTGAACCTGGGAGGTGGAGGTTGTAGTGAGCCAAGATCATGCCATTGCACTCCAGCCTGGGCGACAGAGCAAGACTCCATCTCAAAAAAAAAAAAAAAAAATTAGTCAGGTGTGGTGGCATGCGCCTATAGTCCCAGCTACTTGGGAGGCCTAGGCAGGAGGATCGCTTGAGCCTGGGAAGTCAAGGCTGCAGTGTGCCGTGATTGTGCCACTGCCCTCCATCTTGCGTGAGAGGGTGAGACCCTGTCTCAACAACAACAACAACAAAACAAACCTGACAAACATGCTAAGCTAGTTCACATTTCTTGTATCTAACAAGGGTTTTTTACCCTGATCTTTTCATGGCCCTCTTTCCCATCATTCAAGTCTCAGCTTAAATGTCAACTAAAACTTCTTCCCTGAGCCATCTATCTCTTGTTATACCCCTACCCATCATATCACTGTTTTATTTTCTTCATTAGCATTCATTACTATTTAAAATCCTTTCCGCTACACTAGAATTTAAGCTTTATGAAGTAGGAGACTTTGTTTTCTTTTTTTTTTTGTTTTTTGTTTTGTTTTGTTTTTGAGACGGAGTCTCACTCTGTCACCCAGGCTGGAGTGCAGTGGCATGATCTCGGCTCACTGCAAGCTCTGCCTCCCGGGTTCACGCCATTCTCCTGCCTCAGCCTCCCGAGTAGGTGGGACTACAGGCGCCCACCACCACGCCCGGCTAATTTTTTTGTATTTTTAGTGGAGACGGGGTTTCACCCTGTTAGCCAGGATGGTCTTGATCTCCTGACCTCTTGATCTGCCCGCCTCAGCCTCCCAAAGTGCTGGGATTATAGGCGTGAGCCACCACGCCCAGCATGAGACTTTGTTTTCTTTACTGCTTTGTCTCCGTTACCTACAACAATTTCTGGCACCTTGTAGGTGCTCGGTGAATATTTGTTGAAAGAATGAATGAAATCCAGGATGCTGTACAGAGAAAATAGCCTTCCTTTGGGATTGTTTTCTTAGGGCTGTAAGTGTTTTTTTTATTTTTTATTTTTTGGTGTGTGACAGGGTTTTGCCCTGTCACCCAGACTGGGGTGCAGTGGCACAATCTCGGCTTACTGCAGCCTCTGCCTCCCGGGCTCAAGCAGTCCTTCCACCTCAGCCTCCTGGGTAGCGTGTACCACCATGCGTGGCTAATTTTTTATATTTTTAGTAGAGATGGGTTTTTGCCATATTGCCCAGGTTGGTCTCGAACTCCTGGACAAGCGATCCACCCACCTCAGCCTCCCAAAGTGCTGAGATTACAGGCATGAGCCACCACACCCAGTCAAGACATAGGTATTTCTTTCTTTTTTTTTTTTTTTGAAACGGATCACGCTCTGCTGCCAGGCTGGAGTGCAGTGGTATGATCTTGGCTCACTGCAACCTCCGCCTCCTGGGTTCAAGTGATTCTCCTGCGTCAGCCTCCTGAGTAGCTGGGACTACAGGCACGTGCCACCATGCCTGGCTAATTTTTGTATTTTTAGTAGAGATGGGGTTTCACCGTGTTGGCCAGGATGGTCTCAATCTCCTGACCTCATGATCTGCCCGCTTTGGCCTCCAAAAGTGCTAGGATTACACGGTGAGCCACCATGCCCAGCCCAAGACATAGGTATTTCTGTGTGATAGCCATGATGTACTGATACAGAACAATCAGTCATTTCTCAGGTGATTGTGAGATAAAATGGGTTGTCCTCACCTTTTGAAAGTGCTTCTTGTTCATTTTTCTTTTCTCATCTTTATACAATCTTTCTTAAGGATATATGGCAGGGAATGGCATGAGAAAGGGGCTTGTAAGCTAAAGCTTAAGGAACCATTCGAGCTGAACCATTTGGGGATAAAATAAGTTGCGAGAAATGTATCCCAAGTCTTTGGGATGATGATGAGGTGGTTGCAGATTCAGGCTTGCTGCAGTTTTAGCTCCTGGCTGAACTAGAGTTCATAGCCCAAAGAAGAGTTGACAGTGTGGGAGTGGTGTTCGGTGTCTCCCAGGTAGGAGGGAGACAGAAAAAATTCCTGCTGAAACCTTTCACAAAACTGGGTTATGCAGATGACCAAGGTTGTGAAAATCTGAATAGGGAATGTCAATCAGGACTTCTGCAACCTCTAGTTTTGGGTATTTAAAATATATATCTTTGAAATAATTATAGTTTCACAGGAAGTTAAAAAATGTGTATAGAGGTTCTGTGTACCCTTCACCAAGTTCTTCCCATTGCATAATTAGAGGTACATTTCTTTTAATCTGAGTAAAAGTGTGTTTCTCCACTTAAATTCAGGTTTTCCTTGTGGTGCTAATTATAACGTAATCCAGATCTCAAAGTTAAACTTTTTTCTCCATTGAGCTTTCTTTATGAGCTCAAGAAAATTTATCTCTCTCAGACGTATGAGTGCTAACTGATCCTAGTGGGTTGGCAGACCTAATAAACTTCAAAGTAAGCAATATAGGATGTTTCTAGAAATAGTTGGTACACTGTTCATACACTAACACTTCTTTTAATACTCTTTTGTAGTCTAATTACAAAAACATGGTATATTCACTGTACATATTTAGAAATGAATATATAAAAAGGAATCGACCAGGCACTGTGGCTCACGCCTGTAATCTCAGCCTTTTAGAGGCTGAGGCAGGAGGATTGCTTGAGGTCAGGAATTTAAGACCAGCCTGGGCAGCATAGTGAGACCCTGTCTATAAAAAAAATAAATTAGCTAGGCAAGGCAGGAGGATGGCTTGAGCCCAGGAAGTTGAAGCTGCAGTGACCTATGATTGCACCACTGCACTCCAGCCTGGGTGACAGAGTGAGACTCTGAAAGGAATTACAGGGAGACAATATAGTGAGTAACGATGGCCTGTGGAGCCAGACTGCCTGCAACTCTGCCACTACCTGTCTGCCCTCAGACAAGTTCCTTTATATACCTGAGCTCCACCGTTCTCATCTGTACGGTAGACATACTAATATATCCACCTCATAGGGTTGTTTTGAGGGTAATTGAATTATATATAAGCAGTTTAGAGCAGTGCCTAGTACATTGTAAGTACTCTTCCTACTCATTACAGATGGCAGGAGAGCTGGCTGACAAAAAGGACCGTGATGCATCACCTTCCAAGGAGGAAAGGAAGCGATCACGGACTCCTGACAGAGAGCGGGATAGAGACCGGGACCGGAAGTCTTCCCCATCTAAAGATAGAAAGCGGCATCGTTCAAGGGATAGACGTCGAGGAGGCAGCCGTTCTCGCTCTCGTTCCCGTTCCAAATCTGCAGAAAGGTAAAGTAACTTTGTATGTTATTACATGGGAAGGGAGAGTACGTTTCAGATTTCTTCCTTCTTGGTTCTTCTGATGCCTCCAGTATTAGGCATCTACTTTTTATTTTTATTTTTTGAGACAGAGTCTCGCTCTGTTTGTTACCCAGACTGGAGTGCAGTGGTGCGATCTCAGCTCACTGCAAGCTCCGCCTCGCAGGTTCACGCCATTCTCCTGCCTCTGCCTCCTGAGTGCGTAGCTGGGACTACAGGCGCCCGACACCATGCCCGGCTAATGTTTTTGTATTTTTAGTAGAGATGAGGTTTCACCGTGTTAGCCAGGATGGTCTCGATCTCCTGACGTGATCTGCCTGCTTCAGCCTCCCCAAGTGCTGAGATTATAGGCGTGAGCCACCGCGCCTGGCCTTTTTTTTTTTTTTTTTAAAAGATGGAGTTTCACTCTTGTTTCCCAGGCTGGAGTGCAATGGCACGATCTCGGCTCACTGCAACCTCTGCCTCCCAGGTTCAAGCAATTCTCCTGCCTCAGCCTCCCGAATAGCTGGGATTACAGGCATGTGCCACCACACCTGGCTAATTTTGTACTTTTAGTAGAGACGGGGTTTCTCCACGTTGGTCAGGCTGATCTCAATCTTCCGACCTCAGGTGATCCACCCACCTCAGCTTCCCAAAGTGCTGGGATTACGGGCGTGAGCCACCACGCCCGGCTAGGCATCTACTTTTTGTACATTAATCTACTCCTAGCCCAGTTGGACCTGCAGGTGTTTTCAGTTTTCCTCAGTGACCCAACTCTTAAAAGTTGAGAGGGGGCCGGGCGCGGTTGGTTCACGCCTGTAATCCCAGCACTTTGGGAGGCCGAGGCAGGTGGATCACGAGGTCAGGAGATCGAGACCATCCTGGCTAACACAGTGATACCTGATCTCTACTAAAAATAAAAAAAAAAAAAGTTGAGAGGGAACTAGTAAGGTGAAGGTCCGGGTTATCAAGGAAGGTTCATCTGTGGCCGGGCGCGGTGGCTCATACCTATAATCCCAGCACTTTGGGAGGCCGAGGTAGGTGGATTACTTGAGGTGAGGAGTTTGAGAGCAGCCTGGCCAACATGGCAAAACCCCGTCTCTACTAAAAATACAAAAATTAGCCAGGCATGGTGGTGCACATCTGTAATCCCAGCTACTCGGGAGGCTGAGGCATGACAATTCCTTGAACTCGGGAGGCAGAGGCTGCAGTGAGCCGAGATCACACCACTGCACTCCAGCCTGGGCGTGAGAGTGAGACTCCATCTCAAAAAAATAAAAAAGGAAGGTTCATCTGTTCACATAGTCCGTGACCTGTCATTGCCGTTAATATTTAACAGTACATCTCTGATCTATAAAAGCTTCTTAGAATTCCCTCGTTATTTCCGTGAGAGATACATTCTCTAATTTGTAAAACATTACTTTGGGACGAGAGTATAGGAACTTTCTCAGGGCTGCAGTGAAGCAAGATACTTTGGAAATACCAAGTGAACTCTTAAATTTGCGGTCTTCCAGAGAACGACGGCACAAAGAACGAGAACGAGATAAGGAGCGGGATCGGAATAAGAAGGACCGAGATCGAGACAAGGATGGGCACAGACGGGACAAGGACCGTAAACGATCCAGGTACATGAAGGAATGAGAGGGGGCTTTAGGGGAATGCTCCCATTTCTTCTCTGCACCTGAGTTTGCTCAGCTTCTTATGAAAGTAGATTTCTCGCCAGGCGTGGTGGCTCACGCCTGTAATCCCAGCACTTTGGGAGGCTGAGGCTGGTGGATCACGAAGTCAGGAGATCGAGACCATCCTGGCTAACATGGTGAAACCCCGTCTCTACTAAATATACAAAAAATTAGCCGGGCGTGGTGGCGGGTGCCTGTAGTCCCAGCTACTCAGGAGGCTGAGGTAGGAGAATGGCGTGAACCCGGGAGGCGGAGCCTGCAGTGAGTCGAGATCACGCCACTGCACTCCAGCCTGGGCGACAGAGCAAGACTCTGTCTCAAAAAAAAAAAAAAAAAAAGAAAGAAAGAAAGTAGATTTCTCTTAACAGATTCTGTTGGTAGTTATTACAGAGCTCTCTTTCTTATTTATTTTTATTTATTTTTTTGAGGCAGGGTCTCTTTTGCCCAGGCTGGAGTGCAGTGGTGTGATCACAACTTACTGCAGCCTTGACTCCCCCAGGCTTAGGTGATCCACCCACCTCAGCCTCCTGAGTAGCTGGACTACAGGCATCTGCCACCAGATTTTGTTTTTTTTGGGTTTTTTTTTTTTTAATTGATCATTCTTGGGTGTTTCTTGCAGAGGGGGATTTGGCAGGGTCACAGGACAATAGTGGAGGGAAGGTCAGCAGATAAACAAGTGAACAAAGGTCTCTGGTTTTCCTAGGCAGAGGACCCTGCGGCCTTCCGCAGTGTTTGTGTCCCTGGGTACTTGAGATTAGGGAGTGGTGATGACTCTTAACGAGCATGCTGCCTTCAAGCATCTGTTTAACAAAGCACATCTTGCACCACCCTTAATCCATTCAACCCTGAGTGGACACAGCACATGTTTCAGAGAGCACAGGGTTGGGGGTAAGGTCACAGATCAACAGGATCCCAAGGCAGAAGAATTTTTCTTAGTACAGAACAAAATGAAAAGTCTCCCATGTCTACCTCTTTCTACACAGACACGGCAACCATCCGATTTCTCAATCTTTTCCCCACCTTTCCCGCCTTTCTATTCCACAAAACCGCCACTGTCATCATGGTCCGTTCTCAATGAGCTGTTGAGTACACCTCCCAGACGGGGTGGTGGGCGGGCAGAGGGGCTCCTCACTTCCCAGTAGGGGCGGCCGGGCAGAGGCGCCCCTCACCTCCTGGACGGGGCGGCTGGCCGGGCGGGGGGCTGACCCCCCCACCTCCCTCCCGGACGGGGCGGCTGGCCGGGCAGAGGGGCTCCTCACTTCCCAGTAGGGGCGGCCGGGCAGAGGCGCCCCTCACCTCCTGGACGGGGCGGCTGGCCGGGCGGGGGGCTGACCCCCCCACCTCCCTCCCGGACGGGGCGGCTGGCCGGGCGGGGGGCTGACCCCCCCACCTTCCTCCCGGACGGGGTGGCTGGCCGGGCGGGGGGCTGACCCCCCTACCTCCCTCCCGGATGGGGCGGCTGGCCGGGCGGGGGGCTGACCTCCCCCACCTCCTTCCCGGACGGGGCGGCTGACTGGGCAGAGAGGCTCCTCACTTCCCAGTAGGGGCGGCCGGGCAGAGGCGCCCCTCACCTCCCGGACAGGGCGGCTGGCCGGGCCGGGGGCTGACCCCCCCACCTCCCTCCCGGATGGGCGGCTGGCCGGGTGGGGGGATGACCCCCCCACCTCCCTCCTGGACGGGGCGGCTGGCCGGGTGGGGAGCTAACCCCCCCCACCTCCCTCCCGGACGGGGTGGCTGCCGGGCGGAGACGCTCCTCACTTCCCAGACGGGGTGGCTGCCAGGCGGAGGGGCTCCTCACTTCTCAGACGATGTGGCTGCCGGGCGGAGGGGCTCCTCACTTCTCAGACGGGGCGGTTGTCAGGCAGAGGGTCTCCTCACTTCTCAGACGGGGCGGCCGGGCAGAGACGCTCCTCACATCCCAGACGGGGCGGCAGGGCAGAGGCGCTCCCCACATCTCAGACGATGGGCGGCCTGGCAGAGACGCTCCTCACTTCCTAGATGGGATGGCGGCCGGGCAGAGGCTGCAATCTCGGCACTTTGGGGGGCCAAGGCAGGCAGCTGGGAGGTGGAGGTTGTAGCGAGCCAAGATCACGCCACTGCACTCCAGCCTGGGCACCATTGAGCACTGAGTGAACGCGACTCCGTGTGCCATCCCGGCACCTCGGGAGGCCGAGGCTGGCGGATCACTCGCGGTCAGGAGCTGGAGACCAGCCCGGCCAACACAGCGAAACCCCGTCTCCACCAAAAAAATACGAAAACCAGTCAGGCGTGGCGGCGCACGCCTGCAATCGCAGGCACTCGGCAGGCTGAGGCACGAGAATCAGGCAGGGAGGTTGCAGTGAGCCGAGATGGCAGCAGTACGGTCCAGCTTTGGCTCAGCATCAGAGGGAGACCATGGAAAGAGAGGGAGAGGGAGACCGTGGGGAGAGGGGAGAGGGGAGAGGGAGCCTGAAGCTTTTCTATCTATGGATTCTTCTCTGAATCTTTGGGGGTTTTTTTGAGATGGAGTTTTTGTTCTGTTGCCCAGGCTGGAGTGCAATGGCACGATCTCGGCTCACTGCAACCTCTGCCTCTTGGGTTCAGGCAATTTTCCTGCCTCAGCCTCCCAAGTAGCTGGGAATACAGGCATGCGCCACCATGCCTGGCTAATTTTTGTATTTTTAGTAGAGACAGGGTTTCTCCATGTTGGCCAGGCTGGTCTCGAACTCTTGACCTTAGGTGATCCGGCCACCTCGGCCTCTCAAAGTGCTGGGATTACAGGCGTGAGCCATTGTGCCTGGCCTGTATACAGAGTTCTTATCAGGCCCTGAAAGTATAGGTTAGAATTCAAGGCAGAGGACAGAATGCTCCTAACAGAAACTCAGTGGGGTTGTTTGAATTATCTTGTAGATTAAGCTTAGAGCAGGTATGGGGAAAGGATTGTTGGGATTGATAGGAATGAAAAATGATGAGGGAATATAGATAGCAGTATCTTCTTGGCTTGTGGTGGTGGCCATGTAGGCTAAATTCATTGTATATTAAAGAGTTAAGGAGGGCCAGGCGCTGTGGCTCACACCTGTAATCCTAGCACTTTGGGTGGCCGAGGTGGATGTATCACCTGAGGTCAAGAGTTCGAGACCAGCCTGGCCAACATGATGAAACCTCGTCTCTACTAAAAATATAAAAATTAGCCAGTGGTGGCAGTACTCGCCTGTAGTCCCAGCTACTCAGGAGGCTGAGGCAGGAAAATTTCTTGAACCCAGGAGGCGGAGGTTGCAGTGAGCTGAGATCACACCATTGCACTCCAGCCTGGGCGACAGAGTGAGACTGTGTCTCAAAAAAAAAAAAAAAAAAAATTTTTCTCTAAACAACCACACCTGGCTAATTTTTGTGTTTTTACTAGAGACAGGGTTTTGCCATGTTGGCCAGGCTGGTCTTGAACTCCTGACCTCAGGTAACCCACCTGTCTTAGCCTCCCAA
Organism: Homo sapiens; assembly: GCF_000001405.40. Lineage (NCBI taxonomy): Eukaryota > Metazoa > Chordata > Mammalia > Primates > Hominidae > Homo > Homo sapiens. Next base: position 48,840,426 of record NC_000012.12, on the reverse strand, counting down.
AGTGCTGGGATTATAGGCATGAGACACCGCGCCTGGCCTAGGGGAAATATTTTTGACATCAGTAGTAAAGTCCCACTTCCCAAAAGAGATTAGTCTCAAAAGGAGATTTGGGTAGAAAGGGGCCAAGACAGGGCCATAATTAGGTTTCAGAGCTGGCAGAATGACCATGCCTGCTAAGAGAGTTTCAAGACATGATAGATGACCATGGGCCAGTCTTGTTGAGTCATGGGGAAACTTCCATTCTCTTTTCGGGGCTCAACTTGAACCTCATCCAGGCACTGAAGTAAGAGTGATGTGGACCTTGTTCCTTTTCCTCAAAGCTTATCTCCTGGTCGAGGAAAAGACTTTAAATCTCGGAAGGACAGAGACTCTAAGAAGGATGAAGAGGATGAACATGGTGATAAGAAGCCTAAGGTAAAGGAGAGGAAGGATATTTTTCATCTTCAACTCGTGCGTTGCTTTGTTGATCTTTAAAGGGAGAGAGCCTTTATAGACTAAAGTTCTGTTTTATCTTCAGGCCCAGCCATTATCCCTGGAGGAGCTTCTGGCCAAGAAAAAGGCTGAGGAAGAAGCTGAGGCTAAGGTAAGTACTTGAGGGTCTTCATTCATCGGCTCAGGCTGCCATAACACAATACCACAGACTGGGTGACTTCAACGACAGAAGTTAATTTTCTCACAGTTCTGGAGGCTGGAAGTCTGAGAGCGGAGTGTCAGCAGGGTTATTTCTTCTGAGGTCTCTCTCCTTGGCTTATAAGGCTGTCTTCTTCCTCAGCTCTTCACATGGTCCTCCCTCTGTACACATGTACCCCTTGTGTTGGATTAGGGCTCACCCTAAAAGGCCCTTTTTTTTTTTTTTTTTTTTTTTTTTGAGACAGAGTCTCACTCTGTCGCCCAGGATGGAGTACAGTGGCATGATATCGGCTCACTTCAACCTCCACCTCCCAGGCTGAAGCAATCCTCCCACCTCAGCCTCCCAAGTATCTGGGACTACAGGTGCGTGCCACAACGTCCAGCTAATTTTTGTATTTTTTGTAGAGTCCAGATTTCACCACGTTGTCCAGGCTGGTCTCGAACCCCTGGGCTCAAGTGATCTGCCCTCCTTGGCCTCACAAAGTGCTGGGATTACAGGCGTGAGCCACTGTGCCCAGCCTAATGGGCTCATTTTAACTTAATCACCTCTTTACATGTCCTGTCTCCACATATAGTCAAATTCTGAGGTACTAGGAGTTAGGGCTTCCACATAGGAATTTTGAGCTGGGTACAGTGGCTCACACCTGTAATCCCAATACTTTGGAAGGCCAAGATGGGAGGATCACTTGAGCCAGGGATTTTTAGACCAGCCTAGGCAACATGGTGAAAACCCATCTCTATAAAATTTTAAAAATTAGCCATCTGTGGTAGCATGCGCCTGTAGTCCCAGCTACTCAGGAGGCTGAGGCAAGGATATTGCTTGAGCCCAGGAGGTTGAAGCTGCAGTGAGCCATGATGACACCACTGTACTGCAGCTTGGGCAACAGAGCGAGAGTCTGTCTCAAAAAATATATATAACACATGCATTGTTTGTTTGTTTGTTTGAGATGGAGTCTCGCCCCGTTGCCCAGGCTGGAGTGCAGTGGCATGATCTCGGCTCACTGCAACCTCTGCCTCCCAGGTTCAAGCAATTCTCCTGCCTCAGCCTCCTGAGTAGCTGGGATTACAGGCACGTGCCACCATGCCTGGCTAATTTTTTGTATTTTTTTAGTAGAGATAGGGTTTCACTGTGCTGGCCAGGCTTGTCTTGAACTCCTGACCTCGTGATCCGCCCATCTCGGCCTCCCAAAGTGCTAGGATTACAGGCACAAGCCACCGCACTCGGCCACATTTTTTTTTTTTTTTTAAAGGTAAGGTCTTGCTCGTTTGCCCAGGCTAAAGTACAGTGGTGCAATCACAGCTCACTGTAACCTCAAACTCCTGGGCTCATATGATTTTCCTGCCTCAGCCTCCTGAGTAGCTGGGACTATATGCACATGCCATCATGTCTGGCTGAGTTTTTTTATTTTTGTAGAAACAAGGTCTGCTATGTTGCCCAGGCTGGTCTTGAACTCATGGCCTCAAGCGGTCCTCCCATCTAGGTCTCATAAAACACTGGGATTACAGGCATGTGCCACCACGTCCAGCCTGAAAAAACATATGAATTCTGTAGGGGACATAGTTCAGTCCATAACCGAGTCCAAGGCCTATTTGTGTTTTCCTCAACAGGCTTAATGCCTGAGCAAATACTTTTGGGTTCCCTGCCATCTCCCCATCAGTGATGTGATTGTACCCTGCTCCCAGATCCTTTGTTGACAGTTCCAATCTCTTTTGTAGCCCAAGTTCCTCTCTAAAGCAGAACGAGAGGCTGAAGCTCTAAAGCGACGGCAGCAGGAGGTGGAAGAGCGGCAGAGGATGCTTGAAGAAGAGAGGAAGAAAAGGAAACAGTTCCAAGACTTGGGCAGGAAGATGTTGGGTTTGTTATTCTACCCTGTGTAGCCCCTAGATGGAAGAGGAAAGAGTGGGATGAGATACAGTGTCTCTTAGGAGAGATAGAAACCTGTTCACTCTGGAGTTTGGAAAGGGGAAGGATGGTGGGAGTTTATGAGAAAACATTTTTCTGTTAGATCTCCATTTACCCCATATCATAAGTCTACCCCTTTTTTTCTTCATTTGGGGTTCCTCGTCTGGATTCCCTCCATTCCCTCTCCTCTTTTCTTCCATGAGCTCTTCTGCAGCTTTGCTTTCTTTGGTCTGCAGAAGATCCTCAGGAACGGGAACGTCGGGAACGCAGGGAGAGGATGGAACGGGAGACCAATGGAAATGAGGATGAGGAAGGGCGGCAGAAGATCCGGGAAGAGAAGGATAAGAGCAAGGAACTGCATGCCATTAAGGTGCAGGCCTTGGCTCCATCTTCACTTCTCTCCCACACAAAAATGAGGTTTAGTTATTTGGCCATTGTGATCTCTGCATGTGAGAATTGGGCCTCAAAGCTCATGTGCTTTGTGTTCTGTCCCTGGGTAGGAGCGTTACCTGGGTGGCATCAAAAAGCGGCGCCGAACGAGACATCTCAATGACCGGAAATTTGTTTTTGAGTGGGATGCATCTGAGGACACATCCATTGACTACAACCCCCTGTGAGTGGCTTCAGGCCTGAGTTCTAGGTCTTTTCCACTAGGCAGTCCTAGAGAGCTGATGACTACGGAGGTGGAGGAAGTAAGATAAGCTGGGATGGAAAATTGGTAGACTGGTAGTCAGCCAGCCCTCTGGTGGAAGAAAGACCCTGTCTGGGAAGAACTGTTTCATACTAGTAGTCTGCCCTTCCTTCCTACTGCCGTTAACAGCTCCTTCTTTTTTCTTTTCCTCTATCTCAATCCCAGGTACAAAGAACGGCACCAGGTGCAGTTGTTAGGGCGAGGCTTCATTGCAGGCATTGACCTCAAGCAGCAGAAGCGAGAGCAGTCACGTTTCTATGGAGACCTAATGGAGAAGAGGCGAACCCTGGAAGAAAAGGAGCAGGAGGAGTGAGTGATCAAGGCTAGGGTGGCTGGACAGAGCCCAGAGGCTCTACAGAAAGGAGTTGGAGGGCACTGATTCTACTTACTCCTCACACCCTGCTCCAGGGCAAGACTCCGCAAACTTCGTAAGAAGGAAGCCAAGCAGCGCTGGGATGATCGTCATTGGTCTCAGAAAAAGTTAGATGAGATGACGGACAGGGACTGGCGGATCTTCCGTGAGGACTACAGCATCACCACCAAAGGTGGCAAGATCCCCAATCCCATCCGATCCTGGAAAGACTCTTCTCTGCCCCCACACATCTTGGAGGTCATTGATAAGTGTGGCTACAAGGTAAGGAGGGATAGATTGGCCCAAGAGATCTGACATGTTCCTACACTAGTTTGGGAATAGAGAACTTTGTTCCTTGACTATTTGGAGCCATCGCTGCTAGTGGGCACCAATGTGACCTTTTCTGTCACTTTCTGGTAGAAGTGTTGGCTTTTAGTGATTAGGTTTCTTCTTGGGGTCCCTATTTCTGTGAACTGTACTTGGCATCCTTCCATTGTGCTAGCAGATGTGCTTACTACTATCAGTGGTTGCCCAGGTGGTATAACTCTCCCTGTACCTATTACTCTTTCTTGGGGTCACTGCAGGAACCAACACCTATACAGCGTCAGGCAATTCCCATTGGGCTACAGAATCGTGACATCATTGGTGTGGCTGAGACTGGCAGTGGCAAGACAGCAGCCTTCCTCATCCCTCTGCTGGTCTGGATCACCACACTTCCCAAAATTGACAGGTGAGGTCAGCTAGCACCAGCTGGAGTGGGTTTGTCTGGGTAGGAAAGGTGAAAGTGGCAAATGAATGTTTGATTTTTGTTTTACGTCTATAATCAGAAGCTTTCTTCTTTATTCTTTGTTGGATATTAGGGAATAATTGGATCATGATATCGAAGAAGTATATGTTGCTGGCAAAGACCTGGAGAACTTTGCTATCCTGGAGTCTCTGATTTATTTTATTTATTTTTTTGAGGCAGAGTCTCACTCTGTCACCCAGGCTGGAGTGCAGTGGCACGATCTCAGCTCACTACAACTTTTGCCTCCCAGGTTCAGGTGATTCTCCTGCTTCATCCTCCTGAGTAGCTGGGGATTACAGGCGTGTGCCACCACTTCTAGCTAATTTTTGGTTTTTTGTTTTGTTTTGTTTTTTGAGACGGAGTTTCGCTCTTGTTGCCCAGGCTGGAGTGCAATGGCGCAATCTCGGCTCACTGCAACCTCCTCCTCCCAGGTTCAAGTGATTCTCCTCCCTCAGCCTCCCAAGTAGCTGGGATTATAGGTGCCCGTCACCATGCCCGGCTAATTTTTTTGTATTTTTAGTAGAGACGGGGTCTCAATGTTGGTCAGGCTGGTCTCTAACTCCTGACCTCAAGTGATCTGCCTGCCTCAGCCTCCCAAAGTGTTGGAATTACAGGCGTGAGCCAGTGTGCCTGTCCTTAATTTTTACATTTTTAGTAGAGATGAGGTTTCACCATGTTGGCCAGGCTGGTCTCAAACTCCCGATCTCAACTGATCTGCCTGCCTTGGCCTCCCAAAGTGCTGGGATTACAGGCGTGAACCACTGCACCTGGCTGAATCTCTGATTTTTATGTATTTATTATTTATTTATTTATTTATTTTTTGAGATGGAGTCTCGCTCTATTGTCTAGGCTGGAGTGCAGTGGTGTGATCTTGGCTTACAGCAACCGTTGCCTCCCAGGCTCATATCCTCCTACCTCAGCCTCCCAAGTAGCTGGGATTACAGGTGTGTTCGAACATGCCCAGCTAATTTTTGTATTTTTTGTAGAAACAGGGTTTTACCATGTTGCCTAGACTGGTCTCAAACTCCTGGGCTCAAGTGATTCACTCACCTCAGCCTCCGAAAGTGCTCGGATTATAGGCTTGTGCCACCTTGCCTGGCCTCTGGACTTATTTTTATTTTTATTTTTTTTGGAGACAGAGTGTCTCTGTCACCCAGGCTGGAGTGCAGTGGCGTGATCTCAGCTCACTGCAACCTCTGTCTCCTGGGTTCAAGCGATTCTTCTGCCTCAGCCTCCCGAGTAGCTGGTATTACAGGCGCCGGCCACCACGCCTGGCTAATTTTTGTATTTTTATTAGAGGCAGGGTTTCACCATGTTGGCCAGGCTGGTCTCAAACTCCTGACTTCAGGTGATCCGCCTGCCTCAGCCTCCCAAAGTTCTGGGATTACAGACATGAGCCACCATGCCCAGCCCTGGCCTCTGATTTTTAAGTGAGATCATTGCATTCTTTTCTCATCATCCTCCCCATTCCCATTGCTCCCCGTAAGAGTGACTTTGTCTTGCTCTGGCTTGTGGTTGGATAAGAACCAAAGCTCACGAAGCTGTGGGGCACCCTGTTTACCACAGGATCGAAGAGTCAGACCAAGGCCCTTATGCCATCATCCTGGCTCCCACCCGTGAGTTGGCTCAACAGATTGAGGAAGAGACCATCAAGTTTGGGAAACCGCTAGGTATCCGCACTGTGGCTGTCATTGGTGGCATCTCCAGAGAAGACCAGGGCTTCAGGCTGCGCATGGGTTGTGAGGTTTGTTTTTCTATCTAGCAGCCAGCCTGCTGTCTGGGAAGGCTATCTTGGGGCTTTGTTTCTAGTTTCTGGAATATATGTGCAGTAGTATGAAGAAAGGAGCTGGTTTATATATATGTGCTATTTATTGAGAACTTATGCACCAGGGTTTATATCACAAATAGTATATATCATATATATTAGCTCATTAATTCTCACAATAATGTATGAGAGTGGTATTTCCTTGTTATAGATCAAGCTGAGGTTCAGGTTAATAACTGCCTGAAGTCACAAACAGCTGGCAATGGGCAGAGCTGAGACTCATATCCATAGCCTGTGCTTTTAGTTACTCTTTACTCTGCCAGACCAAATCTTTGACTTTGTGCATTGCCTTCATCTCAGGAAAGTGGAGGAGAGCTCTTTATGAGAAGTCTGCTGTAGAAATTTAGTCTTTTTACAATTTTTTAAAAAAATTTAGTCTTTATACAACCCCCTTCATAGTACCCCTTAGTCTCTCCCATCTAAGAAGTTCCTTCTTCAGGATCTGAAATGATTTGCCAAAAAAAAAAAAGTTTCTACTGATTTTGCCTCCTCTGTCTAATCCTTGCACCTTACTCAGAGACCTCATTCATTCCTGAGAAAATCCAGGCAACAAGTGATTTCATGCCAGTTTGCAGGAGCCTTTACTGCTAAACATAACCAGAGGTTGGGGTCCAAGTTCCTCAGCATTGGAGGTCTGTCACCCAAGTGGGTGGATAGTTCACAGGAAAGAAAAGAAGGGGCACCTGCTGGGCTATAAATGATTATACTGTACTCCTCAGATTGTGATTGCTACCCCTGGGCGTTTGATTGATGTGCTGGAGAACCGCTACCTGGTGCTGAGCCGCTGTACCTATGTGGTTCTGGATGAGGCAGATAGGATGATTGACATGGGCTTTGAGCCAGATGTCCAGAAGATCCTGGAGCACATGCCTGTCAGCAACCAGAAGCCAGACACGGATGAGGCTGAGGACCCTGAGAAGATGCTGGCCAACTTTGAGTCGGGAAAACATAAGTACCGCCAAGTAAGGCTGCTTCCCTGGGCTGGGAAAAGTTGGACAGGCCAAGGCGGGTGGATCACTTGAGCTCAGGAGTTTGAGACCAGCCTGGGCAACATGGCGAAACTCCGTCTCTACAAAAATTTAAAAAATTAGCTGGGCATTGGTGGTGCACACCTGTGGTGCCAGCCACTCAGGAGGCTGAGGTGGGAGGACCTCTTAAGCCTGGGAGGCAGTGGTCGCAGTGAGCTGAGGTCGTGCCACTACTCCATTCCATCCTGGGCAACAGAGTGAGGCCCTGTCTCAAAAAAAAAGAAAAGTTGTACAAGGTTGCCAACCTCCTTTTGGGCCTTTCTTGCCTTAGGTGGGCTCAGAGTACATGTTTCTAGAATGAAGTGTGCCTAGGTACAGTCCTCTGACAGTCCTAAGGGTGGAGCCATTTAGCTTAGCCCTGGAAAAACGATTCCAAAGACTCATGCTGCTACCGGGACCACAGGTGCTAGCAAATGCTCTCAATCCTTCCTGTCATCATAAGATGGAAAGTGCCTTGATGAGCAGGTACTCAGGAAGGATGGGAATTCAGAGGACACTATTTTCTAAGGTGGTGGCTATCAAAGCCTATACTGTGGCCCATTTTAGATTCTTTAGTCTGGGCTGACCTGCCTTCGGTGACAGTGGGATATATGATTATTCCTGCCTGGGTGCAGGGCTGAGCCTCCTGTTTTCGTAGACAGTCATGTTCACGGCCACCATGCCCCCAGCGGTGGAGCGTCTGGCCAGGAGCTATCTTCGGCGACCTGCTGTGGTGTACATTGGCTCCGCAGGCAAGCCCCATGAGCGTGTGGAACAGAAGGTCTTCCTCATGTCAGAGTCAGAAAAGAGGTATGAGGGCAGCTGAGCCAGGGGAAACAGGGTGGAGAATAAAATGGCTCTGAGAACTTTTTTAGTGCAGGTGCAGGGCAGGGCAATTGCTCTGCTGTGTTGAAGAGCTGCTGTTTTCTTGGGCAGAATGTCATGGGCATTAAAGACCCTGAAAGTAGTGTTCATAGATGAGGGTTGGGCATTTCACTTGGAGTGGGAGGTATTATGCATCTTGTTTTTCTCCTCTTCCTTCCAGGAAAAAGCTGCTGGCAATCTTGGAGCAAGGCTTTGACCCACCCATCATTATTTTTGTCAACCAGAAGAAGGGCTGCGACGTGTTGGCCAAATCCCTGGAGAAGATGGGGGTGTGTCTGGCAGGGGAGAACAAAGTCTAGCCTCTGTGGCACTGCTTTCTGAATCTAGCAGGGCCCCCTAGGCTCTTCCTTTCAAGTCTCACCCTTTCTTTAGCCTGTCCAGCAATCAACAAGTTAGGACCAGGGTGAAGGGTGGTTTGAGGGAATAAAGAGAATGGAATCAATTGCTGGGACCCCCTGTCTGCTGCAGTAATGCCAGCCAAAGCTGCCTTGGGTCTTCATCCTGGTGAGGTGGAGCCAGGGAAAGGTTTGAGACCCATATCCTGGCAGTCTGAGGATGTAGAAAAGAGTAGGTGAAAACTGCTTAGGTACGTTGAGAGGAGGTGATATGGTCAGAAGGGAGCTGATAATCAGTGTCCTTTACTCCTGTCACTGGTGCTTGAGGGGAGGGGTGTGTCCCTGTCACTCAGCTCTCCAACTTCCTTAAACTTCTTGATCCCTGCTTTCTACCCTGATCTCGCCCCTAATTCTCTTTGAGGACTTTTCATCTGTCTGGCTCCACCGCTCTCCCAGCTGTTTTGCCTTTGACCTTACTCTGTGTGTCCCTGCCACACCACACCTTTTTCTCTCATCCCTCTCTTCAGCTCACTTGTTCTCTCCTTCTTTCACTGCAATCATTCTCTTGTTTCCTTTCCTTTCTCGTACTCTGCTGCTCTCTCCAACCCTCCCTTCATCTGTGTCCCATTCCTCTGAACTCCTGTGTCTCTCCTTGATTGCATTGCTCACTCTTCACTTCACCATTCTTCCAACAGTACAATGCTTGCACACTGCACGGTGGAAAAGGCCAGGAGCAGCGAGAGTTTGCGTTGTCCAACCTCAAGGCTGGGGCCAAGGATATTTTGGTGGCTACAGATGTGGCTGGTCGTGGTATTGACATCCAAGATGTGTCTATGGTTGTCAACTATGATATGGCCAAAAATATTGAAGGTAAGTTCCAGGGAAAGCAGCTTCAATCCAGGGTGAAGTCAGATTCCTTATGGTGTCCCACTGGAAGTCAGGGTGCTGTCCATGGAAGGCTGTTACTGCCTCCCTCAGTTCCAAGTCTGGGATTGCTTGCTCCCATGAGAAGCACTCCTGTCCTTTATCTTACCTGGGTTTGTTGTCCCAGCAGCTGGGATGACACTTGTGTCCTCAGGAGTGTGAAGAATGAAGCTAGGCAGCTGTGGGTCTTAGTGTGGTAGGGACCACAGTCAGTAGGAGGACAGGGGAGATGGGCACCTGGAGAGGGCACTGTGGGCGCCTCAGGTTCAGGCAGCATGTGCTGTATTCCTGCCTTTGGAGATGGGGTGGGAAGGATGCCTCTAGAAGTGGAGGCATCAGACACGGCTCCCCAGGGCATCTGGGCTATGCTGAGTGACGTTCTTCCCATTCCCCAGATTACATCCACCGCATTGGCCGCACGGGACGAGCAGGCAAGAGTGGGGTGGCCATCACCTTCCTCACAAAAGAGGACTCTGCTGTGTTCTACGAGCTGAAGCAAGCTATCCTGGAAAGCCCAGTGTCTTCCTGTCCCCCCGAACTAGCCAACCACCCAGATGCCCAGCATAAGCCAGGCACCATCCTCACCAAGAAGCGCCGGGAAGAGACCATCTTTGCCTGACACAGCACTCTTCCTGTGGGCTGAGGGCATCTCCAAAGCTGCCTGATGCCTGTTTTTCAGAACCCTCACATCCCTCTTTCCAGGTCCTCACTCTTGGGATATGGGGGCTTAGGAAAACAATCCAACTCCCTAGCCCAGACCCTCAGGTCAGGAGGCCTGCGTGTGGGGCTGCAAAAGGAGAGGACGACGCTGTCGGAGGCAGGGAGAGCAAATTACCACAGCTTCTTGGCCCAGTTCTGCCCTTCTTTGCTTTGGGATTGCACTGGGCCATCAGCTCATGCCAGGCTATGGGGGCAGCCAGTTGGCATTGCTCCCCAGACTGAACAGAAACCTGGCCGCCGGATGGGACCTCCTTTGGCACAGACTTGACTGTGTAACTGCATAAACTGCAGTAGCATCATTGCCCTAGATGCCCCAGGAGACCTGGCACCATGAGGATTACAGACAGTGGAATCTTACTGTCATCTGGACAGCTGTTTTCCTGTTTGGATGGTAAAGGAAGTTGAGAGTCTTTAGACCTGTGCACAGCCCCGCACCAAGGGGTGCTGTATGCTCTAGGCATCCCCTCCCCCAGGGGATTTTCTAAGTAGATGGGGGGACACGGTGAACTGGCTGTGTCCATCTTTGTCACTGAGTGAAATCTCTGTTTTCTATTCTCTGAGAAGATAAGTTTGTATGTTCTGAGAATAAATACATGAATATTAAGACTGTTAGATCTAGTTCTAGTTAAACTTCCCAGCTTCTCCCTGGCAGGAGGGACACCACTGGGTGCGGGGTGGGTTGGCTTGGAAAATGAGAGACAGCCACATTAAGAGAAGAGTAGAGGGGTCTCTGCTGATAGTCTTGAGTCTGTAGGTGGACTTGAGAGGAGATGCAGAAGCCACGCAGGACTGTAATGCATCTTCCGCCCCTGCTCTAGCCTCGCGTAATGTGTGGCCCTGGCCTGGACACCCTCTAGGGAGCTTTAGGCAAAGGTGAGAAAGGAAAGCAGTTGTGAAATTTTGGCAGGTGAGGCAGTTGGAACCACTCTGCCGCTGTGTGCCCAACGCCTGGTCTCGGGAGCTTTGCTTGTGGCTCCCTAGTTGGACCCATTGCTCCTGGGAGGGGATGGTGCAGAACGGGTGGACCCAGCTGTATCAGGCTGTGGTGAGAGGAACGCAGGGCTGCAGTCCTCCCCCCATACCCCTCTTGTTCACATGCTCTTCTTACCCCACAGAAAGAGTTGGCCTAGTACATAGAGTTCAAGTTGTAGCTGCTTCTAGGGCCTTTTTGGCCTGGCGCAAGGATACTGTAAAGCCGTGACCAAGCGTCTTCCCCACATCCCAGGACAAGCCCTTCCGTGCTGCTGGATGTCTCCCTCTTGACACCTGGGCATGAGGAGTGGGGATGCCTGGGAGTGGAGTGCCTCCCCAGCTCTGCCTTTGTCCCCTTCCCGCTGGACAGATCCTCTGAGAGAAGGGCGGCCCAAACACATCTTTCCCTCCACCAGACTTTGGGCCGCATCACAGACAGAACAGAAGCCGGAGGGACTGTGCATGATGTTTATTAGTGATGACAGTGAGGTGAGGCAGGGGCTTGTGGAGCATGCTCTGTAGGTCACACACTAGAGCCATAAGGCAAGAGTAGCCGGGGAGACAGGTCCTCTGTGCCCTGTCTCTCCCCATCTAACCCTAACCTAACAAGCGGCAGCTATGAGTCAGGGAACAAAGTCTGGAGCCCGGTTCTCCAAAGATGTATGAGGGACAAGAACAGAAATGACAGGATGCAGGGCAAAAGAATGAGAAAGGCAAGGAGGCCCCCCTAAGTTCTCTGCTACACATGCCCTCCTTCCCCAAACCCCCATCCAGGTTGGCTCCCATCTGCCACTTGGCTTCACCATGCTCCTGGTCCCTGGTCCTGTCACATGTTAAGAAGCTTCCTGGCAGGGTGAGGAGAGCCCTTCCCTCCAAGAGCTTCAGCTGTGAGCTCTCTCTGGCCCGAGCGTGGCCAGCCTGCTGCTCCAGTCTTGGATGTGGCTGCCACACCCCAGCAAACAGATGGGTGTGCCACCCTGGGGGGGCTTTGATTGTCTCATTTCTAATGTATGGCAGTGAGGTGACTGGAGGCCCTGGATGCCAAAGCAGTCCCTTGACTGTCAGGACTTGTGCCTGCTCAGGGACCTTGTTTCTTCCTCATGCCATGGTGCCCACACCCCACCCTTTTGTCACTTTAATGGGGCATCCCTTCCCTGAGTCTGGTGGGAAGGACCCTGCTAAGGGGATCCTGGCCTGAGGGCACTGCCCAGTGGGGCAGCTTCCTGTGTGGGAGGAGAGGAAGGTGCCAGGGGTGCAGAACACACAGCTAGTACCTGGAATGGGAGCCTAGTAGGGGTCACTGCCCAGGAGGTGAGGGGGTCCCCTGTTTCTCCCAGAACCTTGGGACCACAGGCAGCCCTGAAGCTGGGGCTGGGCAGGGGGTTTTGGGGGCTGAGCCTAGTGCCAGCCTGATGCCAGTCTAACGCCACCCTGCCTGGAGTGGGCCCCCCAGCCAGCTGCGCCTGTGCCTGCCAGGGTAGGGCAGCAGGAGGCTGTCAGTAGCTATCCTTGGGCCAAGGCCGGTTGCGCTGCCAGTTCCGGTCACTGTGGTTGTGCTCTGAGTCCTGGGCTAGAAGCCGGTCTTGGGGGTCATGCCCGTTAGCACTAGGCAGCCCCGAGGTGTGTTGGCGGTGAGGCTGGTACAGGTCCTGGTAGGCATCTGCATAGTCCTCCTCCAGGTGGCGGGAGCTACGCTGTGAAGATCCTGTCCAGGCTTGGCGGGAGCTCTCGCTGGCCTCATCAGAGGGCATCAAGCTGTCCCGCTCAAGGGGGGAGTGCTCCTCGCCACGCTCCCCCAGCAGCTGCTGGTTCTGGGGGCCATACAACAGCTCTCAGTGAGGCAGTACAGACCTCACCTTGTCTTCTGGTGAGGTGCGAGATTCTTCCCCCCTCAACTCTCAATTCCCCGGTAAAGGAAATAGTGCAAGGAAAAAGCATGCTGGAGCATTTTTCCTCTTCCGAGAGAGAAAACTGGAGCTTCGACTCCCGCAAAATTCAGGCTCTGCCTTCAAGGCAGCCTGGGAGAAGGTTTGGAGATTGTGTTTCTCTTGACCCCTAGGAAACTAATCTCTGACGTATCCATCTCATTGATTGATTCCCTCTCTCCTCAGGAAGTTCCTTTGCCCGTCTGTGCTAGCTCTGTACAGCAGAGCTGAGAGTTCTACAATCCTTTGGCATGCTGAACTGGAGGCCAAGGACAGTCCTCTGGGCAGGGAGGGGCAGTGCCTTGGCTGGCTTAGCTTGAGCATCTCTGCCCACTGGAAATGGTTACCTGAAGTCCGGGGATGGCACTGGGAGGACCCAGAAGTCCGGGGCCAGGGGCTGGGTGGTGCGTGGCCCGCCAGTAAACCTCCAGGTACTCAGCCAGGTGCTCACAGGCATCCTCCAGCTGGTTCTCATCCAGAATCACATCAAATGACTCCTGGGGAGGGGGAGGAAGGCGCAACGTTGGTTTCCCCTCAGTAGCAGCCCCCCACCCATCTCTATCACTGCCGCAGCCCTGGGGGAGTGGGCACAGGAGCAGCTGACCCAGGCACTCACCGGTGGGCACTGAACCAGCTTATCATATGCCATCATCTGTACGGTCAGGTGCTTCATCTGTGACTTCCCCCGGGAGCGAATGAGACGCTGGAGTACCTGAGCGGGGAGGGCAGAGCTAGGCCTGGAGTCTCTCAGGACTCTGGGCAGAGCTGAGCCCGGGCAGAGCTAGGCATTTCTTCCACTTGTGGCATCAGTAGCAGGTGAGGATGACTCAGAGTTGTGTTAAGGGCAGCAGGAAAAGGGAACTCAGGTGCCCCAGGCAGGGACCAAGTAGAATCATGCCACATTCTAGTAGGATAGCCCTGTGGGCCTCCTCCATGAGCCCAGCTGACTTACCTTTGGTGAGGACACTTTGACAAAGACGATGATGGGGGCCAGCGAGGTCTTGGCCAGCTGTGCTGGGTGGTTGATGGTGTCAGCGTCCAACACTACTAGCTGCAGGGATTTGGCCAGCTCAAATATGCGCTCGATCTCACTCTGCACTTCCGCTATGGAGGGAGGCAGCAGCAGTGCTCACCAGGAGCTCTGCCCACTGCTCACTCCAGCAGGCTTTGAGGGCTCCCGAATGGTGGACAGGAAGGAATTGGAGGAAAAGGGCATTCATCGAAGCCTGGACAGGCAGAGGAATGGGAATTGAGGAGGAGGGGTGTGTTCTTGCCAATCCTGGGGGCAGGTAGAGGAGTTGGGCAGAAAGACAAGGAGGTAAGGAAGAGAAAAGGGAAGAGGGGCCAGGCATGGTGGCTCATGCCTGTAATCCCAGCATTTTGAGAGGCCAAGGTGGGCCGATCACTTGAGGTCAGGAGTTCGAGACCAGCCTGGCCAACATGGTGAAACCCCACGTCTACTAAAAATGCAAAAATTAGCTGGGCGTGGTGATGGGCGCCTGTAGTCCCGGCTACTCAGGAGGCTGAGATGGGAAGATCGCTTGAACCCAGGAGGTGGAGGTTGCAGTGAGCCGAGATCTCACCACTGCACTCCAGCCTAGGTGACAGAGCGAGACTCCATCTCAAAAAAAAGAAAAGGGAGGAGGAAGGTTCTCACTGGCACTTGAGTGGGCACAGAAGCAGGTGGTGGGGACTTCTCACCAATGCTGGAGCGGGCAGAGGAGCGCTCAATGATGGTCCTCTTGCCCGGATTGTTGAGCACAGATCGCTTTGCCAGGGAGAGGTCGGCTGTGACTCGGGTGATGGAGATCCTGGGGTGGGAGTGGAGAATCACAGCTTGCTTCTAAACCTGTGCCTCAGCCTCTCCTTACTCAGCTCCCACTAACTCTTCCCTTAGAGAAGACTAGCTACAGGCATCTGGAAGTAGGCCATGAGCTTCTCCTTGGTTCTCAGGCCACCTCAGGCCAGGGCAGCTTACCTGCCATCAAATCTGTGTTTGAGGAAGTCGAAGAGAGCCTTCTGCATCATGTCTGTGACCTGGGGGAAGGCATGGCACTGATGAAGGGCCCCTTTGGAGAGAAGCAGCCTCCCCATGCATGGCCCCAGAGTCAATGCGCTCCACATACACACCCTGGACGGAGGAGACACACCCCTTCCACTTTCCCTAGGGACTTCCTGTGGCAGGCTTGGTAGAGGTGACTCTTTGGGGTCAAGGACCTCCTCTCACCTCATAACCTTTCAGAGAGGGTCCCACCAGCACCACAGGCCGCATGGAGGGCACCACGTCATATGGGGGAACATGTTCCGCCTGCAGAATGGACATGAGGTCAGTAGAAACCATGGCCCTGGTGCCTGTCTCATGCCTGGTTGGCGTCAGGGCAGATCCAGAGGTTCTGGGCTCCCTCCCCTCTCTGTTCTGCCCTCCAACAATGACTGCCTAGAACACTGTCCCCAGAGCCATAAGCCATGATCCCCCCAGCCCAGGTCCCTTCCTTGACTCACCTGCTTTTGCTTCTGCTTGGCTTTTTGGAAAAGGAAATACAAGATTAAAGTTGGTGAAGGGGGAAAGGTCCCTGGGGGCATGGTATCCCCGTCCCCAGGGGAGATACTGGCTTCTCCCCACCCCTTCCAATCCCTCCACAAACCCTTCCCACACAGTTCACTTGGGCAGGATCCCCTCTTTCCCTGTGTCTTAGCTACCCACCTACCCAAAATGGGTGGGTTGGGGGGAGGCTACCTAGAGATGGCGGAGGGGAGCGTCGGTTGCCAATGTCACTCAGGCTGGAAGGGTTCCCAGATCTCCTGAGAAGAAAGGGAGGTGAAAGAGAGAGAGAGAAGAATGTGTCTCTGTGTATGTATGTTCTATGCATTATTTAATAATTGTACACAATTCCATATGCTTTATCTAGTGAGACAGGTGTACATGCAATATGTGTGTGTGTTTGTAGATTTGTTTAGTGTTGAGTGTGTAGAGCTGGGCATACGTGTATGTGTATTTCAGGGGGATATGCATGTGTATGGCATGCATGGTGACGTGTCCTGTGGGTACAGTGCAAGTGTTTGGGGTGTGTTTACTGACTCATGGCCCAACTCTCACCTGGCCTTCTGCTCCTGTTTGAGCCGGATGCTCTCCAGGCGCTGGGGGCTGGGGATGAAGGCGATGTCCCCGCCCTCTTTCACTAGCCGCCCGATCCACCAGTCATTGCTGTACTTCTGGGGGCAGGTGGAGCAGGAAGGGGTGGTGAGAGAAGCGCCCCGCCCCAGTCCTGGCTCTTCAATGTGAAGGAGCCAGCGAGGCAGTCACTGAGCTGGTCTGAGGAATGCAATGCAAGGGGCGGTGGGCAGAAGGGGCCAGGGGAAAGGACAGCCAAGTTCGGGCCACCCAGGATTTCTGAGTGAGGCATTGCAGCTGTCACAGGGGACCTCGGAGGCAGCTAATCTAACTGCTCACTTGACAGACATGGAGACTGATGCCCAAGCCAGGTCTCAGAAGGATGGAGACCCTGGGGATGAGATCTTAGATATGAGGGGTGGACAGGTGTGTGTTAAGGAGAAGAGCTGATTAGCTTGGGGAATTAGACTGAGGATTCAAGTCAGAAGCATTAGGATCTGGAGCAAGAGCAAGAAAATGAAGTTAGAGGCTTCTGGAAGTAGGGGGGTCGATCACCTCTTTAATGTGCAGAAAATCTTTGGCCTCAAAGTTGACTCCAGAGCCCTGGACTGGGCACTCCTCATCCAGTACGCCACAGTAGCTGACATTGGTCCTCACCGCAAATGCCACAGGTTTGTGCTGGAGAATTTGCCCATTAGTGCAAGTGAGAGAAGGCTCGAAGCACCCCTTCCAGCTTCAGTGCCCCAACAGCAGAAGGCCGTGGCCTCTGCCCATCACACACACCCTCTCACACTCAAGGACATCCTGCCCAAGGACCCCTTGGGACTTAGGACCGAGTGCAGGTTTCCACCTAGCTTGGCCTCCTGTCTTGCCCCATGCCCAGAAAGTATACCTTGGCCCTTTCGAGCTGCTGCTGAGCCTGGCTCTCTACTTCACGCCGGGCACTCTCCCGGTCCTCCTCCAGGGAGACGTCTGAGTCCAGAGATGGGCGGCTGGTGTAGGAGTCGGCTGAACCCTGGGTTGGGAAAGAGGCTGTGACTCCCAGGCTCCGGCATGAAGGATGCCATGGAGGCACCCTCCTCACCTTACAGTGTTGCCTCTATTGCCCCCAGTTTCTCCATCTCCAAGGGGATAGCTGGGTCCCTATGGCCCCTCCTATCCCCTGAGAAGGGCCCCAGTGCCTCTGAGGCTACAGGAAAGCTGGCCCAATCCATAGGTGCAAAGATCTGGGCCCCTCCTCCCCCAAGCCTATTAATACTGCAGCTTTGAATAGAGCCTTCACTTCTCTCTTTCCTCCCTTTTCTCCCCTCTAACATGTCCTCTGAGCCGAGGGAAGGGAGGTGTGCTGAAGATGATGTATTAGAGATGATTCTGGATCCAGGAGACCCAGCCCTCTTGTTCATAGCAGCCTGCAAAGCAGCCTGGACATCATCCCTTTAAGATGCCTGTCAGGAGTCCAGCCAGCCGCAACAGTCAAGAGATGCTGGTTGGCACAGCACCAGTCCTGAATGTGGGGATCCAGCCATCTGCCCCCTAAGATTCCACTTTCCCTACTCCAACAAGGCTCTGAAGGCTCCCAAATGGTGAGCCCTTACCCTTCCAGGGTGAAGAGGAGGACACAAAGCTGCCAGCTCCTAGAAGTTACCTCCCCTTTGCTCTCCCCACCCCCTACTTTTCTTCCTTCCACACCTGCTGGGGCAACTAGCCAGGTGTGGGCAGCAAACAAGACACAGACCAAGAACACAAAGCTGTCTCCCTGGGTGCAGGTGAGGCTGGGCCACACCTACCACTTGGCCTACATCTCCCTAGTCCTTTCCCAGGCCCAGGGGACATCAGCCCTAGAAGAAGGCTATGCTAGTGCCAGGCAACCTAGCTACGGAGCAGGACCCCGGGGATGTGGGGAGGGGGTAACATGAGCAAGGAGAGTCTCTGAGTCCTGCCCATAGGAAAGGTCTTGGGCAATGAGGGTGCATTTGACGGTCACAGAGTTCAGCCTCAAGACCATGAGGGAGAGGCACAAATGAGTAAGGGACGCTGGACTTTGAGACAAGAGCCCAGAGGTTACAATGTCTGGGTTTCCTCCTCTGTCAGGGAAAGGGAGTCTTTCGTTTCCTGCCTCAGTTTTCCCTCTCTGTGGGGAGAAGCCTCAAGTGATACTTCCCACAATTCTGAGATGCCAGTGGCAGAGAGAAGGGATAAGCCTAGATAAGGGGTTCATGCAGGAGTGTGTGTGTGTATAGGGGAAGGGGCTTTAGAATGTCCTCAGGTAGAGGAACATTCTCTCAAGCTCACTGGGCATGACCACCTACGGAAGGCAGCAGAGGCCAGACTCTCAGAGAAGAAGGCAAAATCACATACCTGCTGTCAACCATGCCCTCTACCCCTACCCTGCCGTGGGCAAGAGGGCTGTTCAGCTAGGGGTCAGCCCAGGCTCTCGAGCCTTAGGCTAAAGACAGTGTCTATAGTAGACCAAAGGCCTGAAGATAGCACAAGGGGGAAAGATCTTTCATTTTACAGAAGAGTAGTCCGCCGACTGTTCCTCATCTCTCCTGAGAACAAAATGAGGCTGGATGGCAGCAGGATAAGTGGGGGATGAACCCCAGAAATAATCTTTGCACAGGGTGAGGGACCTCCTTCCCAGGGGTCTTAGGACACAAGAGAAACCTCTGTGGGATGTTGGTGTCTGAAGCAACCAGACAGGGGCCAACAGACTGGGAGGCAGGAGGCAAGGCAGATGACCACTCGCTTTGGTACAGATACATTGGGTACCTCCCAGAGGCCCAGAACTGTGCTAAAAGAGGAGTCTGACCTTTTCTGCCTGTGCTCCAGGCTCTCAGCCCAATTTAGTAATCTTTATTTTTATTATTTTATTTATTTACTTAGAGACAGGTCTTGCTCTGTCACCCAGGCTGGAGTGTAGTGGCACAATCGTAGCTCACTGCAGGCTTGAACTCCTGGGCTCAAGCGATCCTCCTGTCTCCTGAGTAGCTACGACTACAGGCATGCGCTACCATGCCTACTAGTTTTTTGTAGAGACAGGATCTTGCTATGTTGCCTAGGCTGGTCTCAAACTCCTGGGCTTAAGCCATCTTCCTACCTTAGCCTCCCAAAGCATTGGGATTATAGGCATGAGTCTCTATGCCTGGTTTAATTTAGTAATTTTTTTTTTTTTTTTGAGATGGAGTTTCACTGTGATGCCCAGGCTGGAATGTAATGGTGCGATGTCGGCTCACTGCAACCTCTGCCTCCCGGGTTCAAGCAATTCTACTGCCCCAGCCTCCTGAGTAGTTGGGACTACAGGCATGTGCCACCATGCTGGGCTAATTTTTATATTTTTAGTAGACACAGGGTTTCACCATATTGGCCAGGCTGGTCTCCAACTCCTGACCTCAAGTGATCTACCTCGGCCACCCAAAGTGCTGGGATTACAGGTGTGAGGCACCGCTGGCGGCCTAATTTAGTAATCATAACGCCTGAGGCATCTGGCTTACCTGACCTCTCACCCTGGGATGGGAATCACAGGATCTCTTCCTAAATATTTAATGAGTTGTGCTCAGAATGGAACCCCCTCTCCATTACTCCCAAGTCCTCCAGGCTCACTCATCTCTAGTGCTCCAGTATTACTTGGGGAGGCCAGGGCTGCCCTGCCAAGCATGATCTAGGGTCTTACCTTTCCTGTACCCTGCTACGCCAAAATAGCCAGAGTTTCAGTACTTTGGAGCTGCCAGGAGTTGGCACAGTGCCCTGGTGGTGCCCCCCTTGCCTAGTGAGTGTGTGGGCAGGCTGCAGCTCCTCTCTTGCCTGGCACGGGGGAAGGAGAGGAGGGAGATGAGCCGTTGGATTTATTTAGAGCCTGATCTCCCTCCTACTGCTTCAGAGGGGGCCTCAGGGAGAGCAAGGAGCCAGGCAAGAGAAAGGGAAGTGGGGGAGGGTGATCAGAGCCAGAGAGAGATGGGAGGGAGCAATGGGTCAGCAGGCTGCCCTCCAACACCATCCACATGTCAGTCTGCTCCTTGCAATAGCCCTTGCCTTCTCACCAGGGATGGGAAGAACCTCCTAGGGCCATCCAGCCCCACAGAGAGGTTTGTTTTCAAGCTCACCTTGGCACCCTGGGCTATACCAGCTGTCCCTTCAACTGTCAGAAAGAGGTGTCCACCAGAGCCTTGAAAATGATCTGATCTAGCGGCAATGTAATTAGCCCCAGAGGCCCCATGGAGAATTGGGCCCAGAAGGAGACCAGTCCCAGAAAAGGACAGTTGCCTATTCTGAACATCAGCATTCATCTATCCTGGGCCTGGCAGTAAGTGATGGGAGAAGACTTGAACATGAACTCCTCTTTCCGACCCAGGGGTGCTCCAACCTATTGGGGCCCCTTCCAAGCCATCTAGTGGTCCACTCCTAAGGAGGCCTTCTTACAGGACATTTGAGGGAAAGTTGTCAGCTCCAAGGGGCTGAGAAGCTGCTCCGCATTCTTGCCCCATCTTTCCAGGCACTCTCCCTGCTGTCTGAGCTCCGGGAATCACTGCTTAATGAGCTGATTTGTCTCAGTGGGTCAGGAGATAAAAGCAAAGAGGAGAATTAAATATTTATCGGTTGCCTGTTTCTCTGAGCAAAGCGCTTCCTCTCCATCCCCAGGCCCTCAGCTCCTCTGGCCTCACCTCCAGGCCCTCCATGCTGGGCAAGAGCTCAGGATGCCCGCTGCAGAGGAAGCCTCAGCAGGGGGCTGTGGAATAGATGGGGCTCAGTCACCTGGCCTACCCATGTGCTGGGCGCCCAGGTTTCAGCCTGGGAGAGAAACTGGGCTAGAGAAAGGGTGAGGAGATGAGGCAATGCGCAGAGATGGAGGGGGTGGAAGGGAATAATGGAGCTCCTCAAGTTTTAGGATCCGTCTGTCTGAAGAGGTTGGCCCCTGGCTCCCTGATGTCCTCTCAGCTCCCTGATGTGTCGTTTGCTTGAGGCACAAGAGGTCTAGAATGTCTGCCTCCCCAACCACCTCGGCGGCTCTCCTAGCTGTTGTGTTCAGACCCCAGAAATCCAGAATTTGGAACTCCAGACATGGCGTGTTCCCTCTCCAGAGCCTCTGTGCCCTCGGCCTCCAGCCCTGCCTTCTCCCACCCCTCTTTCCTGGGCCGTGGAGCCACCTGCTTGAGCCCTTCCCCTATACTGCCCCCTCTCTGCACACACCCGATGCCCCAGGGTCTGAGTCTGGGTCGCTGGGGAACGCTTGGCATGAAAATCCATCTCCCCACGTTCTTAGAGCGCCCCCCTACAAACCCTGCCCTGCCACTGAGGCGTTTTTCAAAGTCCTGAACCGGGGAAAGGGTTGAAGGGAGAGGAGGTGTCACCCCAACTTCCCCGCCCCCACCCTCATCGTGGGCACTCACCGCCTCCGAGTCCTCAAACCCGGGCACGTAGGAGTCGTCATACATGGGGGAGTCCGGGTCGGGGGAGCGAGCGGCGCCGGGGGCGGGAGCGGCCCGGAGGCAGGGGCAAGGACTGCGGGCCGCGCCCGGGAGATGCCACCGAGCCCCGCAGCCCTGCGGGCGGCGGCAGGGAGCGAGAGAGCGCGAAGGAGGGAGCGAGCCGCGAAGACCAGCTGCTCGGAGCTCAGATCACCGCTCCCCCCACCCCACCCCCCCAAACCCAGCCGGTCCCACCCCGAGCGCGGCTGAGGAATCTGGCGCCGGCTCCTACAACAATAGTGCCCGCCCACCTGACCCCCTCCCCGGGAGAAGGCGGGGGCGGCGAGGGGGCGGCGGCCACCGGGGAGCCCGGGCCAGGCCGGGAGAGGGGAACGAACCCGTGCTAGGTGGAAGGTGGGTCCCCGAGCACCTACGGGGCCGTGGCGGCGGGGAGGAAGGGGAGGAGAGGCTGCGGGCAGGGCGGATCCAGGCAGGGAGGAGGCGGGGCGAGGAGAGATGCGGAGACAGAGACGCTCGGCAACCCAGGAACTACTCCGCCGGGAAACAAAGGGCTGCGGCGGGGGAGGGAGGGGGCGCTGAGACCGCGAGGGAGACGCGACCCGGGCGGAGACTGGAGAGGGCGCAGGTGTCGAGGAAACCGGAGAGAGAGAGGCAGAGGGAGGACGGAGAGGACAGGAAAATGGGGAGACCGTGGGAGACAGAAGAGGCGCGGGAACGAGCGGCAGACGGGGGAGGGGTCCCAGGCGACAGCAGGGCGGGTCTGGGCCCGTGCGTCCCGGAGGCTCCGAAAGCAAACCCCGCAGTGGTCCCGGGGAGGAATGGGCTTGGTGCCCCCAGGCTAATGACAGGACGGCAGCTCCTGCCCCAACAGGTGCCCGGCCCCCTCAGTACGGGGACGCTGCGGCAAAGGCGGTGTTGCCCAACCCTTGAGAAGGGGGGAACTTTCCGTGAGCTGGGTAGGCCTCCCCACACCTGTTGCACGGATAGATTTTGTCTTAGTCCTGCCAGGATGGGGGTTCCCTTCCCCACTTCCCTGCCAAGGATTGTGCCAGACAGTGCCAAGGCATCCGTGGGAACTGGGGCAGAAAGGGGCTGTTTTAGGTGAGCCTAAAGGGAAGGGGAAAGAAGCCAGAGGGTGGAGGTAGGGGGATAGTTGTGGGTGGGATCCTGGCTACACTCGGGTTGGGAGAGGAAAGGGCCAGTCTCCTCGGAGTCACTAGGGTAAGGCCAGATTCTCCCCTTAGCAGAAGGGCTTGTACCACTCTGCACCACTCAGTCTCCTTTACAGGAGCATTGAGATTTGGGGTAAGAGAGCCGCAGCCCTTATCTTGAGGAAACTTTCCCCAAAGATCCACCCATTTGAGCTCTTTCCTTTTTTCATCTCCTGAGCAAAATTCCTTCTTTGATTTTTGACTGCCTACCTTTGTGCCCCACGAGGAGGATGTGCGTAGACAGGGGTTACACTTGGAGGCCTCCTGGTGCCCATGCTCTTGGCCCTGAGCTCAGTCCTTTTCCTTCCCAATTTCTCACACCCGGGAGTTCAGCAATCTGCTCATCCCTCCTTGGCTTGAGGAGAATCAGAAATCCAAAACTCTGACATGGCTTAGTAAGATCTATGGTAGAAAGCACTGTGCATGGGAGAGAGAAAGCCCACCCAAACCAAGTGGCTTCCCACCTGGGTCACTTATCGGTGTTATCTTGGCAAGACAAAGAAGAGCTGCATCTTCAGACTGACATCTTTAGTCTGTCTACTGTGGGTGGCCCAGAGCAGCCCTGCCCAGCACCTTCCTCATGCTGGGTTTGACAAACAACTTTGTTGCAGCCCCTGTGGCTGAAGGGACTGTCTCCTCTCCTGAGTCCAGCACCAACTGGGGTTTGGTCATATACTGGATTCTTCTGTATTGGAAGTTCCCAGACACTGCCCACTTTTGTGCCCTCACCCAGTTACGCAGTATTCCTTGTATCCCCCTCTTTCATCCTTTCTCTTCAATTCCTTCTTTCAGGGGCCTGGAGAGGTGTCAAAGAGTAAGACCCTCAAGGTGCTCTTCTCCTGGGAGATGGCTCTAGTGAAGAAAGCAGTGGTGGAGGCAGCTGTTTCTCTTCCCATC
This sequence comes from Homo sapiens, assembly GCF_000001405.40. Lineage (NCBI taxonomy): Eukaryota > Metazoa > Chordata > Mammalia > Primates > Hominidae > Homo > Homo sapiens. The sequence goes on along the minus strand of NC_000012.12, from coordinate 48,816,827 downwards.
CCTGCATCCACTCTCCTGGCCTCTCCTTTTGGGACTCTCTCCACCCACAGAAGGTCCTGGGGCTGTAGGTAACAGCGGATCTGCCATCGGCAGCACTCCTTCCTCACACTCCTTGTAATCTCCTGCGACAAGGTTGTCTAAGTCTGCTCCTGAGGCATGTGTTGCCATGCCAACCATCCCCAGGAGATGGGTTCAAGCTCCTCATACCTGGGCCCATCCCCTGGGTCCTGCAGTAGCTTCAGAGCTTCCCTCCTTCTTCTCATATCTCTGGGTTGCTACCCAATGTTCCTTTCATTTCTCACCCACACCTGCCTACTCTAGTTCTAATACCAACTTGGTGACTTCTTGTCCTGTGACAGGACATGTGCCTGTCAGTGTCCATGTAGCCCTAACCTCTTTTCTTTTTCATGGCTGGGCATAAAGGGAGAGAGCTGAGGGCAATAAAGGATCAGGGGAGAGGCTCCTCCTGCTGATTCTTTCTAGGAGAGAGTTGTTAGACTGGCAGCTGGCAGGTACCCAAGTCATAGAAGCAAGACATAAGAGGAAAAGCCTGAATAATCAGGTTTGGGAGCTGGAATATATTGAAACCTTCTTGGGAGGTTTCAGAATATATTCTAGCTTCTCCTCTAAGTGTACCAGGAAGCTGGGCAGATCCCAGTCCCTGGGCACTGAATGGGGAAACTGAGACAGAAGCTAGGCCTTCTGGGAAGACTTAAAGACTCCTCCCCAGCAGTTTTTAAGATCTGGACCAGGTGGAGGCCCCTACCATTCTGGCTGCTAGGCTGCCAGGGAACTCAGGGACAGGCGCTAGGGGAGCTTGGCAGAGCCCTTCTTGTAATCTAGCCCCTTTTTTTCTGGCTCCTCAGTCAGTCCTCTCCTCTCATCCAATCCCAGTACTAGGAAGCTGCCAGCTCTGGCCGCTCCCTCCTCTCTAACCCGGTGCCTCTTCCACCCCTGGCCTCACTTCCTCCGGTTTCCCTGCCTCCCCATCGGTGCAGTCTCCCCCAAACGCGTGCCCCCTTCCTAGCTTGGAGCGGAGCTCTCCTCCCACCCAGTGGGGAACCCCCTTCCCACGACCCCACACCCCCCCCACGGTTACCTCGTTCAGCAGGAAGGTTGCACTGGAGTCAGAAAAAGACATAGACCAGGCTAGCGGCCTCTCCCCCTCCCCCGGGCCAGGGGCTCCGAGGCGGGAGCAAAACCCGGCCGCTGCTCTGCACGCTGCTCCCGCCTGCACGCCTGGCCTCGCCCCACGCCCGCCGGGCTCCGCCGCCTGCTCCCTTCCCTCTCCCCTGGTTCCCTCCCTCTTTCTCCTCCCTCCTCCCTCCCTCCCTCTCCCTTCCTTTCTCGCCGCCTCTGTCAGTCTCTGGCTCTCCCTGCCTTTCAGCCCAGCCTCTCTCCACTTCCGTCTCTCCTGTCTAAGGTCCTCGTTCTGTTTTTCCGTGTGCCTCCCACTGTCCTTCCATCCCCACGTCGCACCCTCGCTCCTCGGCTTCCCCTGCCGCTCTGCTTCTTCCCTAAAGTCCTCCCGAGAAAGAGTAGGGACTCTGGAGTTTCCGCCGCCGCGGGCAGAAGGGCAGGAAGAGCTCCAGGGCTGCCCCAGCTCCTGAGCTCTTGGCGGAAGCTTCTGCTCCCTCCCGGCCCTGCTCCGTGCGCCGGCCGCCCATCCTCCGGCGGCGGCTGCGACCCCGACCTCGGCGGGGGAAAGGACCGAAAAGCAAGAGTGCTGGTGCTCTGCTCGCCCGCCCAAGCGTCAAGGCGCCCATCCACCCGTCCCCGGCTCGGCTCTGTGTCTCCAGAGGGATCGGCATCCCTGTGGAGAGAGCCCAGCTGGGATCGCCCCGCGCCCGCGGAGTCTCTGCCGTCTCCCCCCTCTCCTGGGTTCTGGTGCAGCGGGTCTCAGCTCCGCGAAGGGGAAGGGCGAGGCGAAGCGACGCGGCTCCTTCTCGACCCGCTGCAGCGCCCCTTGGGCTCGCTGGCCCGGCGGCTACACGCGCCCTCCAGGTGGCGGCACCGCCTGGTGTCCGGTCCCGGGGCCGCAGGGTCCGGCCCTGCCAGCAGGCGGCGCTGCCCAGGCCAGAGCAGGGGGGACGCACCCCGGATCCAGACACCGCCCAAGCCCAGGACGAACCCCTCTCCCCCTCCTTTCTCCAGGAACTGCAGTCCCAGCTCGAGACCCCCAGTAGGAGACCCCAGGCTGCGCTCTACTTATTCCCACCCCGTGGGGCTCCTTCGAGACACCCGCGCCCTTCCGGGACCCTAGCCCGTCCCTACCTCCATCCTGGTCTCGAGGGGCGCCCCAGCTAAGCCGGGCAGCGTCCTGGCCGGGACTGGGCAGCAGGGAGTACAGAGTCGCGGGACCGCTCCTCGGGTCAGTACCCCTCCCGCCCCTTTCTGCGGGTGCGTCAAACAGGACAAGCCCAAGTTCTGGCGGGGGAAGGGGGAGCGGGGGTGTAGTTCCAGTTGGCTCTCTCTCTGGACCCTTCTGAGCGGACAGACCGCTCATTGGTCCCTTCACACCCCCAACGACCCCAGGCTGGACCCTTCTCCAGACCAAAGACGGCGCCTGGGGCGGGGAGAGACGGACCCCCCTTCATGGAGACAGACACACGCTGACTCCGATTGACCCAGGTCCCCAACTTCCCCTCAGCATTAACTAGAACGCTCTCCCCTTTCCAGTGGAGGGCGTCCCACCCTTCTTCCCGGCCCTTCTTTTAACCCACTTCCCCTGGGAGTTTCCGGGACCCCTCCCCTCAATCCTCCCATCCCCGGGATCTCGGGAGACTGTTCCTCCCTCTCTGCTCAGCTGACCCTCCACTTGCCCCCATTTCTGAGGGAGGTAAGTTGGGGGAGAGTAAATTCTCTCTCCACTCCCTCCTCCCGAGGCTGGATTTAACCTGGAAAGTGCTTTGAGAAGGCACCTCCTCCCCCACTCCCTCTGTAGTCTAGTCTAGTGGGTCACGGAGCCCCTACCACCCACCCACCTCCAAGTTGCTCAGCTTCGACCATTCAGAGGAAAGAAGTTATGTTATTTGTGTGTGTTAAAAATGCGTGTGGAGGTTTTTATGGTTTTGTTTTGTTTTGACTCTAGTAGAGGGAGCAAACGCTTTGCCTTTCATTTGGCAAGAAGACCTGGAGGGAGAGAGGGCCCTCCCCACCTACACTCCCCTGCTGACCACAGCTAATGGACTAGCTCCGCTGGGCCCTGCGGCAGCTTAAGTTTCCATAGGAGAAGGGAGGTGGGGAGAGAGGGGATGTTGGCCCAGGCAAGCAGTTGTCCCTGGCTTCCCGCAACCTTCTCTCCTTCCCTCCCTCCACATTCTCTGCCTGAAACTATAGCATAGAAACCATCTCTCCACCTTCCACTTTATTTTTATTTATTTATTTATTTATTTTTGAGACGGAGTCTCACTCTGTCGCCTAGGTCGCAGTGCGGTGGCGATCTCGGCCCACAGCAACCTCCGCCTCCCGGGTTCAAGAGATTCTCCTCCTCCCGAGTAGCTGGGGCTACAGGCACGCCACCACACCAGGCTAATTTTTGTATTTTTAGTAAAGACGAGGTTTCACCATGTTGGCCAGGCTGGTCTCCAACTCCTGATCTCAAGCGATCTGCCCGCCTCGGCCTCCCAAAGTGTTGGGATTACAGGCGTGAGCCACGGTGCCCGGCCCACCTTCCACTTTAAAATAGAAATATCAGTTACTTCTCCCTGAGGTTGGCGCCGAGGCTCACGCCTATAATCCCAGCACTTTGGCAGGCCGAGGCGGGCAGATCACTTGAGGCTAGGAGTTCAAGACCAGCTTGGCCAACGTGGTGAAATCCCATCTCTGCAAACAATATAAAAATTAGCCGGGCATGGCAGTGCACACCTGTGGTCCCAGCTACTTGGGAGGCTGAGGCAGAGAATTGCTTGAACTCAGGAGACAGGCCGAGATCGCCCTACTGCGCTCCAGACTCTGGGGGACAGAGTCTCTGTCTCAAAAAAAAAAAATTACTCCTCCATGAGCCTATCACAGGAAATCTGAGGTGCACAGGGGCAGTTCCCCACCCCTTACTTTTCTCATTTCCACCCCAGCTGCTGGACCACAGGCCCCTTCTCCATCTTGCTCTGCAGAGAAGGTAGGAACTTCAGAGCTAGAGCCAGCAGCCCATCCTCCAGGTCCCCAGAACTGCCCTCTCCCAGGCCCTTCTCTGTGACGTGACTGGCAGGATTATCCTTCTCCAGGGCCTGCCCAAGACGCATATCCTCTTCCTCCCCACTCAAGCTCCCTCAGGGCCTTCATCTCTGGCTCAAACCTCATAGTATCTGGGCAGGGCACCCTGCTGAGAGGGGCCTCTACCCTGGATCCATTCCTGGAAGCTATGCCCTCTAACTTGGCCCATATAGGCTCTGAGCTCTAGCAAACAGGCCCCCAGGGCTTCCCAGGCAGCCTTCATCCCTTCTCCCTGCTCACCTTGTCCTCAGACCCCAAGATTGTCAGGACTTGGGATATCTGGCAGGGCCCCTACAAGCCACTCTGGCTAGTCTGTACAGACACAGCTCTGCAGCAGGAGGTAACTGATCTAGAGCTGGATTTCAGTCTCCGTTTGCCTCCTCAGCAAGGCATAATCTGCACAACTGTGCTTAGTGGCCTTGATATTTGAAAGTCTGTATACTACAAAGATAGAGATCACCATGTCCATCCCTTTTTATCTTTTCTACCTAGACCAGAAAAAGGTACCTATCCCTTCTCTTCTGAGAAAATCCTGTGGAAGTAGCTTCCACAGGGAATCCCCATTGCCAGTTCCAGATATTACTCTGGGGGAAGTTCCTCCAATATCAAACCTCAATCCCTCCTGCTGCAGTGCCTTCTTTTTCTGGGCTCTGCCTCTGGACTCATGGTGTTATTTGATGCTTCGAGGCACTTTCAGATTCCATCCCCTGATGCAGCATTTGCTATAAATATGTCTGAAGGGTTTCTTGCGACAATGCCCAGCAAGATCGCACCCTCCTTCCCAAATCAGGCCTCTGGACAGACTGGGGAGTCAGCTGTGGGTTCAAGACCTAACTCTTGCTCACTCTGGGACAGATAGTATGACTGTTGTGTGCATTTGGAGGTTCCTCCTGGTACCTGGGAAGGAGGGGAAGGTGAGAGGGCTGAGGTGATTGGCTTCATGCTCTTGCTGCCCAGAATCCGGCTCAGCCTAGCACATAGTAGGTGCTTGATAATATGTTTCTTTTAGTCTTAGATCCCAGTTTCCCCTCTGGGTCTGCTGATGCACATGATAGGTGATTCCAGTCTCACAGAACGGATTGCAGTGAGCAATGAGCCTGGAACATGAGTGGAACTCTAGGGCTGCCCCACATGGAGAATGGGTATTGATGGCAGGATCTCTAGGGTGGCCAGGGGAATGTGGGGGCTGGCCTAGAATTTACCACCTTCTCTCCCTCACTAGAAGCAAGGAACTGCTCTCGCTAAATTCCTAAAGCTTTAGGACTCTGAATCACAGCACAGCACAGCACAGCCCAAGGGGTCAGTTCAAGTCCTTCCTCCACCCCCACACGTTTACAAGCTTTGTAAACATCAGAGGTTAGTCAGGGAAGCTGGGCTGAAAAGAGATGGAGGTGGGGGTTAGGATCCTTGGAAAAGGTTCTGCGATGTTTGACTCAGATTACAGGCACATGTGGTGGGAGTTCTTTGGGAAAAGAGTTCCCCAAGTAGGGGCAGCTGAAACATGCCAGCTGGAGCAGAGAGGACTTGGGCCTTTAGGAGGGTGGGGCTGCTGACAAGAGGCTGAGGGTGGCCTTGAGAAGGTCAGAGCCATGAGGGAAGAGGCTGACCCTGGCATGTACAGCTGGAGGGAGTGGGAGTGAGGCAATGTGTTTGGATTCTTCCTCTCTGCCCCTCTAGCTCATGGCAATTTGCGTGTTCCTTTATCTCACGGGATCCCTGCTCTGAGCCCACATCAGAGCCCCTCTCTAACAAAGAGGTGCCAGTGTCTGGCCTGCAGGCTGGGTACCTTTCTACTTGCTCCCACTAGCCTCTGCCGCACCCTTGACTCCCACCCTTCTCAGTTTAAGGATCTGAGCTGTGGTAGCCATCTCTAGCTCAGGGTGAGGGCATGGTGCCTGCAACCTCCCTGGGAATGAATTATTGAAGACAGCATTGTGCTAGCTGTTCACAGCTGCTGCCCCTTGGGCCCACCATTGCCTCTTACTGTGCTTCTCACTGCTGTAAGGGGGTATGAGTCTTGGGGCCTGGGAAGAGGGTATTGGGGAGAGGCAGGGACTGAATAAGGTTGAGGAAGTGGGCCTTGGAGAGAAGCCTCCTGGGGTGGAGGGAGGTGGGCTGGCAAAGACTTGTGGCCCCTCATGATGGATCAGGAGGGTAGTCATAGGACAGAGGGAGCTGGCAACCACTTGGTTGCAACCAGGTTGGGAAGTGAGACTGGAAGACTTTTGACTGGAGTGGTTTCCCAGGATTGGAGGTCTGGACTCTCATATGCTTCTGGGGTAACACAGAGCCAGAAGGAGTCTGGATTTTTCCTTGAATGACCTGAAGTCAGCACCGGTAAGTGTCATTCAGGGATGCTCTGTGCAGAGAGGCCTCTGTCCCTTCCCTGCAAATAAGGTCTTGCATGTGTGGTGTGAGGAGTGCAGTTAGTGTCACGGTCCTAGACAGGCCTCATCTGGTACCTTGGAAAGAATGCAGGATTTAGAGCCTGAAGACCAGAGGGCAAGTCCTAATTCTGCCATTTGCTGGTTGTGGGCAAGCCATTTATTATCTCAGAAACTCAGTTTCTTACTTTTATTTTTTACTTAAAAAAATTTTTTTAAGACTAGTTAATTGCAATAGTGAGAAGGGGGGAAGAGTAGAACAAGGAGTTTGATCTGACTCTGAACAATCAATTCAGATTGCTTGCTACCTTTGTACTAGCCTCAGTTTCTTTTCTTTTCTTTTTTTTTTTTTGAGTTGGAGTCTCACTGTGTCTCCCAGGCCGGAGTGCAGTGGAGTGATTTTGGCTCACTACAACCTCCACCTCCTGGGTTCAAGGGATCCTCCTGCCTCAGCCTCCCGAGTAGCTGGGACTACAGGTGCGTGCCACCACACCGGGCTAATTTTGTATATTTTTAGTAGAGATGGGGTTTCATCATGTTGGCCAGGCTTGTCTCAAACTCCTGACCTCAGGTGATCTGCCTGCCTCGGCCTCCCAAAGTGTTGGGATTACAGGTGTGAGCCACCGTGCCTGGCCCCCACAACCTGTTGCTTATTATTTATTTATTTATTATTTATTATTTTTTTTTGAGAAGGAGTCTCACTGTTGCCCAGGCTGGAGTGTGATCTCGGCTCACCACTGCAAGCTCCGCCTCCCAGGTTCAAGCAATTCTCCTGCCTCAGCCTCCTGAGTAGCTGGGATTACAGGCGTGTGCCACCACGCCCAGCTAATTTTTTTGTATTTTAAGTAGAGACGGCGTTTCACCATGTTGGTCAAGCTGGTCTCGAACTCCTGACCTTGTGATCCGTCTGCCTTGGCCTCCCAAGTTCTTTTAAAACTGGAAAAGAACGATGGTGGCTTAACAAGAGGTTCTGTGAGAGCTCAAGAGGAACACTTGCGCTTCATGAGATGTAAATTGCTGTACCAAAGTTAGTTGTTATTGCGGGTAAGAATATCATAAACAGGGAAGCAGCACGTAGTGGAAAGAACCTGCACAGGGTCAGTGGCCTAGGTTTTGGCATCTGGCCTGTGACTAACCCATGGAAAGACCTCTTAGGTCCCTTCCACTTCTGAGATTAAATGACTTCTCAAAGGCCAATTAGTCAACGCTCGGATCTGGATTCAGACCCAGATCTTCAGAATCTACCTCCTGGGTTTTTTTCCATTACAGCCTGTGGGCCGGGTACTCTAGTCCACCCTGACCTTCCATGGGCTCAGCACGCTGGGACCTCCCCTGAAAGTCCCCCACACCCAGATACCACAGTGATTAGCATTTCATTCCTTTGTATTATACATGGGAGGTGCATAATACAGGTGGATCCTCCCACCTAAGCCTCCCTAGTAGCTAGGGACTATAGGCACATGCCACAATGCCTGGTTAGTTTTTTTTATTTGTTATTTTTTGTAGAGATGGGGTTTTACCATGTTGCCTGGGCAGGTCTCAAACCCCTGGGCTCAAGCAATCCTCCTGTCTCGGCCTCCCAAAGTGTTGGAATTACATTCGTGAGCCACTGTGCCTGGCCAATTTTCATTTAATCTAATCATAGTCTATATTTAAATCTCCCTGGTTGGCCCCAAAATGTCTTTTTTTTTGAGATGGAGTTTCACTCTTGTTGCCCAGGCTGGAGTGCAATGGCGCAATCTCAGCTCAATGCAACCTCCGCCTCCCGGGTTGAAGCCATTCTCCTGCCTCAGCCTCCTGAGTAGCTGGGATTAGGCGTGTGCCACCATGCTTGGCTAATTTTTGTATTTTTAGTAGGGTTTCACCATGTTGGTCAGGCTGGTCTCGAACTCTTGACCTTGTGATCTGCCCTCCTTGGCCTCCCAAACTGCTGGGATTACAGGCATGAGCCACCATGCCTGGCCAGCAGCCTACTTTTAAGGAAGAGAGAGAGAGATCGCATAGAAGTCACAGTCTTTTTGTAACCTAATTTTGCAAGTGGCATCTGATCACTTTTGCTGCATTTTATTTCTTAGAATTGAGTCACTAGACCCAGCCCATGCCCAGAGTGTGGGAGTTACATAAGGGCCTGAATATCAGCAGTCAGAGATCATTGGGAGCTATTTCAGAGCTGCCTACCAGTATATTATAGGTAATATTCCATATTTTATCACATGAGAAGATACGTAGCAATTTATTTATATTATTATTATTATTTTTGAGATGGAATTTCGCTCTTGTTGCCCAGGCTGGAGTGCAATGGCGCAATCTTGGCTCACTGCAACCTCCGCCGCCTAGGTTCAAGTGATTCTCCTGCCTCAGCCTCCTGAGTAGCTGGGATTACAGGCATGCGCCACCATGCTAGGCTAATTTTGTAGTTATAGTAGTGAAGGGGTTTCTCCATGCGTGAGCCACAGAGCCCAGCCTATTTTTATTATTTTTTTTGAGATAGAGTCTTGCTCTGTTGTCTAGGCCAGAGTACAGTGGCACAATCTTGCCTCACAGCAGCCTCCTGGGTTCAAGTGATTCTCCTGCCTCAGTCTCCCAAGTAGCTGGGATTACAGGCACACACCACCACGTCTGGCTAATTTTTGTATTTTTAGTAGAGACAGCGTTTTTGCCATGTTGGCCAGGCTGGTCTCAAACTCCTGACCTCAAGTGATCCACCTGCCTCGGCCTTCCAAAGTGCTGGGATTACAGGCATGAGCCACTGCACCTGGCAATTTAAAAGGGCCTTTCATATATATGTTATTTGAACTTTAACAACTGTGTGAAGGCAGATATTGTTACCTCCATTTTATCAATGAGAAAACAGCCTTGAAGAGAGCTTCCTTTTTCACCCTACCTAAAGTAGGCCCCTTCAGTTACCCTTTATCACACATTAATTTCCTGCAACACAGTTTTTAAAAAATAGACTCTTTTTTTGAGACAGTCTTGCTCTGTCGCCTAGGCTGGAGTGCAGTGGCGCATTTCGGCTCACTGCAAGCTCCGCCTCCCGGGTTCATGCCATTCTCCTGCCTCAGCCTCCTGAGTAGCGGGGACTACAGGCGCCTGCCACCATGCTCCGCTAATTTTTTATATTTTTTGGTAGAGATGGGGTTTCACTGTGTTCGCCAGGATGGTCTCGATCTCCTGACCTTGTGATCCGCCTGCCTCAGCCTCCCAAAGTGCTGGGATTACAGGCATGAGCCACCGCGCCCGGCCTAGAAGTTTTAAATTCACAGCAAAATTGAGCAGAAAGTCCAGAGTTCCCACATACTTCCTGCCCTGACACATGCACAGCCTACCCCCTATTAACATCCTGCAGCAGAGTGGTAAATTTGTTAAAATGAACCTACATTGACACATCACTGTCACCAAGTCCACAATTTACACTAGGCAGGGGAGAGTTCTAGTTCTACCACTGAACTGCAAGTGCTACAGTTATACTAGGGTTCACTCTTGGTGTTGTACATTCTGTGGGTTTGGATAAATGTCTAAATGACATGTATCCACCATTATAGTATCACACAGATTAGTCTGACACTGCCCTAAATATCCTCTGTGCTCTTCCTCTTCATCCCTCCCTACACTTAACCCTTGGCAACCATTGATGTTTTTACTGTTTCCAGTGTTTTGTGTTTTTCAGAATGTCCTATAGTTGGAGTCATGCAGTATGGTGTTTTTTTGTTTGTTTGTTTTTTTGAGACAGAGTCTTGCTCTGTCACCCAGGCTGGAGTGCAGTGGCGCGATCTCAGCTCACTGCAAGCTCTGCCTCCCGGGTTCACGCCATTCTCCTGCCTCAGTCTCCCAAGTAGCTGGGACTACAGGCACCAACCACCACGCCTGGCTAATTTTTTGTATTTTTAGTAGAGACGGGGTTTCACCGTAGTCTCGATCTCCTGACCTTGTGATCTGCCCGCTTCGGCCTCCCAAAGTGCCGGGATTACAGGCGTGAGCCACCGCGCCCAGCCATCATGCAGTATGTTAACCAGATTCTGCGACACACTTTTCAGGCTGTATAATCTCATTCCTTTGTCTGCTTGTTTATTAGCTGCCTCTCTGGATGAGACTGCAAGTTGCCTGAGGGCAGGAACTTTGTCTGTCTTCTTTACTTATCACTGTATTTCCAGTGCCTAGAATTGTGCCTGCCACCTAGTAAGCATTAATGAATGTTTGTTGAAAGGAAGAATGTTTCTGGCTGGGCACAGTGCTTCGCGCCTGTAATCTCAGCACTTTGGGAGGCTCAGGTGGGTGGATCACCTGAGGTCAGGAGTTCAAGACCAGCCTGGCCAACATGGTGAAACCCCGTCTCTACTAAAAATACAAAAATTAGCCGGGCATGGTGGCAGGCGCCAGTGATTCCAGTTACTCAGGAGACTGAGGCAGGAGAATCACTTGAACCTGGGAGGCAGAGGTTGCAATGAGACGAGATTGTGCCACTGCACTGCAGCCTGGGCGACAGAACAATACTCCACCTACAAAAAAAAAAAAAAAGAATAAGTTTTGAAGTTTGTCCTTGTCACATTCCAATTGGTTGGAATCCAGGTCTCCTTGACTTGACAGCCTAGACTGATCTGTTCATTACACCACACTGGTAAGGAAGAAAGGTGTGTCTGAGGGGTGGGGTGGGAATAGAGCCCAGAGAAGGGAGACAGCAGGAGGAGTGACAACCAGAGAGGAGAGGAGGGGGCAAATGGCTTTTCTGTAAAACACACTTGGCCAAGGGGGCAGCTCAGAAGGCTCTCTTTTCCCCTTAGAATTCTGCCCCAAAGTGGGCATAGTCCTCTTGTCTTGGTCCTTCTCAACATACCAAGAGAGGCTCACTTTAAACGAGTGAGCAAAAAACTTTACCTAATACTAAGGAAACACAAAAAGAAAATAAACAATGAAAATACATGAACTCTAAAACAGCTCAGCGTTGTCTGAAGTGTAAAGTTTCCATTCTCACTCCCTGGACTCTCAGACTCGGGTCCTTTGTGTGTCTTGCCTCCTAGATAACTGCTGCCCAATTCCAAAGGGCTTTTCACAATTTTCCAGTCTCCTAGTTTCCCTGCCTCCCAGCTCCCAGCCTGTTTGCCAGGATGGGTATGGGGATACATTAAGACTTTTATGTATTTTTAAAAACATTTATTTTGAGGCAGGGTCTCACTCTGTTACTCTGGCTGGAGTACAGTGGTGCAATCATAGCTAACTGCAGCCTCAAACTCCTGAAGTCAGGCGATCCTCCTGCCTCAGCCTCCTGAGTAGCTGGGACTACAGGTGTGTGTCACCATGCCTGGCTAAAGACTTTTAGGTGCACTAAGAACTCAAGAGACTACGATGATCCCCATGCAGTTGAAAACAACTTAATTCAACAAACAATTCAACTGTAAAAAAAAATTTAAGAATGCTAAAAATGTTCTGAAAATTTCCATGACAAATTTGACATTTTGGGGAAAATGTCAAGTATCACATTATTTCTAAATAAATATTACTCAGTGCCCCTGATTTGCTGGCACTTAACACTCAGAGTGACTATTAGGTAGATACTCACTCTTCCCCCTATGCCTACCTCCATGGGAAATATGAAATGTAGAGGAAACATAGTACACTGTTAATTTCCTCATTTGGAGTACTTTCCTGCTGGCATAAAAACTGTGAACGCTTGGCATCTCCCTAACTTTTTATCTTGAACATTTTTTAAATGTAATTAATTAATTAATTAAAAATATTTTTTTTTTGAGACAGTGTTTCACTCTGTTGCCCAAGCTGGAGTGCAGTGGCGTGATCTCAGCTCACTGCAACCTCCACTTCCTGGGTTCAAGCGGTTCTCCTGCCTCAGCCTCCTGAGTAGCTGGGACTATGGGCATGTGCCACCACACTCAGTTAATTTTTGTATTTTTGGTAGAGATAGTGTTTTACCATGTTGGCCAGGCTGGTTTCGAACTCCTGACCTCAAGTAATCTGCCTGCCTTGGCCTCCCAAAGTGCTGGGATTAAAGGCGTGAGCCACCATGCCCGGCCTTGAACATTTTTTTTAATTTTTAATTTTTTTAAGAAAGAGATGGAGTCTCGCTTTATTTCCCAGGCTGGTTTGGAACTCCTGAGCTCAAGCGATCTGCCCGCCTCAACCTCCCAAAGTGCTGGGATTACATGGTGCCTACCCATGAACATTTTAAAACCTACAGAAAAGTTGCAAGAATAATACAATGAACACATAAACCTTTCACTTAGATTCACTGGTTGTTAACATTATCCCACATTTGCTTTATCACTATGTAGGTGTGTGTTTTTGCTGAACTATGTGAGAGTTAGTTGCAGACATTAACTTCCTTCCTAAAGACTTCATTCGGTATTTACCAAGAACAGGGGCATTTCTACATAACCACAAGATAATTATCACACTCAGGAAATCTAACAGTGATATATCATTATCTAATCTACATTTCCCCAAGTGTCCCAATAATGTCCTTATAGTTTTTTTTAAAAAATCTGGGCTCTGATAAAGCATCATGTGTTGTATTTAATTGTGTCTCTCTAGTCTTATTAAAGTTTCCCAATTTTTTTCTTGCATAACTTTGATATTTTTGAAGAATGCAGGCTAATTGTCTTAGAGGTGTCCCTCAATTGGTTTCCTCGATTCAGGTTAAACATTCTTGGTAAGAATACCACATAGGTGGTCGGGTGAGGTGGCTCACGCCTGTAATCTCAGAACTTTGGAAGGCCGAGGTGGGCGGATCACCCGAGGTCAGGAGTTCAAGACCAGCCTGACCAACATGGTGAAACCCAGTCTCTACTAAAAATACAAAAAATTAGCCAGGTGTGGTGGTGCACACCTATAATCTCAGCTACTTGGGAGGCCGAGGAAGGAGAATTGCTTGAACTTGGGAGGTGAAGGTTGCAGTGAGCTATGATCGCGCCACCGCACTCCAGCTCTGGTGACAGGGCAGGACTCCCATCTTAAAAACAATACTACGTAGGTGATGTTGTGTCCTTCCCAGTGCCTCACATTGGGGGCATATGATATCGGTTTGTCCCATTTTTGGCACTCTTAAATTCGATCACTTGGTTAAGGCAGCGTCTGTGGCATTTTTCTTATTTTTGAGACGGAGTCTTGCTCTGTTGCCCAGGCTGGAGTGCAATGGCATGATCTCGGCTCACTGCAACCTCCGCTTCCCAGATTCAAGCGATTCTCCTGCCTTAGCCTCCTGAGTAGCTGGGATTACAGGTGCATGCTACCACGCCCAGCTAATTTTCGTATTTTTAGTAGAGATGGGGTTTCGCCATGTTGGTCAGGCTGGTTTTCAACTCCTGACCTCAGCTGATCCACCCACCTTGGCCTCCCAAGGTGTTGAGATTACAGGCATGAGCCACCGTGCCGGGCCGGTGGTATTTTTCTTAATCAGGGAGGATGTTACCTTAGAAAGAAGGAGAGAAATGAGGATAACAAAGAGCAGAGGCAGATGTGGTGGCTCATACCTGTAATCCCATCACTTTGGAAGGCTGAGGTGGGAGGATTGCTTGAGCTCAGGGTTTGAGACTAGCCTAGGCAACAGAGCAAAACTCTGTCTCCACAAAAAAATTTTAAAAATTAGCCAGGCGGGCTGGGCATGGTGGCTCATGCCTGTAATCCCATCACTTTGGGAGGCCGAGGCGGGTGGATCACGAGGTCAGGAGATTGAGACCATCCTGGCTAACATGGTGAAACCCCGTCTCTACTAAAACACACACACACACACACACACACACACACACACACACACACACACACACACACACACTAGCCAGGCGTGACGGCAGGCGCCTGTAGTCCCAGCTACTTAGGAGGCTGAGGCAGGAGAATGGTGAGAACCTGGGAGGCGGAGCTTGCAGTGAGCCGAGATCGCGCCACTGCACTCCAGCCTGGGCGACAGAGTGAGACTCCGTCTCAAAAATAAAAAATAGGCCGGGCACGGTGGCTCATGCCTGTAATCCCAGCACTTTGGGAGGCCAAGGCAGGTGGATCACCTGAGGTAGGGAGTTCGAGACCAGCCTGGCCAACATAGGGAAACCCCCTCTCTACTAAAAATACAAATATCAGCCGGGCGTGGTTGAGGGCACCTGTAATCCCAGCTACTTGGGAGGCCGAGTAACAAGAATCGCTTGAACCCGGGAGGCGGACGTTGTAGTGAGCCGAGATCGCGCCATTGCACTCCTGCTTGGGCGACAAGAGCGAGAGTCCATCTCAAAAAAAAAAAATAAATAAAAATTAGCCAGGTGGCTGGGCACAGTGGCTCACGCCTGTAATTCCAGCACTTTGGGAGGCCGAGGCAGGCGGATCACCTCAGGTAGGGAGTTCGAGACCAGCCTGACCAACATGGAGAAACACCGTCTCTACCAAAAATACAAAAATTAGCGGGGCGTGGTGGCAAGTGCCTGTAATCCCAGCTACTCGGGAGGCTAAGGCAGGAGACTTGCTTGAACCCGGGAGGCAGAAGTTGCATTGAGCCGAGGTCGCGCCATTGCATTCCAGCCTGGGCAACAAGAGGGAAACTCCATCTCAAAAAAAAAAAAAAAAAAAAAAAATGCTAGGCATGGTGGCACTTGCCTGTAGTTCCAGCTAATTGGGAAGCTGAGAGGAGAAGATCGCTGGAGCCCAGGAGCTCGAGGCACCTCTGCACTCCAGCCTGGGCAACAGCGATGATACCCTGTCTCTAAAAAAACAAACAAACACAAACAAACAAAACAAAGAGGAGAGGCCCAGAAAGGAAAAGCTGTGATTGTTCATGTTTTTCCTGGGGACATGACTGCATGACGTGACTAGGCAATTCCTGCTCCTTGCTGCAAAGGCAGTGAGCCTTGGATCCAGTCTGAAGCAAGCCCAGTAGTAATTGAAAATCTTCCTCTTCTTCGCTTCTCTTTTCCCAAGCTCCAGTCCTAAACTAAGGACTGAGTTCCAACTGACTGAAAACCAAATTAAAAGAGGAGCCTTGCTCCCTTCCTTGTGCTCAGCGTTGAGACCCTGCCACCGCCTCAGCGGTCGTCCCTGCCCTGTCCGCCCCGGGCTGCACCCTGCAAGGCTCCTGCTGTTGTCCCCGGAGCATGGGAGGCTGCTGGGCATGAGTGGCTTGGTCCTGCGGAAGCTGCGTGGCAGGGAGGGGGTCCATGGCTGCAACCAACAAAGGCAGCAAGCCCAGATTCCGGAGTATCCACTTTGTGACAGGCCACGATGCAGAGGGCTCCCAAAGCCACGTCCACTTTGATGAGAAGTTGCAGGACTCGGTGGTCATGGTCATCCAGGAGAGGGACAGCAGCTTTCTGGTCAAGGTTCCTGAAGATCCTGCACAGGTATGAGATTACCTTTGCTCCGTCCCAGTGCACAGGCTGAGCAAGGACGTCCGCCAGGCACTTGTCCCCAGCCTGCACCTGAAGCTTCTCAGCGTCCTACCCTTCCCTGAAGGTTATAGTGTCAAGTGCGAGTACTAGGCGCACAAAGAAGGGGTCCTCAAAGAGGGGATGCTACTAGTCTGGGAAGGTGGCACCAGCACCTGCGTGCGCGGAAGGTGCAAGCCTGCATCATGGGCTGACGCCATGGCACATGCATGCTGCTGGACGGTGTCAAATGCATGGGTGCCAAGCTGGAATACTACTCGGAGCACAGCGACTGGCACGGCTTTGACTGAGGCCCGAGGTCCTGCCTGCCCTGGGCTGCCCTGCCTGCCCTGGGCTGCTCAGCCTTAAACCCTGCCTTGTTCCCCCATACCCGACATGCTGCCTGATGGTGTGGCTTCCTTGCCCCTCTCCAGGGTGGGTGGGATGGAGTGGCCTTGCCCACGCCTGTCACCTCTGCCTTCATTCAAGCCACCACCCTGCCTCTCCTGCATCCTCCTCTTCCACTTCCTCCTCTCCGTGTGCCTCAGTCTCCTGCCAGAAGAAATGGCTTGAGCCCTCAAGGAGGCTGTCTGAGGAAGGAAGGGGAGGGCCTGGGGTGGGTACTCCCACTCCCCACCCCAAGCCATAGGGGCTCCAGCCAGGGTCTGGGAGAGGACGGAGCTGGTTCTCTGAGGTCGTGGCCCCGTTACCTCTGCTGCTGCCTTGCTTCAGCCGCCTCTCCTGCCCCTCCCTCGTTCGCACTGCTGTCCTCCATGAGTAGCAGGGAGGTGCAGTCCCCAGCTCCTACCCCTCAGGTCTGTGTTACTTGATTTTTAAGCGAGTGGTTGGGATAGAATCCTAAAGAAATAAAACTTCCAGTGTGGGGGCGGGGTGGGGGGGAGACGACCCTTGTCCCCAGTGTTACTCCCAAACATTTGTGTGATATGCCGGCAAGGATCAGGGAGATAACCGATTTCAGTTATCTGCACTCACATACAGGCCCTTTGAGGCTTGTGAGATGAGAAAGTTTGATATTGTTAATCTTTTCAGTCTCTCTCACCTCTTACACACATATACAGAGCTGGCTTCCTGGACCACTTCTGGAAAGAGCAAAATCTACTTTTTCCATGGCAACTATTTAGCCAAGGAGACTGGGAGTAAAAGGGAGGATGTCCCTATGACCCTCTCCTTACTACTCTAAAATATCTTTTTTTTTTCTTTTGAGGTGGAGTCTTGCGCTGTTGCCCAGTCTGGAGTGCAGTGGCGTGATCTCGGCTCACTACATCTTCCGTCTCCTGGGTTCAAGCGATTCTCGTGCCTCAGCCTCCTGAGTAGCTGGGGTTACAGGTGTGTACCACCACACCCAGCTAATTTTTGTATTTTTAGTAGAGACGGAGTTTCGACATGTTGGCCAGGCTGGTCTTGAACTCCTGCCCTCAAGCCATCCACCCACCTTGGCCTCCCAAAGTGCTGGGATTACAGGTGTGAGCCACCATGCCTGGCCTTTTTTTTTTTTTTTTCTTTTTTGAGTAAAATATCTTAAAGAAAAGTGTGGGCATCATGATAGTCCACCAAGAAATACTTCAGTAGTATCACTCAGAAAGAACATATTTCAACCACCATATGATCTGGCAATCCCACTATTGGGTATATATCTGAAGAAATAAAACCAGTATGTTGAAGAGATATCTGCACTCCCATATTTATTGCAGCTTTATTCACAATAGCCAAGATATAGTAACTGGGCACAGTGGCTCACATCTATAGTCCCAGCTACTCTGGAAAGCTGAGGCAGGAGGATTGCTTGAGTCCAGGAGTTGGAAGCTGCAGGGCACTATGATCATGCCTGTGAATAGCCACTGCCCTCCAGCCTGGGCAACAAAGCAAGATCTGTCCTTATTAAAAAAAAAAAAAAAAAAAAAAAAAAAAAAAAAAAAAGGCCAGGCGCAGTGGCTCATGCCTGTAATCCCAACACTTTGGGAGGCCAAGACAGGCAGATCACAAGGCCAGGAGTTCAAGACCAGCTTGACCAATATGGTGAAACCTCGTCTCTACTAAAAATACAAAAATTAGCCTGGCGTGGTGGCGAGCGCCTAGCTACTCACGAGCCTGAGGCAGGAGAATTGCTTGAACCCAGGAGGCAGAGGTTGCAGTGAGCCAAGGTTGTGCCACTGCACTCCAGCCTGGGCGACAGAGCGAGACTCCGTCTCAGAAAAAAAAAACAAAAAAAACAAAAAACAACACACACAATAGCCAAGATATGGAATCACCCTGAGTGTCCATCAACAGAAAAATGGATAAAGAAAATGCAGTATACAGTATATATATTATGTAATAATATTCAGCCATAAAAAAGAATGAAATTTTGCAATTTATGGCAATATGGATGAACCTGGAGGATATTATGCTAAGTGAAATGAGCCCAGCACAGAAAGACAAATGCCATGTGATCTCTTTTTTTTTTTGAGACGGAATCTCTCTGTCACCTAGGCTGGAGTGCAATGGTGTGGTCTTGGCTCACTGCAACCTCCACCTCCTGGGTTCAAATGATTCTCCTGCCTCAGCCTCCCAAGCAGCTGGTACTACAGGTGCATGCCACCACACCCGGCTAATTTTTGTATTTTTAGTAGAGACGGGGTTTCACTGTGTTGGCCAGGCTGGTCTCGAACTCCTGACCTCATGATCCGCCCGCCTTAGCCTCCCAAAGTGCTGGGATTACAGGCATGAGCTATTGCACCTGGCCATGATCTCATTTATACGTGGAATCTTAGAAAGTTGAACTTGTAGAAAAAGTAGAATGGCAGTTACCGGAGGCTGGGGAGTGGGAGGATTGGGCCGAAATGAAGTTGGCCAAAGGATACAAAATCTGTTAGATGAGAGGAATAAGTTCAAGACATCTATTGCACAACGTGGTGAATAGAGTTAATAGCAATGCATCTTATACTTGAAATTGCTAAAAGAGTAGATTTTAGGTGTTCTCACCACCAAAAAAAAAAGATAAGCATGTGAAGTGATGCATATGTTAATTAGCTTGATTTAACCATTTCACAATGTATACATATTTCAAAACATGTTGTACACAATTTACGTACATATATATAATTTTTATTTGTCAATTTAAATAAATAAATAAATGTTAAAATTAGGGGGAATTTCTTAGTGTCAAAATAACATTACCCGGCCGGGCACGGTGGCTCACGCCTGTAATCCCAGCACTTTGGGAGGCCCAGGCGGGCGGATCATGCGGTCAGGAATTCAAGAACAGCCTGACCAACATGGTGAAACCCTGTCTCTACTAAAAATACAAAAATTAGCCGGTCTTGGTGGCACGCGCCTGTAATCCCAGCTACTCAGGAGGCCGAGGCAGGAGAATCACTTGAACCCGGGAGATGGAGGTTGCAGCGAACCTGAGATCCTGCCACTGAACTTCAGCTGGGTGACAGTGCGAGACTCCGTCTCAAAAAAAAATAAAAAAATAAAAAAATAACATTACCCTTCCCTAACACAATTAAACATAATTCCATCTAATATCCAGCACACTTTCAAGTTTCATCATTTGTAAGAGGGGTTAACTTTGATGGGTTTGGGTGGGGGAAGAATTTAAAAAGCCCTCAAGAAGGAAGTGGCATTTTGAGGAGTCCTTGAAAGATGACTAACAGCTACCACATTGTGACAGGCAAACCTGAGATGGCCACAAATGATCCCCACGTCTTGGTATTCATGCCCTTGAGTAATCCCCTCCCCTTGACTGTGGGCTGGCCTAGAGACTTACTTCTGATCCATCAGAAGGTGATGGACGGCACTTCTATAATGAGGCTATAAGAGACCATTGACTTCTGTTTGCTAGCGGAATCTCTTCTTGCTGGCTTGGATGAAGACATGCTGCCATGTGGCAGAGGCCTAAGGGAAAGGTGCCTGAGGCCCTCAGTCCAGCAGCCCAGCCCATATGGAACTGAATCCTATCAACGACCACATGAGCTTGGAATTGGATCCTTCCTTATTCCAACCATAGATGAGACTGAAGCCTCAGCTAACATCTTGCTTGTAGCTTTGTGAGACCTTGAAGTAGAGGACCCCACTGAGCTATGCTCAGTCTCCTGATAGGCAGAAACTATGAAACAGTAAACGTGTGTTGCTTTAGGCTGCTAAATGTGTGGTAATTTGTTACGCAGCAATAGAGAACTAATACACTTGTTTAATAAAAATGGCCTTGTGCATGGAAGTCATTGCTATCCTCCCTTTTTTACTAAGGGGGAAACTAAGGCCCAGAAAGGCTTGATGAATTGCCCAACACATACCAGTCATCTTGATTGTAAAAACAGAAACAGACTCCAACTAATGGGAGCAGAAATGACATTTGTTGGAAGGATAGTGAATAACTTGCTCACAGAACTGATAGAAAGGCAAGAGTATAAGGCGTAAAAAACAGGCAGGAACAAAGAGAAATTAGGCAGCAGGAATGATAGGAGGGTCAAGTTCGGGCTTCTGACACTGCTGCTGAAAGCAGAATGAATTCTAAACCGCTCTTGCTTCTTCACACCCCCCAGCTCCAGACTCTAAGCTTTTGGTAGGAGTGGCCAGTCATCTGAGCTTGGGTCAGCGGGTTGGTGACTGGGATCAGTTCACAGTAGGTGCTCAAACATGGTTAATTCAACTCATAAAAGACGAATCTGGCATTGCGTATAAAACTAGATGGAGGGTGCGCTCATCCCTCCAACACCCAGAGACCAGTGTTCCAGCCCTTCCCTGATTTCCAGAATTTCCCATACTGCCCCTAGGAGCCGTGAGCCAGAGAAGACTATAGATTGAGTAGCGAAAAGTTGGGAACTAACTATGGGCTGCAGTACCATGATTGTGCCACCAGAGGGCATACAAGACCCAGACATTTACTAAGGTGGGGACGAGGGAATAGGTGCTGGCGGAATGGGATAGTGAAGACTGAGGAAGTCTGGGCTCTGGAAACCCAGAGAAGGACTAGCAGTGGTGTGGGCACCAAGAGTTGCCTCATCCTCATGGCCCTAGCTGTACTCCCTCTCCACTCTGGAAGCTTTGGGCTCTCCTGGTCTTTGCTCTGAGACCTTTAAGAGGACTTTGGACTCTTCTTTTTATGGCATCAATTCTCCAACTGTAAATACTGCCCCCACCCCATCAGTTCCAGATCGGCATTGGAATAGAGTGCAGGGGTGGGTAGGGTGGGGTAATGGGTGTGCCTCTCGCCCTGCAAATGGGGTGAGGTTGGGATGGGCAGTAGCTTCCTCAAACTAGAGCTCCTATGGCAGTAGGGCAGAAGGAGGTGGAGTGGGCCTTCTCCTCTGGGCTGTAACTTCCAGTGCGTAGCACAGCGCCTGGGACGTGGTAGGAACTCAATAAATATTTGTCGATTGTTGATAATTATTTGATATGCATAAACCATGCAGAGAGAGCCAAGGCAGGTCATTAGGGTACTCCAACTCCAAAACATTTCCTGAGTCCTTCCACTTCTCAGCAGCCCCGCCCTCTATCACCATCCTTGTCCAAGCCACTGTTTCCACCTGGACCACTATAATAGCTTTCTAAGTGGTTTCCCTTGCATCCCTTGATCCCACAATTTATTCTCCACTCAGCAGCTACCATGATCCTTTAAAACCATAAATCAGATCGTGCCACTTCTGAGCTTAACACCTTCCAAAGGCTTCTCATTACACTTTCAATGAAATCCAAACTCCTTTCCCTGGCCTAAGAGCTTCTCCACTAGCTAGGGCATGCCTCCCTTTCTGACCTCATCTTATACTTTCTTCCTTCAACACATGGGCTTCAGCCTCACTGACTTTCTGTTTCTTAAGCACCGTGAGCTTGCTATTGCCTTAGGGCTTTTGCATTAGCTGTTCCCTCTGAAATGCTCTTTACCCAGATTCTTTGCATGGCTGACTCCTTGTCATTCAGGTCTGCATGTACATAGCACTTCCTTATAGGGACCTTTCTTGACAGCCATACCTAGGTTTCTACCCCAGTCACTTCCTATCGATCCTGGGTTCTAATTGTCATCATAGCACTTATCATCAACTATCTTCTCATCTATTCTTTTTTTTTTTTCCCGAGATGGAGCCTTGCTTTGTCACCCAGGCTGGAGTGCAGTGGCAGGATCTCAGCTCACTGCAACCTCCGCCTCCAGGGTTCAAGCAATTATCCTGCCTCAGCCTGCTGAGTAGCTGGGATTACACACACCCGGCTAATTTTCGTATTTTTAGTAGAGATGGGGTTTCACCATGTTGGCCAGGCTCGTCTTGAACTCCTGACCTTGCAATCCACCAGCTTTGGCCTCCCAAAGTGCTGGGATTACAGGCATGAGCCACCATGCCCAGCTTATTCTTTTTTTTGTTTTGTTTTTTTTTGAGACAGTGTCTCGGTCTGTCACCCAGGCTGGAGTGCAGTGGTGCAATCACGGCTCACTGCAACCTTGCCCTCCTGGGCTCAAGTGATCCTCCTGCCTCAGCCTCCTGAGTAAGCTGGAACCACAGGTGCACAGCACCACACTTGGCTAATTTTTAAAATTTTTTAGTCGAGATGAGGTCTCGCTATGTTGACCAGGCTGGTCTCAAACTCCTGAGCTCAAGCAATCCTCCTGCCAAAGTGCTGGGATTATAGGCATGAGACACTGCACCTGGCTCATCATTTTTTCATAAGTTTTTAAATAATTTTTTTTTGTAGAGATGGGGTCTCACCATGTTGCCCAGGCTGGTCTCAAACTCTTGGGCTCAAGTGATCCTTGTGCTTCAGCCTCCCAAAGTGCTGGGATTGCAGGTGTGAGCTGCCATGCCCAGCCTCATCTATTCATTTATTTCTTGTTTCCTCCCACTAGAAGGTAAGCTTAATGAGACTAGGAACTCTGTCTGCTGAGTTCAATTACTGTATCCTCAGCACCTATTAATAGAAGAGTGCCTAACACATAGTAGCGAGAGTAGGTGACAGGGCGAGACTCCATCTCAAAAATAAATAAATAAATAAATAAATAAATAAATAAATATGGGATGAATGAATAATGGATCTAAGGGGATGGGGAAGGGATTTTGTATCCCCCTGGAGTTGAGCCCATTCTCAAGGGTAGTGGTGGTGGTGGCGGTGGAAATGGAGTTGGCCAGAGCCTATTCCAACCCTGGAAGTAGAAGGGGTTGTGAGTCTCTGGAGTGGTGATGGTGGTGGTGGTGGTAGCAGCAGTGATGTTAGGGGTAGTGAAACGGACAAGGCATATTTGCTAGATTGAATGAATGTGTTTTTTTTGTTTTGTTTTGTTTTTTGAGACGGAGTCTCACTCTGTTCCCCAGGCTGTAGTGCAGTGGTGCAATCTCGGCTCACTGCAACCTCTGCCTCCCGAGTTCAAGCTATTCTCCTGCGTCAGCCTCCCCAGTAGCTGGGACTACAGGCGCGTGTCACTATACCGGGCTAATTTTTGTAGTTTTAGGAGAGACGGGGTTTCACCTTGTTGGGCAGGCTGGTCTCAAACTCCTGACTCAGGTGATCTGCCCGCCTTGGCCTCCCAAAGTGATGGGATTACAGGCACCAGCAACCGCACCCAGCTGTGAATTGTTTTTATATGTCTTTCTTACTTTCAGAAAATAAAATGTGCAGACTTTTGGTGTTTTTTCTTTTTTTTTTTTTTTGAGACGGAGTTTCGCTCTCGTTGCCCAGGCTGGAGTGCAATGGCGCGATCTTGGCTCACCGCAACCTCCGCCTTCCAGGTTCAAGCAATTCTCCTGCCTCAGCCTCCCGAGTAGCTGGGATTACAGGCATGCACCACCATGCCCGGCTAATTTTGTATTTTTATAGTAGAGACGGGGTTTCTCCATGTTGAGGCTGGTCATGAACTCCTGACCTCAGGTGATCCTCCCGCCTCGGCCTCCCAAATTGCTGGGATTACAGGCGTGAGCCACCGCGCCTGGCCAAATTGTGCAGACTTTTGATCTTTAAGACAGAAAAGCTAGGGAATGGTTGTTTGCATTGTAAAAGGAATCTTTGCTTTGTAAAAGGGCGTAGGCAGAGGCTAGTTTAGCTGTAACCCAAACAACCCAAGGAAGGCTCAGGGCACTCAAGCCTATCCGTTAGTTACATTGCAGGGTGTTTTCAACACTGCTTATGTATAGAGTGTTGTCCAGATACACTTTTGGCTGTGTGAAGCTTACACTTACATATAATACATTCTGCTTGTAAGAGTTTCCTCTTCCTGAAAATGAGAGATTGAAAATACATCACTCTTGTGACTATGGTCTGTATTATTAAAAAAAAAAAAAAAAGGTCGTTGAGATCAAGCAAGCTAGACGTGGAGAAATACAGTTCCTGCTGACTGCCTCTCTCTTTCTTCTCTTTGTCAGAGTTAAAACCTTCCAATTGGCCATGCGCGGTGGCTCATGCCTGTAATCCCAACACGTTGGTAGGCCACAACGGGTGGATTGCTTGAGCTCGAGTTTGAGACCAGCCTGGACAACATGGTGAAACCTGTCTCTATTAAAAATACAAAAATTAGCCGGGCATGGTGGCAAGCGCCTGTAGTCTCAGCTACTTGGGAGGCTGACGTAGAATCGCTTGAACTCAGGAGGCAGAGGTTACAGTGAGCCGAGATCGTGCCATTGCACTCCAGCCTGGGCAACAGAGCAAGACCCTGTCTCAAAAAAAAAAAAAAAAGTCCTAATATTCTGTAGTGCTAGAAATAGATTTGATGGTGGCCCTGCCCTGTCGGAACTTAAGACTCTAATATTCATGTCCGGCATGCACCTGTAATCCCAGCTACTGGGGAGGCTAAGGCAGGAGAATCACTTGAACTCAGGTGGCAGAAGCTGCAGTGAGCAGAGATCGTGCCACTGCACTCTAGCCTGGGCAACAGAACGAAACTCGGTCTCAAGAAAAAAAAAAAGATTCTAAGGCCAGGCACGGTGGCTTCACGGCTGTAATCCCAGCACTTTTGGAGGCTGAGGCAGTTAGATCACCTGAGGTCAAGAGTTTGAGACCAGCCTGGCCAATATGGAGAAACCGTCTCTCTACTACAAATACGAAAATTAGCCAGGTGTGGTGGTGGGCGCCTGTAATCCCAGCTACTCGGGAGGCTGACACAGGAGAATCACTTGAGCCTGGAAGGTGCTGGGACTATAAGCACGTATCATCACGCTGGGCTAATTTTTTTTTTTTTTTGAGACAGAGTCTTGCTGTGTTGCCCAGGCTGGAGTGCAGTGGCGCAATCTCAGCTCACTGCAACTTCCGCCTCCCAGGTTCAAGCGATTCCCTTGCCTCAGCCTCCCTAGTAACTGGGATTACAGGCGCGCGCCACCACTCCCCAATAATTTTTGTATTTTTAGTAGAGACGGGGTTTCACCATTTTGGTCAGGCTGGTCTCAAACTCCTGACCTCGTGATCTGCCTGCCTTGGCCTTCCAAAGTGCTGGGATTAAAGGAATGAGCCACCATGCCCAGCTAAAATTTAATTTTTTTTTTTTTTTTTGAGACGGAGTCTCGCTCTGTCGCCCAGGCCGGACTGCGGACTGCAGTGGCGCAATCTCCGCTCACTGCAAGCTCCGCTTCCCGGGTTCACGCCATTCTCCTGCCTCAGCCTCCCGAGTAGCTGGGACTACAGGCGCCCCCCACTACGCCCAGCTAATTTTTTGTGTGTTTTTAGTAGAGATGGGGTTTCACTGTGTTAGCCAGGATGATCTTGATCTCCTGACCTTGTGATCCGCCCGCCTCAGCCTCCCAAAGTGCTGGGATTACAGGCATGAGCCACCGCACCCGGCCTAAAATTTCATTTTTTAACGCATATTTATCTCAATTGTTTTTTGCATTTTCCCCATGTGGCTCATGAGCACATTATTCTAAGCGTAAGTGGTAGATAACCTGATTCAGGTATTTTGAAGAGGAAATTTTGATAGCAAAAACAATTTTTTTTTTTTGAGACGGCGTCTCGCTCTGTCTCCCAGGCTGGAGTGCAATGGCGTGATCTCGGCTCACTGCAACCTCCGCCTCCCGGGTTCAAGCGATTCTCCTGCCTCAGCCTCTCGAGTAGCTGGGACTACAGGTGCCCGCCACCACGCCCAGCTAATTTTTAATAGAGACGGGGTTTCACCATGTTGGCCAGAATGGTCTCGATTTCTTGACCTTGTGATCCACCCGCCTCGGCCTCCCAAAGTGCTGGGATTACAGGCGTGAGCCACCGCGCCCGGCCAGCAAAAACAATTTTTAAGGAAATTTTGAAGTGAGAAGTCAGGCAAAGAGGCCCCAAAGATCAAATTGCAGGCCAGGCCTGCACAACTGAGAAATGAGAAAGTACCACTTTCCCATTTTCAAACATTATAACAAACATTTCTCTATCTGATTCTGAAAACCCTGTAAGAAAGACAAGGCAGATGGTTTTATTCCCATTTCAAGAGATTGATGATTTACCCAAGGTATATAGTTTGCAGGTACACGTGGCTGATAAATGTTGGAAACTGGCTTTCCCAACTCTTCTTTTCCTTGCCTGAAGCTCTGTCCTGGACTTAGGAATCCCAGTGGTGATTTGGAGTGGACAAGACTTGAGTCTTGAAGGACAGGACTGCAGGGAGGGCTGGTCCTGAGGAGGAAGCATCTTCAGATACCTAGGTCTTGGGATCTTGGGTGGGGAATAGGCTGCTTGGGGAAGGGCTGAATTGGAAGGAGGAGCTAGAGGTCTGACTGAGGGAATGGAGAGGGGGCCTCAAAAGGAAGCCAGGCAGGCTGCCTTCTTCCCAGCTCCAGAATGGCACCCCCTCTAAAGTCACACTCACCTACGTACATCCTGGAGTGAAACTCCTTCTCCTTTCTGCTTCCACCATTACTCTAATCCTCAAAGGGTTAACCAGCTTTCACACGATTTTCCCATCTCCCAGGTAACTTGGGCAGCTGCTCCGTGCTGGAAATAACTAAAGACCCAGTTTCTCAGTTCGTGCACTTAGCAATGCACCCCAGTAGCCCCTCCAACCCCCAGCAGAGAAGCACAGCCCTTTGGGTAAAAGATGCCTGGGGGTGAGGCTGCAAGTTGGCAGGTGCGGGGGAGGGGCTCCCAGAGAGTAGGGCGGGGGGTTGTGGGGGCGGCAGGGAGAGTGCCCCTTCCCTGGGTCCCTCCACTGGGCCCCGAGGTTCGCCTCGGGGCCGCTGCCCCAGAGACTGGGGGGAAGAGGAAAGAAGTGGTGTGCGGGCAAGCAGGCCGCACACACCTGGCGCCTTGTGGAATGAGAGCTTAATTAATTATTAAACTGAGTTCCCGCGGGAGGGCGCAGGGCCGTGACAGGCAGGGCGGGAATGGCTAGGTGGGGGCTGGGGCTGGGGCAGGGGCAGGGAGGAATTGGGGATGAAGAGTGGGCGCGGGGCGCCGGCCCAACCCCTGGGACCCTGACAGGAAGGAAGGCGACCCTCGGTGGGCGGGGCGGGGGATGTAGCCGTGAGGGGTGGGTTTGCGGGCGCGCTCGGGGACCCCCGGGGTGAGGGCGGGAGAGGAATGCCGGAGGAGGCGGCCGGGGTGAAGGGAAGGGGACCGGGCTGCGAGGTCCCCTCCCCGCGGGGTCTTGATCCCAGAACAGTAGCTGCTTGTCTTCCCAGGACTGGGGGAGGAAGCGGCCGGAGGAGAGGAGGGGGCGCGCGGAGGGAGGGGTCCCATTATTTGGCCTCCTCCGCCCCTACCCCGCTGCTAGGAAGGGGAGTGGGCAACTCGGCCCCCACTTCTGGGGAGGGGGAGGGGGATGCCCAGACAAAAGGAGCTTGTGCCTTTAAGGCGGGGAGTCCGGGAGCCAGCGGGGAGGGGACTTCTGGATCCGGGGTAGAGGGCGGCTGCGCTGGACAGCTCGGGAGGGGGCGAGGGCCGGGCGGACGGCGGACGGCGGACGGCGGGCGGGACGGCCAGGACGCGCGGGCTCGGAGGACCGCGGGACGGCCGGCCGGCCGGCCGGAGCCCGCGGGGGCGGCGGGGCGGGGGCCCAGGGCAGGCGCGGAGCCGGGCCGGCAGGTGAGCGCGCTGAGGGCTAGGGGAAGTGGCCGCTCGGGCTCCCGGTGCGCCAGGATTGGAACGCACCCGAGCGGCTCTCGACAAGAGTTTGTGGGTGGGGGCGCCGAAGCCTTGGACGGGTCGTCTCGGCAGTGTTGCCCGAGGGAGTTGGGGTTGGCAAAGGGAAGTCATGGAGGCAGTGGGATCGAGGACTCCTAGGTCCGGCGCTCGCCACCCCCGTCGCCCGCCGCCTGCCTCCCTCCACGGGGCGAGTTCCAGGCTGGCCCGGAGGCCAGGAGGATCTGGCACGTACTGGGGGAGGGGCTGGCCTGAGTTTTTTGCTGCGGGGCTGTGGGGTGTCTCCGAGTTTGGGGGAGATTCCATTTAGGGGAGAGGAACCGGCCTGGGCAGAGGGAGGGATGCCCTCTGTCTGCGGGAGTCCCTCTCCTTCCCCTCACCCAAAACCTTGGGAATGAAAGGGGTGGGGTCGGCTCCCCACATCCCCCAAGGCCTGCCGCAGGGTGGGCAGGGGAGCTGACTTTATTCAAAGCAGACTCTGGGGCTCGACTGAAAGGCTAGAGGTGGAATCAGGCGTGGGAGCCTCTTTGCCCATATCCTCTCCTTACCAGATTACCCCTGTGAGCTGGAGGGACCTGGTGGGGGTTGCATAGTAAAGGGTGATGTGGGAGCCCTCTGTAATCTTTAGGGAGAGTGAGGACTGGGGATGGGAGAAGGCGGCAGCGGGCACTGGACCGACAGATACAGGCCCTGGGTAGGCTCCTCTACATCTGGAAAGGCCCAGAATTGAAGAATTGAGGCCCATGTCCGAGTATGGTGGGTGGTGCTGGCACTGCTGGGCCCCGCCTGGGCAGTGCCTCTTACCATGAACTTTCTGAAGTCGTTTTTAATCCCCTGGAGCCTCCTTTTGCCAAGGAGGGCAGGGGCAGATGGGCCCTGGGGATGGGATAGACAGGAGGTGGCCAGGAAGGCTTGGCAAGGCAGTGGGCAGAGCCATCCTTAGGGCTGGGCCTTGGCCTTGGCTGGTTCCAAACTCTGGTCTCAGCCTGATCAGGGTTTGGGAGGGACTTGAGGTCTGGGAGGCACTGAGCCTGGGCCTGCCAGGCTGAATGGGACATGGCTGTGGCTGTGGGAGCCGGTGGTATGAAGAACAGCAGATCTGTGAGAGTGCAAATGGACCAACACTCAGGGGAGGAGAAGGTAGAGGCACAAGGCTTAGGAGCCTGACTCTGGGGAGGAGGGAGGTGGTCTGTGCTCCCAGGGCTCATAGTGATGGGTTGCTGGACAAAGTGGGTTGGGGGACCATATAGAGAAATTTTGTGGCTTGGAACAGTGCTCTACCCTGTTTCCTGCCATACCAGTCTGGCATGGGGTGCCAGAAATGTTGGGAGGCCGGCAAGTTCTGCGGGATGGGCAGTGCCTGGAGTGGAGCCCAGGGTGGGATGGTTGCAGTTGGTTGGACAATTACATAGCTCTGAAGCTATCCCCTTGGGGGGGGTCAGAGTGTTCCTGGGAGGGTCATGCATTCTCCTGGATAGCATTTGCCCCTTTCTCTGTGAGTATGAGCCAGATGCTAGGATGTGTTTCCAGGGGGCTTGGAACATGGCCAGAAACTAGTCCTTTGGGAACAGGTCCGGGCCAGTGCTGGTGGGGGTGGTGTGTTGGGGGAGATAAGAACAGGGAAGGGGACTGGTGAATGGAGGAGGCTGAAGCAAAATGTTGTGGGTGGTGGATGGTGGTGGGAAACCTGCTCACTCTGGGCTCTGTCTCCAGCAGCTCTGGGGACTGACAGCCAAGGACACAGGGACTGATAGAACCAGGCATCTGACTGGCTAGAAAGACGTGTGTTCTTGCTCATGATTTCCTCATCTTTCCATCTCTTGACGATGACAGAGGTTTGGGTTTAAAGTGTTGTAGAGTGAGGAGAAGAACTAATATTTTTCAAGTGTGTACTTCTTGACAGGCATTATTAGATTCTTTCCTGAGGACCATTATCATTTCCATTTTGCAGATGAAGGTACTGACACAGAGAGGTTAAATAACTTGCCCAAGGCAGTGTGGCTAGCAAATAATCACGCTAAGGTTTGGAACCCTGGTCTCATGCCAAAGATCATGCTTCTAATGAAGTATTTTGAAGAGCAAGGCTTTCTTTGGTGACCTTTTCCAAATGCCAGCCTGACCAAAAGTCTTGTATTCCTGATCTGTCCTTCCAGATGGTGCTGTTGGTGATGTTAAGAGGTTGAAGGGGCCAGGCATGGTGGCTCATGCCTATACTCCCAGCACTTTGGGAGGCCGAGACAGGCAGATCACCTGAGGTTAGGAGTTCGAGACCAGCCTGGCCAACATGGTTAAACCCTGTCTGTACTAAAAATACAAAATTTAGCCGGGTGTGGTGGTAGGTGCTTGTAATCTCAGCTATGGGGAAGCCGAGGCAGAATTGCTTGAACCCAGGAGGCAGAGGTTGCAGTGAGCTGAGATTGTGCCACTGCACTCCAGCCTAGGTGGGGCAGAGTGAGACTCCGTCTTAAACCAAAAAACAAAAGGAGGTTGAAGGACGTGCTGCTCTGTGGGATATAGGAGAAGGGGTGCTGACAGATCTTGGCTGAGGGTGACTCAGGGATGGGAGGTTTGGGGTATGCAGAGAATTCCCCAGCCTGCCTTCTGCGTGTGGGTCCC
The DNA here is from genome assembly GCF_000001405.40 of Homo sapiens. Classification (NCBI taxonomy): domain Eukaryota; kingdom Metazoa; phylum Chordata; class Mammalia; order Primates; family Hominidae; genus Homo; species Homo sapiens. Next base: position 48,786,232 of record NC_000012.12, on the reverse strand, counting down.
TGGGTGTCTGCTTCAAGCGCTGCCCATCTGGCTTGAGCTCTCATTCTATGGCCACCTGGGGCAAGTGCTGAGTATTCCTCCATCCTGTCCCCGAGTGAGTACAAATGTCAGTGCTGCTAGCTCAGCAGGTTTAATTACAAGGGACCCCTCAGGGTACTCTGTGAGCATAGAGGAGTGTGGCCCTGGTGGGGACACAGGCATGCATGGATGACAGTGCTGTCAGCCTCATCTTATTCTGACCTGGGCTCAGCCAGGAGTCACATTAAAGGTATCATCATGGAGTCCTCCCACCTCAGTTCATGACATTTCCTCCAGGAAATGTGGGATCTGGGACTGATTTGGTTACCATGATCTCTATAACTTGGGCCAGCCATATAAAACTGCCATGGACCTCAGTTTTTGTTTATATATATTTTTCCTTTCAAATTTGTCTTGTGCCCCAGGGGGCAACAGGACCAGTTTCTCAGGGTTTTGGTGAAGATCAGATGGAATTAGGGATGTGAAAAGATCTTGAACAGTTTAAAGCATAGAGAAAGTGCATGGAGTATCATTCGTCCATCCATCCAGTCATCCATCTACTCAATGAACATTTATTATTATTATTTTATTTTTTGAGATGGAGTTTCGCTCTTATTGCCCAAGCTGGAGCGCAATGGTGTGATCTCAGCTCACTGCAACCTCTGCCTCCTGGATTTAAGTGATTCTCTCACCTCAGCCTCCCGAATAGCTGGGATTACAGGCATGCGCCACCATGCCTGGCTAATTTTGTGTTTTTAGTAGAAATGGGGTTTCACCATGTTGGTCCGGCTGGTCTCGAACTCCTGACCTCAGGTGATCCACTCACCTCGGCTTCCCAAAGTGCTGGGATTACAAGTGTGGGCCACCATACCTGGCCTCAATGAACACTTGTTTAGGTCCTTCTAAGGGTTGTGGATACAGCAGTGAGCACAGCAGGTCAAAATCCTTGCCTTCATAAGGCTGACATTCCAGTCAGGAGAGACAGAAAATGAACACATAAGAAAAATATATAGAATGGCAGTTGCTGATTAGAGCTATGGAGAAAAAGCATAAAGCTGGGAAAAAGATAGAGAGCTCCAGGAAAGGGGGTTGCTATTTTAATAGGGTGGTCAGAGGGAGCCTCACTGATAAGGGGACATTTGGGATGTGACCTGGAGGAGCTCTTGTTCCAGACAGAGGGAACAGCAGGCACTGAGGTCCCAGGCTGGCCTGTGCGGGGTGTGTTGGGAAACAGCAAAGAGGTTCTTGTGACTGGGGTGCAGTGAGGAAGCTGAAGAGCCTTAGGATTATCACTGTTAGCTGGTGGCAGATCATGAGGTCAGGAGATCGAGACCATCCTAGCTAACACAGTGAAACTCCGTCTCTACTAAAAAATAGAAAAAATTTCCCTGGGCATGGTGGCAGGCGCCTGTAGTCCCAGCTATTTGGGAGGCTGAATGGTGTGAACCCGGGAGGCGGAGCTTGCAGTGAGCCAAGATCGTGCCACTGCACTCCAGCCTGGGTGACAGAGTGAGACTCCGTCTCAAAAAAAAAAAAAAAAAAAAAAAAACTCCAGATTTTTTCTTCTGCTTCTGTTGAGAAAAATCAGATCGGGACCCACTGGGACCCAGTGGCAACAGTCTACAGCTGCTGGGTGGTGCCTGCCCCATGCACAGGGTATGAACTCTTTTCCTCCCAGTTCTGAACCATAAGCTGCTTCACTCATTGACTTGGGCACTTGAGTTTGTGACCACCAACAAACAGTGCCTTTTAGGGAAATTTTCAAGTATACTGGCTTTGGGGTCAGACAAATCTGGTTTAGAATCGTGGTTCTCTCACTTATGTGGCTGCTGGATCTTTGGGCAACTCTTTCTTCTTTTCTTTTCTTTGTATTTTATTTTATTTTATTTTATTTTATTTCCCTCCCTTCCCTCCCTTCCTTCCCTCTCTCCCTCCCTCCCTCCTTTTTTCCTTCCTTCCTTTTTTTTTTTTTTTTCAGGCTATGGCTATTGCCCAGGCTAGAGTTCAGTGGTGCACAATCCTGGCTCACTGCAGCCTCCACCACCAGGGCCCAAGCAATCCTCCTGCCTTAGCCTCCTGAATGGCCCGGTCTATAGGTGCATACCACCACACCAGGCTAATTTTTTTTTTTTTGAGACGGAGTCTCACTCTGTCACCCAGGCTGGAGTGCAATGGCGCGATCTTTGCTCACTGCAACCTCTGCCACCCGGGTTCAAGCAATTCTCCTGCCTCAGCTCCTGAGTAGCTGGGATTACAGGCGCCCGCCACCACGCCCGGCTAATTTTTGTATTTTTAGTAGAGACGAGGTTTCACCATCTTGGCCAGGCTGGTCTTGAACTCCTGACCTTGTGATCTACCTGCCAGGGCCTTCCAAAGTGCTGGGATTACGGACGTGAGCCACCACGCCTGGCCCAGGCTAATTTTTTGAAATTTTAATAGAGGCAGGGTCTTGCTGTATTGCCCAGGTTGCTCTCACATTCCTAGCCTTAAGCCATCCTCCTATCTCGGCCTCACAAAGTGCTGGGATTACAGGTGTAAGCCACTGTGCCTGGTTTTGGGCAAGTTTCTTGTCCTGACTGTGTCTTGGGTTCTCACCTGTTGATTGGGGATACCCTTGTTGCCTACCTCCAAGTAATTTTATGAGGATGAAACTCATAGCTTGTCAGTGGGAAGTGCTTAGGTAATGAGCTACTAGTGGTGGCAGTGGCTGTGATGGTGGTATTAATACCACTCCTACTGGATGGTCTCTAATACTATCTCCTTCCTTCCCTACCAGCAACATGTCATGGTTTAGTGGCCTCCTGGTCCCTAAAGTGGATGAACGGAAAACAGCCTGGGGTGAACGCAATGGGCAGAAGCGTTCGCGGCGCCGTGGCACTCGGGCAGGTGGCTTCTGCACGCCCCGCTATATGAGCTGCCTCCGGGATGCAGAGCCACCCAGCCCCACCCCTGCGGGCCCCCCTCGGTGCCCCTGGCAGGATGACGCCTTCATCCGGAGGGGCGGCCCAGGCAAGGGCAAGGAGCTGGGGCTGCGGGCAGTGGCCCTGGGCTTCGAGGATACCGAGGTGACAACGACAGCGGGCGGGACGGCTGAGGTGGCGCCCGACGCGGTGCCCAGGAGTGGGCGATCCTGCTGGCGCCGTCTGGTGCAGGTGTTCCAGTCGAAGCAGTTCCGTTCGGCCAAGCTGGAGCGCCTGTACCAGCGGTACTTCTTCCAGATGAACCAGAGCAGCCTGACGCTGCTGATGGCGGTGCTGGTGCTGCTCACAGCGGTGCTGCTGGCTTTCCACGCCGCACCCGCCCGCCCTCAGCCTGCCTATGTGGCACTGTTGGCCTGTGCCGCCGCCCTGTTCGTGGGGCTCATGGTGGTGTGTAACCGGCATAGCTTCCGCCAGGACTCCATGTGGGTGGTGAGCTACGTGGTGCTGGGCATCCTGGCGGCAGTGCAGGTCGGGGGCGCTCTCGCAGCAGACCCGCGCAGCCCCTCTGCGGGCCTCTGGTGCCCTGTGTTCTTTGTCTACATCGCCTACACGCTCCTCCCCATCCGCATGCGGGCTGCCGTCCTCAGCGGCCTGGGCCTCTCCACCTTGCATTTGATCTTGGCCTGGCAACTTAACCGTGGTGATGCCTTCCTCTGGAAGCAGGTAGGTGGCCAGGGAGGTAGGGATGGAGGGCAGCAGGTGGGGAATTTCTCACCTCATAAGCAGGTGGGGGCTTAGTGAGGAAGGGCGGGTGAGTCATGGGTGGAAGCTGGGTGCAGGGATGTCTGGCTGTATCTGGGAGGAGGAGCAGGAGGTGGGAGGCTAGGGTTGAGGGGTCTGCCTCCATGTGGGATCTGGGGTAGAGGACACTGCTGAGGGGAGGGAGGGCCCCAGGACCCAAGCCTGAACTCTGTCACCATGGGCCCCAGTCTCCGGCTCTTTAGCCCGCTGAAATAGTGCAGTCTGTAGAGACAGAATGTGGGGCTGGAGGCAGGGGTGTGGTATATAGCCCCAGGGCCACCGTGGGGCTGAAAAGGCAGTGCAGGCTGTGTCCAGGCCTTAGCATCTCAGCAGGCAAGTTGACACCAGAGACTGAGGCGCTGGTGCTATCCCTGAAGAGCAGCTCTAGGTGGTGATCTGGAGGTATAGAGCAGGTTTTGGATGTTGTCAGCAAGAGAGGAGTCCCCTCTTTCCTGGACCAAGGCCACTTCTGGGAGGACAGGGAAGGTGAAGAGCTGGGGTCAGTTCTCTCTGGGCTGGATGTGGTTTGAATGGGGTTGGACTGTTGAAGAGAGGAGCGTTAAGTCTGATCGTATCCCACCTTCCCCATGCTGGGCACCAGGGACCTGGGCGCCTTTCCTTGAGGTTCTCTGTCCATGCCTGTTGCTGCCTCCAGGCTCCAAGTGTGTGTGAGGTGGGACTCCACGGCTCCGTGTGGAGTGGCTGTAGGCTGACCTGCTTATCCAGTGGGCTGTATTCTTTTCTGTGGGATCTTAGACAACTAGCCTCACCTCTCCCAGCCTTAGTTTCCCAGTCTGCAAAGCTGGAATAAAAATAGCATCTAGCTCATGTTGCTGTTGGGGCCCCACCCTTTCCTAGAGTGGAGTAGAACCCGACTGGGCAGTGTTCACACCTGGGGGCAGGGAGGTTTGGGGAGTGCTGGAAGGCATGGTACCCAGTGAAGGGGTTTCTGGGAAGTCCCTTTCAGAGAGATGTTAGTTTGTGGATCTGCCATCTCCTGTTACCCCCCTGCCCAGGGAGCAGAGGCCAGGGTCCTTCAGGCGCTGCTGTAGGCACAGCCCCGCCATCAGCACAGCGCCTGGGTCCTCCACTGGACCCTAACTAGAGAGTGCTGTCTTGCTCAAGGTTTTGAAGGCTTGTGGCCTGTTGCCCACCCTGCCTCAGGCACAGAGAGGAAGTTGCCTGGGGATCCCAGGGTGAGAAGCTAGGTTCTCTGGCATGATGCCCTTCTCCACCCAGCCTGTGCTGCAGAACAGAACTTACCTGTTTTTTTTGTGGTTTTTTTTTTTTTTTGAGACGGAGTCTTGCTCTGTCGTTAGGCTGGAGTGGTGCAGTGGCGCGATCTCAGCTCACTGCAACCTCTGCCTCCCAGGTTCAAGCGATTCTCCTGCCTCGGCCTCCTGAGTAGCTGGGACTACAGGAGCGCGCCACCATGCCCAGCTAATTTTTGTATTTTTAGTAGAGACAAGTTTCACCATGTTGGCCAGGATGGTCTCGATCTCTTGACCTCATGATCCACCCGCCTTGGCCTCCCAAAGTGCTGGGATTACAAGCGTGAGCCACCGCACCTGGCCAGAATGCCAGAATGCCAGAACGTACCTTTTTAAAAGTAACTTTATAGCCCGTTTGTTTGTGGAGCACGTGCCCTTAGGGCACTGTCAGACATCTTAAAGGGCCAGGTCCTTCTGCCCCAAAGCTTCTCTTCCAGGGTGGCTCTCAACCAGGGCTTTATGGCTGGACTGCCCTCCTGGGGAAGGAGCTTAGAGGTGGTGTCTCCTTTCCCCCTTCCTCTCTGGCCAGGCATGGGCTGGGTGGGCATCTGTTCCCTGCTCTCGACTGGCATGGTGCCCAGAGCCAGGCCCAGTGCCTGACTGGGGAGGTGCAGTCCCAGGGAGGCCAGGACTGTGCCCGTCTCCCCAGGAGTGTCTGGCTACAGCTTCATGTAGTGGATCTCGATAGGCACATTCTTGGGGCAGTGGCGAAATTCACTGCTGCCCCTGTGCCAGTCCTTGGGGCCAGAGCTGCCCATACAACTTCCTCTGGGCTGAGAAACATTCCCTGTGCCCATTTGGGTATGTGGGTTTCTAGACAGGTGGGGTTTGTGGCCTCCTTCCTCGTCTACTTGGGCAGCCCCTTCCCAGATCCACCCCTACTCACAATCACAGGAAGGAGACTTTGTCCCCTACCGACCCACTCATTTAGACATACTGAACAGTGTCACCCAGTGACCCAGGCCCAGCTTGGAGTCTCCTCCGGTCCCCTGGCATCCATTTTTTCTCATAGTCAGATAGGGATGTGTGTGTACAGAGTTATTTCAGTCTCGTCCCCCTTCCCCTTCCCTCCACCGTGACTCACATTTTCCTCTTGGGCTCCTGGGGCCAGGAAGGGAAGTTGCCTGGTTTGCCCCCCTTCCCTTCTCCCCCACTGGGGGCTATTCTTAGAAACCCCCAAGGGAGATAGTGTGCCCCTCTCTTCACCCCTGCTGCTGGGAGGGGGAGCTCAGCCTAGTTGATCCTGGGCCTGTGAGCTGGACTGGGAAGGGAAGCTAGGAGGCCCATCCCAGAGGCTGGAGCTGGAAATGGCTAGGGGTGAGCCAGGCCTCCCCCTCAGTTTTACCCAAGAGGAAACTGAGGTCCCAAAGTTTAAGTGACCTGCCCAATTTTGCAGGACTAGTTCTAGTTCAAGTTAGAGCCCAGAACCTCTGGCTTCCAGGAAGTGCTTCTGCTGTTTCTCTCCCTTCTCCTTAAACCAGAGCCCTGCCCCATCCAACTCTGGGGTGGAGCCGCAAGCTCCAGGTTAATTCCTGAGTTTCCAGAAACACTGAGGCCAGCTTCCCTTAGACTTGCTCTCTAGCCAGTGCCGCTGATGATGATTGGGGGCTGAACATTCCTAGGGTGGGGCCCTAGGCCTAGGGCCTGGCAGGGCTGAGTGTCAGAGGGAGTTACACCTTGAGGGGTGGCCAGGCATGGTGGACCCCATCTCCAATTAGGGGACATCCTTTGTATCAGTAGAACTGATGACTCTCAAGCCAGGGCTCTGAGGTTGGGCTTGAGAGCTTGACTCAGTAGAGTGAGTAGGAATCTTGGAAACCTGGAATGCACTACAAAGTATGGAATGCAGTAGATAGATAGTAGGATTAGGACACAGGATTTGGAATCTGATTGTCCTGGGTTCAAGTCTCACACTAGCCACTAACAGCTGTGTGATCTTGGGGAAGTTACTTGGCCTCTCTGTGCCTCATTCCCTTACCTTTAAAATGGGATATTGTTACCTATTTCACAGAGTTTTAAGAAATGTGTTAGGGGCCAGGTGCGGTGGATCATGCCTGTAATCCATGCCCGTAAGCACTTTGGGAAGCCGAGGTGGGCGGATCACTTGAGGTCAGGAGTTCAAGACCAGCCTGACCAACATGGTGAAACCCCGTCTCTACTAAAAAAATATACAAAAATTAGCCAGTCATGGTGGCAGGTGGCTGTAATCCCAGCTACTCTGGAGGCTGAGGCAGGAGAATCGCTTGAACTGGGAGGCGGAGGTTGCAGTGAGCCGAGATCAGGCCACTGCACTCCAGTCTGGGTGACAGAGCAAGGCTCTGTCAAAAAAAAAAAAAAAAAAAAAAAAAATGTGTTATTCAGTGTATAGAAGACACCTACAGAATCCTGGCATATGGTAGGCAGCCAACAAACTAGCTACCATAATAATAATGACAATGGTGATTATTGTTACTAAGTTATGTCAAGTCAGGGAGAGGCTTTAGAGATCTTCTCATTCTTCCTCTTTGGGTTATAGATGAGCAAACCCAAGAGAGAGGAGGTGACTTGTCCTGGGTCACTCACAGGAGGATGTAGAGCTCAGGTCTCCTGGGTGCTGTCCTTAAGGAGGAGCACCTGCAAAAGGAGCAGCGTTTGTCTTTTGTGTGGGGTGTTTGAGGAGCAGGAGATACAGGGTGCTGGGGCTGGGCCCCATGACTTATCTGGCCCTAGTTGGTCTTCTGCTTCCAGAAGCTGTGAAAAGATCTCATTTCTAGTCATGGAGGATTCAGGCAGTTGGCTGGGATCTGGGGTCCTGTGGGTAATGGGAGAGATATATTGCAGGGGTGGCAGTGGCTTGGGGACAGACAGGGTGCAGGACCCTGGCTTCCTTCCTCAGAGAACCTAGCAAGTTGTGTGAATGTGTGTGTGTGTTTAGGGGGGCAGGCAGAGGAGATGGTCACTGTCTGCCTCTGCCACCTCCTGCAGCTCGGTGCCAATGTGCTGCTGTTCCTCTGCACCAACGTCATTGGCATCTGCACACACTATCCAGCAGAGGTGTCTCAGCGCCAGGCCTTTCAGGAGACCCGCGGTTACATCCAGGCCCGGCTCCACCTGCAGCATGAGAATCGGCAGCAGGTGGGGCTGCTCCCCGTGACCAGGGCCTGCCCCCACCTTACCCCCAAATAACTTGCACATTGGATCTGCTGCCTTGTCCAGTTCCGTGCAGCACAGTGTGATGGTTCCCCTGGGTTGTGCGTCACAGAGGCCCTGTGATACTGGGGTTTTGTCCTGTCCAAGGGAAGGAGGGCGTAGACAGGAGCACATCTGGGGGCTCAATGGAGGGTGGTCAGAGGGGGCTCTGATGGGGGAAGGTCAGGCCACAGTCCAGAAGGGAAGGTCAGGTCTTCAGAGAAGTCTAGGAGGGCTCTGGCGATGTGGAGAGACCAGGAGGGATTGCAATGTGAGACCAAGAGTATAGTGATGCCCTATTGGAACCACTGGGCTAGGAGCGGCTGCTGCTGTCGGTATTGCCCCAGCACGTTGCCATGGAGATGAAAGAAGACATCAACACAAAAAAAGAAGACATGATGTTCCACAAGATCTACATACAGAAGCATGACAATGTCAGGTAGGGTGAGGGTAGGAGGATGCCCAGCAGGGCGGGGGGTCTGGAAGTCTTTGAGGGCTATGTGTTCTGTTCATCCTCTGCTGTCATCTACAGCATCCTGTTTGCAGACATTGAGGGCTTCACCAGCCTGGCATCCCAGTGCACTGCGCAGGAGCTGGTCATGACCCTGAATGAGCTCTTTGCCCGGTTTGACAAGCTGGCTGCGGTGAGGGTGCTGGGCCTTGGGATTGGGCCTGGGTGTTGACCGTGGTGAGAGCATAGCTTTGCTGGCAGCAGCTGGGGATTTGAGGGCAGATAGAGTATGCGTGGAGGGTGGTGGGCCATGCAGGCTGGGTGGGCAAGAGAGTAAAGGTTACCCTTCCCTCCAATTCCTTCCCATTCAGGAGAATCACTGCCTGAGGATCAAGATCTTGGGGGACTGTTACTACTGTGTGTCAGGGCTGCCGGAGGCCCGGGCCGACCATGCCCACTGCTGTGTGGAGATGGGGGTAGACATGATTGAGGCCATCTCGTAAGCAGTGCCCCATTCCTAGGCTTCCTGGAATTGCGGGTGCCCCAGACTGCTCCTACTTTTTGATGAGACCTCAGGAGATTTCCTCAGTTTTGGCTTTCTCTGTCTTTGAGGTCTGTCTGTCACTGGGAAGGGGAATCTTTCTCCAACCTGTGCAAAGACCCATGCGGACCCCTAGACTCCCAGCCAGCCGAGATGGGGCCGGGAGAGCCTATGCAGTAGGGGAGTTGGGCTAGAGGGAATGCCATCTGTGCAGGCCAGAGGGGATAACAGTGATTCCTCTTCTCCTAGCTCAGTTCCATAAGATGCTGCTGGGCCCCTGCTGTTGAACACAGCCTTAACATTTGTCCTTGAGCCCCATGCAGCCTTCTGCTCATGTCCAACCAAGGCTGTGCTCCCGTCCCCTGCATCTGGGTCTGTCCTTGCCCGCTGGGCCCTGAGAGGAGTGAAGGGCCTGGGTTGTGGGCTGGGGGAGGGGAAGACTGCCAGGAGCTGATCTGGGGCTGCATCCTCCCAGGCTGGTACGTGAGGTGACAGGTGTGAATGTGAACATGCGCGTGGGCATCCACAGCGGGCGCGTGCACTGCGGCGTCCTTGGCTTGCGGAAATGGCAGTTCGATGTGTGGTCCAATGATGTGACCCTGGCCAACCACATGGAGGCAGGAGGCCGGGCTGGGTGAGTAGGGGGGTCCAGGTGGGGGGGATGGGGGCAAGGTGGGAGAGCCAGGGTCTCACCCTCTTGGCCACATACAGCCGCATCCACATCACTCGGGCAACACTGCAGTACCTGAACGGGGACTACGAGGTGGAGCCAGGCCGTGGTGGCGAGCGCAACGCGTACCTCAAGGAGCAGCACATTGAGACTTTCCTCATCCTGGGCGCCAGCCAGAAACGGGTCAGGGCCAGGGCAGGGCTGGGGGCAGGGGAGCAAGAAGAGGGACAAATGGGGAGGAGCAGGCCAAGGCCTCCTCTGGGCCCCTCTTCTGAGCCTGTACCCATGCTGCCCGCACAGAAAGAGGAGAAGGCCATGCTGGCCAAGCTGCAGCGGACTCGGGCCAACTCCATGGAAGGGCTGATGCCGCGCTGGGTTCCTGATCGTGCCTTCTCCCGGACCAAGGACTCCAAGGCCTTCCGCCAGATGGTGAGGGGCCCTCAGCACCAGACCTAGGGCCTCATTTTCTTAGCTCCCTCAATACCCTGTCCCTGACCCTGTCCTTTCTTGTGACTGCCATTTCCATGTATGCTTTCTGGTATTGGGGCAGTGAGAAGATTTCATCTCGGGTCCCAGTGCCCCCAGAGGATATGACGGGGACACCCTCAGCACAGTGTTGGGGTGGGGGAAGGAGCTGCAGAGATGAAGGTTGTTGGCCCTTCACCTCACTCCACACTCTGTCCCTTTCTCCAGGGCATTGATGATTCCAGCAAAGACAAGTAAGTCAGGTTACTGAGGAGGGAGAAGGCACTTGCACCCTGGGATGGGGCTGGGGGGAGCCGAGATCCTCCTTTTCCCTGACCTTAGGAGTGTTGTGTGGGAGCAGGAGCCACCCCCCTGGCTCTCCCTCCCTCCCTCAGGTGCTGTCCATACCTTTCCTTTCATTGTTTCTCACATGGCCATGCCCATGCAACTGGTGAAACCATGTCTCCTGCCCTCAGCCGGGGCACCCAAGATGCCCTGAACCCTGAGGATGAGGTGGATGAGTTCCTGAGCCGTGCCATCGATGCCCGCAGCATTGATCAGCTGCGGAAGGACCATGTGCGCCGGTTTCTGCTCACCTTCCAGAGAGAGGATCTTGAGAAGAAGGTTTGAGGGATACAGGGCAGAAGGACAAGGGCTGGGGGAGGGGCAGGTCGCAGCAGGGAAGGCTGAGCACAGGTGAGGGCACAGGTGTTTCTGGGGGATGGAGAAGGGACCACAGAGCAGGGTGAGGATTTCATCAGTTGAGCCAACTGCATCTCCTCCCTGTTGAGACCCCTGGTAGTGCCCTGTCCTTGCTGTCCCTGCCTTCCTTAGGGAGGGCCCAGCACTCAGCTCAGCCTCCTCTCCCTCAGTACTCCCGGAAGGTGGATCCCCGCTTCGGAGCCTACGTTGCCTGTGCCCTGTTGGTCTTCTGCTTCATCTGCTTCATCCAGCTTCTCATCTTCCCACAGTGAGAGCCCTGCCTTTCCTCTCTTAGCTTCTCTCTTCACCACTTCCCAGAAGCTTCCTAAATACCCACACAAGCCCACAATCCCTGGAGCCTGCATCCCTGCTTGTTCCAGAGGGTGGGACAAGAATGCCCAGATCTTCCAGAATTAAATGATTTTTCTGGCCCTGTTCTGCCCCAGCTCCACCCTGATGCTTGGGATCTATGCCAGCATCTTCCTGCTGCTGCTAATCACCGTGCTGATCTGTGCTGTGTACTCCTGTGGTTCTGTACGTAAGGGGATTTCTGAGGCTGTTGGGGAGGGCAGGCTGGACTCCAGACAGGGAGGAGGTCACATGGGGAGAGGGAGAAGGCCATGCCTCTTCCACTGGGCCCCATCCCTGGTTGCCATTCCTCCTTGGCTGATACAACCTTCAACTCTTGGTCTCTTGATGCCTCTAGCTGTTCCCTAAGGCCCTGCAACGTCTGTCCCGCAGCATTGTCCGCTCACGGGCACATAGCACCGCAGTTGGCATCTTTTCCGTCCTGCTTGTGTTTACTTCTGCCATTGCCAACATGGTAAGGGTCCAGTGGGAATTCTCCCACCTCTGCTCTGTGCCAAGCACTGTCCTGGACACTGGGAGTACAGCGGAGAAAAGGACATATTTTCTGCCCTCAGGGAGCCCCCTCCCAGAATAGGGGAAGGTTAACTCCGGTTCTCCTTCCTTGTTCTCCCAACCTCTTGTCATCCCTGAGTGAGTACTAAGGCCCATGGGGTATAAGGTACCTGGGCATAGCCCAGGTTAGGGTACATGGCTTCACCAGGTACCTTGCAACCCTTTCCCTCCTTGGTTACCCTGATATACCCCTCCACTTTTGCAGTTCACCTGTAACCACACCCCCATACGGAGCTGTGCAGCCCGGATGCTGAATTTAACACCTGCTGACATCACTGCCTGCCACCTGCAGCAGCTCAATTACTCTCTGGGCCTGGATGCTCCCCTGTGTGAGGGCACCATGCCCACCTGCAGCTTTCCTGAGGTGTTCGAGCAGTGCTCAGGCGGTGGGGGGGCTGTCCTGGCACAGACATTGGCCCTTCTGTGCCAGGCCTGGTGATGGGCGCTGGGGACCCAGGAACTCACCAGAGTCTCCCACACTAGGAGCAACCAGGGGCCCTGGTGTGTTGTAGGGGCTGGGCATGGAAGGTGGAGGATATGGGGGTTTGAGGGGTGTGGTGGGAAGGTTAGGTCAGGCAGGAGAGTGCAGGGCTCTCCCTGCCCAAGGGTGCTGTGGCCTCTGCCTTCACCCAACGCTGCCTCTGCCACCCCCGCAGTACTTCATCGGGAACATGCTGCTGAGTCTCTTGGCCAGCTCTGTCTTCCTGCACATCAGCAGCATCGGGAAGTTGGCCATGATCTTTGTCTTGGGGCTCATCTATTTGGTGCTGCTTCTGCTGGGTCCCCCAGCCACCATCTTTGACAACTATGACCTACTGCTTGGCGTCCATGGCTTGTGAGTTTATTCTCAGGTCCTTTAATACCCCAGGAGCTTCCCTCACCTTTCTAGGTCACTGTGAGCCTCTCTGGTGCCCATGCCCCTTGTGCCTTGGAATGCCACAACACCCCTGTGGGGGAAAGGGAGGAGATGGAGGAGCTCCCAGCATGTGACCCCAAATAGTTACCCCCAAGGAAACCCTAGTCCTGGGAAATCCTTGTGTCTTTAGGCTAGACATTAAAAAAAAAAATTCCCTCTTACATTTGCATGGTGCTTTCACATCCACCATCTTAACCACCTATAGGACATACAGCTGCTTGGTGGCAGGGCTCTGGTTAGGAACCAAAGCTTCTGATTCCTGCTTGGGGGCTTTGCCTGGGACACCACACTGGCTTTTCCTCTGCAAAACCCCATTCCTTTGATATGTGGCCATAGCTTGTTGTAGTAGAAAAAGCCTCTGGTCTCTGCTGGGTTTGAATCCCTGCTCTGCTGCTCATTAGCTGTGTGACTTTAGACAGGTGAGTTAGCTTCTCTGAGCCTCAATTTCTTCATCTGTAAAATGGCAATGTCACCTAAATCACAGGGTAGTTGTAAAGATTATAGTAACTAACATTTATGGAAGGCTGACTATATGGCAGGCACTGTGCTAAGCCTTTTACATACATTATTTAGATCTGATCCCTGTTGTACTGATGAGGAAGGAGGCTTAGAGAGTTAAGCGACTTGTCTCAGGTCACATAGCTGGTAAGTAGAGGAGTCTCTAAGAGCAGAGGTTTTCTTAACCTCTACTCTTAATGAGTTAATTAATGTAAGTAAAAGCCCTGGCCCAATGCCTGACTTACAGTATGTGCTCAGTAAATGCAGTCTCTTGTCTCCCCTTCCATGTGCCCACCCAGCAATCCAGGAAGCACTGATGACTTTGTCTCTTCTATCTTCTTACCAGGGCTTCTTCCAATGAGACCTTTGATGGGCTGGACTGGTAAGTGAGGGCTCCGAGGCAGCAAAGGGTAGAGCCATTAGATGCCTCCTTCAGACACCAAGCATGTCTCTGCTTATCCTTAGTCCAGCTGCAGGGAGGGTGGCCCTCAAATATATGACCCCTGTGATTCTGCTGGTGTTTGCGCTGGCGCTGTATCTGCATGCTCAGCAGGTGGAGTCGACTGCCCGCCTAGACTTCCTCTGGAAACTACAGGTGACTGTGTGGGCCTTTGGGGGAAGAGGAGGAACCTAGGGGCGGAGCCTGGGCCAGGCCAGAAATGTATCTTGTGCTAGCTGGCTAAGGCTCAGGCCACACCTAGGCCCACCCTGGTTCCATTCCTTCTCTGTGCCCATCCCTTACTCCCTGCCCCATCCTCTACCTGCCCCCTTTACCCCTTTGCCTGTTCTTTAGGCCTCATCTGTCTGGGCCTTTCTTTCTCTATGTGATTCCCTCTTATCCGCACTTCCAAGCCTTGGCCACCACACCTACCCCTTGTGAATGTCGGGCAATGGGTGATGGGTGTGGTGTCCACAGGCAACAGGGGAGAAGGAGGAGATGGAGGAGCTACAGGCATACAACCGGAGGCTGCTGCATAACATTCTGCCCAAGGACGTGGCGGCCCACTTCCTGGCCCGGGAGCGCCGCAATGATGAACTCTACTATCAGTCGTGTGAGTGTGTGGCTGTTATGTTTGCCTCCATTGCCAACTTCTCTGAGTTCTATGTGGAGCTGGAGGCAAACAATGAGGGTGTCGAGTGCCTGCGGCTGCTCAACGAGATCATCGCTGACTTTGATGAGGTACTTTTCCAGTTGGCTGGTGGTGGCAGAGAGTGGGGGGTACTTGGAGACCAGGGATTGGAATGGGTGAGTGGAACTGGGAAGAGAGAGAGAGATTTGATGGGACCCAGAGTCATCAGGGGTAAGGGTATGCACAGTGGAGGCAGAGGCAAGAACCCATGAAGGTGTCAGAGGCAGCAAGGGGGTCAGCCCTAGTGGGGCAGGGTCATCACTGTTGGGGAGCAGGGGAGGACTTGATCTGTAGGGGGATAGGATAGGTACCAGGTGGATGTCACTGAAGAAGAAGGCAATAGTCTGTGGACAGAACCTCATGAGACCAACCAAGCAAGATGGTCCTCTGAATAGAGAAAATTGAAGCAAAATGTGAGGTAGTGTCCTGAACATCCAGATCAGGAATGGGCTGTTCACTGTTCTGGAGGGAAGTCACTTGCTCACTCTGGGACTCAGTATCCCAAAAGGTAAGGATTGGAGAAATTGCTTAATATTGCACTTGTGGGTCTGTGTTCTGTGAGTGAGCTACTGGAGGGACCTTCTGAAGCTGTATGCCCAAGTCCTGCCTGGAGTCCTAGGCTGCCTGTTTTCCCAGCTCCTCAGTCTTACACTGATAGCAGCAGCTGGAAGGGGGCTCTTGAGACAGGGAAGTGGGGAAGGCAGCCAAGGCGTGGCAAGAAATGAGTGTTGGGGCAGGGCTGGGTCTGGGGTCTTTGCCTTGACAGCCAGGTCTCCTTGTGTTGTTCAGATTATCAGCGAGGAGCGGTTCCGGCAGCTGGAAAAGATCAAGACGATTGGTAGCACCTACATGGCTGCCTCAGGGCTGAACGCCAGCACCTACGATCAGGTGGGCCGCTCCCACATCACTGCCCTGGCTGACTACGCCATGCGGCTCATGGAGCAGATGAAGCACATCAATGAGCACTCCTTCAACAATTTCCAGATGAAGATTGGTAAGAGGGCTTTGTTGCTTGGCGGGTTTTCCCAGGACTTTTTCCAGGTGAAGCTGGGATTATAGGCTGGGGATGGGATCACAGATTTCCCATCAGGGCTCCTGTGGGGTTTTCTTCCCTCTGACCTCCTATATCAAGTCTGATATTAAGAACAGAGATCATTAGGCACTGTCCTATAAATTTTTGAGCATATTTTAATCCTGATACTATTATCGCCTTTCATTGGATAGAGACTGACTCTCAGAGAGATTAAATAACTTGCCCAAGGTCAAACAACTAGTAAGTGGCAGAGCTGGGATTAAAAATCAGGTTTATATAAACTTGAATACTTCTGTCCTTATCTGTGACCAGTCCAATAAGAGGTATTTCCTCTCAAATGAACTGGTGGATGGGAGTGGTTAATAGCATGGCTACTAGAGATGGACTATTTGGTTTGAATTCTGGCTGCTCCATTTACTGGCTTATTTGAGAAGTCTTCTAACTTCTCTAAGCTTCAGTTACCTTATCTATAAAATGGGGATAATAATACCTACCTTTTAGAGGTGTTGAAAGGATGAAGCCATGCCGGGCGCGGTGGATCATGCCTGTAATCCCAGCACTTTGGGAAGCCGAGGTGGGCAGATCATGAGGTCGGGAGTTCAAGACCAGCCTGACCAACATAGTGAAACCCCTTTTCTACTGAAAAAAAAAAAAAAAAAAAAATTAGGCCGGGCGCAGTGGCTCACGCCTGTAATCCCAGCACTTTGGGAGTCCGAGGCAGGCGGATCACGAGGTCAAGAGATCAAGACCATCCTGACTAACACGGTGAAATTCCGTCTCTACTAAAAATACAAAAAATTAGCCGGGTGTGGTGGTGGGCGCCTATAGTCCCAGCTACTCGGGAGGCTGAGGCAGGAGAATGGTGTGAACCCGGGAGGCGGAGCTTGCAGTGAGCCGAGATGGTGCCACTGCACTCCAGCCTGGGTGACAGAGCGAGACTCTGTCCCCCCCAAAAAAAAAAAAAAAACAAAAATTAGTTGGGTGTGGTGGTACATGTCTGTAATCCCAGCTACTCGGGAGGCTGAGGCAGGAGAATCTCTTGAACCTGGGAGGCAGAGGTTGCAGTGAGCTGAGATTGTGCCACTGCACTCCATCCTGGGCAACAGAGCAAGACTCCATCTCAAAAAAAAAAAAAAAGAAAAGAAAGGATGAAGCCAGGTAAAATGCTTACTAGAGTGGTTGACATGGAATAGGCATTCAGGAGATTACTGTTATAGCATGGCTGTCTTGACTCAGGGGAGCTCCTAAACTGAGGTGCTCAGGTCTTTGGGTATTTTTATTTGTTTTTTGGGTTTTTTTTTTTTTTTTTTTTTGAGATGGGGATTTGCTCTGTACCAGGCTAGAGTGCCGTGGCACAATCACAGCTCACTGTAGCCTCAAATCCCAGGCTCAATCAATCTATTCTCCCACCTCAGCCTCCTAAGTAGCTGGGACTACAGGCATGTACCACCATTGTCCAGCTAATTTTTGTATTTTTTTTTTGTAAAGATAGGGTTTCACCATGTTGGCCAGGCTCGTCTTGAACTAGATTGTTCTTTACAACCAGGAGACTTGTCCTTTTTCCATTTTTTTCTCTGGGTCCTTCTACCAGTGCCAGGAGGTGGGATGACTCCCTGGGTTTACCCTGGAGCATCCACTAGTCTCTTGCTGTTCTCTCCACCTCAGGGCTGAACATGGGCCCAGTCGTGGCAGGTGTCATCGGGGCTCGGAAGCCACAGTATGACATCTGGGGGAACACAGTGAATGTCTCTAGTCGTATGGACAGCACGGGGGTCCCCGACCGAATCCAGGTGAGGGGGATATGAGCAGGGGCTGGGAGGAACATGGGCCCGGAGGGCTTCCACAGGTGTCTCTGCAGTCTGCTAGGACAGGGGTAGGGTGGCTAGTGTTCTGTGTATGGTGGGGCAGGGACTGGGGGAAGGGAGCTAGCCTGACTAGAGAACCCCTGGGCCCCTGCAAATGCAGCAGGAAGGATTCCAGGCTAAGCGGGCTCCCCTCCCACTCCCCCAGGTGACCACGGACCTGTACCAGGTTCTAGCTGCCAAGGGCTACCAGCTGGAGTGTCGAGGGGTGGTCAAGGTGAAGGGCAAGGGGGAGATGACCACCTACTTCCTCAATGGGGGCCCCAGCAGTTAACAGGGCCCAGCCACAAATTCAGCTGAAGGGACCAAGGTGGGCATTGAGTGGACTCTGTGCTCACTGGGTGGAGCTGTGGCAGGGGGCACTGAGCCTCCAGACCCTGCTAACCACAAAAGGGAACATCCCAGCAGGCTGTGCTTGGATCATGCTCGTCTGCCCTCAAGCTGGAAAACAAGGGGCTACCTACCGAGAGGATTATGCAAGTGACTTTCTTTCTTACTTGGGGTAGGGCTGTTCCCTCTCCAATCTTCCAGCCTTTGGGAGCAGGGGAGGGGTCAGTAGCAGAAGCAGAGGGAGGCCTCTTGCCTGAGGGATTAAAATGGCAGCTTGCCATGCCTACCCTTCCCTGTCTGTCTGGGCAGCAGGTTCAGGGCTGAGCCCTTCTTTTCCCTCTTTTTTCCTGGGAATATTTTGTACAATATTTTGTACAAAGACAGGCATGAGGAGTGCCTATTCCATGCTTGCCTTTGCAATACCTGCATCCCCAGCACTGGTCCTGGGCACTTCCCCACCCCAGCCAGGTGTCCCTCCTATGCACAGAGCAGAGGAGGGAGAAGCTCTGGGGAGCCAGCTTTGGCCATATTTCAGGAGAATGTTTCCATGTGCCAAATCTTAGTCCCATGATCTGTCCCCAAAGGGGAACAAAGGGACCTCTGACAGCTTAGATTTAGCCCCAGTTCCTGCACGCTCCAGGGAACGGGGTGTCTGGCCTCACTGGTACTGTGAAAAATGCTCAGAGAGCAAGCCTGTGTGTGGGGATGTCAGGTCAGGAGCTGGAAGTTCACCTGCAGGTGCCAAAGAGCAGGCCGGCCAGGGCTGGGGCAGTGCCAGACTCTGATCTGAGGACCCCGTCGGGGTCCAGATCAGGTCACTCTGCCCCAGTGCTCTCTTGCTGTCTGCTGACAAGGGGGCATGGAGCATCTCTTCCTCTTCTGTTGCCAAATAGAAAAGGGTCAGGGCATGGAGAAAGGTGACCCTGATCCCAAACCTGCCCTCCCAAGTCTCTGGTGTTGGGGAGGGCCCGTGTGTTTGTGTAACTGTGTGTGCATGTTGGTCTTTGTGTGCATATCTGTTTTCCAGGTCTATGTGAGTCCTTGTGCTCCTGCTCCTCAGCTCTCCACCCCAGGTTGCCTCTCTCCTGTGGGCCTCTGTCTTCTGGGAATAAAGCAGGGTTTCCTACTTCAGGGGATGTAGAGAGATGCCCAGGTTGCACAGGAGTGGGATGGGGTGTGGTAGCAAAAGGAGGGAGAGGAGTCCTTTTTGTGCCAAATCCCTAAGTGCCGTTCGGGGGCCATGTGTGCAGCATGACTCTCCCTGTCTGTGGCAGGGACCCAAGCGCTTGCTTAAGCCCCAGTGCTCCATGCCAGCACTTGAACTGTCTGGGGTTTGATGGACAGAGGCTGAGGAATTTCCTGGCTTCCCCAGATAGTGTCCTGGGACATGGTATGCTTTGGGGCTGGGGTAGCATGGAATCCCTCTGAGGACCTGGATACTGGTACTACGGGGTGGGGAAGAGGAACCTTAAACTTGGCTTTCCCCAGCCTTCAGCCTGAGTCTAGCATGTTTCTAGCTCCCCAGTCCCTTGTGAAGCCTTGAGGGCTGGCAGAAGGGTTAGGAGGTTGAACTCTAGATTCCCTTCCTGTCTTTGCCTTCCTTTTACCCCTTTCCCTGCAACCTCCTTGACTCTGGCCTGAATTTGTTGGTGCCTCAGTTTCTCTGTCTGTACCTATTTAAGCCAAAGGCACTAGCCTGAATTTTGCTTGAAGATCACTTTGTCTTGGAAATGACTAGAGAGGCAGAGGAGAAGGGTTTCCAGAGTTGCTAGGTTTGGGAGTGGAAGGGGCAGGCAGTGCACTTGCCCCTCCTCATGCCCCTTCTGACACCAGCTCCCTGTGGAGGCCTGGTTTCTGGGTAATGCCTCCCTTGGGCATCTTCATGCATCAACCAAATGGGCCATCAGGTACTTCATTAGTCATGGCAGAAGGAGGGGAAAAGACTTGTTTTCCAGACAGAAAATCTACTCCCCTGTCCCCAGCCATATCCCTGGATAGGAAGGGATAGGAAGAGACTACTTGGTGCCATGGGGTAGGGGTGAGGGTATAAGTAGATCAGAGTGGGAAGACCTCAGCCTTGGGTGGCTTGTCTCTGCTTCTTGCCAGGTGGGAGGGCCTGTCCACACCCTGGATCCCCGTACCACAGTGCCAGCCATGCCCTTCCCCTGGGCTACCATTGTCCCTTTCCTCACCCAGTTGGTAGAGGAGTCAGGAGGTGGGAGGCCGTGGGCTTTGGTTTTATAATGTAACCACTGTGGGGGTGGGGGAGGATGGTGAACCATGTATTTCAGTGAAATATTTAATATATTTAAATATCAATAAAATCAAACTCTTTGTAAAATTCTCTGTTCTCTGTAGCTGTTCTGGGCCCTGGGTGGGTCAGAAGTGACAGAGCCTGGTGTAGGAGGCGACCTCCTGCCCCAGGGCTCCGTGGGCCTCTTGTCTGTGGTCAGAGGACTTCCTGTGGCTTTCTCCCTGCTAAGGAGAAGCTGCAGTATCTTCAGAGTGTGACTACTCAAGGCCTTTCAGCATCATGAGCTCCAGTGTGTGCCTTCCCAGATTTGTGTGTGACCCCTGCCATGCATGAAGCCGGCGGTTCTTTCCAGTGCCTTGGCCCCTCACAGACCTCTCACTCCAAGGTCTGGCTTATTCAGGAATCTCCCACACAGCAGCTCTCACAACAATCTGGACACTGGAATCACTCCCATCCTGACCCCACAGCTCCCCCCGTGCACACAAGCAACTTTTAGTCCAGTCTGTTTACTGTGCTTTCTCCATCTCCTCCTCCCATTAGTCAGCCATCGGAACTGGGAAACCTCCTTCTTTCCCCCTCTGCACTCTTGCCACAATTCATCTTGTCTTTCTGCAGCCATATCTTCTTAATACAGACTGAAGGTCCTGTCATTGAGAATAGAGTGATCCATAAACCTGGAAAGAAGAGATTCAGAGAGAGATTCAGCCAGGCCAGGCTGGAGAGCAGGAGATCCTTAAAAATAGCTCCCAAGAGGCTGGGCGCGGTGGCTCACGCCTGTAATCCCAGCACTTTGGGAGGCCCTGGCGGGTGGATCACAAGGTTAGGAGTTCAAGACCAGCCTGGCCAAGATGGTGAAACCTCGTCTCTACTAAAAATACAAAAATTAGCCGGTCACGGTGGCGGGTGCCTGTAATCCCAGCTACTCGGGAGCTAATGCAGGAGAATTGCTTGAACCTGGGTGGCAGAGGCTACTGCCAATGGATGGTGATTTGAGGGGTGGAGAGGTAGCGACGAAGGCAGCATTGGGCTGCCACAGGATTACTATGGACACTTGTTTTGCACTAGCTCAGAAGTCACACCCACAAAGAGGAACACAAAGACACAGACAAATCTCTAACTCCTTTGAATGTCATCACGGCCCAAATTCTGGGGCCAGTTTTCTCTGGTAAGACTCAAATCTCTCCTAATTCCCTAACTGACCGGAGATGAAATAATCTCTAAGAATTAAAGTGAAGGGAAGGAGTACTTCCCTTGACCTCCCCACCCTTACCCCTCCCAGCCTAACCTGGTCATCGCGCTTTTTATGAGACAATGGCGTGGGCTCCGGATCCATGGCATGGTTTCCTCTGGACGCACTCCTGGATCATGGGACCACCAGAAGCTGAAGTTCTGAGCATCAGTCAAGGGGATTCTGAAGACCTGATTGGGAACTGAATGGGTGGGGGGAAGGGCAGGTTATCTAATTCCTTCAAGTTCTCTGCTCACTGTTCTGCCTCAGGGCAGCAATAGCCCAGCCCAGCCCAGCAACTGCTTGGCCGGACCAGGTGCTGAGAGGTCCTGGGAGTGTGGTCACCACACCCTGCTTCACTTCCGGATTCTAGCATCTCACACCCTTCATGGTCAAATGAATCAGTCTTGGTTCTTCCTGCTGCTAGTAAGCCCATCTCCAAGAGAGCTTTCCCCAAGTGCTAAGATGGTAGAAAAACAAGTGGTCAACCCACTTGGGAAATGTGTAAGATGGGGTCCACTGATCTATTATTTTTCTTTCTTCTTGGCTTAATCATCCTCATTCTCTTCCCTCCTCTTGGAAAAAATGGCTTCCTTTGCTCACTCCAAGTAATTCTCTGAAACCTAACTAATACCACCTCACATTTAGATGCTATTAATAGATGTAATTTATCTAGTGCCTATTATGTTCTAAATGTGGTATTAAATATTCTTAAATTTTTGTAATAATATCAGACTTTGATGCTGTTTGAAAAAGTACTTTTGGGCTGGGCACGGTGGCTCACGCCTGTAATTCCAGCACTTTGGGAGGCCGAGGCAGGCAGATCACCTGAGGTCGGGAGTTCGAGACCAGCCTGACCAACATGGAGAAACCCCGTCTCTACTAAAAAAAAAAATACAAAAATTAGCCGGGCGTGGTGGTGCATGCCTGTAATCCCAGCTACTCAGGAGGCTGAGGCAGGAGAATCACTTGAACCCAGGAGGCAGAGGTTGCGGTGAGCCAAGATTGTGCCACTGCACTCCAGCTGGGGCAATAAGAGGGAAACTCCATCTCAAAAAAAAAAAAAAGTACTTTTGGCCGAGTGAGGTGGCTCATGCCTGTAATCCCGGCACTTTTAGAGGCCGAGGCAGGTGGATTACTTGAGGTCAGAAGTTTGAGACCAGCCTGGCCAACATGGTGAAACCCATCTCTACTAAAAATACAAAAATTAGCAGGGCATCGTGGGGGGTGCCTGTAATCGCAGCTACTCAGTAGGATGAGGCAGGAGAATTGCTTGAACCCGAGAGATGGAGGTTGCAGTGAGCTGAGATCGTGCCACTGCACTCCAGCCAGGGCGACAGAGCGAGACTGTCTCAAAAAAAAAAAAAAAAAGTACTTTTACTATTTATTTGGATAAGTCTAATTCTACCAGTATAAAATTTGTATATTTTTAAAACTTAGAATTATAGCCTAATATTCTGGATTGCTATATAGTGTTTATAATAATTTTTTTAAAATCCCTAATAATTCATTGAGTAGATGTTACATTTTTGGCTTATTTTTCTATTAATTAATAATAAGCTATTAAAAAGTTTTGCTATTAGAGGCTGGGTGCAGTGGCTCACACCTGTAATCCCAGCACTTTAAGAGGCAGATGGATCACTCCAGCCCAGGACTTCCAGAACCAGCCCAGGCAACATGTTGAAACCCCATTTCTACAAAAAATACAAAAATTAGCCCAGTGTGATGGTGCACGCCTGTAGTACCAGCTGCTCAGGAAGCTGAGGTGGGAAGGATCGTTTGAGCCTGGGAGGTTGTTGAGGCTGCAGTGAGCCATGATTGTGCCACTGCACTCCAGCCTGGGCAACAGAGCAAGATTCTGTCTCGAATAGATAAAAATGGAAAAATGTTAAAGTTTTGCTATTAGAAATAACTTACTACCCCTCTTTCCACATGTGCCTGTTTTGATTTCTGAAAGTATTTTAGGTTTTAAACTTTAATTTTGTTATAATTATAGGTTCACATACAGTTGTAATGAATAATACGGGGAAACCAGGTGCAGTGGCTCATGCCTGTAATCCCAGCACTTTGGGAGGATCACTTGAGCCCAGGAGTTCAAGACCAGCCTGGGCAACATAGCAAGACCCTGTCTCTATTAAAAACAAAAACAAAAACAGGGAAATCATGTGTACCTTTTACTCTTCCCCACAATGGTTACAGCTTACAAAACTATGGGACACTACCACAACATGATATTAATATATTGAATATATTGATACAGAACAGTTCCATCACCACCCATCCTGGAGCTGGCATTTTATAGCCACCCTCCCCCACTGCCCCGCTTTGGAAATCAGTGATCTGTTCTTCATTTCTGTAATCTTGTCATTTTAAGAATGTTATAAGAGCCGGATGCAGTGGCTCACGCCCGTAATTCCAGCACTTTGGGAGGCCGAGGCAGGTGGATCACCTGAGGTCAGGAGTTCAAGACCAGCCTGACCAATATGGTGAAACCTCGTCTCTACTAAAAATACAAAAATTAGCCAGGCATGGTGGCGGGTGCCTGTAATCCCAGCTACTTAGGAGGCTGAGACAGGAGAATCGCTTGAACCTGGGAGGCAGAGGTTGCAGTGAGCCGAGATCGCACCATTGCACTCCAGCCTGGGCGACAGAGCAAGATTCCGTCTCAAAAAAAAAAAAAAAAAAAAAAAAAAAAAGCTGGGCGGGGTGGCTCACGCCTGTAATCCCAGCACTTTGGGAGGCCGAGGTGGGCGGATCATGAGGTCAGGAGATCGAGACCATTCTAGCTAACACGGTGAAACCCTGTCTCTACTAAAAATACAAAAAATTAGCCGGGCATGGTGGCAGGCGCCTGTAGTCCCAGCTACTCGGGAGGCTGAGGCAGGAGAATGGCATGAACCCGGGAGGCAGAGCTTGTGGTGAGCCGAGATCGCGCCACTGCACTCCAGCCTGGGAGACAGAGTGAGAGAGACTCCGTCTCAAAAAAAAAAAAAAAAAAAAAAAAAGAATGTTATAAGAGTGTTATATAAGAATGTCATATAAGAGTATTATAAGGCCTGGCATGGTGGCTCACACCTGTAATTCCAGCACTTTGTGGGGCTGAGGCAGGAGGATCGCTGTGTGGGAGATAGCCAGACCTTGTCTCTATTAAAAAAAAAAAAAAAGAGCTGGGCATAGTGGCACATGCCTGTAGTCTCAGCTACTCAGGAGGCTGAGGTGGAAAGATCACTTGAGCCAGGAATTTGAGACTGTAGTGAGCTATAATTGCACCATTGTACTCAGCCTGGGCAACAGAGTGAGACCCTATCTAAAAAAAAAAAAAAAAAAAAAAAAGAATGTTATATAAATGGCATCATACGCTATGTGATGTTTATTTTTATTTGTATTTTTTATCAGCTTACATCATGCTTTGATGTCCTACATGCTTTTTTTTTTTTTTTAAAGACAGGGTCTTGCTCTGTTGCCCAGGCTGGAGTGCAGTAGCACTATCACAGCTCATGGCAGCCTTGACCTGCCAGGCTTAAGTGATTCTCCCACCTGAGCCTCCTGAATAGCTGGGACTGCAGGCGAGCACCACCATGCCCTGCGATTTTTTTTTTTTTTTTTTGGAGTCTCGCTGTGTCCCCCAGGCTGGAGTGCAATGGTGCCATCTCAGCTCACTGCAACCTCTGCCTCCTGGGTTCAAGCGATTCTCCTGCCTCAGCCTATCAAGTATCTGGGATTACAGGCGCCTGCCACTATGCCCGGCTAACATTTTTTTGTATTTTTAGTTGAGATGGGGTTTCGCCATGTTGGACAGGCTGGTCTCGAACTCCTGACCTCAAGTGATCCGCCCGCCTCGTCTTCCTAAAGTGCTGGGATTACAGGCATGAGCCACTGTGCCCAGGTGTATGTTTTATAGATGGGATTTCACCATGTTGCCCAGGCTGGCTACATGCTTTTTAAAATGTACATGTTCTCTCTTGACAATAGTGCTAAAAAGTATTATTCCCATTTCCAGATGGTTCAGAGAGGTTGTGGTTAAAGGAACTTGCCTAAAGTCACAGAATTCGTTTGCAGTTTAAACCCAGTTCAATAAAATGCCAAAGCTTGTGCTTACTATTCCTCAAAGGGATAATGCATGATAATATACAATATACTTTTTTCTCCCAATAATTTTGAAAGATTAGTAAAACAATAGCTCAGGCATTTTCTCTCCCCAACATCCTGCCTTTAAACCAATGAGGGGCCCTAAGTGGCGGCTCACGCCTGTAATCCCAGCACTTTGGGAGGCCGAGGGAGATGGATCACCTGAGATCAGGAGTTCGAGACCAGCCTGGCCAACATGGTGAAACCCTGTCTCTACTAAAAATACAAAAATTAGCCAGGGGTGGTGGTGCACTCCTGTAGTCCCACCTACTCAGGAGGCTGAGGCACAAGAATCACTTGAACAAGGGAGGCGGAGGTTGCAGTGGGCCAAGATCGTAGCACTGCACTACAGCCTGGGCGATAGAGTGAGAATCTGCCTCAAAACAACAATAACAAACAACAACAACAGCAAAACCAATGAGGGAGTAGGTTGATAAAGGGTAAATGGGCTGGGTGTGGTGGCTCACACCTGTAATCCCAGCACTGTGGGAGGCCGAGGTGGGAGGATCACTTGAGCCTGGGAGTTTGACACCAGCCTGGACAACATAGCATGACTCCCTCTCTACAAAAATGTTTTTAAAAAATTAGCCAGGCTTGGTGGTGCATGCCTGTAGTCCCAGCTACTCAGGAGACTGAGGCAAGAAGATCACTTGAGCCCAGGAGTTCGAGGCTGCAGTGAGCTATGATTGCAGCACTGCACTCCAGCCTGGGTGACAGAATGAGATCCTGTTTCCAAGAAAAGAAAAGAAAAGGTGAAACATCAAAAAAGAGGCAGAACTAGGACTCAAACATCTTCTGCTTCCAAGTCTAATTCAAATTTCATTTCATTGATGGGCATGGTGGCTCACGCCTGTAATCCCAGCACTTTGGGAGGCCCAAGTGGGTGGATCACCTGAGGTCAGGAGTTTGAGACCAACCTGGACAAACCAACCTCTACTAAAAATACAAAAATTAGCCAGGTATGGTGGCAGGCACCTGTAATCTCAGCTACTCAGGAGGCTGAGGCAAGAGAATCACTTGAACCTGGGAGGCAGAGGTTGCAGTGAGCTGAGATGGCCCCATTGCACTCCAGGCTGGGTGACAGAGCAAGACTCATCTCAAAAAAAAATTTTTTTTTTCATTTTATCATATCGTGCTTACCCCACCAAGTCTACTTTCTCCCTCTTCCTCTCAGTCTCTTCTCTTGGCTCTTTTTTTTTCTTCCTGCCTGATAACCATACCCAACCACATCCCAGCCATTCTTTTTTTTTTTTTTGAGACAAAGTGTCACTCTGTTGCCCAAGCTGGAGTGCAGTGGCACGATCTTGGCTCACGCAACCTCCAACTCCCGGCTTCAAGGCCTCTTGAGTAGCTGAGACTACAGGCATGCACCACCATGCCCGGCTAATTTTTGTATTTTTAGTAGAGATGGGGTTTCACTATGTTGGCCAGGCTGGTCTTGAACTCCTGACCTTGTGATCCGCCTGCCTCGGCCTCCCAAAGTGCTAGGATTACAGACATGAGCCACCAAGCCCGGCCTCATCCCAGCCATTCTTTAGGAACTCAGACATATCTTTTTTTCTCCTAGCATGATGCCCACCCCAAGGTACTTACACGTCTTCAACAACACCTTCCGGACAGCTTCGTGGTATCTTGTGTGGCTATTCTGGTGCACGGAATAATTCCCATCTTTTGAGATAATGGGGGGAAGCCTAGTAGGCTCTGGTTCCTTCTGGTCTGAAATTAGAGTAGACTCGTTCTGAGTACTTGGCAAATGACTATTTGATTCTCTGATTCCCTGGTCTCCATGCTAACCAGATGCATAGCAGGGATCTCTCCTAGCCACTCACATCCAATTTTCAGGACCTCAGGAATCCAATCACCATGGCTGTGACAGAGGGGAGGGAGAGAGAACACAGTGATCACAAGACCTCCCTTACCACTCTCTTGCTTCTCCCTGACTCCTGGATTTTAAGAGGCCAACTTCTGGAATCAGGATATTGGACACATACTTAGGGTTAGTCCAAGTGAAAAAGGCCCTTATCTGGGTAGACATTCCTTTCCTGGGATTGGCATATTTGCAGAACTTCAAATGGTCTAATAGTGGAAGTCATGTTTGAGCTAAGTCTTGGAGGAAAAGAAGGAGGTAGGTTACAGTAGAATCAGGAAGAGCATTTCAGACAGCAGAATGACAAGTGTTTAGAAGCATTAGAAAGGCATCAGAGAGCTATTTGATTTGGAGCCTCGAGTGCTGGGTGAAGAGGAGAAGGACAGGAGATGGGGCTGGTAAGGTGGTGTATTATAGTGGCTACCTAGCATTCATTATGTTTGGGAATCACTCCCTATGAAGCAAAACCTGTATCTCACAATAGAGGCTGAATAGACTAGTTCTTCCTTATCCAACCTCTCTTTCAGCAAGGATATGGACAAAGAATTTTGGCTAGGCCAATCAAACACATCCGTTTCAGATTTTGAATCAAAGAAGGTTGCAAGGAAGCAGTGGCCATATAAAGTTATCCGCTAGTGACGGGAGGTGGCAGCAGTGAAGCTGCATCCTGTTTCCAGCAGCAGTATTCAGGGCCCAGCATCCTTGGGGCCAGTAGTGTCCACCACAGCATTGAATGTAGTAGTGTCTGTGCCAGACCAGGTCTATGGCATGATTCTGAGCATTGCTTCTGGTTACTATCCACCATGTGTAGTTTTCCATTCCTACTGCAGCTTTTACGTGCTTCCCAACATTTTCTTATTTTCTTTTCTCTTTTTATTTATTTATGTATTTTAAGACGGTCTCCCTCTGCCACCCAGGCTGGAGTACAGTGGTGCAATCGTAGCTCACTGAAGCCTTGAACTTATGGGCTCAAGCGATCTTCCCTCCTCAGCGTCCCGAAGTGCCGGGACTACAGGTATGAGCCACTGCATCCAGCCCCACATATATATAGTTTTTCTTTTTTTAAGATGGAGTCTTGCTCTGTCACCCAGGCTGGAGTGCAGTGGCATGATCTTGGCTCACTGCAACATCTATCTGCCGGGTTCAAGCGATTCTCCTGCATCAGCCTGCCAAGTAGCTGGGATTACCAGCGTGTGCCACCATGCCCAGCTAATTTTCATATTTTTAGTAGAGATGGGGTTTCACCATGTTGGCCAGGCTGGTCTTGAATTCCTGGCCTCATGTGATCCTCCTGCCTCGGCCTCCCAAAGTGCTGGGATTACAGGCGTGAGCCACTGCACCTGGTCCCATATATATACATATATATATTTATTTTTTATTTTATTTTATTTTATTTTTATTTTTATTTTTTTGAGATAGAGTCTCACTCTGTCACCCAGGCTGCAGTGCAGTGGTGTGATCTTGGCTCACTGCAACATCTGCCTCCTGGGTTCAAGCGATTCTTCTGCCTTAGCCTCCCAAGTAGCTGGGACTACAGGCGCTCACCACCACGCCTGGCTCATTTTTGTATTTTTAGTAGAGACAGGATTTCACCATATTGGCCAGGCTGGTCTCCAACTCCTGACCTCATGATCCACCTGCCTCCGCCTCCCAAAGGGCTAGGATTACAGGGGTGAGGCACTGCGCCCAGCCAATATTTTTTTTAATACATTCATATTCTGCTTAAATAGGCTAGATTTGGCTTGCATCTCAGACTCCTGAGCAAGGGAGGATGAGTTTGAAAAAAATTTAATTTTTTTTTTAAGTCTTTCAGAAGAGCAAGACTTGGTGAGGGAGTGAGAAAAGGAAAGCTGTTTAGGGTGGCTTCAAGATTTCTGTCTCTTGGCTGTTCCATCCATTCTGTCACGCAAGCCAAAAAGGCGCTAGGCCCCTTTCCCTATCTCCTCCAGCCAGTCTCAAATGCAGAGTAAAATCCAGCTCTTGGCTGGGCACCGTGGCTCATGCCTGTAATTCCAGCACTTTGGGAGGCCGAGGAGGATGGATCACCTGAGGTCAGAAGTTTGAGACCAGCCTGGCCAACATGGTGAAACCCCATCTCTATAAAAAATACAAAAATTAGCCAGGAGTAGTGTTCACGCCTGTAATCCCAGCTACCAGGGTGGCTGAGGGAAGAGAATCGCTTGAATCCCGGAGGTGGAGGTTCCAGTGAGCCAAGATGACACCACTACACTCCAGCCTGGGAGACAAGAGTGAAACTCTGTCTCAAAAAAAAAAAAAAGAAAAAAAGAAAAAAAAATCCATCTCTGCATCTGACGTTTTCAGTGCCTCGATTCTGTATTCCTGGAGCAGAAGTCATCCCATTCCTCAAATTTTTATTTTTCATGATTATGGATGCTTGTCAGGAACTGGATCAGTTTACCATTCTCTTTGGAAATTGCCGAGGATTGCTGACTAATCTCTGGTGGAGTGCGGAGATGCCACTTCTATTCTGGAGTTCTTCCCCAGCTCCTGCTTTTTTCTTTTCTTCCTGGCTTGGCCTCACTCATTCATCATCTCTGTCCCTCATCTCTCTCGTTTGCCTTCCAATTAAATCTCTTTTAACATTTTCTATCTGAAATAATGGTACCACCAGAGTGGGGCACAGTTTGAATCCCCTCCCTGTACAGTTGAGGACTTGGAGAAGCAACAGTACTGAAGCCTTGGTTAGCATATAAAGTTCTGGAAGCCTGGACTGAACCATGGGGCTGATTTGTACTTCATCACAGGTTATAGCAACGAGGCCATTTCCTGGAAGCAATATTATTGAGCCGGTATTTGAATTTGGGCAAGGTAGGGGTGGTAGGATGTCCTTGGACAAATAGAAATAGACTGAGGAGGCCGGGCACGGTGGCTCATGCCTGTAATCCCAGCACTTTGGGAGGCCGAGGCAGGCGGATCACGAGGTCAGGAGATGGAGACCATCCTGGCTAACACAGTGAAACCCCGTCTCTACTAAAAATACAAAAAAAAAAAATTAGCCAGGTGTGGTGGCAGGGGCCTGTAGTCCCAGCTGCTTGGGAGGCTGAGGCAGGAGAATGGCGTGAACCCAGGAGGCCGAGCTTGCAGTGAGCTGAGATCACACCACTGCACTCCAGCCTGGGCAACAGAGCAAGACTCTGTCTCAAAAAAAAAAAAAAAAAAAAGAAAGAAACTGAGGAGAAAGAACAAGCATATTCCTAGTGGCCAGTCTAGACTGAGAATAGTTATTGGTCTGAGCTCAAGTGACAGTTAGGAAATCTGTCTGTTCCCGAGGCCTCAGGCTGATTGTCAAGGGTACAGGCAGATGATGTTCTCTATTATCTCAACATGTCCAAGTAGCATGGTCCCGGCTTCCCATATGAATGGTCAGTGTGTGCTTGGAGGTGTGCTGGACAGTGTCACTCACCTGGATGCCTTCCTATGGAATCAAGCACCAATTGGCATATACCTTGCATCCATTTTTGGCAAGCTGGGAGATATTCTTGATAACCCATAACTTCCCCAAGCTGCCAAGGTTTGGAAGGTACCTGGGGTGAAGGGCGAAGGGCTTGGAAAGAATCATGCCACAGCTACTGGGAAAGGGCATGTTCTGGGTAGAGGGACGCAATGAGCTCTTTATAACCAAACTCCACTGTGGTAAGGTAGATGAATCAATTATTCTGTCGGTAGGTGATACAACAGAGGTCCTTCATCCACCCAGTTAACGCCATGCTCTGCATGGTCTTTGTTGATAAGTAGATATGAAATACCCTAAATAGCTTCTAGAACTGGGCCACAAATTGGGGGTTGCCATAAAACCACCTTTAATGCTTTGAAGAGACTATGAAGGACATGTAGGGTCATATAAAAGTACTTGAGTGGATGTTCCATCCCTCCAAATTAATGGTGCAGATTTCTCAGTATTACAAGTTTCCCTGTGACTCGGGGGTGGTCACACAATCTTAGTTATTCACTACTTTGCCCATTGCCTCTGTTTGTTGCAACTGGGGCTGATTGGCCACAATGTTTTCAGGCTGAAGAATTTTTAGAAAGAGTCTACCTTTGTGCCTCCCAGAAATCTACCTTCTAGATTAGGGTATTTGCAGCCAGGCATGGTGGCTAATGCCTATAATCCCAGCACTTTGGGAGGCTGAGGTATGGTGGCACGAGCCTGTGGTC
The DNA here is from genome assembly GCF_000001405.40 of Homo sapiens. Classification (NCBI taxonomy): domain Eukaryota; kingdom Metazoa; phylum Chordata; class Mammalia; order Primates; family Hominidae; genus Homo; species Homo sapiens. Next base: position 48,754,881 of record NC_000012.12, on the reverse strand, counting down.
CCAGCTACTCGGGAGGCTGAAGTGGGAAGATCGCTGAAGTTCAGGAGGTTGAAGCTGCAGTGGGCTGTGATTGTGCCACTGCACTCCAGCCTGGGTGACAGAGCAAGACCCTGCCTCAAAAAACGAAAAACAGGCCAGGCGCGGTGGCTCACGCCTGTAATCCCAGCACTTTGGGAGGCCTAGTCGGGTGGATCACGAGGTCAGGAGATCGAGACCATCCTGGCTAATACAGTGAAACTCTGTCTCTACTAAAAATACAAAAAATTAGCCGGGCATGGTGGCGGGCACCTGTAGTCCCAGCTACTCGAGAGGCTGAGGCAGGAGAATGGCGTGAACCCGGGAGGTGGAGCTTGCAGTGAGCCGAGATCACACCACTGCACTCCAGCCTGGGTGACAGAGCGAGACTCCGTCTAAAAAAAAAAATGCCTCAGGCTGGGTGCAGTGGCCCAGGCCTGTAATCCCAGTACTTTGGGAGGCCAAGGCAGGAGAATCACTTGAGTTTAGGAGTTTTAGACCAGCCTGGGCAACAGAGTGAGACCTCATCTCACTCCTGGGCTCAAGTGATCCTCCTGCCTCAGCCTCCTGAGTAGTTGAGACTACAGGCATGTGCCACCATGCCTGGCTAATTAAAAAAATTTTTTTTTGTAGAGAAAGGGTCTTGCTATGTTGCCCAAGCTAGTCTAGAACTCCTGGGCTCAAATAATCTTCCTGCCTCGGCCTCACACAGTGGTTGGATTACAGGCATGAGCCATCACACTCTGCCCCAAGGTACATTTCTCTAACTTCAGAAGGTTTATCCGTTTGGAAAGGCAGAGGGGCTCAGTGGCTCTGGCCAATTCATTCTTGGTTGAATTGTGCCACTTATGCTCCTGTTTGAAAAGCCGGAGACAGTGGCTCATGCCTGTAATCCCAGCACTTTGGGAGGCTGAGGCGGGTGGATCACTTGAGGTCAGGAGTTCCAGACCAGCCTGGCCAACATGGCAAAACCCTGTCTCTACTAAAAATACAAAAATTAGCCGGGCATTGTGGCACACACCTGTAGTCCCAGCTACTCCGGAGGCTGAGGCAGGAGAATCACTTGAACCCGGGGGGGCAGAGGTTGCAGTGAGCCGATATTGCGCCACTGCACTCCAGCCTGGGCGACAGAGTGAGACTGTCTCCAAAAAAAGAAAAAAAAAAAAAAAAAAAAGAAAAAAAAAAGTAAAGAAAAGCCAGAACAACAGTGCCCTCTGCTGGAGTCTAAGAATGGGATCTCCAGCTGTCTCCTAACAGGTAGTTCACCAAAGAGGCAGCTCAGAGAGGCAAGGAGACTAGGAGATTGAGCAGAAGACATTCCAGCCAGGCTTGGGAAGACTACCTTTTGTGTCCTCTAACAGGATCCAGGAAATGAGAACGTAAGTAAGACGAGTTCAGCTTTCACCAGAAACTCAAGGTTGAGCCTTTCTTTAAAGAAATTCATTTGGAATTGGAAATGAGAGCAACTCTGAGGACTCATTAGTGAATTCCTCAGGGAAGGGAAATGATAAGGGCAGCAGTGGGATAAGCTGGAGTGAGGCCCTTTGGATGTGCACAGCTTGAAGGTCAGCATGTCTGTGGCTAGAGGGTAGTCACTGGAGAGTCTGGCAAGGAGAGGTCATTTGTCTCAATTGTCTCAAGACAAGAACAGGCATAATCTTTCCCTACCACCCAAATCTCGCAGAGATTTTCTCTGTGACTCCGGTCAATGAACAGTGTTCTGGGTGCCTGGACTTGTGTTATGGTGAGAGCTAGGCTGACACAAGATTTTCATACAACAAGGCAAGGAGTTTTCTCAAAGAAGGGCCAGATTAGAGGGAATTTGTCTAGAATAAAGAACAGGGCCCTCCTGGACCAAGAGGAGTGTCAGGTATGAAGCTAAGAATAAATAGGATGGCCTGGCACAGTGGCTTATGCCTGTAATCCCTGCACTTTGGGAGGCCAAGGTGGGTGGATCACCTGAGGTCGATAGTTCGAGACCAGCCTGGCCAACACGATGAAATCCCGTCTCTACTAAAATACAAAAAATTAGCTGGGTGTGGTCGCATGTGCCTGTAATCCCAGCTAGTCAGGAGGCTGAGGCAGGAGAATCGCTTGAACCCGGGAGGCGGAGGTTGCAGTGAGCCGAGATCGCCCCACTGTACTCCAGCCTGGGCAACAAGAGCAAAACTCTGTCAAAAAAAAAAAAAAAAAAAAAGAATAAATAGGAGAGCAAGGTTCAAAGCTGGTGTTGAGAGAGATTCAGCAAAGGAAAGGACTGATACAGGATTGTGCTTCCCTGGGCAGGACAGAAGGGAAAGCTTGGGCACTCAAGACTCCAGAGTAGAAGGTAAATGAACCCTGGAAGCTGGGCTGAATCTGCAGGAGCAACCAGTATTAGAAAGAGGAATGGTGAGCCTGGGAGGGACAGGAATCTCCCAACTGGTAGACATGAGAGTTCTGGTCACTGGTCGGGGTGCTCTTCTGTGGGTAGTGAGTTGACCAGCCTCTTTCAGGGCCTAGATGAAATATCCTTTGAAGCCAGCCAGCGTTTTTTGTACCTCAAGGAATCTTATGGTTAAAAATATTGTTTTCCAGGTATCCTATCCTGGCAAGTATGTCTTGAGTAGCGGACAAAGATATTCTAGCCACAGGAAAGGTATATGTTCTATATGTAAATAGTGAACTTACATATGATTTATAACTTTTCCTCCATCATCTGTTGTAAAGTTTTATGTGCTAGGTCTTAGGTACGTTACATACATTATTTTATTTAATGTCCACAATACACCTTTTTTTGTTTGTTTGTTTTTTTTTTTTTGAGGCAGAGTCTTGCTCTGTTGCCCAGGCTGGAGCACAGTGGCATGATCTGAGCTCACTGCAACCTCCGCCTCCCAGGTTCGAGAGATTCTCATGCCTCGGCCTCCCAAGTAGCTGGGATTACAGGCACCCGCTAACACATGTGGCTAATTTTTGTATTTTTAGTAGGGATGAAGTTTCACCATGTTGGCCAGGCTGGTCTTGAACTCCTGACCGCAGGTGATCTGCCTGTCTCGGCCTCCCAAAGTGCTGGGATTACAGGTGTGAGCCACCGCACCCGGCCTCTCCACAATAAGTCTCTACTTATTGTGCAGTCTCTACAATAAGTCTCTACAATAAGGCAGACATTATTGTCTCCATTTATAGGTGAGGAAACTGAGGCACTATGAATTTGCTTAGTGTGAGTTAGCCTCCTGAATTTGAACATCTTTGGATACTTGATAAACTGAGTTTCTTTTTGTTTTTGAGTCAGTCTCACTCTGTCACTAGGCTGGAATGCACTGGTGCAATCATGGCTCACTGCAGTCTCAACCTCCTGGGCTCAAGTGATCCTCCCACCTCAGCCTCCCAAGTACCTGGGACTACAGGCATGCGCCAATACACCTGACTAATTTTTTGTAGAGACAGGGTCCCACTGTATTGCCCAGGCTGGTCTCAGACCCCTGGGCTCAAGTGATCCTTTTGCCTAAGCCTCCCAAAGTGCTGGGATTACAGGTATGAGCCACTGCACCTGGCTTAAACTGAGTTTCTGAAGTCAAGGATAGACCAAAGTATGTTCCCCACATCCATTTGCCTCTTTGATTTTTCTATTTTGATTCTTTATCAGGAGGAAAAGGTAGGAAGGAGGCAGGGACTGGCAGAATGTTTGATTACACGTGTTGACTCACCTCTGTGAGTTTTCATTATGACTCTAATAAGGAAAGCTTGAGTGGGCCCTTTTGAGTTGAATGTTAATACACTCACACCCACTAGGAGGAAAAAAAAACCTATCGTTCTTCAAGGAAAAATTGTGAATGACTTAAAAATATCATGATAGTAACAGTGTTAAGAATGAAAAGTGTGACTATTAATAGGTTCATTTTTATAGTTGCTGTTAAAGGCCTAGCTAAGGGACCAGGCAAGGAATGTGGCTGATTTGAACCACAGAATGGTTGAAGTGCTAAAACCAGATGGACAGAAAGGTGTCAAGCAGTTTGAGTGAATGTATTAACAAGGTGAAATCAACCAGGAAGAAACTGGGACCAGGGAACCATTCTGGAGACAAATGAAAGTCTTTCAAGATTGTTTAGCTTGTGGAAAAGGGTGACTGGAGATTCAGGAACTGTGGGTTCCCTGAATTAATGGACATAGAATTTGGGATGAGAAAGACCAGGGTAAGCAAGGTAGATGTGGACTTGCTAGGAGACGAAGAGAATGCTGTATTTTACCCATAATCTCCCTGCCCCACGTTGTGAATTTCCCAAACCAGTTCTGAGGTAATAGAAAAGTAGGAGGCATGTTCCCCATGGTGGTCCATAAGGTCAAACCCTTCCCAGCCAGCCACATATTTCAAGCAACCTCAGCAGTAGCAGGATTCAGAACCATCTGAGCTCTGTTGCACTTTTCTGCCCATATGTTAAATAAAATGAGAACTAAGAGTTTACCATTTAACTTAGCAATATGTGAGTCATTGGTAAATGGATACAGCAGGGTTTTGTTTTGTTTTGTTTTTTAGAGAGAGAGAGTCTCATTCTGTTGCTCAGATTGGAATGCAGTGGTGTGATTATAGCTCAATGCATCCTCAATCTCCTGGGTTCAAGTAATCCTCTCTCCTCAGCCTCCCTGATGGCTGGGACTAAAGGTGCGTGCCACTATGCCCAGCCAATTTTTTTGATTTTTAGTAGAGATGAGGTCTCACTCTGTTGCCCAGGCTGGTCTAAAACTCCTAAACTCAAGCGATTTTCCTGCCTCGGCCTCCCAAAGTACTGGGATTACAGGCCTGGGCCACTGCACCCAGCCTGAAGCAGTTTTAATGGTGTGGTGATGGCAAGTGCCTGGGTTGGTGTGGGCTCAAGAGAGAATGGCAGATCCAGAGATAGGCTGGGCGTGGTGGCTCACGCCTGTAATCCCAGCACTTTGGGAGGCCGAGGCAGGCGGATCACGAGGTCAGGAGATCGAGACCATCCTGGCTAACACGGTGAAACCCCATCTCTACTAAAAATACAAAAACTTAGCTGGGCATGGTGGCGGGTGCCTGTAGTCCCAGCTACTCAGGAGGCTAAGGCAGTAGAATAGCATGAACCCGGGAGGCAGAGCTTGCAGTGAGCTGAGGTTGGGCCACTGCACTCCAGCCTGGGCAACAGGGCAAGACTCCATCTGGAAAAAAAAAAAAAGAAGAAGAAGAACCAGAGACAGAAAAAACAACTCTTTTTTTTTTTTTTTTTTTTTTTTTTGACACCGAGTTTCACTCTTGTTGCCCAGGCTGGAGTGCAATGGCATGATCTTGGCTCACCGAAAGCTCTGCCTCCTGGGTTCAAGCAATTCTCCTGCCTCCTGCCTCAGCCTCCTGAGTAGCTGGGATTACAGGCATACGCCACCATGCCCGGCTAATTTTTTATTTTTAGTACAGACAGAGTTTCCCCATTTTGGTCAGGTAGATCTTGAACTTCTGACCTCAAGTGATCCACCTGCCTCGGCCACCCAAAGTGCTGGGATTACAGGCATGAGCCACCGCGCCCAGCCAAAACAGACAACTCTTATGTCTACGGGGAACAGAGAAATAGGAAATGAGGGGTTTTAAGATGGAAGAAGATTTTTTTTTTTTTTTGAGACTGAGTCTCACTCTGTCACCCAGGCTGGAGTGCAGTGGCATGATCTCAGCCCACTGCAGCCTCTGCCTCCCAGGTTCAAGCGATTCTCCTGCCTCAGCCTCCCAAGTAGCTAGGACTACAGGCGTGCACCACCACGCCCAGCTAATTTTTGTATTTTTAGTAGAGATGGGGTTTCACCATGTTGGTCAGGTTGGTCTTGAACTCCTGGCCTCAAGTGATCCACCCGCCTTGGCCTCCCAAAGTGCTGGGATTACAGGTGTGAGCCACTGGGCTCAGCCAGAAGAGGAAATTATAGATGGACAAATTAATGCAAGAGTGAGAAGAATTATTGGAGTGGTGTTTTGGAGAAGGCAAAAAGAAATGGGATCTGGTCAAAAATGGAGGGGGTTTGTCTTAATAGGTGCGTGGGCCATTCATTCATGATAATAGGAGATATATGGGCACAGATGCAGGTAGATGGATAGATGTGGTTTGTGATAGCTTATGGAAATTATCTACCAATTGCTTCTGTTTTCTCTGTGAAATAGAAGGCAACTCATTATGTGAGAATGAGGATGGGGGAGGAGGTGTTGGAGGTTTGAAGAAACAGGAGAAGGTAGGAAAAGGCCTCCAGGAGACTAGGAGAGTGAATGGAACCAGGAAATGTAGTTTGACTTCTGGGCAGCGATAATCACTAAACTCAAGCGGACAACAAGACCCGCTTGAGTTTGGTGATCATGAATTTAAAGCAAGGGCAATTGGCATGCTTTTTTTTTTTTTTCTAGACCGTGAGTATAAACTTCTCTTTCCAGGAATTTTGATATAATCAGGATGGTAGTGGGGAGAGGAGGGTGGAGAAAGAAATGAGGGCAATAACTTGAGGGGACCACGTGGTCAAGGGAGGTTTCTTCCCTTGCCCTTCCCTTGCCAGATGAAAGAGATTATAGCATATTTGTATACTGATGGAAATGATCTGGAAAGAAGGAGAATCCTGAGGGAGAAGATGATAGTTTTAGGAGCAAAATCTTTGAGTAGATGAGAAGGGATGGGCTCCAGTACACAAAAGGAACCAGTTTATTCATTGAACCAGAGGGAATGGAGTGGAATGTTAAATGGGATGATGGAAAGTCTCTGATTCCTTCTAATTTTCTTAGTGAAATAAGGAGCAAGGAAGTTAGCTCAGAGTGAGAATGGGAGAGGGGCTTCAGAGATTCAAGGAGGGAGATGTGAAATAGTTGACTTGAGGATTGGGAGAGTGACTAGGGGAATATGATAGGATTGTCAGGCTGCCCTGAGTTCCCACTTGACATCTGTGGTTATGGTACTCATCACTCTAGGAAGACTAAACATCTTAGATAAAAGCCAAATACAGTCACCTTTGTCTCGACAGGTGTCTCTGGAGCACAACACTTTTCATGGCCTTATAATGAACTCCCAGAAGTCAGCCTATGTGTCTCACAGCTTGGCCATGTGAGCACAGACTTCAACTCTGGGGCAATTCAAGTGGCTTCAAGAAAATACTAGGAATAGAACAAAATTACCATTGAATGTAATTTTCAGGTGGAAGATTGAATGATATGGTTGAAGCAAAACTTGGCAGAGGGTAGCCAAACTTGGCAGAGGGTAGCCAAGTTGCCTGAATGTCTTTGTGAAAAGGATAGTGGCATTAGAAATACTATTCTATGGTTCCTTTTGTTATGAGATCATGGATGATGGGCACAGTGCATAGCTATGTTAGGGTCTGCACTATTAAAAAGGCTGTCAGAACTGGGAGATGAATTTCAAGGCTGGGATGCAATGAAAGCAGTCTGATCAAAGTGGGAGGTGGAGGTAACCTGCTACAGTTTTGGCTTTGAATTTTTTCTCAATTTTGAATCTGCTCTTATGAAGATGAAGCCCTAGGCTTAGCTCTATACATGACAAGCTCCTCATTCTTCAGGCTGTTGCTTAAACATTAATTCATTGAATTCTCTGTCTAAAGAGGGCCTCTTGTTGGGCATGGTGGCTCATGCCTGTAATCTCAGCATTTGAGGAGGATGAGGCAGGAGGATCACTTGAGCCCAGTTTAAGACCAGCCTGGGCAACATAAGGAGACCCTGCCTCTCCAAAAAAAAATAAAAAATAAAAGTTAAAAAAGTAAAGTAAAATAAAGTGGGCCTCTCCAAGTTACTCCTCATTACGGCACTTTCAAACTCAGTTGTCTGTAAGGGCCAGGCAGATAATGCTTATGAGTAAAGCAAGCTGGGTAAGAAAACTGTACCATCTGAAGGGGAAGCTGCTACTTTATTCTAGCTGTTTGTTGTCATTTACAGCCACAGTTTAGGGCCAGTGTGGCCAAATCTAATTTTTTTTTTTTTTGAGACAGAGTCTCACTTTGTTGCCCAACCTAAAGTGCAGTGGCACAAGGTCAGCTCACTGCAAACTCCGCCTCCCGGGTTCAAGTGATTCTCCTGCCTCAGCCCCCCGAGTAGCTGGGATTACAGGCATGCACCACCATGCCCAGCTAATTTTTGTATTTTCAGTAGAGACAGGGTTTCGCCATGTTGGCCAGGCTGGTCTTAAACTCCTGACCTCAGATGATCCACCCACCTTGGCCTTCCAAAGCGCTTGGATAGGCTGGGCATGGTGGCTCAAGCCTGTAATCCCAGCACTTTGGGAGGCCAAGGCAGGTGGATCACGGGGTCAGGGGTTCGAGATCAGCCTGACCAACATGGTGAAACCCCGTCCCTACTAAAAATACAAAAATTAGCTGGCCGTGGTGGCAGGCTCCTGTAATCCCAGCTACTTAGGAGGCTGAGGCAGAAGAATTGCTTGAACCTGGGAGGCGGAGGTTGCAGTGAGCCGAGATTGTGCCACTGCACTCCAGCCTGGGCAACAGAGCGAGACACCATCTCAAAAAAAAAAAAAAAAAAAAAAAAGGAATTATAGTGCTTGGATTACAGGTGTGAGCTATTGTGCCCGGCCCCCAAATCTAATTTTTAAAGAGAAGTCAGAAATGTTGGTTTTACATAAAATCTCTGGATTTTTAGATGTTGGTCTAAATTTTTTTTAAAAAAGCACTCTGCAAGCTGAGCATGTCATCAGGCTACATCTGGCCCCCAGGCCAGCAGTTTAGGACTTCTGTTCTATTGCATTGCCCCTTTATTTTCTCCCTAGCTCTGGGCACAATTTGTATCTTGTTTATTTATTTACTAGTTTTATTGTCTGTGTTAATCACTGTTGTATTTCCAGTGTCTTACACAGTGGCTGGCACAATCAATTCCCAATAAATAAATAATTGATGTTGGATTAGAGGGGGAGTCTGGCTTGGTGCTTTACTTAGAAGCTTTTTATATATTGTTAATATTATTGCATACATGATTTATACATACGAATATATAAGTATGTATGGGTTTATATATGTGAGTATATGTGCATGTAGATATACACCCATCTATATATGGCAAATATTTTCACTCAGTGTCTCTCTTGATTTTAACTTTATGATGTCTTTTGATACACAATTAAATAATTTTTTAGTAAAAACTGTCAGTATTTTCTTTTAGGCATCTGGGCTTAATGTCTAATAAAGAAAGATTTGCAAAACCCTGCTAAGAATATGCAAATATTCTATGTTTTCTTCTAATATTTCTGTAGTTTGATTTATTGAACTCTCTAATTCATCTGAAATTGATTGATTGAGACAAAGTCTTACTCTGTCACCCAGGCTGGGAGGTGCAATCTCGGCTCCCTGCAATATCCGCCTCCTGAGTTCAAGTGATTCTCCGGCCTCAGCCTCCCAAGTAGCTGGGCTATAGGCATGCACCACCAAGCCCAGCTAATTTTTTTGTATTTTTAGTAGAGACGGGGTTTCACCGTGTTGGTCAGGCTGGTCTCGAACTCCTGACCTCAAATGAACTGCCTGCCTCAGCCTCTGGAATTTATTTTTGTGTATGATGTGAGGTGAGGTGGGAGGTGTTTATTATGCTAAGAAACATCTTTTTATTCTCTTTTTTTTTTTTGAGATGGAGTCTCACACTGCCCCCCAGGCTGGAGTGCAGTGGTATGATCTCGGCTCACTGCAAGCTTGGCCTCCTGGGTTCAAGCCATTCTCCTACCTCAATCCCCCCAACCCCAAGTAGCTGGGACTACAGGCGCCCGCCACCAAGCCTGGCTAATTTTTTTGTATTTTTAGTAGAGACGGGGTTTCACCTTGTTAGCCAGGATGGTCTCCATCTCCTGACCTCGTGATCCACCCGCCTCGGCTTCCCAAAGTGCTGGGATTACAGGCGTGAGCCACCACGCCCGGCCTCTTTAATATATTTTTAAATTTGATCTGCCAGTGGGTTTGTTCATTTATATTTACATTGATCTATGGCTTCCTCTTTTGTACATCACCATTGCTGCTGCTGCTTCTTTTTCTTTCTTTTCTTTTCCTTTTCTTTCTGCTTTCTTCTTTTTTTCTTCTTCTTTCTTCTTCTTCTTCCTTTTTCTTCTTCTTTCCCCTCCTCCTCCCCCTCCTCTTCCTCTTCCTCCTCCTCCCCCATCTTCTTCTTCTTTATTATTATTATTATTATTTTGAGATGGAATCTCACTCTTGTCGCCCAGGCTAAAGTGCAGTGGCACGATCTTGGCTGACTGCAACCTCCGCCTCCCGGGTTCAAGCAATTCTCCTGAGTAGGTGGGATTACAGGTGTGTGCCACCATGCAGCTAAGTTTTGTATTTTTAGTAGAGATGGGGTTTCACAATGTTGGCCAGGCTGGCCTCAAACTCCTGAACTCAGGCAATCTGCCAACCTCAGCCTCCCAAAGTGCCAGGATTACAGGCATGAGCCACTGCACCTGGCCAGCCCACAAGTGCCCACAAGTCTTTTGTTTGTTTGTTTATTTTTGGAAAACAGAGTCTCACTCTGTCACCCAGGCTGTAGTACAGTGGCGTGATCTCAGCTCACTGCAATCTCTACCTCCTGGTTTCAAGCGATTCTCATGCCTCAGCCTCCCAAGTAGCTGGGATTACAGGCGTGTACCACACTTTTTTTTTTTTTTTTTTTGAGAGGTTGCTTCACTCTTGTTGCCCACGCTGGAGTGCAATGGCACGATCTCGGCTCACCACTGTCTCCACCTTCCAGGTTCAAGCGATTCTCCTGCCTCGGCCTCCTGAGTAGCTGGGATTACAGGCATGCTCCACCATGCCCGGCTATTTTTATATTTTTAGTAGAGATGGGGTTTCTCCATGTTGGTCAGGCTGGTCTCGAATTCCCAACCTCAGGTGATCGGCACTGCCTCGGCATCCCAAAGTGCTAGGATTACAGGTATGAGCCACCGTGCCTGGCCAATTTTTTTTTTTTTTTTTTTTTTTTTTTTTTGAGACGAAGTCTTGCTCTTGTTCCCCAGGCTGGAGTGCAAATGGCGCTGTCTCAGCTCACTGCAACCTCTACCTCCCGGGTTCAAGTGATTCTCCTGCCTCAGCCTCCTGAGTAGCTGGGATTACAGGCACCTGCCACCACGCCCAGCTAATTTTGTATTTTTAGTAGAGGTGCAGTTTTACCATGTTGGTCTTGAACTCCTGACCTCAGGCGATCCGCCCGCCTTGGCCTCCCAAAGTGCTGGGATTACAGGCGTGAGCCACAGCAGCTGGCTATTTTTTGTATTTTTAATAGAGATGGGATTTCACCATGTTGCCCAGGCTGGTCTTGAACTCCTGAGCTCAGGCAATCTGCCCGCCTTGGCCTCCCAAAGTGCCAGGATTATAGGTGTGAGCCACCATGGCCAGCCTCTCAAGTTTTAATTCATGCTTGCCAAAAGTGAGTTGTGATTCCCCTTCTCTCCCGACAATTTATGCTAGTTTTACCATGTACCTGCAATTTTGTAATTTAATGAAATAATATTTGATTGTTTGTTTTTAGTTTTAGGTTTTTTTGAGACAAGGTCTTGCTCTGCCACCCACATTGGATGGAGTGCAGTGGTGCCATCATGGCTCACTGCAGCCTTAATCTTCCCATCTCAGCCTCCCAAGTAGCTAGAACTACAGGTGCCTGCCACCACGCCTGACTTTTTTTTTTTTTTTTTAGTAGAGATGGGGTTTTGCCATGTTGGCCATGCTGATCTTGAACTCCTGACCTCAAGTAATTTGCCCACCTTCCCAAAGTGTTGGGATTACAGGCATGAGCCACCACGCCCAGCCTTATTTTTGTATTTTTAGTAGAGACAGGGTTTCTAGTAGAGACAGGCACCATGTTGCCCAGGCTGGTCTTGAACTCCTGGGCTCAAGCAATTGGCCCACCTCAGCCTCCAAAGTGCTGGGATTATAGGCGTGAGCCACTACACCCAGACAAATGAAATATTTGAACTGATGGAATATGTGTGGAGAAAAAGGGCTGTGGCTTTTCTTTTATTTTTATTTATTTATTTTTTTAAATGGAGTTTTGCTCTTGTTGCCCAGTCTGGAGTGCAATGGCAGGATCTTGGCTCACCGCAGCCTCTGCCTCCTGGGTTCAAGCGATCCTCCTGCCTCAGCCTCCTGAGTAGCTGGGATTACAGGCATGAGCCACCATGCCCGGCTAATTTTGTATTTTTAGTAGAGATGGGGTTTCTCCATGTTGGTCCAGCGCTGGTCTCGAACTCCTGACCTCAGGTGATCCACCCGCCTCGGCCTCCCAAAGTGCTGAGATTACAGGTGTGAGCCACTGCGCCTGGCCTGGCAGTGGCTTTTATAAAAATGAAGCTGAGGCCGGGCACGGGCCTGTAATCCTAGCACCTTGGGAGGCTGAGGTAGGCAGATCACGAGGTCAGGAGTTTGAGACCAGCCTGACCAACATGGTAAAACCCCGTCTCTACTGAAAATACAAAAATTAGCCGGGTGTGGTGGCAGGCGCCTGTTATCCCAGCTACTCAGGAGGCTGAGGCAGGAGGATCGCTTGAACCTGGGAGGTGGAGGTTGCGGTGAGCCGAGATCGTGCCGTTGTACTCCAGCCTTGGCGACAGAGTGAGACTCCGTCTCAAAAAAAAAAAAAAAAAAAAAGGAAAAGAAAAGAAAAATGAAGCTGAATGTTTTGGAAAAACTCAGAAAAGGTGGGTCACTTAAAAGCTGGGGGCTAGGTGAGGTGGCTTATGCCTGTAATCTGTGCTTGTACCAGGCAGAAGGATTGCTTGAGGCCAGGGGCTCGAGACCAACCTGGGCAACAAGTGAGACCCTGTGTCTACAAAAAATTTTTTTTAAAATTGTAGTAAACTTTGAGTTAAAATGGATTGGAGTTAGAAAATCACCATTTTGCAATTATCACAGAAATAACAGATTCACACAAAACCATCAATGGATACTAAAATCAGTGGGTGAAAGTTTGATGAAGAATAGGGTAGTTGGCTGGGTGCAATGGCTCACGCCTGTAATGCCACTACTTAGGGAGGCTGGGGCGGGAGAATCGCTTGAGCTCAGGAATTTGAATAGCCTGGACAACATAGCGAGACCTTGCCTCTACTAGAAATCAAAACAATTGGCTGGGTGTGGTGGTGTGCATCTGTAGTCCCAGCTACTTGGAAGGCTGAGGTTAGAGAATTGCTTGAGTCTGGAGGTCAAGGCAGTAAGCTGTGATTGTGCCACTGCACTCAAGCCTGAGCAACAGAGTGACACCTTGTAAAAAAAAAAAAAAAAAGAATACTTACATTTTTCCAAAGAATCTTATCAGAAATTATTGGTTACAAAAGAAGAATGGTAACTTGACAGTGAAGAAAACCAATAATTACACCTTTAGTGGTCAAAGTTCACATTACCAGTAATGGGACCAAATGACATCATGAGCCTCCCGATATGATGGACTGAAGATATAATGTCGCTTATTCCTGCCAAAGATGTTTAAACTCAATCTAATCATGAGAAACATCAGAAAAATCCAAATTATGGAATATTCTACACAATGTCTTGCCTATACTATTACAAAAATGTCAGTATTGGCCAGGCATGGTGGCTCATGCCTGTAATCCCAGCACTTTGGGAGGCTGTGGTGGGTGGATCACCTGAGGTTGGGAGTTTGAGACCAGCCTGACCAACATGGAGAAACCCCATCTCTACTAAAAATGCAAAATTAGCCAGGCCTGGTGGCACATGCCTGTAATTCTTGGGAGGCTGAGGCAGGAGAATCGCTTCAACCTGGACTGCATACGTTGTGGTGAGCCATTGTATGCCTGGGCAACAAGAGCAAAACTCCATCTCAAAAAAAAAAAAAAAAAAAAAGTCAATATCATGAAACGAAGGTGGAGGAACTATTCCAGATTAAAGGAGACTAAAGAGACACGCTCACTAAATGCAATGCTTGATCCTTAACTGGATCCTGGAAGGAAAAATTTTGCTCTAAAAGACATTAATGGCCAGTCTGGGCAACATAGCGAGACCTCATCTCTTTTATTTTTATTTTTTAAGATAGAGTCTCACTCTGTCACCCAGGCTGGAGTGCAGTGGCGTGATCTGGGCTCACAGCAACCTCCATCTCCCAGGTTCAAGCAATCCTCCCACCTCATTCTCCTGAGTAGCTAGCATTAGAGGCACCGGCCACCATGCCTGGCTAATTTTTGTATTTTTAGCAGAGACTGGGTTTCACCACGTTGGCCAGGCTGAGATCTCCTCTCTTAAAAAAAAAAAAAAAGTTGGCCAGGTGTGGTGGCTCATGCCTATAATTCCAGCACTTTGGGAGTCTGAGGTGGGAGAATCGCTTGAGTCCAGGAGCTCAAGGCTGCAGTAAACCATGATCACCTCAATGCATTGCAGCCTGGGAGACAGAGTGAGACCCTGTCTGAAAAAAAAAAAAAAAAAGAGAGACATTTATGAAACAATTGGCAAAACTGAGAAATGCACTGTAGGTAATTATATAACAGCATTGTATCAGTGTTAAGATTTGCTGAATTTGATACCTACATGGTGAGTTGTTGTTAGGAGATACAAGCTTATTTAGAGGGAAAGAGATATAATATGAGCAACTTATTCTCAACTATCTGAGAAAAAATAGATATTATAGTAGAGACAAAGCAAAAAAGAGAGTGGCAAAATTAACAATGAGTTAACTTGGGTAAAGGGTGTAGAGAAATTCTTTTTACAAGTCTTACACATTTTCTATAATTTTGAAGTTACATTAGCAAGAAAAGTTTTTTAAAATGGTAGATTGACCTTATTGGCTTTATTTCCTTTTCCTCCCAAATTTGCTAAAATGACATCATCATCATCATCATCACAATGATATTAACCTTCAAGGGCAAAGAGAGTGGTCAAGGATATAAGAGCATATGAGATATTTCAGTAGAAATATCTTTTGGAAAATGCAAAGTGGACAGAAGGGTGGCAATTAACCTAACAGAGTAAAGAATGTTGTTACCTAAGTTTCTGTAGTGGAGGATACATCTAGAATTGAGCTAATTCATCTGAGGAATCACAGGATTCACTGTGAAGGCTGGTGATATGGTTTGGATTTATGTCCCTACCCAAACCTCGTGTCGAATTGTAATCTCCAGTGTTGGAGGAGGGACCTGGTGGAAGGTGATTAGATCATGGGGTCAGATTTCCCACTTGCTGTTCTCGTGATAGTGAGTTCTCACAAGATCTAGTTGTTTAAAAGCGTATAGTACCACCCACCCACCCCTTCTCTCTTCTCTTTTTCTCCTACTTCATTCACGTAGGACATGCCTGCTTCCCCTTTGCCTGCCACCATGAGTGTAAGTTTCCTGAGGCTTCCCCGGCTATGCGTCCTGTACAGCCTGTAGAACCATGGGACAGTTAAACATCTTTTCTTTATAATTACTCAGTCTCAGGTAATTCTTTAAAGCAATGTGAGAACTGACTAATATAGCTGGCACAGGTATAGGACAGAAAATCTGGTGATTAAGTTAAAAAAGTCAGGATCCTCAAAATTAAGACCCTCAATACCTTCTTCTGTCCTAGCTGCAGCATGCTAGTAGATAAACATATAACCAATACCCAGAGAAGGAATAATAGGATTCTTCCCCAGAGAAATTATAGAGAGCCAGAGGAAAGCTCTGGAATGAAGCCCATAATGGACAACTCCCTCCATCAGCTTCTAGTTAGCTTTTTTTTGTTTCTTACCCTTAAATCAGAATGGAAAGCCAAGGATCACTAGTTATTTGAGGTGAGTAATCACTGAGAAAAACAGAGACCAAAATAAACTCATAGGAAAAAGGGCTCAGAGGGAAAAAGAGTCAATGCAAGGAAAAGAAGAGAATTTCAAATAAAGTATATATTCATGGAGAAAAGACAGAAAATATAACAAAGGAAAATCAGAGGACCAAAAATGGTCCTTGGAAATTAAAATATAATAACCAAGGTAAAATGTTCTTATCTTCTTCATGAAGAAAAAAAAGCAAAAAAAAAAAAGTTCTGATATGAAGGTGTGCTGGTTTTCACATATTTCCACAAATCCTTTGATATACCTCCCCTCAAGAAGTGGAGCTTAGTTCCCCTTCCCTTGGGTATGGGCTGGATTTAGTAATTCTCTTCTAACAAATAGAAAAAGTGAAGTGACAGTCACTTCTGAGACTAAGTCATAAAAATGCATTTTGTCTCCCTTCTTTCTGATCACTTGCTCTGAAGAAAGTTAGGTGCCATACGTGGTGGCGGGCGCCTGTAGTCCCAGCTACTCGGGAGGCTGAGGCAGGAGAATGGCATGAACCCCGGAGGCGGAGCTTGCAGTGAGCCAAGATCGCGCCACTGGACTCCAGCCTGGAGGACAGAGTGAGACTCCATCTCAAAAAAAAAAAAAGAAAAAAAAGAAAGAAAGTTAGGTGCCATATAAGAATACTCAAACAGCTTATGGAGAGGCCCATATGGTGAGAAACTGGGGTGTCTTGTCAATACCCACAGAGAAACTGGGGCCACCAGATATCCTGGAAATGGCTCCTTCAGCCCCCACCCAATCTCCAACCATTATATGGCTACAGCCCCTGCTGACATCCTGTCTGCAACCATGTGAGAGATTCTGAGCCAGAATTATCGAGATAAGTTGCTTCTGAATTAACAGAAACAGTAAAATAATAAATATTTGCTGTTATAAGCCTGTATATTTTAGGGTAATTTGTTATACAGCAATAGCTAAATAACACAAGGTTGCAAGATAAAATTAAGGAAGCCTTCCAAAGAATAAATAATAATAATGATGATGAAGATAAATAAAATTAAGCCAGACATGGTGGCTCACGCCTGTAATCCCAGCACTTTGGGAGGCCAAAGTGGGCAGATTGCTTGAGCTTAGGAGTTCAAGATCATCCTGGGCAACATAGGGAGACTCCGTTTGTACTAAAAAATACAAAAATTAGCCAGACATGGTAGCCTGCACCTGTAGTCCCAGCTACTCAGGGAGGCTGAGCTGGGAGCATCGCTTGAGCCTGGGAGGTTGGGGCTGCAATGAGCCATGATCGTTCCACTGCACTCCATCCTGGGTGACAGAGCAGGACCCTGTCTCAAAAATAGTGATTAATAATAATGATAATAATATCAAGATTAATGTTAGAAGATCAATTTGGGAGACTTTATAGCTGACAAATGGTAGTTTGAAAAAGAATAAAGGAAGCAATAAATTAAAAATTAAGGCTGGGCACGGTGGCTCACGCCTGTAATCCCAGCACTTTGGGAGGCCGAGGCGGGTGGATCACCTGAGGTAGGGAGTTCGAGACCAGCCTGGCCAACATGGAGAAACCCTGTCTCTACTAAAAATACAAATATCAGCCAGACATGGTTGCAGGTGCCTGTAATCCCAGCTACATGGGAGACTGAGTAACGAGAATCGCTTGAACCCAGGAGGCGGACATTGTTGTGAGCCGAGATCACGCCACTGCACTCCTGCCTGGGTGATAAGAGTGAGACTCCATCTCAAAAAAAAAAAAAAAATTAAAAATTAAAATAAAATTTCTCAGAAATGGAAAGCATAAATTTCCAGAATGAAAGAGCTCATGGAGTGTTCATAACAATGAATGAAAAAAGACTTACAATAAATTCCATCATTTTGAAATTTCAGAATACTACGGATCAAAAAGAAAATCAAAAGTTTCCAGAGACCGGGCGATGTGGCTCACGCCTGTAATCCTAGCACTTTGGGAGACTAAGGCAAGCAGATTGCTTGATTGCAGGAGTTTGAGACCAGCCTGGGCAACATGGCAAGACCCCATCTCTAGAAAAAATACAAAAAATTAGCCAGGCATGGTGGTGTGTGCCTGCAGTTCCAGCCACTAAGGAGGCTGAGGTGGGAGGATCGCTTGAGCCCAGGAGGCAGAGGTTGCAGTGAGCCAAGATTTTGCCACTGCACTCCAGCATGGGCGACAGAGCAAGACCCTATCTCAGAAAAAAAAAAAAGCTTCCAGAAAGAAATGAATTAGTTACATACAAAGGAATGTAACTGGAAGCTAGAGGACAATAAAAACATAGCTTCAAAATTTTCAGAGAATGATTTTCAACCTAGAATTCCCTATCTGGAAAAACTGTCAATCAAGTGTGAGGGTATAGAATAAGGCCATTCTGGACTCATAAACATACCTCCTATGCATTCTTATAAAGCTTCTTGGCATATTGCAGGAACAGGAGGGAGTAAGCCAAGAAAAAAAAAAAAACATGCGACCCAGGAAACAGGGAATACTACCTTGGAGAGAGGCAAAAGCAAGTCCCAGGACAATAATTATGCAACAGGCTTTGAGAATGAACAGTCTAGACTACAGTAGGATAGGCAGTTTGGGAAAAAATGGAACTGACAGATTGCTGTGTTTTGAGTGATTGAAAAAATATCATTGGGCTTTTGGCAGAGCTGTTGAAGTATTGGGGAAAGAAGTAACAATCAGTACATATAGAACCAACAAATGAAAACATGATGGCAATTCTTTTTTTTTTTTTTTTTTTTTTGAGACAGAGTCTCACTCTGTTGCCCAGGCTGGAGTGCAGTGGTGGGCAATCTCAGCTCACTGCAACCTCTGTCTCCCGGGCTTAAGCAATCCTCCCACCTCAGCCTCCAGAGTAGCTGGGACTACAGCCATGCATCACCACGCCTGGCTAATTTTCGTGTGTTTTTTTGCGGGGTAGAGACGAGGTTTCCCCATGTTGTTCATCCTGGTCTCTAATTCCTGGGCTCAAGGAATCCACTCACCTCGGGCTTCCAAAGTCCTGGGATTACAGGCGTGAGCTACCATGGAGGCCAGGAATTCTTAACTCTAGGGATAAACAAAAAGTTTCTAGGGATAGGAAAAATGAAAGGAAAAGTTACAGTGACATTATTTGGCTTAGCAGTGAAACTTTTTTACATAGTTGTAAGACTACAAGACTACTGATTTAATATCATATTAGTTTTCTATTGCTGCATCACAAATTATAAATTTAGTGACTGAAAACATCTATTTTATTTTGTTTTATTTCTTAATTATTATTATTATTATTTTGAGAGGGAGTCTCCCTTTGACAACCAGGCTGGAGTGCAATGGCATGATCTTGGCTCACTACAACCTCCACCTCCCGGGTTCAAGCAATTCTCCTGCCTCAGCCTCCCAAGTAGCTGGGATTACAGGCATGTGTCACCACGCCTGGCTAATTTTTGTATTTTTAGTAGAGACGGGATTTAGCCATGTTGATCAGGCTGGTCTCAGGTGATCCACCCTCCTTGGCCTCCCAAAGTGCTGGGATTACAGGTGTGAGCCACCATGCCCAGCCTTATTGATTTGTATTTATTTATTTATTTTTGAGATGGAGTTTTGATCTTGTTGCCTAGGCTGGAGTGCAATGGTGCAATATCAGCTCACTGCAACCTCTGCTTCCTGGGTTCAAGTGATTCTCCTGCCTCAGCCTCCTGAGTAGCTGGTATTACAGGCACCTGCCACCTTAGTAGAGAGGGTGTTTCACCATGTTGACCAGGCTGGTCTCAAACTCTTGACCTCAGGTGATCTGCCCACCTCGGCCTCCCGAAGAGTTGGGATTACAGGTGTGAGCCACTGTGCCCGGCCTGAAAACAACATCTATTTATAATCTCACAGTTCTGTAGGTCGGAAGGCTGGACTGGCTTGACTGAGTTCTCTGCTTAGAGTATCACAAAGCTGAAATCAAGGTTGGCTGGGCTAGGGTCTTATCTAGAGACTGTAGAGAAGAATCTACTTCCAGGCTCATTCAGGTTGTTGGCAGAATTTAGCTCCTGGTGGTTATAGGACTGATGCCTTGCTGGCTCTCAGCCAGGGGCCACTCTCAGCTCCTAAAGGCCGCTTGCATTCCTTGACATGTGGCCCCCTCCTTCCTCCTCCTCCTCCTCTTCTTTTTTTTTTTTTTTTTTTTGAGACAGAGTCTTGCTTTTTCGCCCAGGCTGGAGTGCAGTGGCGCTACTCGGCTCACTGCAAGCTCTGCCTCCCAGGTTCATGCCATTCTCCTGCCTCAGCCTCCCGAGTAGCTGGGACTACAGCCGCCCGCCACCGCACCTGGCTAATTTTTTTTGTATTTTTAGTAGAGACAGGGTTTCACCATGTTAGCCAGGATGGTCTCGATCTGCTGACCTCAAGTGATCTGCCCGCCTTGGCCTCCCAAAGTGCTGGGATTACAGGCGTGAGCCACTGCGCCTGGCCAAACTCTCTGCTTTTAAAGAGTTTATGTGATTAGATAAAGCTCATTCAGATACTCTCCCTCATTCCATATAAATTAACAATCACAGAGTGGTATCTCAGTTTTTCAGAGGTTCTACCCACACTCAAAAGGGAGGTGATTACACACAGGCAAGATTTATTGAGGATAATTCTTAGAATTCTGCCTATCTTGAACCTAAAATTATGATATACCTATACTGGAAAAAGGGTGGGGGATGGAAAGTGTGTGGTATAAGAAAGCTAAATTCTTAGCTGTCGTAATGGGAAGGCAATATATAAAACCCAGAATGAAGCTGGGCACAGTGGCTTGCTCCTGTAATCCCAGAACTTTGGGAGGATGGGGCGGGAGGATTCCTTGAGGCCAGGAGTTGGTAACCAGCCTGGGCAACATAGTGGGATCCCGTCTTTACAAAAAAATTAGCAGGGTGGGGCTCTGCTTAGAGTATCACAATACCTGTACTCCTAACTATTCAGGAAACTGAAGTGGGAGGATCACTTAAGCCCAGGAGTTTGAGGCTGCAGTAAGCTATAATAGTGTCATTGCACTCTAGCCTGGGTGACAGAGCAAGACCCTGTCTCTAAACAAACAAAAAACACCCAAAATGGATAAATAAATATACATCACATAGGCTGGGCGGGGGATGGCTCACGTCTGTAATCCCAGCACTTTGGGAGGCCGAGGCAGGCGGATCACTTGAGGCCAGGAGTTCGAGACCAGCCTGGCCAACATGGTGAAACCCTGTCTCTACTAAAAAATATAAAAATTAGACAGGTGTGGTGGCATGTGCCTGTAGTACCAGCTACTCGGGAGGCTGAGGCAGGAGAATCGCTTGAACCTGGGAGGTGGAGGTTGCAGTGAGCGGAGACTGAGCCCCTGCACTCCAGCCTGGCGACAGAGTGAGACACTCCATCTCAAAAAAAAAAAAAAAAAAAAAAAGAATCTGCATTTACACATACAGTAGTCCCCTCTTATCCTTGGTATACATTCCAGACATTCCAAGACTCCCAGAGGATACTTGAAACTTCAGATGATACCAAACTCTATATACACTATATATTTTTTCCAAGCAGTAACAGGTGGATAGTGAATATGCTAGACAAGGGGATGATTCTCTTCCCAAGTGGGATTTTCCCAAGTGCAAAATTTCATCACTCTACTCAGAAGGGCATACAATGTAAAATTTGTAAATTGTTTACTTTGGGAATTTTCCATTTAATATTTTTGGATCACAGTCAACCATGAAAAATGGAAACCTTGGAAGACAAAACCATGAATAGGGAGGGACTACTATATTAAGTCAAAGTAAAATTTAAAGTTCACTATGTGAGCTGGGCTTGGTGGCTCACACCTGTAACCCCAGCACTTTGGGAGGCCGAGGTGGGAGGATCACTTGAGGTCAGGAGTTTGAGACCAGCCTGGCCAACATGGTGAAACCTCACCTCTACTAAAAATACAAAAATTAGCCAAGTGGCGTGGCAGGTGCCTGTAATACCAGCTACTCGGGAGGCTGAGGCAGGAGAATTGTTTGAAACTGGGAGGCAGAGGTTGCAGTGAGCCCAGATTGCACCACTGCACTCCAGCCTGGGCGAAAGAGCGAGACTCAGTCTAAAAAAAAAAAAAAAAAAAAAGATTAACTTGTGGATCAAGAGAAGACATACACTGAACTTTTCTTTTTTGAGATGGAGTTTTGCTCTTGTTGCCCAGGCTGGAGTGCAATGGCACGGTCTCGGCTCACCACAACCTCAGCCTCCCAGGTTCAAGCCATTCTCATGCCTCAGCCTCCTGAGTAGCTTTGGCCTCCCAAAGTGCTGGGATTACAGGAGTGAGCCACCGCTCCCAGCCACAATTTAATCTTTTAAAAAATTAACTCACAAACGATTAGACTGTGATGAGTCTACTGTAATTACATTCAACTTTCTTTTTTTTTTTTCAGATGGAGTTTTGCTCTTGTTGCCCAGGCTGGAGTGCAATGGTACAATCTAGGCTCATTGCAACCTCCACCTCCTGGGTTCAAGCGATTCTCCTGCCTCAGCCTCCCGAGTAGCTGAGATTACAGGCGTCCGTCACCACACCCAGCTAATTTTTGTATTTTTAGTAGAGACGGGGTTTCACCATGTTGGCCAGGATGGTCTCGAACTCCTGACCTCAGGAGATCTGCCCGCCTCGGCCTCCCAAAGTGCTGGGATTACAGGTATGAGCCACCGTGCCAGGCCTCAACTTTCATCATATAGTATTTGTTAATTGATCCAAGCTTGCTAGCTTGATGCCTAGTAGCAAGATTATGCCAGGGGTGTGTAGTTGGTAGGAATTTGTAGGTGCTGATTAGGTGAGCCAGACCCCAGCAACAAATTGGTCATATTTAGTTCAAGATACCTCTCAGAAGGATGGGATTAGTGGTAACTGGTTGCTATGTCAAATGGTGATTTCACTAAATTCTTGTCCCAGAAGGAAAATTCCTATTTTCTTTGGAAGAATATGTTTGAACTCCTATATTGAGTTTTCAACAATAACTCCAATGGGGTTTGAGGGGCTTTTATGTTTTTTTTTTTTTTTTGAGACAATCTTACTCTATCGCCCAGGCTGGAGTGCAGTGGCGCAATCTCAGCTCGTTGCAACCTCCACCTCCCAGGTTCAAGAGATTCTCGTGCCTCAGCCTCCAGAGTAGCTAGGATTACAGGTGTGTGCCACCACCCCTGGCTAATTTTTGTATTTTTAGTAGAGACGCGGTTTTGCCATATTGGTAAGGCTGGTCTTGAATTCCTGGCCTCTAGTGATCTGCCCGCATCAGCCTCCCAAAGTGGTGGGATTACAGTTGTGAGCCATTGCGCCTGGCCAAAGTTTGAGTTTTAAACACAGGAAACAAATCAAACTATTGTTTTGGTATTTGCATATAGTAGTTGGACTATATGATTCTCTGACGTGCATGCAGATGTGTGTGTATGTAAGAGAGAGAGGGAGAGAGATGAGGGGTCAGAAAGAACACATCCAGTTACTCTTTATCTTGCAGAACACTATTCTGAAGTTGTAGAATGTTGTTAACTCTCAGGAAGTTACCCAGGGGTTATGGGATGAGGCTGCAAGGTTTTGACTCTATACAGTAGTTAAGTCAACAATTCTGGCCATTAGCAAAGTTACCATTTAGCGCCAGTGAATGGTGAGCTCCTAAGAACCACTTGCTGGGGAGAAGTGAATAATTCTTTTTTTTTTTTTGAGATGGAGTCTCGCTCTGTCGCCCAGGCTGGAGGGCAGTGGCGCAATCTCGGCTCACTGCAAGCTCCGCCTCCCGGGTTCACGCCATTCTCCTGCCTCAGCCTCCCCAGCAGCTGGGACTACAGGCACATGCTGCCACACCTGGCTAATTTTTGTATTTTTAATAGAGACGGGGTTTCTCTGTGTTAGCCAGGATGGTATCGATCTCCTGACCTCATGATCCGCCCACGTTGGCCTTCCAAAGTGCTGGGATTACAGGCGTGAGCCACCGTGCCCGGCCGTGAGTAATTCTTTATGAAAGCCCAACTGACATTTGAATTCAGGGTTTGGGGGTTAACAGATTCACCTAGAAAGGCTGACCATCAATCATTTGTACAGTGGCCTGCTTACAGGAAAAAGACCTGCATCATTTGTCCTCATAAATAATGTGTTTAAGAGCACAGACAGATAAGTTAGACAATTTGGAATCAAATTCTGGCTCTATTGCTGTGGTCTTGCATAAGTAAGTTAACCTCTTTGAACCTCAGTTTTCTTTTCTTTTTTTGGGGGGCGGGGACAGAGTTTTGCTTTTGTCACCCAGGCTGGAGTGCAATGATGCGATCACGCCTCACTGCAACCTCTGCCTCCTGGGTTCAAGCAATTCTCCTGCCTCAGCCTCCCGAGTAACTGGGATTACAGGCATGTGCCACTACGCCTGGCTAATTTTTGTATTTTTAGTAGAGGTGGAGTTTCACCACGTTGGCCAGGCTGGTCTCGAACTCCTGACCTCAGGTGATCCACCCGCCTCGGCCTCCCAAAGTGCTGGGATTACAGGCGTGAGCCACCATGCCCGGCCTGAGCCTCAGTTTTCTTACTGATAAAAAGGGAACAGTAATACCTACTTCACAGGAATGTTAGAGTATTAAATGAAATTAAGCATGTAGCGTGCTTAGTACAGTGCCTGGTATACTGCATAATAAGTAGTTGTTTATTATAAAGTGCTTGAGCCAACAAAAGTATGGATTAATTAGAAACTGGCAAGTTGAAATCCTTTGTCCATATTTTGCGAGAGTAACTGGAGGGTATAAAATTGGGGTGGAGGGGAAGCAAGCAGGGAGTAGGGGTGGCATATTTGATGTTCAATCTTCCCTCCAACCTTACATTCCACAGGTTTGGCCAAACCTCCTGCCTCTGATTTTCTGTCACCAGAATGAGAAAACTTAGATAGTAGATGATATCGGGATACTTCTCCGTCATCCCACAGAGGGCTCTGATTTTTATAAAGTAAAATCTTCCACTTTGTCTAGCCTATAAAGAAATGATGCCCAGGCCTCTTTGGATCAGTATCAAGTCTTGTTCAACAGTGCTTAAGTAGCTAACTGGGTAGGACAATTGGTCGGCTGTACACTCAGTTTCTTCATGGTGAGAGAATTCTATCTAGTAGGGGTAGGTAGGATTGGAGCAGCCAGGAGAGGCTTAATCTTGGCCTGGAAAAAGGGAAATTTGTAGGTTTCTCAAAGAGTTTGTTTTTCTGAAAGAGGGTAGAGAAGAGCTCCTCTTTATTTGGAGATAAAAACAGTCCCATGGCATAATGCTGGGACCCAGTTGGGGTTGGGAGGGGAAGGGCTTGTATAAGGATATTAAGGAGTCTCTAAGGTCCATCAGGGGTACCCTTTGTACAAATCTTGCCTGGAAGCTGGATAGTAAAACAGAACTTCTTTGATGGAATTGCAGAGGACAGAGAATGACCAATGGAGGCCTGTGTAAGATTGTTCTTTACAATCTTTTTTTTTTTTTTTTTTTTAGACGGAGTCTTGCTCTGTTGCCAGGCTGAAGTGCAGTGGCGCGATCTCGGCTCACTGCAACCTCTGCCTCCCGGGTTCAAGCGATTCTCCTGCCTCAGCCTCCTGGGTCACTGGGATTACAGGCATGCACCGCCATGCCCAGCTAATTTTTTTTTGTATTTTATTTTTTTTTTGAGATGGAGTCTCACTCTGTTACCTAGGCTGGAGTGCAGTGGCTCAATCTCAGCTCACTGCAACCTCCACTTCCTGGGTTCAAGCAATTCTCCTGCCTCAGCCTCCTAAGTAGCTGGGGTTACAGGCACACACCACCACGCCCGGCTATTTTTTGTATTTTTAGTAGAGACGGGGTTTCACTATGTTGGTCAGGCTGGTCTCGAACTCCTGACCTTGTGATCTGCCCATCTCGGCCTCCCAAAGTGCTGGGATTACAGGCGTGAGCCACCGCGCCCGGCTCTTTTTTTGTATTTTTAGTAGAGATGGGGTTTCACCATGTTGGCCAGGATGGTCTTGATCTCTTGACTTCATGATCTGCCCGCCTCAGTCTCTCAAAGTGCTGGGATTACAGGCGTGAGCCGCAGTGCCCGGCAACAATTCATCTTTTAAGATGTAAATCAATTGTCATATCTCCTGTAAAGCCTCCCCTAGCTTCCTGTTTTACAGTTATTCAAACTTAGTTATTCATCCATTCACCCTACAAATATTTATGCAACCTCTATTATGTGTGAGGCATGGCTAGGCATTTTGAATCTAATGTAGATCTGCTCACTGCCTACTAAAAATTCAATGGCTGTCTATAAAGTTAAAATGCTTAGCATGGCTAACAGCATCCTCAATTATCTGGCCCCTTCCTAGTTTTCAACGTCTGCCTCCCAGCACCTCTCCACTTTACCCTTTATGTGTACCCACGAACTTGGAATTCACTTAATATGGTTCTCTCTTAGGTCTCTGTTCCTTTGTCTGTGCTATATCCCCTTCTTTTTTTTTTTTTTTTTTTTTTTTGAGACAGAGTCTCGCTCTGTCGCCCAGGCTGGAGTGCAGTGGCTCGATTTCAGCTCACTGCAAGCTCCGCCTCCCGGGTTCACACCATTCTCCTGCCTCAGCCTCCCAAGTAGCTGGGACTACAGGCGCCCGCCATCACGCTCGGCTAATTGTTTGTATTTTTAGTAGAGACGGGGTTTCACCGTGTTAGCCAGGATGGTCTTGATCTCCTGACCTCGTGATCCGCCCGCCTCGGCCTCCCAAAGTGTTGGGATTACAGGCGTGAGCCACCGCACCCGGCCATCCCCTTTTTAGTGAACGCCAATCATCCTTTAACACCCAGTTCTGGAAGCATTTCCTGTGTGAAGTCTTCTCTGAAGGATTCCCCCATCCTCCACTCCCCCGTTCTTATTCCAAATCCAATAGTATCAGGTACTTCCTTCTTAGTGGCTCTAGAACATTCCATATTTAATGTAATCATACAATATATTGCAATTTTTGTTTGCACACTTATCTTTCTCATCAGATAGTCACTTTATAGCAGAGGTCTTAACCCTAGTCACCAACATAATGCCAGGCACATAAAGCCTGGTGCTTAACAAATGTTGGTTAAATGAGCCAACGAATGACTAAGAATACACTTATTTGGTTGAACAAATTGTGTGTCTTTTTTTTTTTTTGAGATGGTTTCGCTCTGTCGCCCAGGCTGGAGTACGGTGGTGTGATCATGGCTCACTTCATCCTTGACCTCCTGGGCTCAAGTGATTCTCCCACTTCAGCCTCCCAAGTAGCTAGGACCACAGGCATGCACCACCACACCCAGCTAATTTGTGTAACTTTTCATAGAGATGTGGTCTTACTATGTTGCCCAGGCTGGTCTTGAACTCCTGGACTCAAGCAATCCTCCTGCCTTAGCCTCCCAAACTGCTGGAATTGCATGTGAGCTACTGCACCTGGCCCAAATTGTGTGTCTTAATAAGGATATTAAATGACAGGAGAGCAAAGCTGAAAGGATATTGTCCCTATTCCACAATTTTAACTAGTGTAACTGTTGGCCTTGGAGGATAAATCTCTAACCCCAGGTAGGAAAATAAATAGCTAGGAAGTGGCTATGAAGCATCTAGGTAAAGAAGTGGCCCTTCTAACCCTCTACCCTATATTCCCCTTACTTGTTTCTTCAGTTGTGTTCCTTTTCTTGTTCTGAAAGGAATTTTGATATCCCAATAGATACAAGTTGAAGAAGGCCATCTCAGATCCTCCCTGGCCTCTTCTGGAACGTCCAGGTTGGGGCACTGGACTCTGTGCCTGGTAACCATGGTAATGTCCTAAGAATTACCACAACTGACACTCCCTTTGTCTAATGAGGCACAGGATTTATAGGTTCACAGTGGAGCTGGAGTGGGAGTGGGCTAAATAACTTCAGGAAAATGGAGGAATCAATTGTCAGTACACCTTTTCTTGACCTAGTCTTCCAGTGTAAGCTTCAGAAGGCAGTGAGTAGAAAGAGCACCGACCTGGGCTCATATCTTAGTTATGCCATATTCTAGGTGTCTGACTTTGAATAGATTAACTAAGCCTCCATTTTCAATTTTAAATTAAAAAAATGACAATGACAATATCTGACAGTTATGAGAATCAAATGAGATAATATATGCATATTTCCTTAGAACGGTGTTCAACACATAATGGAAACTTAAATTTTTTTTTTTTTTTTTTTTTTAAGAGTCTCCCTCTGTTGCCCAGGCTGGAGCGCAATGGCGCTTTCTCGGCTCACTGCAACCTCTGCCTCCAGGTTTCAAGAGATCCTCATGCCTCAGCCTTCCGAGTAGCTGGGATTACAGGGGCGCGCCACTACACCTGGCTAATTTTTGTATTTTTGGTAGAGACAGGGTTGACCAGCCTGGTCTTGAACTGCTGACCTCAAGTGATCTGCCCTCCTCGGCCTCCCAAAGTGCTGGGATTACAGGTGTGAGCCACCACGCCCCACCAGTATTTAAATGTTAATAGTTATCCAGCCTTATATTCAGGAAAAAAAAGAAATCTGAATAGGATACTTTCAATGAGTCTTTGTTTCAGCAGTGGTGTGCCAATCCATAGTGACTTTTGAAAGCTTGTTAAATTTTCATTGATTTTGTGAATTGGTTGTTAAACAAGGCATTATTAAAAATCAAATTAACTAAACTTACAATTGAATGTTATATTAAAAATAAAGGTAGTACATCGGGTGTGGTGTCTCACACCTGTAATCCCACCACTTTGGGAGGCCGAGACAGATGGATCTCTTGAGCTCACAAGTTTGAAATCAGGCTGGGCACCATGGTGAAACCCTGTCTCTACAAAAAAATAAAACCCACAGAAATTAGTTGGGTGTGGTACGTGACTGTAGTCTCAGCTACTTGGGAGGCTGAGGTGGGAGGATGGCTTGAGCCTGTGTGGTGGAGGTTGCAGTGAGCTGAGATTGTGCCATTGCACTCCAGACTGGCAATAGAGCCAGATCTTGTCATAAAATAAAATAAAAGTAGTAAATACTAACAAGTCATCTCTTCCTGATTATTTTACTCTTATCTATGCTCATGAGTTTATTTACTTCCATTGCATCTGGATATTCCACTCTTTTTTCATTCGTTTTTCTCTTTGTTTTTCCGTTTGGGAAGTTTCCTATTGACATATTTTCAAGCTCACTGATTTTTTTCCTTTGTCATGCCCAGTCTACTGATGAGCCCACCAAAGGCATTCTGCATTTCTGTTACAGTGTTTTTTATTTCTAGCATTTCCTTTTGATTCTTTAGAGTTTTCATCTCTCTGCTTACGTTGCCCTTTGTTCTTGAATGTTGTCCTCTTTTTCCATCCTTTGTTCTTGAATGTTGTCCTCTTTTTCCATTAGTGTCCTTAACATGTTAATAGTTATTTTAAAATCTCAGTCTGATAATTCCAAAATTTCTGCCATATGTGAGTCTGGTTCTGATGCTTGATTTGTCTTTTTTGAGATGGAGTCTCACTCTGTCGCCCAGGCTGGAGTGCAGGGGCACGTTTTCAGCTCACTGCAACCTCCGCCTCCTGGGTTCAAGCAATTCTTCTGCCTCAGCCCCCTGAGTAGCTGGGATTACAGGTGTCTGCCACCTTGCCTAACTAATTTTTTATTTTATTTTTTTATTTTTATTTTTTTATTGATCATTCTTGGGTGTTTCTCGCAGAGGGGGATTTGGCAGGGTCATAGGACAATAGTGGAGGGAAGGTCAGCAGATAAACAAGTGAACAAAGGTCTCTGGTTTTCCTAGGCAGAGGACCCTGCGGCCTTCCTCAGTGTTTGTGTCCCTGGGTACTTGAGATTAGGGAGTGGTGATGACTCTTAACGAGCATGCTGCCTTCAAGCATCTGTTTAACAAAGCACATCTTGTACCGCCCTTAATCCATTTAACCCTGAGTGGACACAGCACATGTTTCAGAGAGCACAGGGTTGGGGGTAAGGTCACAGATCAACAGGATCCCAAGGCAGAAGAATTTTTCTTAGTACAGAACAAAATGAAAAGTCTCCCATGTCTACCTCTTTCTACACAGACATGGCAACCATCCGATTTCTCAATCTTTTCCCCACCTTTCCCCCCTTTCTATTCCACAAAACCGCCATTGTCATCACGGCCCGTTCTCAATGAGCTGTTGGGTACACCTCCCAGATGGGGTGGTGGCCGGGCAGAGGGGCTCCTCACCTCCCAGCAGGGGCGGCCGGGCAGAGGCGCCCCTCACCTCCCGGGTGGGGCGGCTGGCCAGGCGGGGGGCTGACCCCCCCACCTCCCTCCCGGACGGGGCGGCTGGCCTGGTGGGGGCTGACCCCCCACCTCCCTCCCGGACGGGGTGGCTGCCGGGCGGAGACGCTCCTCACTTCCCAGACGGGGTGGCTGCCGGGTGGAGGGGCTCCTCACTTCTCAGAAGGGGTGGCTGCCGGGCGGAGGGGCTCCTCACTTCTCAGACGGGGTGGTTGCCGGGCAGAGGGTCTCCTCACTTCTCAGACGGGGCGGCCGGGCAGAGGCGCTCCTCACATCCCAGACGGGGCGGCGGGGCAGAGGCGCTCCCCACATCTCAGAGGATGGGCGGCCGGGCAGAGAGGCTCCTCACTTCCTAGATGGGATGGCGGCCGGGCAGAGACGCTCCTCACTTTCCAGACTGGGCAGCCAGGCAGAGAGGCTCCTCACATCCCAGATGATGGGCGGCCAGGCAGAGACGCTCCTCACTTCCCAGACGGGGTGGTGGCCGGGCAGAGGCTGCAATCTTGGCACTTTGGGAGGCCAAGGCAGGTGGCTGGGAGGTGGAGGTTGTAGCGAGCCGAGATCACGCCACTGCACTCCAGCCTGGGCACCATTGAGCACTGAGTGAACGAGACTCCGTCTGCAATCCCGGCACCTCGGGAGGCCGAGGCTGGCAGATCACTCGCGGTTAGGAGCTGGAGACCAGACTGGCCAACACAGCGAAACCCCGTCTCCACCAAAAAAATACGAAAACCAGTCAGGTGTGGTGGCGCGCGCCTGCAATCGCAGGCACTCGGCAGGCTGAGGCAGGAGAATCAGGCAGGGAGGTTGCAGTGAGCTGAGATGGCAGCAGTACAGTCCAGCTTCGGCTTGCCATCAGAGGGAGACCGTGGAAAGAGAGGGAGAGGGAGACCGTGGGGAGAGGGAGAGGGAGACCGTGGGGAGAGGGAGAGGGAGAGGGAGAGGGACTGGTCTCGATCTCTTGACCTCGTGATATGCCTGCCGATTGCCTAACTAATTTTTGTATTTTTAGTAGAGATGGGGTTTTGCCATGTTGGCCAGGCTGGTCTCGAACTCCTGACCTCAGGTGATCCACCCACGTCAGCCTCCCAAAATGCTGGGATTACAGGCGTGAGCCATTGCTCCTGGCCTTGCTTTGTCTTTCTAGATTTTATATATATATATGTATATATATATATATATATATATATATATACATATATATATACACACACACATTATATATATATATACATATTATATATTATATATATATAGTTTGTTTACATTTTAGCATGCCATATAATTGTTTTAAGTTGGACATTATGTATTGGGTAAGGGTCAGGTTTTGAGTTTATATGGCTAGGAATTAGGTTGTGTTTACTGTTTGCTATAGCTGTACGTGTTAGATGCTAAAATTTCCTCTGGTGTCCTTGTTTTTGCCTCCCTTGCTCTTTGACTTTCCTTAGAGACTCTTCCTGAAATAGGGTCTGGGCCTTGCAGTTTTTTTCAGTTGTAATCCCATTATTATACAGGAGCCCTATTAAGGTGGATGGGGGGAAAGGATTCCATAATTCTATTATTAGGTCTGTCTTTTATTGCACGTGTATCCCTGGGCTGTAACCTTCACAACTGTATCATTTTTTCCCTCTCTCACATGAAACAGGAAGACAAGAGGAGGCTTCTGTTGGGTATATCCTTTCTCCCACATTGGTTAGGCTCTGTTCAACAGTTTCCCTTGAAGGCAGGCCTTTGTTAAGGAGCACAGAATGCTCTGGGTGTATTTCAAAATGGCTAACTTCTCTCTCTCCCTGTTGGAAGCAAAACTCACAAAAATGTGGGGGACTGCTTAACACTGGGTCTCTAGGAGTTTTAAAAAATATCTCAAGCTAGTCCATGTTCAGTCTCCAGCAATTAGTCAATTGCCCTATAAGTATTTCTACCAGTTGCTGGTTCCAGTAGTAGCTTTTCTTCCAACTAAGTCATGATTCTGTGTTCCACCTATTTTGAGTCCAAATGTTTCTCCAGATTTTGGGGTGAAGGTTGGCCCTGGAACCTTGATTCTCTGAAGGGTCTAAGAAGGGTTGTTAAGTTTCAGTTTGTTTGGCTTTTTCCTTCTTGTGAAAATGGGAGTGATGACTTCCAAGCTCTTTACCTGTCAGACTGGAAACTGGAACGCCCTATCTATTTTATCTGTCTGGAGAAAATAATATGTGATGGTGTGTGCCTCTTTTCCCAATTTTATGATCAGTGATGTCATATGGGCATATTGAAATCAGGCATGGTGGGAGGATTTATATCACAGAAATTGGCAAATGTTACAAACAAAGCTTGATTTATTCATTTAGTTGATTGTCTGAACTTAAGGAAGTGATAGAGAAAATGTTAATAATTCAGATTAAGTTTTAAAGCCTGTATCATGTCTGGCTGGGCGTGGTTGCTTACGCCTGTAATCCCTGCACTTTGGGAGGCCGAGGTGGTTGGATCCCCTGAGGCCAGGAATTCAAGACCACCCTGGGCAACATGGTGAAACCCCATCTCTACTAAAAATACAAAAATTGGCCAGGTGTGTTGGTGTAGGCCTGTAATCCCAGCTACTCAGAAGGCTGAGGCAGGAGAATTGCTTGAGTCTGGGAGGTGAGGTTGCAGGGAACCGAGATTGTGCCACTGCACTGCAGCCTGGGTGACAAAGTGAGAGTCTGTCTCAGAAAAAAAAAAAAGTATGTCATGTCTAAAGCCATTACATTGTTACATTGTTGCTAGCACAAAAATTTGACATATTGTTCCAGTATTTAAAAGCTATTATCTAATTGGATGTGGTGGCATGTGCCTGTTGTCCTAGATATTTGGCAGGCTGAGGTGGGAGGACCACTTGAGCCTAGGAGTTTGAATCCAGCCTGGCCAACATAGCAAGATCCCATCTCTAAAAAAAAAAGAGGGGCGCACATTCTTAGGACCTTCTGAAGCTGTTTCACAGAAAAAATAAAAATTTAAAAATAATAAAAACAAAACTTCGGCCAGGTGCGGTGGCTCACACCTGTAATCCAGCACTTTGGGAGGCTGAGGTGGGTGGATCACCTGAGGTCGGGAGTTTAAGACCAGACTGACCAACATGTAGAAACCCCGTCTCTACTAAAAATACAAAATTAGCTGAGCATGGTGGCACATGCCTGTAATCCCAGCTACTCAGGAGGCTGAGGCAGGATAATTGCTTGAACCCAGGAGGTCAAGGTTGCAGTGAGCCAAGATCACACCATTGCATTCCAGCCTGCGCAACAAGAGTGAAACTCCATCCAAAAAACAAAACAAAAAAACAGACAAACCCAA
This sequence comes from Homo sapiens, assembly GCF_000001405.40. NCBI lineage: Eukaryota > Metazoa > Chordata > Mammalia > Primates > Hominidae > Homo > Homo sapiens. The sequence goes on along the minus strand of NC_000012.12, from coordinate 48,721,658 downwards.
AACACCATGAAATATGGTAGAATCCTATACCCAGAACAAGACTAGTCTCTAGTAAATAGGAGGAGTAGCCCTATAGGTATGGCTTAAAAGAAATGGAGTAATATTTACATTTTTTAAAAAAGGAAAATTCCTCTGGTTTAGGATTTTGTCAATTATTCTTTAAGAGTAATGTATCTAAAGGTTAATGTATGCCCTAAAGAGTGGCATACTTAACCAAGATAGCAGACTCAATATGGAGTCATTAATCCAAGAGATTAAGTGGAGAACCAAGCACAGGTCAGAAAATTAGACAACAGGAATCTGGAATAAATGATCTTGGCTATTGATATGGTTTGGTTCTATGTCCCCACCCAAATCTCATCTTGAATTGTAACTCCCACAATTCCCACATGTCGTGGGAGGAAACTGGTGGGAGGTGATCGAATTATGGGGCAAGTCTTTCCTGCACTGTTATCATGATAGTTAATGAGTCTCACGAGATCTGATTGTTTTTAAAAAATGGGAGTTTGCCTGCACAAGCTCTCTCTTTGCCTGCCACCATCCACTTAAAATGTGACTTGCTCCTCCTTGCCTTCAGCCATGTGGAATTGTGAGTTCTCCATTAAACCTCTTTCCTTTGTAAATTGCCCAGTCTTGGGTGTGTCTTTATCAGCAGTGTGAAAATGGACTAATACAGTAAATTGGTACCAGGAGTGGGGTGTTGATGAAAAGATACCCAAAAATGTGGAAGTGACTTTGGAACTGGGTAACAGGCAGAAGTTGAAACAGTTTAGAGGGCTCAGAAGAAGAGAGGAAAATGTGGGAAATTTTCAAACTTCCTAGAGACTTGTTGAATGGCTTTGACCAAAAGCCTGATAGTGATATAGACAATAAGGTCCAGGCTGAGGTGGTATCAGATGGATATGAGGAACTTGTCGGGAACTGGAGCAAAGGTGACTCTTGTTATATTTTAGCAAACAGACTGGCAGCATTTTGCCCATCCTAGAGATTTGTGGAATTTTGAACTTGAGAGAGATGATTTAGGGTGTCTGGCCGAAGAAATTTCTAACCAGCAAAGCATTCAAGAGGTGACTTGGGTGCTGTTAAAAGCATTCAGTTTTATAAGGGAAGCAGAACATAAATGTTTGAAAAATTTGCAGCCTGACGTGATAGAAAAGAAAAACCCATTTTCTGAGGAAATCTGCATAACTAAAGAGAAGCTGAATGTTAATACCCAAGACAATGGGGAAAATGTCTCCAGGGCATGTCAGAGGCCTTCATGGCAGCCCCTCCCATCACAGGCCCAGAGGTCTAGGAGAAAATGGCTTCGTGGGCCAGGCCCAAGGTCCCCATGTGTGCTGTGTGCCACCTAGGGAGTTGGTGCCCTGCATCCCAGCCACTCCAGCCATGGCTGAAAGTGGCCAACACAGAGCTTGGGCTGTGATTTCAGAGGTGCAAGCCCCAAGCCTTGGCAGCTTCCACATGGTGTTGAGCCTGTGAGTGCACAGAAGTCAGGAATTGGGCTTTGGGAACCTCCGCCTAGATTTCAGAAGATGTATGGAAACATCTGGATGCCCAGGCAGAAGTTTGTTGCAGGGGCAGGGCACTCATGGAGAATCTCTGCTAGGGCAGTGTGGAAGAGAAATGTGGGGTTGGAGCCCCCACACAGAATCCCTACTGGGCCACTGCCTCATGGAGCTGTGAGAAGAGGGCCATGGTCCTCCGGATCCCAGAATGGTAGCTCCATTGACAGCTTGCACCATTTACCTGGAAAAGCCACAAACAGTCAATGCCAGCCTGGAAAGGGAGATAGGAGGGAGGCTGTACCCTTCAAAGCCACAGGGGCAGAGATGCCCAAGACCATGGGGACCCACCTCTTGGATCAGTGTGACCTGGATGTGAGACAGGGAGTCAAAGGGGATCATCTTGGAGTTTTAAGATTCGACTGCCCTGCTGGATTTCGGACTTGCATGGGGCCTGTAGCCCCTTTGTTTTGGCCAATTTCTCCCATTTGGCATGGTTGTATTTACCCAATGCCTGTACCACCATTGTATCTATGAAGTAACTAACTTGCTTTTGATTTTACAGGCTCATAGGTGGAAGGAACTTGCTTGTCTCGGATGAGACTTTGGACTGTGGACTTCTGAGTTAATGCTGAAATGAGTTGAGACTTTGGGGGACTGTGGGGAAGGCATGACTGTATTTTGAAATGTGAGGACATGAGATTTGGGAGGGGCTGGGGGCGGAATGATATGGTTTGGCACTGTGTCCCTACCCAAATCTCATCTTGAATTGCAACTCCCACAATTTCCACATATGGTAGGAGGAACCCGGTGGGAGGTGATTGAATTATGGGGGTGGGTCTTTCCTGTGCTGTTCTCATGATAGTGAATGAGTCTCATGAGATCTGATGGTTTTAAAAAAATGGGAGTTTGCCTGCACAAGCTCTCTGTTTGCCTGCTGTCATCCATGTAAGATGTCACTTGCTCCTCCTTGCCTTCCGCCATGATTGTGAGGCTTCCCCAGCCACGTGGAACTGTGAGTTCTCCATTAAACTTCTTTCCTTTGTAAATTGCCCAGTCTTGGGTTTGTCTTTATCAGCAGCGTGAAAATGGACTAACACAGCTGTTCAAAAGATAACATACATGACTACATAACTGAAAAAGTGCTTATTCTACTAAAAAATCTATTTTGTAAGTGCTTATTCTCTTAATAGTAAAGAGTCTGTGAGGGAAGAAATTTGAAATCCCAAGTTCTTTTACTTTATAACTAGAAGTAAGTCATTTAAATCTTCCTGAACCTCAATTTCTCCAGGGTAAAATGGAGCTAATACTAACTACAGGCAGTATATGGCAGAGGTGACCTGAATGGAAAGAAATACTTCTGAGAATGAATGACAATCAAGCATAGTAAGATCACCCATGCCTAGAAATGACAAAACCCAAAATATTATCAAAGCAAGATGAAGGATTCTAATATTATCCAAATCTATCTAAAATTACCCATATTTAATCAAGGTAAACTGAATATGGTTCCAGAAAAGCAGGAATACAGCTTGCGTGAATGGAAAGATCAATGGAATTAGATTTAAGATCTACACTTATTAGTGGTGTAGTGAGGGCAAACTCCCAAAGCCTCAGTTTCTGTATTGTGGGTGTTTTGCACATTTATCTGACAAAGATTTATGGACTATTTACTAGGGCCAGGGCTTTACTAGGTAAGTGCCATACAAAAATGAAGGCATTGCTCTTGCCTTCAATTTCAATACAATGTAACAAATATTATAACAATAAGGGCTACTGAATATTTTCTAAGTACTAGGTACTATTATAAATACTTTTTACTCATTAAATCTTTACTCCCTTTCACTATCTAAAACATAGGTATTATCACAGAAAAGAGGCATAGAGAAGTTAACTATCTTGCCCAGCACCAAACAGTTATCAGAGGCTGGAGCTGGGATGTATCTTTTTTTTTTTTTTTTTTTTTGAGAAGGAGTCTCGCAATGTTGCCCAGGCTGGAGTGCAGTGGCGCGATTTCGGCCCACTGCAACTTCTGCCTCCCGGGTTCAAATGATTCTCCTGCCTCAGCCTCCCGAGTAGCTGGGAGTACAGGCGTGCGCCACCACGCCTGGCTAATTTTTGTATTTTCAGTAGAGATGAGGTTTCACCATGTTGGCCAGGCTGGTCTCGAACTCCCGACTTCAGGTGATCCACCCGCCTTGGCCTCCCAAAGTGCTGGGATTATAGGCTTGAGCCACCGCGCCCGGCAAAGGAGCTGGGAAATATTTTGACAGAGGGCAAGAACTTGCTAATCTGTGCAAGTGAGGGGTAGTGGTGGAGGCTTTCCACACTCAAGGGGCAGTTTTAGTTCACCCATTCGCAAACGTACTTAAAAATTACCTCTTAGAGTTGTGCTGAATAAATGAAACAGTATATTTAAGTCAGTATTGTGCCTGGGACATGTAAGCTCTTAATTAATGTTATTAATTTCATTTTATTCCTTTAAGTTGGATCACTGGCGAACAACGTGAGAATGTTTTCATGCCTTTGGCTACACATTAAAGCGACCTCTCCAAATGGGTTGTCGCATTTTACATTGCTACCAACAATGTAACAGCCTTCTAGTTGCTTTATGCTCCGATATACGAAAGAGCCCCACCATTTGATTCTGTTTTTCAGTTTCTGACAGCCTCACCTACTTTCTCTTTCAAGTTCATCTGCCACATTTTTACTTATTTTATTTTTTTGAGACGGAGTCTCGCTTTCTCACCCAGGCTGGAGGCTGGGGTGCAGTGGCGTGATCTCGGCTCACTGCGATCTCCGCCTCCCGGGTTCAAGCGATTCTCCTGCCTCAGCTTCCCGAGTAGCTGGGACTACAGGCGCGCGACACCACGCCGGCTAATTTTGTATTTTTAGTAGAGACGGGGGTTTCACCATATTGGCCAGGCTGGTCTCGAACTCCTGACCTCGTGATCCGCCCGCTTCGGGCTCCCAAAGTGCTGGGATTACAGGCGTGAACCACCGCGCCCGGCCCATCTGCCCCATTTTACATCACCACTGCCGTCACAAACAAAGTTCTCGTAAGAACCGCCAAGCGGCGCGTGGGCGGCCGCCCCATCCCACTATAATTGCGGCCTCGCAGCCTGACCCGGGGCGCCAACGCTCAATCCGGTTCTCGCGGGAAGATACACGGTTTTTAAGAAAGAACTTCTAACCCCACTCCACCGCCCAACGGTCACGTGACGCGCCTGCGTCCTCGCCTCAAGGTTTTTTCTGGTCGCATATTGGCTGTTAACTCGGCTACGGGGTGTAGCGAGGTGCATTCCGGAAGTAGGTCCTTTGACTTTTGCTTCCTCTACGGAGGCAAGTAACAACCCGGCGGTCGACGCTTAGCGGAAGTTCGTCAAGTCGCAGTTGCCCCCGCACAGCGGATGTGGGTCGCCTCTTAGGTGACGCTGGGAAGTGCCTGCAGCCTTCGCCGCTGCCTTCTGGTTGAAGCACTATGGAGGGAGAGAGGAAGAACAACAACAAACGGTGGTATTTCACTCGAGAACAGCTGGAAAATAGCCCATCCCGTCGTTTTGGCGTGGACCCAGATAAAGAACTTTCTTATCGCCAGCAGGCGGCCAATCTGCTTCAGGACATGGGGCAGCGTCTTAACGTGTATCCTTGTGGCCTAGGCCTTCGGCCTTGGAGTTGGTCCCGCCATGCTCTGGCGTCCGGGTCTCAGGCTCTGTGGGGGGGACGAAAGTGGGGAAGAAGGTGGGCAGAAGCTGGATGTCTAGTTGGGAGAGCCCACGATGGGGCGGGCTGAAACTCAGTTAGCGCTAGGGAAGCGAGGCAGAGTTGATTTCCCGCTCGCTCACCCGTGCCGCCAGCCTTGCTGGGAATTCGTATCCTTCCCGGCTTTGTGTTTTAACCAGCCCTTCCAACTCTGTCTTCATTGTGTTCTGATCTGCTCTGGTGACGTTAAGATTCTCATTTTCCGCTGTGCCCTAGGGGTCTAGGTCTGGCAGAGGTTTCTCTGTTGACGGCTGCCTCCCAAACCTAGTGTGTAAATTTCGAGAAATTCAGTACCTGAAAGTGTTATAAAGGGTGGACTAGAATTAATGCCTCAGCCTTGGTCCAAAATCCATTCCTCATCTACTAGCTGTTTAAGTGACCTCTCAAATTTTTGGCCGTCTTGTCTATAAAATGGGATAATACCTCTTGTGTTTGATTCTGTGTCCAGCACAGTGCTTTGCATTCAGATGCTCAGTTAGTAGCTACTGTTTTATAGAATTTCAGAGGAAAGATGTTAGTTTACGTTTGTAGGGGATACCCACGAATCTAATGTTTTAAATAGTTTACAAAATACCGGGTCCTTAACTTACTTAGAGTGATGATATGTATTTCATTTTCAAAAATGAGGTAACGGCTGGATGCGGTGGCTCACGCCTGTAATCTCTGCACTTTGGGAGGCCGAGGCGGGTGGATCACCTGAGGTCAGGAGTTCGAGACCAGCCTGGCCAACATGATTAAACCCCTGTCTCTACTAAAAATACAAAAAATTACCCCGGCGTAGTGGCGGGCAGCTGTAATCCCAGCTAGTCAGGAGGCCGACGCAGGAAAATCGCTTGAACCCGGGAGGCGGAGGTTGCAGTTAGCCGAGATGGCGCCACTGCACTCCAGCTTGGGCAACAATAGTGAAACTCCGTCTCAGAAAAAAAAAATTAAAAAAAAAATGAGGTAACCTCTCCCACATATTTTTGTTTGTTAGGAAATACACTTATTTTATGGTGGAGAAAACTAGTATAGTTTTAAATTTCTTTCCACTCTGCGTGTGAAAATTTTCTTGGGTGCAGCTTCTATTTAAATGTGTGGCTGACAGTAATGTGTGTATCTTAAGGGTGTGTTCATCTCAAAATGGGTGTCTGTTTTATCGCCAGTTTGTTTCCTGCTGATGTCCAGGTTTGTTTCCTAAGCATCCTGTCAGTATGGAGTTAAATCTTTTTGTTCGAAATTCTATTTCAGTGCATCCTTAAAATGCTTTCCTTTTTGTATGTGTGTTGTCATTAAGGTTGTCAGCCAGGCGCGGTGGCTCGCGCCTGTAATACCAGCACTTTCGGAGGCCAAGGCAGGTCGATCAGTTGAGGCCAGGAGTTCAAGACCAGCCTGGCCAACATGGTGAAACCATGTCTCTACTAAAAATACAAAAAGTAGCCAGGTCTGTTGGTGGGCGCCTGTAATCTCAGCTACTGGGGAAGCTGAGGCAGGAGAATCGCTTGAATTTGGGAGGTAGAGGTTTCAGTGGGCCAAGATGGTGCCACCGCACTCCAGTGTGGGCGACAGAGTGTGAGCCACCGCGCCTGGCCGCCTTATATAGTTTTTAAAAAAATCTGTCTAGATTCATACATCCTGAGATGTTTGTTTATTCATTCAGTACATTTATATTAAATATTTGTTATGTGTAAGGCATTGTGCTAAGTGTCAGTTGGCGATTAATAATTTGGTGAAAGAAAACAGACATATTCTTTGATTTGGAGAGATAAGTATGATTTTCATTTAGTAGTATCTACTTGCTTGGCCATTTCATCCTTTTGGGAGGGAGATAGAGGTTATCTTTTCCAGAATTATACCTGCCTGTTTTTGGATCTTAACTTGAACACTTCAGCTCACAATTGACTATCAACACTGCTATAGTATACATGCATCGATTCTACATGATTCAGTCCTTCACACAGTTCCCTGGAAATGTAAGTATAATTTTTTTATATGATATAATCCTTTTGTGATTGATTCCACCTACCTATTCCATTTGTGGTTGGTCTTTGCTACTGAACTGTAACTTGAACTTTAGAATTTAGGGTTGATCACTTCCATTATGTGCTGTGTTGCTGTTCTGAATCCAGCTTTTCAGTTTTCCTGTTAAGTGTCTACTTGTCTAGTGGATTTAGTATATCCATGTCGATTCTCTAAAGAAGTAGATTAGGCCGGGTGCAGTGGCTCACAACTGTAATCCCAGCACTTTGAGAGACTGAGATGGGAGGATCACTTGAGCCCAGGAGTTCAAAACCAGCCTGGGCAACATAATGAGACCTCATTTCTACAAAATATCAAAAACAAAAACAAAAAGCAAGTAGCTGGGTGTTGTGGTATGCATCTGTGGTCTCAGCTACTCCAGCAGCTGGCAAGAGGATTGCTTGAACTCAGGGAGTTGAGGATGCAGTGAGCCAAGATTGAGTCGCTTCACTCCAGCCTGGGCATCAGAGTGAGACCCTGTCTTCAAAAAAAACCCCAAAAAACAGATTATCAGACATCTAAAGTCAACATTTTGGGGTTGGAGGAGTAACATTAAAGGGGAAATCATGTGGAATTTAGGTATAGCTTTCTTTTTCTTGCTGGGGTAGGGAGACAGGCAGGGTCTTGCCCTGTTGTCCATGGTGGAATGCAGTGATTTGATTATGGCTCATTGCAGCCTTAACCTTCTGGGCTCAAGCAGTCCTCCTGCCGTAGCCTCCCAAGTAACTGGGACCACAGGCTTGCCAACATATCTGGTAATTTTTAAAATTTTTTTTGTGAAGATGGGGTCTCCCTGTGTTGTCCAGCCTGGTCTCAAACTCCAGGGTTCAAGGGATCCTTCCGCCTCCGCCTTCTAAAATGTTGGGATTACAGTCATGAGCCGCCATTCCTGGCATTAATTTTGAAGTAGTTTATAAAATATGGTCACAGCAAAAGAAGTAAATGTAAGTTACTTAGATTTTCCAAAAGCCTTTGATAAAATTCCAGTCAGCAGTTGGAGGGGAAAGCACATTATGTAATAATAACTGGGAAAATGACTTTTAAGAACATGAAAAATAGGCTATGCATGGTGGCTCATTCTTATGTATAATCACAGCACCTTGGGAGGTTCAGGTGGGAGGACTGATTGAGCCCAGGAGTTGGAGACCAGCCTGGGCAACACGGTGAGACCCCGTTTCTACAAAAAAAAAAAAAAAGGTAAAAAAAATTTTACAAAGAACAGGAAGAATAAAATTATACTAATAAAGAAATTTTATTTTTTTGTACAGAATTATAAATAGTGATCTTTTCAGTGTAGCTATTTGAAATGGTCCTATTTAACATTATTATAAATGACTTGGAATTGAATGCATAGTGATATCCCAGTTCTAGGAAGGACTGTATTTACTTAATAAAACGCCAAGGTAATAGGGATAAACTTGATGAGTACTTCATATGGATTGATTTTTTTTTTTTTGAGATGGAGTTTCGCTCTTGTTGCCCAGGATGGAGTGCAATGGCACGATCTTGGCCCTTTGCAACCTCCGCCTCGCAGATTCAAGCAATCCTCTTTCCTCAGCCTCCCAAGTAGCTGGGATTACATGCATGTGCCACCACACCTGGCTAATTTTTGTATTTTTAGTAGAGACGAGGTTTCACCACGTTGGCCAGGCTGGTTTTGAACTCCTGACCTCAGGTGATCTGCCCGCCTCAGCCTCCCAAAGTGTTGGGATTACAGGTGTGAGCCACTGCACCGGCTGTATACTTCAAATGGATTTGTGAGTCAAGTATTTCCCTGCTTTTTTTTTTTTTTTTTTTTTTTATTTTTTTTTTTTTTTAAGGAAAAGATTATCCTGCTGGGCACGGTGGCTTAAGCCTATAATCCCACAACTTTAGGAGGCTGAGGCGGGCGGATCACCTGAGGTCGGGAGTTTGAGACCAACATGGAGAAACCCCATCTCTACTAATACAAAAATTAGCCAGGCGTGGAGTTTCATGCCTGTAATCCCAGCTACTCAGGAGGCTGAGGCAATCACTTGAACTGGGGAGGCCGAGGTTGTGGTGAGCCGAGATCGCTATTGCACTTCAGCCTAGGCAACAAGAGCGAAACTCCATCTCAAAAAGAAAAAGATTATGCTTTTGAGGATGCTTATTTCGTATCCTTAGAATGGTGGGTTTTCAGATTTATTATTACTTTTTTAATGCTGTAGAAAGAGAGTTTATGAAGCTAGACATAGCTCCTGAAATGTAAGAAACTGGCAGAAACAGTATTGGGAGTAACTGCACAGGAAACTTTTTGGATTTGTGAATTAAGATTTTTGTGGGCCAGGTGCCGTGGCTCAACGCCTGTAATCCCAGCACTTTGGGAGGCCAAGATGGGCGGATCACGAGGTCAGCAGATCAAGACCATCCTGGCTAACATGGTGAAACCCCGTCTCTACTAAAAATACAAAAAAAATTAGCCGGGCGTGGCGGTGGGCGCCTGTAGTCCCAGCTACTCGGGAGGCTGAGACAGGAGAATGGCATGAACCCAGGAGGTGGAGCTTGCAGTGAGCCGAGATCGTGCCACTGCACTCCAGCCTGGGCGACAGAATGAGACTCCGTCTCAAAACAAAAAGAAAAAGATTTTTGCTGATGATCCACCCAGGTTGGCTTTCTTCTGCCCTTAGCCCCTGTACCTCTAGTCATGCCCTGGAGCTTTGCTCTGGCTCTGATTGCAAGGAGTATATCCTTCTTATTAAAAGAGAGAGAAGCCTGTTAGCATTTAACGAGGCTATCTGATAGCACCAGAATAGAAGGTAGTGAGTAGTTAAAAAGTGAAATTTGAAGAGGAAATTCCTAGCCATTTTGCCAGTTCTGAAGGTTTTCTATAATTCTTCCCTTTTATTATGATAAAGACTTGAAATTTGGGGTGAAGTGAATCTCAAATCAAAAAAAGAAACTCTCAAATCAGTTTGTCCACTCTTCATGTATAGGTTAATATATATTTTCCCCTCCTTTTAACTTTTATTTATTTATATATTTATTTATTTATTTTTGAGATGGAGTCTCACTCTGTCACCCAGGCTGGAGTGCAATGGCGCCATCTGAGCTCACTGCAACCTCCACCTCCCAGGTTCAAGCGATTCTCCTGTCTCAACCTCCCAAGTAGCTGGGACTACAGGCACCCGCCACCACACCCAGCTAATTTTTGTATTTTTAGTATAGACAGGGTTTCACTATGTTGGCCAGGCTTGGCTTCAACTGTTGACCTTATGATCTGCCCGCCTCATCCTTCCAGAGTGCTGGGATTACAGGTGTGAGCCACCGCGTCCAGCCTTATCTTTTAAGTTATATCTTTTTTTATTTTTTTGAGACCTGGAATCTCTCTCTTTCCCCCAGGCTGGAGTGCAGTGGCTGCGCGATCTCAGCTCACTGCAACCTCCGCCTCCTGGGTTCCAGCAATTCTCCTGTCTCAGCCTCCCGAGTAGCTGGGATTACAGGCGCCTGCCACCACACCCAGCTGATTTTTGTATTTTTAGTAGAGACGGGGTTTCACCATCTTGGCCAGCCTGGTCTTGAATTCCTGACCTCACGATCCACCCGCCTTGGCCTACCAAGTGCTGGAATTATAGCCATGAGCCACTGTGCCAGGCCATATCTTTTTATTTCTTATCTGTTAAGCTTAACAAGGACAGAGATTCCCTTTTCTGTATATTCTCTAAAGCAGTTTCAGTAAACTTATTGAATGAATGGATGATCTGGTAGTTATCCAATATAGAGATATTCTTTCAAACATTTTTATATATATTTATTTTTTAGAGACGGGAGATCTCGCTCTGTTGCCCAGGCTGGTCTCAAACTCCTGGCCTCAAGCTGTCTTCCCACCTCAGTCTCCCAAAGTGCTGGGATTGCAGGCATGGGCCACTGCACCTGGCTAGTATAGGGATATTCTTTTGGATGTCATGACCTTTTTCAAAATCCACTGATTAATTTGAAGTTGTTGATCCTTTTTAGAGGATTGATTTTAGGCACATTTTGGAATCAACAGATTCCAGATTTAATATCACCTTTTAACATACTAATTCTAAGTTTAGCTGTGATGAATCCAAATTTAAATGTGAGAGGACTTAATACATTAAATGTGGCCTAATAATCAATGTGGCATTGATATGTTATATATCCTGTCAAGTCCTCAGGCATTTTTGTATGTGTGTGTGTGTTTTTCTTATTACAAAGGTATTAGAGGCTGGGCGTGTTGACTCAGGCCTGTAATCCTAGCACTTTGGGAGGCCGAGTTGGGTGGATCA